>NC_000003.12:25010000-26260000 GCF_000001405.40 Homo sapiens | reverse complement strand
ACCACCAGTTTTGATGCAGTTGCCTAAAGGGCTTGACACCCAACTAGGGAATAACTTAGGTTTGAGATTTAAGAATCACCCTAAGAGTTCTCTTCTTCCAGAGGACACACTCATTTTCCTGTAAGAACTGGACTTTCCCTCCTATTGATTGGCAGGTCGCAAAGAACTCAACAGAAGTATTGACCCATGTAGACCTTGTCACTCACAGGCATGACAGATGCATGGTCTGAGGAACATTTAGGAAGGGAGGTGGGGGCAGCTTAAGCACGTTATGGTCAGCAGTGCTGTCCTTGTTTCTATGCTTCCGTAGACTATGAGCTGAGAAGACCCCAAGCTACCAACTGCCTCATGAGTGAATGTATCATTCTTTTGGTACATAGAAGGGTCCTATTTATTTGAGCCTTTGCACTTTAATAGAGTTTATCACTCTTAAGAGCCAAAGAGTTTAGATTAGGGCATCCCTGACAGTGTGTTACATAAACAACTTCAACAAAAATGTATTGGTTACTCAATATGGCCAGATACTAGGGACACTCTGATTCTCAAAATACTATACGCCTTAGAATCACCTGGAAAGCGTGTTAAAATGCAGACTGCTGGGCTCCATTCCCAGAGTTTCTAATTCAGCAGATCTGGGATGGGACCCAGAAATGACATTTTTAATAAGTTTCCAGGGAATGATGTTGCTGGTCTAGGAACCGTATGACCACTGCCATAGACAGCTGAAACATGGTCCTTGGTTTACAAGGTTTGGTATAAGATATAGGTCATCCAAACACATGAATATTTGTTTGCCAGTAGGAAGTACTTAATAAAGAGTTGTTGAATGGATGAATAAACAAATGAATGAAAACACAGAATGGATATAGTGTGTGAGAATGTGGAAGCGGGTGGTGGGGGGAGCGGTTTATTCTGATTACATAGTGTGCTGTTTGAAGAGCCATCAAGGGAGGAGCTAGCTGCATTGTGCTTCAAAGGTCAAGTTGAATTTGTGTAACAAAATGGCTGGCATGAGGAATTGCTAAGGTAAGACAACAGCATGGCAAAGGAACAGAGATGAGAAAGGAGATGTGTATGGTGGGAAGTAGTGAATAACCAGGTAGGTATGTAAGATATTACACAGGGCCATTCCTGAGCCTTGCCTCTCCCACAAAAGCCATTCTGCTACTGGTCCTCCTTTTTCTACCTTCTTGGAAAGCATCTGCTTCTTCTTTTACTACTTATTTTCTCTCCTACCACCGTGTACTTTCCTCTTTGAGCAACCTTAACATCCCTTATCTGAAGAACCTTTGGAACTAACTGTGGCAGATGCTTTTGGGGCCACTATCATATCCATTCAACCCACCTCTTATTTCTAAGCAGCTGTAACAGAGGATTCTATGCACATGATTGAGAGCCACATCAACTATGTTGCACAGCTTCTTTCTGCTTTTTTGTCTCAGGGCTTCCTCCATAGCTCAAAAACTGTGTTAGCCCATATGCGGAAGCAGCCAGAAGGGTAGGGCACTTTATACTCTGGGGGGCAGCCATTAAACAATGGGGGAGAGGTTACAGTAGATACTTGACCCAGCATCTTGTCTTTTGAAAGCAGGGTTTCTTAGAGGGTCTACTGTGGAATTAAACCCAGTTCCCACAGTGGTAGCCATGTCAGTAACACATCCTTTATTTATTGTTGTTGCTGTTGTTGGCTTATCCTCCTCACCTCTCATTGTACCCCTGCCTCAACCCTGTTTCCTGGGATCATCTCCCAAATAAATTACCTGCATCTAGATCCTAATCTCAAGAACCTAAACTGAGATGTGGCCTCACAGGAAACACACAACACAGTCCTAGCTATTCATTCCTTGCTTGCTTGTCTGAGGCGATAGGTGAAATTTCAAGAGCAATGGCCTTTGGCTGGAGTGGACCTGCAAATAGCAGAACATGGGTTAGCCAGTTTCCTTTGACACTGCAAAAGTGTTTATAGCATTAAAGATTTACAGTATAAAGTGTTTACAGGTTGTTTCCAATTTGAGTGACAAATTTATTTACTTAAAATGGACTCGACTTTTTTTTTCTTTTGAGACAGGGTCTCATTCTGTCACCCAGGCTGGAGTGCTGTGGCACAATCATGGCTCATTGCAGCCTTGAACACCCAGGCTCAAGCCATCCTCCCACCAAGGCCTCCCAAGTAGCTGGGACCACAGGTGCACATTACCATGCCTGACTAATTTTTTTATAGAGACAGGGAATCTCACTATGTTGCCCAGGATAGTCTCAAACTCCCAAGGCTCAAGTGATCCTCCTGCTTCAGCCTCCCAAGTTGCTGATATTATAGGCATGAGTCACCATGCCCAGTAACTCTTGACTTTTGTGACCTTGGTCTTGTAAGTCTAAATGAGAGCTACCTCCAGGAAGATCCAGAGGTCCTAAAGTGTTATATGTCCAAAATGAGACTTATGATGTTAGAAAGTAAGATATAAAAATATCTACATCACACTTGAGTTGACAAACATATTAATCTATGAGACAAGGACACTTCTCCAACTACAGTGAAGCTCTGGGAACAGAAAGCCAAATGAGTTTTCAGGTGGGGGTTTGAAAACAATGAAGGGACATCACAGGAAAGACTCTAATAGTTTTATCTAGGATCCACTCCAAGCTGATTCAAATTGGAAACCTAATTTTGTGAACTTGATTTGGGTGTTTTCATAAGAGCACAGGCACTTAGCAGCAGGTAAATTCCATAACTCTCTTTCAAGAGGATGATAGCAGAAGCTTTTAGTGGAGGGAAAATGAATGGTCACCAGCATGAATATTTCATCATTCACTCCCCAGGCACCAGCGGATCAGAATATACAAATTACATTGATGTGATGCCAGGAGGAGGCTGTCCGTAGCTTTCAAGGTAGGAGGCTCCGGAAAAGTACTTGAAATTCTAACCACCACACAACATGATCTAAAGACAGCTGGAAACCTCAATAAGTATTTGAGGGTCTTAAAAAGCACTCAGTTTCAGGTGTCTTTACTTTTTGCTAAAAATCACTGAAGATACTGATTTGACAACCACTTTGCATACACTTTCAGCCTAATTCTGATCTGAATGACTTATCTCAGCAAGGGCCTGAGTTTCTCCCTGTCTTGTTAATATTCTCAGAACTCTCCTCACCCAAAAAAAAATTTAAAAGTCTCTTAATTTATGGGTCAGTAGGAATAAAGACAAAAAAATCACAAGGTGAGGGAATGAAAGCTAGAATGGATGGAAAAAGGTATATGGGAAAGGTCACAAAACATCTTCTCTTATCCTAAAATACGCAATTCTTTCAACATATATAATTTATGCCCCAAGCTCTACTTACTATTTGTAGAGAGTTTTATATTTCATAATATACTTTCACATACATGATATCAATTGATCCTAATAACTATCCACTAAAAAGAGGCAGGACAAGTATTTTCATCCCTATTTAAAGGATAAGTGCTAAGTTACTTACCCAAAGTCCTAAGGTTGCTTAGCAACCTGGGGCCAGAATCCAGTACTTCTGACTCCCATTCCAGTGCATTTTCTGCTTAGCTGCCTCTCCCAAGACAAATGATGGATGAGCCTTTACTTGGACAGTTTCCCTAGCAAGGTGTCCTTACTTGTGGTTGGAAACCAAGAGGCGCCTCGAAGTGGGTTCTGCGGTCTGTTGCATGTTCATCTGTCCTCTGAGAACCAGATCTTGGGTCAGCCTGCCTACATTTCAGTCCTGGATCATCCATTTACTAATTGTACAGCTTTGGTAAAGTTATTCAACTTGTATGTCATACATTTTCTATCTATAAAGCAGGAATAGATATAATCCTGCCCTGGAAGAAGTAAAATTATCCTTATTTGCAGATGACATAATTCTATATATAGAAAACCCTAAAGACTCTAACAAAGAAGCCTGTTAGAACTAATAAATGAATTCAGTAAAGTAGTAGAATACAAAAGTAAGTTCTTTACACCAATAATGATCTATACAAAAATAAATCAAGAAAAAATATTATTTACAGTAGCATTTACAGTAGCATCAAAAAATTAAATACTCAGAAATAAACTCAACCAAGAAAGTGAAAGATCTGAAAACTATAAAACATTGATAAAAGGAATTGAAGGAGACACAAATGAAGAAAATATATCTACAATTAATGGATTGAATAATTAATATTTTTAAATGTTTATACCCTCCAAAACAACATACATATGCAAAACAGTCTCTATAAAATTTTAATTATGTTTTTCACAGAAATAGAAAAAGCAATACTAGAATTCATATGGACTCACAAAAGACCTTGAATAGACAAAGCAGTCTCAAGAAAGAAAAAGTTGGAGGCATCACAATTCCAGATTTCAAATGATATTATGAAGCTATAGTAATAAAAACAATATGTTACTGGCATAAAAAAGACACATAAACCAAAGAAACAGAATACAGAGCCAGAAATAAACCCAAGCTTATATATGCAACTAATTCTTGGCAAGGCTACAAAAAAGACACAATGTGGAAAGAAAGGATAGCTCTTCAATAAATAGTGCTGGAAAACTAGATACCACATACAATAGAATGAAGCTGGACCTTATCTTATACCATACACAAAAATACCCACTCAAAATGGATTAAAGATGTAAGATCTGAAAACACAAGACTTCTGGAAGAAAACAAAGGGAGAAAGCCCTTGATGTTGGCTTTGGCAATGATTTCTTTGGCTATCACACCAAAAGATCAGGCAATAAAAGCAACAATAAATGAGTGAGACTACATTAAACTGAAAATCTGCTTCACAATAAAGGAAACAATCAACAAAATGAAAAGGCAGCCTACAGAGTGGTAGAAAACATTTGTAAACCATGTAAATCTGGGAAATGCAAATCAAAACTATGAGACACCACCTCACACCTGTTAGGATAGCTATTATTCAAAAGTCAAAAAATAAAAGTATCAGCAAGGATGTGGAGAAAAGGAAATACTTGTACACTGTTGGGGGCAATGCAAAGTAGTACAACAAAAATAGTATGGAGGTTCCTCAATAAATTAAAAGCAGAACTAGCACATAATCTAGAAATCCCTCCGCTTGGTGTATACCTAAAGGAAATGAATTCAGCACCTCACAGAGATACCTACACTCTATGTTCATTGCAGCATTGTTCACAATAGCCAAGATAGTCCAACAACCTAAGAGTCGATCAGCAATGAATGAATAAAGAAATTGTGGTACATACATATTATATATACACAACAGAATATTATTCAGCAATTATAAAAAGAGGTCCTGTCATTTGCAAAAACACAGATAAACCTGAAGGGCATTACACTGTGTGAAATAAGCCAGGCACAGAAAAAAATAATAACTACTGCATGGTGTCATTTATATGTGGAATCTTTAAAAGTTGAATATGTAGAAACAGGGAGTAGAACAGTGGGTAGCAGGAGTGGGCAGGGGGAGGAAATGGGGAGATGTAGGTCAGAAGGTACAAACTCACAGTTATGTAGGAGGAATGACTCTAGAGACCTAATGCACAGCATGAGGACTATAGTTAATAATATTGTAAATATACTGAAAATTTGTGAAGAGAGCAGATTTTAGGTGCTCTTACTACACAAACAAAAAGGTAACTACACCAGATGATGGACATGTTAATTTGCTTGACTTATATAACCATTTCATTATGTCTATGTATAACATCATGTTGCCTATCTTAAATATGTACAAAAATACATAAATACATCACACAGATAATCACCTCATAAAAGAAAGTATTATCCTTTTCTGATAAGATGGAAGAATCAAAGAAAAATGCAAGTAAGTCATCTTAACATAGTTCTTGCAGTTTAGTTAATGCTCATAGAAGTTAGCTGCTATGATAATAAAAATGGCGATGCTGATTGTTGTTATAAAACCTGGCCAGGCTAGCATCCCAAGACAGTCTGTGAGTTAGGCACATTTTTATTTTGGCAATATACATCTGCCTTTTGGATTAGCTTTTACAGAAACAAATTTATCTTAAGCTTTTGCATAGTTCAATTTTACCCAAGTTAGTAGATTTTAACATTTTAAAATCCAGGGCCAAATGTTTAGTCCTAGAATATCACATGAAGTCTTATTTATTTATTGAGACAGGGTCTCACTCTATTGCCTAGGCTGGAGTGCAGTATATAACAATATTATATAGTTATTATTCTATTGTTATATTTCATTATTATTACATTATTATATACTGAAAACTTGCCGAGAGTAGACTTTTAGGTGCTCTTTCTACAAAAAAAAAAAAAAAAAAGGTAACTATGCCAGGGTGATGGTTATGTTAATTTGCTTGACTGTTGTAACCATTACACTATGTCTATGTACACCATAACATCATGTTGTATATCTTATACAAAAAATAGATAGAGAGATACCACATCTCAAAGAAGAAAGTATTGTTCTTTCCTGATAAGATGAAAGAATCAAAGAAAAACACAAGTCATCTTAACACAGATATATATATATATAGCTTATATATATATGTATATAAAATAATGGAAATGAGCAACACAAAAACAAGATAGTGATTGCCTCTGGGGGTAAAACAGGGAGATATTGTGAAGAAGGAGCACATAGTAGATTTAAGTTAATGAATCAGTTTTGGGGTTCTGTGTCAGTTTTGTAGATACTTAATAAATACAGAAATAAAATAGGGCTGTGTAAAGATAATGGATAACAAATTAGGGAGTTTAATTCATTTAATATTTTAGATTGAAAATATTAAAGTTAGAACTAAAAAGCATAAGATCAATTCAAAATAATCTGATAAATTTTAAAGAATATATTATATATAAAGCACACAAGGAAGAGTATATATTTATGGGGGATATACAGTATTTAAAATTTAGTAGACTAAACAATTCTTATAAAATTAAAATAATTCCCCAGGCACACCTCTGTTCTAATTCATTGGTCATACATGCATTATATCCTTCTCAGTGAAATTATAATAGGGAATATACTTCTGTAAAGTCAAGTGGGCTCAAATGTAGCAAAAAACTTGGCCCCCGTAGTAAAAGCAATTATAAAAATTCCAAGATTCAAATTTTTCATTTCTAAAATTTCAGGACCCCATATTTATTCTGTGGGCAAGGGATGCTTTAAGATCAAGTCTTCTTAAATTTAGCAGCTTAATAATTTATACCCACCCTAAAGCAGCTACAGAAAACAAAATTGGTGAGTTTCTATTTTCAAAGCGCTTAGGAGTCAATCTGGTAAAGAGTAAATGAAAAATAAGTATTGTTACGTAAATGAATCTATTTGGAAATTATGACTGTTTTTCCAACAAATTGTTACTCAAGTCTTCAGAATACTATAGTATATTTATTTTGAGAAGAATCTGCCAAAGGAAGATGAGAACAGTCTTTTTCCTGCATTTTGTTGAACAAGTTAGCAGTGTTTTGCATAACCTAATGGATTTTCAAGTCCAGTGTGTCATATCAGTGACAAGGCTTAACCTTAGGAAGTTCTAGGAAATTCAGCAAAATTGAATTCTTGCAGCACTTGGATTCCAAATGTTCTTATCTGAAGGGTTAGTTCAGTTCACCATTTCCATGAATGTTTACAACACATATGCTTAGCTATTTCACACATTGAAATAAATTAAACGTACGTACTTTGCTTTGCAGAGGACACTGTCATTACCTCCCCAGTGTTCATCCCACACTTTCCGCATTGTACAGCAGCAATGTGATTTTGAGTAGGGTTGACAGGACCCAAACTCCAGAATATATCCCAATTGATTTAAGCCAATTAAGAAAATTTATATCTCTTGCTAGAGTGATTGAGTTAAAAGGGTTCATCCAGAGAGGGAGGATAATGACTTTTATTCAAATAATCTTGAGAAGCTCTGTTCTTCAAAATGCTATAGACATAGAGGCACATGCCCGGAGTTTTTGCTGGTGGCCATCATGTGGCCATGAGGAAGCTACCCTGGGGATTGACACAATACACAGGGAAGGTAAAGCAAAGATAATTGCAGAGAAACAGATTCAGGACCTCAGTTTATGCCCAAAGACTGCTCCACCACTGAAATTTTCCATTAACGAACCACAAGTCTAATTAGCTAATTGGTTTGAGCTGAAAGCAATTTAGCATTCAGATTTTGATAACAGAAATGTGAAACTGGTTGAATTGAGGTGAAAAAGACAGTGATGGGGGCTTTTCTATCTATCGTGTAATCAATAATCACTTGTATTTAGGTTTTTCTAATAGCCAATAAGCCATAAACAATCAACGGAATAAGGCATGAATGCAAAAATCATCCATGGCTCTGGTGAGTTCCAGAGACATATGATGAGAAATAAAATGGCAGATACACACTAAGCCCCTGCTTTTATATCAATAAATGTTCCAAACACCTGTGTATTTCCTACTGAAAGAAAATACAAATTTGATATCAGAAGGCTTGCACAATCATTGAGTTAGGTGTGCCAGTTCTTTGTTTTAGAAGTTTTATTCCAATACCAACTTTGTGATATTTCCACATCAGAGATATTCTGAACTGAATGAGGCTACGCTTTCTTCCTCCGGCTCAGTGCAACTGTTTTAGCAATAAGGATACACTGAAATTCAAGGTGAGTAACTTGCATAGTGGTAGTGGTAGAATAGTGATGAAAATTCAAAACTCTGGGTTCTTTATCTAATGATTTCCTGACTGCACCATAAAAATAGATTCAAAAAATGTTGTCTCAGTCAGATATTGCTATGTAGTAAACCACCCTAAAATGTAGTGTCGTAAAATTATTATATTCTTTAAACTCTGTGGGTTTGCTACAATGGCTCTACTTCAGGATGCAGATCTGCTGGGCTGCTCTACTTCTCTCTAATCTTCCTTAGATCATGGGCTCATCAGATGAAGTTCTTCCCATGGAGATGGCAGGGGTGCGAAAATGATCACACATACACAAGCATTATTTCTTGTATTACATATGCCGACTTCCCATTGGCCAAGCCAAGTCACGTGGTCAAGTCCAAAGTCAAGTGGAAGAAATAGCAAAGTTACTGGCAAAGGGAAAAAAATTGCCAATAATTTAATTTACTGCAAATGTAAACAGATTGAAGAACACTGAGGAGAAATATAGTTCCTCAAGTCAAGTCAACAAAACACAAATGAGGTTATGAAGGGAAAAAGCATCAAGGCATTGCAGTTTTGCAATGCCCTGCGTAATGAGTGCAAAGTGATTGTCTCATCTGAATCCAGTTCATTTATCTAGCTTGAGATAAGAATTAATACCATAAACTTCTCATTAAATATTAAATCACAGCTCTCTCACCCAGGCAAATTAGCCTAGACATTACTGATGCCAATGAAACTCCATCCGGATTCTAATTTGAAGGTGTAGATTTGAGCACAAACTGGTTGTATATAAATAGAAGATTTTATCAAGGACAGATAAGCAAAATATCTTTCTCCAACCTTGAAAGTCATATTGAGAATAAATTTTCAGATTTTTGTTAGGACCACTGAATTTACTTTGGGCCAGAAATAAAATTGTTCTTGTTTTGCCCACACTGTCAAAATGCCATCCTCTCCTCCTTTTCTCAGAAGGCAAGGGGTTTGTTATGCGGACAATTTAAAGAACGAATGACCAGATCCCAAACAACTCTAGCAGGGGAAACTGAAAAGGGTTAAAGAAATCAGGGAGGCAGGGATTTATGTTAAGGCCATATGAAATATTGGAGCCACATCACACAATATGGAAGCTGCAGGAGCAACAGACCGAGCAGCAGCAGCTGCAGGTGGCTGCCCTGAGGCTGATCGCCACCACAGCAGGATCCTCTGAAGTTGGTACCTGTCATCACATGATCAATGGAAACTATACCAGGAGTCTATGCAGAAGAAAACAATGATCATTTATTACTTGTTCCACCATAAACATGTAGAATAAAGCACAAATTACACAGTAAAATAGAATCTGGATTCAAGTCTGACTACTACTATAAAAATGAGTCCTAGCCTCACTACTTCACTAGCTGTGACAATTTTTGCAAATCACTTTGATTAAGCTACATGAGCCTTAGACTCCCTCACCTGCAAAATGAAGAAATTAATAATCCCTGTCTCTGTGTTGTGGAGAAAACTAAATGGAGATAACATATGTCAAATAACTAGCATGATGCTTAGCAAGTGGCAAAGGTGCATAAATAGTAGCTAAAGTCATTTTTCAACCTATTTTATTGTAAGTTGATTTTTTTAACAACATTAGGGGAAGATAGATGTTTGTTGGAAAATTGGTAATTTACCTTTACTCTCTCATTTTTCATGGTTTTCCAATGAGCTTCACCAATATGTATCATCCATTTGAATGGAAAATTATGGTTTTATTAGAATGTACCAAAAACAGTTTCAACAAACAAAGATTATTGCACACTTTATTTGGTGTGTCTTAGTATAAGTCATTAAAAATAAAGATTCCCAAACATCTGATTCAGTCACACTATGAGGAATCTGCATTTTTTAACTTCTCTGATTTATTCTGAGGCAGATGGTCTATATTTTGAGAAAAAATAAAAATAGCATAAACCGTGGTCTCCTACATATAAAAAGCAGAAGAATGTTTAGAAATACTTCAACAGATCCTCACCAGGCTACATGGATTGCCATTTCCAAAGAGATTAAGAACAGCATTATAAATGAAAGTGGATTAGCTCAGGATATACTATTTGTAAGAGAGGAAATTTCTCCTCCTACACTCAATTCTTAAGAATTTGGGACTTGTCATTTTTCTGTGTGATGTTCCACGATGTAATGAAATAAATGAGGATATCTGGAGCTAGCAAAATACCTACAAAAAAGTTCTTCTTAGAATATGATAACACATAAAAGCTTTCAGGATGGATTTCTAGCCCTAGAAAGCAACCTCATGGGAAAACAAACTTTTTTAGTACTGGGTGTGACCCGGTGGTGTTATCCAGTTCAAAGTCCTTATGTTTACATCTGGTGACACTAAAGTTGCTCACAGGTAGGAAATGGTTTCATAGACCATCCAGCTTGTTAATATCTGGGCTGGCATGAGAAGGACAGTCTTCAAAGGTTTCTTTTTTGTTCTTTCTGATAAACCAGTGATATTCAGCCCAGAGTCCCAGGTTAGTGAATGAGGAAAAGTATGAGCTTACAAGTCATTTTCAGTAATTCTAGAGATCTAAAGGGAAATCTAATAACACAGGTATGGAAGACAAATTTAAAAATCAATTTTCTTTCATTTTACCTGGAGTTATGTAAATTCAGTATGGTCACACTAATGCTCTCATGCTGCCCAGAAGCTCCACAAAGTTTCTGAAAAAGATTCAAGCAACCTCAGGGTAGAATTTTCTGGAATATGATTGGTGGATCTGACTCTGACACAAGAGTCATTATGTAAAGAAGACACCCCCCTTTCTAAGTAGAATCTGCTCACTTAGACCAAAATGCAGAGACAGCTAAACTAACGTTGCCCATAGGAATGAATGGTGCTTATTGCCTGTATACTTATCTAACTTCACTATGTAGTAGCATCATAACTGAAGTAATGATTTATGCATAATCATAATACGATGGTAAACTTGGATCATTCATTTAAATTTGAATTCATGCTTAAATGGAAAGCCAGTAATAACTCAGATGGAACTAATTATTTATTGTTTAATGCATGCAGTTTAGAAAAAAATTTCAAAACACAAGTCCTTGGTGACATTAAAAAGAAAAAAATCCTAAAATTACTGTGCTATATCAAGCTACTTCTTGTTACAAATTTACATTTTAGGCCCCTGAGCTATAATTTTTAAATTTTCAAAGGGAACAGATTTTCAGGAAAAAAAATACCTACAAAACAGGAGCTGTTTGGAAAGAATTTAACTTCACATTCCAAATGAATAAAAAATTTTTTTCCCACTGGAAACACCAAACTTTGAAGCATATTGCTTCATGGCTTAAGATAAACATACTCAGCTAACCCGGTTGTATCAAACATTTAAATTTATCATAAAAGAATAATTACGGGAATTCCACATATTTATGACCTCAGATATTCCAGGAAACTCAGTTAGGTCATTAGATCCACACCAAAGCATATTACTCCTGCTTACTCTCTTGCCAGGCTTTTATCTTTCTAGCTGCAAAGCTTCAAAAGTCGCTTCTATGAAGCCATTTGGCCTTATCTGATCTTGCTTTCTCAGGGGACTACTCCTAACTGACCACAAAGCACTAGGGCAGAGATGCTGTGCCATTAAAAAGAAAGATGTAGTAATTTAGTTAAATATGAACTGCATAGGAATTCTGTTAGCTAAACACATTCAAAAACAAACAAACAGAAAAGAAATCAAGTTTCTTTTGAAATACTTCATAGTTCGAAAATTCATAGTTTGAAAAACTATGAATGACATGCAAAGTGGAAATTACTATCAACATATTCAACGTTAGGAGGCACTGTCCTGGGTAGTTGGTCAATTCTCTCTTACTATAATCTTCAGAGGAAAAGATGCATATTCATTTGGCCGCAACTGGATACGAGCTTTGTAGATTTTTATATTTTTATAATTTTAAATGTTTTACATTTTCAACATTTTTAATCCCTTTTAGATCAGTTGCCAATAATTCAAGTCGGTCTTCCCCATAAATCTCAAGATTTGTATCAAAAATCCCA
Source organism: Homo sapiens (assembly GCF_000001405.40). Taxonomy (NCBI): domain Eukaryota; kingdom Metazoa; phylum Chordata; class Mammalia; order Primates; family Hominidae; genus Homo; species Homo sapiens. The sequence goes on along the minus strand of NC_000003.12, from coordinate 26,247,350 downwards.
AATTCCAATAGATCCAAAAACAAGCAACCAAGGAAGCCTCCAAAGTATTTCTCTTAAAACAAATTGTTCTTTAAATATTTAAACAATGCGAAGGAAGAGAGTTTACATTTGATAGATACCTACCATATTCCATACATCGTGCTCAGCACTTTAGATAAAATATCTTGATATCTGTACACATGGTATTAATATACTCATTTTCAATGAGGAAATTAAAGCTTGAGAGACTGAATGGCCCAAGGGTGAGAGCTAATAGATGGCAATGCTGAAACAACCCCTACAGAAGAAGCAGCTCAAATTTTACTACATTATCCTCACTTAATTAAATTAGATGCAGAGTTGCACTCAGTACACATATCCAGTGCATTAGAGCTATTAGGTTCCAAGTAACAAACACTCAACTTAAACTAGTTTAAACAAAATAAGGCATTTTATTAACCTCCTTAAACAAAGAAGAAATTGGAACTGGCTTTAAGAATGACTAGAATCATGGACTTAAACAAAGTTAAGCCTCTCTCTTTCTTCTCTCTACATTGATTTCTGGACATGGTAAAGGACATGGTCCCAGAAACATCACTCTCTAATATTACAGTCTTGGGATATAAAACCCCCATCTACCAGCTGCTAATGAAAAAATATTTAGGGCAAAGTCTCTCAGCAGCACCATTATTGACATTTCAGACTGGATAATTCTTTGTTGTGAGGTCTGTCCTAGACATTGTATATGTTTAGTAGCATTGTTTACCCTTACCTAGTAGTTGCTAATAGCCCCCCCAATCATCCCCATCATAACAATTACAAATTGTTTATAATGCCAAATGTCTTTCACTGTGGGGTAGCAAAATATTCTTGTACTGAGAATCACTGCTTTAGAGAGAACTATGACTAGTCTGGTTCAGTGTAAGTACCCACTCTTAAACAATTCTCATGCCCAGAAAATGGAGTCATTTAAAAAGATGGCAACTCCAGTTCAGGCCACATGCTAGAATGGGGTTGTGGGAAGCGGAAACAAAATTCATTAAGAGGAGAAAAGTACAGCATTGACGTGGTCCCTAAGAAAGTCACTGAGACTGGGCTGTACTCCAATTTGTGTCAATTCCATGCAGATTATAGCAGGAAAGCAAATCAAATGAGCATCTTCACCTGACCCAAATGAAGTCTTATGAATCATTCACGGCCAAATGCCCATATCGTCTATTGCATTCACTATGATATTCTATATTCAAATTGCTCCAGTGGAAGATATAATACATTATTTTTTCACCAAGCTCAATATTCCAAGCACATTTTTTAAACATGCAGCAAGTTTACTTGTTCAAGGTAGAAGATTATAATAATAGCTAACACTTATTGAGTACCTATTAAGTGCCAGGCACTAATTTATGCATTTTTCATTTATCTTATTCAATACCCACAATGGTCCTATCAAATACGCACTATTGTTACCTCTATCTTATAAAAGAAGAAAAATATCTTACAGAGGTTAAGTGACTTACCCATGGTCATCTAGCTGGGATTTCAAATCATGTCTGTTTAATATTAAAATAAATGCTCTTATATAAAAATAAATGCTATCCATAGCTTTTTGGGACCCAAAACTGAAGAGCCAGGAAAGGGACAAAAGAAGTCAATATGGTTCTTCTTTTCCGTTTTCTCCAGTTATCTCCTCCCACCTATATGCCACTCCTCACCCTTACACACACATGTCTTTCTAGGAATAAAGAAAACATCACTGAGACATTTTTTAAAGTAAATTACTAATAAGTAGAGACAACTCAAAAACCAAACACTGAAAAGGATAGGTAAGGGTTAATCAGCTTTCATTTCTATTAAATTATGGCCCATTTTAACTGACATTTATGAAGCAGGAGGGCAAAGGATAGGCAGGATAATTGCTGAGAAATATACCCCTCAGGGGAGCAGCATCACAGCAAGCAAAATTCCTTTCCAGAGAATTAGCAAAAGTAGTTGCAGATCTTAAATGTTGCAGAGAGTTATAAAGAAATCACAAAAAGTAGAGTCTAGGAGAACTCAACAACATTAATAAGTCCAGGAAGTTCTGAACCTCAGGATAGTTACCAAAGAGGATTTTCTTGCTCTGAATAGAAATCCTTAAGAAGAAATAGGAGGATTACATAGGGGTGGAGCCAAGATGGCCAAATAGGAACAGCTCCGGTCTACAGCTCCCAGCATGAGTGACGCAGAAGACGGGTGATTTCTGCATTTCCACCTGAGGTACCGGGTTCATCTCACTAGGGAGTGCCAGACAGTGGGTGCAGGACAGTGGGTGCAGCGCACCGTGCGAGAGCCGAAGCAGGGTGAGGCATTGCCTCACTCGGGAAGCACAAGGGGTCAGGGAGTTCCCTTTCCTAGTCAAAGAAAGGGGTGACAGACGGCACCTGGAAAATCGGGTCACTCCCACCCTAATACTGCGCTTTTCCGACGGGCTTAAAAAATGGCGCAGCAGGAGATTATAACCCGCACATGGCTCGGAGGGTCCTACGCCCACGGAGTCTCGAAGATTGCTAGCACAGCAGTCTGAGATCAAACTGCAAGGCTGCAGCGAGGCTGGGGGAGGGGCGCCCGCCATTGCCCAGGCTCACTTAGGTAAACAAAGTAGCTGGGAAGCTCAAACTGGGTGGAGCCCACCACAGCTCAAGGAGGCCTGCCTGCCTCTGTAGGCTCCACCTCTGGGGGCAGGGCACAGACAAACAAAAAGACAGCAGTAACCTCTGCAGACTTAAATGTCCCTGTCTGACAACTTTGAAGAGAGCAGTGGTTTTCCCAGCATGCAGCTGGAGATCTGAGAACAGGCAGACTGCCTCCTCAAGTGGGTCCCTGACCCCTTGACCCCCGAACAGCCTAACTGGGAGGCATCCCCCAGTAGGGGCAGACTGACACCTCATACAGCCAGGTACTCCTCTGAGACAAAACAGAACAATCAGACAGCAGTACTCGCGGTTCACAAAAATCGCTGTTCTGCAACCTCCGCTGCTGATACCCAGGCAAACAGGGTCTGGAGTGGATCTCTAGCAAACTCCAACAGACCTGTAGCTGAGGGTCCTGCCTGTCAGAAGGAAAACTAACAAACAGAAAGGACATCCACACCAAAAACCCATCTGTACATCACCATCATCAAAGACCAAAAGTAGATAAAACCACAAAGATGGGGAAAAAACAGAGCAGAAAAACTGGAAACTCTAAAAAGCAGAGCGCCTCTCCTCCTCCAAAGGAATGAAGCTCCTCACCAGCAATGGAACAAAGCTGGATGGAGAATGATTTTGATGAGTTGACAGAAGAAGGCTTCAGACAATCAAACTACTCCGAGCTACAGGAGGAAATTCAAACCAAAGTCAAAGAAGTTGAAAACTTTGAAAACAATTTAGAGGAATGTATAACTAGAATAACAAATACAGAGAAGTGCTTAAAGGAGCTGATGGAGCTGAAAGCCAAGGCTCGAGAACTATGTGAAGAACGTAGAAGCCTCAGGAGCCGGTGCGATCAACTGGAAGAAAGGGTATCAGCGATGGAAGATGAAATGAATGAAATGAAGCGAGAAGGGAAGTTTAGAGAAACAAGAATAAAAAGAAACGAACAAAGCCTCCAAGAAATATGGGACTATGTGAAAAGACCAAATCTACGTCTGATTGGTGTACCTGAAAGTGATGGGGAGAATGGAACCAAGTTGGAAAACACTCTGCAGGATATTATCCAGGAGAACTTCCCCAATCTAGCAGGGCAGGCCAACATTCAGATTCAGGAAATACAGAGAACACCACAAAGATACTCCTCCAGAAGAGCAACTCCAAGACACATAATTGTCAGATTCACCAAAGTTGAAATGAAGGAAAAAATGTTAAGGGCAGACAGAGAGAAAAGTTGGGTTACCCACAAAGGGAAGCCCATCAGACTAACAGTGGATCTCTCAGCAGAAACTCTACAAGCCAGAAGAGAGTGGGGGCCAATATTCAACATTCTTAAAGGAAAGAATTTTCAACCCAGAATTTCATATCCAGCCAAACTAAGCTTCATAAGTGAAGGAGAAATAAAATACTTTACAGACAAGCAAATGCTGAGAGATTTTGTCACCACGAGGCCTGCCCTAAAAGACCTCCTGAAGGAAGCACTAAACATGGAAAGGAACAACTGGTACCAGCCACTGCAAAATCATGCCAAATTGTAAAGACCATTGAGGCTAGGAAGAAACTGCATCAACTAACGAGCAAAATAACCAGCTAACATCATAATGACAGGATCAAATTCACACATAACAATATTAACTTTAAATGTAAGTGGACTAAATGCCCCAATTAAAAGACACAGACTGACAAATTGGATAAAGAGTCAAGACCCATCAGTGTGCTGTATTCAGGAAACCCACCTCACGTACAGAGACACACATAGGCTCAAAATAAAAGGATGGAGGAAGATCTACCAAGCAAATGGAAAACAAAAAAAGGCAGGGGTTGCAATCCTAGTCTCTGATAAAACAGACTTTAAACCAACAAAGATCAAAAGAGACAAAGAAGGCCATTACATAATGGTAAAGGGATCAATTCAACAAGAAGAGCTAACTATCCTAAATACATATGAACCCAATACAGGAGCACCCAGATTCATAAAGCAAGTCCTAAGTGACCTACAAAGAGACTTATACTCCCACACAATAATAATGGTAGACTTTAACACCCCACTGTCAACATTAGACAGATCAACGAAACAGATAGTTAACAAGGATACCCAAGAATTGAACTCAGCTCTGCACCAAGCAGACCTAATGGACATCTACAGAACTCTCCACCCCAAATCAACAGAATATACATTTTTTTCAGCACCACACCACACCTATTCCAAAATTGACCACATACTTGGAAGTAAAGCTCTCCTCAGCAAATGTAAAAGATCAGACATTATAACAAACTGTCTCTCAGACCACAGTGCAATCAAACTAGAACTCAGGATTCAGAAACTCACTCAAAACCACTCAACTACATGGAAACTGAACAACTTGCTCCTGAATGACTACTGGGTACATAACAAAATGAGGGCAGAAATAAAGATGTTCTTTGAAACCAACGAGAACAAAGATACAACATACCAGAATCTCTGAGACACATTCTAAGCAGTGTGTAGAGGGAAATTTACAGCACTAAATGTCCACAAGAGAAAGCAGGAAAGATCCAAAATTGACACCCTGATATCACAATTAAAAGAACTAGAAAAACAAGAGCAAACACATTCAAAAGCTAGCAGAAGGCAAGAAATAACTAAAATCAGAGCAGAACTGAAGGAAATAGAGACACAAAAAACCCTTCAAAAAATTAATGAATCCAGGAGCTGGTTTTTTGAAAGGATCAACAAAATTGATAGACTGCTAGCAAGACTAATAAAGAAGAAAAGAGAGAAGAATCAAATAGACACAATAAAAAATGATAAAGGGGATATCACCACCGATCTCACAGAAATACAAACTACCATCAGAGAATACTACAAACACCTCTATGCAAATAAACTAGAAAATCTAGAAGAAATGGATAAATTCCTCGACACATACGCCCTCCCAAGACTAATCCAGGAAGAAGTTGAATCTCTGAATAGACCAATAACAGGATCTGAAATTGTGGCAATAATCAATAGCTTACCAACCAAAAAGAGTCCAGGACCAGATGGATTCACAGCCGAATTCTACCAGAGGTACAAGGAGGAACTGGTACCATTCCTTCTGAAACTACTCCAATCAATAGAAAAAGAGGGAATCCTCCCTAACTCATTTTATGGGGCCAGCATCATCCTGATAACCAAAGCCACACAGAGACACAACCAAAAAAGAGAATTTTAGACCAATATCCTTGATGAACATTGATGCAAAAGTCCTCAATAAAATACTGGCAAACCGAATCCAGCAGCACATTGCAAAGCTTATCCACCATGATCAAGTGGGCTTCATTCCTGGGATGCAAGGCTGGTTCAATATATGCAAATCAATAAATGTAATCCAGCATATAAACAGAACCAAAGATAAAAACCACATGATTATCTCAGTAGATGCAGAAAAGGCCTTTGACAAAATTCAACAAACCTTCATGCTAAAAACTCTCAATAAATTAGTTATTGATGAGACGTATCTCGAAATAATAAGAGCTATCTATGACAAACCCACAGCCAATATCATACTGAATGGGCAAAAACTGGAAGCATTCCCTTTGAAAACTGGCACAAGACAGGGATGCCCTCTCTCACCACTCCTATTCAACATAGTGTTGGAAGTTCTGGCCAGGGCAATTAGGCAGGAGAAGGAAATAAAGGGTATTCAATTAGGAAAAGAGGAAGTCAAATTGTCTCTGTTTGCAGACGACATGATTGTATATCTAGAAAACCCCATCATCTCAGCCCAAAATCTCCTTAAGCTGATAAGCAACTTCAGCAAAGTCTCAGGATACAAAATCAATGTACAAAAATCACAAGCATTCTTATACACCAATAACAGACAAACAGAGAGCCAAATCATGAGTGAACTCCCATTCACAATTGCTTCAAAGAGAATAAAATACCTAGGAATCCAACTTACAAGGGATGTGAAGGACCTCTTCAAGGAGAACTATGAACCACTGCTCAGTGAAATAAAAGAAGATACAAACAAATGGAAGAACATTCCATGCTCATGGGTAGGAAGAATCAATATTGTGAAAATGGCCATACTGCCCAAGGTAATTTACAGATTCCATGCCATCCCCATCAAGCTACCAATGACTTTCTTCACACAATTGGAAAAAACTACTTTAAAGTTCATATGGAACCAAAAAAGAGCCCGCATCACCAAGTCAATCCTAAGCCAAAAGAACAAAGCTGGAGGCATCACGCTACCTGACTTCAAACTATACTACAAGGCTACAGTAACCAAAACAGCATGGTACTGGCACCGGAACAGAACAGAGCCCTCAGAAATAACGCCACATATCTACAACTATCTGATCTTTGACAAACCTGACAAAAACAAGAAATGGGGAAAGGATTCCCTATTTAATAAATGGTGCTGGGAAAACTGGCTAGCCATATGTAGAAAGCTGAAACTGGATCCCTTCCTTACATCTTATACAAAAATTAATTCAAGATGGATTAAAGACTTAAACGTTAGACCCCAAACCATAAAAGCCCTAGAAAAAACCTAGGCATTACCATTCAGGACATAGGCATGGGCAAGGACTTCATGTCTAAAACACCAAAAGCTATGGCAACAAAAGCCAAAATTGACAAATGGGATCTAAATAAACTAAAGAGCTTCTGCACAGCAAAAGAAACTACCATCAGAGTGAACAGGCAACCTACAACATGGGAGAAAATTTTCACAACCTGCCCATCTAACAAAGGGCTAATATCCAGAATCTACAATGAACTCAAACAAATTTACAAGAAAAAAGCAAACAACCCCATCAAAAAGTGGGTGAAGGACATGAACAGACACTTCTCAAAAGAAGACATTTATGCAGCCAAAAAACACATGAAAAAATGCTCACCATCACTGGCCATCAGAGAAATGCAAATCAAAACCACAATGAGATACCATCTCACACCAGTTAGAATGGCAATCATTAAAAAGTCAGGAAACAACAGGTGCTGGAGAGGATGTGGAGTAATAGGAACACTTTTACACTGTTGGTGGGACTGTAAACTAGTTCAACCGTTGTGGAAGTCAGTGTGGCGATTCCTCAGGGGCCTAGAACTAGAAATACGATTTGACCCAGCCATCCCATTACTGGGTATATACCCAAAGGACTATAAATCATGCTGCTATAAAGACACATGCACACATATGTTTATTGTGGCACTATTCACAATAGCAAAGACTTGGAACCAACCCAAATGTCCAACAATGATAGACTGGATTAAGAAAATGGGGCACATATACACCATGGAATACTATGCAGCCATAAAAAATGATGAGTTCATGTCCTTTGTAGGGACATGGGTGAAATTGGAAATCATCATTCTCAGTAAACTATCGCAAGGACAAAAAACCAAACACCGCATGTTCTCACTCATAGGTGGGAATTGAACAATGAGAACACATGGATACAGGAAGGGGAACATCACACTCAGGGGACTGTTGTGGGGTTGGGGGAGGGGGAAGGGATAGCTTTAGGAGATATACTTAATGCTAAATGACGAGTTAATGGGTGCAGCACAGCAGCATGGCACATGTATACATACGTAACTAACCTGCACATTGTGCACATGTACCCTAGAACTTAAAGTATAATAATAATAAAATAAAATTTAAGAAAAAAAAATTTAAAAAAAAAGAAGAAGAAATAGGAGTAGAAGAAGACCCAGCTAATGGTTTTAGCTTTGCCCCAACAATTTGATTCATTTTTATTAGTCATCTCTTTATTCTTGGTTTTCTCAACTGTAAAATTAGTGAGTTAGATGATCCTGCCAACTAGACCACTTCTTTCTTTCTGATATATCCTACAGTCCAGTGTCAAGAGGCTGTGATGTTGGTTGGTGCCACAGGACAACTCTTAATCCTACTTAATCTAATTTAAATAAGTGCTGAGCACTTCTTTTGGCAACTCCAAATCAACCTGGTCAGGAGAAACTCTACATGCAACTCAGCAATCTATCTGCATAGAAAAGAATCATTATTCCCTGCTTTAATGTTTGACCATATTCTTCACAAGAACTGCTGCATGATCATATCTGAATTTCACTGTTTAATTATCTATCTTCTTATCCTTCAACCTAGACATAGAAATCATCTTGGGCCACATATTAGTCTGTTTTCATGCTGCTATAAAGCACTTACTAAAACTGGGTAACATATAAACAAAACAGGTTTAATTGACTCACAGTTCCACATGACTGAGGAGGCCTCCAGAAACTTACAATCATGATGGAAGGCAAAGGGGAAGCAAGTCACAACTTACATGGTGACAGGAGAGAGAGAGACATTCAGGTGGTGAACTGCCAAACACTTTTAAACCATCAGAACTCATGAGAACTCACTCACTATTATGAGAACAACATGGGGGAGACCGCCCCCATGAGTCAATCACCTCTCACCAAGTTCCTCCCTGGATATATGGGGATTACAATTCGAGATGAGATTTGGGTGGGGACACAAGCCACATTGCACAGATTATCTTGTTACTTTTGCCATTGTCTTGGGTCCTGGCAATCTGTATCTCTTCTTCCACTGGCCCCCTAAACTTGCCTATGATAAAGTTGGAATCCTCTTGTCTTAAGTAATCTTTCTCAGTATTAATTATTTTTAGCTTGTTTTGTAGTTGTTAAAGCAACTTCAACACTGGCATATGAATTCAATTCAAAGCATTGAACCCTTGTGCCACATAGTTCTATACCTACCTGTAGTCCAACAGCCTGGATAACCTCTAAGGCCTTTTCAAGTAATAACATTCTATGATGTCATGGTGCTGTAGCAGTTGTATTAAACATAAAACATTCAGTGAAAGAGACATGCTGGGCTGCAGTTAAAAGACTAGATCATGAGCAGATTTTCAAAAATCGTCATTCACCGGGGCAAAATGGTTTCAGGTTTTCCAACCAGAAATAACTGCATAATACCACTATTATAAAACAGTGGTATACCACTTCATACCTATAAAAATATAGGTACGAAGCCCTATACTCTCAGAATATACAAAAAGCACATCTGTGCTCTATTGTAGGTGAATTATAGAATGATGGGAAGTGCCTAGGATCCCAAGCAATTTTCTCTATTTCCTAAAAATGAGTGGGAGTCCGTATGTACTTTTCTTGTGATGTGTTAATTACCATGACTAATACTTCACCAAACCTTCTCTTTTTCTCTTGGTTGTGGGGGTAGGGTGGGGGTGGTGAGATGCTTTTGAAAAAAACACATCAGAACAAATACATCCAAATTAATGGACTTCCTCAAAGGGCACGCCCTTCGCCTAACAATGCCAACAGGCATGCAAACTCCTCTGAGCTGTACCTTGGGAAACACTTTCAATGCCAGTTTTTTAAGAACATTTTTAAAAATGTCATATCACTTTATGTACGTATACTGTATATTTGGAGAAGAAAAGTCAACTTGATTGATTACCCAGCTCACTGAGCCATTTAGGTTAGCAGGCTTTACCATGAAACACTTGGGGATTTTTTTCTAGAAACCACAGTGACCCACAAAGTCTTATAATCATGACCCATAAATCTTACAGACATTTACACACTGTGCCAAAAGCTGAGGAGGAAAACCTAAAAAAGAAGTTTCAAAGATGTTTTTGTTAGTGACAACATCAATTACAATATGTTTATGGTCTCTTAAGATAAAATATTTTTAAGGTGTTATACTCATTAGGAAGTATAACTTCTGGCCTGCATGTTGTATGTATATTATTTTTTATTTAGCCACCACTCATCTATATATCTTTATAACACTTTATTTCAGAAATAATTTAAAACAGTTTATAAGGAGACATTAAAATACAAGAAATAGCAAAAATTAAAAGTGAAGCAAAAGAAGTACTAAAAAGAAAATCACATTAAGGACATAAATAGAGAACAGGAATGAAGTTTACAATGCACATCATAGTGTGAACTTATGACCCAAAATGTGGCAGGTAGCCAATGGGAAAAAGAAAACCAGGTCAGCTACACAATTCACAATGTTCGGAAGAAAGGAAGCAATTCAACTGCTCAGGGAGAATTGTGTAACTTACAGGATTTCCTTTTCCCATTAACCCATAGGCAGATCCAGTCAAGCTTTTCCTCAGAAAATGGTTTTGAATAAATTCTATGTCCTGGGTGGCTCGGTGAATGAGACCCCAAATTCTGTTCCACGTTGAATACTTCATGGAATATAGCTGTAATACTCATAGCTTTAACATTTTTGAGGCATGTGTAATAAGACACTTGCCTTTATCAAAATAAGATTTTAACAAAGAATATCTAACTTTGAATAATGTTTATTCCTCCAAGAAAAAAATATATTTGCAAATATCTCCTAAAGTTACTTGATTAGGCCACTGTTTGGTGGGATTAGTATGTAATAAATCATCAAAGTTTAAAGAATGCCATCCAAAATATATTTTATCATAGAATAGTTGATATACCTTCTCTTTAAGAAATATATTCGGCTAGTTTACTTTTTTAATGGTTGCAGTATCTTATCACATTCCTCTGAAGATATCAGTTATATTCACATACATGTTCAAAGAGGCTTGTACATGGGTCATCTTTGCACATTGCATATAATAAGGCAAAATTGGAAAGTGCTTAAATGTCCTTCAACAAGGTAAGGGTTAAACACTATATGACACATCCTAGAACACTATGCACATACTAAAATGAATAAGGTGCAGTTAAATTGAGTCTTATGAGAAGATTCTAAAACATATTTGCATTCCTTTTCTGTTTGCTTTATTAATTCTGACCTTTGCTGGTCATTTTTCTATTTGTTGATTCTGATGGCTTTTTTCATAATGTTAGTTTTTCCAACAACTTAATGACTCTTGGTAGTGTGTATCTTTTATTTTGAGATTCTCTATTAGCCTATCTGAGAATACTATACAGTTGACCCTTCATATCTATGGGTTCCACATCTGTAGACTGAACCATTACAGATGGAAAATATTCTAGATAAATAATACAAATAAAAAATAATACAGTATAATAACTATTTACATAGCATTTACATTTTATTATTTGTAAGTAATCTAGAAACTATTCAACTTGTACTGGAGGATATATGTAGGTTATATGCAAATATGCTATTTTACATAAGAGAGTTGAACATATATGGATTTTGGTATCCATAGGAATCCTAGAACCAATCCCCCAGTGGATAGTAAGGGACAACTGTATTTGTCACTATTCATTATAGGGAGAGAACATGCTGCTTCGTAAGACAGGCCTATCTTATTAGTATTAGGACCCTCCCTGGCATATGATATCAACAACCTGGGGCACTGTCCTTTCTCTGAGGCCCGAGTCTCATTCATTGTCTCTGCAGGGGGAAACATTTCTGCTGTCTGTCGCTTGGCACAATTGAGAGGAGCAAATATTGCTGGTTCTCACAGCTTCTCCTTCTGTAGAACCTCACACAGTCATTCTGAGAATTGTTCCAGAGCCTCTTTCTCCTCTGTTGGCAACTCCTGATTTTGAACCTCCCTGACACTGCTCCTATTTTGTGTAGAAAAACTACGCTGTTCATGTTTTAGACAGTCGGTTTGCTATTCCAATCCAATCTGAACTAATTACTTCAGGGATTTCTTATAACATACATCCATCCATCTACAGGATCTGTTCTGGTTTTTCAGCATTGTTACAGATTTTAGTTTTAAAATCTATGCTTGTATTATTTCTAGGAATTTGAAGTGGGAATAGAGGCAGGTATGTTTTTTCAGTCCCCTCTTGCTCTCTTTTTCATAAATATCCAATTGAAACTTCCATGGGGACTGGGTTGATAGAATAGATTAATTTAAGAAGCATTTGCATTCTTACCGATTCTTCCAATACATGAACAATTATTTCTATTTCCCCATGTATTTTCCTTATAAAATGTTATAATTCTACTCACATAGGTCTTAGACACTTTTTATTAATTATTCCTAGGTATTTTGTTCTTTTGTTACTATTGTGAATGAGATCTCCTTTTTCATTAAAATTTCTAACCAACTCCTATTGGTATATTAGGAAAGCTATTGATTTTGATATACTCATTTTGTAACTGACCACCTTGCTTAGCATTTTTATTTTTTCTAACAGTTTTTAAATTGATTCTCTTAGAGTTGCCAGGCAGATGGTCATGGGACAATGTGAAATATGTGTATCAGTATTTTCATTTCAATATTGTTTGCTGTACAGAAAAGTAGAAAATAATATTAATCTCCATCAACAGGAAAATAAGAAATAGATTAAATAAATTATGATGCTTACAGATGATAAAGCACCAAGCAACCTTTGAAAGCAAACATATGTGGAAAGAAATCCACATGTGAAAAGAAAAAATAAAAGGATACCAGATAGCATAAGTATTTTAACCCAATTTCCTCATTCTTACATAAGACTCTTTATGTGTATGTTGTGTATATGCAAAGAAAGAAAAAGAAAGAAAGAAAGGAAGGAAGGAAGGAAGGAAGGAAGGAAGGAAGGAAGGAAGGAAGGAAGGAAGGAAAGAAGGAAACAAGGAAAGAAAAAAGAAAAAGTTTAACAGTTATATAACCAAATATTTAAAATGGTTAGATTTTGTTTGCCTAAAAGACCTGCAATGACAATGTCCTACTTTTTTGTAATAAGAAGAAAATAAGCCAGGCATGGTGGTTCATGCCTGTAATCCCAGCACTTGGGAGGCTGAGGCAGGTGGATTGCTTGAGCTCAGGAGTTCAAGACCAGCTTGAGCAACATGGCAAAATTTTGTCTCTATAAAAAATACAAAAATTAGCCAGTCATGGTGGCATGCATGTCCCAGCTACTGGGGAGGCTGAGGTAGGAGGATCACTTGAGCCCAGAAGGTCAAGGCTTCAGTGAGCTGAGATCATGTCACAGCACTCCAGCCTCAGTGACAGAGTGAGATCTTGTCAAAAAAAAAAAAAAAAAGAAGAAGAGGAAGATGACAACAACGATGATGACAACAACGACAAAGAAGAGGAAGACAAAGTTAAAGAAGAAGAAGTAGGAGAAGACACAGAGGTGTTGTTTAAATGTATGTTGCTGGGCGGCTTATTATCATTCACAACAAACATTTTCTGACATATACCATGCTCTCCATGTGACTAGCCACACCATTCTGGCCTATGTAAACTAGTCCACGTGGTGAGATGAGTGGGTAAGCTAGCCAATTAGGGTTCTTCCACTGGAGTAGAGACTGTAAGAGAGAATGATTATAGAGTATTCTCAGAGGCTATCTTAAAAAAGATGAGCTAGACAAAGTTCAGGCTGAGGAATCAGTTTATGGAGTTTTACCATGAAGTCACATCCAATATGGATGGAGTAATTCCAGCAAGGCTGATAAATTCATGGGCATCTCAAACATTGATACTGCTCAATCTAACACTAGCTGAGTGTGTTGCATGTAAATTATTCAGGCCATGTAAACATATCCTGGTACAAGTCTTAAAATTAAATTTGGATGGGAGAAGATAACTAATTGCTAACTCTAGGATATTAGCACTCAAAAAAGCTCTCTGCTTTTAAAAATGAGGCTGATCATATGAGCAGAAATACTCCAAGAGGTACTATCCATACATTGACTATTAATCTTCATCTATGGCAAAATTTCTGATACATAAATATGGGAAGTTGAACACGTGCCTTTATTACAGTTCAATTAAAACCCCACAGAAACATAGAATGTCATGATGGGATAGTTATTTACTGGTTATTGAGTGTAGTCAAAACCAGAAAAAGTTAACATCTTGTCTACAATATACTCACGTATGGTCAGAAAAAGTCAAAACTCCTGTCATGGTAGTATAAAGGACTTTTCATTGATCCGAGGAATGTCAACAAGCATTGTATAGGGAAAAGGAGATATTCGTTAACATAATGGACAAAATCTGATTGAAGATGAAAGTTCTTCACTTCACTCTCTGTTATCATCTCTGCTGCCTTACTTTTCCCCCAACTCTGGCTTCCCTCAGTGCCTTAGGATGGCTATAGCTAATCTAGATACCATATCCAGACTTGACAACATATATATCCAAATCTCTTTCTAATGATCAAGGGAACTCACCCAGAACCCTTTAGCAGATTTATGTTCATTGAACATAATTGAGTCACATGCCCATCTCTCAGCCAGTCACAGCAAATGACATGGGATCTTCTAGATTGGTTTTGAGTAATCAAGATTCAATCTCCAAGTCTGAGGTGAGGATAGCTTTCCCTGAAGCATGTGTGCACATGGAAAAGGCAAGACATTGTGTGAAACTGTAGTTGTTTCATTAGAGGAAGATGAGGGTGGGAGGAAAGGTGGGTAGGCAACCAACAGACAACACAAAGAAACAAGTCTAAGATCACTACAGCAAGAACAGCTTACTCATAGTCCCCAGCATTTGTCCTCAGGTTTTTATCTCTGTATCTAGTTATTATTAACTGCTTCATAAGGAAGGGCACACTCTACTTCTCTAGAAATCTGAATTTCACCTAACATTTTAGGTTCAGTTGAATCCCACCTTGAGCTTATTGACCTCTCCCTAGAAGCAGTGGTCCTCTAAGGCTAACCTGACATCTGACTAAAAGATCTTGTAGAAGCCATACACTCCATTGGCTGTCCTGTTGCTCTGGGAATGTTAAGCTTCACCCTGGGCTATTGCCATGCCTCTGGCTCAAGCAGCCATATGCCTGGAGTTTCTCATTCTCTCACCTCTTCTGGAGTTGTATGAAATACCACGCTGCAAGTAAGAAGGTGTGGCATCCCAGGTTGCCACTAAAAAGGCCACATGATGTAAAGCAGAAAGTGGGGGAGAGTTATGTTCCATGAGATGTATTTGGACCAATGAGAAAATGAAGCTGGGGAGAGGGCTGGGCAAATAAATTTCACCTCCTTTATTGCTCTCATGGACTTCTCTGAGCTGGAGTTTCTCCAACCAGGCTGGAGACATCCTTTAGATTCAGTAAATACATTAGCCAAGCAAACCAGAATGTCTCCCGATGTTGATTATAAAGCAATGGTGAGCACAGCAATGCAGCATTTCATGTCACTTCACATCTTTCTTTTCTCTTTTCCTCACTCTCCTGCTCTAGACTACATCTCCCATATAAAGCCTCAGCTTTTCACCCTTTCCTCAGACTCTACTTTCCAAGAACCCAGGCTATGATAGACATTACAAAGAGCTATGGGATAGATGCCTCTCTGGACCACCCAACATTTGCTTAGCCAAAAAAGGAACATGGAACATTCTGGCTTCGGTCCCACAGGCAAAGTTTGCATAAATTATACAACAAAATGGGTATTCATTTTCTGGGTATTTTGGAAAGAAGATTTAATTTTTGTATCAACAACATAATTCATGACATCGTACATATTTACTTACAAAAATGTAAAACTATTGTATACTATGTAAAATCTATAAAGCATATAACATGACTGTACTGCAGAGGCAATATCCAAATCTTCCAAATGTACATCCTTGGCTGACTGACTGACATTTAAACAAATCATAAGACCAGTTACTTCATCCAATCAGAACTCAGCAATGCCTTGAGCCCCCAAAGTTGCTTGCTTATATCATCTATTACAACTCATGACTAAATTTTGATAGCAGGTTATGTAGAATTTTATAAGCTACAGAAATCAACTAAAAAATTGAATTGTCATGAATAATGACTGACAATAAAATAATCATAGAAATGATCATAGAGAGAATGTGACAAAGGTGGAAAATTTGAGTCAGATTAGGTAAAAATAATTTTTAATTGGTCACCTATGAATTAAGAATGCATTCTGCTTGTGTGACATTTGCCTGAAGAATTGTTCACCTAGAACCAATCCCCTCACCTTCTTCTGAGTTTCCACTGCCCTATAACTTTGCTATTTATCATGAACTGTTTTCATGCTTTTGTTCATGCTTTCCCGTCTGTCTGAGACACCTTTCCTTTTTTAGCTCTCTACTTCTAACTCAGTTCTTGTGTTACCCTCTTAAAGAGCCTGCACCATTAGGCAGTGGTTGGCATACTACATCCCATGGGCCACATTGGTCTCACCCCTGGTGTTTTAATAGCCTGACAGCTAAAAATAGTTTGTACAGATAAACATTTGCAATCAATCTGATGATGGGAAACACTATCTTTGAGTTCCAGTTAAGCAAGATGTTATCTACCTCCCAACAACAGCAATAACATAAAGTCCTTCTCCTTGATAGAATATCTGCATTACAAAAAACAATGGACTCAATTATTATTAATATACTGAATTATTTCAAAAAAATTTATGGATATTTCTTTCCTCTCTTGTTATATAAATACCTGTACAAGATCTTTGATTTTGCCTCTTGGCCCACAAAGCCTAAAATATTTACCAGCTTGCCTTTTAAAGAGAAAATCTACTAATTCCTGCTCTGGAATCATGGAGCCCAAAGCAGTCAGAAAACTTATCTATTCAGCACCTGAATATCCAGATAAAGAAACCTATGCCCAGAGAAGGAATGAGTCCTGCCTGCCCCCTGTTTTGCAGCAGCCCTAAGATGGGTCTCCCAAGCCTCTGGATGCACCATGCTCCTCCCCAACTCAGAGCTCCACAGATGTTTGTTAAGTGAAACACGATTTCTCAAAGAACATGAAAACCAGACAGTATGCCCAATCGCCATCACATATACCTCTCCTCTTCTAACTTTTTCTCCTTGTTTAATTTAATGGAAATCCAATGCTTGGCTGAAATTCAAACCTCACTCTGGCTGCAGTAAGTGCTTGAAGATGTTATGTGAGAAGCAGCTGTGAAGAAGGAGTGCAATCAGTTAAGTGTGAACAGGATTGAAAGCCTGAAAAGACTCCTACAGCCTAATAATGTCTTATTAAAAAGCTCTGGCAAGGCTGCACCAGCTTGACAGTTGGCCCTCACCTTTCATCTTTCTTTTCAAACAGCTCAGTAAAACCCATCTATCTACCTCTGTCTGAAGACCTGCCATTCCACAAGGCAGAACTTTTCACCTGGGGCACAGTGTTTACATTGGAACTCCATACATCATATTTACAAAAAAGGCCAGACACAACTGAGCAGCCTGCCTGCACATTATATTTAAATTTACTATTTTTTAAAAGAGGTCCTTTTAAAAAATACATTAAATTTGTGCTAGTAATAAAAGAGCTATTTGAACTTGTGTGATTTGTGTTTAAAGGTCATCAGCTGTATGAAACCTGTTCTGTGGAGACTGTAATGGAATGGCTGAGAGCTGAAAAATATTGAGCTGTTTTCCCTCCGTGTTTATAAAACTTATTTAAAAGCATGTTGATTATAAATACTTTTAAACTATTTACTTCTCTAGCAGTTGTGCTTGGGAAAATTAGAATCCCAACTCGCATGTTTAATGAGACAAGTCAAGTTCAGAGAGAGAGAGAGAGGGATACATACATACACATATACATACATACGGTGTTATTATTGCAAAAAAAAACACACATGATTCTCTGAGCAAATGCTTGATGATGAAGATCATGTATAGTCTAAAGCTCAGAGATAGGATTTGTAGCCAAGCACACTGTGCTTAATTTATAGGGTAAGTTTTAGAAATAATATTCACATTATGGTGGTAGTTGGCTGGGGGTTTTTTCTATGTATTCCTACCTGCATTCTTGTCACAGCCAGTCTATGGATTGTGCCTGAGACAGGATGCTTGTGAGGACAAAGCCATGGTGGTCACTCCTACTGAGCTTTTTCTTGAAACAGCTTCTTTCTTTCCAACCCATTCAGATATATTCTGTATAAATAAAATCCTCAGTAGACCATAAAAATATTGTTAGTGTTCATTTGGGAAAAAAAAAATCAAAGATCCAGAAATGTTTTGGCAGCTTAAGAAATAAAGGCATTCTATTTTAAGAGTAAAAGTAACATATGCTTCACTAATGTGTCGGAAGAAGGGAGAATGAAGGACCCGTAGAACTGAAGAGTCTGAGGAAGGAGGTGGTAAGGAGGGAAAAGCAAGAAGTATCTGTCACATTTGTCATTTTCCTACCTTTTCCAGGGTATGTTCCTTTATGTTTCTGAAGCATTAACACATTTTCGTTTTCAGAATAGCATAGTGGAAGGAAGGAGAACTCATCAATGGAGAGAACCAACTTTGCCATCAGACAATCTGGACCTGAATCCCAATTCTACTACTAAGTCATTTTCTAATATCTCTGAACCTCAGTTTCCACAAACACAAAATGATTATACAAGCAAGGCTTGTTTGTTATGACGATTACTTTAAATAATCCATGTAAACAACTCACAGAGGCTCCTGACTTTGACAGGCACTGTGCAAAATGTAATGAGATAAAGAATAAGTGCAAGTTCGTAGTGCATGGAGAACTCCGTGGTGCATGGAGAACCACAGAGCCAGCTCAGGGTGCTGTCAAGAAGATCCTCCATGGCTCTTTGTTGTCCCCCAGCAGCTTGAAGTTGAATGCTGGAGAGAGCTTTAAGGCCTTGGTGGTTCTTAAATTGGACTGCACATCTGAGTCATCTGAGGAACTTTCTGTTTTAAAATCTAGACTTTTGGGCCTTGCTTCACATCTACTGAATTAGAATCTCTGGGTTGGATTTCTGACATTAGTATTTTTAAAAAATAACTCCCTAGTGATTCAAGTAAGCAACCAAGTGTAGGACCTTCTGATTTAATCCACCTTCCCTCAAATAAAGGAATTCTTTCTTCAATTTCCTTGCTTCAACCTCTTTGGGGTACTTCAACACTCTCAAGCAGCCAGGATCATCTGTCATGTCATTTCAGTTGTTAGTGATTTTCTACGAAGTGCAAAAATCTTAAAATTTCTACACCCCCATATTAGTTCTTAGTATGGAACAATCCATCTTATGTAATAACTTTTCTAAAATGTGGAGGAGGCTAATCATTGGGTCTGCTTTACATCTTTTTTCTTTCTTTCTTAAGCTCCTTCAAATATTTTTCCCAGGACATGGTCTCTAAACCAACTCATCATCATCTTCACCTTAATAAATGTTCAATTATAGTATTCTTCCTTAAAAGATCATGCCAGAAGACAACAGAATTTTCTGTGTGGCCTAGTCAGCATAAAAAATCATTTTATAATCTTCTCCTGAGCAATCTAATGTTTTATTACTTAGTTTATCTCTTTTGACAACTATCTAATATTGTTCAGGCTGTGGTCCATCAAAATCCCGGACATTCTTCAGAAGCTGCTGCAAAACTGTCTTCCTTATTTTTAGTCCCATGTTTAACCTTTTGAGAAAAATTTAGCATCATATTTTTCCCACTCTTAAATTTCCTTTGGAAGATCTTGATCTATCATTTTAATCTGTGGAGAGGATATATAGAAATTTTATTGTAATTAACATATTCATTATTCTTCCTTGCTTCAGTCATTTTATTCAGCCATTGGCTTAAAAAAGACCAAGAGTTCTAAGACCAAAAGTTGAGGCCTGTGGAACACCACCAGAGACCTCTACCCACGTGGACATAGATCCATACAATCAGCTGTGAATCTAAAACTATGGAATGCTTTGCGGACCTTGAGAAGAATTCTAACTGGTGAACTCCAACAAGAATTCTTTATTCGATCTAACTCTAATTAGATCCACCAACCTCATCAAGGTACCTATAAAGATACTAAAGTTGACTTCAGATGTCTTCTTCTAAATGAATACAAACAAGTGGCAATGAATCCTCACTTTTTTAAGAGTATATAAACAATTTAATAATCTTTTTCAAAATTTTGTAAGATTGTGTCAAGCTTATCAATTAATATCAATCAGAAGCTAGCTTTGTGAGAATTAGAAAATCATTTGATTGTTACCATTTTTTACAACTCTTTTATAAGTCCTTGGAGATTAATGACAATGACTAAGTCTCAAAAATCATGCATCTAATTTCTGTTAGCCATGATTACTTTTATTCCCATGTACTTAAATTATTTTAAATCTACTGGATTTTCTTTTACTGACTCTTCATGGGCCACAACATCACCTTATTTTGTTTTTAGTTTCTTCTTTTCCATTGGAAAATGCTTTCACTTTATAGACAATGGAAACAAAAATAGGAATTGTGCATTCTCCTTTCTTTTCATCATGTTAACATCCAAATATTGTCTTCAGGATACAAGCTTGATACTTCCTCCAGTGTGCCTTTGGTACCCATTGTTCCAAAAATAGCTGAAACAGTTTTCAGTTTCACCATAATTCTGATAATTTCTCTAATCTTGACAATACTGTGCCCTGCTTTCAAATTTAACTTTGATCATTTGACATGTGAGGTTGAATAATTCTTTTTTGGGGGTTAAGGAACTACCCTGAACATGTAGGCTGTTTAGCCACATCCCTGGCCTCTGCCTACTGGATACCAGTAGCACATATTCAACTGAAAATGTCTTCTGACATTGTCACTAATTGACATCCAAGTTTTTGGAAATTTTCATAATCATGTGTCAAAATTTTTGGATTAAAATGCAATCTTCCTTGCCATGTGCCCCTTGGTATCCTGTAGCTGGTTCATACTTAACTTTGTTATTAGTATCTCCATGTAGTTGGGTCATACATCACAACTTCCTCTGGGGGATCCGGACTCTCACATCTATAATTCTAAGATATGGTCTCTTGAATCTGACATGTTCCTGATTTCATTTGCAAATCTGCCATTTTTAATCCATCAAAGAAAAACTTGAACACAATCCCAGACCTTCGCAGACTGTGAGATTAAGATAAAAATAGTGAAATCCTGAGACAATACTTAGACATTCTCAATGCTTCTAATTCCAATACCCACATTGGAATGGAAGAAACCAACCAGTGTGCCTTGGGCTGCTCCTTGCAAGCATTTCCCAAGAAATACTGATTTACATCAGAGGTATTATTTTTTTTTTCTCTCATGGGTTATTTCTAGCTACTTTTCTAACAAAGTTTTTTTCCCGGTCCCCACTGCCTGCCCTCCTTTGACTAGCACACTGCTAGATGTACTTTTTAGTGGTGTGTCCTTGTAATAAAGTCTACTGAGCAATACATAGAAGGGAGTATTCTTTCAAATGTCTTTTGGGGAGAAAGAAACCCATCCACAAAAAGAAAGGCAAGAATGTTCTTCTAGAAATTGCCTGCAGTGGCAAAAAGGAACACGCAGAAAAGGACAATTTTGTAATTCAAAGGTAATGCAAAAGTCAGAATTCCTGCCAACACAGAAGGATAGAAGAGCACAAGGTCCTAGAAGCGTAAACACTAGACATGTAAGGTCAGCAGGCTCTCTGTCTACACACAGAATGCTAGTCTAGCTGTGTAGAAGATAAGCTCCGTAATGTTTGCACATCTTTCCCACCTAAGTTCAGAGGATCTGCCTTCCTCTTTATGGCACTGTGAACCCAACTTCCTAAAAGTATTCAACACAAATTCTTCCCCAGGTGTTCTCAGGAAGTTTCCTGGGTCACCCACAAAGTATGTTTTATACTTGCCAGTAGCCACAGGGCCAACAATTTTCAAGCTATAGTGTGCATGAGAATCACCATGAAAGCTTATTTAAAATGCAGCATTCTGGGACCTGCTCTCCAGGACTTTACGATGTGTGAGCTGGGGCCTAGGAATTCACATTTTAATAATCAACACAGGTGATTCTGATGTATGGTTGAGAAACACAATCCCAGGTGTCCCAGGGGGAAACTGAGAAAACCTTGATACTGGGGCCTGGTCACATGGCCACAAAATCTATTTTATCATGGAATTCAGTATTTCTGTCTCCAAGAACAGTGCAGGGGCAAAGGGAAAACTTATCCTTCACTCTCTGAAAGTTCACTGAAAAATATACTGATAAAAGGCAGATTACCAAGCGAAAAGACATATCAAAATTTATTTTAACGTGCATAGTATGGGAAATTGTAGGAGAATAATTATTCGATAACCCAATTGGATACAGATATTTATATAATCTTCTTCATTAGGGCAAGGGAGATGAGGAAAATGTAGCAATTTGAGGGATAGTAAATGATTTTTAGGGGGATTCAATGGGCTTAGACAACACACAACAGCCTGTTACTAAGTCTATTGGGTCTACAAAGCAAACAATTGTTTGTGACAAAAGTCTGTCTAGATATGTTGACAGATTTTTGTCTCTCTTTCTGCAATTTGAGTTAAGTTAATGAAAACCCAGATAATGCAATTGTGTCCTTTGTCAGGTCCAGTTTCTAGGCAGATATAGGAACTTCAGAAAAAAAAAAAAGGAAAAAGAAAAAACCTTCAGCCTGTGCTTTGGGAGAGAGAGACCCTTGAGAGACAGGTGTTGGGTAGGGGTAGGAAGGTCAGAATGACTTTGATGCTGCTCCTTTAGTCCAGTATGTCAAAGTGTGTACTGGGAGTTATTGGTTTCTGAGTCACAACATTCCCATATCTGAAGGTCAGGGGAGGAAGCTCAGAGTGACCTTGAGGCCACTTCTTTAGTTCAGCACGTCAAAGGGCATATTGGTTTCTGAGCCCCAAAATTCCCACCTGAAACTTCCCTAGAAATTTTGCCTACTGAAAACTGAGTTGGTGGATGTGAAAAGAAAAACTGAGTTAGTAGCTAATTGACAAAGGATCCTATTAAAGTAATCTCATTCTGGGAATAGGCCAGTCCAATTACACAGTTGTGTCTCATTTTAGAAAACCGAGTTGCAAATGGGATCTTAAAGTTAGGCCTCTATATTCAGGCAAACAGATCTTTAATAAGAGACATGTTTATGAAATCGGAAAAAAAAACACATTAATGTCTGGAGCAGTCTATAAAGTAGGTTCATCTAGAGCAGAGGGCAGTCATCTGAGAAGACCAGTGGCAATCTGATAGATTTTCCTGGGTTGTAGTATATGTGTAAAGTTTGTCCAAATATAAACTATTGCAGTAATTTTTCTTTAAAGGCAAGTTGACTAGCTTCATCTTTCAGGGCTTTAGGAAAAAGGCAGTTTTAATTTTAGTAATTTCAAGTCAAAAAGGTGGGAGAAAAATTTAAAACATTAGTCAAGACAGTTGCAGCCAGATATTGGAGGGAACTACAACTTTAAAATTCAGTCCAGAATTTTAAAAAAACTAAAAAATGGACAGGGCTGTAATCTAATAACAAGTACACTATAGTTTCTTTTTTCTTAAATATAATTTTTCTCCCTCCAGTCCCACCTTTCTACAAAAGATAAATCATAGTAAGACTAGCTTGTAAAATAAGTTTAGTCTTTGACCTAATGATTACATAAATTTGGTAAGAATGACAATTGACCACATAGGCTCTTTTTAAGTTGGCTTCGCTAAAACTTTTTCATAAGGAACCTCAGATTAGACTTTTCTGAAAAGCCTCTCAAAGCTTTGGGGCCAAGCCAAGGATTCATCATCAGACTGTGCCCAAGTGAATTCCTCTTTTCTTGAGGTCTTAAAAATATCTTGAGGTTCCTAGGCCCACCAGAAACTGATATTTTTTACTTACCACAAGGCTAGAACCCTGTAAGGGAGCTGTGTTAACAAGATACCAGGCCAGTCTTTCCAAGGTAGAGTGGGTTCTGGCTCTGTAAAGTCAATCTGAAATCCCAGTTCCTTAAAGTTGTCTGATGATACTGAAGAAAGGACATCCCAGTAAAAGCCTTGGTAATATAACAATATTTCCAATAGTGTCTTGTTACTTAAAAAGAATTCTTATTGAATGTATGCTGACAGTATGCTGACAACTATATTGCCATAAAATAAAAATATCTATGAACAGTTTCCAAATTTTGGAGAGATCAGGTAGAGAGAAAAAGAAATGTTTTAATTTTTCTCACAGAAGAACACTTTACCAAATAGCTGTAAAGCTTCATAGAAAAAGAAATTTCCATAACTTTGGAAGACAAAACATAAAAAGAAGCAACAAATTTTTAAGCAAAAAAGTCATAAAAATCATTTCAACTCAACGTAATTAATTCTAATTAATTTTTGTTCTGCTTGATGTTGGATTACAATTTTATGAGTCCAGTTTTTTTTTTCATTAGAGTTCTGGAAATTTTTACCCAGTCCAATGATACAATCACAAAATTGCCAGAATGTGTATTTGTCAAAGCTTTTTCTCACCATTTTTATGAACCTCTTTGAAGACATACTTTAGGATTTGCAAACTGTTTTCAGGGGAAAAAAAAAAGCATCAGAAGAAGGCAAATAACTGTGGACAACCAGACTTAAAATGGCAATGGTTAAAGACAGAACTGACATGAAAATTTGGTCATTCATTTTTTGTGAACCATAACAATTCAACATAATAATCATAATAATGACTGATAGCATATACCAAGACATATCAGATTTTTGGGAATCACATGTAATTTTGGAACACATATTAATAACTTAAAAAGGTTGAACATAATTTTTTATTAGGGGATCCTTCCCATATAATTTAACATATAAAATAAATATGTTAGTTATCTCACTTTCAGATGCTTCAAGGTACCTTTGGAGCATCCCCAAATTAGTTTGAGGTCAAACGTAATCCATCACATAAACAGAACCAATGACAGAAACCATGATTGTCTCAATAGGTGCAGAAAAGGCCTTCGATAACATTCAACAGCCCTTCACGCTAAAAACTCTCAATAAACTAGGTATTGATGGAACACATCTCAAAATAATAAGAGCTATTTATGACAAACCCACAGCCAATATCATACTGAATGGGCAAAAGCTGGATGCATTCCCTTTGAAAACCGGCCCAAACCAACAATACCCTCTCTCACCACTCCTATTCAACAAAGTATTGGAAGTTCTGGGGAGGGCAATCAGGCAAGAGAAAGAAAAAAAAGCGTATTCAAATAGGAAGAGAGGAAGTCAAATTGTCTCTGTTTGCAGATGACATGATTGTATATTTAGAAAACCCCATCATCTCAGCCCCAAAACTCCTTAAGCTGATAAGCAACTTCAGCAGTCTCAGGATACAAATTCAATGTGCAAATATCACAAGCATTCCTATACACCAATAACAGACAAACAGAGAACCAAATCATGAGTGAACTTCCATTCACAATTGCTAAGAAGATAATAAAATACCTAGGAATCCAACTTACAAGGGACATGAAGAACCTCTTCAAGGAAGACTACAAACTACTGCTCAAGGAAATAAGAGAGGACACAAATAAATGGAAAAACATTCCATGCTCATGGATAGGAAGAATCAATATCATGAAAATGGCCATACTGCCCAAAGTAATTTATAGATTCAATGCTATTCCCATCAAGCTACCACTGAGTTTCTTCACAGAATTAAAAAAAAAAAAACTACTTTAAATTTCATATGAAACCAAAAAAGAGCCCGTATAGCCAAGACAATCCTAAGCAAGAAGAACAAAGCTGGAGGCATCACACTACCTGACTTCAAACTATACTATAAGGCTATAGTAACCAAAACAGCATAGTACTGGTACCAAAACAGATATGTAGACCAATGAAACAGAACAGAAGCCTCAGAAATAACACCACACATCTACAACCATTTGATCTTTGACAAACCTGACAAAAACAAGAAATGGGGAAATGATTCCCTATTTAATAAATGGTGCTGGGAAAACTGGCTAGCTACATGCAGAAAACAGAAAGTGGACCCCTTCCTTACACCTTATACAAAAATTAATTCAAGATGGATTAAAGACTTAAATGTAAGATCTAAAACTACAAAAACCCTAGAAGAAAACCTAGGCAATACCATGCAGGACATAGGCATGGGCAAAGACTTCATGACTAAAACACTAAAAGCAATGGCAACAAAAGCCAAAATTGACAAATGGGATCTAATTAAACTAAAGAGCTTCTGCACAGCAAAATGAACTATCATCAGAGTGAACAGGCAACCTACAGGATGGGAGAAAATTTTCACAATCTATCCATCTAACAAAGGGCTAATATCCAGACTCTACAAGGAACTTCAACAAATTTACAAGAAAAATCAAACAACCCAATCCACAAGTGGGCAAAGGTTATGAACAGACACTTCTCAAAAGAAGACATTTATGCAGCCAACAAACATTAAAAGAAAGCTCATCATCACTGGTCATTAGACAAATGCAAATCAAAAACCACAATGAGATACCATCTCACTCCAGTTAAAATGATGATCATTAAAAAGTCAGGAAACAACAGATGCTGGAGAGGATGTGGAGAAATGGGAACACTTCTACACTGTTGGTGGGAGTGTAAATTAGTTCAACCATTGTAGAAGACAGTGTGGTGATTCCTCAAGGATCTAGAACCAGAAATACCATTTGACCCAGCAATCCCATTACTGGGTATATACCCAAAGGATTATAAATCATTCTGCTATAAAGACACATGCACACACATGTTTACTGCAGCACTACTTACAATAGCAAAGACTTGGAACCAACCCAAATGCCCATCAATGACAGACTGGATAAAGAAAATGTGCCGCATATATATATATATATACATATATATACCATGAAATACTCTGCAGCTATAAAAAAGAATGAGTTCATGTCCTTTGCAGGGACATAGATGAAGCTGGAAATCATCATTTTTAGTAAACTATCACAGGAACAGAAAACCAAACACCGCATGTTCTCACTCATAAGTGTGAGTTGAACAATGAAAACACATGGACACAGGAAGGGGAACATCACACACTGGGGCCTGTCAAAGGGTGGGGGACAAGCGGAGGGATGGCATTACAACAAATACCTAATGCATGCAGGGCTTAAAACTTAGATGACAGGTTGATGGGTGCAGCAAACCTGCACATTCTGCACATGTATCCCAGAACTTAAAGTATAATAAAAAATACTTAATTTAGAATTTGAAATTTCATTTTGGGAAACTGTTAAATAAGTCCAAGTTTTAAAACACTTCAAAAATAGAATCACAGGTCACTGTAGGGTAATAGTCATTTGTTTAGCCAAAATGATAATTAAAAAAAAATTAAAAGCAAAATCTTTTACTCTTTGACAATGAGACAGCTTTTCAAATAATCAAAAGGCCTATTAAAGCTCTTTTGATTATATGATTAATAACATGGGACACACAGAATCTATGTCTCTCTTTCTTTTCTCTTCCCCTCTCTCTCTGCAATTTACTCAGAAGAGGAACAACAATGTTTTACTATCTTTTATTTATTCTACCAGAAAATCTCATTTAAAAGAGAAAACCAGATTTTAGTATTTTATTAGTATCCTTTTAATATTAAAGCCAATTTTAATAAAACTTGATAAATAAATCCATCCAATATCACTCAGCTTTGATCACATAAGGTAAGATTTCCACAAACCTTTTATATCCTCTTTCCATCTTTTTATTATCTTTCTTCCTCCAACTTTCTATATCCAATTGGTTTTATCTACATCATTCTTACTTTATCCCTTCATGTTGAAACAATCTTTACATATCCTTTAAACTAGACAAAGTTAACATTTTTCTCCACAAAGCCACCTTTTTTCTCCACAAAACCACAGGTCTTCATGGCTTTTTATAACTTTTCTCACCAAAAATACATCTTGTTTTTCTTGTACACACTGCACACAAAATTGTTTTCCATATTTCTGGTAATTTTAAGTACATACATTAAAACAAACATTATTTTTATTTACCAAAGATTACTAGAGTCACGTGAACTTAAAAAATAATTTAGGGTTATTTATTGAATTTATGAGTACTTATTATAAGTCAATTTGGTACCATGTAGACAATATAAAAAAGCCTGTTTAGACATATTCATATATATAGACACAACATTCAACACACACATGCATATATGTATGTATACAAAAGCCAAAGAGATTAGGGAGCTCAATGTAAGAGATCAGAGCTTGAGACCTAAAAGGAAACTGCCCACCTGCCCGTGATTCTTGGGGTTCACAAAAATACAGAGCACTCCAAAGTAAGGGGGTAGGTGGTGACTTCGCGCGCGCGCGCGCGCGCGTGTGTGTGTGTGTGTGTGTTTCTCAAGGGGGTCTCAGAGTCATTAGAGGTCCCCTCTAGACCCCTTCATGTGGCATCAAAGATGGCAGAAGGAAGGAGAAATAAAAGCAAAGGAAAGAACAAGTCTTTGAGCAGCCAATTTGTGGAGATTTTAAGCTTCTAAAAAAGGCCAATGAAATGTTACATTTTTCTCAGAAAAAAAAACATGCCAACAAGAAAAGAAGGACCAAACTTGTAATTAAAATGAGGTTTCAGTCAACTGAAGAAAAAAATCCCAAGAGAGAAATAGAATCCAAAAGAGAACAGAGAAACTTTAAAAAAAATATGGCCTGAATATCAGCTTTTAATTAAGCTGACTATTGACCACAGAGGGTTTTCCTTTAAATCTTTTAAATCTCTCATTATCCAACTTTAGCCAGGACAAACAGCCAATATTTATGGCCTTTGAACTTTTTTTTCACCTTTCTCTTCATCCAAAGTTACCTAGTGACTCAGAAACAAAACCAGTATCTTTATGACTTAACCAAGGATGTACGAAGGGTGTCCAAAGAAATGTCAAGAAGCAGTCCTCACAAGATCCAGAGTAACTCCCAAAGAAAGTTAAAGAAAAAAGCAACTTAGACAACAGAAAAACAATAGCTATCCAGGGGAGCAAAATAGATCAATAAATGGGTACCCGAAAAAAAGTAATAGTCACATAAATATAAATTTAAAACAGACAATTCAAGCTAACTTTTAAAAATATGATACTGTTTACTTAACTTCAAAAACATTTCAGTATTCTAAACATACAAAAAGTAAAACATGTTTAAGTATACAAGGTTCTCAAACTTTCTTTTCTTTACTCTTTTTTTTTTTTTTTTTTTGGCAGAGTCTTGTTCTGTCGCCCAGGCTGGAGTACAGTGATGTGATCACGGCTCACTGCAGCCTTGACCTCCAGAACTTAAGCGATCCTCTCACCTCAGTCTTCCAATAGCTGAGACTTCAGGCACACGTCACCATGCCTGGCTAATTGTTCATATTTTTTTGTAGAGATGGGGTTTTGCCATGTTGCACAGGTTGATCTCGAACTCCTGAGCTCCAGTAATCCACTTGCCTTGGCTTCCCAATGTGCTAGAATTATAGGCATAAGCCACTGCACCTGGCCAGTTCTTAAACTTTCACTGATACAGTGGCTGTTTGCTTTGCTAACAATGAAGGAGTCTATAGTTTGTTTTAAAACTACCACACTTAATGTAAAAAAAAAAAAAAATTCAACGATTTCTCGTGCCAGCTGATCTCCCTTTTTCTACAGCTAAAAATGGCAGCAGAATGTGATGTCATCATATATAAAAACAAAACAACCTAAAGCTAAATGGATGTTCATTGCAGTGGAAACAGGCCCAGCCTCATCATGCATGCCCTGAGCTGTGGTCCCTTGAAAAGGCATCATGCTCCACAGCCTCAACGCCAAGCAAGGGTCATCCAGAGTTTGTCTCAGTTGTTTTGTTCCTTTTACAAAATGTAGATGCATACAGTTAATAAGTAGGATTTCTAGTCAATAACCATATAGTTAACACCACCTTGCAAATTAAAAAAGAAATTCCAGAAACATCTTTAAATGCCTTGTCACACCAACAGCACAGTACAAAGAGTGAGGAGAACACAAGAATGCCTTTTCATTTTAAAAATGTTTAGAGATATATACAACTTTGATACTGTTTCTGGGTGTTCCAGGCACCCATGGCTACTTCACGTAAACCACTGACAATTTCTAGAGCACTTTGAGAGACTACAATATGATCATGATCAAATTTTGTAATTAAACCCAATGAGGGCAATAGACATTTCTTAAATAAGAGATACGTCCATTTGGTGCTCCCCTACTCTAAGATACTCACACAGAGTCAGATCAACAGTTATTATTCATCTTCCTCCCCCAACATCTCCTCTTCTTCCTCCTTGTCTTCTTTGTCTTCTTCTACCTTTTTCCAGGTAACGGTGAGTGGGGTCTTTTGAGCCACCAAACTTTCCTTTAGACTTAAAGTCGGCAACATCCTTCTCATACTTCTCCTTCAGCTTCACCGCCTTAGTGATGCAAGACTGCTTTTCACTGTCACTTAAACATCCCACATCTCACCCAGCAGTTTTTGGTCACATCTGCAACAGAGACGCCAGGTTTTGGGGATTTGATCTTGGGGTAGAATTCTGAACAGAACAGGAAGAATTCAGATGCTGGGCTTTAGCAGGCCTTATGGACCTTTTTCTTCTTGTGTCCCTTAGCTGGATCATAATCTTTCATTTCCCAGTCAGCATCCTTTACCCACCTTTGAGATTTTATCAAATTTATCTTCTCTTTTCCAAACTGTCTTTCACCTCTCAGATAACTTTTGAAAATTCTTAAAAAACTGACAGGGCCATCTGGTTTCAACTTCTTATGTTCTTCTCTGCATGTCTTCACAAAGAAGACATTAGCAGACATTTTGCCTTTCGGGTTTCTGAGGTCACCTTTAGCCATCCTTACTGTATCGTTCACTTGTCTTGGCAGTGCAGGGCACCATGTGAGGCTCAGTGCTCCTCAGCCTCATGCTAGCTGCCTCTGTGAGAGCCCCAACCTAATTTTTATAAATGTTTATTTTTCCTCCTGAATTTAAAGGATTTACATCCAGTACCTCCAACGGACTGGCTCCCTGACTGGGAATTGAACCTGGCCATGACACTGAAAGGATAGAATCCTAGCCACTAGTCTACAGGCTTGAGCTCCTTTTTTGCAAATCCCACAGAAGATCCAAAGCAGGCAGTTTGTGCATACAAAGGACTTCATTTTACATCTGATTTCTGCCTTTTAAAAAAAAATCTCGTAGAAGGAGTTTCTAAGGTTATGTTTCCTTTGTATCTTTTCATAGGTACCAATAAGATACCTGTTTAAAATGAGAGTACTCTAAAAAGTTTTTTATTAAATGTAGCTAATTTATTTATTCCATAAGCAAGTAAAACCAATAAGCCTTTTTCATGGATAGTCCCAGAGATAACTTTCCAGGTTTAGAATACCATAAATGTAAGTGGTATTTTTAAAGTAGGCAAAGATGGTGTAACCCTTAGGATTGCCAAAAAAATTCATTACCAGAAACAGACTAAGGTAGCAAAAGATTTGTTACAGATGGGTGAGAATGGTGTTTGTGTGTACAGCGCCTTCAGTATCACACAAATTTGTGAGGGGCTGCCAGTCACAGACTCATTTATCCATGCCACCAGGTAGGTCCTCCTAGGATTGAACTTTCTGAGGACTAACGAGGCAGCAAGAGTTAAAACAACAGGGGATTCATCAAGGAAGAAATGGAACCCACAGAGCGCAGAGATGAGTGAGGCAGGACAGTCACCCACCAGGAACTGGTATGGAGCCAAGGGAGGCTCCCTATTATAGGAAATGGCAAGTGAGTGAGAGCCCTCATGGCCCACTTCTGCCACAGATTATCAAAACCCTAGACACAGGAGGTTCCCCCACCCACCTAACACCCTCCCACTGGGGCCTCTAGACTGACACGGAGACATGCCTGGATTCTGGGCAGAGATACCATTCAGGCCCATGTGGATCCCCAAGGAATCTTCCCTGTGAGCCCCCAATCTCCTGCTCTTCACTAGGCAGGGGCCCTGGCTTGGGCCCATAGCACAGTCACTCCATCCCTGGCTGAACCTTCCCAGTATTCACAGTGATTCTGTGTCTCTCTGGGGTGGAATTTCCAGAGGCAACTGTCAGTCTCCCTGCCACTACCACTGTAGCAATACCTGCCCTTGCTGCCACTAGGATGGGGAAGAAATAGAGCCTGAATGTTTTACTTGCACCTCCCGTATGCTGCTGCTGCCCTGTGGAGAAGAGGCCAGGCTGTCTTCTCTGCAAGTGCCCCATTCCCCCTGTTCATTACCAGGCAAGGCCCCCTTTCTTGGGTAAGCAATGCAGCTGTCCCATCCTGTGTTGATTATTTTGATTGACAGCAGCTCTGTTCTCTGGGGTGGAGCCCCAAGAGACAAGTGAAAGGCCTTCTGCCATGGCCACTGCCAAGGTCCTCACCCCCGTTGCCCCCAAGTTGGGGATGAAACAAAAAGCCTAAGCCTGCCCCAGGGCTGCAGTGTAGAGCATGGGAGTGTCAAGCTGAGATCCGAGGCCAGGACTCAAGTGGGAGAGAAACCCACACTCTCAGTGCACTGAGAGGGAGCATAGCTGCAAACACCAGGAAATACAAAGGAGCCACGTTGCTGAGCAAAAGCTTACCTACTGGCCATTACACTTAAGCACCATCTATAGGATTGCAACCCAAACTGCAAAATCAAAAATATTTTGCTGATATACCCCGCTATGAAACCAAGGAGAAGAATTCAGCCACAAACAAAGACCCTGCACAAAGCCTCAGCCCTCTGAAAACATCTAGAAATGAAGCAAACTGACTATACCCAAATTATACCACAGCTAAAGAAACATGAGCTCATACAGATGAGAAAGAACCATTGCAATAACACCGGAAACTCTGAAAGAGCGCCTCCTTACCTCTGAACAACCACACTAGCTCCCGAGCAATGATTCCAGAAGGAAATGGCTGAAATGACAGACACAGAATTCAGAATCTGGATAGTAATGAAGGCCATCAAGATTGAAGAGAAACTTGAAACCTATTCCAAAGAATCTAAGGCATCCAGTAAAATGATTCAAGAGACGAAAGACAAAATCACCATTTTAAGAAAGAACAAAACTGAGCTAATGGAGATGAAACTTCACTACAAGAATGTAATAACACAAGAGGAAGTATTAACAGCAGAATAGACCAAACTGAGGAAAGAATCTCAGAGCCCAAAGACCAGTTATTCAAATTAACTCAGTCAGATAAAAGTAAATAAAAAAGAATTTTAAAAAATAAATAAAACCTCAGAGAAATGTGGGATTATGTAAAGAGATTAAATCTACTACTCATGGTATCCCTAAAAGAGAAGAGAGCACAAGCAACTAGGACAACATATTCGAGGATATCATCCATGAAAATTTCCCCAACATTGATAGATAGCTTGACACGCAAATTCAGAAAATTTAGAGAACCTCTGAGAGACACAATATAAAATGACCATCCCTAAGACATGTAGTTATCAAATTCTCTTAGGTGAATGTGAAAGAAAAAAAAAATAAACTAAAGGCAGCTAGAGAGAAGGGGCAGGTCACCCACAAAGGGAACACCATCAGTCTAAGAATGGACATTTTAGCAGAAACCCTACAAGCCAGAATAGATTGGTCGGCTATATTCAACATCCTGAAAGAAAAGAAATTTCAACCAAGAATTTCATATCCAGCCAAACTAAGCTTCATAAGCAAAGGAGAAATAAAATCCTTTCCAGAGAAGCAAATGCTAAGTAATTTGTTACCACCGGGCCTTCCAAGAGGCCCTTAAGGGAATGCTAGACATGGAAATGAAAAACCTTACCAACCACCACAAAAACATACTGAAATACATAGATCATCAACACTATAAAGCAACTACACAATCAAGTCTACATAACAACTAGCTAACATCATGATGACAGGATCTAATCCACATGTATCAGTATTAACCTTGAACATAAATGGGCTAAATGCCCCCACTTAAAAGGCACAGAGTGGCAAGTGGATAAAGAAGCAACACAACTGCATGCTATTTTCAAGAGACCCACCTCACATGTATGGGCACCCATAGGCTCAAAGTAAAGGGATGAAGAAAGATCTATTAAGCAAACAGAAAACAGAAAAGATCAGGGGTTGCTATTTTTATTTCAAACAAAACCAACTTTAAACCAGCAATGACCAAAACAAAAAGGACAAAGAAGGGCATTACAAAATGGTAACGGGTTTAATTCAACAAGAAGAATTAATTTTCTGAAATATATATGCACCCAATACTAGAGCACTCAAATTGGATAACCACACAGCAACAGTGGAAGAATTTAACACCCCACTGACAATATGGGACAGATCACTGAGGCAGAATACTAACAAAAATATTCAGGACCCAAACTTGACACTTGACCAAATGGACCTAACAGATATCTACGGAACACTTCACCCAACAAAAATAGAACAAGCATTCTTTTCATCTGCACATGGCACATATTCTAAAATTGACCACACTCTAGGCCATAAAGCAATTCTAAACAAATCCAAAAGAAACAAAATCATACCAACCACATTATCAGACCACAACACAATAAAAATAGAAATCAATACCAAGAAGATCTCTCAAAACCATACAACTAAATGGAAGTTAAACAGTCTGCTCCTGAATGACTTTTGGGTAAACATTGAAATTAAGGCAGAAATCAAGAAATTATTTGAAAGTAATGAAAACAAAGATAAAACATACCAGAATCTCTGGGACTAACATAAGCTAAAGCAATGTTAAGAGGAAAGTTTATAGTTCTAAATGCCCACATCAAAAAGTTAGAAGGATCTCAAAATAACAACCTAACGTCATAAACGTCACACCTAGAGGAACTTGAAAAACAAGAGCAAACCAACTCCAAAGCTAGTAGAATAAAAGAAATAACCCATGTCAGAGTTGAACTAAACAAAATGGAAATGAAAAAACACACAAAAGATCAATGAAACCAAAAGTTGGTGTTTTGAAGAAATGAATAAGATTGATCGACTGCTAGCTAGACTAAGAAATAAAAACGGGAGAATATCCAAATAAATACAATCAGAAACGACAAACAGGACATTACCACCCACCCCATAAAAATACAAAAAACTCATAGAGACTATTATAAACACCTCTGTGGACACAAACTAGAAAACCTAGAAGAAATTAAGAAATTCCTGGAAATATATAACCTCCAAAGAGTAAACCATGAAGAAACTGAAATCCTGAATAGATGAATAACAAGTTTCAAAACTGAACCATTAGTAAAAACCTACTGTCAGAAAAATGCCTTGGACCAGAAGGATTCACAGCCCAATTTTCCCAGACATACAAAGAAGAGCTGGTACCAATCCTACTGAAATGTATCCTAAAAATTGAGGAGGCAGGACTTCTCCCTAACCCATTCTATGAGGTTAGCATTACTCTGATAGCAAAATATGGCAGAGACACAAAAAAGGAAACTTCCAGCCAATATCCCTGATGAATACAGATGCAAAAATCTTCAACAAAATACTAGCAAAGAAAATCCAGCAGCACAACTGTATTAGTCCATTTCCACACTGCTGATGAAGACATACCCAAGACTGGGCAATTTACAGAAGAAAGAGGTTTAATGGACTTACAGTTCCACATTGGTGGAAGGCAAGGAGGAGCAAGTCACGTCTTACGTGGATGGCAGCAGGCAAAGAGAGAGAGCTTGTGCAGGGAAACTGCCTTTTTTTAAAACTATCAGATCTCATGAGACTTATTCACTATTATGAGAACAGCATGAGAAAGACTTGCTCCATGATTTGATTACCTCCCACCAGGTCCCCCCAACAATACATGGGAAGGCAACATTAGATTAGGGTGGGGACACAGCCAAACCATATCAATAACAAAAAGTTAATCCACCACAATCAAGTAGGCCTTATTCCTGCGATGCAAGGTTGGTTCAACATACACAAATCAATAAATGTGACTCATCACATAACAGAACTAAAAACAAAAACCCCCACAATTATCTCAATACATGCAGAAAAGGCTTTTGATAAAATTTAACTTCACTTCATGTTAAAAACTCTGAACAAACTAGGCATCAGAGGTATTTTAAGGTATTATTTCACAACTTTAAAATAGTAAGAGCCATCTATAACAAACCCACAGGGAACATACTGAATGGGAAAATGCTAGAAGCATTCCCCCTGAGAACTGGAACAAGACAAGGATGCTCACTCTCACCACTCTTATTTAACATAGTGTTGGAAGTCATAGCCAAAGCAATCAGGCAAGAGAATAAAATAAAAGGCATCAAATTAGAAAGGGAGAAATTAGACAATCTCTCTTTGCAGATGATATGACACTATACCTAGAAAAACCTAAAATTGCTGCCTAAAGGCTCCCAGTTCGATAAACAACTTCAGTAAAGTTTCAGGATACAAGGTCAATATATAAAACCCAGTAGCATTTCTATATACTAATAACATTCAAGCTAAGAGCCAAATCAATAATTAAATCCCATTCACAATAGCCACAAAAAGAATAAAATACCTAAGAATACAGTTAACCAGGGAGATAAAAAATCTCTACAATAATAATTACAAAACCTTGTTGAAATAAATAAGAGATAACACAAACAAATGGAACAACATTCCATTATCATGGATAGGAAGAATCAATATTGTTAAACTGGCCATATTGCCCAAAGCAATTTACAGATTCAACGCAATTCCTATCAAACTACAAAAAAAAATTTTCACAAAATGAGAAAATAAAATTCTAAAATTCACGTAGAATTGAAACAGAGCCTAAAGAGTCAAAGCAATTGTAAGCAAAAAGAACAAAGCAGGAGGCATCACATTACTCAACTTCAAACTATACTACAAGGCTACAGTAAGCAAAACAGCATTGTACTGGTACAAAAACAGACACACAGACTAATGGAACCAGTTAGAAAACCCAAAAATAAAGCCACACACCTACAACTATCTGATCTTTGACAAAGCCAACAATAATAAGCAATGGGATGGGATTCCCTGTTCAACAAATGGTGCTGGAATAACTGGCTAGCCATATGCAGAAGGTTGAAACTGGACCCCTTCCTTACACCATATAAAAAATCAACTCAAGATGGATTAAAAACTTAAATATAAAACCTAAAACTATAACAACCCTGAAAGGAAACCTAGGAAATACCCTCCTGGACATCAGCCCAAGCAAAAACTTCATAACAGTCTCTAAAAGCAATTGAAACAAAGAAAAAATTGATTAGTGGCAGCTAATTAAACCAAAGCGCTTCTGCACAGGAAACAGACAACCTATACAGTGGGAGAAAATATTTGCAAATATTTTCTCCAACACAGGCTTAATATCAGGAGTCTATGAGGAACTTAAGCAAATCAACTAACAAACAACAACAGAAAACACACCTCATTTAAAAATGGGCTTAAAGACATGAACAGACATTTCTCAAAAGAGGACACACATATGGCCAAGAAGCATATGAAAAAGTGTTCAACATCACTAATCATTAGGGAAATGCAAATCAAGACCACAATGAGGTACAACCTCACACCAGTCAGAATGGCTATTATTAAAAAGTCAAAAAATAATAGATGTTGGCAAGCTTGTGAAGAAAAGGGAACACTCACACATGGCTGGGAATGTAAATTATTTCAGCCACTGTGAAAAGTAGTCTGGTGATTTCTCAAAAATTTAAAATACAACTACCATTCAACCCAGCAATCCTATTACTGATTATATACCTAAAGGAATATAAATCCTTCTACCACAAAGACACATACATGAGTATATTCAATACAGCACTTTTCACAATAGCAGACATAGAATACACCTAGATGCCCATCAAAGTGAACTGAATAAAGAAAATGTGATACTTTAACCCCGTAGAATGCTATGCAGATATGAAGAATGAGATCATGGCCTTTGCAGCAACGTGGATAGAGCTTCCGGCCATCATCCTCAGCAAATTAATACCGCATGTTCTCATTTATAAATGACAGCTATAAATTGAGTTCACATGGACACAAAGAAGGGAATAGATACTGGGGCCTATTTGAGGGTGGAGGGTGTGAGGAGGATGAAGATTGGAAAACTACCTATCGAGTATTATGCTGATTATCTGGGTGTCAAAATTATCTGTACACCAAACCTCCTATGACATGCAATTCACCTCTGTAACAAACCTGCACATGTACCCCTTGAACCTGAAATAAAAGTTGGAAAAAAATTAATAAATAAAAAATATAAAACAACAAAAGCCCCTATAAATGGGAATTGTTATTAAGGCAAACTTCCTTGAGAGCTTGGCACATTTGGAACAAGGTATGGTGCTTAATATCTTAGGTTTCTTGGGGTTTCTAATCTTTTCAGACTGGCCACTGGACACAACCCAAAAAATCACACTCCCAGGATGGTGGAGACTAAGAAGTATTCCTACTTGATCACAAGTCAAGCTCTTAAGGACACACAACAAAACAAGAGGGACAAACAACACAGAAGGATAGAGACCAAAAAAAAAAATACTATTTCTGGGAGGGAAAAGATCAGACTCTATGAATGTTCATAACAAAAAATATATCAGAGTCACTAAACCTAAGGCTAGTCTGTATAAATGCTTTTCTCCTATTAATCTTAAATTTGCAAAAGGAAAAACAGACACAGTGATTCTTACCATCAGCTCTACTGGATTCCACAGAGATAGACCAGGAGTCTGGCTGGCAAGAATTTCTTGTCCTTCTGCCAGCTTGTCAGGTCCTGGGTTCCCTTGACTGTGGCTTCCAGAAGAGCAGAGTGGTTTTGAGTTATCCTTGCTCATCGTGCCAAAACTGAAGGGGTGAAGATAAAACTCAGCTTTTACCCTCTAAAACTCTACTGAAACATCAACTGACGAAAGGTAGATTAGTGGCAGAAAAGACATACGAAATTGTATTTTAGCATAGCATCGAGGAATTAGAGGAGAATGATTTCCCAATAACCAAATGGTGTACAGATGTTATATACCATTATTCATTGGGGAAAGAGAGATGCATAAAATGTGACAATTTGAGGGCTAGTAAATTATTTTTAGGGGGATTCAAAGGGTTTGGAGAACACACAACAGCCTGGTACAAAGTCTATTGGGCCAGCAGAGAAAATAATTGTGAGAAAACCCTGTCCAGATGTGTTGACAGACTTTAGTCTCTCTTCCTGTGATATGAGTTAAGTTCGTGACACTCAGTGAATGCAGTTGTGTTCTTTGGCAGGTATGGTTTCTAAGTAGATAGGCAATATAAAACAGTGTCACTGGAGCTTGTTTGTCAATCCTTCTGCAAAAGAAAAGAAACATAAAATAATTTGTGTAGCAAGGAAATTTGTGCTCAGTAAGAATATGATGCTGTTGACCTAGAGAGCCTTAGTTTATGCATAAGATTTCTTTTCTCACAAAAAGCCTACAGGCAGATATTTTGAATCCCCTAATAAACCATGAGATTTGAATACCTAAAAGGACATGCAAACACCTTAATAACATTCTCCATAAATGTCTGTCTATCTCCAAGCCTTGTAAGACAGCCATTCTCTTCAGACTTATACCAGGAATTGAGAGCTGTCTGATCCCAGCAGACAATAAACAAGTCATCGGCCACTTCTTATTAGGTATTCTGTGTTGTTTACACAAGCCAAGTTCTAAGTTTTCCACCTCAACTAGATGGTTGACTTTCACTTCTCTATAAACGTTGTTTCTAAGTCCTAGAGACAACCCCACATGAGCAGGTTTTCTCATTTCCAAGGTATATACAGGACAGAAGGCATCTAAGGTAAGTCACAATAATATTATTTTTATTCTCAGCCCAAACTGATGTTGCTTTTTCTCTTGTTAAACAAAATTAATAAGAGAACCCAAGATTTTTTTCTTTTATGAATGAATAGCGTACAGATACAAAACTGCACAAATTGTAAGTACTTAGCTGGGAAACTTTTTGAAAAGTTAAACATACTTATCTAACCATCCTTTCATATCAAGACACAAAATGGTACATTTGCATTATCCCAGAAACCTCTTCCTACATTCTTCCAATTACTGCACACCCTAGGGTAGAGGTAAGGGCATAGTTTTGTCTATTTTTGAACCTTATACAAGTAAATAATTTTGTGTGTACGCTTTTGTGTCTGGCATTTTTCGAAACAAGTAACTTTAATATATGAATACCCATCTGGCGCCCTTTCCTCTTCCAGGGTACTGGCATTGGTCAAACATTTGTAAGAACCCCTAAAAAGTATTCAATAGAGCAAAGCAATTGATATACATCCTGAGAAAACCCTCTAAATCATAGCAACAGCCAATAGCATGAAATAAACAGATCCTCACTATAGAAATCACTTTTGACTTTCCATCAGACAGTGAGTTCACATCAAAACTTACCATACGCCAAACCCCAGTGGGCTGTAAATTCTGTATTAGTGCTAAGTGGTAGAAAATGCATAGTTCACACCCAGAAAACACTCAGAATGTATCTGAAGAGGTCAGTACACAAAAGAAAGAAAGCTAGCTCAAGGCATGCAGGTATGTATTTATTGTACTATACCTTGGGGTCTAGATAATTAGAGAAAGGAAGTAAAAGGTGCTACTTGAGTTACAGAAAATGATTGCTTGAATAATAGACAATAGTTGCAAAGTGAGTTTTGGAGGAAAAAGCCCAATGCATACTGGCTGACAAAGAAGGTTACACAGGAGAGATGGCATTGTGTCCTGTCCATTGCAGCCATTGCTGCAAAAGTTGCATTATTCAATGAACTAAGGTCAGAGGAGGTAGTTATGCAGGGGGCTCAAAGTCAGGCAAGCACAGGTGGGCACAAAAAGAAGTTATGGAGCCTAAAATTGGGTCCCTGTGAACAGAAAAATGGAAAGAGGTGTCAACATTTGAGAATCAGTGACAGTTTGCCTCTGAGATATTTTTTCCTTAGGGACACTTAGCACCTCCTTATGGAGTCAGTATTTGAGCCAAAGGCAGAGGTTCCATAATAATCTTATGTCTTGGTAATAACACTCAATGCCACACAAGAGTTTGCTCTACAACATCTCAGAGTTTCTTTATAATTGCCAAAGGTCAAAAAGTGAAATGATAATAAAATATCATTGATAGGGTGACAGGAACTCTTCCAGGCATTTATATGTGTTAGCTACAATCCTTACCACATGCAAAAAGGCAAATATGGGAAAAGTAGTATTCAGAGAGCTGCAATTCCTTTCTCAGGATTAAATAGACTGGATTTCAGCCCAGGTTTAAAGCCAACTAGAAGGTGGAGGGCAACCCCTTTGGATGTGTGTACTGATACTGATCACAATGGTGCAGTATAGTTAGTAATTATATGGTATTTTCTATTCTAGAAACTCTTTATTTTTTATTACTCTTAATAGCCCTATAAACTGATTTATGTACTTTTGGCCTTCACAATGGCCATACTGAGTAAGGAAAACAAATCTTAGCCATGTCACAGGGGAGGTCACCTAGTTTGTGAGAAGCCACAACTGAAGGCCATGTCTTCTGATTTCATGACCAGTATTGTTTCCATGGAATGGAAAAACACAACTTTAGCAATTCTGTGTGAATGTGGAAGATAAATTATAATATGGTCCTTGAGTCATGGGTGAAATAAAAATCCAGGATATATTCACTGATGAAATAGCACAGCCGCTCAATATGCCCTTCTTAAAAGAGATGTGGAGTTGGGGGACATAAGACTCAAAGAGTCCTAACAAAATAGTCCTCATTTTTATTTCATCAGAACCCCAGCCTTCTTCAGCAGCATGGAAGTATCTGCAGAAATGGCTTTGCCTGCATCTTTTTGAGAATAAGAGAAGCAGAGGAAGGTTAAACATGCAAATGATGCTGCAAAATTTATTACTGTAGATGCATCTAAATTCCCAGGCAACTGCTTTAGGGGACACCTGGCTACTCAGAATCAAAGAAAGTAAGCATGAAAAGAAACTGGCAGTGTCCCAGTAAACACACTAGTCTTGGGCTCCCTGCCTGAAAGAAATCAGGCAACATAGAAAGACGATTTAAAGGCTCAGTTGCTAACCTCAGCCTGAGGAACCTTGTGTTGGCTGTCCTCACCACGTCTCAAGCTAGGCATCTCATGCCACGGAGGAGCCAATAAAAGACTTCTTCGGAGGACAGTTTTGAACCGGAGAGCCTCCAACATCTCAGAGATTCATGAACACAGTTTCGAAGAACAATTAGGGTAAGTCATCATCAGAGTCAGTAAATATGTTTTCACGGATTCTCACGCACCCGCCCTTCCCAAGTGGCTTCATATACTTATGGTCTCTCTGTTGTGTTGGGTAATTTCAGGGCTCCACCCTGATCCCCTAGAATATCTTTTTTGTTATGTTTGTGCAGATCCCTCCTCCCTTTGGAGTGGGTTAGATACCAACAGCCAGCGTGTTTCTATATGACTGCCCTCAGACTACTGAAAGAAAAAGAGCCTGACCCACCTGAAAATTCACATGCCTCCTTTGGGATCCCTTAACCAGTGACCAAGAGGCATCAGACTACGAAGGCCTCACCTCCTTTGCCTGGCCTCAAAACAAGTCTGTTCATGCTCAAAATGCTGCAAAGAGTTTTATTAACCAGTTCCTTAAACTTTTTTTCCCTCATCCATGTAAACACAGGGGCTCAAACCCAGTCCAAGGAACAAGATGAAGAGAGAAAATGCCATTCTTCATGCCATACCCCTTCCCGTCTGAGAAGCTTAGCTACAATAAATTTCACCTCCACCCACCTCTCTCAGTTGCACAAGTCAAACTCCCCAGGCACATCAGCATGTGCAAAGTGATACCAGTGTATCACTTGGAGATGTAGTCTATTCCTGCAATGTCTGAGGTTGGTTAGTCAAAATGTCCCATTACAGAATGAATGTGTGGAGAGAAGTGTGACTTTGAGCTGTAATGACCATCAGTGTTTGAGTGTGCAAAAAGGATTTGCAAGCCTATTGGCACTGGAAAAAAGGGTCTGAGCAGCTAAAGATAAAAAGGAAGTATGGCGAGGCAGAAGATTAGGGTGAAAGTCAGGAAAGGCCTGTTTCTCTTCTAGTGGTGCATCCTAAATGTAGTCCCTGGTCCAACAGCATCAGCATCACTTAGAAGCTTGTTAGAAATGCACATCCTTGGGCCCTACTCCAGACCTCTTAGAGACTGGCCCAGCAATTTGTGTTTTAGCAACCCTCTGGGAATTCTGATAAACCCTCAAGTTTGAGTCACTAGTCTAAAGTTTAAAGCTTACAGAAACTACTGCCACCAAATGAGTAGCTATTACCTTTCCGTAAATACTAAGAGCAATGGAGATAAATGGTTGAGATTTGAGAAGATCTTGTTGATTTGTCTTGGTTCATGGGCTTTATTTCTGTGACTTTAAGGACTTAAAGAGAAAGGTCAAGGTCCCTGGCTATTGACATATCACTATCTTTTGCATGGCTAAGAGACATGATGGTCTCAGTCTTGGCTTTCAGGGGTATAGTGGTTGGCTGGGGTTTGCCCCTACTGTAAACACTTTGTTACACTATCTGGAAAAGTCTCCCCAGAATAAAACATTTCCTCTTTGGAAGAGAGGCTTCTTGTTTTTTAACCCACCTCTCAGAAATTGTCAAGAGACAGAATCAGGGTAATGAAGGAAATAACAGGAGGAGACACATAGTTGTGGGTGTGGGCCAGACTCCACTCTGGTGGAGAATCTTTGTCAACTTCAGAGACAAAAGTGAGACAGGAGCCATCAGCAAGAACTTCATTCAACAAGAACACCTGCACTATAATCTCCCTGGTAGGGTCCTGCATGAAGCACACCAGATTCAAACAGTAGGAACCAAATTATGGAGAAGCATTATGCCCCTACCAATCAAGCATGGGAAATATTAAACAGGAGGTAAAATAAAACTTAAGTAAAGAAGATAAATAGAAAAGTGGAGAATCAAGAGTGTTGCTCTCCTAGAAGAAGTGCC
Source organism: Homo sapiens (assembly GCF_000001405.40). Lineage (NCBI taxonomy): Eukaryota > Metazoa > Chordata > Mammalia > Primates > Hominidae > Homo > Homo sapiens. The sequence goes on along the minus strand of NC_000003.12, from coordinate 26,203,207 downwards.
ATGAGACCTCAGGTACATGAGCAACCTCTCTGGACTTGTCTTTCCCCTTTTAAAAAATAAACAAGTCAACTAGATGGCCACCAATGCCAATTCCAGCTCTAAAATTTTTTGTAAATCTCTCACCACAGCCTGAATCTTTCCCCACATAGCTGTATTGAGCTCCTGTGGTTTTAATCACTCCTTGCTAATTTCTGGGTACATTTTTCCTACCGACTTTTCCAGGATAAAACTTTTGTGGATTAAAAAATATTTCAAAGTCTCTACCTTTGAACTGGGTATGCAACTGATGCCTATAAACCAGGCAAACCAGGGTAAGCATATGTGAGAGCAATGCATTTCAGTAATGGAGGGAGGAAAAGAAATAGAGTGTAATAAATATTAAGACAAAATAGAGTTTAACAAATATAAAAAAAACTCGCTCATTTATCTTAATATGTATTGTACTCTGTATTTTTCCATACCTGGCTCTCCTCTATTTATTAAACTCTCATCTCATACTTCTTATTATTTTTCAGTTGCATGAATAAATCCTCACAAGAACCATAAAAAGTAGGTATCACAATGATCTCCATTTTACAGTAAGAAAATTGAGGTTTAGGGACATTAATTAACAGTCCCAAAATGACCTGCTGATAAGTGGCAGAAGTAAACTGAAACCAGGAGTAGCTGAATCCAGAGCCAGGTGCTTAATTGTTAGTTCAAATGAAACTGAGTTTTAGGAAGTTTCTAAAGGGTTTACTCATTTGTTAAAGCAACCCTTGTAGGCTGTTGTTCCTTCAAGCAGAGGAGTAGCTTTTGACATTGAATCCCAACAGTCCTTTGAAGAGCATTCCTTGTACCCAGTAGGGGCTGAAGCGGGCAGAAACAAAGCCAGGGCCTCCTGTGTCTCCGTATTCATTATCAGAGCCTGACTGCCAGTCCAGGTTCTGTTCTGAACAAGCTATGACACTGGAAAAGTCACTTGACGTCTCTAGGCCTTAGTCTATCTGGAATTCAGGGAAGATTCTCTCCCCAGCTGACAAAAAGGCTGACTTTTATCACATCACTTGAATCTTAGGAAAATCTGTTGTTTTGCAACCCAGCCCCTTTAGATCTGTGAACAAACTCCACGTAAAGACAGATAAGTAATCAGGTCTTAGCAGTTCTTGCCTAAAATTTGTGTTCTCCTACAATTAAGGCTCCTCTTTACCTTAAGTTTCTGCATGTATGTGCCACATATTTGTTAGTGAGCTTTTTCGTTTTTGCTTTTGTTTCTTTTGCTTCACTGCCCAATAGTTAGAATAGTAAGAGACACATTTGACTGGTTATTCTGAAAATCAAAACCTCTTGTTTTAAGGTACAACAGTCACCTTATCCCATACTTCAGTATAGAACCTCATCTTACATTTTTGCCCCAAGTCTTATAAATTTACAACTTTTTCTTCTTCTTGCTGAAGCCTTCAATAGAAAGGACCAAAGGTCTCTGAAGAAGCTTCCTTTTCCCCCACCATTTTCTTCTCCACCTTTCCAGAAACAAATAGTTCAGAACAGAGGAAATAATTGTTTATTCCCTCTATACTTCAGATCATCTAGCACTCTCTGGCTGCTGGCATTTCCAATCTTTTTCATTGCTTTTAATTTCTTTTTTACAGTTGCAGATTGTAGGGGTGGCAGAGAGGCAAATCAGAGTTATTCTTGAGTTCGAACTTCAGCAAGAGAATTACAGTGTTGGAGTGGCCACTAGGAGTAAAGTTCCTCTTCCTATTTTTTCCTAACAAATTACAAAAGTAAATCCAGAATACATAAAATTACATTCCTGCTGGGCATTTGTAATGAATCTACCACTTTACATTCTCCCACTATACCTGTTTCAGTCTAATTTAGTCATCAAGTCATTTCCAGAATAATAACCCTTCAGAAGAGTAATCACCTTACCCACCCAACTAAATGAATCTACTTCAGTGGAAATGTTGACTCTAAATCATGGTCTTAGGAATCATGGAGTTAGAAAGAAATTTCAGAAGTATTCTAGGTCATCTTCATATCTAGGTTGAACCAAGTTCAAAATAAAGAAAATGATATATTAAAGCAGTCAGAGAGTTGGTCTCTTTTGGTAATGCACTGCTTACTTCAATAGACTAATCCAGGAAAACAATTCACTTACATTTTTTAGAGGGAAAGAATAAAAACAAATGGTTTCAACTATTTGATTTTTAAAATATAATTTAAACCCTAAAGAGAGCTTTGTACCTTGACCCAGTAAGGATCTTTTAAAGAACCACAAATACATTGAAAAGAAACTGCTGAAATACAGTATGGACATCTCTAAAATAAGTGAATAAGTGTACTGTTGGCATGAATAGGCAGTGGCATTTAGAGCAAATAATTCATGCTGCCAGGAATATACTAAAATAACTCTGCACATTAACAAAGAAAATTTCAAAATTAACTTATATATTGTTATTCAGGAATCTTATTTGCAAGCATCACATTCTGGCTGATTCAATCAAAATGAATGAACTGAAATTATATCAGCTGCTTGCACAGTTGAGTTGCTCAGAAGGTTGAAAAATAGGCAGGACAAAGGAGACTAGACAACAACTTGATCAGGGCTAGTGTTATCCAATAGGGACTCTTCTGTAGATGTCCTGAAAATTAGGCCCAACTGTTAGCAAAAGCATTCAATAATAGTCCCAGACCCCAGATGTCACTGTTGTAACCCCTGCTCCTCGTCTTCCCAGAAATATATATATCCTCCATTGCTGTTGCCATCATAATAAAAGGAAATGAGTTATTCATTGTTCCTACTTCTTTGCATTTCTGGCTTCCAATTTATCCACCTAGATGAATCTACTGCTTGGTCAGCTTTAGATCAAGTGCCTACAAGGAAGGTTGTAAAAGCAACTAGCTTGTCTTTTGTATTTCCATGACATAAAAGAGGATTTGCCTCCCACCAAGACACATAGGGTAGGGATAACAGTCAAGATAGGGAAAGTTATGCTGTAATAATAAAGAGCCCCCCAAATTTAGGGCTTAACACAGAATGTTTTTGCTTGTTTTTTATTTTGTTTTGTTTTTCCAGTCATACTACCTATCTGTAACAAGTTAGCTGGTTAGCTGGGGGATTTGCTTCATGTCATTCTCTCCTTCTCACTCTAGGTCATAAAGTGAGAGAATAGCCTCTATGTGGAATGTCACAGGTTATTATGGCAAAGGAAGACAGTGGGGAAACATGTACTGGCATTTAAAGCTTCTCACTGGAACTGATGCATGTATTTTCTGCTTATACCTTAATGGTCAAAGCAAGCTACATGGCCACATCTAAGTTTATGGGGAAGGGGAAGGGTAGAGAACTATAATCCTATGATGTGCTTAGGAGAAAAAAAAATATTTGGTGGAAAGCACTAACAAACAGCATATTGGTGAGTTCTCAAATATATGAAAAGAATTCAGATACGAGGCAACTGAACAAGTTAATGTTCAGTTATATTACATATTACATATAAACCTATTACATATTAATGATAGTTAGCATTTGTTGAGTGGTTTCCATGTTCCAGGCACTATTGCTATTGATTTCCTTATGAACCTTATCTCACTGAATTGACTCTATGGCCTGGTTTTTACTATTATCCTTATTTATTGTGGAGGAAATTGAGGATTGAAGAGATTATGTGACTTGCACAAGGTCACATACTAGGGAATGGAAGAGGTGCAATTTCAATTCATAATTTTTGAGAACTATGAACTAAAGACAAAAGAAAATCAAAATTTTTCCTGAATGAACAATAGCTACTGCAAGTTTTAGCAAAAGGACAGCTGAAGGGTCATATGGGTGGTAGTGTTTATTTTCTGTTTCCTGCCTCTGTTCTTGCTATCCTTTAAGTTCCCCTGCCTTTTCTTATTGCTTCTTGCTCTCATTAATGCATGTGTCTAACCCAAGTTTTCTTCATGGAGGATTTGACCAGGAATTGTGTAGAGAAAGATGCTGAGATCAAGAGCCACAAGACCTGGGTTCCTGTATCAAGCTCTGAACTATAATAAATTCCCAACCACTCTGAGTCTCAGTCTTCTCAAATATAGAATGGTAATAATAACCACAAATTACAGAATCGAGGTATAAACAAAATAAATTATCAGAAAGTACTTTGAAGCAACCTAACTTTTATAAATGGAAAATATTTTTGGTGGTAAGATGATCAGATAGAGTATCTGCTATGATACAAAACTTCTGAACAATTAAAAAAAAACTTTAAAATCCAAAAAGATGAACAGCTGAAGAAATTCCTTGTCAATAGGGAGACATTTGAAGGATTATCATTTTCAAATTTCTTCTGCAATAACACCAGGTAGATAAGCATTCAATTGCCGGGCTAATCTTACTCTCCCAATGACCCCTAGTAAGTGAGAGCTTACTGAGTCATCTCTTTGGCACTCTTCTTTCTAAATAAGTCTAATTCCTTAAGCCTCTCTTTATAAGACTCTGATGCATTTGAGGAAACAGTGACACCACAAATCATTTTATATCATATTCATTTAGTTGATAATAAATAATAATCACATGTGCCTTTCAAACAATATAACGTAAAATTCTTAAAATTATTCTGTTAATTTGGGGGATGTCATCATGAAGTTAAGATTTCTAAATTCTCTTATTTTTATTGGAGTTAGGTAGATGGGAGAGGTCAGCGTGGAATAAAAGTGGAAGCACAGCTAAATATGGGGGAAAATGACTGCTGATAGTTGTTTGGATAAAATGTCAGTGCCAACTAAAAGTGTCCATTAAAACATCTTTCATTACAATTTGCCGTGTGATCGTTGCGGCCCAAAGTGTCCTGGTCATTCCTTTCGGTGGATTACAGTAGACGAATTGCTTACAAGCACTCACACCCACAACATGTCTAAATTAATAATATAATGCTGTTTTGTGCAAAGCCTGCTTTGTGCAGAGCAAACCCAGTGGTAGCAGATGGACATTTTCTGGTGCTAAGAGAGCTGTGTATTTAGCATAAAATAGGAATTCTGTTGCTTGAGAAACAGTGCACTTTATGCTTTTAAAAAAAAAAAAAAAGCTTTCATCCTCTGCCACATGTCCAAAATTTATCTTTGTTAGCATAATTAATAAATTTAAAAAAGGAAAGAGACCAACAGGGGAGAAGTCTATCATTTTCAATTATTGTTGGGTAAATTACTCGCTTTTGTTACTTTGGCAGAAATATTTTTTAAAGCAGCATGAGTTTCCTGGGACACTGAATATCTTTTGGTACCATGTTACAACTTTAACAGATTTTACTTATGAAGGAGCTAAAATTGCTCTATCTTGCAAATAAAATGTAAGTGATTATTTAATCCAAATATTAGGTTACATTCTATTTCTCTGCCACATGGTCCTAAATTGTTATAACTGATCCCTTTGTTGTTTCAATCAGCAATTCTGATCTTCAAAAAGGAAAATTTAATTTGTTTGGCAGAACTTTGGGACCTAGTTTAGCCTCCAATGTTTATAAATAACTCCTGTCAACTTGTGAATCATGAACCGTAGGCATTGTTTGCTTCTCCTTATTGATGAAGTAACTTATGAAGAAGGGTAATATTTTGGGAATATCACATAAATATCTCGACATCACATAAATATCTTCAGAGGATGTCATGAAATTCAGTATAAGTGTCCCCATGTATATGCAGGGTTGCAAAAATACAACCCAGTTTTTCAAGTAAGTATCAGTAGCAACCTGAAAATGTTCAAGATGATAGTTATTCCAAAGAATATCTGTTTTCTATGAACCTGGATCACCATGGTTGTGCTTCTTAGTTTGTAAACATCTACTCTTCAGCCCGCCTTCTTTGGCATTCTTAGTATATGCTTATTTGGGGAAAAAGAGATCAGAAGAAGGTACCCTCTTGTACCTTTCTCTGCTGTCCTTTCCTCTTGGTGTCACTTTCCCTTCTGTGTTCTCTCTATAGCTTCTTTCTGTAACCAATCAAACTTTTAAATGAGGACATTGCATTTTTTACTTTTTGTATTTACACTTCTGGCTCTTAGTTTGGAAAATGAAGACTGATTTATATTTTTCCTTTAAAAAAAAAGAAAAGAAAAAGCAGTCACTTACACAATTTTAAAGTATTTCTTTCCCTGAGGCCCTTAATCCAAAAGAGAAAATAAAAAAGCACCTCCCCTGCTGAATGGCTCTTTAGGAGGGAATGCAATCAGCCACATTTAGTGACTTAAGGGAGAAAAAGATCACCAGTCATCTTGCACCCCTTGCTGGGAGAATCTGGGAAATGAGGGACATTTAGACATATTTGGTTAATTAAAAAGTTAGAGTCTGTATTTTACTGAATCTTTAAAACTACTTATTTTTCTTTTCTACATTTTGAATATGCTCTTGCCCTGAATATTCATAGTTCAATGCTTTAGAAAAAGCAATAATATAAAATTTCCTTTAAACATCTCCAACTGTAAACCTACTGTAATTTTCTCTTATAAGACTGTACAAATGTGTTCAGGTTTTATAGGGCTTACTATTATTAGAGAAGGCAATGTAGGTCAACTTCTTATGGAAATGATATGTGTTTCACATTACAAATGACTTAATTATCAAATTGACTCCAACAATTTTTTCCATTCCCATGAGTTTTTAAGATAAGAAAGTAAGAAAGCCAAGAAAAAGCATTTTATAATTAGTATCTGATTAATAATGTATTGGGTCATCCTACCAGGACTGAAAAAACTTCTGAAGCTTTCCCTACTTTCTTTTATGGGAGATAATATGTTGTCTTTATGTCTAAGCCAGTTTAAATATGAGTGTCTGTTACTTATAGCTAATGGCATTCTGCTACATAATATACTATTATAAATTATAAGCAACAGAATCTAACTCTAGATCACTTAGCCAAAAGGAAATGTATTAGACAGGTATCTGAGGAATTAAAGGACTGGTTGGAGTTTTGAAGATCAGGCTTGAAAACTACCAGAAACCTAGGACATTATAAAGGGTCATAAGAGTGCTGCTACTTATAATATCAATTAAATGACCCCCTCCTCATTCTTGGGTCTTTTGTTCAAGATTCAATATGCAGTTGGCCATGCTTATATCACATGTGTACCACTGAGGTGTGCAGAGAGCAGAAAGGAATAGAAAAATCTGGTTCCATTTATTTCCATGCTAGGAAATGAGCAGCCTCATTCCAAAATAATGTAAGCCAGATAAACTCCCAAAGGAATTGGAATATTAAGATAAATTGGGATGGATTCTGGGTAAATTAAAATTATAAATAATCTAGCAAAATAACACATGGGCTTTGAAGTTACACAGACACCACTCACTAAGTATACGACCTTGAACAAATTATTTTTTCTCTCCAAATTTTGATTTTTAAATCTGTAAAATGATAATAATCATGATGATGAAAAACACTTCTGGTTTCTAGAATTCTTCCAAAGACCAAGTACACTAATGTATACAAAAATATTTAGCAAGAAAACCACCACAAAGTAGCTGTGGGTCATCAGCCTCACCATCATCAACATCCTCCTCAGTATTTCCAAAAGAGAAGGGAGGTAGCTGCCAAAATAATCTCTTCCCTAATTATAAGACTGCTTTGAGAATTCATGACTTCAATAGTAATGTCCTGGGGGATGATGCTCTGGGCAAAACAAAGCAAAACAAAACAAATTTAAAAAATAGTCAGGAACACTCTAAAAGCCTCAATCCAAGTATTGGGTTAAGAAAGAGAAACCCCACTGTGTTTTGAAGTCAAGAATCCAACAATCTCTTGGTGTCTGCCTAACCAAGTGAAGGAGATTCTGCATGTTGTCTCTCAGGAAAGATTAAGGCCCTACTAATGAGACTAGACAACTCCTTATCTTGTAGCTCAGATATAATAATCATCTCACTGACTCCCACTCCTGAAGAGTGGCTCCTGATTCCTTGACATGAGATCTGGGGATCTCAGCCTGTGAGGAATCCACTTGCAGAGCAGCAGCCTCCTTCTCCCACTGAAGGGCCCTGGGAAGAACTCCTGGGCTTTCACTGTAACTGGAACTAAAGACTGCTCAGGATCAGGGGACAATGGGAACAATGCCTTCCACCAACCAGAAACAAGTGCATCGGTAGCTGAGTATGTTAGTCTGTTCTTGCATTGCTGTAATTTATTTAAAAAAAAAAAAAAAGAGAGAGAGAGAGTGAGAGAGATTTAATTGGTTCCTGGTTCTGCAGGCTGTACAGGAAGCATGAGGCTGGCATCTGCTCAGCTTCTGGGGAGGCCTCGGGAAACTTACAGTCATGCAGTGAAGCAAAGAGGGAGCAGGCTCATCCGTGGCCAGAGCAGGAACAAGATGGGGTGGGGTGCCACACACATTTACATGACCGGATCTCATGAGAACTCACTCACTATTGCAAGGACAGCTCCAACGGGATGGTGCTAAATCATTCATGAAAACCCTCCCTCCAAGATCCAATCACCTCCCTTCAGACCCCACCTCCAACATTGGGGAATTACATTTCAACACAACATTTGAGCAGAGACATAAATCCCAACTATATCAACACGGATGGTGGTCACTTGTAGGTCCAGCTACTGGGTAGACTAAAGTGGGAAGATCACTTGAGCCCAAGAGTTTGACACTGTATGATTATGCTGCTACACTCCAGCCTGGGTGACAGAGCGAGACACTGTCTCTAAAAAAAACTAAGAAAGAGAGAAACACCTGCATTGAGCTGTGATGTTTAAGTCACTACACACTTTAGGGTTCTTACCACTGCCTACTCTACCCAAACCAATGCATGAGCACTACATATGCATTTGTTGAATAAATGAACATGTTTTCTCCAAGTTTGTTTTTTCTATGCATGATTCTTGTATTTTTTGTGAGGGCATTTTAATTCCAGGTGTTACAAAGGTGGTGTGCTCATACCATACTGACAATACTTTACATCTATATTCTTGTGAACAGAATGTAATGACTATAAAACCTGCTGAGCGGATGTTCCATAATTTGCTTAACCATTTGTTTATTGGTAGAAATTTACATTGTTGCTAATCTTTCACCCTTTTGAGCTAATCCTGAGTAAGGAATAACATTTAATTGATGGTACACTGGAATGTTCTATATTATCTAATAATATTTGGGTGAACATACTTTTGTTAATATACAGCCATGTTTTGCCACATGTTTCTGAAAATGGTTAACATAATCTTTTCCCAAGTGGTGAAATAAAAGTAGGTTTCATTAAAGACTAAAAATAGTTACACTAAGGCTTATTTACCCTATATATTTTCTCTCCTCTCTTCTGAAGGCTGCAGCAGCAGCATTCATCTCTGCTAAGGCTGTCTAGGTTCATTACGTTTAAGGCCAGGGATTGTTTTTTATTGTTTTCAAAAGACAGACAGCAGCTGGCTCCTGGTCTAGGCTCCAGCAATAACCAAATCATCAGTCTTAAAGGATTGTTCCTGACATTAACTGATTTAATAGCAGAGATTATCTTTTATTATCTCAAATTGAAAACGAATTAACCAAAACGGTATCATGATGATTGATTTTTTTTTAAAACTACCACAGCAAAAAACTATTAGCTGAGTCCTGGGGTGCATGTGGTAGAAGAAACATGTTACATTATGGCAAGTAGATGATAAACTAAGTAAAGTCTCTTCCATAACATTTTGGAGATGTGTTTCCTCTGCCCTTGATACTTAAATTTGGATATTTGCTGAACAAAAGAGAAAACAGCTAAAAGAATTATATAGAACTTTGAATTTCAGATCACTCACACTGATGGACATTGAGATAATCTTCTGAGCTTTGTTGTGAAGACACACCTATAATTTCTCATGATTCAGTAAAATTGAAAAATCCAAGTGAGATTAGAAAACATATTCCAAAAGGGAAGGAGGAAGATGGTTTTGAGAGGGCTGGCTTTATATTCTCAAGTTTCTAGCTAATTTGGATGGAAGAAAAATGTCCATTCTGTTTTTATTCCTTTAGAAAGAAAAGAAAGAAGACCCAAAACCATGCTGTAAAAAAAGCAAAGTTTGTATCCAAGTTTTAAGGCCTTTAAATTTTCACTTTCGCTCATTTGCTAGAAATTTTCTTAGCAGCTTTGCAACTATGACTAGTGTGTTTTCAGCATATCAGAAAGTGGTCTCAGTACCATAAACAGTTTGTTTGCTTGATGTCTCCTCTGCTTTTTCTCCTCCACCGTAAGCTTCAACAGGTGGAAAAACAAAAACAGTTCTCCCTGCTGATTCAGAAGCTGGGGAGACAGCATCTGTCAAATTACAATTTCTGTATGAATAGCTGCATCAGTCCAGGTCACACTCCATGTAATGCTGTCAGATACACAAGCATACACATCAAGAAACTCATAAACTGAACTTTGCTGCATATAAAGAATTTGTCCCAGTGTACAAATCATGAGAGTACTCGACCATCAAGCAAAAATGTATCTACAGACCTTGCCACAGACATATTATGCTGTTGAGCCTTCTTTATAGGCTTGCCAAATGGACCCTGAAATATTACCATAAGAACTATCAATCTCCTTATCAAAATAAATGAGGTTAAACATTTTGTGATATTGCATCCATTTGTTTTTTACATTTTACCTAATATGCAGCATTTGGGAATTCACAATGTTACAACAGGCTCACTTCATAATTGTGGAGAATGCAGTAGATTGGTGGAAACACTTTCTGACCCTTTGAAAAAGGCACTAAGATACCTGAACATTTTATTTCTAACTAGTAAAGCAGATTAAGGACATAGTCTCTATTTTTGTTGATGAAAATCAAAGAACGGGACATCCAGGTACGATCTTTTTTTGTTTTTTCTGAAATATTTCTTCCAAGCTGAGAGGTCACCAATGTGACTCTCAAAATTTCTTTTAATTTTTACTTAAAACTAATACAAATTAATTAAACCAAAGCAAGTGGTAGATTTATTTTCTCATTTCTCTACATGCCATTCTCAATCTTCCTTTTACTTGTTTAACCTATCATCTGAAGAAAAAATGTTTAAGTTGTATGAGAAGCAGTACCTAGTTTACGGAGAAATTGAAACAAGAAGAGAGTTAATTAAAAATCAGTCATCTGGGAAGGTCTCTGCAAGGTGGTATCTTATGAGCTGATGTCTACATAAAAGGGAGCCAGCCATGTGTCTGGAATATTCAGCAGCCAGTTCAGAGGCCAGGAGCTTGGACTGTTTGAGGTAGAGAAAAAAGATTTCTGTGTCTGGAACATGTCAAGGAAGGCAAGAGCCCCGGAGAGTTGGAAAGCAGTCTGTGGACAGCAGGACATGGTCAGGAGCTCAGCCTTTATTCTAAGTACAATTGGCAACTCATTTGGAGCATTTCAAGCAGGAAAGTGACATGATTTTACACTTAAAAAATCACTTCTGCATAGAGAATTGACTGTGGAGAGACAAGAACAGTACTTGGGAAACCAGTGAGAATGCTGTGGTTGAGGCGAGAGTTACTGGTGGCTTGTACTACTGTGGTAGCTGTGGAAATGAAGAGAAGTGAATGAATTCAGATATGCTTTGAAGGTAGAGCTAAAAGAAGCTGCTTAGGATTGGGCTGGGTGTAAGAAAAAGTGAGTAATAAGGAATGATTCCCAGGCCTTTGACTTCAGCACATAGATAGATGGTGGTACTCTATACTAAGACAGGGGACCAGAGGGATGAGAGAATAGAAACTCTGTCAAGGGTTCTTAGTCATGCTAAATTTTAGGGGCGTGTGAATCTGGAACTCAAAAGAGAAGTTAGGCTAGATATATTGATTGCATAATATAAAACGTCTATATAATTCTGTGCATGTGTGTGGTGTGTGTGTCTGTATAAATTTAAAGTCATGAGATTAGATGAGGCCACCGAAGAATACAGACAAATAGCAGGAAAACTAAAACTGCTGTGGGACAGTCCAAAAGAAAAGAGTTTGAGGAGACAAAGAAGGAAACAGAGAGGTCAGTGAAGTAGAAAAATAACCTACTATATGGAATCACATAAACCAAGAGAATAAAGTGTTTCAAGAAGGCAGGCAGAGAAAACTGTGTCCAAATTCACAGAAAGATTGAGAAGGATGAGGACAGCAAATGACCATTGATTTGTTAATATAGAGGTCATCCATGACCTTCCCAAGAACAGCTTCAGAGCACTGGTAGAAAAAGAAGGTCAATCAAAATCAGTTAAGGAGGCAGGAGGGAAAAAAAAAACAATGGCAACATTAACACCTTCGATCTTCTTTTTGGTGAAAGTGAGCACAAAAATGGGGTGGTGGTTAGAAGAGGACCCATGGTGTAGAGGTGGTTTTGTTGTTGCTATTGTTTGGAGATGAAAGAACATGTTTACATGTATACAGGAGGGATTCAATACAGCAGGAAACACTGGTTATAAAACAGATAGGGGAGTATAGCTATGGAAGTGACGTCTTCAGAATATGAGAGGAACGGAACCTAGATCACAGTGGAGGAACTGCTTTTTGAAAACAGCAGGAAATCGCCTAGGTTTTCTTCTAGGGTTTGTATGGTTGTAGGTTTATGTTTAAATCTTTAATCCATCTTGAGTTCATTTTTGTATAAGGTGTAAGGAAGGGGTCCAGTTTCTGTTTTCTGCATATGGTAGCCAGTTTCCCCAGCACCATTTATTAAATAGGGAATCCTTTCCCCATTGCTTGTTTTTGTCAGGTTTGTCAAGGATTAGATGATTGTAGATGTGTGGTGTTATTTCTGAGGCCTCTATTCTGTTCCATCGGTCTATATATCTGTTTTGGTACCAGTACCATGCTGTTTTGTTTACTGTAGCCTTGTAGTATAGTTTGAGGTCAGATAGTGTGATGCCTCCAAGCTTTGTTCTACTTGCTTAGGATTGTCTTGGCTATACGGGCTCTTTTTTGGTTCCATATGAAAATTAAAGTAGTTTTTTTCTAATTCTGTGAAGAAAGTCAATGGTAGCTTGACGGAAATAGCATTGAATCTATCAATTACTTTGGGCAGTACGGCCATTTTCACAATATTGATTCTTCCTCTCCATGAGCATGGAATGATTTTCCATCTGTTTGTGTCCTTTCTTATTTCCTTCAGCAGTGGTTTGTAGTTTTCCTTGAAGAGATCCTTCACATCCCTTGTAAGTTGTATTCCTAGGTATTTTATTCTCTTTGTATACTATGCAGCCATAAAAAAGAATGAGTTCATGTCCTTTGTAAGGACATGGATGAAGCTGGAAACCATCGTTCTCAGCAAACTAACACAGGAACAGAAAACCAAACACCACATGTTCTCATTTATAAGTAGGAGTGGAACAATGAGAACACATGCGTACAGGGAAGGGAACATCACACACCGGTGCCTTTCAGGGGGTGGGGGGCAAGGGGAGGGATAGCATTAGGAGGAATACCTAATGTAGATGACGGGTTGATGGGTGCAGCAAACCACCATGGCACATGTATACCTATGTAACAAACCTGCACGTTCTGCACATGTATCCTAGAACTTAAAGTGTAATTTAAAAATAAATATTATTAAAATAAATAAAACTATTGTTTAGAGTTTTCTGAAAAAAAGAAAAGAAAAGAGCACAGAAGATATAGCACTAATGGCCATAACTCCAAAAAGGTGGAACACCAGCAGAAGCCTAGGGTGATTGAATCCATAAAACATGAACACCCCGGAATATCTGTGGACACTCAGAGACTTTGGTCCTCAAATTTAGATCCTCAGCTCAGTCTCCAGCAAGACCTGTATTTTCATAACCCAATTCTGATCCTTACCATCTCTTTCCCTCATCAAAATCCCACTTTTTCTCTACTCCAAATTCTCATCACCTTTAAAAGTGTAATTCAATACTGCCTTCTTCCAGTAGCCATCTCTAGCTGCTTCCACAGACATGAATTTCTCATTTCTCTGAATTTTAAAAGTTCTATGCAGCCTGCATTCAGTACTTTTTTATCTACTATTGTGATCCCTAAATGTTTCCTACTTCAGGTATTTTTTGCACAATAGGATCAGAGCTCTATGAGGATAGTGAATACATTTTTAAATATCTGGTCTCCTGTGGTGCCTAAATGTAGGTGAGAATGCTATTATGTCTCAAAAACTGCCTGCTCGCTAATGGATTATAGTGGACATAGGCAGAATGAATTAGGACACAGATTGCAGAACAAAATTTCCAGTGAATATCAATCATTATCACACCATTAACTCCAAACTGTAGTTAATGTAAGGTGGATTAAACTCTTCAGGTGTATGTGACAGGGTGCTGCAACCATTTCCACTCCTATTTAGAAAAATATATCTGGCCCAGGCCAATTGTGCCAGAGCTCCTCTGACACGGAAACATTCACTCTAAAATTATCACTCATGCGAATTCCCACGTTTATTAAGGAAATATTATAATACTCATCCTTGAAAGTCATGTTTATTGACTTCATTTTTTGCAGTAGGATCTGTCACATTTTTTCAAACTGCATAATAGACAAGATAAACCAGCACATGGTTAACGTATTTCCAAAAGTGAAGGAGGATTTTGTGGTGCGTTGATAAAAACTAATTACATGTCATTGTTATTTCCAATAAAGGAAATTGTTTTTATTTTCTTAGAATCCCCAATTACATTGCTGTTGAATTATGAATGTTCTCTTAAATGATTTATATCTTGATGAGATTGGCATGTACTGAAACTACAGCTCATACATTCTTCGCTGCTCCTTCTGTTATCTCTATGCCCTTCTTCATGACTATCTCCAGTTAGATTTAAGGTATGGCAACTTCTGGATCTATTTCGGTGTTAGGGATGATCTGATATAGAAAACCAGTTGTGTACGCATTTGGTGATGGCTTCAGGCCTCCTTCACTGGTGGGCATCTCAATAAAAACAGTGTTCAAGAAAAATGGTGGGGTTCATTCTCATTAGCTAGCTCCAAATATGTCATATCAGAAAAATTTTAAACCCATGCAAATGAAGAAAAAGCTAAATTTTCAATAAATTTACAACTGGATTATATTTTATTATAATATGAAATGCTTGCCAGAGTTCCAATCCCTGACCCCCTCTCCACCCAACCACCACACGCCCCATTCTCTTAAGTATGCTTTTTGGATTATTTAAGCTGTTTGTGCTTAAAGAGCAAACTCTCCAAGTCCGGGCTGCCAACCAATATACACTTGATGCTTTTGGCCCATCCACAGGATGGGTTGGGACAAGAAAATGGTAGGAAGGGCTGGCAAGGGGGACAGAGTGATACGGCAGTTATTTAGAAGTCATTACCTCAAGTATAGAAAAGGCAAAGGTTATCAAACAGAACATTCTGCAGACCATAAAGGTGAGACGGGAAATGCTATTGTTCCTTGTAGTAATTTGCGGTATTTTACTAAACGATTTTCATCACTGAGAGGTATTACTTCACATGCAAGAAATATAATGGTCTTTTAAGTCATGCTGAAGGTTTATTTAATGCTCTTGAAATTATCTTAGTTTAAATATCTTCCTGGCTTTTCCTTAATTAATTCTCATTTCTTCCTTACCTTTCCTCCTACTCCCTAACCATACTTCTACCAAATCCCTGTAGAATCAACTGGGAAAAATGTCAGAAAATTCCTCTTCAAGGAAATCTACGCCATAGGAGAAATGATAAAATTTTGCACCATTTTACATTTAAAACTAATTATTTCATTTTCAGAAAACAAATTGGAATTGAATAAAGAGTCTATCTAGGAAAACTATTTTCCCTTTCTTTGAATTTCTTGTTAGATGTGAACATGAGAAAAGTTACTTTTAATGCAATTGGAAAGCCGTCATTTGATCAAAGGTGCAAAAGCACATTCCTAAATTGGTTTAGGATCATTGCATCTTATATCTGCTCTAATCCCCTGAGAGACACAATTTCCAATTAACAGTGGAAAGCTTGGCATATAGAAAAGAAATGTTCTTTCTCACAGTGAGCAATACTTTTCCAGTGCTGTTCCTTTGTCCAATCTTCTCTGTGGACTTTAGTTGATCTACCCTGTTAGGGTTAAGCTTCTTGGGAAACATTTACAAGGAAACCCCTCCAGACACACTCATGCAGTTAATTACCCTCTCTTTTGTACCATTGATAAACTTGGTACATGCTTACATGAGCTGCCCTTACCACCTATGGCACCATTATTTATTTGTTCATCAAAACTGCTCCAATATACTATGAGCACCTTGAGGACAGGGATTGTCCCTTATCTGCAGTCATATTCTCATTGCACCTAGCAAGTACTAAGCAGATATCTGATGAATTAATGGTTCTCCTCTCCATTATTACTAATTATATGATCCTGGAAGTGTTATATAGTCTCCCTATACCTCAGTTTCTTTATATGTGTTTAATAATATAAACCTTATTGTGTTGTGAGAAGGAGCAAATAAAAAGAGACTACAAAAAATGCTCATCAGCATGCCTGGCCCATAGAAGGAGCTTGTGGCAGACAATGCTGATTACCTAACCACAGACCATTTCTCTTGCTAATAAGTGCTAGGTGGTATGGGCAGCAATGTGTTCAGAAAAGGCCAACCCACCCTCCACTCCCAGACGGGGAACTCATAATTACTGATTAAGAAGTGAACATAAGACTTGATCTCAGTTAATGAAACAAGGGAATTCTGCTGATGGTTTCTTGGATCAACTTCTTTGATAAAAGAGAGACTCAGGAGGAAAAAGATTGACCCCATTCTGGCTTCCATGATGTTGTTTTATAAGCTGTGGACTCCATCTTGCTACCATGAAAGGAAAGCCAAGAGAGTTACGGAGAAGCCAACTCAAGGGACCTGATGTCTATGAGGTGCTGTATTAATCAACTCTGAAACTTCCTCCCTGTAGATATTATAGTATGTGAGAAAATTGAATGTTCTTCTGTTACTTGAAAGGAAAAAAATCCTAAATAATAAAATGTTCAATAAATTCCAGCTATTTATTATTATTATTAATGGTTTTAGCCAGTACTAATGCTCTCTGACCAATCTTTACTACCACAGGAAGTAGGCTTCCCTAAAATTATCCCATACCTTCCTTGGTGTTATTTACAAAATAGGAATTCAGCAAGACAAGACTCCCTTGCCTATTTAGAAAATCTAAAAGGAAGGTATCAGGTATCCACAGTCCCTACCCATTCCTTAGTAGTAAGACCAGGGTAACGTAGTACAAATGAAGATAAATTTAGCTTATAAAATTTTTCAATATTTCGTTGATCTTTTTGACCTGCTAAAAACCTGAAACAGGTGCCCTGTGGCAAGCATCTCTCAAAGAAGTTGAATCAAAGTAAACTCAGTCAACAAAATCTTCTTCAAGCTCTTCTCAATTGAGCTTTTCTCCCTCTATCTACCTAGCTGGGATAGGTTGAGGGCTGCCCTCTGAAGAAATGTCTTCAAATTTTCATTTGTTTTTTCAGATTTACTCACATCTCTTGTTCTATAACACTGCAAATAGATTGTTGAAGGCTTCAGACTTCTCCAAGCACTCCCAGGCTTTTAAGCACATATTATGTTATACTAGGCTTGCTCATCTTCCCTACAACATCCACCATGGTACATCAAAGACCTCCAATGTGGATAAAATATCTATGTTATTGTTGTACATGTTGAACATCTTTATTATAATGCGTAACAAAAAATAAAAGATTGGATGGGATAGATATTCTCCTTCTGAAAGCTTCTGAATCAAACGGGAATGGTATTCCCTGCCACATACATATCCCATGGATCACTCAGATCCCAGCATACTCAACAACATAAAATGGGGTCATTTGTGTAGGGTTTATAAGATGCTATGACAACCGTATAAGGGTAGGGTAACGCCAACGGACAATATAGTAACTGGGAACAGTAGCAGCTAAGCGATTGCCACCCTCAGGGCAGAAGGAAGAAGGAAATGGGGAAGAGTCAAGCACTATAAAGAAATCTGCCCTTGGAGTGACCTCCAGTTAAGGAACACAGCCAGCCTAAGGGCAGTTTTCATGAAAGGATTTAAAAACTTGGTCTTACTATTTTCCTTGTTTCTGACCTTGGACTGGGCCTACTCATTGGTCAGTAACCAGAGGACAGGGGAGCCCTATTGATGAAGTCCATATAGATCAGCCTGTGAGACAGAGAAGAGGTGGTATGAAGTAGATAATAGATCTGGAGAGGCACACCCAATGCGCAAAATGGGTTTATTGTGAGAAGAGAGGTATTGTGTCAGAGATGGTTAACTTTCTGAAGAGTATATTCTATTGTACTGGCAAGGTGTAACGGGGAGAGAGAAAAAAAGAGAAAGCAGAATCAAAAACCTTTTATCCTTACCTACATTTGCTTGAATATCAGGTCTCTCCCTATTTCAGGCCAATTATTAGGGCTCTAGAATGCTAACAGAAATTTAGATTTGAGTGAGAGCTACGGGAAGGGCACAACTGGAGGTAGAGAAGGTGCAGGAAAATGGAAATGAGACGTCAATTTCTCTTTCTCTGTGGCTGTCAGGAGTTGCAGTACGTTTTTTTACTGGACTAGTTGAAAACTGTGCTTCTAACTCTAAGCTATAGAAAAAAATTTAAAACACTCTAATTTAACCTATTCTTAGTTGGATACTGATCCAGCCATTTACAAAACAATACACAAAACTTGGTAGATAAACCAGTTCTACCTGTGTGAAGATGGCAGTATCCATTTCTACCTGAGTATATTTATCGACCTAAATTTATTTAGAAACATCTAGACAAAGAAACTTAGTAATTCAGTTTTGCCTAGCATCAGCCTTTGGCCGTAACTGAAGTAATTAAACTGTTTAAATATGTTTTGCCAATTTTAAATTTTTTTCTTAGTCAAGTAAAAACATAGAATTTCTCTTCAAAAATTTGAGGTCTGGGCCGGGCGTAGTAACTCACGCCTGTAATCCCAGCACTTTGGGAGGCCAAGGCGGGTAGATCACCTGATGTCTGGAGTTTGAGACCACCCTGACCAACATGGGGAAACCCCATCTCTACTAAAAATACAAAAATTATCCGGGTGTGGTGGCAGGCACCTGTAATCCCAGCTACTCGGGAGGCTGAGGTAGGAGAATCGCTTGGACCCTGGAGGTGGAGGTTGCAGTGAGCCACTATCGCGCCACTGCACTCCAGCCTGGGGGACAAGAGCGAGACTTTCTCTCAAAAAGCAAAAAAAAAAAAAAAAAATTGAGATCTGATATATAAGGCTAAATCCAACTATGAACAACTCTAGTCCTTCTCCTCTCATCAAACATCCCAGTTTGTGGCAAACCTCCTTCCAGACCTTTTTTCCAGATTTTTGAATATATGTATATAGAAAGATATATTTCATGAAAATTATGTGGTACTGTATAAACAGTGCTGTACTGTACATATAATTCTACAATTTCTTTTTTCATTCAATAAAAGGTATTGCAGATATAGTGATATTAATTCAAACAGCATTTATTACATTCCTTTTAATATTAGCATAAATGTACCAGATTATTTACTTATCCACCTATTGATGGGCATTTAAATCGATTCTATCTGGGGAATATAAACAATGCTACAATGAATAACTTTCTACATGTTTTTTTGAGCACAGTTACAATTAGAAAGACATGGAGTTGCTAATTCGTAAGTGTTGTAAATAGTCTCTGAAGATGGCTACCCATGGTCTAGGGGTGTTTCTGTTGTTGTTATTATAATAAATTCCTATCTCCATATAAACTCATGTTGCTCCTCACATCAAGAGGCACGGTCTAATTCCCATCTGCCTGAAAATGAGCCTGGCCTTAGTGACTTACATGACCAATAGAATGTGATAGAAATGATTTTCTTGAACTTCTGAGGCCAGGTTATAAGAAGCTTTACGGTTTCCACCTGAGCCTTTGAAATACTTGTTCTAGAAAGCCAATCACTATGTAAGAAGTATGACTATGCTGAGATTCCTGTCCTTCTAGAAAGCCCAAGCTAGCCATGTAAAAGATGATGGGAGTTGGGAGAAAAGCCAGTCAGTCCCCATTCATTTCAGCTATCCTAACTGAAGCTCAGACATGTTATGAGCGAAAAAGTCATCTTAGAATGTTTACTTTCCAGGTCAAGTGTTTTTATAACTCCAGCCCTAGGTACTGTCTGGTTGCCACATGAAAGACCCAATGGGAACCACTCAGCTGAGCTCAGTCAAGCCACAGAACTACAAGAGACACTAGCAAATTCTTTTAAGCACTAAAGTTTGAGAATTTTTTATGTAGCAGTAGATAACTGAAACAATAGGGTATACTAATTTTTATATTTAATAAATGCTTCCCAATTGTCCTCCAAGGTGGCTGTATCTTTTACTTTTCTACCATTAGTACATAAAGATTCCTATGTTCCTACAACCCATCTTTTTACACTGAGAAAGATTATGAACCATTTTTCTAGCTGAACTTTTTACTTTGGTGCCAAAGCCAAAAAAACTTTTGTAATTTCTATTTGCAATTAGGAGCTTTTGCTGTTTCTCTTGTGCCCAACACACAGACAGGGAAAGACAGTTTTGTCCGTCAAATCAGTGAGTTAGAGAGCTTCTTGTTTATCCTCAAAACCGTGAAAATGGCTCATGGAAATTGTAATGTCTGGTTATCTGGAATTCCAAATTTGCAAGCCATGTTGTTCAAAAGCAATGCTTGAAAAATGACTCTGGATCACTTTCCAGTGGTCAGTCTGAGGCTGACCCCAGCTCCACACATGCTGCAAGAAAGCTCATCTCAAGATGATAATGGTTCTAAATACATAACTCCACTCTTTTCATCTCTACAATCCAATTAAATGCAAGCAAGCCCAACCACTGTCAGAAAATGACTACAAAGAATTGGGTCAATGCACCTCCATGAGATTTTCTTCTGGGCTAATCACAGGGTCAGTCCAATTATTTTCAGTGATTTGGAGGGTGACAGAAAGGCTATCCTTCAATGCTCTCACTTAACTGCTTGTAGCTATTCAGTCTTGGTGCTAAGGCCATAGAATATCGTGTTGCCAGCATGGACAGAGTGTATATCTACCAGTGATCCTGGCCAGGAAAATCTCTCCTTTCTGTGACACCTTTATGTCCCCAGAGAAATACATCACCCTGCTTCTCTAGTTTGTTTTTCTATAAAATAACCCCCCAAAATGGCATTATTTTATGATAAATGTCATGTGTGGTTGTTTAATATAATCATGCAATGTAAATTTTTCTATATATTATGTATACATATAATGCAGATATTTCTATATAATAATCATGCAATGTATTTTTCAAATCCTTCCCTCTTAGTCTCCCCTTTCTCAGTAATAGCTCTTTTGATAACTAGGGTGATTTTCCTTCTAGACATATTCCTATGCCTTTTTGCATTATTATTTCTATGTGTTGTTGGATGAAAGGATCTAATGCATTCCTATGCATTGCTATTTCTATGTGTTGGTGTTGCACAAGCATGAGATAATAATAATGTTTTGCAACCATTATTTTTCACTTACCCATATATTGTAGACTCCTGTCACAGGTACAAGTGTTTGTCTCATTTGTTCTTCCCTAACAACTGCATAGGGCTTCACTGCCCCATTATTTCTAATGGGAATTATGGAAAATTACTGGAGAAAAATGGTCTCTCACCTTTTCATTCCAATTGTTCACCCCAGAGTGTGATCTGTAAGTGCTTCAAAGAAGACTAGAGCAACAAGCAGTTTAGAAATTGGGAAAAACAGAGAGAAAAAAAAAAGAATGGCAAAACAGAGAAATTCATGAAGGCGTGGGGATTCCATGTGGATCCTATGGTCATTGACTCAGGTTAGAAAGTAAAAAGAATGAATGACACGGTCTGTGCCGACATTTTTCATGTTAGCATCAACATGTTTTAGCTGGGGCTTAAGAACACTAATACTAGCATCTTTTCTTTAAGAAAAGGCAGTGTTATTATTTAAAAGAATATGGTGCAATCCCATTAAAGCACAGGAATTATTATATGTTCTCTTGCACTGAGACATACTGCGCATTGCATTGTGTTCTCCAAAATGGAACTGAATATAGGAAAATTCTTGCTATTACAAGACCTTCCAGTAAGATAACCAACTGTTGGGTTTCACTAACATCATCATTTTAAAGATATTAATAATAGTTAGTCACTGTCAGCATTACAAAGTCATCACAAAAGACTTTATTTACCCTCTAAAAATATTTATTTTGTTATTAATAATGAAACAAATAAAGACTGTTTTGAATAGTGAAGCAACAAAATATACCCAGCTTTGACCTGAGGGTCTTTGGGCCAATGAGTAGAGACAGATTTTTTTATTGTTGATATTATTTAGGTATCATGAGAGAAATAATACTTCATAACCATTGATTAGCTAAGAAGTTTCTCATTAGTGAATTTAGGACCTATCCAGGAATCAGCTTGACTGTTTCAGTAAACCAAAAATAATTTAGTGACACTAACAAAAAAAAACCTGTTTTTTCAAGTCAAATTAATACCAATCAAAGGAAATAAAAGGATAAAAGTTGCAATGTCCCTGTTTATTTCCTTCAAGATCAAACGTAGGAAAAGCTGACTCAATCCTATGGGCACTCACATGGCAATTGCAACTGCCGAAAAGAGAGACTAACAGTAAGGAAATAAAAAAACTCTGAGCATCCAAAAGGCCTGCCACAAAATCAGAACATCAAATATTGGGCAGTTTATTCAGGGGGTCACTGAGGTCTTCAGGCAGAACTGTGCAGTTTGGATCCGATCTTTAAAAGCTTGCTTATCTGGTTTCTTAATTCATAAAGGATTAGAAATGGCCACCTAGGGAAAGTAAAAAAGACTGGCCAATATTGATAGACAAATTGACATTAACAAGAAATATAAGAAACAAAGAATACGTGAAGGAAGACATACTAATTCCTAACAGCTTGGGGCAATTTAGAGATGAAGCAAACAGTTCCAGAGATCTCAAAGCATGGAGAAAAGTTTGTTCATACTCTCTTCAGCATACTGTGTGTAAGAAAGCAGAAAAATGTGGAATACATTTTACACAGACTTTCACTTAAATATTAAACAGAGGTAGAGGGAGAAACAGAGACAGAGAGAGAGAGAGAGAGAGAGTGTGTGTGTGTGTGTGTGTGTGTGTGTGTGTGTGTGTGTGTGTGTTTGTGTGTGTGTGTGCGCGCGCCCCCATGTTTGCTGCTTAAGTTTTAAGAAAAATGTAGGCCGGGTGCGGCGGCTCATGTCTGTAATCCCAGCACTTTGGGAGGCCGAGGCGGGTGGATCAAGAAGTCAGGAGATGGAGACCAGCCTGACCAACATGGAGAAACCCCATCTCTATTAAAAATACCAAAAAAATTAGCCGGGCGTGGTGGCCAGCGCCTGTAGTCCCAGCTACTCTGGAGGCTGAGGCAGGAGAATGGCGTGAGCCCGGGAGGCTTAGCTTGCAGTGAGCCAATATCGTGCCACCGCACTCCAGCCTGGGCGACAGAGCAAGACTCCGTCTCAAAAAAAAAAAAGAAAAGAAAATGTATTAAGGCTCCACTCCATGTGTTATCTCACAAGGTACTAACTTTCCATATCCAGATTTATTCAGAGAAGGAAGGAAGGAGCTTTTCACATATGTAAATAGAGGCAACCCAGTTACCTCTAGGTTATCGTCTCCTCTCCAAAGCATTCTATTAGCTTGTTGTGTAAAATGTTTCTCTACATACTACAGTGTCTCCCTTTGGAGAGCCTTGCCCACTCACACCCTTAAAATGTGTATGGAAGGCTGAGTGAATCCCTCGAAGACACCAAAACAAGACGTTGATCGCAAAGGTTAATTGGCAAGACAGAAAGCTCGAATAAACTAAAGTTCCTATTACGTCTTACAGAAAGATAGATATTGGAAAAGCAGTTGGGAGAAAGGGAGTGGATTTAGAAAGCACCTAGTCTAAGAGATTTTTATATTGTGTTCCAGGTAGCCCTCGATTCAGAAGAAGTGCTTCAGGGACCATTTTAGGGAAGAAGAGGAAGACCAAGCAGATTGAGGGCAACTCCAGACCCATACAAACACACTTGCGCCAAAGCAGCCCTGCTTTCATCTGTCTGTCATGTCTGATAGTCTATAAAATTTTATTTTATGAAACATTCTATAGCCAAAAAATGGAAGTTTTAAAATCACTAATTATAAGCTAGATATAATGTGCTTAGTCATAAATAAATAATTTCAAATGTGTAAAACAGAAAGCTAAATGAGATTGAGGGAGTAAGGTGGATCATGGCAGATAAGAGGCAGGACTAGATTGCAGCTCTGACTTGGGTGGACAGAGTAGTGTGTAGAGGCTCGCATCATGAATTTTTGCTCCAGAAAGATTGCAGGAATAAATCGGGAGACCCGAGAGGACCCGCAGACCCTCTGAAGAAAGTGAATTGTTCCTGCAGAAAAGGGAGACACCTCAAATACTGTGCTGGTATCCATAGTTAAGAGACCCCCAGAAGATTCACATCACAGGACTCTGTGCAGACAACCCCCAGGACCAGCCCAGAGCCTGATAGACTTGCTGGTTGGCTAGATCCAGAAGAGAGATAACAATCACTGCAGCTCAGCTCTCAGGAAGCCACATCCATAGGAAAAGGGGGAGAGTACTACATTAAGGGAACACCCCGTGGGACAAAAGAATCCGAACAACAGCCATCAGCCCTAGACCCTCCCTCTGACAGAGCCTACCCAAATGAGAAGGAACTAGAAAACCAACTCTGGTAGTGTGACAAAACAGGGTTCTTTAACACTCAAAAAAAAAAAATCACACTAGATCTCCAGCAATGGATCCAAAACAGGAAGAATCCCTGATTTACCTGAAAAAGAATTCAGGAGGTAAGTTATTAAGCTAATCAGGGAGGCACCAGAGAAGGGCGAAGTGCAATGCAAGGAAATCCAAAAAATGATATAAGTAGTGTAGGGAGAAATATTCAATAAAATAGATAGCATAAATAGAAAACAATCAAAACTTGGAAACACTGGACACACAGAAATGCAAAATGCTCTAGAAAGTTTCAACAATAGAATCAAACAAGTAGACGAAAGAAATTCAGAGCTCAAAGACAAGGTCTTTGAATTAACCCAGTCCAACAAAGACAAAGAAAAAATAAGAAGAAAATATGAACAAAGCCTCTTGGATTATGTTAAATGAACAAACTTAAGAATAATAGACATTCTGGAGGAAAAAGAGAAATCTAAAAGTTTGGAAACCATATTTGGGGGAAAAAATTAGGAAAACTACCCTCGTCTTGCTAAAGACCTAGACATCCAAACACAAGAAGCACAAAGAACAGCTGGGAAATGCTTCACAAAAAGATCATTGCCTAGGCACATAGTCATCAGGTTATCTAAAGTTAAGATAAAGGAAAGAATCTTAAGACCTGTGAGACAGAAGCACCGGGTAACCCATAAAGGAAAACCTATCAGATTAACAGCAGATTTCTCAGCAGAGACCCTGTAAGCTAGAAGGGATTGAGGCCCTATCTTTAGCCTTATAAAGAAAACAATTATCAGTCAAGAATTGTGTATCCAGAGAAACTAAGATTCATACAGGAAGGAAAGATACGGTTTTTTTCAGACAAACAAATGCTGAGAGAATTCACTACTACCAACACACTACTACAAGAATTGCTAAAAGGAGCTCTAAGTCTTGAAACAAATCCTGGAAAAACATCAAAAAAAGCATACATCTCACAGGACCTATAAAGCAAAAATACAATTTAAAAAACAAAAACAACAAAAAACCAAGGTATACAGGCAACAAATAGCATGATACCTTACATCTCAATACTGACATTAAATTAAATGGCCTAAATGCTCCACTTAAAAGATACAGAATAGCAGAATGCATAAGAATTCACCAACCAACTATCTGTGGCCTTCAAGAGACTCACCTAACACATAAAAACTCACATAAACTTAAGGTAAAGGAATGGAAAAAGGCATTTAATGCAAATTGACACCAAAAGTGAGCAGAAATACCTATTCTTATACCAGACAAAACAAACTTTAGAGTAACAGCAATTAAAAGAGACAAAGGACATTATATAATGATAAATGGCCTTGTCCACCAGGAAAATATCACAATTCTAAATATATATGCAGCTAACACTGGGGCTCCCAAATTTATAAAAAAGTTACTAATAGACCTAAGAAATGAGATAGACAGCAACACAATAATAGTGGGAGACTTCAATACTCCACTCACAGCACTAGAAGAATCATCCAGACAGAAAGTCAACAAAGAAACGATGGATTTTAACTATACCTTGGAACAAGTGGACTTAACAGGTATATACAGAACATTCCACCCAACAATTACAGAATATACATTCTGTTCAACAGTGCATGGAACTTTCTCAAAGATAGACCATATGATAGGCCACAAAACGAGCCTCAATAAATTTAAAAAAAAATTAAAACTATATCAAGCACTCTCTTAGAACACAGTGGAAAAAAACTGGAAATCAACTCCAAAAGGAACCTTTAAAACCATACAAATACACGGAAATTAAATAACCTGCTCCTGAATGATTATTGGGTCAAAAACAAAATCAAGATGGAAATTAAAAAATTCTTCGAACTGAATGACAATTGTGACACAACCTATGGAAACCTCTGGGATACAGCAAAGGTGGTGCTAAGGGGAAAGTTCATAGTTCTAAACACCCACATCAAAAAGTCTGAAAGAGCACAAGCTTCCATTCTAAGATCATACCTCAAGGAACTAGAAAAACAAGAACAAACCAAACCCAAACCCAGCAGAAGAAAGGAAATAACCAAGATCAGAGAAGAACTAAAGGAAATTAAAACAAACAAAAATACAAAAGATAAATGAAACAAAAAGCTGGCTTTTTGGAAAGATAAATAAAATTGATAGACCATTAGCAAGATTAACCAAGAAAAGAAGGGAGAAAATACAAATAAGCTTAATAAGAAACAAAATAGGAGATATTACAACTGACGTCCCAGAAATACAAAAGATCATTCAAGCCTACTATCAACACCTTTATGCATATAAACTAGAAAACCCAGAAGAGATGGATAAATTCCTGGAAATACACAACCCTCCTAGCTTAAATCATGAAGATTTAGATACCTTGAACAGGCCAAAAACAAGCAGTGAGATTGAAATGGTAATTTTTTAAATTACCGACAAAAAAGTCCAGGACCAGAAAGATTCACAGCAGAATTCTACCAGACATTCAAACAAGAATTGGTATCAATCCTATTGACACTATTCCATAAGATAGGGAAACAGGGAACCCTTTCTTAATCATTCTGTGAAGCCAGTATCATCCTAATACCAAAACCAGAAAAGGACATAACCAAAAAAGAAAACTATAGACCAATATCCCTGATGAACACAGATGCTAAAATCCTTAATAAAATACTAGCTAACCAAGTCCAACAACATACCAAAAAGATAATTCGTGATGATCAGGTGGGTTTCATCCAGGGATGCAGGGATGGTTTAACATATGCCCATCAACACATGTGATAAACCACATAAAACAGAATAAAAACAAAACTCACATGATTATCTCAATAGATGCAGAAAATGCATTCAACAAAATCTAGCATCCTTTATGATTAAAACTCTCAGCAAAATCGGCATACAAGGACATACCCTATATTACATACATAGATATAATAAAAGACATCTATGACAAACCCACAGCTAACATAATACTGAATGGGGAAAAGTTGAAAGCATTCCCTATGAGAACTGGAACAAGACAAGGATGCCCACTCACACCACTCCTCTTCAACAGTACTGGAAGTCTTAGCCAGAGCAATCAAACAAGTGAAAGAAATAAAGGGCATCCAAATCAGTAAAGAGGAAGTCAAACTGTCACTGATGATGATATAACTGTTTACCTAGAATACTCTAAAGACTTCTTCAGAAAGTTCCTAGGACTGATAAAAAAAAAAATTCAGCAAAGTTTCTGGATACAAAATTAACGTATACAAATAAGTACCTTTTCTATACATGAACAGCAACAAAGCTGAGTCAAGAACTCAACCCCTTTTACAATAGCTGCAAAAAAATAAAATAAAATACTTAGGAATATACCTAACCAAGGAAGTGAAAGTCCTCTACAAGGAAAACTACAAAACACTGCTGAAAGAAATCATAGATGACAGAAACAAATAAAAACACATCCCATGCTCATGGATGGGTGGGATCAACATTGTAAAAATTACCATACTGCCAAAAGCTGTCTACAAATTGAATGCAATTTCCATAAAAATATCACCATCATTCTTCACAGAATTAAAAAAAAATTCTAAAATTCATATGTAACCAAAAAAGATTCCACATAGTCAAAGCAAGACTAAGCAAAAAGAACACATCTGGGGGCATCATATTACCTGATTTCAAACTATACTGTAAGGCCATAGTCACCAAAACAGCATGGTACTAGTATCAAAATAGGCACATAGACCCATGGAACAGAATAGAGAACCCAGAAATAAACCCCAGTACTTACAGCTAACTGATCTTTGACAAAGCAATCAAAAACATAAAGTGGGGAAAGGATACCCTTTTCAACAAATGGTGCTAGGATAATTGGCTAGCCACATGTAGGAGAATAAAACTGGATTCTCATCTCTCACCTTATACAAAAATCAACTCAAGATGGATTAAGGATTTAAATCTAAGATCTAAAACTGTAAAAATTCAGAAGATAACATTGGAAAAACCCTTCTAGACATTGGCTTAGGCAAGGATTTCATGACCAAGAACCCAAAAACAAATGCAATAAAAACAAACATAAGTAGCTGGAAATTCATTAAACTAAAGAGCTTTTGCACAACAAAAGGAGGAGTCAGTAGAGAAAACACACAAGCCACAGAGTGGGAGGAAATCTTCACAATCTATATATCTGACAAAGCACTAATATCCAGAATTACAACAAACTCAAACAAATCACCAAGCAAAAAACAATCCCATCAGAAAGTGGGCTAAGGACATGAATAGACAATTCTCAAAAGAAGATATATAAATGGACAACCAACATATGAAAAAATGCTCAACATCACTAATTATCAGGGAAATGCAAATCAAAACCACAATGCAATACCACCATACTCCTACAAAAATGGCCGTAATCAAAAAATCAAAAAATAGTAGATGTTTGCATGTATGTGGTGAACCAGGAACACTTCTACTTTGCTGGTGGGAATGTAAACTAGTACAGCAACTGTGGAAAACAGTGTGGAGGTTCCTTAAAGAACTAAAAGTAGAACTACCATTTGATCCAGCAATCCCACTACTGGGTATTTACCCGGAGGAAAAGAAGTCATTATAGGAAAAAGATACCTGCACATGCATGTTTATAGCAGCACAATTCATAATTGCAAAAATGTGGAACCAATCCAAATGCCCATCAACCAACAAGTGGATAAAGAAACTGTGGTATATATATATTCAATGAAATACTACTCAGTCCTAAAAAGGAATGAATTAATGGCATTTACAGCAATCTGGATGAGATTGGAGACTATTATTCTAAGTGAAGTGACTTAGGAATGGAAAACCAAACATCATATGTTCTCATTCATAAGTGGAGCTAAGCTATGAGGATGCAAAGGCATAAGAATGACAAAATGGACTTTGGGGACTCAGGGTGAAAGGATCAGAAGAGGGTGAGGGATAAAGGACTACAAACAGGGCTCACTGTATACTGCTTGAGTGATGGGTGCACCAAAATCTCACAAATTACACTGAAGAACTTACTCATGTAACCAAACACCACCTGTTCCCCAATAACCTATGGAA
Organism: Homo sapiens; assembly: GCF_000001405.40. Taxonomy (NCBI): domain Eukaryota; kingdom Metazoa; phylum Chordata; class Mammalia; order Primates; family Hominidae; genus Homo; species Homo sapiens. The sequence continues at coordinate 26,173,479 of NC_000003.12, read as the reverse complement.
ATAATAAACAAATAAATAAAGCAATAAAACAATAATGCAATACCATTTCATTTATCAAAGTGGCAAGGATTCTGATAGGGAGGGTTGGAAAGAGCAAGACATAGGCAGATGCTACTAACTGGAGTAGAAAGACCTGCACTGCTTTCTGGAGAATGGCTTGGCAACACTAGGGACCAAGAGCTTTAAAACAAGTCTATGTTTTCACCCTTTCACTCAGTGGTTTTACATCTAGAATTTAGCCTAAGGAAATAATTAGACAGCCATGCAAACATGTAAGTTCAAGAATATTTACCTCATCATAGTTTATCATTATGTTTAAAAATTGAAGGCCAGGTGTGGTGGCACACACCTGTAATCCCAGTGCTTTGGGAGTCCAAGGTAGGAGGATGGCTTGAGCCCAGGAGTTTGAGGTTATATTGAGCTATGCATGTGCCACTGCACTCCAGGCTGAGTGACAGAGCAAGACCCTATCTCTACAAAAAACAAAAAGCAAAATTGAGAACCACCTAAACATGATATAATAGGAAATTGGTTTGAATGAACTAGTAGAATACTGGGCAACCATTATGAATGATGCTAGCTCATGGGCTTCCTGATTTGATGCACTAAGAACACAACATCACTTCTGTGGCATTCCTGCCCAAAAATGCATGAACACCAGACATACCCAAATTTAGGAACAGTCTACAAAACAACTGACCTGCATGCTTAAAAATGTCAATATAATGAAAGGCAAAATACGTTTAAGGAACTGTACTCATATTAAAGGAAACTAAAAAGATTTGACAACTAAATGCAAGGTAGGATCCTAGATTAGAGCCTGGACCAAGGAAAAAAATTGTCATGAAGGACATTATGGGGCAAGCGGCAGAACCTGAATATGGACTGTAGATTAGATCATAGTATTATATCAGTATAAATTTCCTGATTTGAATAATTGTACTATATTATGTTAAAGAATGTTTTTGTTCTTAGAAAATTCACACTGATGCATTTAGGGTAAAGGGGTATCCTGTATGCAACCATATTAGTCCATTTTCATGCTGCTTATACAGACATACCCAAGACTGAGAAATTTACAAAAGAAAGAGGTTTAATTGGACTTATAGTTTCACGTGACTGGGGAAGCCCTACAATCACAGCAGAAGGCAAGGAGGAGCAAGTCATGTTTTACATGGATGGCAGCAGGCAAAGAGAGAGCTTGTGCAGGCAAACTCTTGTTTTTAAAGCCATCAGATCTCATGAGACTCATTCACTATCACAAGAACAGCATGGTAAAGACCCGCCCCCATAATTCAACCATCTCCCACTGGGTTCCTCCCATGATGGGTGGGAATTGTGGGAGTTACACTTCAAGAGAATTGGGTGAGGACACAGCCAAACCATGTCAGCAACTTACTCTCAAATGGTTCAGAAAAAAATACAAATGTGTATTTATAGAGAAATAATGATAGAGCAAATGTGGTCAAATGATATTAATGAATGAATCTGAGTGAAGGGTATCCTGGAATTCTTTTTAGTATTCTTGCCCCTTTTCCATGAATTTAAAAGTATTTCAAAATAAAAAGCTAAGAGAAGGAAAAAAAGAGATTGAGAAATAATACCACTTACGAACATTTAAAACACATATACTCATAAAGTCTACACATTTTATAGGAATACATGCACATTTAAGGACATAAATATGTTGAGTTCATTTCTATTTGAGGAAATAAAATAGAAGTGAGGATTGGGAAAGAAAGGGAAGGCCAAATGAATAAAAATTAGAAAAAAGAAGGCTCTTGAATGGATAATAGTGACAACCATATGCTATGACTTAAGGAGTTTATTCTCTGAATTTGGGACTCAAAGAAAAAAATCAGGATAAAATAAACTGCTAATGTAGTTCCAGCATTCACAATCTAAAACATCCTTTAAACATATTCTAGTTTCCAGGTGGTGACGCACCCTCTTCTTGAACACCTTCAACTGCAGTAATCCACAAGGGCCAGGGTTGTGACCCAGAAATTTCATCAATAGGATGTTCTTCCCTCTTCTAGTCCCTTGCAATCTGTACATTGGTAAGGATTTTGAGTCCTGAAATAATATTTCTACAAGCCTTGTTATCATGTGAACACTGTTATTGCAAACAAAAACTGATTAATGAGCACAGTAACAAGAGAGTTCTTAGAAAAATGGTGTGCCTCAGCTTAAAAAAGAAATTGACTACAAAAACATATGCACTAAGCCATCTTTGCACTCACAGTTTATGAACAGCCATTCACTACCAAGACACATATGGGCTATATCAGGGACACTAGGTTATCTGTCTTGGAAACAAGTGAACTGTTAAGATAGTGAAATTTATGCTTAAGGGGTGTAAAAACAATAAAATAAAATTTCAGGCTTTTAGACTTTGTGATGTAAAAAAAGAATAGACATGGAGACACAGCACAGTATATCAGCCAAAAGTTTTCCTTATGTCTAGCTAATCTAGACACATCTATTTTTTGTAACTATATATATATATATATATATATATGTATGAAGATATTTATATTCTTTATTATATCTATTACTAAATGTAGCCTCTGTGCTTTCAGAAATAGTCTCTAAAACACCAAATTTTCTAACTTCCCACTAACTTCCCAGTGAATTAAATCCAAAAGAAGTAACAATTCTACCATTAAAAATGTCTTTTCCAGTTTAAATTATCATTCAAAATTTCAGGTGTATTGAAACTGAAATACATTCATTAATCATTTTGATTCTCATACTTTTCTTTAGATTATCTTGAGTAGAAAGGTTGAATAAACAGAATGAAGAATCATTACATTATGCCTACGAAAATTTTTCAGTAAGTCTCTGAAAACTTGTGAATAAATCATCATTATTGCTTCTTTTCTTTCATCTTTTATTAACAGCATAGTTCTGTTGACTTTTTTCCTAATTTCTTGGACCTAAGTTTACTATTAGATTAGCCAAAGGAAACATATTGATCACTTAAATCCCTAGTTGGACTTTTGCCTAATCCCTTTACTTGTAAGATTCTACCTTTCTTTCCCTGTAAATTATTTGTTACAAATGAAAGTATAAAATTTCCCTAATCACCCAACATTTCCTGCTCAGGTTCTCATGATCCCTATGGAAAATGCTGATCCTGAGAGAACTTAATATATACACCTTCTGTAAGGTATTTCCTTAAAGTCTAAATTTAAGGTAATCACAAAATTGTATATTTCACAGTGCAAAAGAGAATCTAATAGAACCCATCACAACCTGGGGATTTCCTGTTTTCTCAATTAAAGGATTTTTCAGAGCTGAGACATCCATCCAAACTGAATTCATTTCAATATTTGGGGGATTAGAAATAAAGACAATCACATTTGCATTGCTTTATTGTTCAGTGTATAATCCTTCATAGTGGTGATCTAGTTCCATTTACTTTTATTTTTATGTGTTTTTGCATGATCTGTGTTTACTTTTTTTTTTTTTTTCTTTTGAGCCCGAGTTTTGCTCTTGTTCCCCAGGCTGGTATGCGACGGCGCAATCTTGGCTCACAGCAACCTCCGCCTACCAGGTTCAAGTGATTGTCCTGCCTCAGCCTCCCGACCTCAGGTGATCTGCCCGACTCAGCCTCCCAAAGTGCTGGGATTACAGGCGTGAGCCACCATGCCTGGCCTACTTTCATTTAACAATACTTAACACTAGAAAATTCCAATGTAAAAGTATATTGTGTGTATTTTTCTTCAAAATGCGAAAAGTCATACCATGGACAGCCACAGAATTGTCTTTGAGAAGTTGTCTTTGAATCTGGGCTCCATTATCCCTGAAATTATTTGAATACTTTCATTTATTACACTGGATAGGCCAGATAATGCAGAATAGAATTTTATAAATAATGGACTTCATTGGACTTCTAGGTTTTTACTTGTTTGTAAAAGAAGTTTATCAGGAAGTAGTCTTGAGAAAGGAGTAGAAGGACAGCAACCCATAATTAAGCCTATGGGGAATATATGGGTATTTAGGGTATGTATGTTCAAATGGGTAGGTCTGGAAAGTAAAAACTTTGCAAACTCTTAGATTCCTATGTGATATGGATGAAGACCTCAGCTAACTTAGTTATTATTGTATCCACAGAACTAAGTATAGTAACCAGCACATAGTAGATGCTCAATAAATGTTAAATACATTTATGAGCTATAAAAATAGAGTAAGTACATAGTATTCTGTTCAGGGGAGTGAGAAATAAATATAATTTCAGTTGTACCCAGAAGGAGCTTAGTATACTTGCACCTTTCAGGATAACACTAACGCATGACAAATCAGGGCTTGAGAAGAAATACCACCACTGAACAGAGTGCACTTCTAGAGGAGGAGGACCCTTGGAATGCCTTTCTGGTTCTTCTTTTTTTTTTTTTTTTTTTTTTTTTGAGACAGAGTCTCGCTCTGTCGCCCAGGCTGGAGTGCAGTGGCGCGATCTCAGCTCACTGCAAGCTCCGCCTCCCAGGTTCATGCCATTCTCCTGCCTCAGCCTACTGAGTAGCTGGGACTACAGGCGTCTGCCACCACGCCCGACTAATTTTTTGTATTTTTAGTAGAGACGGGGTTTCACCGTGTTAGCCAGGATGGTCTTGATCTCCTGACCTTGTGATCTGCCCACCTCAGCCTCCCAAAGTGCTGGGATTACACCACGCCCGGCCACCTTTCTGGTTCTTTGAAAGAGTGGTGGGTGAATCAGGGATGAATAAGGAGTACCAGAAGGACAGGACATCAGCCTGCAGAGATGTGGAAGGTTCATATGGGAAGGTAGCAGAATCCCTAATTGGAAAGGAAGGCTGAGACTTGTGTGCACGTGTGTGTGTGTGTGTGCACTTGTGTAAAAGGGAGTAGGGCTTGACTGGCAGGCCAGAAAGTCAGGCTTTAGTCATTAGGTATGATTGTACTGAGGAGGTTTCCATGAAGGGAAATGACAGATGCAGACAAGGTTTAAGCAAGATTAACCTGGTAAAATGAAAAATAAATTGGAGAGAAGAGAAGTTGGAAAAACAGGAGTATAGGGCATGGAACATAACAAGAACCCTTTGGATATTTACTCAATTGATGCGTGAAGGCAAAGAGTCCCCCTGAGCAACGCTGATTGACCAGACTCATTAAATACTTACAGGTTCTTTGAATCTGCACTTTCACTTCTGGGAATGTGTCCTATGGAAAAATAAAGATGTGAGGAAGGAATTGCCTACCAGTCTGCAAATTGCAGCATTCTTTAGACAATGTTAATCAAATTATGGAAAATTATGCAGCCATTAAAAATGATGTAAATGTACCTATAGAGAAGGAAAAATGCTCGCGACATATGAAGTGAAAAAGGTTTACAAAGACTACACAGAAGATGATCCCTAAATGAACATATATAATGTACACTCTGCACAACAAATCATTAACATTAGCTCTATCTAGCTGATGCAGTTAGAAGTGAATATTACTTTTTTCTAATATTTTCTGATATTTCTACATGAAAAGTTGTAATTAAAGTGTTTTTATAAAATAATAATTGAGGCATACAGGTCTAACGTTGGAGAATAAGATGGGTAGAAGTTAGAAAAAAAGGCAGGTGCCATAATTTACTATAGACTCACTTGTTTTCCATGGAGATGGGCAGTAAACAGCAGGAGAAAAATGGCACTGGCCTTCGTAGAAGCTCAATTCCAAATATGAGAGACATTTGCATAGATCTAAGAGACAATATTATAAAAATTACTCTTCTTCAAGGGAGAGGTTTGTAAAGCAGAAAGAGACAGAGAAAGAGAGAGAGAACCAAAGACTAAATATTTAGAGAAAAGAAGAGAAAGACGCTGAATGCATGAGGAAAAGCATCTTTATCTTTGATCCTCAGAACCTTCCAGAATATCCAGCAAATAGTGGCGTCTCCATAATCATAATCTTACAAAGAGATAAGTGGCCATAAAGAGGAGATGAAGATGAGGATAGGATGATGGGAAAGTTGCTAAGATATATAAGAATTTCAAGAAACAAGAGGTAGATAACAGAGCCAATGTTCTAGGGAGTGTATTTGAACTAAGGAAAAGTCACAAAGTTTGAAAAGTCAGCAGTCTTCCATGAGGTCCAGAAGTCTTAAAGAGTGTAATTTTTACGAAGCTGGAAGAAGAGGTCCACAATTTCAGAAATTTCAGCAAATGTCAGTAGTATTTTAAAAAAAAGAAGCAGAGTAGATATTTTACTCTAGCAACTTGCCACTTACACATCCATGTATCTAATCCACAAACATAAATTAAAGAACTATCGGAAGCACTGAGAGGCTGGGGACAACTGAGGGAAGCTGTCCCAGCAAGTATCCAGTGATAGGGTCAGTTTTATAAGGTGTGATTTCATAGAAGAGCAGTACCTCTCATCTGGCTAGGAAAAGAATGAAGAAAAGATGAAAAAAATTACAGCTCAACACTGAAGTAAAGAAAGGAGTGGATAAAAATTTTCCTTTTAATAATCTTCATTTTAAAAGTAAAGTAGCATAAGAAGTCATCTGTCAAGAGTCATAAGGGAAAGAGGATTCTGGCTTAAGGAATATGAAAAAACAATGGAAACAAACATTATAAAAATAATGCCAGAGAATTAAAAGGATTCCCAACGACAAACCAAAATGGATACACTATTAGGAAGCATAGGAGCCAAGCTACCATTGGGGAGCATGAAATGAATTGAGAGTCACCACTTTCATCAGCCATTACGTTATACTGAAGCTTGGAACAGTGAAGATAAAGGAGACCCTGAAGATGACTCAGGCTTAAACCAGCAAAAATTGATGAGCAAGTACAGAAGATACTCCTTGGAGCAAAGAAACCCAGGTTATTAAGGAAAAAACCTTTGATGGAGCCCACTTTGGTTTCCAGGAATAGCCAAGAGCTAAGTAGAGCCAGAAGAAAGCTATGTGACTAGATGAATTGGAAGAAGTTGAGTGTGGCCAAGATTGTTAGCAAAACTAATTCCTTTTTTCAGATGACTACACCACTTGACTCCATTTTCCAACCTGACTTGCAGTTAGATGTGGTTAATGACTGAGTTCTGGAAAATGAAATGAGAATGGGTTTTATATGCTATTTCGGGGCTGAGATGTTTAAGATGTGAGTGAATCTTCCTCATGGTCTCTGCCCATTCAATATTTTGTTAAGTCAGCACTCCAAGGACCTAGAGATGAGTAGAATCACAGAATGGAAGGAACCTGGGTCCCATGGATCACATGAAGTGCTCAACCATAAATATACATGTGATAGACTATGATATATGTGAAAAACTTGTATTAAATAATAAGCCACTAAGATTTAGGGTTTTATGAAGCAGCAGCATCTTGACCAATATTTTGAGCTATTGCTGATCCATGATCTCTGACTGCAAGAAACAGCATATTTACAAATAGAAGTAAAAAGAGAGAGAGCCAGATTTGAGCTTCTGGAGATAGAGGGATGGCAGGAGGTAATGATGACTGGAAAAAATGTGTGGCCTTGCTGGTGAGAGACACATGACAGTTGCCTGAAAGAACTGTTATGTTACCCAACTGCTCTTTAGCATCAGAAAAGATGAGGGCAGGGTATTGAGTCAGAACAACTAAAGATTACTTGGTTGTTTACAGTTAGGAAACTGAAATTCAGTTTTTAAAATCTTGCCCAGGGAAGTATCCTAGTTCAGATAATAAGACTTCTAGCTGTAAGAATTCAAAATTTTCTTTGTAACTTGTAAGCAGTCACAGAATATTTTATAACTGTGGTTCTCAACTTTGGGGGTGAGTTTTCCCCTCAGGGGATATTTGGCAATCTCTAGAAATATTTTTGGGTGTCATAGCTGGGAGCCAGGGTGCTACTGGCATCTAGTAAGTAAAGATCATAAATGCTGCTAAATACCCTATGATGCGTCTGACTCTCTTTTCAGACTGAGCCCACCTGCACCCAGGTGATTAAAAAGCTTTATTGCTCACACAAAGCCTGTTTGGTGTTCTCTTCACATGGACACGAGTGAAATTGATGCCATGACTCGGATCGGAGGACCTCCCTTGGGAAATCAATCCCCTGTCCTCCTGCTCTTTGCTCCGTGAGAAAGATCCACCTACGACCTCAGGTCCTCAGACCAACCAACCCAAGGAACATCTCACCAATTTTAAATTGTGTAAGCGGCCTCTCTTTACTCTCTTCTCCAACCTCTCTCACTATCCCTCAACCTCCTTCTCCTTTCAATCTTGGTGCCACACTTCAATCTCTCCCTTCTCTCAATTTCAGTTCCTTTCCTTTTCTGGTAGACAAAGGAGACGCATTTTATCCGTGAACCCAAAACTCTGGCGCAGGTCACGGACTCGGGAAGACAGTCTTCCCTTGGTGTTTAATCGCACGGGACACCTGCCTGATTATTCACCCGTGTTTCAGAGGTGTCTGACCACGCGAGGATGCCTGCCTTGGTCCTTCACCCTTAGCAGCAAGTACCGCTTTTTGGGGGGCAAGAACCCCCCCAACCCCTTCTCTCCATGTCTCTACCCCTTCTCCACTTTCCTGGGGGGCAAGCATCCCCCACCCCTTCTCTCTGTGTCTCTACTCTCTCTTTTCTCTGGGCTTGCCTCCTTCACTATGGGCAACCTTCCACCCTCCATTCCTCCCTCTTCTCCCTTAGCCTGTGTTCTCAAGAACTTAAAACCTCTTCAACTCACACCTGACCTAAAACCTAAATGCCTTATTTTCTTCTACAATGCCACTTGACCCCAATACAAACTCGACAGTGGTTCCAAATAGCCAGAAAATGGCACTTTCGATTTTTCCATCCTACAAGATCTAGATAATTCTTGTCGTAAAATGGGCAAATGGTCTGAGACGCCTGACGTCCAGGCATTCTTTTATACATTGCTCCCTCCCTAGTCTCTGTTCCCAATGCGACTCATCCCAAATCCTCCTTCTTTCCCTCCTGCCTGTCCTCTCAGTCCCAACCCCAAGCATCACTGAGTCTTTCTAATCTTCCTTTCCTACAGACCCATCTGACTTCTCCCCTCCTCCCCAGGCTGCCCCTCAACAGGCCTAGCTAGGTCCCAATTCTTCCTCAGCCTCTGCTCCCAAACCCTGTAATCCTTTTATCACCTCTCCTCCTCACACCCAGTCCGGCTTACAGTTTAGTTCCGCAACTAGCCCTCCCCCACCTGCCCAGCAATTTCCTCTTAAAAAGGTGGCTGGAACTAAAGGCATAGTCAAGGTTAATGCTCCTTTTTCTTTATCCCAAATCAGATGGCGTTTAGGCTCTTTTTCTTCAAATATAAAAACCCAGCCCAGTTCATGGCTCATTTGGCAGCAACCCAGAGACGCTTTACAGCCCTAGACCCTAAAATGTCAAAAGGCCATCTTATTCTCAATATACATTTTATTACCCAATCCACTCCCGACATTAAATAAAACTCCAAAAATTAAATTCTGGCCCTCAAACCCTACAACATGACTTAATTAACCTCGCCTTCAAGGTGTACAATAATAAAGTAGAGGCACCCAAGTAGCAATGTATTTCTGAGTTGCAATTCCTTGCCTCCACTGTGAGACAAACCCCAGCCACATCTCCAGCACACAAGAACTCCAAACACCTGAACCGCAGCTGCCAGGGGTTCCTCCAGAACCTCCTCCCCCAGGAGCTTGCTACAAGTGCCAGAAATCTGGCCACTGGGCCAAGGAATGCCCGTAGCCCAGGATTCCTCCTAAGCCATGTCCCATCTGTACGGGACCCCACTGAAAATTGGACTGTTCTACTCACCTGGCAGCCACTTCCAGAGCCCATGGAACTCTGGCCCAAGGCTCTCTGACTGAGTCCTTCCCAGATCTTCTTGGTTTAGCAGCTGAAGACTGACACTGCCCAGTCACCTCGGAAGCCTACAGGACCATCAGAGACACTCTGGGTAACTCTCACAATGGAAGATAAGTCCGTCCCCTTCTTAATCAATACAGAGGCTACCCACTCCACATTACCTTCTTTTCAGGGGCCTGTTTCCCTTGCCTCCATAACTGTTGTGGGTACTGACGGCCAGGCTACTAAACCTCTTAAAACTCCCCAACTCTGGTGCCAACTTAGACAATACTCTTCTAAGCACTCCTTTTTAGTTATCCCCACCTGCCCAGTTCCCTTATTAGGCAGAAACATTTTAATTAAATTATCTGCTTCCCTGACTATTCCTAGGCTACAGCCACACCTCATTGCCACCCTTTTCTCCAATTCAAACCCTCCTTCACATCCTCCCCTTGTATCTCCCCACCTTAAACCACAAGTATAGGACACCTCTACTCCCTCCTTAGTGACCCATCATGCACCTTACCATCCCATTAAAACCTAATCACCCTTACCCCACTCAATGCCAATATCCCATCCCACGGCATGCTTTAAAAAGATTAAAGCCTGTTATCACTCGCCTGCTACAGCACGGCCTTTTAAGGCCTATAAACTCCCCTTACAATTCCCCCATTTTACCTGTTCAAAAACCAGACAAGGCTTACAGGTTAGTTCAGAATCTGCCCCTTATCAACCAAATTGTTTTGCCTATCCACCCCGTGGTGCCAAACCCATATACTCTCCTATCCTCAATACCTCCCTCCACAACCCATTTTTCTGTTCTGGATCTCAAACATGCTTTCTTTACTATTCCTTTGTACCCTTTATCCCAGCCTCTCTTCGCTTTCACTTGGACTGACCCTGACACCCATCAGGCTCAGCAAATTACCTGGGCCGTACTGCCGCAAGCCTTCACAGACAGCCCCCACTGTCAGTAAAGCCCAATTTCTTCCTCATCTGTTACCTATCTCGGCATAACTCTCATAAAAACACAAATGCTCTCCCTGCTAATCATGTCCAACTGATCTCTCAAACCCCAACACCTTCTACAAAACAACTCTTTTTCCTTCCTAGGCATGGTTGGATACTTTTGACTTTAGGTACCTGGTTTTGCCATCCTAAGAAAACCATTAGATAAACTCACAAAAGGAAACCTAGCTGATCCCATAGATCCTAAATCCTTTCCCCACTCCTCTTTCCATTCCTTGAAGACAGCTTTAGAGACTGCCCCCACACTAGCTCTCCCTGACTCATCCCAACCCTTTTCATTACACACAGCCGAACTGCAGGGCTATGCAGTCGGAATTCTTACACAAGAACCGGGACTGTGCCCTGTAGCCTTTTTATCCAAACAACTTGACCTTACTGTTTTAGCCTAGCCCTGATGTCTGCGTGCGGTGGCTGCCACCACCCTAATACTTTTAGAGGCCCTCAAAATCACAAACTATGCTCAACTCACTCTCTACAGTTCTCATAACTTCCAAAATCTATTTTCTTCCTCACACCTGACACATATACTTTCTGCTCCCTGGCTCCTTCAGCTGTACTCACTCTTTGCTAAGTTTCCCACAGTTACCATTGTTCCTCACCCGGACTCCAATCCGGCTTCCCACATTATTCCTGATACCACACCTGACCCCCATGACTGTATGTCTCTGATCCACCTGACATTCACTCCATTTCCCCATATTCTTTCATGTTCCTCACCCTGAACACACTTGGTTTATTGATGGCAGCTCCACCAGGCTAATCACCACTCACCAGCAAAGGCAGGCTATGCTATAGTATCTTCCACACCTATCATTGAGGCTACTGCTCTGCCCGCCTCCACTACCTCTCAGCAAGCCAAATTAGTTGCCTCAACTCAGGCCCTCACTCTTGCAAAAGGACAACATGTCAATACTTATACTGACTCTAAATATGCCTTCCATATTCTGCACCACCATGCTGTTATATGGGCTGAAAGAGGTTTCCTCACTACGCAAGGGTCCTCCAGCATTAATGCCTCTTTAATAAAAACTCTGCTCAAGGCCGCTTTACTTCCAAAGGAAACTTGAGTCATTCACTGCAAAGGCCATCAAAAGGTGTCAGATCCCATTGCTCTAGGCAACGCTTATGCTGATAAGGTGGCTAGACAAGCAGCTAGCATTCCAACTTCTTTCTCCTTCACATGGGTCACTCCCACCTATTCCCCTGCTGAAACTTCCACCTATCAATCTCTTCCCACACAAGGCAAATGGTTCTTAGACCAAGGAAAATATCTCCTTCCAGCCTCACAGGCCCATTCTATTCTGTCATGATTTCATAACCTCTTCCATGTAGGTTACAAGCTGCTATCTCATCTCTTAGAACCTCTCATCTCCTTTCCATCGTGGAAATCTATCCTCAGGGAAACCACTTCTCAGTGTTCCATCTGCTATTCTACTACCCCTCAGGGATTGTTCAGGGCCCCCCTCCCTTTCCTACACATCAAGCTCGGGTATTTGTCCCTGCCCAGGACTGGCAAATTGACTTTATTCACATGCCCCAGATCAGGAAACTAAAATAACTCTTGGTCTGGGTAGACACTTTCACTGGATGGGTAGAGGCCTTTCCCGCAGGGTCTGAGAAGTCCACCACAGTCATTTCTTCCCTTCTGTCAGATACAATTTCTTAGTTTGGCCTTCCCACCTCTATACAGTCTGATAACAGACCGGCCTTTACTAGTCAAATCACCCAAGCAGCTTCTCAGGCTCTTGGTATTCAGTGGAAACTTCATATCCCTTATCGTCTTCAATCTTCAGGAAAGGCAGAACGGACTCGTGGTCTTTGAAAGACACACCTCACCAAGCTCAGCCTCCAACTTAAAAAGGACTGGACAGTACTTTTACCTCTTGCCCTTCTCAGAATTAAGAGCCTGTCCTCGAGATGCTACAGGGTACAGTCCATTTGAACTTGTATACGGATGCGCTTTCTTACTCAGCCCCAACCTCGTCCCAGACACCAGCCCCCTAGGTGAATATATTCCAGTCCTCCAGCAGACTAGACAGGAAATTCGCCATTCCTATCTAGTCTAATCTTCTCTTGCTAATCTTCTCTTGCCTACTCCAGATTCTCAGCCATATGAAGACATCCTAGCTGGACGATCAGTTCTTGTTAAGAATCTGACCCCTCAAACTCTACAACCTTGATGGACCAGACCCTACTTAGTCATCTATAGTACTCCAACTGCTGTCTGCCTGCAGGACCCTCCCCATTGGGTTCACCGCTTCAGAATAAAGCTGTGTCGGTTGGACAGCCAGCCTAATCCCTCCTCTTTCTCCTGGAAGTCGCAAGTACTCTCCCCTACTTCCCTTAAACTCACTCGTATTTCTGAAGAACAGCAATAACCCTTATGAGCCTAATACATCCCTTCATTCTATTAGGTCTGTTCATCTTTACCCTACTTTTTGCAACAGGTCTTTACAAAGTCACCCCCACTACTTGGACTGAGCCCCCAAAACTAGTCATCCCTATCTTCTGTCTAGTCATACTCCTATTCTTCGTTCGCAACTACTTATAAATGCCCTACTCTTATTTACACTGCTGGTTTACACTGTTTCTCCAAGCCAACATAGCTGATATCTCTTGGTGCTATCCCCAAACCGCCACTCTTGACTCCCTCTTAGAGTGGATAGATGATCTTTGCTGGCAGGGGACCCTCCAATACTGTCACCCTGATGAAGTTATATTCTTTACTTTTATATTCACTCTTATTCTCATTCCCATTCTTGTGCCACCCTCTACCTCTCCCCAGCTATCTCCACCACACTATCAACCTTACCCATTCTCTCCTAGCCGCTTCTAATCCCTCCTTAGCGAACAACTGCTGGCTTTGCATTTCCCTTTCTTCCAGCTGTCCTTCTTCCTACACAGCTGTCCCCGCCTTACAGACAGACTGGGCAACATCTCCTGTCTCCCTACACCTCCAAACTTCCTTTAACAGCCCTCACCTTTACCCTCCTGAAGAACTCATTTACTTTCTAGACAGGTCCAGCAAAACGTCCCCAGACATTTCACACCAGCAAGCTGCCGCCCTCCTCCACACTTACATAAAAAACCTTTCTCCTTATATCAACTCTACTCCCCCCATATTTGGACCTCTCACAACACAAACTACTATTCCTGTGGCCACTCCTTTATGTATCTCTCAGCAAAGACCCACTGGAATTCCCCTGGGTAACCTTTCACCTTCTTGATGTTCCTTTACTCTTCATCTCCAAAGACCAACTACACACATCACTGAAACAACTGGAGCATTCCAGCTCCATATTACAGATAAGCCCTCTATCAATACTGACAAACTTAAAAATAATAGCAGTAATTATTGCTTAGGAAGACATTTACCCTGTATTTCACTCCATCCTTGGCTACCTTCCCCTTGCTCGTCAAACTCTCCTCCCAGGCCCTCTTGTTTACTTATACCCAGCCCCGAAAATAACAGTGAAAGGTTGCTCGTAGATACTCAACGTTTTCTCATACACCATGAAAATCAAACCTCCCCTTCTATGCAGTTACCTCATCAGTCCCCATTACAACCTCTGACAGCTGCCACCCTAGCTGGATCCCTAGGAGTCTCAGTACAAGACACTCCTTTCGGTACTCCTTCTCATCTTTTTACTTTGCATCTCCAGTTTTGCCTCGCACAGGGTCTCTTCTTCCTCTGTGGATCCTCTACCTACATGTGTCTACCTGCTAATTGGACAGGCACATGCACACTAGTTTTCCTTACCACCTAAATTCAATTTGCAAATGAGACCGAAGAGCTCCCTGTTCCCCTCATGACACCGACACGACAAAAAAGAGTTATTCCACTAATTCCCTTGCTTGTCGGTTTAGGACTTTCTGCCTCCACTATTGGTCTCCCTACTGGAATAGCAGGCAACCTCTGTCACGACTTTCCGTAGCCTCTCTAATGACTTCTCTGCTAGCATCACATACATATCACAAACTTTATCAGTCCTCCAGGCCCAAGTTGACTCTAGCTGCAGTTGTCCTCCAAAACCGCCGAGGCCTTCATTTACTCACTGCTGAGAAGGGAGGACTCTGTATATTTTTAAATGAAGAGTGTTGTTTTTACCTAAATCAATCTGGCCTGGTGTATGACAACATAAAAAAACTCAAGGATAGAGCCCAAAAACTTGCCAACCAAGCAAGTAATTATGCTGAACCCCCTTGGGCACTCTCTAATTCCATGTCCTGGGTCCTCCCAATTCTTAGTCCTTTAATACCTATTTTTTTCCTTCTTTTATTCAGACCTTGTATCTTCCATTTAGTTTCTCAATTCATCCAAAACTGTATCCAGACCATCACCAATCATTCTATACGACAAATGCTCCTTATAACAACCCCACGATATCACCCCTTACCACAAAATCCTCCTTCAACTTGACCTCTCTCACTCTAGGTTCCCATGCCGCCCCTAATCCTGCTCGAAGCAGCCCTGAGAAACATCACCCATTAACTCTCCATGCCACCGCCCCCCCAAAAAAATATTTTTTTCACTGTCCCAACACTTCAATACTATTTTATGTTATTTTTCTTATTAATATAAGAAGGCAAGAATGTCAGGCCTCTGAGCCCAAGCTAACCCATCGTATCCCCTGTGACCTGCACGTATACACCCAGATGGCCTGAAGTAACTGAAGAATCACAAAAGAAGTGAAAATGGCCTGTTCCTGCTTTAACTGATGACATTCCACTACAAAAGAAGTGAAAATGGCTGGTCCTTGCCTTAACTGATGACATTACCTTGTGAAATTCCTTCTCCTGGCACATCCTGGCTCAAAAAGCTCCCCCACTGAGCACCTTGTGACCCCCCACTCCTGCCCGCCAGAGAACAACCCCCCTTTGACTGTAATTTTCCTTTACTTACCCAAATCTTATAAAACGGCCCCACCCCTATCTCCCCTTAGCTGACTCTCTTTTCGGACTCAGCCCACCTGCACCCAGGTGATCAAAAAGCTTTATTGCTCAAAAATAAATAAATAAATAAATAAATAAATAAATAAATAAATACCCTATGATGCATAGACAGTTCCCCACAGTTTAAAAAAAAAAAAATCAACCCAAAATGTCAATACTGATGCTCCTCGATTTACAATGGGGTTACATCCTGATAACACCATCATAAATTTAAAATATTGTAAGTTGAAAATGCATTTAATACATCTAACCTAGAGAACATTGTAGCTTATCCTAGCCTCCCATAAACATGCTCAAAACACATTACCCTACAGTTGGGAAAAATCACATAACAAAAAGACTATCTTATAATAAAGTGTTGAATAACTCATGTAATTTATTGACTATTGCACTGAAAGTGTAAAAAAGAATGGCTCTGTGGGTACTCAAATACAGTTTCCAGTGCCATTGTAAAGTCAAAATATCATGGTAAGATGTACCGTAGTGGCCCGGTGTGGTAGGCGTGGGAGACCGAGGTGGGCAGATCACTTGAGGCCAGGAGTTTGAGACCAGCCTAGCCAACATGGAGAAACCCCGTCTCTACTAAAAATACAAAAATTAGCCAGACGTGGTGGCACGTGCCTGTAATACCAACTACTCGAGAGGCTGAGGCAAGAGAATCACTTGGACCCAGGAGGCGGAGGTTGCAGTGAGCCCTACCCCTTCTCAAAAAAAAAAAAGAAAAAAAACAGCTGTACCATTGTAAGTCGGGGACCATCTGCAGTAACAAGATTGAGAAATCTTGCTTTAGAATGTTGTGTGACCATGCATAAAAAAAATTTGGTTTCCAACTTTAATAAAAACTAATCTGTAAGGCTAACCAAAAGGTAGTTTGACCTTGACATTAGCCCATCATTTTTGTATATTCTTTTTTTCAAAATCTCATTTTGTTTACAGCAAAGTTATATGGAGAAAGACAAGCTTCCCAATAAAGTATGTATTAATTAAACAAAGGCCTAGGGGTTTGGCTTATACCTACAAAACTGCACACCATTGAAAATTGAAATTTGCCAAGGACAAAAGTCACTGCACAAATCAATAATCCCCTGGGGTAAAAAATGCTCACTTTGTATGGATATTCTGTTTTCACCTTAAGATTCATAATAGCTTGCCGTATTTATGACACCCGAAGAGAAGGAATAGGAAAAATATCTGTCATGTCAAAAGGCATCATAGAGTGTTCTGGCTGACTTGAACAACACTGAGACTAAAATAGTTGTAGGGGTCTATTTTGAAGGTGGAGATGGGGGACATAAAATTACAAAAGATATGCCATCAGCAATCAAATTCTAGGTTAGTTAGATTTCATGCTGCTTTCTTGAACATATCTTTCTGTTCTTCTTAAGGCCCCATTATTAATCTCAGCTTGCCAGGAGAATTTAATATTTCCTCTCCTTATTTTCCCCTCATTTTTAGTTGCAAGAAAGTACACTGTCTATCACATTAATTCTGATAAGGAGATATTAATTCTGATAAGAGTACACATTTAAATACCATATCAGGGTTTATGTATATTTATATCCACATTGCATATATATGTATCCATGCATATAGGTATATTCTGATTCTATGTTATTAGCAACATCATTCTTCTCTGTTAATAATTTGGAAGAAGTTCAAAAATTTATTAAATACTCTGATTTTGGCTCTATAGAGAGTTATTAGAAAAATTATTATCTAAATACAACCTGCTAAATGCTTGTTTAAGACATGTACTTTATTCTTCTGGGTTGCTGTAGATTTTTAAAGTCTCATTCTTATGTTAAATTAGAACATCAACAGCACCTAAAACATTTTTACTGGGGTGACATTTAATGCTATTATCTATGTTCTTATAAGGTCACTAGAACATTCAGTTGTTTGAGCAACATTTGAGCATCTTTCACACATTTGTAAATGAAGATATTACCCAGTATTTTACTCAACATACTTTCTATTGGTATCTAGAGGATAAATCCATCTTTAAGCTTAATTTCAAGGTTTATTTACAGATGAATATTATGCAACACGTTTCCAGGTTATAAAATGTTACTTTCTCATTTTCAATTCAATAAACATGTATGTAATTGTGAACTACATATGTAAAGGTTTACAAAGGAAAGTAAGGGAAGCGAGGAGGGAAGGGGCTTTTAAGGATGAATTAAGAGAGTATGACTTGTTACTAAAATAGCTCTAGTTGCTTGATACTTAAGACAACTCTGAAAGCCAGTTTATTTTCTAAATAAAGAGGGATGGTAGAAAATCCTAGAGAAATGGGAACTTAGAGCTGTAAAGAAAATGGCAAAGAATGTTAGTTAAAAAATATCAATCTCCAGATTACAAGTTGATGAGGAGTCAAAGAAAGTTATGGTTAGCCCACTCTCTATAAAAGATACTTAACTGGTTAGGGGAAAATTGAAACTCAGTAGAAACTTCTCTAATCCTGACCACAAAAGTGGCAGGAGAGCTCATTAACAGAATTGCAAGGTGCTTGAGTAAATTTTGAGTCCATTTTGGAGAAAAATTTTAATATATATAAAGCAAAAAATAATTTTAGGATTTCTTCTGTTTTGTATTCTTACATCTTTTAAAATCAGTCTATTATTTATTAATCATATAAAAATTCATTTTGGAATTATAAATACATGATTAGATTTTACACATAAATGGGTAACATCTTATTATTGCTTTGAGTTCTTTCCAAAAATCAGTTTCTTCCAAATTATTCAATATCCATGTTTCAGTCACAGCTGAGTCTTGTCACTGTGCTTACCTGGCAGTATTCTTAGTTGAATTTTAATAGTCAATCCAGGTTAAGTTTCTTAAAATATAAACTACTCGAAGTTCTAAACCAGGGATTGAAAATGGGCAATAATAGGATCCTGTAATACAAGATGACTTCTTATTATTTCTTTAACCACTTTGAGTTTACCAGTCAAACTCAGTACCTAATTGAGATAACCATCTTACCACAGGTACCTGTTAACATCTATGCCATTGCTCCCTCAAGTTTTCCTGGGTTAATGTTAATTGTTATACTTAAGTATACAAACTGTCACATGTACAAAATAAAATAAATACTATGTTTGATATTTTCAAGGAAGCAATTGTACTCAGAATAACATCTATAAGTAATGAACAATTCAGGAATAATTATATTCCCATTCACATTAATGCAAATTATTCATGCAGATTAATAAGTCCCACAAGCTCAGGATCCAAAAGCAATTGGTTACACTTAAAATAAGTTATACCCTGAAAGTATAGGAATATCAGCAACAATTGAAATTATGACCCAAAGCAATAATATCATAATTCTCTGGGCTCCTAATATTCACTTCCACAGAATACATCGTAACTAGGTTAAACCAGATAAAGGTGGAAAGATTAGTGAGAAATTCATAGACTGGTTAAATTATTTGCAGAATAATAAAGTTTAAAATTTATTTGCAAGTTTGTACACGTTTACATGTAGTAGAATCTCACAAACTCAACTACATGGCGAGGGAAGACCTACTTCAATTAGCAAAAATATATACGTTGTAAGGATTTTTAAATGAATGCATTCAGGTATATATTGTAACTACAACCAGAAAAACAACAAGCTTTTAGAAGTCCCAAAAGAGACTTATTTTAATGACTAGAGAAGAAAGATTTGCAATTAGCATATTCATTACTTGTATGTAAATTGATGATTCTAACAGCTGCTTAAGGGTGTTAAAAAACAATTTGTTCTATTAAGGAATTTAAACATTCTCCTTAAAATCTTGTTTACCTGTTTAATTTGCTGAACAATGTCATTCCTCAATCAGAGGACAAGGGAAAAAGAAAGATTCAGATTGTCTCTTGTTGTTAATTTTCCTCTGGTGCGATCCTTATATAAAAAGGACAGTGAGAGGCTACAGTTCAATGCTAATATTTTGGTGACTTTCTTTATTCTTTAATTAAGTGCTGCATTTTTTGTTTCTGGCAGGAATATGTTTTGCAGTGGTAAAGATGATCTTGCTACAGTAGTGACATCTTTTTCAGTGATGAATTCCCTAGCAAAGTTCAGAATAAAAAAGGTGGAGAGAATTAACAAAGTAAATTTATTCTCAAGAATGGTTGGTAATCAATAGTCTATGACCTTCATTTTGGCAAGAGATCAAATCATGTCTTAAAACTGGTGATAGTGGGAGTACTACAGAGTATGATGTCTGGCCCCTTCTCTAGGATTCCAATTATGAGAACCTTTTATTTTCTTCTTAAGCAAGCATAAGCAAGAGATTTGAACAGACAGCTAAATAATTATTCTAAGATCTGACATTATCTGTGGTATTCCTCTCCCTGCAGGAAAACCAAGGCAAACTATCCCTTTAGCCAGCTCCTGCCAGCCCTTGAAAATGAATCAATGCCAGTGAGACAGATTAGGGATGGGACCCAGTCTCCACACCCCCACCTCCCATGTCCCACCAAGGACTTCTACTGCAAGCTGGGCTTTGGGTGTGGCCGGCAGGGACCCCAACCAATCCCTCCAGACCATGTACCCTCTTGCTCAAAGCACCATACCCACTGGTTGCAGGACCTTGAGGAAGCTAAAATAAGCAGCTCCCACCATAAATCTTACTCAAAGGAGTTACCCTATCTCCTGCATGTGCACAAGACCACGAGAGTAACTGATCCTAAACCCTAGCTTCATTGTAATATTAAAAGTCACACCCAGGGGTGGAAATTTACGTATTTATTTTTTGGAATTTTTCTCCATAGTTTATTGGGATACAGGTGGTGTTTGGTTACATCAGTAAGTTCTTTAGTGGTGATTTGTGAGATTTTGGTCCACCCATCACACAAGCAGTATACACTGCACCCTGGTTGTAGTCTTTTATCCCTTGTCCCCTCCCACGCTTCCGCCCACGTTCCCAAAGTCCATTGTATCATTCTTATGCCTTTGCGTCCTCATAGCTTAGCTCCAACATATCAATGAGAACATACGATGTTTAGTTTTTCATTCCTGAGTTACTTTGCTTAGAATAACAGTCTCCAATCTCATCGAGGTGGCTGCAAATGCCATTAAATCATTTCTTGTTATGGCTGAGTAGTATTTCATGGTGTGTGTATATATATATCTATATATATATATATATCTATATATATATGTATCAATCACAGTTTATCCACTCGATTTATGGGCATTTGGGTTGGTTCCACAATTTTGCAATTGTGAATTGTGCTGCTATAAACATGCTTGTGCAAGTATCTTTTTCGTATAATGATTTCTTTTCCTCTGGGTAGATACCTAATAGTGGGATTGCTGGATCAAGTGGTAGATCTACTTTTAGTTCTTTACCGAATCTCCACACTGTTTCCCATAGTGGCTATACTAGTATACATTCCCACCAGCAGTGTAGAAGGAATTCCCCGATCACCACATCATGCCAACATCTACTGTTTTATTTTTTGATTATGGATGGCCATTCTTGCAGGAGTAAGAATGCAGGTGGTATCACATTGTGGTTTTGATTTTTATTTCCCTGATCATTAGGGATGTTGAGCATTTTTTCATTTGTTTGTTGGCCTTTCACATATCTTCTTTTGAGAATTGTCTATTCATGTCCTTAGCACACTTTTTGATGGCACTGATTTTTCTTACTGATTTGCTTGAGTTTGTTGTAGATTCTGGATATTAGTCCTTTGTCAGATGTATAGATTGTGAAGATTTTCTCCCACTCTGTGGGTTGTCTGTTTAATCTGTAGACTGTTCCTTTTGCCATGCAAAAGCTTTTTAGTTTATTAAGTCCCAGCTATTTATAATTGGTTTTTTTTTGCATTTGCTTTGGGGTTCTTGGTCATGAAATCCTTGCCTAAGCCAATGTCTAGAAGGGTTTTTCCAATGTTATGTTCCAGAAATTCCAAAGTTTCAGGTCTTAGGTTTAATTCATCTTGAGTTTATTTTTGTATAAATTGAGAGATGAGGATCCAGTTTCATTCTCCTACATGTGGCTAGCCAATTATTCCGGTACCATTTGTTGAAAAGGGTGTTCTTTCCCCACTTTATGTTTTTGATTGCTTTGTCGAAGATCAGTTAGCTGTATTTGGGTTTATTTCTGGGTTCTCTATTCTGTTCCATGGGTCTATGTGCCTACTTTGATACCAGTACCATGCTGTTTTGGTGACTACGGCCTTACAGTATAGTTTGAAATCAGGTAGTGTGATGCCTCCAGATGTGTTCTTTTTGCTTAGTCTTACTTTGGCTATGCAGGCTCTTTTTTGGTTCCATATGAAATTTAGAAATGTTTTTATCTAATTCTGTAAAGAATGATGGTGGTATTTTTATGGGAATTGCATTGAATTTGTAGATTACTTTTGGTAGTATGGTCATTTTTACAACATTGATTCTACCCATCCATGAGCATGGGATGTGTTTCCATCTGTTTGTGTCATCTACGATTTCTTTCAGCAGTGTTTTCTAGTTTTTCTTGTAGATGTCTTTTGCCTCCTTGGGTAGTTAATTCCTAAGTATTTTATTATTTTTTTGCAGCTATTGTAAAAGGGGTTGAGTTCTTGATTTGATTTTCCCCCTTGGTCCCTATTGATGCATAGAAGAGCTACTTATTTGTATATATTAATCCTGTAACTGGAAACTTTGCTGAATTCTTTTATCAGTTCTAGAAGCTGTCTGGAGTCTTTACGATTTTTTAAGTAAATTATAATATCATCAGGAAACAGTGACAGTTTGACTTCCTCTTTACTGATTTGGATCCCCTTTATTTCCTTCTATCATCTGATTGATCTGGCTAGGACTTCCAGTACTGTGTTGAAGAGAAGCGGTGTGAGTGGGCATCCTTGTCTTATTCCAGTTCTCACAGTGAATGCTTTCAACTTTTCCCCATTCAGTATCATGTTAGCTGTGGGTTTGGCATACATGGCTTTTATTACATTGAGGTATGTCCCTTGTATGCCGATTCTGCTGAGAGTTTTAATCATAGAAGGATGCTGGATTTTGTTGAATGCTTTTTCTGCATCTATTGAGATGATCATGTGATTTTTGTTTTTAATTCTGTTTATGTGGTGTATCACATTTATTATAAAACTATCCTTGCATCCATGGAATGAAACCCACTTGATAATCATGAATTATCTTTTTGATATGCTGTTGGATTTGGTTAGCTAGTATTTTGTTAAGGATTTTAGCAGCTATGTTCATCAGGGATATTGGTCTGTAGATTTCTTTTTTTGTTATGTCCTTTTCTGATTTTGTTATTAGGATCATACTGGCTTCATAGAATGATTTAGAAGGGTTCCCTCTTTCTCCATCTTGCGGAATAGTGTCAATAAGATTGGCACCAGTTCGTCTTTGAATTTTTGGTATAATTCTGCTGTGAATCCATTTGGTCCTGGATTTTTTTGTTTTGGTTGGTAATTTTTTAATTACCATTTTAATCTCACTTCTTGTTATTGGTCTGTTCAGGATATCTAATTATTCCTGCTTAAGCTAGGAGGGTTGTGTATTTCCAGGAATTTATCAACCTCTTCTAGGTTTTCTAGTTTATGCAGGTAAAGTGGTTCATAGTAGCTTTGAATGATCTTTTGTATTTCTTTGATGTCAGTTGTAATATCTCCTGTTTCATTTCTTAATGAGGTTGTTTGAATTTTCCCTCTTTTCTTGGTTAATCTTGCTAATGATCTATCAATTTTATGTATCTTTTATGTAGCCTTTTGTTTCATTTATCTTTTGTATTGTATTTTGTTTCAATTTCCTTTAGTTCTGCTTTGATCATGCTATTTCCGTTCTTCTGCTGGGTTTGGATTTGGTTTGTTCTTTTTTCTCTAGCTCCTTGAGGTGTTAACCTTAGAATGTAATCTTGTGCTCTTTCAGTCTTTTTGATGTAGGTGTTTACAACTATGAACTTTCCTCTCAGCACTGCCTTTGCTGTATCCCAGAGGCTTTGATAGGTTGTATCATTATTGTCATTCAGTTCAAAGAATTTTTTAATTTCCATCTTGATTTCGTTTTTGACCCAGTGATCATTCAGGAGCAGGTTATTTAATTTCCATGTATTTGCATGGTTTTGAAGGTTCCTTTTGGAGTTGATTTCCAATTTTATTCCACTGTGGTCTGAGAGAGTGTTCGATATAATTTCAATTTTCTCAAATTTTGTGAGGTTCATTTTGTGGCCTATTACATGCTCTATCTTTGAGAAAGTTCCATGCACTGTTGAAAAGAATGTGCATTCTTTGATTGTTGTATGAAATGTTCTTTATATATCTGTTAAGTCCATTTGTTCCAAGGTATAGCTAAAATCCATTTTTTCTTTGTTGACTTTCTGTCTTGATGACCTGCGTAGTTCAGTCAGTGGAGTATTGAAGTGCCCCCCATTATTGTGTTGCTGTCTATCTCATTTCTTAGGTCTATTAGTAACTGTTTTATAAATTTGGGAGTTCCAGTAATAGGTGCATATATGTTTAGTATTGTGATATTTTTCTGTTGGACCAAGGCCTTTTACCATTATATAATGTCCTTCTTTGTCGCTTTCAACTGCTGCTGTTGGTTTAAAGTTTGTTTTTTCTAATATAAGAATTGTTACTCCTGCTCGCTTTTGGTGTTCATTTGCATGAAATGCCTTTTTCCACCCCTTTACTTTAAGTGGAGGTGGCAGGCAGGTGGAAATGGACTCTCTGAGGGTTCTTAGCTTTGGTCGTTTAATGTTCTATTTTTGTGCTGCCTGGCCTCCTGCCAAGAGGTGGTGCTTTATGGAAATAATCAGTTGTGGTAGTATGGAGATAAACTGGTGGTGGGCAGGGCCCTAGAACTCCCAAAAGTATATGCCTTTTGTCTTCAGCTATGTTGGTGGGTAGGGAAGGCCTATCAGGCGGGGGCAGGGCTAGGTGTGTCTGAGCTCAGACTCTCCTTGGGTGGATCTTGCCATGGCTGCTGTGGGGGATGGGGATGAGGTTCCCAGGACAATGAATTTGTGTACCTAGAAGGATAATGGCTGCCTCTACTGAGTCATGCAGGTTGTCAAGGAAGTGGGGAAAAACCAGCAGTCACAGGCCTCACCCAGCTCCCATGCAATCCAAAGGGCCAGTCTCCCTCCCACCATGTCTCCCCTAAAAGCACTGAGTCTGTTTCCAGGCAGTGGGCAAGCAGGACTTGAGAACTTGCCCCAGGCTACCCCCTCCCAACTGCAAAAGAAAGGGGCTTTGGTTTTTTCCCCCCGCCTGTGGAGTCTGCACACCAGATTCACACCCTCCCTGGAGTTCTTGCCAGGAGGCTTCTCACCTGGTTCAAATTGTTACTAAATTCAGCTGGAGACTTCCTTCTCCCTGTGGCATTTTCCTCACACCACTGGCTGCCCCACCCAGATCCCTGTGATGCCAGGCAAGAACACGTGCTTGGGGACCCAGCAAGCTTCCAGGACCTTTCCCACTGCTTCCTCTACCCCTATATTTTGCTCGGCTCTCTAAATCAACTCAGATCCAGGTAAGGTCAGAAATTCCTCCAGCAAACTAGACTTTCAGTTTCTCCAGTGGGGCTGTGTGTTTGGGAGCAGAGTCTGGGATGTCTCTTGGGTCCTGCAGGAGCAGTCTGCTTCCTTCACAGAGTCTGTGGGTCCTCTCGGGATTCCTGGTTTGCTCTTGCAGTCATCCTGGAGCTAAAATTCATGATCCAAGCCTTTACACGCTGCTCTGTCTGAGTTGGAGCTACAATCTAGTTCTGCCTCCTGTCCACCATGATGATCGAGGGGTGTAAATTTAATGTGCTAATGGAACATGTGATGCATGAAGAAGCATATTATTAAAGCGCACAGGTGCCACTATTTCCCCACCTCTACCTACCTAAACATTACTTCCTTTCTGCCATAACCCTTTAAAACTTCCTTTTCAATTCCCTCTGAGGGGTCACCAGAGAATTTCTCTCTTTCTCTCTCTCTCTCTCTCATTCTGCCTCCCTTATGCTGGGACATAAACTCCAATAAAGCCTTGTCTAGGAAAACTCTTTCGGCCTTGTGGCATCAGCACACAGACTAAAACTATTTAACCTCCACCCTGCATTGATTACCTTCCCTTCTACCTGTTGCTTGATCTAGACCAGGGCTTTTCACACTTTAGTGAGCATGTAAATCACTTGGAGGGCCTTGTTAAATTATGAAGTCTTGAGTAAGTTCTGAGATTCTGCATTTCTAATAAGGTCCCAGGTGATGCTGCTGATTGATGGACCAAACATAAGTAACAAAAGAGGTAGAACTTAATCTCAAGTCCCTGGTTTTAACACTGGTATAGTCACAATGATGATGATAATGATAATAGCAGCAACAAATATATAAAAATATATCAAAATTTGTTGTAATTTTCTGCACTAATGTGAAAACTGGGATGCTATGTTTGATGAAATCTCTGTGAGAACAACAGAGTACTTAAGAATTCAAACATCTCACACTATATTAAGCTGTTTCAGAAAGAAGAAAATATGAGACTAAATAGGAGCGAAAAGGAGGAAGGAAGGGAGGGAGGGAGAGAAGGAGGAAGGGAGGAAGGAAGGAAGGGAAGAAGGAAGGAAGGAAGGAAGGAGTATCCATCCATTCTTACACTGCTATAAAGAACTGCTGGGACTGGGTAATTTATAAAGAAAAGAGGTTTAATTGACTCACCGTTCTGCATGGCTGGAAAGGCCTCAGGAAACTTACAATCATGGTGGAAGGCAAAGGGGAAGCAAGGCACCTTTTTCACATGGCAGCAGGAAGGAGAATGAATGCAGGAGGAACTACCGAACACATAAGACCATCAGATCTCCTGAGAACTCACTATCATGAGAACAGCATGGAGGAAACCACCCCCATGATTCAATTACCCCCACCTGGTCTCTCCCTTGACACATGGGGATTATGAGGATTATGGGGATTACAATTCAAGATGAGATTTTTGGGTGGGGACACAGCCAAACCATATCAGAAGGAAAAAAAGGACAAATAAATTGGAGCCTGCAGAGCCATTTTCTCAGAAAACACTGCTGATATTGGGACAATGCTTCCAGCATATGTACAACCTGTTCTTTCATTCAGCAAATATTTATTGAGCATATTCTATGCAAAGGGCATGAAGTTCTGAAGATACTAAAATTAGCATGACAAATAGGATCTTTGCCATCCCAAAGTACGTAGAAGAGCAGTTCACACCATCCATCTTCTGTGTATGATGAGACTACTTCAAATATTTTTTTAAATACTTGAGTTCTCCCAGAGGTTTTCATTTCTATCATCCCTTTCTTCTACAAAAGTGTTGTTCTATAGATCCTTACAAGAGTCTAGCAAATATTGAATAGTATCTCTGCACTCGTGCATTGTTATTACACCTGTTCCATCTTGAGCAAATAGCAGGAAAACAGGCTATGAGTCCTTCAAGTTGATAAGGCAGGGTTAGAAGAGCAAAATTAAAAACAGGAAATGGGCCAATATTATATACATAAGAGAATTAACAACAGCAAAAGTAAAGGCTGTTTTTAGCACTTTTTTTTAACTTCCATAACAACCCTTTGAGCAAGCACATTTATTAAAACCACTTTTCAAGTAATACGAAAAGATGCTGAGAGAGGATAAATAGTTTTCCCAAGATAATAAAATTAACAAAAGCCAAGGCTGAGGTCAGTCAAACCCAAGTAGGGGCTAATTCAATGACAAAGCTCTCAAAGGCTGTGATATGCTGGCTTCTCAGAACCTGGCATATGGTGAGAGAAAAAGCAGAACGTGGGCTAAAGTCACCTATAAGTTAATTAAAAGAAGATGCCAAGTACAAGTATGGTTGAGAATAATAAATCAGAGACTAAAAGCTAATTCCAAATTGTAGACGACAGAAGCTGGGGAGGGAGGTGAATAGCAGGCCAAAGGTCAAGACACATTTTCATGGGTAACATTTTCTGACAGAGTTTCTTGAGAAGATCTGCAGCATTAACCCTGAGCATCCATTTCAAACCATCTCCAAGACTGAGCACTCCTACCCCAGCTTCTGCTACACCAACAACTTCTTTCCCACTGAGCACCCCCACCCCAGCATCTGCTACACTCACAACTTCGTTACCACTGATGATGCTTCACCTCACTGTATTGCCACTAAGCTTAGTCACCAAGTAATGAACAGCACTGAGGTAGCCACCACCTTTCCCACAACAGTGTCTTCAAATATTAAATACCATGAGGCACAAACAGAGTTTTCTGTTGCGGTGAAAAATGAGGAGTCCCCTGACAAATCTCACAACTGCCTTACAGATCTCTATTAATCATAATCCATAAGAATAATTTTCTTGGGAACATTTCTTACACTTACACTTATGTCATAGTATTTGCAGGCTTGAGGATTCTTCCATGTGCTTTGGATAATTTACTTCTCCATAAACCTAGAAGGGAAATATAACCTTGAACCATCTAGGCCACTTGCTAGCCTAGCAATTTTAATGTACAGACACCTCCCTCCTGTCTTTTTTAATGGAGCAAATGCCATAAATAACTGGGATCTTAGGCCTTAAATTTTATGTGGAAAGGGCGACCATAGTAAAACTTACTGAGAATTTCCAAAAAATTTATAAAGCATCAGCTTGAGTTATCGGTCTGTAAGGATGCATCTCATAGAAAAAGTATGTTAACCCAGAAAATATTCTTTACATTATTTTGTTCATATTAGATGCTGCATATCCAGAAATAGGACACAAGAACAATGACAGAGAACAAGGTTTTCTGCTTAGAAATTTAACCTTCACGTCTTCTGACTCTGGACCTCTCACCCTTCTTTGCCTTTATACTGGACTAAACAAGTTAAATTTGGACTCTATTTTGTAGACATCAGTGAGTAGAGCAGAGTATTTTAAGGTAAAGGGTAAGATAACTAAGCTGATTTTAGATAATAGTATAAGTTTAGAACTGAAAAGCCTTATTGAAAGGAAGAAGGAAACGCAGACAAGATTGGGAGCTATTTCAAGGATGTAACACTTACGTTTACTTTTTACTCTAGATTTTCCAATTACCCTGTCCTCAGCCCAGTCCTTCTTTACCTATTCTTGTGAAAACTTTTTCTCAGTTTCAACTTGTTTCTAGCTAGTCTCAGATGAGGCTGTCAAAGTTCTCCCAGCTACTAAGATGCAGGTCTTTTTCTGTTTCTACTTTTGCCTGGCTTTGGGAAAAAGAGCAACATATCTTTTGTTGTTTGGTTGGTTGGTTTTAGACACAGGGCCTCACTCTGTCACCCAGGCTGAAGTGCAGTGGCACAATCATAGCCCACTGTAACCTTCAACTCCTGGGCTCAAGCAGTCCTCCCACTTCAGCCTCCTGAGTAGCTAGAACTATAGGTACATGCCACCACACCCAGTTAATTTTTTTATTTTTTGTAGAGTTGGAGTCTATGTTGCCCAGGCTTGTCTGGAACTCCTGGCCTCAAGAAATCCTTTCATGTTGGACTCCCAAACTGCTGGGATTATAGGTGTGAGCCACTGCTCCCAGCCCAACCATATGGTTATAAGCTATTCCAGTTACTACTTCTACATAACAAACTACTCCAAATTTGTTGAACCTCATGACTATGAGTCAAGAATGTGAGCAGATCTTGGTTAAACTATTCTGCTTCGTGTAGTATTGACTGGGGTACTTGGTGGTACCCAGGAGGCAGATATGCTGGCCTGGAAAATCCAAGGTGGCTTTACACTTACATCTGGTACATTGGCAGGGGTGGCTGGAAGGCTGGGCTCAGCTAGAACTATTCACAGGAGTCACTAATATTGCCTTTCCAACATGAGAGCCTCAGTGTAGTCAGACTTCTACCATGGCAATTGCTTTCCCCAGAGCAAGTGTCCCAAGAGAACTGAGTAGAAGCTTCTTTGGACATTGGACCTTTTCTGATGTAGATGTTAGTGTCACAGAGTGTAACTATATTCTGTTGGTTACAAGTTGAGTTATAGACCAGCCTAGATTCAAGGGGAGATAATGTATTTTTTTAAATATTTTTTTAATTAGCCAGGCATGGTGGCACATACCTGTAATCCCAGCTACTTGGGAGGCTGAGGCAGGAGAATCGCTTGAACCCGGGAGGTGGAGTTTGCAGCGAGCTGAGATCGTACCATTGCACTCCAACCTGGGAAACACAGTGAGACTCTGTCTCAAATATACATATATATTGTTAAATTTGTGGGTATATAGTAGGTGTCTATATTTATGGGTATATGAGATGTTTTGATACAGGCATGCAATGTGAAATAAGCACATCATGGAGAATGGTGTATCCATCCCCTTAAGCATTTATCCTTTGAACTTTGAGTTACAAACAATCCAATTACACTCTTTATTTTAAAACATACAGTCAAGTTATTATTGACTATAGTCACCCTGTGTTGTGGCTATGAAATACTTGGTCTTATTCATTTTTTCTATTTTTTTTGTACCCATTAATTATCCCCACCTCCCCTCCAACACCCCACTACCCTTCCCAGCCTCTGGTCACCATCCTTCTACTCTGTGTGTCCATGAGTTCAAGTGATTTGATTTTTAGATCCCAGTAATAAGTTAGAACATGTGACATTTGTCCTTCTGTGCCTGGCTTATTTCACTCAACATGATGATCTCCTTCCATCCACTTTGTTGCAAACAACTGGATCTCACTCCGTTTAGGGCTGAATAGTACTCTATTGTGTATATGTGCCATATTTTCTTTATCCATTCATCTGTTGATGGACACTTAACTTGCTTCCAAATCTTAGCTATTGTAAACAGTGCTGCAACAAACATAACAGTGTGGATATCTCTTTGATATACTGATTTCCTTTCTTTTGGGTATATATCCAGCAGTGGGAGTGCTGGATCATAAGGTAGCTCAATTTGTGGTTTTCTAAGGTACCTCCAAACTGTTCTCCATAGTGGCTGTACTAACTTACATCCCTGTCAACAGTGCACAAGGGTTCCCTTTCCTCCACATCCTCGCCAGCATTTGTTATTGCCTGTCTTTTGGATATAAGCCATTTTAACAGGGGTGAGGGGAAGGGAATTTAGACACCATCTCTGATTGGGACTGGCAAAATCACTCTGGAGAAGAGCTTGAGGAATGGTAGATAATGTTGGATTCATCTTTAGAAAATACTTTCTGCCACAAGAGTAAAGTTGAAGTTGAACAGACTAGAGTTCAAATCCTCTTTTCCTTTCTAATTGTGCAACTCTTGGAACATTACATAATCTCACAGGATTTATTGCCTGTCCTATGAAATAAAATTTAAAAATTGCTACCTCTCATGATCAGATGATAACATTAAATGAGAAGACTTACATAAAGCAGTCTAACTCTGGTAAATGATCAACACGTGTAAGTAGTTCTCTCCTCTCTAGAACCAGTAATACTGCAAACGAGGGTCCTATAGACAGTCTCCATTGCTTTCTACGTCCACTGCCTCCTAGTAGCTGGTTCATAACTCTTCCCATCAATTTTTTGATTCCACCTTGTTTTTCCCACATCTTTTTCAGTACCCCATCACTGAGAATACTTACAGATAGCTTATTCACTATAGATCAGCCCCCACAGACACAGCCATTTCCTCAGAAAACTGTCAGTAATCATGGGGAAAGCAACATTTAAGAGCATATGTACAGAATGAGAAATAATGTTTTTCCCATAACAGAGAGCACAACTTCAGACCAACCTCTGTTTAATTCACAAATTCTAAATCTGTAGGTGTATACAAAAGTATACATAATGTTTGTTTTCCAGAATGTGGTTAAAAAATTCACTTTCAATACTGAATGCAATTACCAAATTATAGTATAGATTTTTGAGGAAAATTTGAAATCTAGCGCTTAAAACGCATTGGCCTATGTAAAATTGTTAGGGTAGATTTATCAATCTTTTATAAGGATAGCATCATGCTCATGTATTTACGTTGTATACTGGCATAGTGCTTCTTTTCTTCCTGCTTCCCTTTCTTCCTTCTCTCCTTCACTTTTCTTGCTTGTAACAATGTGCCCTATTGCCAGTGATGTATTTATATTCATTCATTCTCTGGAACACATACAATTGTGATGAAATACAAAATCCAGGCCAGCTCAACATGGAGTGACTCTAGACTGGTTTTTCTTTTATTTCAATAGATGAAACAAGGCACAGTGGTGGAAGTAGGTTTCCTGCAGCTTGGCTCTCTAAATGTATTGCAACATAGTGGGAAACCTGAGTGAAATGATGCAGATCAATATAGCTGTCTTAGGAGAATGTTGTGATGCTTTCTTGCTGTTACCCATGAAACCAGCTTAAATCCAATGATAATTATTTTTGCTGGAGGCATGAAGCTGCACTCGGTTACTTTGAAGAAACCAGAGAAAACTGACAAGGACAGTGGCCTTAGACATCTTATAGCCTTTGTTTACAAAACAGTGTGGGGTCTAAACAGCAATCAGATCAAAATATGACTTCACCACCAGGGGTTTCCAGCACAGAAATAATCAATAGAATCAAGAACATCACATAGCAGGATCTTCTGGGGCATGTGTCATGTAAACATATACCATCTCTCCCATCTTTGTGGTTTTTTTTCCTAAGACAAAGATTACCCGACTCCCTTCAATGGGTTGTTTGTATCTCTTCCCATCAAAGGGTGCTGGTAGTCCTGTTTGAACAGACATGCTGTGGCCTCAGACAGACCAAGAATTGGAAGCTAATTTACCATGGAAATCTTAATGATATTTGAAATCACAGATGAGTGCTTTAGGGAAATAACAGGGGAAATATTCAGAGCAGGCAAGTAGGCACATCCACAGTGACCATCATTCTTTTTCCCTCACGAGTGCAGTTAGCCCCCAGTAACTCACTTGTCTTAGTCCATTCAAGCTGCTCTAAGAAAATACTGTAGATGGGTATTTTGGTAGATTTGGTGGTTAATAAACAATAGAAATTTATTTCTTACAATTCCA
The DNA here is from genome assembly GCF_000001405.40 of Homo sapiens. NCBI lineage: Eukaryota > Metazoa > Chordata > Mammalia > Primates > Hominidae > Homo > Homo sapiens. Next base: position 26,140,780 of record NC_000003.12, on the reverse strand, counting down.
GAGGCTGGAAAGTCCAAGATTAAGGGACTAATAGATTTGGTGTCTGGTGAGGGCTCCTCTTCTCACTCTAACTTCACATGGCAGGAGAAGCAAGGAGTCTCTCTCAGGCCTCTTTTATAAGGGCCCTAATCCTGCTCATGAGTGCTCTGCCATCATGACCTAATCATCTCCCAAATGCCACACCTCCCAATGCCATTATCTTGGGCATTAGAAGTCCAACATATGAATGTAGGGGGTGGGGAATAAAAATTCAGACCATAGCCTCATCCTATCAGGAAAAGTTTCTGTGCCTGTATTAGTCCGTTTTCACACCACTGATAAAGACATACCCAAGCCTGGGCAATTTACAAAAGAAAGAGGTTTAATGGACTTACAGTTCCACATGGGTGGGGAGGCCTCACAATCAGGGTGGAAGGCAAGGAGGAGCAGTCACATCTTACATGGATGGTAGCAGACAAAGAGAGAGAACTTGTGTAGGAGAACTCCTCTTTATAAAACCATCACATCTGGTGAGATTTATTCACTATCATGAGAATAGCACAAGAAAGACTTGCCCCCATGATTCAGTTACCTCCCACTGGGTCCCTCCCACAACATGCAGGAATTCAAGATGAGATTTGGATGGGGACACAGCCAAACCGTATCAGTGCCCAAATTTCTTCCAAAATGATTGATGTTGTTTTCTTTTTTAACATCTTTATTAAGGTACATTTGACAAATAAAAATTGCATATATTTAAGTGTACAACTTGATGCTTTGATATATGTATATATTGTGAAATGATTACTACATCCAAGCTAATTAACATATCCAATATCTCACAAAATTAACATTTTCTGTGTGTGTGTCTGTGTGTGTGTGTAAAACACTTAATATCTACCTTCTTTGCAAATTTCAAGTGTCAAACTGTTCACCTTGTGAAACTGGAACTTCATACCCTTTGACCAACATCATCTCATTTTCCCTTCCTTCCAGGCCTTAATAACTACCACTCTACCCTCTGCTTCTATGAGTTTGACTATTTCCTATTCTGAATATATGTAAGATCATGCAATATTTGTCTTTCTGTGTTTGGCTTATTTTACTTAGTATATTGTCCTCCAGATTCATCCATTTTGTCAAAAGTTGCAAGATTTCCTTATTTTTAAGGCTGAATAATCTTCCATTGTATGTATACGTGTGTGTGTGTGTGTATGTATATATACCATGTTCTATTTCATTAGTCTATACATCTGTTTTTGGTTTGTTTTTGCCACTACCGTACTGTTTTGATTACTGTAGCTTTGTAATATATTTCAAAATCAGGAAATATATGCCTCCACCATCATTCTTCTTGCTCAAAACTGCTTTGGCTATTTGGGGTCTTTTGTAGTGTCATGCAAATTGTAGAATTATTTTTCCATTTCTGAAAAGAAAGCCACTGTGATTTTAATAGGGATTACACTGAATCTGTAGATCACTTTGGGTAAAGTGATGGTTAATATCGCATGTCAACTTGATTGGATTGAAAGATGTGAAGTATTGTTCCTGGGTGTGTCTGTGAGGATGTTGCCAAAGGAGATTAACATTTGACTCTGTTAAATCTCCTTGGACTGGGAAAGCTCCAGCTCCAGGAAGGTGCAGCAAGATGGAGTTTAGGTGGCTTCAACAGCTGGGATCTAATCAGCAAAGACTGCAGGGGTCCTGGATGGTTAAGGCCATGGGTCCACAGCCAGCAGCAAGGACTGCCAGGATTATTAACGGCAAAGGCTACTGGGATTCCTCCTGCTCGCCTTTTCCCCCACAACGGGAACTCAAAGCCAAGGGGATTTTTCTCGGTGCTTAGCTCTGCCAGCCTGGAGGATGGAGTGACATGGGTAAAATGAACCTCTTTTCCTACTCTTTTCTATGAGTTATGAAACTGGAGCTTGCCTTTATCATATCAGCCTTTCCTTTTCCCTTGTTATACTAGAAGAGGTCTGGATATGATATCTTGAGATTTTATGCACTATGACTTTTTTTTCACAAGTAGAGGCTAAAATTCTCAGCAAATATTAATTTTTGATATAGTGAAGAGAAATTGCTCAATATAGCAGTATTGTCAAATGGCTAGGAGCTTGGCTCTGCACTTGGCCTCCATGGGTTCAAATCTGTATTATCTTACTTCTTAGCAGTGAAAGATTATTTCATCCTTCTTGCCTTCGTATTTTTATCTGTAAAATAGGGATCACATTATTGTCTTTTGGGCTCATTGAGAGCATCGAATGAAAATGCTTATAGGCCAGGCATGGTGGCTCATGCCTGTAATCCCAGCACTTTGGGAGGCTGAGGCAGGTGGATCATGAGGTTAGGAGTTCAAGACCAGCCTGGCCAATATAGTGAAACCGCATCTCTACTAAAAATACAAAAATTAGCTGGGCGTGGTGGTGCGTGCCTATAGTTCCAGCTGCTCGGGAGCCTGAGGCAGGAGAATCACTTGAATCCACGAGGCAGAGGTTGAAGTGAGCCAAGATTGCACCACTGCACTCCAGCCTGGGTGACAGAGTGAGACTCTGTTTCAAAAAAAAAAAAAAAAAAAGAGAAAGAGAAGAAAAAAAAGAAAATGCTTGTAAAATCTTATCATAATGGATGGCACATAACACGTGCTTGTATTAGTCCATTTTGATACTGCTATAAAAAAAATACCCAAGACTGGATAATTTATAAAGAAAAGAGGTTTAATTGACTCACAGTTCCAAATGGCTGGGGAGGCCTCGGGGAACTGACAATTATGGCAGAAGGTGAAGGAGAAGCAAAGGCATGTCTTACATGACGGCAGACCAGAGACAGCAAACAAAGGAGGAGCTGCCAAATACTGTTAAAACCCTCAGCTCTCGAAGGAACTCCCTCACTACCATGAGAACAGCATGGGAGAAACTGCCCCTATGATCCAATCACCTCCTACCAGGTACCTCCCTCAATATGTGGGGATTACAATTCGAAATGAGATTTTGGTTGAGATACAGAGCCAAACCATATCAGTGCTCAATAATTGTTTTTAAATTATGAAGTGGGTGTTCTGTGTATTTTGTGAGGTGCCTTAAACACATGAGCATAGAACAGAGAATTTGAAAACAGAAATTGAGTTTTCTCCATTACTAAATACTAAGAAAATTGTGTTAGGATTAGAAGGGCAAGGTGGGGAAGAGGGTGAATGCAAGAGTGAAACCTGACCTCAAGTTAGCTCAGCCAGATGCAGTATGGGCTTATTGTCACCCATCATCATCAACAAGTACCCCAAGTGTTCCTTGAGGGGTATATGTTACCCACAAAATAGAAACATGGAAACACCACTCCAAAAACGCACAAATGTCTTTACAGTGCTAGAAACAAATTCAGTGGAATGCAGTCCACCACAAGGGAAGTCTGTAACACTCAGTTCATTCTCCTTTCCAGATTAATCAAGGAGTCTTGCAACCAGTAACAGCTTCCTTAAAAGAGTGCAAGATTCCACATTTTACTTACTTCCATCCATGAAGTCATTCTTCCAAGTTTGGCACCAGGGGCAGGGGTGGAAGGGGATTTATTCTAAACTTTCCTAATGAAAGAGAAGAGAGATAAATTTTGCATTAACATTAAAGACAAAATAAACATTAAAGACTATAAGGGTAAATTGTTATGTAGCAATCCAATATTATGAGTCATATTTAAGTTTCTTTGCTATTTCAACTGAATCATTTTATTTATTTATATATATATATACATACACACACACACATATTCCTTAACTTAACTACCTTGTCTAAGCAATTGATAGACACAAGGACTTCAGTAGAAGTTGCTATACCTTTTGCCTCATCTACAAAGAAATGATTCATTTATATAATTTTTGTTCTTTAATGGAGACCAATACATTATCAAGCCACTCCTATTAGGACAGAATGTTTTTAATATGAAGACTAGCTAATGACACAGCAGGAAACAACAAAAGACAAGTTCTTTTTTTTGCTCTGTTTCCATTTATATTTCTCACGCTAATGTTTAAATCCACCAAATTACCTTTATTACAGGCTTTTTTGAATCTGATAAACTGTATTCTCCTGTGTTACACCAGAGCTTGCAAACCAAGGCTATCAATTATTTCCAAGAGATAATAATATTGCTGATAATAATAGACTTTAATTTGACAAATAATTAGCTTTACATCCAGAAATGGGTAATATAGCACTACATTAAAAGGAAAATATTCTTCTGTGGATATTAGCGGTATTTCTTTAGTCACATGCAACAACACGCATATCATTAATTTTATTATTCCTTCAAGAGAGAGTGTCTCAATTATTAAAAAAACCTTTAAGCTAAGAATTTGCCTACCTAACTGATAATTTTAAACTGAAACTATTTTCCCACAGGTTAAGGTAAGAAGTCCTAAAAATCAATCTTCTTTATAACCTTTGGTACCCTTTATGACCTTGATCCTGCCTATCTTTTTAGTCTTGTATCTTTCATTTCTTCTCCTTGTGTTTCCTGCATTGCCATTTTAGGTTCCTCAGACAAGTAATTGTTCCCTTCCATTGTGAAGATTGTGCACACACTCCTCCCTCTACCTGAAGCACTTGCTTCCGCCACAAATCCTTCCCCTATCCTGCAAAACATTAGCTCTGGCTTTATGCCCTTACATAACTTTATATGTCTACATAGTATAAATATCTATTTGTATAGTTATTTTATTGTCTATCTTTCTCATAACTCTGACAGTTCTATGGGAAAATGAGTCTCGTCTGTTTATCTTATTATTGTAGACCCAGCATCTAACATGGTGCTTGATACACATAACAGAAGATCAATAAATACTTGTTGAATAAATATATGGCTTCATTTTCTATAAAAGTGATCGACAGTCTGGCATTTTCCCAGATTGGGAGCTGATCAACACTATGCTAGATATATTAGCCTTAGCAAAAAAAAAAAAAAAAAAAAAAAAGGAACAGGCTACAAATTGATATTTATTAAGTCTATGAAGTAATTTATCATATGCTTACTGCTTTCACTCCCCTGATAAGTTTATCTTTTGTGTAATGATGTAAATTTGGGAGGGGGACCATGGGGTCAGAATTCTATGCATCCTATTTCAAGTGGTGTACTAATATAATTAGCTATTCTGCAGGCCATTAACTTCTGTAATGATGTCTACAATAAAGCAGAATATGAAGTTGAAATGGGAAGAAAAGAATCAGTTTACATACTCACTGATACTCTGAATACTATTTTGACTCCGAGGAACTCTTAGTGCAAAATTTAACAGAGAATCTCCAGAAGACAGTCTGCCCTCAGCAACTATCCATCCAACCCTGTGGCTCCTGAAGTCTCTTTGACAAGTAGTAAAAGTTGTCAATCTGTGATCTACCATTTTTGGTAGACCTGCCTCCTCATGCAAGAGCAGGAAGCATAAAAAGCTTTCATTAAGCTCATATCATCCAAAAACACATACAAACTTTTTCCCATTGTCTTAAAATAGCTGTCAAACTCCTCTGCAGTTCTTTTCTTCTACCACAAAATGAAATTATAGCTACTAACCTTAAAGGAATGTTTCTAATGTACAATGAATCAAAAGAGCTGAGAAACCATGTACATGTGTTATTACAGAAATGTCTAAAATGATTAAGAAGGAATTTGTTTCAGCTTCACAAATCTTCACAGCTTTCCAACATCAAGGAAAAGTTAGGAAAAAATAAAATACTTCATGACATTTCTCAGAAAATAAAATAGAACATAAATTTAAAAGAAATAAAAGAGTGTTGCCAAGAAAAATGTAGAGCAAAAGATTTAAAATAGAACTCCTGAAACTTAAAAACAAATCTTTTGTATGCCTTGGTAACAGTAATGATGATATTCAAAAATGACTAATTATAGAGCCAGTACTCAAATAATGTGAGTACCAAACAAAGCATTCAGGGGTAATGTCACGTATTAATGGAGGCACAACTTAATCTGGGATAGAATGTTTCTTTTTAAGAGTAAAGTTCTATAGGAATATCAATTTCATGTCTCATCAAGACAATTGTCCTCTCCTCTTTTTATTCTTAGCTTTATTTATTGTAAACAATGCCAAAATGAAGCAGCACACTAGTAAATGTTGTTTTCATTTTTTTGTTGTTGAATTTGTTGTCTTCTCCTGGCTAATACATAATTTAGTTCAAATCTTCACACAAACTTAATTTGTAGGGATGTATGCTTTTTCAAATACACAGTTTTGGTTCTCTCTTTGTCTGAATTGAATACTTTGGCAACATCCTTGGGAAATTTAGTCTTTGGTTTGAGATGCTGACCTACAGTACAAATCAGGCCAGTAAACCATTGGCTACTGGTTTGTATTCACCTAAGGAAGCAGAATCATCATCAATCACAAAGAATTCTTCATTTTCTTGAAACAAGTTATGCAAGCAAGAATATTCCTGTTTTGCATGTGACAAGATTCACACTGAACTCAGCATTCCTAAACCTAGGATATAGACTGTTGGTCAGCTTCCTACTTTGCACTTAAATTCAACTTTCTCCCACCTGATCATAATCAAGCTCTCCCTAAACACAGAGATAGATCTTGATTCCCAGGCTAAGAGCCAGCCTTTCTTCTTGGCCAAGTCTTTTTCTCTTTGGTGAGAGGTTCTTGAACTCTAAACCCATCTGCTTAGAGTTCTTGGGAAGAGAGGAAAAAGAATAAGGAAGACCTTCAGCCTGAAAGGTAATACCACAAGAAGGTAACTCAAATCCATAAGAAAAAATAAAGAACACTGAAATGGCAATTATGCAGGTTAATATAAAACTCTAAAAGCATTTTTTTACATTTCTTCCCTTAATTTATTTAAAAGACATAAGACTGTATAAAGCAATAATTATACAATCTATTATTAAGTTGATAACATATATAAAAATATGTAACAATAATAGCACAAAGGAGTGGGAGAGAATAGAGCTATATTGAAGCAAAATTTCTGTATTTTACAAATATTAAGCTAGTATTATTCTAGAGGAAATTGTCATCAATTAAAATGCATTTTATAATTTCCTAGATTGACCATTGAGAGAATAACTCAAAAACTAGTTTTAAAAATCAAAAGAGCAATTAAAGTAGCATACTAAAAGTATTGTCTTAACAGAAAAGAAGCAATAAAGGAATAGAGAAATAAACAAATAGAAAATTCAACAGTGAAAGTTGGAGGACTCAATACCAAAGATTCAATAATTGATAGAACCACTATATTAAAAAAAATCAGTAAAGATATACAAGACTTGAACAATACTATCAACCAACTCAAACTAATTTAGGTAGAATGGTCCACTCATTGAATGCAGAATGCATGCTCTTTTTAAGTGCACGTGGAATATTTTTCAGGATGAGATCATATGGTAAGCCATAAAACAAATCTCAACACACTTAAAAATATTGAATTCATACAGTGTATTTTCAACCAAAATGGAATTTAGAAATAAACAACTAAAAGGAATATGGGAAATCCTTAAGTACTTGGAAATTAAACAATACACTTCTAAATTCTAAAAATGAAACTAAAAGTTTTTGAAAAGATCAACAAAATTGGCAAATCTTTAACCAGACTAACCAATAAAAAGAGAGTGAGACAGACAAAGACAAAGGAGGCACAAGTTGCCAAATTCAAGTCACAGAAGAAACCACAGGGTAAATTAGGAAAGGCTTTGCATGAATGAAAACAAACAGAAAAACCCCACAATATATCAAAATTTATGATGTACAGCTAAGCAGTGTTTAGAAAGACATTTACAGCTTTAAAGGCATATATTGGAAAAGAAGAAAGGTCTCAAATCAATAACCTATGCTTCTACCTTAAGAGCATAGTAAAAGAAGAGCAAACTAACCCCAAAGCAAACAGAGGATAGAAATAAAGGTTAGAGCACAAATCAATGAACTACAAAACAAAAACAAAAGGAAAATAAGGCAATAAAACTAAAAGTTGTTTCTTTCAAAATATCAACAAAATTGGCAAATATTTAACTGAACTAACCAAAGGAAAACATGAAAACATAATTTATCAAATTCAGGAATGAAAGTGGAAATATTACAACCAATGCTACAGAAATGAAAACATTATAAGGGAATTTATAAACAACTATGCCAAAAAATAAGACAAATGAGATGAAATGGACAATTTCTAGAAACAAGATTTGAATAGACCTCACACACACACACACACACACACACACACACACACACAAACGATCACTATGCATATAAAAACATGTTTAGCATCATTAGCCATTAGGAAAACACAAATTAAAACTACGATAAGATACCATTATGTACTCACTAGAATGACTATAATCAAAAAGAAAGGTGTTTCAAAGTGTAGGAAAAGATGTGAAGGACCCAGGGTCTTCATTTACTGCTGGTGGGAAGGTAAATAATACAGCCATTTTGCAAAATATAGTTTCTCATGAAATTAAATATACACTTAACATTTGGCCCAGCAATTTTATTTCTTGGAATCCACCCAAAAGAAACAAAAATACATGTCCACACAAAGATTTGTAAGTGAATGTTTATAGCAGTATCATCCATGATAGCCCAAAATTGCAAAGCATCCAAATCTGCATTAAATGGCAAATAAATGAACAAAATGTGATATATGCATACAATGGAGCACTATCGAACAAAAAAAAGAAATGAAGTCTTGATACATACTATGGCATTTTCAACCTTAAAAGTGTCATACTAATTAAAAGAGACCTTATTCAAAACACTACATATTGTATGATTCTACATATACAAAATATCCAGAAACAGTAAATTTATATACAGAGAAAGCAGGCCAGTGGTTTCCTAGAGCTGGGTGTGAGATAGGGGATTATCTTCAAATGGGAAGGAGATAACATTTTGGCGTTCTGTAAATGTTCTAAAACTAGATTGTGGTGATTGCTGCACAAATGTAAATTTTACTTTAAAAAAATCACTGAATTGTATACTTATAATGGGTGAATTTTATGGTATCTAAATTATACCCCAGTAAAGCTGGGATTTTTTAACGGTTAATAATTATATGAAAGGAAAATACGAATGGCTCTGTTTGGATGAAAATGCTTGATATCTAATAAAAATAGAAATTCAAATTAAAAGTATAATGAGATACAGTTTTTACAACTCAGGTTTGCTAAGATTAAAAAGTTTGTAACACACCTAATTGATAATAATATGGGCATCCTTATTAATGTCTGGGAGGAATATATGTTGGCATTTTCTCAATGAGAAGCAGTTTTGCTTTATCTATTGAAAATTAAGATTGCATGTTTCTTGATTCGGTAATTACTTTCCTACTCCCACTGACACTAAGTGATAAATTTAAATCATTTTTGCTATAAGCAAAATATTGCAAACAATCTAAAAGTTCATCAATAAAAGACTAAGATAGATTATGATATAACCAATGAATGAAATCTGATGCAGATGTAAAAATATACAGCTCCAAAACTGTCTCTATTTGCAGAGGATATGATCTTACACATAGAAAACCCTAAATATTACCTGCATACACACAACCTGTTAGAACTAATAAATGACTTCCGTAAAGTAGCAGGATATAAAGCCAATACAAATAAAATCAGTTGCATTTCTGTACTCTTAACAATAAACAATCAGAAAAAAATTACAAAAATTTTTATTTACAATAGCATCAAAAAATACTAAGGAATAAAAACTACGATACAAAGAAGGTAAAAGACTTGTACAATGAAAACAACAAAACATTGCTGAAAGAAATTTTAAAAGACATAGATGAATGGAAATACATATCATGTTCATGAATTGGAAGAATTAACATTGTTAAAATGTCATAATAACCAAAGTGATCTACAGAATCAATGCAATGGCTATCAAAATCCCAGTGACATTTTTGCAAAGATAGAAAAACTCATCCTAAAATTCACATGGCATCTCAAGCAACCCCAAATATCAAAAATGATCTTGTAAAAGAAGAGGGATGTTAATAATGAGGGAGACTACACATGTGTGGGGCAAGGGGTACATGGGAAATGTCTTGTATCTTCCCCTCAATTTTGTTGTGTAACTAAAACTGATCTAAAAAGTAAAGTTAATTTTAAAAAATAACAAACTACTATGCTGAAGTACTCACATTTCTTGATTTCAGAATTTACTATAAATCTATTACAAAGTAAGGTCCATTCCAAGATATCCAAATAGGAATAGCTCCAGTTTGCAGCTCCCAGCGTGACTGATGCAGAAGATGGGTGATTTCTGCATTTCCAACTGAGGAACCTAGTTCATCTCATTGGGACTGGTTGGACAGTGGGTGCAGCCCATAGAGGGTGAGACGAAGCAGAGCGGGGTGTCACCTCACCCAGGAAGTGCCTTTCCTAGCCAAGGGAAACCATGACAGACTGTACCTGGAAAAATGGGACACTGTCGCCCAAATACTGAGCTGTTCCCAAGGTCTTAGCAACCGGCAGACAAGAAGATTCTCTCCTGTGCCTGGCTCAGTGGGTCCCATGCCCAGGGAGCCTTGCTCACTGCTAGCGCAGCAGTCTGAGATCGAACTGTGAGGCAGCAGCCTGGCTAGGGGAGGGCGTCTGCCATTGCTGAGGCTTGAGTCAGTAAACAAAGCAGCCGGGAAGCTCGAACTGGGCAGAACCCACCACAGCTCAGCGAGGCCTACTGCCTCTATAGACTCCACTTCTGTGAGCAGGGCATAGCTAAACAAAAGGCAGTAGACAACTTCTGCACACCTAAATGTCCCTGTCTGACAGCTCTGAAGAGAGCACTGGTTCTCCCACCACAGTGTCTGAGCTCGGGGAATGGACAGACTGCCTCTCCAAGTGGCTTCCTGACCCCCGTGTAGCCTAACTGGCAGACACCTCCCAGTAGGGGCTGACAGACACCTCACATAGGCAGGTGCCCCTCTGGGATGAAGTTTCCAGAGGAAGGTTCAGGCAGCAATATTTGCTGTTCTGCAGCCTCCACTGGTGATACCCAGGCAAACCGGGTCTGGAGTGGACCTCCAGCAAAACCCAACAGAACTGCAGCTGAGGGACCTGACTGTTAGAAGGAAAACTATCAAACAGAAAGGAATAGCATCAACATCAACAAAAAGGATATCTATACCAAAGCTCCATCTGTAGGTCACCAACATCAAAGACCAAAGGTAGATAAAACCACAAAGACGGGGAGAAACCAGAGCAGAAAAGCTGAAAATTCTAAAAACCAGAGCACCTCTTCTCCTCCAAAGGACTGCAACTCCTCACGAGCAACAGAACAAAGCTGGACGGAGAATGACTTTGACGAGTTGACAGAAGTAGGCTTCAGAATGTCAGTAATAACAAACTGCTCCAAGCTAAAGGAGCGTGTTCAAACCCATCACAAGGAAGCTAAAAGCCTTGAAAAAAGGTTAGACGAATGGCTAACTAGAATAAATAGTGTAGAGAAGACCTTAAATGACCTGATGGAGCTGAAAACCATGACATGAGAACTTTGTGGTGCATGCACAAACTTCAATAGCTGATTCGATCAAGTGGAAGAAAGGGTATCAGTGATTGAAGATCACATGAATGAAATTAAGCGAGAACACTAGGTTAGAGAAAAGAAGAGTAAAAAGAAACAAACAAAGCCTCCAAGAAATATGGGACTATGTGAAAAGACCAAATCTACACTTGATTGGTGTACCTGAAAGTGATGGAGAAAATGAAACTAAGTTGGAAAACACTCTTCAGGATATTATCCAGGAGAACTTCCCCAACGAGCAAGGCAGGCCAACATTCAAATTCAGGAAATACAGAGAACACCATAAAGATACTCCTCGAGAAGAGAAACCCCAGCACACATAATTGTCAGATTCACCAAGGTTGAAATGAAGGAAAAAATGTTAAGGGCAGCCAGAGAGAAAGGTCGGGTTACCCACAAAGGGAAGCCCATCAGACTAAAAGTGGATCTCTCAGCAGAAACCCTACAAGCCAGAAGAGAGTGGGGGCCAATATTCAACATACTTAAAGAAAAGAATTTTCAACCCAGAATTTCAAATCCAGCCAAACTAAGCTTCATAAGTGAAGGAGAAATAAAATCCTTTACAGACAAGCAAATGCTGAGAGATTTTTTTCATCACCAGGCCTGCCTTACAAGAGTTCCTGAAGGAAGCACTAAATATGGAAAGAAACAACCAGTACCAGCCACTGAAAAAACATACCAAATTGTAAAGACTATTGATGCTAGGAAGAAACTGCATCAATTAACAGGCAAAATAACCAGCTAACATCATAATGACAGTATCAAATACACACATAAAAATAATAACCTTAAATTTAAATGGGCTAAATGCCCCAATTAAAAGACACAGACTGAAAATTGCATGAAGAGTCAAGACCTATCAGTGTGCTGTATTCAGGAGACCCATCTCACATGCAGAGACACACACACACTCAAAATAAAAGGATGGAGGAAGATCTACCAAGCTAATGGAAAGCAAAAAAAAGCAGGGTTTGCAATCCTAGTCTCTGATAAAACCAACAAAGATCAAAAGAGACAAAGAAGGCCATTACATAATGGTAAAGGGATCAACTCAACAAGAAGAGCTAACGATCCTAAATATATATGCACCCATTACAGGAGCACCCAGATTCATAAAGCAAGTCCTTAGAGACCTACAAAGAGACTTACACTCCCACACAATAAGAATGGGAGGTGGTAACACCCCACTGTTGATATTAGACAGATCAATGAGACAGAAGGTTAACAAGGATATCCAGGACTTGAACTCAGCTCTGCACCAAGCAAACCTAATAGACATCTACAGAACTCTCCACCCTAAATCAACAGAATGTACATTCTTCTCAGCACCACATCGCACTTATTCTAAAATTGACTATGTAATTGGAAGTAAAGCCCTCCTCAGCAAATGTAAAAGAAATCACAACAAACTGGTTCTCATACCACAGTGCAATCAAACTAGAACTCAGGATTAAGAAACTCACCCAAAACTGCTCAACTACATGGAAACTGAGCAACCTGCTCCTGAATGACTACTGGGTAAATAACGAAATAAAGGCAGAAATAAAGATGTGCTTTGAAACTAATCAGAACAAAGACACAACATACCAGAATCTCTGGGACACATTTAAAGCAGGGTGTAGAGGGAAATTTATAGCACTAAATGCCCACTGGGACACATTTAAAGCAGGGTGTAGAGGGAAATTTATAGCACTAAATGCCCACAAGAGAAAGCAGGAATAAGCTAAAATTGACACCCTAACATCACAATTAAAAGAACTAGAGAAGCAAGAGCAAACACATTCAAAAGCTAGCAGAAGGCAAGAAATAACTAATACCAGAGCAGAACTGAAGGAGACAGAAACACAAAAACCCTTCAAAAAATCAATGAATCCAGGAGCTGGTTTTTGAAAGGATCAACAAAATTGATAGACCGCTAGCAAGACTAATAAAGAAGAAAAGTGAGAAGAACCAAATAGACACAATAAAAAATGATAAAGGGGATATTACCACTGATCCCACAGAAATACAAACTACCATCAGAGAATACTAGAAACACCTCTACGCAAATAAACCAGAAAAACTATTAGAAATGGATAAATTCCTGGACACATACACCCTCTGAAGACTAAGCCAGGAAGAAGCTGAATCCCTGAATAGACCAATAACAGGCTCTGAAATTGAGGCAATCATTAATAACCTACCAACCAGGACCAGACGGATTCACAGCCAAATTCTACCAGAGGTACAAGGAGGAGCTGGTACCATTCCTTCTGACACTATTCCAATCAATAGAAAAAGAGGGAATCCTCCCTAACTCATTTTATGAAGCCAGCATGATCCTGATATCAAAGCCTGACAGAGACACAACAGAAAAAGAGAATTTTCGACCAACATCCTTGATGAACATTGATCCAAAAATCCTCGATAAAATACTGGCAAACCGAATCCAGCAGCTCATCAAAAAGCTTATCCACCATGATCAAGTGGGCTTCATCCCTGGGATGCAAGGCTGGTTCAACATACGCAAATCAATAAACGTAATCCATCACATAAACAGAACCAAAGACAAAAATCACATAATTATCTCAATAGATGCAGAAAAGACCTTTGACAAAATTCAACAGCCCTTCATGCTAAAAACTCTCAATAAACTAGGTATTGATGGGACGTATCTCAAAATAATAAGAGCTATTTATGACAAACCCACAGCCAATATCATACTAAATGGGCAAAAACTGGAAGCATTCCCTTTGAAAACTGGCACAAGACAGGGATGCCCTCTCTCACCACTCCTATTCAACATAGTGTTGGAAGTTCTGGCCACGGCAATCAGGCAGGAGAAAGAAATAAAGGGTATTCAATTAGAAAAAGAGGAAATCAAATTGTCCCTGTTTGCAGATGACATGATTGTATATTTTAAAAACCCCATCATCTCAGCCCAAAATCCCCTTAAGCTGATAAGCAAATTCAGCAAGATCTCAGTATACAAAATCAATGTGCAAAAATCACAAGCATTCCTATACACCAATAATAGACAGAGAGCCAAATCATGAGTGAACTCCCATGCATGACTGCTGCAAAGAGAATAAAATACCTAGGAATCCGACTTACAAGGGATGTGAAGGACCTCTTCAAGGAGAACTACAAACCACTGCTCAACGAAATAAAAGAGGACACAAAGAAATGGAAGAACATTCCATGCTCATGGATACGAAGAATCAATATTGTGAAAATGGCCATACTGCCCAAGGTAATTTAGAGATTCAATGCCATCCCCATCAAGCTACCAATGACTTTCTTCACACAATTGGAAAAAACTACTTTCAAGTTCATATGGAACCAAAAAAGGGCCCACATTGCCAAGACAATCCTAAGCCAAAAGAACAAAGCTGGAGGCATCACGCTACCTGACTTCAAACTATACAACAAGTCTATAGTAACCAAAACAGCATGGTACTGGTACCAAAACAGAGATATAGACCAATGCAACAGAACAGAGCCCTCAGAAATAATATCACACATCTACAACCATCTGATCTTCGACAAACCTGACAAAAACAAGAAATGGGGAAAGGATTCCCTATTTAATAAATGGTGCTGAGAAAACTGGCTAGCCATATGTAGAAAGCTAAAACTGGATCCCTTCCTTACACCTTATACAAAAATTAATTCAAGATGGATTAAAGACTTAAAGGTTAGACCTAAAACCATAAAAACCCTAGAAGAAAACTTAGGCAATACCATTCAGGACATAGGCATGGGCGAGGACTTCATGTCTAAAACACCAAAAGCAATGGCAACAAAAGCCAAACTTGACAAATGGGATCTAATTAAACTAAAGAGCTTCTGCACAGCAAAAGAAACTACCATCAGAGTGAACAGGCAACCTACAGAATGAGAGAAAATTTTTGCAATCTACTCATCTGACAAAGGGCTAATAATCCAGAATCTACAAAGAACTGAAATTTACAAGAAAAAATGAAACAACCCCATCACAAAGTGGGCAAAGGATATGAACAGACACATCTCAAAAGAAGACATTTATGCAGCCTACATACACACGAAAGAGATACTCATCATCACTGGTCATCAGAGAAACGTAAATCAAAACCACAATGAGATGCCATCTCATGCCAGTTAGAATGGAGATCATTAAAAAGTCAGGAAACAACAGATGCTGGAGAGGATGTGGTGAAATTGGAACACTTTTACACTGTTCATGGGAGTGTAAATTAGTTCAACCATTGTAGAAGACAGTGTGGCAATTCCTCAAGGATCTAGAACTAGAAATACCATTTAACCCAGCAATCCCATTACTGGGTACATACCCAAAGGATTATAAGTCATGCTACTATAAAGACACATGCACACGTATGTTTATTGCGGCACTATTCACAATAGCAAAGACTTGGAACCAACCCAAATGTCCATCAATAATAGACTGGATTAAGCAAATGTGGCACATATACACCATGGATTACAATGCAGCCCTTAAAAAGATGAATTCATGTCCTTTGCAGGGACATAGATGAAGCTGGAAACCATCATTCTCAGCAAACTATCACAAGGACAGAAAACCAAACACCACATGTTCTCACTCATAGGTGGGAACTGAACAATGAGAACACTTGGACACAGGGCAGGGAACATCACACACTGGAGCCTGTCAAGGGGTAGGGGTCTGAGGGAGGAATAGCATTAGGAGAAATACCTATTGTAAATGACAAGTTGATGGGTGCAGCAAACCAACATGGCACATGTATACCTATGTATCAAACCTGCACACTGTGCACATGTACCCTAGAACTTAAAGTATAATAAAAAAAAATCTATTACAAAACTAAAGTAATCATAACAATTTGGTACTGGCATGAAGACAGACATACAGTTCAATGGAATAAAGCAGCACAGAAATAAACCCTTCTCATAGGTGGTCAAAAGATTTTTTTCCCAACTTTTATTTAGATATAAGCATACATGTGCAGGTTTGTTACATGGGTATACTGCGTGATGCTGAGGTTTGGGGTATGAATGATCCCATCACCCAGATAGTACACAGTAGGTAGTTTTTCAAGCCATGTCCACCTCCCACCCTCCCCCTTCTAGTAGTCCACAGTGCCTTTTGTTCCCACGTTTATGTCCATATGTGCTCAATGTGTAGCTCCCACTTATAAGTGACACATGCAGTATTTGGTTTTCTGTACCTGCACAATTTGCTTAGGATCACAGCCTCAATTGCATCCACGTTGCTCCAAAATACATGATTTCATTATTATTTATGGCCAAGTAGTATTTCATAGTGTATATTTACCACATTTTCTTTATCCAATTCTCTATTTATAGACTCTTACATTAATTCTATATCTTTGCTATTGTGTATAGTGCTGCAATAAACATATGAATGCAGGTATCTTTTTCATATAATGATTTCTTTCTTTTTGGGTACATATTCAAGATTGGGATTGCTGAATTGAATGATAGTTCTATTTTCAGTTCTTTCAGAAATCTTCATACGGTTTTCCATTGAGGTTGTACTAATTTACATTCCCATCAACAGTGTATAAGCATTCCCTTTTCTCTGCACCCTCGACTACTTTTGTTGATTTTTGACATTTTACTAATAGCCATTCTAACTAGTGTGAGATGGTTTTTCACTGTGGTTTTGATTTCCATTTTCTCTGATGAGTGCTGCTGGGCATTTTTCATTTTTTTTTGGCCACTTATATGTCTTTTTTTGAGAAATGTCTGTTCATGTCATTTGCCCATTTTTAATGGGGTGTTTTGGATTTTGCTTGTTAAGTTCTTAATAGATTCTGGATATTGGGCCTTTGTTGGATACATAGTTTGCCAATGTTTTTTCCCATTCTGTAGGTCGTCTGTTTACTCTGTTTCTTTTACTGTGCAGTGCAGAAGCTCTTTAGTTTAATTGGGTCAATTTTAGGTCATTTTTTTGTCCATTTTAGGTCAATCTTGTCAATTTTTGTTTTTCTTACAATTATTTTTGGAAACTTGACCAAATTTTTTGTTTTTGCCAATGTCAATGTCGAGAGGGGAATTTCCTAGCTTGTCTTCTAGGACTTTTATATTTTGAGGTCTTAAACTTAAATCTTTGATCAACTTGGACTTAATTTTTGTATAAGGTGAATGCAAGGGGTCCAGTTACAGTCTTCTGCATGTGACTAGCCAGTTATCCCAGCACCATTTATTAAATAGGGAGTCCTTTCCTCATTGTTTGTTGTTGTTGGCATTGCTGACAATCAGATGGTTTCTTTCCGAGTTTTCTATTATGCACCACTGGTTTATGTGTCTGTTTTTGTGCCAGTACCACGCTGGTTTGGCTACTCTAGCTTTATATTATACTTTGAAGCCTGGTAGTGTGATACCCTTCAGCTTTGTCCTCTTTGCTTAGAATTGCTTTGGGTACTCCAGCTCTTTTTCATTCCATGAGAATTTTAAAATATTTTTTCTACTTCTGTGAAAAATAGCATTGGTAGTTTGATAGGAATAGCATTGAATCTGCAGATTGCTTTAGGAAATATGGACATTTTAATTCTTCCAACCCATAAGCATGGAAAGTTTTACCATTTATTTGTGTCATCTCTGATTTATTTCTGCACTGTTTTGTAGCTCTCCTTATAGAGATCTTTCGCCTCCTTGGTTAGCTGTATTTCTAGGTATTTTATTTTATTTGTGACTACTATATATAGAATTGCATTCTTTATTTGACTCTCAGGCTGGACTTTATTGGTGTACAGAAATGCTAGTGATTTCTGTACATTGATTTTGTATTCGGAAACTTTACTAAAGTCATTTATCAGTTCTAAAAGCCTTTTGGCAGACTCTACAGTTTTCTAGGTATAGTATTATATCATCAACAAAGAGAGATAGCTTGACTTCTTCTTTTCCCATTTGGATGCCTTTTATTTCTTTCCCTTGCTTGATTGCTCTGGCTAACACTTCCAGTACTATTTTGAATAGGAGTGGTGGGAGTGGACATTTTTGTCTTGTTCCAGTTCTCGAGGGGAGTGCTTCCTGCTTTTGTCCATTCAGTATGATGCTGGCTGTGGGTTTTTTATAGATGGCTCTTATTAGTTTGAGATATGTTCCTTCAATGCCTAGTCTGTTGAGGACTTCTATCATGAGGGATTGCTGGACTTTATCAAAATGTGTTTATTGAGATGATCGTGTGGTTTTGTTTTTAATTCAGTTTATGTGATGAATCACATTTACTGACTTGCATATGTTGAACCAATCTTGCATCCCAGAAATAAAGCCTCCATGATTGTGGTGTATTTACTTTTTGATGTGCTGCTGGATTTGGTTTGCTAGTATTTTGTTGAAGATTTTTGCATCTATGTTCATCAAGGATATTGGCCTGAAGTTTTCTTTTCTCCTCCTGTCACTGCCAGATTTTGGTATCAAGCTGATGTTGGCTCTATAGAATGAGATAGGGAGGAGCCCCTCCTCCTCAATTTTTGGAACAGTTTCAGTGGAACTGGTACAATTCTTTCTTGTACATCTGATGGAATTTGATTGTGAATCCATCTGGTCCAGAATTTTTTTGGTTGGTAGGTTTTTTACTACTGATTCCATTTCAGAATTTGATATTTGTCTATTCAGGGTTTCAATCTCGTCCTGATTCAATCTTGGAAGATTGTGTATTTCCAGGAATTTATCTATTTCCTGTACATTTTCTAATGTGTGTGCATAGTAGTCTCTGAGGACCTTTTTTATTTCTGTGGAATGAGCTATAATGTCACCTTTGTCATTTTTTATTGTGCTTATTTGAATGTCTCTTTTTTATTTGTTTGGCTAGCACTCTATCAATTTTGCTTATTCTTTCAAAAAACAAACTGTTAGTTTCATTGATCTTTTGTATGAAATTTTGCATTGTAATTTGGTTAAGCTCTTCTCTAATTTTAGTTATTTCTTTCTTCCGCTAGCTTTGCGGTTGTTTTTTTTTTTTTTTTCTAGTTCCTTTAGGTGCAAAGCTAGACTGTTAATTTAAGAGCTTTCTAACTTCTTGATGAAGATGTTTAGTGCTATAAACTTTACTCTTAACACTACATTAGCTGCATCCCAGATATTTTGGTAAGTTGTGCTCCTATTTTTATTAATTTCAAGGAATTTTTTAAATTTCTGCCTTAATTTTGGTGTTCGCCCAAGAGATATTCAGGAACAAGTTATTTAATTTCCATGTATTTATGTAGTTTTGAGATATATTCTTGATATTAATTTCTATTTTTATTGCAGTGTGGTCCAAGACTGTATTTAGGATAATTTAGATGTTTTTGAATTTATTGAGACTTGTTTTATTACTGAGTATGTGGTTGATCTTAGAATATGTTCCACATGCAGATGACAAGAATGTATATTCTTTGGTTGTTGGGTGGAGTATTCTGTAGATTTCTATTAGGTCCAATTGGTCAAGGGTTGTGTTTAATTCCAGTCTTTCTTTGTTAGATTTCTGCTTCAGTGATCTGTCTAATGCTGTCAGTGGGGCTACTGAAATCTCCCTATATAATTGTGTGGCTAGGTAATTATTTTTTTTAGGTGAAGAATAACTTGTTTTATGAATCTGGGTGCTCTAATGTTGGTTATATATTTAGGATACTTCAGTCTTCTTCTTGGATCCAACCCTTTTTCATTACATAATACCCCTTCTTGTCCTTCTTGTTAGTGGTTTAAACACTGTTTTGTCTTTTATTTGTTGTTTTTATTTGCATGGTAGATCTTTCTCCATCCCTCTACTTTGAGCCTGTGGGTGTCATTACAGGTGAGATGGATCCCTGAAGACAGCAGACAGATAGGTCATGTTTTTTTATCTAGATTGCCATTCTATGTATTTTAAGTAGGGCATCTAGCCCATTTATATTCAGGGTTAGTATTGATATGTGAGATTTTGATCCTGTCATTGTGTTGTTAGCTAGTTGTTACGTAGACTTGATTGTGCAGTTGCCTGATAGTGTCTGTGGGCTATGTGCTTAAGTGTGTATTTGTGGTAGCAGGTGTTTTCCTTTAGATTTGAGGTTTAGCACACCCTTGAGGACCTCTTATAAGGCTGGCTTAGTTGAAATGAATTTCCTCATCATTTGCTTGTCTGCAAGGATTTTATTTCTTCTTCACTTACAAAGTTTAGTTTGGTGGAGTATGAAATTCTTGGTTGGGCCAGATGCAGTGGCTCATACCTATAACCACAGCACTTTGGGAGGCAGAGGTGGATGGATTGCTTGAGCCCCGGAGTTTGAGGCCAGCCTAAGCAACATGGCAAAACCGCATCTCTACAAAAATAAATAAATAAATACGAAATTAGCTGGGTGTGGTGGCACACACTTATGCTCCCAGCTTCTCGGGAGGCTGAGGTGGGAGGACTACCTGAGCCTGGGATATTGAGGCTGCAGTGAGCTGAGCTCATGCCACTTCACTCCAGCCTGGGTAAGAGAGTGAGACCCTATCTCATAAATAAATAAATTATTTTAAAAATAAAAATAAACTTTTGGTTGGCATTTATTTTCTTTCAGGATGCTGACAATAGGTCCCCAATCTCTTCAGGTTTCTGCTGAGAAGTCCACTACTAACTTGATGGGGTTACCTCTGTATGTGACCTGACCCTTATCTCTAGCTGCCTTTAAGATTGTTTCCTTTGCATTGAACTTGGTGAAGCTGATGACTATATGCCTTGAGATGATCATCTTGTATAGTATCTGGCCAGGGTTCTCTATGTTTCTTGAATACACATGTTGTATTAGTCCATTCTCATACTACTATAAAGAAATACCTGAGACTGGGTAATTTATAAAGAGATGAGGTTAATTGACTCACAGTTCTGCAGGCTGTACAGGAAGCATGGCTGGGGAGTCCTCAGGAAATTCACAGTCATGGCAGAAGGTGAACAGGAAGCAGGCTTGTCTTACATGGCTGGAGCAGGAGGAAGAGAGAGAGGAGAGGTGCTACACACTTTAAACAACCAGATCTCATGATAACTCACTCACTATCACGAGAACAGCATCAAAGGGGAAATCTGCCCTCATGATCCATTCACCAGGCCCCACCTCCAACACTGGGGATTATAATTTGACATGAGATTTGAGCAGGGACACAGACCCCAACCATATCGCATATCAACCTCTCTAGTGAGATTAGGGAAATTTTTGCGGACTATATCTTCAAATATATTTTCCAAGTTGCTTATTCTTTCTCCTTCTCTCTTTGAAAATTTGATCTCTTTATATAATCTCTTATTTCTCAGAGGTGTTGTTTATTCTTAATTATATGTTCTTTTTCTTCTTCTTCTTCATTTTTTGTCTGACTGAGTTGAGGAACTGGTCTTTGAGCCCTGAGATTCTTTCTTCAGCTTGATCTACTCTGCTATTAATACTTCGATTATATTATGGAATTCTTGTTTCTATGCAATTATTTTTCTAGTTTTCAGCTCTAGAATTTCAGTTTCGTTATTGCTTAAAATGGTTATTTTGTCTTTCAGCTCTTAGGTTGTTTTACTGGATTCTTTGGATTCCTTGGATTGGGTTTCAAATCTCTCCTGAACCTCAGTGAGCTTCCTTGCCATCCAGGTTCTCAATTCCATATCTGTCATTTCAGTCATTTCAGACTGGTTAAGAACAATTGCTATGGAGCTAATGGACTTGTTTAGTGATAAGGGGACTGGCTTTTTGAATTTCCAGAGTTCTTGCACTGATTCTTTCTCATCTTGGAGGGCTGTTGTTCCTTTAATTGTGATGTAAGTTGTTGGCTTCATTTCTGTATGTTTTCAGAGGTCAAAAGCTCTGTACAGGGTCTTTGTGGCCAAATTCTTGCCCTTGGTTTCACAGGGGGGTATATTAGCAAAATATCTCTTGTGTTGTAGTTTGGGCTGTGACCCAGTAGATGGTGCTTAAGAGTAAAGAGCAGTAGATAAGCTTTGAGCCACGCAGCTCCTTTGCATTTCCTCAAGTTTGCAGCTGTGCTCTGCAATTGGGGGGTGGGGAGAGGTGCTGGGTAGAGGGTTGGAGAGGAAGGTTTCTCCCTTACCAGGTCCATTCCTGGGCCTTGGGAGAGCCTCCCTCTCTGATCACTGCACTGTGCCCGTGTTTCTTTTGTTAGGTGTTCCAGGCTGCTGGAGTCCTTCAGGCAGAAGCCACAGCAGGGAGATAGATCACATCCTTTCCAAACTGGCCCTGTGGAGGGAGAAACACCCTGGTCCCACACTATCCCACAAACCTACGTCTCTTCCCTCTCAGTGCTCTGAGAGGGTAAGCTCCTCCCCAACTCGAGTGGACCCCAGGCTTAGCAATCCCAAGTGGTGCATGGCAGCCCTGGGCTGCCAGGACTGGCCTGTGGCTCCATCATCCCCACCCTCTGGGTTGGGTTCCAGGTGTGCTGGGGGATTTGAAGTGCTCCCAGGCTGCTGGGAATGCACTCAGATGGAGCAAAGTACCCAGGTTGGTCATCGAGGCTGTATTATGTATAGTCTCCTGGTTGGTGGCCAGGCAGGGGGCCTGGGAAGGACTGGCAGGCAGGCAGACCTACAGGGAAGTCAGCTCCACTTCCTCCTGGCCACAGTTAAACGGGGCCAGAGTCTCTTGGAGGAAGATGGGGAGCCCTGGGATATGGCCGACAGAGCTGTCCTGTGTACGGAGGCCCCTGGCTCCCTACTGGCTTAAGGCCCACTTCCATCTACTATCTGGGAAGATCCCCCTGCCAACTCAACTGTCCATGTGTGATGTGGGGTCCCCTGCAGCTAGGATCCCTAGAGGTACACAGCAACAGTGGGCGGTCCCACAGTCCCTTCACTCACCCCTTCCCCAAGAGCCATTTGGAGGTGGGAACCAACTCTAGCATTCGAGCACCATGCCCAGGGTTCCCAGCTTTCTCTCTCTTCAGTCTCAGCTTCTATGTCACTTCTGCATCCAGTCTCAGTATTTTCTCTCCAAAAATCTGTTCAAATTATGTTGGTTTAGTCAAAATATTCGTCTCTTTCAGTGGAGTCAGCACTTCCCAGTTGCATCTAGTTGGCCATCTTGTTAAAAAGTCTCTAATGATTTTTGTCAAGATTGCCAAGACCATTCAATGGAGAAAGGACAGCCTTTACAACAAATGGTGCTGAGAAATTGGATATCCACATGCAGAAGAATAACATCTTATTGCCTAACATCATATACCAAAATTAACTCAGATTTGGTCAAAGACCTAAAACTATAAAAGTCTTAGAAGAAAACATACAGCAAAAGCTTCATATCATTACATTTGTCAGTGATTTCTTGGATATAACAACAAAGGCACAGGTAACACAAGGAAAAATAGACAAATTGAATTTCATAAAATTAGAACTTTTGTGCATCAAAAGACAAAATCAACAGAAAGAAAAAGGAAACCCACAAAAATGGAGGCAATATTTGCAAATTATATATCTGGCAAATGATTAATATCTAGAATATATAGAGAATTCCTAACATTTAACAACACAAAAACAGATAACCCAATTTAAAAATGGTAAAGGACTTGAATAGACATTTCTCCAAAGAACACACACAAATGGTTATAAATCACATGAAAAGATGTTCAGCTTCACTAATCACTAGGGAAATGCAAATGAAAACTACAAGGAGATACCACCTCACACCCATTAGGATGGCTACAATTTAAAAAAACAAAATAACAAGTGTTAGTGAGGATGTGAACTAATTGCAGCAATGTTGGTGGAAATGTCAAATGGTATAGCAGCTGTGGAAAAGAATATGA
This sequence comes from Homo sapiens, assembly GCF_000001405.40. Classification (NCBI taxonomy): domain Eukaryota; kingdom Metazoa; phylum Chordata; class Mammalia; order Primates; family Hominidae; genus Homo; species Homo sapiens. The sequence continues at coordinate 26,116,560 of NC_000003.12, read as the reverse complement.
CTGTTTTTCAAAAAACTACCATATGATCCAGCAATGTCACTTCTGGGTATATACCCAAAAGAATTGAAAACAAACCTCCAAGAGATATTTTTACCCCAATGTTCATATCAGCATTATCCACAATAGCTAAAATGTGGAAGCAATGCAAGTGCCCATCAACAGATGAAGGGATAAGTGAAATGTGGTATATACATACAATTGAATATCATTCAGCCTTAAGAAAGAAATTCTCACATACATTTATACCACAGGTGAACCTTGAGAACATTATATTAAGTGAAATAAGCCAGTCACAAAAAGACAAACACTGTATTATTCCACTTACAAGATATTTAGAGTAATCAAAATCACAGAGCTGATGTTAGTAGAATAATGGTTACCAGAGGTTGGGGGAAGGTAAAAGGGAGATTTATTGTTTAATGAGTAGAGAGTTTCAGTTTTAATCTAAGATATTGAGACACTAATATATTTTATCTAATATATGGGTTTAAAAGCTCTTGCTTCTCACTACAGCAATAACTACAAGTTTGGTTTTAGAGTATTTATATTGAGAGAAATTTCCATTTAATTACCAGACAAGCCATTTAACTTGAAGTTGATTCTTTGCATAGTAGAAACTATTAAAAAATCAAGCAAAACATTTTAAAGTAGATACTTTTTTTAAAAAAATTGAGGGTTTATTTTCCTGTAATCTATAGTTTTAAAAAATTAGTCATTCAGAATATTGTTTGAGAATACTGAAAGTATAGAGGGTAATTATACTAAAAGCTAAAATGAGTCTTTGATGTACACTTTAAGTGCAGGAATCATTTATCCTGGCTGGAATAGAGTTAATGGCAATGCAACATACTTAGAATAAGGAATTCCCTTGAATATGCTCACATAGACATATATTCCTTTTGAAACATCATTACCAATAAATATTTTAGGTCTATTAAGCGTTTTTTGGTCACTCATTCTTTCTTACCCAAGATTTTTTACTTTGGTGTCAGTGCTGTCCCTTCTATCAACTTTATTATGCTTCCTTGAAACTTGTAAATTTGGAAATTGCCTAACAAAACATTCAAAGTCACAATGCCAACAAGCTAAAGAATATCAGAGAAAAGAAAATGCCAAAAACTCACAGAGAGTAAGCAGGAAAAAAGGCTGAGACCATCACCATGCCAAGGGACCTTTCTAACACAAGAACTCCCCATCATCTCCTCAAATCTATGACTAACAATTGACTACAGGCCCCAAATGCTTTTCTTCTTTAAATTCAGCCAAGTTCACTTAGAATGTTTTCACTTGTCATTTAACAAACATTAGACAAAGATCTACTGTGTCAAGAACAGAGATAGATAATAACTAAAAAGAATGAGTCTACTTAGCATTAAAGATAAAAAGACAAGTAAGTTATAGTCCCAATCTGTCAGGATCTCAGAGTCCAATAAGAAAGGCAAACATGTATATACATAATTATAATCAAGGGCTATTTGGGCAGTGAGGGAGTGTGTACAAGGTAGAGGGCACTGCAAGAAAGGGGATAATTAACTCTGGTAGTGGAGGGAATACGTTTCTGCAGGAGTAACAATGTGTGAATAGATTTTAAAAGATGAGTAGAAATTTGTTAGGTTTTCAATGCAGAAAAGCACTCCTGGAAGCAAACAGGGAGCTGTGAAACAGCATGGCATGTTAAGGAAAATTGCAAGTAGTGAGGTATAGATGGAAAATAAATATGAGAGGTACAGGTTACAACAATACGGATGGGAATGAGGGGTTAATGCTTACTGATATGGTTTGGCTATGTCCCCACCCAGATCTCATCTTGAGTTGTATCTCCCACAATTCCCATTGTTGTGGGAGGGACCTGGTGGGAGATAGTTGAATCAAGGAGGTGGTTTCCCCCATACTGTTCTTGTGGTAGTGAATGGGTCTCACAAGGTCTGATAGTTTTATGGGGAGAAACCCCTTTTGCTTGGCTCTCACTCTCTCTTTGGCTGGCACCATCCACGTAAGATGTGACCTGCTCCTCCTTGCCTTCCACCATGATTGTGAGGCTTCCCCAGCCACATGGAACTCCAAGTCCAATTAAATCTCTTCCTTTTGTAAATTGCCCAGTCTTGGGTATGTCTTTATCAGCAGCATGAAAACAGACTAATACACTGACCATTCCAGTTTCTCCTCACTTACTATGATGTTGTGTTAAAGAGCCAGGATAATTTTACAGGGTTTAAAGAAAATCACTTATTACATTTATAGGTAGCATGTAGTCAGCAAATTAATATGCAAACATTCTTTGCAGTGTTGTTTGCAGTGGCAAGAATGTAGAAACAACCAGGCTTTTACCATTTGGGGTCTGATTAAATAAATCGCAATACTTCACTAGAAAGCAATAGTATGTGGTTGTTTTATTTTAAGAAAATAAGGTAGTGCTGCATGATTAAAATGGACCTCATAACAGGATATAATATTTATTTGAAAACAAAACAAAACAAAAAACAAATAGCTGGTCATGTGTATACTGCCTTGTGTGTGGGGTTTTTAAATGATATGTTAGCATTAAATGATATGCTAGCATTATACATAGGTTATAACCTATAAAATGCAAAATGATATATGTTTTTAAAAAATAGCTCAGGAACTCATTTTCTTTTTTCATTCCCTTTCTTCCATCTGCGAAAATGAACAAGATAATATTAATTAGGACAACGGGAGAATGTATGATAAGCAGTTCAGAATAAGAATTTATAGTCAATTGTAGTTTTCCCCCACAGAATTAAATAGAGTCAATGAGAATGCTGCATATAATACTTCAGTAAGAGTTTTTCACTAGCACATTTCACCAGCGCTGTTTTGATCAACAAGTGAAATCTTATTTTTATTTTTTCTGGGCATACGCATGATTGCTATAATGTTGAGGCAAGGGGCAGAGGCATGGAGACTACCAAACGGAAAGACTGTGAGTCTCCCGGAACATGAGGACATTGTGTTTTAAGTATATTAGAAAAGTCTAACATCAGGGCAGCAAGTAATACTATTTAACAACAGCCTGACGCTGAAGGAGGACAAAATGAAGTGTGAATGTTTTTATAGATGCTGCAAGACATTGTTGTGCTGTTGTAGATGTGATTGTGTTACAATCATATCTGTTTCAGCTAGTGTCATTTTGAATTTGAACAAAGCAAAACATCCTAATATTTGATATCTGTTATGCACTGAAGAGGTTGAGTACCACTGTTTCAAATTATTATCCTAGTCCCCAATGTTATCGCTTTTAGACATTTGGTCTATTCTAAATTAATTATGAATACGTTTGTACATATCTATGGAAATAAACAAGCTAAATTTAAAGGGGGAAAAGGTGTTATGGACACAAGAGCAGGACCTGAACACATAATTCCCAATGGTGATTTGCAAGTCTAATGCACCAAGTTCAATGTCCAGGGCTCTTTATTCAGCTCTGAAAAAAATATATATGTATATATATACCATGTTCATCCCAGGAAACTCCATTTCATAAAACACTGTTATAAATACTATAGAGAGTTATGGGTCAAAATAACATGGTAGGTTCCACCTATATGTCTTTAAGTTTAGAGAGTCATGCATTGTAGGCAAGAAAAGAAGAGGCAATGATCATACTGCCTCTGTTTTAGCCAGACAGTGATCTTCCTAGGGATGTCAGGATGTCAGCTGTATCTGTCTGATCTTCAGCAGCAAGCTTCAGAAAAAATTCTTCAGCCTATAGAAATCCAAGGTGCTAATGAACTCATTCTTTTTTGTCACTATCTATCACCCATCCCCAGGTTTCAAGGAACACGTGGAATGTCTCCTGTTTTGACTCATTTAAATATCAGTTCTTGCCCCAGTAGACTCCAGCATTCAGAAGTAGCCCCTATACCACTGATTTGTTCATTTGTGCTTCCCTTCTTCTAATGGATTCCTCAGTATAGACCTCAGTTCACTCTCTGGACCAATTTCTATTCATCACCTTAGCATGAAGAACCAGCTGGCTATCTCTCTGAGATTCAGTTCTTATTTATTGTGAGTTACTTGTGTTCTAATCTAGGAAAGGTTAGGACCTTGGTTTCCATGTCCCTAGGGCTTCTCATACTCGAGTTTGCCTGTGTAGACAATCCTTTTGTACATGTTCAGCACTGTAGGTCATATGAAGACATGAAAGACCTCTATACCTTAAGGTTTTCCTTTGTTATTTAAGCTTTAAACTGGCCTGGCCCATCCTTATATCTCACCCTAGACTGCTCATAAAAACAATCTGCAAATACAAAAGGGGATTCTAGGTGATTGCATCTGGTTGGGTTCTTTGGAAAATAACCTCTAAAACAAAGATTGGCATGCAGGATGTTAATTATGGAATGCTTTGGGGATCACCATCTGTGGAAGGGAAAGGAAGGAAGCAGGACTAGACAGAGGAAGAAGTTAATCCACTTGCAGTGGATTTTTTGGATTAGCTAAATCAGACTTTTAAAGGTAAAATATCTCCTCACTGAGGGAACAATTCTTTCAGTCATTGAAAGTAGATTACTTCTTTTACTACATTTGGGGGTTAGATAGAGTAAGGAGGGCAAGTAAAGTTTGCTTATGGATTTTTAAAGTTCTTGATACACATCTTACTGAGAGACTTGCAATTTTGGGACTCTGAATACCAAATATTCCAAAATTGAAGCAGAAATTAGAGACAATTCTGAAAATATGAAAGAGAAATTATAGCAGGATTATTAAACAAGGAGATATAATTTACTGCAAATCTAGGCAAGTAATGCCTCCAGAAATGTATCCTTTCTTCTAAAAGGTGACCTGCTACTCTTTGCTACCACTGACCCTCAAATTTACTAAGATAGGTTTCAGTGTTTCAGTAAGAACAATTATCTAGAAAACGGATATGGCCACAGCTATAAAAAACCCAGGCACTATTCAGAATGGGATATTAAGAATGGCCCTGTTAGGATTCAACAGGGCATCAGTCCAGAAGTTAGAGATTCACTGTCATTCTCAAGACATAACTGCAAAGCCAGGAAACAGAGCTACCCATCTATATCTATCTATCTATCTATCTATCTATCTATCTATCTATCTATCATAAAATATTTTAGAAAGATCCCTATTTGGAGGAGTTAAAAGAAAATAAAATTTAAAACAAGAAAAGGCCCTTAAAGACCAACTGGAAAACCAGATTACAGAATCAGACCAGGTAAGTATTGCCGGGTATGAGCTGAATGTGTGCAGGTTGCTAGGTAGACAAAGGAGATTCCCAAAGGAAATTATCACTGAAGCCAGGAGAGGTTTGAAGCCCAGTCCTATTGCAGGTAAGATAAAGGGGAACTCACAGGCAACTTTCTGATCTATGAGCTCTATTGAGAAATGCTCTGTTCCTAATAACACAGGAACATCTGCATATCTCTCTACCCTTGATTTGACCACATGCTGATCAAGAAGAGGGAAAAAAAACCATGGGTGGTCATGCACTTACTAGACAGGAATCAGCAGCTACATTTGGAGCATCAAGCAGGCTTCTCAAACTATTTGGAATTTTGGTGGAAAAGGGTGTAATCAGGGATGAGAAGTGTCCACCCTCACAACATCATTATTTGTGTCCAAATTTACTCTCAGATACACTTGCTAGGTTTCTTGAGTCTCTGTTCAACCTCAGAAAAGCGCTTCTTCTCACCTCGGACAAGAATGGCCCTAAGAAATTCGAAATAATGAAATTCTACAAATGTTCCACTAGAAGTTGCTTTACTCTCTGAACTGATTTTCCAGTGCTAAGAAATGCTCTTCTAGAGGGCATGTCAACACTGGTGACTGTGGGCTGTACAAGTGAAAAAAAGCACTGTTCTATCCACTCCCAGGTCTGCTTTCTACATTCCTCTTGAGTCTATACCCTGATCTCAATTCTTACTGCCATGACCACAGTTCGTGCTGCCAGCAGCTTTTGCTGGAATTAATGCTCAGTCTCTGTCCCTTGGTAAAAATGATTTAAGGTTGCCCCAATGCCTTCCAGGTAAAATACAAACTCATGGGTAGAACATGAGAAACTTTCCCTTGGGTTTAACTTGTAACTGTTCATTCACGTTGATTTACCTGTGAGTTTGCCATGGCTTTTCTGTATTCATGCCCTAGCTCCTGACACATTGCACAGCACAAAAGGACCCTGAATAAATGCCTGTGAATGACTACCAATGAATCCAACACATAGGCAAGGTAGCGAACCCTAGGGTATATAACATGGTACAGCTTAGCATCCAGAGAGATCTGAGCAAGTCACTTAACTTCATTGTGTCTCAGTTTTCTCACCTGTAAAATTTTGAGAAATTTACCTACCTCACAGCATCCTTGTGAGGATTTAATTATACAATGTGTGTAAAGAACCTCAGTCATTGCCTGACACATGCTATTTATTTAATCAACATTCAGTCCATCTGCTTTCTTCTCAGTTTATAATCTGTAAAATTTAAAAAGTAAACTACATGGTTTCTAAGTTTCCTTCCAACTCATAATGGGAGATTTTAGCATACAATTATCAGTAATGACAGAAAAATACCACAAAATTAGAAAGATAAGAGAGGCGATGAGCAACAGGATCAACAAACTGTATCTAACTGACATACATAGAATTCTGCACCCAACACTTGCAGGATATCCACTCTTTTCAAGTGCATGTGAAAAATTTACCAGACTTACCCTTATGTTGGGCCATAAAGTAGTATTATAAACAGCAACAGAAAATGAACAAAATATGGCCACATATCACAATTTAGGTGAATCTCTCAGATATGAAATAGATTTAAAAGGCCAGATGTTTATATAAAGCTAAAAAGCAAACAAATGTGTTTATAACATAAGAAGTCAGAATAATGATTACTTTGGGAAAAGTGGGCGTGAAAAGGTTTCTGGAATTTTGTTTCTTGATCTTGGTGGTGGATACATATGTGTAATCACTTTGTGTTAATTCAAAATGTATGCTGATGATGCTTCAATGTAAGTTTATTGTTAATAACCAAATAATATTTCTTAATACTAATATTGTGTTATTTTGGTTAACAAATATTAATATTAATTAATATTAGTTATTATATTAAAATTAATTAATATTAGTTATTATATTATTAATATTAATTAATATTAGTTATTATACAATTAATATTAATGGTAGCATTAATTATATATTAATTGTTAATGTTAACAAATACACATAATTATAAATATTAATAACAAATATTTATTTCAATATATAATACAATATAACATTTCATTAACATTATTATTTTATTAACATTATTAGCAATAATATAATAAAATAACAATATTATATTCATATTAATGTTTGTTAGCAACCAAAATGAATATGGACTAACATGCCCAGCTAGAAAGTAGTGGAATGGGAATTTGACTTTGGTCTGCAGAACCTCAATATCCGCAACATGTTTGCAGGACCTCTTCATCTTGGTGAGCAGTGAGCTCCCATATTTGTGCTTCAGCCCTATACAATCTCTGAAAGCTGTTCCTAGCTTCCCAGGCTCTCTGCTACTGCTTTGAAAGGTGTCTGTGTTAAGGGGGAAAGAAGACATCTATCTTGAGCTCCTGTCCCCATCCTTCTCTTTAATTCAGAATTTTCTCTCTTTATGACTTCACTTAGAGAGAACTGACTTGGTCTTTATCTGTTTTTTTTTAACTTCCAACGATTATTTTTTCAATATTTCATCCAATTAGTTGTTCTCAGTTAAAACATGTCTACAACAAGGTATTTTATCATCACAAGAAGTGGGGAGAAAACTTAGTTCAACTTTTCCTACATCATTATTGGTTTTACAAATTATTCAACAAATATTTATTTAACACCCTATATTTTTGTGGTTTTTTTTGCAGTTGCAAGATTTAATACAGTGAAATAGAGTGAAAACGGAGCTCCCATACAAAGAGAGGGGACCCAAAGAGGGTAGCCATTGCTGGCGTGAATGCCTGGGTTTATATCCCGATCATTGTCCCTTCCGCTGTGCTCTCAGGCAACAGATGATTGGCTATTTCTTTACCTCCTGTTTTTGCCTAATTAGCATTTTAGTGAGCTCTTTTTACTATCTGATTGGTCAGGTAACACCCCTATGTTATAGGCACTATTCCAGGAGCAGGAGAGGGGCATTGGTGAATTCGACAAAAGACACTGCATTTGTACTAATAAGGCGAAAATAATAATGGCATCTCTTGAGATAAACAAATGGAAAAATATCCAATGCTCATGAATTGGAGGAATCTATATCATTAAAATAACCATACTGCCTAAAATGATCTATGGATTCAATGCAATACCTACCAAATTACCAATGTCATTTTTAAGAGATTTAGAAAAAGCAATCCTAAATTCATATGAAACCAAAAAAGAGCCCAAATAGCAAAAGCAATTTTAAGCAAAAACAACAAAGCTGGAGGCATCACACTACCTGACTTCAAATTCTATTATAAGCCTATAGTAACCAAAACAGCATGACACTGGTATAAAAATAGACACAGAAATCAATGGAACAGAATATAGAATCCAGAAACAAAGCCACATAACTACAACAAACCGATCTTCCCCAAAGCTGACAAAAATATACACTGGTGAAAGGACATCCTATTCAATTAAGGGTGCTAGGAAAATTGGATCATTATATGCAGAAGAATGAAACAGAACCCATACCTCTCACCATGTACAATAATTAGCTCAAGGTGGATTAAAGACCTAAATGTAAGACCTGAAATTATAAAAATCCTAGAAGAAAACCTAGTAAAATCTCTTCTGGACGCCTAGGCAATGAATTTATAACCAAGTCCTCAAAAGCAAACAAAACAAAACCAAAAATAGACAAATAGGACTTAATTAAACTAAAAAGCTTCTGCACTGCAGAGGAACAACAACAGAGGAAACAACCTATACAATGAGGAAAAACATATGTGTAAACTATGCCTCCAATGAAGAGCTAATACCTAGAGTCTAAAAAGAACTCAAACATCTCAACAAGAAAAAACCAATAACCACATTAAAAAGTGGGCAAATAAACAAAAGTTTCTCAAAAGAAGACATACAAGGAGTCAACCAACAATTTTAAAAAGCTCAGCAGTACTAATCATCGGAGAAATGCACATCAACCCTCAGTGAGATACCATTTTACACCAGTCAGAATGGCAACTATTAAAAAGTCAACAATCAACAGATGTTGGAGAGGATGCAGAGAAAAAGGAACACTTATACACTGTTGGTGGGAAGGTCAAGTAGTACAACCTTAGTGGAAAATAGTATGAAGATTTCTCAAAGAACAAAATACAGAACTACCATTCAATCCAGCAATCTCAATACTGGGTATATACCCAAAGGGAAAGAAATCATTATACCAAAAAGATACCTACACTCACATATTTATTACAGAATTATTCACAATAGCAGAGATAGAGAATTAACCTAAGTATCCATTAATAGATGACTGGATAAAGAAAATATGGTGTATATATACCATGGAATAATACTTGGCCATAAAAAAGAATAAAATCATGTCTTTTGCAGGAATATGGATGCAAAACTAGAGGCCATTATCCTAACTGAAATAACTCAGAAACAAAATGTTCTATACCACATGTTCTCACTTATAAGTGGAAGCTAAACCATGAGTATACATCAACACACAAAGTGGAATAATAGACATTGGAGATTGTACAAAGTAGGAGGGCTGGAGGAGGGTTTGGGATGAAAAAATCACCTATTGGGTACAATGTTCTCTATTTGGGTGATGGGTTCTCTAAAAGCCCGGACTTCACAGGAATGCAATACATGCATGTAAGAAATCTGCACTTGAAAATCTAAATCTAGAAAAATAAAAAAATTTTAAAGAAAACACTAGATAGCTATTTAAGAGAGTGAATACCATTTCACTATTTAAAATCCTCCAATGACTCTCCATTGCCTGAGGCAGGGTTCCTCAGCATAGGCATGTGAAATAAAAACAAAATCCTAACTGCTCCCACCCCCACTGGCTGAATGAACTCCTCTTGGCCAAGGAGACTTCAGAAAACGTTTAAAAAGTACATGTCTAGGCGATAACAGGATGGGAGTTGGTCACACCTCAGTAATTCCCTTCCTCACTAACCATTGCCAGAATGTTTTTTTTTTTTTTTTTTTTTTTTTTTTTTTCCTGAGAGTTAAACAGAAACCAGCCCTGGAAAACAAAGAATGGAACTCAGTCCTCAGCTGACTTCAACAAACCACCTGAGGCCAGAGCCAGCCTCCCCTTCATTTTTGCAGTCTTTATATAGCAGCTGACAGGTTTCACAAAGCATCCCTTCCTGATAAATGACCACCAACTACAGATTAGTTCTGCTCAGTTTATGGAAGCTGCACACTAAACACTTTGTGTCCTAAGTTTCACCTTTTGAGATACAAAACCTAATTTTACTACATTTTAATGTTAAGTTTCCACCCCAAAGTGGATATGGGACATATGTAACATGCATGTTTGCTTATGCCTGCGTGAGGCCCCATTTCATGAACAGTCATAGATCTTCCTGTAATCTGTTAAATATGCATCTTCCTGTAACCTGTTAAATATAAACATTTAGCCAGTCCATTTAGCATAAAACTCCTGTTCCACTCTTCCTCCTTTGAAGTGCTTGCTTTTGGTCTCAGCCAGAGGCTCTCTGTTTCCCAGTCTGCAGGTTACAATCCGTGTCAGAAATAAAGTTCTCCTTTCCAAATTAAAATAAAAATAATTGCATCTCTTTCATAAAGATTAAATTAGATAATGGATGTAGTATGCACAACAAAGTGTTTGGTACATAGTAAGTATGAAATATATTTTAGTCATTATTTGTGCCCTCCATAATTCAGACATCTTCATTAGTGTTCCTAGTTCAAAAAGAAAAAAATCAAACTCCATGTTAATAGTCTTTGTACACTAGCACAAAATAAAGAGAAACATATTTTTAATCTGAGAGCACTTGGAATTCACACATGATCAAAAAAATAATGCACATCTCAATTCTATGCCTGACAGATGATCTGGCTAAAAGGCATGTGAAGACCCCTTTCCCTACCATCCTCCGACTCTGCAGAAATCATGGAAGACTGAACAATGTCTCTAGTTTCACTGAATGTACAGCTATTTAACGACGATAGATTGAGAAATCCAGTGAGGTTATGCCTTTGGCCACCTCCAGTTACAAATTATAAACACATTGCTCTGAAAGAGCGATGCTCTGACTTACATTTATTAAATTGCAGCCTTCACTCCTTCATCATCTTAACCTCCCCTGCCTGTATCATTTTAGCAGCCAGCCTGACCCTTGGGTCCCCTTTGTTTTATGTTAAAAAAAAAAAATCACCTGGCAAAGCTGGAGTCTGTGGCCATGTAAACTTTAGGGTTATCATGGCTAGAATTCAAAAGGCTTTCCTCTCCTGCTGTTCCATGGTGAGAAAGCAGTGCTGGGACTTCCCTTCTTTCAGCAGCTGCAGTGTGTCCCCATGAGGAAATGTGTCAAAGCAGAGGTTTTGCAGGCTAAAAATATATGACCAGGTTTTCAAAATAGCAATCACAAACCGTTCCACAGCAATCTGTTTTGTCCATTTAATTCACTGAGAAGAAAAAAGAAGAAAACGTATGTATTCCTGTAATTCTTCCCCTGCTGCTTATTCACACACAAATGCCATTCTTTAGATCAAATTCCTGAGATCTGAAATACAGTACTAGCATAATAATGCTGAAGGGACACTTTCAAAGGTTACTCACCAGACATTAGCAAACAGTTTTTCAAAATTATGTACTACAAATACTCTAGACAGAACACCAAATATGCATTCACTTCCTCTACTCTTATAAATGTTCTCCTTTCAACCAACATCTGTTATTCACCACATCATGGAGCCAAAAAGATGTAATTATTGTCTGCTGTTTCTCCAGAGAAAGATTTCCATGAAGCCCCCCACCCACCCACCAGGAGGAAAAAAAAAAAAAAAAAAAGAAAGGCTGAAAAAGTTTAAGTTCCTTTAACCCATGCAAAATTCTCCACTGCCATTACAAATGACGACACATTGCTGTGCTAAAAGTAGCTACTTAGCATGATGAATGTAACTTGTCATGACCCAATTTGAGGTACAGAATGGACCATGTTCACGATCAGGATGTCCAACATCCTGAGACAACACAGAACCCCAGGGTGGATGTGAGGTTCAGAGAGGCTAATTGAGGCAAGCAATAAGAGGATAAGACTAGTTGAGTCAAATACATCTCCAAGTTCCTGATAGCAAGGACTGTGCCTTGACCATTGCTGCATCATCAGACATTAGTACAATGCTTAGACCAGATGATCCTAATGTATGATTTTGAATGAATGAAGAATTAATGAATGGTAGACAGTATTAGGCCTGGGAAGTGGGCCGATTAGAAAATCTAAAGCACAGTTTCTCAGCAGCAGCACCACTGACATTTTGGCTGGATAATTATTTGTTGTAGGTGACTGTCTTATGCATCATAGAATATTTAGCAGCATCACTGGCCTGTATCTACCTACTCCCATTAATGATAACCAAGAATGTCTCCAGGTATTTCCACATGTCCCTCAGGAGGCAAAATTACCCTCTGTTGAGAAACACTGGTCTAAAGGTACAGAGTAGAATGTTTAAGGCAATTCTCAGAATCAAAGAGGTCTGATAGCAGAATCCCAGACAGGATGGCTGAGGTTTAGGGACAAACTCTAGAAAAGACTTGAGAAATATACAAATCAGTATTCTTCTAGTAGAAAGAGCCCTAACTCAAAGTGGCCTTGAGTAAGCAACAAAAGATAATCCATTAGACTTGTACCTAAAAATTCCAGAGATATGTGATCTTCGGGTATGGCCCAACCTAGGAACTCAAACAATGTCAGCAGGACTCACCTTCTCTTCATTGCTGGACTTTGCTTTCCTGAATGATAGCTCCTTCCTTATGATAGCAAAGTGCTCACCACACTCTATGTCTACCTGCTGCCAGCTCAAAAACCAGCCCTTATAGGAAGAGAGCTTCCCTTTCTCAATAGCTCCTGGAAAAAAAATTCTCACAGCTGAGTCTTTTTGGACTAATTTTGTTCATATGTCCATCTCTGATTCATCAGTTAGGGAATCGATCAGTTGCAGAGCCAACTGAGTGATCAGGTCTGAGTCGTGTGTTCACACCTAGAACAAGGACCAAGAAATGGGGCAATTCCACCCAAAGTACCTGGATTAATATTGGGGGAAGAATGGTTTTCAGAAATAATTCAAGATGATAATATTGATTGGGGTGGCAGACACTCAGCAGACAAAACAGTGTAAGTTACCAACCCATGCCTGAAAATTCTGGGATACTGAACTGGAAACCAAAGCATGGGCTCCTGTGCTAGTATAAATACATAAGCCCAGTTCTGGTCTCAGGGTACAAGCTGCTCCGATGGACTACCATTTATAACTATTTTCTCTGAAACTTTCTTTCCCACATCTGAGTACTTATTAAACATGAAGAGGTTTATGCATTCAAATAGCAACATTTAATCTTTCCCCCTGCCTGGCTCCATTTGCATACCTTGGCTTTCATTCTGCCCTTTCTGAAGATCCTCTGGGGTAAATTCAAGCTTTGAACAGCTCCCCCCAGCTTGATTACTGACACTTTATATTTCCTGCTGCTCACAGACACTGATCTATGGGTCACAGCATAGGATCTGCTAACTGCCAAGGCCAGGTTGAGGACAGGGAAGGGAGACTTGTAGTATCTTCCTCTGGTAGTAAGAGTAAGAGATTTCTTCTTGATTTAGCTAGTAAGCAGTTTATATTCAGAAACAGTGTGACCACCCCTAACAACATTTATAAATTATAGTCTCCCCGATGGGACCATAGGTATTATTTTCATTTGGTTAAGTGCTAATCCCTTTTAAAATCTTACTGAGTGTTTCTCTACAGACTATCTTGTCACATCAGTCTCAAATGACACATCATTATAGGAGCTATAAGAGGACCAGCCACATGTCTATTATAAACTTGCAGCCTTTTAATCTCATGGCATGACAAAATGCAGGCATTCTTCTAGAAACAAGATGAGTCTGCTCAATTCTTATAAGATTAAGGCTATTTTTCATAGAGGGGAAGTTTCTTGAGAATAACAACTTTGTTTGAGGCAACTGCAGTCTACAGAGCCACCAAGCCTTATAATGAAAGCAGTCTAAATTAGGGATCACTCATCAAAGGGTTTTGACTGCTCTGGAGAGCCAAATCTTAGATTCTCTGTGTAAAGCAGTATCTGTAATAAGATGGGAAAGAGATTCTTCAAATGCATGCATTCCTAAATGACAAAAATAGAGTTATTCATTCACAAGTATAATATAAGGATATTCAATGGATTCTAATACCAATTCAGGTTGCTCCTTACTGGAGACCTGACAGCAACTGGGAACTTCTATTGTGATAATTTCCTGGTCTGGGTTTTTCACAGTAGGCAGTTAATCAGACAGGAGGAGGGCAGGAGAGGGTTCTCCTTCCCTCCACCAGGAATGTCAGACAACTATCAGGTGATGGTCTGGCAGTTGTTCAGTTGTCTCTCTAAAATAATAATTGGACACAGCCAGAGCCAGGGAAAGACAGTTTCCCAATAAAAAGAAATACATGAAACTGGCGATCAGCAGCTTCCCAATAAGACCTCAGGAGCTGGGCAAGTGGGCTCAAGCATGTGCACTAACGGGCAAAATGGTGAAGTTTAACTGGTATATGAACACTCAACTCGTAAGGGGAAAATGCCTCAAGTGAGCATGTGTACAACTCAGTAAACACACTGTGCACACAGCATCCCAAGTGCTGGCAGGCTACCAAGTATATGACAGCCCATCCCAAGGGAAGAATCAGGGGAGAAGGGATGCCACCCCCAGGAAGCATGCCAATGTAAAACAAACCCAAGTCAAAGATCGAACCATGAACTTGAATCTCCAAGTTGCCCACTTGGCCCTCTTCCAAGTGTACTTTACTTCCTTTCATTTCTGCTCTAAAACATTTTAATAAACTTTCACTCCTGCTCTACAACTTGCCTTGCTCTCTCACTCTGCCTTATGCCCCTGTTCGAATTCTTTCTTCCGAGGAGACAAGAAGTGAGGTTGCTGCAGGCCCACAGGGATTCACCACTGCTAACAGGTTCCTCTTCCATTTTACAAGCTTGCTGACTGTCTTCAACATATCATATTGATACTTATCAACATATCCTATTGTCTCATTCTATTCTGAGCTAAAGCATTGCATGGCAGTGTACTGCAAAGATTTCAGATTTGTGAAATCACACAAACCTAGTTTTGAATCTTTGTTATGCCTCTTAAAAGTTGTGACCTGTAGTCCATTTCACATCTATTTTCTCATCTCTAAAATATGGGCACACCTATCAGATAGCATTGTGTTGAAGTTTACTGATAAGGTAACATGAAATATTTGGCACAGAGTTGACACTTTACCAATGGTGGCTATTGTATTGTTTCAAGGTCTTTGCTTACTATTTGAAATAGTCCTTAGTTTATGCATCTGCCACTACATAACACTCTCTTTCAAAGTAATCTTTACAGATGCTTTGCCTCTCCAACACCCACAACAAAATGCTGGTTGCCTGCTTTATTTGTTAGCTCAGGGATGACTGGTGTCTCTCTAATCCTATAGCCTCTTCCAACAGAACGCTCTCTGATGCCCATATTGGATCCTTACTTTGGGCAACATAGTGTTCCTCCCTGAGTAACACCACAAAGCATCCTTAAGTAAAACATGCCAGGGACATGATGAATTAACCATTACATGCCCAATATGGTGTTAGCTGTGTAACTGCGTAATGCAATATTAATAGCGAGTAAATGCATGCGTGTATTTGCACATATACGTAGCATAAAACTATGCTGTAATACATACTATAGTGCTATACTACATATATCGGGGCAAAACAGATGCTTTTCTAAGTAAGGACAATCTCCTCTGGGAATTGAGTAATTGAGTTCTATTTGAAGCAGAGCATCACTCACTACAGGACAAAATATACTTACCAAGACCTCTTCACCCCATTTCCTTTTTCTTACTTTGTTACTCCCCAGCTCACTTGTTAAGAAAATACCATTTGCCCGTGCAGAGTAAATAGAGTTAGCTAAAAAACACATCACCAGTAAAAGGGACCTAGACAAAGCTACAAATCTTTAGAGGGTATTTTCCTAGTTCCTTAATGCATACTTAGAATTCTTAGCATCTGATTATGTGGCTTGCTTTCATGGGTGGCCAATCTCACCTTCCATGTGTATATTCAACTCTAAGCTCAAGGTTTTATCTTCTATCATATACCTCATCTTAGAAGATTTCTAAGCAATCTGTTTGTTTAACAAGCATTATTAAGCATTTCCTATGGGTAAGTTTCTATGCTAAGAGTTAAGGACACACACATAAATGAACCACGGCTAGAACACAACACAGAATACAATCATGAAATAATAAACACATGTGCTATAAGTCAAGCAGAAAAACAGCACATCTAATCAGAAACTGAACCTTGTGGGCCCCTTCATCTTAGCTCTAATGCTAATGCTGCCACAGCAGGATAAATGTGGGGGGCATGATCTCAGATATGGTGCTCCAAATAGACATGACATTCCAGGCAAAGGATTCTATTCCTGGCCAGAGAGCTGGCTAAGAAAACAGGGTAAGCATGTTCCCAGTGATTCAGCTGCTAAATGAATCAGAAAGGACCATTGCACTGAGATCAAAGGGTTGATTACACATTACTTCACTCATCTAGATTTTAGTTTCAAGTTTGTCACAAATGATTGTTCATATGTAAAAGGGATTTATGATTATTGCTTTCAGGGTTACTACTGGAGAAGTCTCTGGAAGGTATAGGAGACGGAAACTGAGTTTTGAAAATAATCTCACTTTGCCCCCTTAGCAATCATACCCTTCCCACACTTTGAC
This sequence comes from Homo sapiens, assembly GCF_000001405.40. Taxonomy (NCBI): domain Eukaryota; kingdom Metazoa; phylum Chordata; class Mammalia; order Primates; family Hominidae; genus Homo; species Homo sapiens. The sequence goes on along the minus strand of NC_000003.12, from coordinate 26,099,612 downwards.
TTACACACCACAACCATCTTTGATATTATAAAGGTTATTGTTGTTATTGTTGGTTTTTTAGGGTATAAACATTTGTTTTCTGCTTTCTTGCTTTGAAATAACAACTTCTTGCAGTATATTAAATAAGAGCTAAACTAAATTGGTGGAGAAATTGAAATAGGGAGAATTTTTCAGAAATTGCATGTTTAGAAATCCTCAGGTGAACCAGGAGTATAAGAAACCCTGAAGTTAATTCACATAAAGGCATAATCTGTAAATTTACAAAGCTGAACCTCACCTCTACCAAGACCTTTTTTATAAACAGTATAAATCTCAGGTAATACAATTAATTAAGGGCTTAAAACTATTTGTTAAGAGTGTTTGATGGGGGTGTGCAACTTTCTGGTTATAATCAGAACTTGAGAAGCAGGTACAAGCAGGATTTATAGAAAGCAAGACATCCTCCTGTGTTCCAACCTCCAGTCTTTTTTATAGCCAGTGTAGAATTGAAAAAAAAAAAAAAGTCACATCGCTTTGCCTCTATTCAACTCCAGTACACTCTATGTGCCACTCACCAACCCCAAACATTGATTTAGCGCCAACTAAAGTCGAAAAGAAAAGTTTTGAATGTGTCAGCCCATCATCGAATATTTTTAGTGACTCATTATTTTTGTTTGGTTTCTCCCAGAAACGGACCTGAGATAAGGACCAAGAGATGGAGGGAACCCCAGGTGGGGAGCAGGAAAGTGATATGGTGAAGAAAAGGCAGCCACAGGAGTATGTTATAGATTCACCTACCACAGTGGGCAACTGGAGCTTGACCCTATGCAGAAACTCTGGGAAATGGTGCCAAACTCATACTGCAGAACTTTATTACCCTAAATGTTATGGGTTGAATTGTGTCTCCCCAAAAAATATGAGTCCTAACCCCAGTACCTCAGCATGTGGCCTGATTTGGAAATAGGATCATCGAAGGCATAATTAGATAAGATGTGGTCATACTGGAGCAGGATACACCTTTAATCTAGTATGAGTGGTGTCATTACAAGAAGACAATGTGAAGACACAAAGGAAGAACGCCATATGAAGACGGAGGCAGAAATTGGCATTATGCAACTACAAGCCAAGGAACAACAAGGATTGGCAACTACGACCAAGAGCCAGAAAGAGGCAAGGAAGAATTCCACCCAGAGTCTCAGAGCCCTGCATGGCCCTGCTGACACTTTGATTTTAGACTTTTATCCTCCAGAAATGAAACAATACATTTCTGTTGTTTTAGGGCCCCAAATTTGTCAAACGTTGTTAAGAAAGTCCGAGGAAACTAATACACTGAGTGAAGTTACTGATACACTACTTTTCCATCAGTCATTGCTTGAGAACTTCTTCCTGGAGAATAGAGTTAAGTCCACAGTGCCTTTTGACTGTCATGCGTAGGCAGAGCAGATTTTCAAGGTTCCATAAAAGTCCTAAGGCATAGAGTACACATACTGGCAGTTGGAAGTTGACTGAGCATACTAAAATGGTCTAAGGGATATGGGTAACCATCTGTTACTTTCCTATTAGCTGTAAGACAAAAATTTAATTTTTAAGGCTAGAATTCTAGATCCTCCACAATTTGACGCCCACCTACATTTCCAACTATATTCAGGCATCCCTCTACTCAAGTGAACTTTTTTCTTTTCATTTCCTAAACATTTATTGATTTATTTCTTGTTGCTTTGGTGCAGTTCTTATTTCTCTTCTAAGGTTACCTTCACTCTCCATTGCATGTATCCAAATTCTATTCACCCTTTGAGACCCAAATCAATTGCACTTCCTCCACTAAAGATTTAAAATACTACACTCATTTCCACTTCTGAACATTTAAATATTTTCTCTACTGTTTCTCTCACTAAATAATACTACCAACTGGCATTGCTTATGGACCATATTATGTGTACTTTTTTTCTTCCCAACTAGATCATAAGCTAGTCCTGAGAACAAAAATGGGCTTTAATATGGTTTGGTTGTGTCCCCACCCAAATCTCATATTGAATTCCCACTTGTTGTGGGAGGGACCCAGTGGGAGGTAATTGAATCATGGGGGCAGGTCTTTCCTGTGCTGCTCTCATGATAGTAAATATGTCTCATGAGATCTGATGTTTATATAAGGGGGAGTTTCCTTGAACAAGCTCTCTTCTCTTGTCGGCCAACATGTAAGACGTGCCTTTCACCTTCCACCATGATTGTGAGGTGTCCCCAGTCACATGGAACTGTATGTTCATTAAACCTTTTTTTCTTCCCAGTCTCAGGTATGTCTTTATCAGCAGCATGAAAACGGACTAATACAGTAACTTGGTACCAGGAGTGGGGTATTGCTGAAAAGATACCCAAAAATGTGGTAGCAACTTTGGAACTGGGTAACAGGCAGAGGTTGGAATAGTTTGGAAGGCTCAGAAGAAGATAGGAAAATGTGGTAAACTTTGGAACTTCCCAGAGACTTACTGAATGGCTTTGACTAAAAGTCTGATAGCGATATTGACAATAAAGTCCAGGCTGAGGTGGTCTCAGATGGAGATAAGGAACTTGTTGGGAACTGGAGCAAAGGTGACTCTTGTTATGTTTTAGCAAAGAGGCTGGTGCCATTTTGCCCCTGCCCTAGAGATCTGTGGAACTTTGAACCTTAGAGAGATGATTTAGGGTATCTGGTGGAAGAAATTTCTAAGCAACGAAACATTCAAGATCTGACTTGGGTGTGTTAAAGGCACTCAGTTTTATCAGGGAAGCAGAACATAAAGTTCAGAAAAATTGCAGCCTGACAATGTGATAGAAAAGAAAATCCCATTTTCTGATGAGAAATTGAAACTGGCTGCAGAAATTTGCATGAGTAATGAGGAGCTGAATGTTAATCCCCAAGACAATGGGGAAAATGTCTCCAGGACATGTCAAAGATCTTAATGGCAGTCCCTCCCATCACAGGCCTGGAGGCCCAGGAGAAAACGGTTTTGTGGGCCAGGCCAGGCCCAGGGTCCCCGTGCTGTGTGCAGTCCAGGGACTTGGTGACCTGTGGCCAGCCACTCCAGCCATGACTAAAAGGGGCCAAGGTACAGCTTGAGCTGTTGCTTCAGAAGTTGGAAGCTCCAAGCCTTGGCAACTTCCATGTGGTGTTGAGCCTGTAGGTGCACAGAAGTCAAGAAGTGAGATTTGAGAACCTCTGCCTAGATTTCAGAAGAAGTATGGAAACACCTTTTGCCCAAGCAAAAGTTTGCTGCAGGGGTGGGTCTCTCATGGAGAACCTCTGCTAGGGCAGTGCAGAAGGGAAATGTGGAGTCAAAGCCCCCACACAGAGTCCCTATTGGGGCACCAGCTAGTGTAGCTGTGAGGAGAGGGCCACCGTCTTCCAGACTCCAGAATGGTAGATCCACTGACAACTTTAACCATGTACCTGGAAAAGCCACAGACACTCAATGCCAGCCCACGAAAGCAGCCAGGAGGGGAGCTATACCCTGCAAATCCACAGAGACAGAGCTGCTCAAGACCATGGGAACCCACCTCTTGCATCAGCGTGACCTGGGTGTGAGACATGGAGTCAAATGAGAACATTTTGGAGCTTTAAGATCTTACTGCCCCATTGAATTTTGGACTTGCATGGGACCTGTAGCCTCTTTGTTTTGGCCAGTGTCTCCCATTTGGAATGGCTGTATTTAACCAATGCCTGTACCCCCATTGTATCTAGGAAGTAACTAACTTGCTTTTGATTTTACAGGCTCATAGGTGGAAGGGACTTGCCTTGTCTCAGATGAGACTTTGGACTATGGACTTTTGAGTTAATGCTGCTGAAATGAGTTAAGACTCTGGAGGACAGTTGGGAGGGCATGATTGGTTTTGAAATGTGAGGACATGAGGTTTGGGAGGGGCTGGAGGCAGAATGATGTGGTTTGGCTCTGTCCCCACCCAAATCTCATCTTGATTTCTCACGTGATGTGGGAGGGACCTGGTGGGAGGTAACTGAATATTGGGGGCAGGTCTTTCTTGTGCTGTTCTCATGATAGTGAGTAAGTCTCATGAGATCTGATGATTAAATAAGGGGGGGTTTCCCAGCACAAGCCCTTTTCTCTTTGCTGCCATGTGAGATGTGCCTTTCACGTGCCAAAGAGATATCTGAACTCCCATGTTTATTGCAGCAGTATTCACAATAGTCAAGATATGAAATCAACATAAGTGTCCATCAACAGATGAATGGATAACAAAAATGTGGTATATGTATACAACAGAATACTATTCAGCCTTAAAAAGAAAGAAATCCTGTAATTTGCAGCAATATAGATGAATCTCAAGGACATTATGCTAAGTAAAATAAGCCAGATGCAGGAAGACTAATACTGCATAATCTCACTTATATATGGAATCTAAAAACGTCAAACTTGTGAAAGGAGAGAGTAGAACGATGATTACCAAGAACTCAGGGCAGGGAAAGAGGGGGATTGGGGAGGTTTTGGTCAAAAATTACCAAGTTTCAGTTAGGAGGAATAAATTTTTGAGAACTATCACACAATATGACTATAATTAATAATAACATAATGTACATATTTAAATTGCTGAGGGTATATTTTATATTTTAATGCTTTTTTTTTTTTTTTTTTGAGACACAGTCTTGTTCTGTCACCCAGGCTGGAGTGCACTGTCACGATCTCGGCTCACTGCAAGCTCCGCCTCCCGGGTTCATGCCATTCTCCTGCCTCAGCCTCCCGAGTACTGGGACTACAGGCACCCGCCACCACACCCGGCTAATTTTTTTTGTATTTTTAGTAGAGACAGGGTTTCACTTGTTAGCCAGGATGGTCTCGATCTTCTGACCTCATGATCCGCCCGCCTCAGCCTCCCAAAGTGCTGGGATTACAGGCGTGAGCCACCGTGCCCAGCCATTTTAATGCTTTTTAAAAATATACTCAGGGTTATAAGTGCAGATTTTTTACATGCATTTATTGCATCGTGGTCAAGTCTGGGCTTTTGGTGTACCCATCACCCAAATAGTGAACATTGTACCCAACAGATTATTTTTCAATCCTCATCTGCCTGCCACCCTCCCACCTATTGTAATCTCCTATATCTGTTATTCCACTCTGTATGTTCATATGTATCCGTTGTTTGGCTCCCACTCATAAGTGAGAATGTGTGGTATTTGACTTTGTTTCTGAGTTATTTCAATTAAAACAATGGCCTTCAGTTCCGTTCTTGTTGCTGCAAAACACATGATTTCATTCTTTCTATGGCAAAGTAGTATTCCATGGTATATATGCACCACATTTTTTTTTATCCAGTTCTCTACTGATGGACACTTATGTTGGTTCCATATCTTTGCTATTATGAATAGTGCTGTGATAAACATATGAGTGCAGGTATCTTTTTGATATAATGATTTCTTTCCCTTTGGGTATACACCCAGTAGTGAGATTACTGGATTGAACAGTAGTTCTATATTTAGTTCTTTGAGAAACCTTCATACTATTTTCCGTTGAGACTGTACTAATTTACATTTCCACGAACAGTGTATGTGTTCCCTTTTCTCTGCATCCTTGACAACCTCTATTGATTTTTGACTTTTTTATTTTTTTGAGATGCAGTCTTACTCTGTTGCCCAGGCTGGAGTGCAGTGGCATGATCTCCGCTCACTGCAAGCTCCTCCCCCTGGGTTCATGCCATTCTCCTGCCTCAGCCTCCCAAGTAGCTGGGACTACAGGCGCCCGCCACCACACCCAGCTAATTTTTCTGTATTTTTAGTAGAGATGGGGTTTCACAATGTTCGCCAGGTTGGTCTTGATCTCCTGACCTCATAATCCACCCACCTCAGCCTCCCAAAGTGCTGGGATTACAGAGATTTTTTACTTTTCAATAATAGTCATTCTGACTGGTGTAGGATGATTTCTCATTGAGGTTTTAGTTTGCATTTCTCTGATGATTAGTCATGTTGAGCATTTTTTCATGTTTGTTGACCACTTGTATGTCTTCTTTGGAAAAATATCTGTTCATGTCCTTTGCCCACTTTTTAATGAGGTAACTTGTTTTTTTCTTGTTGAGCTGTTTGAGTTCCTTATAGATTCTGGGTGTTAGCCCTTTGTTGGATGCATAGTTTGCAAATATTTTCTCCTATTCTGAAGGTTGTCTGTTTATTCTGTTGATTGCTTCTCTTGCTTTACAGCTTTTTAATTTAATCAAGTCCCATTTGTCTACTTTGGTTTTGTTGTGTTTGCTTTTGAGGAGTTGGTCATAAACTCTTTGCACAGGCCAATGTTCAGAAGAGTTTTTACTAGGTTTTCCTCTACAATTTTACAGTTTCAGGTCTTACATTTAGGTCTTTAATCTATTTTGAGTTAATTTATGTACACGGTGAGAGGAATGGGTCCAGTTTCATTGTTCTGCATATAACAATCCAATTTTTTCTTGCACCATTTAGTAAATAGGGTGTCCTTTCCCCAGTGCATATTTTCATTGACTTTGTGGAAGATCAGTTTGTTGTACGTATGTGGCTTTATTCCTGAATTGTCTGTATTGTTCCACTGATTTATATGTCTATTTTTATACCAGGTCCATACTGTTTTGGTTACTAGAGGCTTGTATTAGAAGTCAGATAATGTGATGTCTCCAGCTTTGTTGTTTTAGCTTAGTTGCTCTTGCTATTTGGGCTCTTTTTTGGTTCCACACAAATTTTAGAATTATTTTTCCTAATTCTGTAAAAAAACGATGTTGCTAATTTGATAGGGATAGCATTGAATCCATAGATTGCTTTGGGTGTTACAGTCATTTTAATGGTATTGTTTCCTCTAATCCATGAGCATATGATGTTTTTTCATTTGTTTGTTTCATCTACAACTTATTTTATCATTGTTTTGTAGTTGTTATTGAGGTCTTTCACCTACTTGGTTAAATGTATTACTAGGTTTTTATTGGTAGCTATTACAAATGGGATTGCCTTCTTAATTTGGTCCTTGCCTAGATCATTATTGGTTTTAGAAATTCCACTAATTTTTGTACATTAATTTTGTATCCTGAAACTTTACTGAATTAATTTATAAAATCCAAGATAATTTTGGTGGAGTTTTTAAGGTTTTTTTAGATATAACATCATATCATCAGCACACAGGGATAATTTGACTTCTTTTTTTCCAATTTGAGTACTTTTTATTATTTTCTAAGAGGGTAAATTTTAAACGTTCCCACTACAAAAAATGATAAGTATGTGAAGTGATTGATATAGTAATTAGATTGGTTTAATCATTCCTCTCTCTCTGTCTCTCTATATATATATATATAAACATCACATTATACCCCCTTAATATATGCTATTTTTATTTGTCAGTTACTTTTTTTTTTTTTTTTTTTTTTTTGAGACAGAGTCTCGCTCTGTCACCCAGGCTGGATTGCAGTGATGCAATCTCGGCTCACTCCACCTTCTGCATCCTAGGTTCATGTGATTCTCCTGCCTTAGCCTCCCAAGTAGCTGGGACTACAGGTGTGTGCCACCATGCCCACTAATTTTTGTATTTTTAGTAGAGAATGGTTTTCACCAAGTTGGCCAGGCTGGTTTCACACTCCTGCCCTCAAGTGATCCACCCACCTCAGCCTTTCATTACAGGCATGAGCCACTGTGCCCGGTCTGAAATTTATTTTTAAATTATTTAGAAGTAACAATAACAGTAGAAATTATCTGGGTGGGCCTCATCTACTCACAAGGGTTTTTAACTGCAGTTTTCTTTGGTTTGCAGCCAAAGAATGCAGAAAGACTTGAAGCACAAGGACTTTATATGCTATTTCTGGTTTGAAAATGGAAGGAATAAAATGAGACAGAATATGTATGGGTGACCAATAGAAACAATGAGTGGCCCCTAGCTGGCAGCCAACAAGAAAAGAGGGAACTAGATTCTGCCAACAACCCAAATAAACTTGGATTCTTCCTTCAAGCCTCCAGATAAACACTAGCTGAGGCTAAGCCATATCTTGACTTCAGCCTTTTGAAGCCTTAAATGAAACAAACAAAAAAAATCAGCAAAGCTTGTCTGGACTTCTGACCTGCAGAACTTTGAGATAATAAATAGGCGCTGTTTTAAGCAACTAATTTTGTACTCATGTGTCACCTAGTAATAGAAAACTAATAGAGCTGCTTTGGCCCAGAGAATGTGAAATAAATGCTCCTGTGATAATTATAAGCTAAAACCAAATTCTCATGTCATGCTGTTAAAACAAACAAAAAAAGGCTTTGATTTACTATGTGGGGGGTTTGGTCCCCACTTGAAGCAGGGCCCTGGAGAATGACAGGTGCTCCTGGAGCTCCAGTCTCAGTCAAGCTTCCAGCTGAATGCAGTCACATGAGTGACCTCTGTCTGCTCCATGTGAATCAGAAGAACTGTTTTGAGTCCAGTATCAAATCTGAGAAATAGATCACTTATTTTAGCCACTAAATTGTGTGGTAGTTTGTAATGTACCACAACCACAAACAAGGGCATTTATGTCCTTGGTTCACAACTGGTCTACTTCTCTACTTTAGGCACATTTCAGGCATTATCTCTCACAACAACCTTGGAAAGTGGATCCTGTGTAATTATTTCTATTTTACAGATAGGAAAATAGCTTCATAGAAGCTGATCAACCCATGTGTATTTACGACCAATGTCCATGGTGTTTTTACTACTGCCTTTTAATGAGGAAACAATATGCAAACCTCTGCTTTACACAAAGTCATTTCCTAATTTGTGCCGTTAAAGAAATTCTAGTGCAGCCACTGATACAGACTCAGCTTCTTGCTCTGTTGGGAAGGGAGGTGTCACTGCTCTAAGAGTTAGATAGGCATATGCCCAAAAACATGCTGACCTTGCCAGGAAAGCGGTGAGGGGGAAGATGCCTAAGAGGGAAGCAAGAGTCTACCTACCACTCACCATATGTCAAGCAGTGACAGGTCAGCTTTTGTCCAAGAAGTGAGCATTCTCAGAGTTGTCACCTGGGAGCATATGGCCATTGGGATAGAATAAAATGCCTCAATAACATGTCAAGTGTTAAATACCAGTTGCCAAAAATATATATTGCTTACGACCGCTTTTAATTTCTGGAGGAAGGCAGAGAAGCATTTTTTCCATAAGCAGTTTTGTGGAACCATTCAGTTACACTGAATAAGTTGCAAGAACCATCTATAGGTAAAATATCTGGCCATTACAGTAGTGGGATTATTCCATTCTCTTAAAACTGTGGCCTCAAATTATAATCTAAGTGATCATATTTAAATACGACCATCAAGAAAATCAGATAGAAAAATGAACAAAAGATTAGAATATACACACACTTCACAAAACAAAGTATCCAAACAACTGGCAAACATATTAAAAGATGCTCAACTTCCTTATGCATTAGGGGAATCAAGTTGAAACCCTAATGGAACACCACTGACACCTATCAAAAAAAAGCTGAAATTAGGAAGACCAACAACATCAATCGTTCACAAAGATGGGGAGCACCTGAAATTCCAAACACTGCTGATGGAAAAAGTATAAATTGGTACTTTTGGAAAATCTTTGCCAGTATTTACCAAAGTTAAACATTTCGTTACTGTATTCCTAACAATTTAACTGTCAGTACACCCAACAGAAATGTATGCATATGTTAATCAAAAGATACGGAAGAGAGTGTTCACATATAAGTTAATAATAATGTGGTGCTTGAATTGCTTCTTTGCCTTTTGGTTAAGATCAAGTATAATGTGGTGCTTGAAAATCAACACTCCACAAATGCCCCCATTTAATAGCTTTCAGATTCCTGTCATGCTCTAACACATGCTCTGTGTTGCTATATACTGAGAGCCCCCAGATGTGAGTCAGGGCTTGTTAATCAGGGGATTTGAAACCTGGCTTTACCATTTTGCTAGCTGTGTTGCTTTGGATAAGTCACATAAACCTCAGTTCTCCTGTCTTTAAAACGGAGGTCACAACATGAGATTGTACCTCATGAGATTGTAATGAGAACTCACTAAGTTTGTTATAGAACAAAATTTTAATAAATCGAGTTTTTACAATCAAATTGGCTTTTATTAGCAATTTATGAACTGGGCAAAATCCTATCTAGGAAACAGAAGGATGCTCTGCTGAGCTGAGCAGATGGGGTCAGCTTTATAGGCAAAAAAAAAGGCTGAAGAGAGCAGAAGCAAGAAACAAAGAGTGGACTGGTCATTTCAAAGTTACTTTCTTTGTGTGGGTTAAAGCTGTCTTTTATTATGACAGCTTGGGTTGACTGGGCCACTTGCCACTGGTTTCTGTGGATCTCCTGTTCTTTGGAAAACTGGTCTGTTTGAGGATTTGTCCATCATCTCTCTTATGATTTCTTGGAAGGTAAGACCTTAAAAGTAAACAGCTTAGGATTTAGTTTGATGCCATGAAATCTTAGCATGAATGATTCCATTTTGGATTGGTCTGTTGGGGCCTAGTGCAGGAGCTCAGTCCTAATCACTGAACTCTCATAAATTTTATTTAACAAGTTAATGTAAGTAGAGCAGTTAGAATAGTATCTAACACATAGTAAATGCTCCACAAATGCAGATGTCTATCAAGTCATCTCTTTCTCCATACTTATATGCTCAGGTAAGCTTCAAGTATACCTATGGAGGTTCGGTTAGGAATGAATTTCATATGAGCACTTCAAGTCAATGGACAGGTAAGCATCCAGTGATGTCGTGAAAATAAAATCTGTTGATTAATAAATCTTGATGTTTGATATGGTTTGGCTCTGTGTCCCCACCCAAATCTCATTTTGAATTGTAATCCCCATGTGTCAAGGAAGGGAGGTGATTGGATCATGGAAGCAGTTTTCCCCATGCTATTCTCATGATAGTGAGTGAGTTCTCATGAGATCTGATGGTTTTCTAAGTGTTTGGAAGTTCCTCCCTCGTTATTCTCTCTCCTGTCACCTGTGAAGAAGGTGCTTGCTTCCCCTTCACCTTCTGCCATGATTGTAAGTTTCCTGAGGCCTCCCCAGTCACCTAAAACTATGAGTCAATTAAACCTCTTTCCTTTATAAATTACCCAGTCTCGGGTATTTCTTTACAACAGTGTGAAATGGACTAATACAGGAAATTACACCATGGAGCGAGGTACTGCTATAAAGATACTTGAAAATGTGAAAGCAACTTTGGAACTGGGTAACAGGCAGAGGGTGGAACAGTTTGGAGCTCTCAGAAGAAGACAGGAAGATACGGGCCAGTTTGGAACTTTCTAGAGACTTGTTGAATGGCTTTGACCAAAATGCTGATAATGATGTGAACAATGAAGTCAAGGCTGAGGTGGTCTCAGCTAGAGATAAGGAATTTCTTGGGAACTGGAGCAAAGATCATTCTTGCTATACTTTAGCAAAGAGACTGGTGGCATTTTGCCCCTGCCCTAGAGATCTGTGGAACTTTGAACTTGAGAGAAATGATCTGAAATTGTAACTTATGTTTAAAAAGGAAGCAGAGCATAAAAGTTTGAAAAATTTGCAGACTGACGATGCAATAAAAAAGAGAAAACCATTTTCTAGGGCGAAATTCAAGCTGCAGAAATTTGAATAAGTAATGAGGAGCCTAATGTTAATTGCCAAAACAATGAGGAAAATGTCTCCAGGGCATGTCAGAGATCTTGGCAGCAGCTCCTGCCATCACAGGCTCAGAGGCCTAGGAGGAAAAAATGGTTCTGTGGGCCAAGCCCAGGGCCTGGCTTCGGTATGCAGCCTTGGGACTTGGTGCCTTGAGTCCCAACCATGGCAAAAAGAGGCCAAGGTACAGTCTGGGCCATTGCTTCAGAGGGTGCAAGCTCCAAGACTTTGCAGCTTATACATGGTGTTGGGCCTACAGGTGAACAGAAGTCAAGAATTTAGGTTTGGAAACCTCCACCTAGATTTCAGAGGATATACAGAAATGCCTGGATGTCCAGGCAGAAGTCTGCTGCAAGGCTGGAGCCCTCATGGAGAATCTCTGCTAGGGCACTGGAAAAGGGAAATGTGGGGTTGGAGCCTCCACACAGAGTCCCCACTGGGGCACTGCCTAGTGGAGCTGTGAGAAGAGGACCACCATCCTCCAAACTCCAGAATGGTAGATCCACTGAAAGCTTGCACCGTGTACCTGGAAAAGCCACAGAAACTCAATGCCAGCTTGTGAGGGAGCTTCCCAAGGCTGTGGGAGCCCACTGCTTGTATCACCATGCCCTGGATGTGAAACATGGAGTCAAATGAGATAATTATGGAGCTTTAAGATTTAATGACTGCTCCACTGGATTTCAGACTTGCATAAGACCATAACCCTTTGTTTTGGCCAATTTCTCCCATTTGGAATGAAAGGATTTACCCAATGCCTGCATCCCCATTGCATCTAGGAAGCAACTAACTTGCTTTTGATTTTACAGGATCATAGGCAGAAAGGACTAACCTGTCTCAGATGAGACTTTGGACTGTGGACTTTTGAGTTAATACTGAAATGAGTTAAGACTTTGGGGAAATGTTGGGAGGGCATAATAGGTTTTGAAATGTGAAAAGACATGATATTTGGGAGCGGCCAGGGGCAGAATAATATGATTTGACTCTGTTTCCCCACCCAAAACTCATCTTGACTTGTAATCCACCCCTGTCAAGGGAGAAAGGTGATTTGATCATGGGGGTGGTTCTCCCCATGCTGTTCTCACCATAGTAAGTTCTCATGAGATCTGATGATTTTATAAGTGTTTGGTAGTTCCTCCTTCATCCTTTTCTCTCCTGCTACCTGTGAAGAAGTTGCTTGCTTCTCCTTCACCTTCTGCCATGATTGTGTAAGTTTACTGAGGCCTCCCTGGCCATGTGAAACTGAGAGTCAATTACACCTCTTTCCTTTATAAATTACCCAGTCTCAGGTATTTATAGGGGTGTGAAAACAGACTAATGCAATATTAATAGATGACACAGTGGTGATTCTTCAAAAACCTAGAGGCAGAAATACCATTTGTCCCAGCAAACCCATTATTGAGTATATACTCAAAGGAATATAAGTCATTCTATTATAAAGCTACATGCACACGTATGTTCACTGCAGCACTATTCGCAATAGCAAAGACATGGAATCAACCTAAATGCCCATCAATGATAGACTGGATAAATAAAATATGTAATATACACCGTATAGTATTGAGCCATAAAAAGGAATGAGATCATGTCCTTTGCAGTGAAAGGATGGAGTTAGAAGCCATAGTCCTCAGCAAACTCACACAGGGACAGAAAACCAAACACTTCAGGTTCTCACTTATAAAGTAGGAGCTAAATGATGAGAACACCTGGTCAGATGTCAGGGAATAACACACACTGGGAACGCGTGGTGGGTGTAGGGAGGGAGAACATCAAGAACAATAGTTAATGGATGCTGGGCTTAATACCTAGGTGATGGGATGATCTGTGCATCAAAACCCTATGGCACAGGTTTACCTATGTAACAAACCAGCACATCCTGCACATGTACCTCTGAACTTAAGATAAAAGTTGAAGGAAAAAAATAGGTGACAACTTTATAAGGATGCACTGAGTACTGTATGTATTATCTTTCTAATTTTTAAAAAAATTAAGATTGGACTGTTGATAGTGTGCTTCATTAAACACATTCTATTTGGACTCAATATAGTATAAAATATTTAGATTAATTGTATGCATATATGAATATTTGTTTAATCAATCTTTTCATCTATTTTCAGATTTACTAATTTAATCAAAGGCTGAAAAGCTTGAGGGAGTATAAAAGAGGCTAACCTGTTGTAAAGAGAAGAAGTAATGTATTGTACTTGTCTATCACAAGGTTCATGGCTGACACCCCTATAACAAAAGACACATTAATAAGAGAAAAGTATAAAACATTTATTTAACCAAAGTTGTATATGGTTAAATACATGGGAGCCCTCAGAAATTAAGACCACATGATCCAGGGAAAGCCGTGTATTTTTGTGCTACATCTGATGAAAGAAGTGGATAGTTGTAGAGGAACATGATTGAACAAAAAGGGTAGGATGTGATGGTAATAAAATGGGGGGATAACTTCAGCAAGAGCTGTTTGTTCAGATTATTTTCTGTGTCTCTGTATGACATTTCTTCCCCCCAGGAATGAGACAGGACACCTGTCACATGAGGATCTTCATGGGAGAAGGGAGAAGTTGAGAGTGACATTTCCTAGGTTTTATGGCTTGCTTTGGGAGATAATTCTGGTTTCTATGACCCATTTTGGTGGAGAGAGGAGGCAGAGAGAAGGTCAGAGAAACCTTCTTGTTTCTGCAGCCATCTCAATCTCCTTCAGTTCAAAAATGCTTAGCACACCAAGGTGGCATATTTTGGGATATTGTGTTCTGAGGCCCAATACTGTGCATGATAACTTTGAGGTCTTAGAAGACAGATCAAATAGAGCACAGAAATCAAAATTTTTGGTTAGAAAGATGGGCAGACAGCACTGAGAAAACAGAAGAAAAATTGCAAAGGAGAAGAAAGGAGAAATACGGTTGAAAAAATCCAACAAAAAACTAAATATATATGTTCAGCAAGATACAGTAATATGGAAAAGCATGGCATGGATTTTTGTTTGTTTCAATTTATGAGCCCTATATATGTCTCACTCCCTCTGACGAAACATGCCTTTAATATTCATTTTCTAGGTCTTGAGCCTTTCCAATACCCATAAACAGTGACAGAGGCAGATTTTTGATAGAATCTATTTGTACCGTGTAAGGTAATGTTAACATTTTCCTCTCTCAGGAATCCCAGCACTGGAGAGAGGAAGTCTGAGGTCACAGCTGTGCAGCAGCCTCAAGAGCAACCAGTCCTTGGTAGAGCAGGAGGAGGCAGGACTCAGAGAGAACTGCCCTGGAACAAAAAATAAACTGAGTTGCTGGTTGCTGGTGTGCTGGGCTATGTGGAGAAGAGCTTCACTGCTCAGGCAGAGACTGGGGGAAGCTTAATTAGTGACAGCTACAGATTGAGCTAAGCAACAGAAAGGATGGAGAAGTTACTAAAACTTCAGGGGAAAATAACTGCGGCACAAGTAAAGAAATGTAATCATATTATACAACTTGGCTTAGCTGGGAGTAATATTTACATAGATATGCTAATGAAAACAAAATATTGATTTAACACAATATAACAATATTGTGATGGGAGAGTTGAAGAGAGAGAGGATGTGAGAGTAACAGGAAGAGAGAAAAGGTATGCATCTTTAGTCTAGGTTAAGAAAAGTGGGCAAGAAAACTAAATTCTCCCTTACTAGAAAATCAAAATATAACAGTATAATTAAATTAGATATGGAGGTAAATACCCAGAGAAAATCTAAAAGAGTTATCAGGGGCTAGATTCAGAAGTAGAATGGGAGAATTTAAGGATTTTGCATTTTTATTATTAGATTTGCAATAATATTTTATTTTAAAACTGTGCATGTTACATAACTCTGATTTAAAACAAAACACTAAATGAAAGAGAGGTTAATCTTTGGACTCTTTGGATTGAGTCTGGACTCTGAAAAGAACAAGATGGCTGGTAGCGTTTACAATAAAATATGGCAATGTATAAATTAAAATATCAATTTACAAATAACAATTTGGCACCACTGGAAAGCTTATGTTATACCCATAAAAGTATGGTTACCAAACATGTTCTCCAATTAGTTAAAGCCTGCTCAATTTAGGATACAAGGAGAACAGTACAACATGATTGTAATGCTAGTTATTATTTAAGGAGAAAAGCTGTATTCACATTCTAAGAATATAGTGTACTTAGTAATATAATTTGACAGGATTGTCGAATTATGTTTGTTTTCCCAGAGTAGCCCCTGCATTCTTGGCCATTCTTAACCACTTTTACTTGACTTGACTTTAATTGAATATCCTACAAAGGAGGCAAAGCCTCTAGCTCTCTTTCCCTAACACCCTGAGATTTTATTCTCTCTATTTCACTTTCAGCTTGTTGGCACAATTGATGAAGCTTCCCTGACCAGGCAAGGCAGAACTAGGTCCTTGAGGATCTGCAGGCTGCAAAGACTTGCTCATCACACCTCCTTCTGCTCTCCACTGTGTTTAGGGAGCACAAAAAGGAACATTGCTTTTGCTTTCCTTTCTCTTTTCTCACTCCTTGTGTTCACTTGCTTAGAAGTAAAGAAACCTACTTTCAGTGAAAACTAGGCACGATGCTGATAACCATACTAAAATGGCAATGTTCAGGATAAGCAGGTCACATCTGATTGGAATGAAGGAATCCTAGCGAGGTTGCTTTTCCTTGTTCCAAGACCCAAGTGGCAAGAAATTTAATGAATGAAAATCAGAAAGAAAGTTTAAGATGTCAATTACTTTTAAAAATCAGGAAAATAATGCAGGGTGTGAGAAAAAAATATACAGAGGAAAGTACGATAATCTTGAGCTTGGAAAGTATGTTGTGGCCAGCTCTCCAATATCTATTTTACTCCCCTAACCCTAGCTCCAGGGCAGGATTTAATTGGGCAAACCAATTATGAAAATCACAACTCCTTTGTCAAGGGTAATTTTCCAGAAACCAACCAGGCCTTTCATTACCTTAGAACGAAGATTTGCTTTAGGGTAGTCGAATTGGCACAGTATTCAGCAATTTTACTCAGTAATTGTGGAAAACTACACCCTCCTGGCTGCCATCTTCTGCTAATGAGGGCCCAAAAAGCTAACCTAGGAAAACAAAGTGTAGACAACTACAAAAAAAAGGAAGTAGAACCCAGAATAAACCATGCTTGGGATATGTCCCATTTCTGAACTTTTTCATAGCATGAGCCCATATTCCCTTGTATTGTTGAAGGAAGTTTGACTCTCATTTTCTTTTACTTGGAAGCCGAAGTTTCTAATTGACACAGCACCTGAAGAGATTGTAGGCATGAAGAAGCCAAAAGGTGACGAAGTTTTGGGCACCAGGACCGAAAATTAAATGCATTTGAAAATAATCCCATTCAAGCAGAGTCCAGAAGACAATTAAAGAAAAAAAAGTCACTGCTGGAAACTAGAAGATAATTGCTTAATTATGGCTCAGGCACAGCACTTGTAAAGGGGGACATTTCACCCCAATGGGACTGTGTAGAAGAAAATTACTAATTGTTCTCAAGTTGGCAAAAGCTTAAATCCCTTGTCTGAGGATTATTGTTCTCAGTGATGATTCCATATTATTCTGTTAACTTGCATATATATATATATATATATATATGCACACACACACACACATATATATACCCACACACATATATGCAAGTATATGTTATGTATTTATGTATGTATGTATAAATGTATTTATTATATATTTATATATGTATAAATATATATGTGTGTGTGTATATATATTTTTTAAAGGAGCCTTAGAGGTGATAAATAAGGGCAAGAAGAAAATGAAGAGTTGGCAGTTTAATGAAAGAAACTTAAAGTGTTTCCTTCCATAAACATTCTGGATATGGCAAAATCTCACATTTGCAACAGTTATTTTAAAAGCTAAAGCTTGAACTTCTACATAAAATAATACAGCAAAAATTGCTGCTGTAAACTACTAAGCAAAATTCCCCACTCCAGGCTTCTTTCTGCCCAAACAGAAGTTGAATCAATCCATGAATTGGGCCTTCACACTTATTTCCTCCCTCAGCCACAGCTCCTCCTCACTTGGCACCATTAGGATTCCATTTGCTTGCATAGACTAAATTATTCTGTGGTAAGAGGCTTCTCGATTTGTGTATTAAAATTTTACCTACATAGGTTGCTTTTAATTTGCAATTCAATACCAAATTACCCATTTTCTCTTATTTGTATTCCCAAGTCAATGACTACATAAAGAAAGTAGCTCCTAAATTCTTTTAAACACACGTTTAGAACTCACTAAATATTAAATGTTTATAAAAACAAAGACCACTGAAAACAGACCTCTAAGAAATAGACCTGACAAGAAATTGTGGCACCTGAAAGGTGAAAAACTGAGGGAATGACTGTATCTCATGAAGTTCAAAATGCAGACTTTTTTTTCCTGTTTACATCTCAGAAATTGAGCTATATCTTATAGTTGGACAGGCTACAATTATGATGTAGTTCTGATTGCTGGCACAGGTGTAAATTTTGGTCACAGATGTTCACAGTTGGCCCTTTGAGGAGCTGTGTGAATTGTTGGTCCTCTAGGGGCTGACTTTAAATGCTATTTAAAATGATTTTCTGCTTGCGTTAGGTTGCTAGGCCTGCCATAGGAAAATATCACTGACTGAATTGCTTAAACAACAGAAATTGATTTTCTCATGGTTCTGGAGGCTGGAAGTTCAAGATCAAGTTGCTGGCAGGGTTGGTTTCTCCTGGGGCCTCTCTCCTTGGCTTGCAGGTGGCCAGCTTCTCACTGTATCCTGTCTCTAACAGGGACACTGGAAGGTGGGAAGAGAGGAGAAACAACTTTTTTTTGTTTCCAGTTCCTATCAGCTTTGCTCAAATAACAGAGGACAGCTGCAGTTACAGCCTTCGGATTCTTTTGGCAGTTCTGGATCCAGCCATACAGTGTGCCCCTAGAGAGATGGCCAGCCATGCCCATGTCAGCCACATTGTAACCCCCTTAGAGGTTCAAACACCAGACTCACAGGGCCAAGCTCCTAGGTCAGTGAACCTATTTTTATTCTTTATCATGGTATCAGCAGTTACCATATCTAGGTAGCCTCAGCGTCCATTTACCATATCTAGGTAGGAACAGCGTCCTGCATAACCAGTTCCCTGTATCAAATTGTCTCTATTTGAAATACCTGGCGTGGTTTATCTTTTCATATCTGGACCCTAACGAATATAGTTTCTTAAATTAGATGAAATATAATACCTCAATAATATTTAAGTGCATCTAAATTATCTGCTTATCTTTAATTATAGAGTTTCAATAAACCTCATTATGTAGATACTTAACCTCAATTCTTCACTTCTTCAATTTGGAGCTTTAGAGTTATTTTCTGTGTTCTCTTTTTCATCTTTACAGTTTCACAATAAGAGATAATTGGCTTTGTATTGTCTTCGTGGCTTCTGAAAGCTTTATTCACTGAAAGCTTTATCTGTAAAAGGTAGACATAAACAAAGGAATATACACACAGTTTTGCCAAGTGTAAAATGCACCTGTTTTTTGTAACTTTTAGAAGAGATGATTTTGAAAATATTTATAACAGAATATTTTCATGGATAAAAATGTCCTGGGTAAATCCAGATGCCACTGAGGATGAAAAAGCTTCCTAGATTTGATTCCTAGATTCTCTTTCAGAAAGTTGTTAACATGTGAGTTCTGGTCTTTGCTCACTAGAAATCTCTAGATTTCATGTCTGATACTAGCACTACTACCACACATCTCTATGACCTTAGGTAAGCCGCTTTCTACTCTGACCTCTATTGTTGCCCCCAAGAAAAACAAAGGGTTGGACAAGATCAGGGAGTCAAACTCCTTTAATATTACATACATATTTTGTCCCGCAAATCCCATATTTTAAAATTTTTTATCCACTTATACTGCACTTAAGTTTGGATTTCTCAGTATTTATTAGTCATAGACACAAACAACTTTCAATTGGATATTTGGAATTTTAAGTTTCTTATTTTTAAATTCACTTCAACTTTTTCAAAATGTTGAACATTATTCACTGGGCTCCATTATCATGTTCCTGAGCAGCTCTGCAGATGTTCTGATCTATTATCATGTTCCTGAGCAGCTCTGCAGATGTTCTGCTCCATTATCATGTTCCTGAGCAGCTCTGAAGATGTTCTGATCCATTATCATGTTCCTGAGCAGCTCTGCAGATGTTCTGATCCATTATCATATTCCTGAGCAGCTCTGCAGATGTTCTGCTCCATTATCATGTTCCTGAGCGGCTCTGCAGATGTTCTGCTCCATTATCATGTTCCTGAGTGGTTCTGCAGATGTTCTGCTCCATTATCATGTTCCTGAGTGGTTCTGCAGATGTTCTGCTCCATTGTCATCTTCCTGAGCAGCTCTGCAGATGTTCTGGTCCATTATCATGTTCATGAGCAGCTCTGCAGATGTTCTCCCTCATTATCATGTTCCTGAGCAGCTCTGCAGATGTTCTCCCTCATTATCATGTTCCTGAGCAGCTCTGCAGATGTTCTGATGCATTATCATGTTCCTGAGCAGCTCTGCAGATGTTCTGCTTCATTATCATGTTCCTGAGCAGCTCTGCAGATGTTCTGCTTCATTATCATGTTCCTGAGCAGCTCTGCAGATGTTCTGCTTCATTATCATGTTCCTGAGCAGCTCTGCAGATGTTCTGGGACTGTAAATGCTGGTCACAGTAAAATCCACTTCCCTTAGCAATCAAAACTCTGCACTCTTATGTGAATTCCATGATTTGTGTCAGAGAAAGAGCTCCATTGCTAGAATTGTCATCCAAATATACATAAAGGGAGCCACAATAGAATGGGACAAAATGGACACAAGCATCTGTTTTTTCAGAATCACTTTATTGATCACTCCCCACAGAAGCTAAAGCCATCAAATGACTGCTTTTATTCCAAGACTCAATCATGCATGGAAAGACAAATGTTTGAGATTTTATGTGTTCATATAATCACAGAATTGAATGGAACTTCAATTAATTAATCCAACTAGATCTTTAACTTAAAACCATTTTTTTACAATGGCCCTGGACCAGTGATTGTCCAAACTGTGCCTGAATAAATTACACTGACAGGTATGTTTATAATTCAAACTATGCAGACACCCCTAAACCAGCATAATTTTTATTGCCTGAAACCAAGGGCTAGTATCCCTTTCATACTCCATTACTGACACAGGGAAGGAAGGTAGTCCTTAAATAATATCTAATGCTAAAGAAAAGCTCAGATCTACTCAACTAGCATTTACTGGATAGTTTTGCTTTAGCTCACCTACATGAGATGGAAGTCATCACACCCTATGTTTATCTGCACAGGCAGAGAAAAGGAGACAGCGAAAGCAATCATATGGATAATTCAGGTCAATGTGAAAATGCAGCTATTGAAGTAAAAGAGAATTCAGAGTTATCTGAATCACCCAGATTGCCATTTGTTTTGGTTACATTGAAATAACTGCTCACTCTCTACTTAATCTGTATATTCAATCTCTCCCATATGCCACATTCATTAGAAAGAACATTTAGGCTTCCTTTAGATGGTTTTTCCTCTTTTGCAACTTACATTTTTAGAAAAGATTTGTATCACCCATTATTCAAGTAATTATCAGTTTCTAGCAGACTTGTTGATTTTCTTAATTAAACTTAGCTAACAAATCATTAAAAAAAGAAAAATGCAACAGTTTTTCCTAGTCCAGTTAATTAACTATTTCTTATTTTATTCTAAGACTCCTAGACTAGAAAGTAAATTGTGCAAGAAGCAACAGTTCTAATTTTACTACTGTCATCTTATGCTCCTGGTTCCAGGTTGCCAAGAAAATAATTATCTTAGAATACTGCTATTTATTGAGAATAGCATAACCAGCTTATGTCTTAAGGCAGATGATAAAAGGAAGCCATAAAAGAGAAACAACTTTTGGAAGTTTCACAAAAGAGACATGCAGGCTTTCAGAAACATCTCAAATTATTTTGCAGTGGTAAAATTTGTTATAATGAATATTGGACTTTTTATCTCATCATACTGCCTCACTTACTTTCTGACTAGAAATTGAATACTGTTGCGGTTAAAATAAATCGTCTCCCTTTTCAAATATTTTCCTATGGTCAAAAGCCATTTCCTTTCTCATTTTCTTAAACAAATCATTCATTTCTCTGTAATATTTCTCAAAGAAATCTCGTTTATTCAATTTCATAGATACCAACCTACTCCTGGTCCTAATTCCTGCCCCGTGGGTGATCATAATAATCCCTACACTGCGCTCCCTGCCTCCAGTCTTTCCCTGAATACAGTATAGTTGTACTGTGGGCAGGGGGAAGAGTGCCTGGGTTTAAATCTCAGCTCCAGCTGAGTGACCTTTGGTATGCTACTTTACCCATCTATTCCTCAGTTTTTTCATCTCAAAAATGGGGGTAATAGCAGTACATACCTAATTGATCCTGGAACTGTTTACGCCCTTTCCGGCTCTGTATCATAGGAGTGCCTCCCCTATGATACAAGCTGAAAAGGGTATAAACTGCATTTCTCAGGGTCACATATCAACTGGCTTCCACTGGGATCAGCCAATGGGTGGCACTAATGGGAGAATGGAGGGTGGGGGGAAGGAAAAAGTTCAGGGGTCCCTCTCCTCCTTGAGCAGGCTCTCCTGCAGTAACTGTACTTTCTCCACAGCTCTCTTGGGGTAGGCCCACCAGGGTTCTAAACTAAACCAGGTGACACCCAGCTCTGACCTGCAACATGCTACTTCCCTTTGTCCTGCCACCCTAGGGGTGACAGCAGCTTCCTGGTGCTGCTCATCTAAGCTGCTTCAGCATCACTTGTTGGCTTCCCATCTGTTTTATCCCTGTTAGATAATTTCTTGCATTAACTCTCTTCTATTTAAATACTTGAAGTAGGGTTTTCCTCATTAGACCTGGTTAAACCCTGAGTAATCCAGTACTTCACTGTGTTTCTGAGAGGTTTAAATGAGTTAATACATAAAAATGCTGCAAACAGTACTTGGGATTTGATAGATATGAGTAATTATTAAATATTTTTACATATTATTGTTCCATTAAGTAACTAGAAATCCCCTATGCTTTACTCTTCTGGGGATAAAATTGAGTTCACATTAACATTAATATTCAAATTTCACAAGCTTAGTTACTTTACCTGCGAGAAATCAGAACGCTAAAAACCATTTTACCCCCTCAGTATTCTAGGGTCCCCAAAGGTGACTCACATATACCCACAAACAAGTTGACTTCTTCTTTGTAAAATCTGTAATTTAGCATAGTATCTAATATACACATTGTATTAGATTCCTAGGGCTGCCACAACAAAGTACTAAAAACTGAGTGGCTTGAAACCATAGAAATTCATTTTCTCATAGTCAGAAGTCTAAAATGCAGGAAGCTGGGAGTCCAAAATCAGTGTCAGGAGAACCATGCTTCCTCTGAAGTTTCTAAGGAAGAATCTGTCCTTACCTCTTCCTAGCGTCTGTAGTTCACCAGTGTATCTTAGCAAGTCTTGGCTTGTAGCTACATCACTCCAATCCCTGGCCCCATCATCACATGGCCTTCTCCCTGTGTGTGTCTGAATCTCCTGCTTATAAGCATACCAGTCATTGCATTAGGGCCCACCTAATCTTAATTTGATTACATCTGCAATAACCCTATTTCCAAGGAGGTCACAATCACAGGTAGAGGGGACTTCAGTATCTTTTGGGGGAAGACAATTCAACCCACAACACATATGTTTTGCTTTAGACATATGTCTTGTGTGACACTAATTATCATAAGATGCCTGACGCAAGCATGATCATATCCATTTTAGAATTGGAAAGGCTAAAGTTAGAGAAATTAAGGGAACTATCCAAAGTAATGTGGTTATTTTACAGTCAGAACTTGAATTCTGGTTTTAAGGATCAAGTTCACTTCCTTTCAAATTGTATCATTTAATACTTGAATTCAGTGAGAACACCAATTTTAGAATCTTGGGACTTGAGGTTTAGGTTCCTTAACCCCTTGAGGGTTGAGCTGCTCACATTGTGAGGGAACTGTAAAGTAACATACAAAGGGCATGGATAGAGGGAAGAGTGAATAATTGCCACCCTTATTGCAACTTTGCTGCCACAGGGGTAACTGATGAATAGTTTCCTTCTCCCAGCTAGCTTTAAGTCTCCCCAGCCTCAGAGGCTACCAGTATTAGGACCACAGAGCCATGAACATCTGAAGTTTATTGCCTCCCCTCTTTACCCAAAGAGTGATCATCCTGCAGTCCCTCAATACATTTTGAAACTTCTTATAATTCTGTAGCTGGCTTCCACATAAGGCTTGAGCCTATTCAAAAGGAAAGGGTCATCATTTTAGAAATATGGAAGTACTTGTAGAATGGAGAAACGTATAAATATTTTTACTGCAGCAGACGGAATCATTTACATTGAATCGTATTTCTCTTTTTGCAAGTTCTAATATTCTTCATATTTCAACAGGTTTAATTTTTCATTTTGACACTGATTCAACCTCCTCCTCAATAGCTTATATCTATAAAAGCATATTTTAGAAATCTCTGTGAGGGGTTCTCTTTGTTCTTTTAAAAAACACACATATTAATAGTTTTCCAATGAGTGTATTCATTTGCTTAGTTTTTCTCAGCAAACATTCTTTTTCTAGATTCCACTCCTTTGCATTTATTCATGATTACATTCATACATACTGGTATGTCATTGTTCCTCAATAAATGTTTATTCAATAAATAAATTAGCATGTGCATGAGCTTCATTAATTCTCCATCAATAATGCCCATAAATAAAAGGTTACATTGGTCTTGAAATGTGTTAGTATCCTCCCATAATGACCCTGAATTTGGCCATGTGAGTTGCTTGTGGTGGAAGTGCCAGTTCTAAACATATGCCTCAAAACACATTGAACACTGCTGCTTGCTATCTTGAGCCCCTGAATCCACTATGAAAACAAACCTGAACTAACCTACTGAAGGATGAGAGACTACATGGAGAAGAACTGTGTCATCCCAGCCAAGGCTGTTCTAGCAGCCCTCTGCTGACCTGATCACAGATGCAGAGAGAGGCTGAGCATAATCAAGCCCAATTTCAATCAGCAAAAGCACCAAGCTGATCCATGATGAGACACAGTAAATAGTTATGGTTTTAAGGCATTTAGTATGGGAGCTGTTTGTTATGCAGAAATAGTTATCTGATGCAAAGACCAGTGTGGCTGGATTGCAGGAAGCAAAATGTTGTGCTAGATGAAGCAGGAGGAATAGACAGGGAATAGTCGATGTAAAGCCATATATACAGTAGAGAAGATCTGTAGTCCCCCCAACACATTTACTCTTCTTAAAGCCCCAGATTTGTTGCTAGAGTCTGTGCTTTCCCCAGTCTCAGCCCACGTGGTTTGTTGTGAGGCAGAATCTAGGTAAAGCATGTGATCCAGCCCTTGACCCCTAAGTATATCCTATTCCCATAGCCATAGTACTGGTTCAGGGAAGAACACATGACCTAAGTTAGTCCAATCAAAGTGAATGGCAGGGCTTGGATTGAGACTGCTGGGGTAAGGGTTTATTCCCACAGCACACAAATCAGAGTTGCTGGTAGTTGTGTTATAGCCACAGGAAAAGATCTCATTTGAAAAGAATCAACATAAAAGAGTTAATAAGTAGAGAGAGGAAGCATATCTTTATTAAATCTTTTAAAGTCCTGTGTCTACTAAGCCTTATTAGATAGAATTACCCGATAACATTTCCTTTTTTTGCTTAAGTCAGCTTGAATTAGGTTGCTTGTTACTTATAATCAAAAGAGTCTGAACTTATCTGCATTAAGTAATTTTATCCTTATCCTAGGAACACTGGGAAGACATTGAAAGGCTTTAAGCAGGGGAAAGATGAGTACATTTTCACTTCAAAAAGATCCTTTGGCTACTGTGTGGGAGAGAAGTTCCAAGGCAGGTATTAGAAGCCAGTTAGGATGGTTTTTCAGGAGTACAGGTGAGAATAAATGGTAACTTAGACTAGGGTTGGGTAGAAATCAAGCCAACTTCGAGTAATCACTTAACAGAAATAAAGGCTATATTAAAGCAAAGGGATATCCCAGGCTTGCCAATTCTACCTCTGTCTCTGTTAACGAAGCTGGGCTGCCTCTTCACAAGACCACAGAGACCATGCTGCTGATAATGCTCTCCCACACAATTGCGTGCGTTGCTTTCTGTAGCCTGTGCTCACTCCTCATTTCTCTGAGCTAAGTTCTCCTCATGCCTCCATCTTTGAACAAATTTCTTCTCTCACCTAAAACTGAGATAATCTCCAGACTCCATTTTTTGAACTTAAAGACCATCAGCATTATATACAGCTCTTGGCTCCATTTGCTCCTTCCCCCGCCCCTAGTTTTGGTCCAAGACTTTACATCTTTTGTACCAAAATTTTGCATCATCATACTAAGATAAATCCTAGAAAATAACAAACCTGGCAAAGAGCGAATATGGTTCATCAAAGCATTTTGGTAACAGTAAAAACTTTTAGCCAATAAGGGAAGTGTCATATAAATACTGTAGTATGTAACAATAAGCGAAGATTTAAATGATCGGTATGAAGATATTGTAAGAAGTTGAAATTTTTTTTAAAAAAAAAAGCAAGATACAAAATCATATGACCAAAATATTTACATTTAAACAAAAGTGTGTATTTAAAACTATAAATACTCCCGACCTCAGGTGATTCGCCTCCCTTGGCCTCCCAAAGTGCTGGGATTACAGGTGTGAACTACCGCACCAAGATCGCGCCATTGCACTCCAGCCTGGGCAACAAGAGCAAAATTCCGTCTCAAAAACTATAAATACATGTGCAAAAACTACAGTAGCTGTGTTTTAGGGTGCTGGCATAATGAGGGTAATTTTTTCCCTCATTTCTAAACTTTCTCTGATTTTCACTTTTTATAATTTGCCAGAAAAAGGAAAAATACTACAATCTAATCCTCTACTGTCCAATTAATTAATAATAAGACTCCAATTTTATAAAAACACATTAGACTAATTTAGATATAATATTATGATGGCTACTAATGTTGTGCCCACTATATAGATTTGGAAAGTAGCATCCAAGGAGAATATTGTTACTGGAACTGTTAGACAGATCCATATCCCTTATCTGCAATTTTTAGATCCAAAAAGCTATAAAAACCAAAGGCTTTTTGTAAAGCATTTGATGGTTAAACCTGACCTGAACTGACATGAGGCTACTTTTGCCACTTAAGGTGAATATTCATCCATTTCACTGAAGAAAGATTAGTGTGTTTGATTACAAGGTGCTCTCCCAGTCTCTGATGTGGTATGTGGTATATGTACTTTTCCAAAGTCCAAAAATTCTCATACACTCTGGCATCAAAGGGTTCCTATAAGGGATGACAGACTTGCATTTCTTCTCCTTCAAGTTCAATAATATGGTAATAATAACAATTCTCCTACTCATAACATTATCCTAGTCTCCAGAGTTACTGTGTTTACATCTCCTATGCACCACGACTTGCTAGTTTCATGCTGACTCCTCTCTATGCTCTTATTTCATTTGATCCTCAACGACAACTCTGTGAAGAAGCTTTTATTGTTTCAACTTTATAGCTGAAAGAAGTGATGTCCTGAGAGAAGTAACTTGACCATGGTCACACAATAGCCAGCAGTGGAGTTGGCATTCATGAGATTGCTCTGGGCTGCATTAGCATACTAGCTTCTCGACTAATTTTGTTTCAATAATTAACCGTATTTCCTTTCCCATGATTACTTGCCTAGGCAAACTCATTCCATTCTTGCATCTCTTTTCTGTCCCTTGCCTCTGATTGAGGTCAGGCAAGCAAGTCACCTGATAAACTGGATATTCTTTAAAGCTCTTAATGTTAACTGCTCTAGTCCTTTTGCCTTATTGAGAAAGAGAAATATTATTTATAAAGCTGTTTCTGCATGTCCACACACACATAAACATTCCATACAGTGTCTTCTTTAATCTCCCCATAGGGGATTAAGGTAGGTTTTATTATTTTAATTTTTAGCTGAAGATTCTGAGGCTGACCATAAGGTGATCTCAAAGTTGCTAAGAACGAAACTTCCGTTTATTAGATGACAACATTACACAGGGTAATATTTCCCAAAGTGCATTCCACCAATGAAGGGTATCAGAAGCATGAAGATTCCTACCCTCTCTTTAGAAGAAACAAATCAAAATATCTAGAGATGAAGCCCTAGAATCTGCATTCACGAAAGCTTCCCCAAGAGAATTTCTAACACTGGGAAGTTTGAGACACACTGATCTGGGAGAACCAGAAGTGGGCTTTGAAACTGAGGAGCCCAATATTCAAATCCAGGCTCTATCACATACCAGCTGTGTGACATTGGCTGTGTTATTTTCCTTCTCTGAGTTTCCGTTTCCTCTCGTATAATGTGAAGACACTTGTTTTCCTTGCCTCATAACTTGTTGTGGAGAGTAAATGAGGTACTGCATGTTATGTTTTTAGCTTATGATAAGACAGATGTTCAATAAGGGGCCATTGAAAAACTAATGGAATTACCTACTTGACTTGTCTCTGCTTCCTTTAGCTAGCTACGCTACTTTGCCTGAGTTTTTCTTTTTCTAAAATTTCTCCCAATGTCTGTTTGTTGACTCAACTTGGAGGCTGCATACTTGGAAACTAAATATCTTTCTTGTACACTTAATGCTCTTTTATTTGAGCTTGGATCTTCATTCACAGTAAAACATTATCAAATAAGATAAAAAGGATGTTTGCAGGCACTGATGGTGTGAGCTGGCATTTCCAAGCCTTGCTCACAGTGATGGAAACATTCTTAAGAAAATCCCAAAGCTAGACCAACCCCAATTTCACCTGTTAATAATGTTATTTGGTTTCTAGAAAGGGTCTTTGAGCACAGGTGGCCTTTTCATAACAACCAGATGTAGTCTAGGCCTCTTGCTCTGAGGTAGTCCCTGTGTTTTATCATGCTCATGGTCGTAAAAATGCCAAGAAAAATGCCATAAAAGTCCCAAGAAAATCTGTTTCTAATTTGTGGCTTTGACTATTTTTAAGGCTTTCTTTGACTATTTTTAGGAATATATAATCTATCCAAAATAGTAACAACATTAAATTCATGCAGTAGATAAATATTATATCTCACTCATTCATCTTCATCATGTAAAATGAACTGGTATTATGATTCCATTTCTCGGTTGGGAAAATGGAAGTAGTGTTTCAAGCCCAAACCTTCTGAGTGTATAGGCCTCATATCCTAGGTTCCTGAACCATCTGCACATAGATGTAGATGTTAAATTTCTAATTTCAAAAGTGTTCATGTTTTATTTCTTCATATTTTGGTTATTTGGGAAAATTAACAACTATATTCACTTACATATTTTTCTTACTCATTTTTGGACTACATATTTTATCAGAAGAAAATTGCATTCCTTTTATCACTGAAATGGCCAGAGCACTTGCTTGTTTGTTCAGATGTTATGGCTAAAAATCCCCATGGGTAGACTTAATTCCATACACAATCTATGACTAATGATTCTCGGAAATTCACGTTGAAATCATTACAAGAAGCTGGTATTTCAGAACCTCTGCCCTATGACTTTCCTCTAGACCACAATTTTGAGACTCCACTTCTCAGAGTTTTCTTTTTTATTATATCAATGTATTATCTATAACAAACGCATCAGTACATTATATGGAGAACATTTAACATTGAAGAGAGAAATCATTTTTATTCAGAAAACTGTATGATATAAATATTTTTAAGTGTTCAACATCACTAATCATCAGAGAAATGCAAATCAAAACTACAATGAAATATATCTCTCCCCAGTTAAAATGGCTTTTATCCAAAAGATAGACAATAATGAATGTTGGCAAAGATGTGAAGAAAAGCGAACCCTTGTACACTGATGTTGGGAATGTAAATTAGTACAGCCTCTATGGAGAACAGTGTGGAGGTTCGTCAAAAAACCTAAAATAGAAGTACTACGTGATCCAGCAATCCCACTGCTGGGTACATATTTGAAAGAAAAATATTAGTATATTGAAGAGATATCTACACTCCCATGTTTATTGCAGCACTATTCATAATAGCTAAAATATGGAATCAACCTAAGTGTTCATCAAAAAATGAATGGATAAGGAAAATGTGGTACATATACACAAGGGGATATTATCTGGCCATAAAAAAGAATGAAATTTTCTCATTTCAACAACATGGATGGAACTGGAGGACATTATGTTAAGTGAAATAAGCCAGGCACAGAAAGACAGATTTCATATGTTCTCACTCATATGTCAGAGCTAAAAATTTTAAACATTGAACTCATGGGGACAGAATAGAATGATGATTACCAGAGACTGGGAAGGGTAACAGGGCAGTGGGGATAGTTTGTGGAAACAAAAATATGGTTAGATAAAATGAATAAGATCTAGTAGTATTCAGTAGCCCAATAGGGTGACTATATTTAACAGTAATTTATTGTGTATTTTAAAATAACTAAAACAGTGAAATTGGAATGCTCCTAACACAAAGAAATAAGAAATGCTTGAGGTGATGGATACCCCATTACCCTGGCTTGATTATTACACATCATATGCCTGTATCAAAACATCATGTGTACCCCATAAGTATATACAACTATTATGTACCCATAATAATTAGAAATAAATTTTAAAAATAGAGCATATGCTGAGGAGTCTCGCATGCCTGGGTTTGAACACTAACCCCTCTATTTCCCGTACCAACTAACTGTAACATTGAGCAGCTTCTGATTACCATGCTATGAAACAGTTACAATGCTACCTTCAAAGGTTTGCTGACAGAAACAAACAAGACAAGATATCTCGGGTATATACTGGCACATAGTGTGCTTTAAATATGTTTATTTCACTTCTGTATCCATCTCACTCCTCATTCTGGAACCTGATGTTCCTACGCTATAAACTGCTATGGAGTGTGCTGGCTGAAAGCCTGGGCTCTGGCCTTGGATGACCTGAGTTTACATCCATCTCTGCCGTTTACTTGCTGTGTAATCTTGGAGTAGTTAACTCACCTTTTGGTGCCTCAGTTCCCTTACCTGTAAAATGGAGATAATAACACTAACTACTTCACAGGGTTGTCAGGAGAAGCCAATAAATTAATATGTGTAATGCATTTATCATGGCACAGAGGAAGGTGTAATAAGAGTTAGCTCTCATCGTCATCACTGTCTACATTGAACCTTTTATACTTTAAGATATTGTTTAGCTCAATAGGACAGTAGTGTGACATTTAATAAAGCTTTGCCTCTGTGCACTTTGCTTCGAAAGGTCTTCCAAAAAAAGATTCTAAATTATAGTTGCATATTACCTACCAAAAGAATCTACTTTATTATTTATAAACTCCAAAACAATTCAGAATATTTTTTATAAATCCATCCGCATCATGCAAATTCCCAACACCCAGGGTATATACTGTATTTATAACAACATAAAACAAGAGAAAGATATTTCAACAAATGACACTACTGCTTAGCAGTGTTATAGAGAAAATATGAAAACTTTTTGTTTGGTCAAGGCCTTTGGGATCAAAGACGATCTGCAGCTTGCTGAATTTTTCTACCATAATCTCAGGGATAATAAAATCACTTTTCTCTATAGGGATTATTCCTTGGGCAAGGATTTAAAAGGAGACAGGGCTTTGCTGGGCTTCTGTCTCACTAGGCTCAACCTGTGCTTTGTCCTTTATTAACACCGATTTCATTTTTGATAAGCAGGAGAAGGGATGCAAGCTTATGCTTTTTCAAAAGGCTAAACTACCAGCATCTGGGCCCGATGTGGTCTCCCGCATGTGATACAATCTGGGACTTCGTTAATTCTCTTTCCATTGCCTGACATTTAGGATTCTGTGCATTTGAAAGAAGGGGCAGTGAGCCCAGCAGACTTGTAGGAGTGTCACTTTGATGGCAGGGCCCTGGAGGAATTATCCAGGAATTCTTGCTGTTAATGGTACAGCCCTGCTATGCCCTGTGCCCTGTGTTTCTTCCTCCTTAACCCAGGGACATCAGCTCTATCTTAAACTCTGCAGACTCCCCCAATACCTTTCCAATCCTTTACTCCTTTTTTCTTAAGTGAGGCAAGGTTCATTTCTGATGATGGCAACAAATGTAACCTTAACAAATCTATTTATCGAGCACTTATAAGTCTCATGCTGTGCTATTTGCTTTTATCTCTTAGTCTCCTCAACAAGGTACTATTATTATCAGCCCATTTTACAGATAAGAAAACTGAGGCTAAGAGAGGTTGCATTACTTTCCTAAAGTCACACAGCAAGTTAGAGAGAAAGCTATGATTTGAACACAAACAGCCTAGCACAAATGTGCATGTGATGAACCCTGACACTGTACCCTTTAGGAGTTGGATCTAGATGAAAAGCTATTTAGCACCACTTATAATGCCTCAAGGACATGTAAAATTAAAACAATTGAAAACACTATGCCATTCTATACTAGGCAAGACTGGAAAAATGTTATTCCCATTGATAAAAATAAACAAAAGTAAAAGACAAATGTTTCCTTAGCTAAGTAAAAATATCCACGTCTCTGAACATAATTCAGGCAGAAATGAAATGCAGCCAGGTTTCACTGGCAGAATCATAGAGAATGTATCTGAAATAACAGAAGATTCAACCTTCTCTAATTATGACAGTGAGAATGGAAAGTAGGTGTCTGTTTAGGGTGCCCTCTTAACCTCCACTTCCACTCTTTGCTCACCTTACACTTCCAGAAAACACCTCCAGTTTCCTCCCACCTTGCTTCTCTGTGGGCTTCCTTACTACCTTTGTGTTCAAACTCTGTTTCTACTTTTTCTGTTTCTTAGACTGTCTTTCCTTGATAAATCTAGGCTGCCAGGTCACCTCTGTAAGTGGAAAGTGTGCTTGAAGGGTTTCAGAATGGATCACCCCAAGGTAGGGCTTTTAACCAGAGCAATGTGAAAGGGTTAATCACAATGGTAACTTACCTGCCATTTATTGTGTACCTTCTGTGGGGTGGGCACTGTGCCATGCTCCTTACTATGCCATCTCATTTGGTCCACATTCCACTCCATGAGGCAGGCATTATTTCTCTAATTTTAGAAATGCTGAAACAAAGACTCAAAGACGTTGAGTAACTGGACCTAATGTGTATCAACCAGGGTTTCTTTGCTTGAAGGCCACAGAAACCAACACTGGCAAATTTAAACACAAACGAAAATCAATTATCAGGATACTGATACCTTCCTGAATTCACAGAGAACTAGGAAATAAGACGAGAACCAGGAAAACTCCCAGCACCAGGAACTACTCGAACATCTGCTGGGATAAATGGGCCTGGGCATTTTTATCAGGTCTCACTCAAGATTCAAATCCTGGGAGAGAAGTTTGGAGTACTATCTTGCCTAGACTTGTATTCCCACGAAGACTGACCACAAAATGGACAAGATAATCCCCCCAAGGGAAGTCATATACTGTTAGGAAGGAGGGTGAACAAAATAGCACCTACATCCTTGATATTCCCAAGTGGCAGAAACAGAATTCAAACCCAGCTCCTTCTGACAGAAAATCCAGAGCACTTTTCTAGATGTTTGTGGAGGGAGTAGGAGGGAGGTCTAGGAAAACTAATAAAAGTTCTGGAAGCTCAACATCTTTAACTGAAGTGACAAGGAACAGAGCCATGCTGGACACAGAATAGGAGCTTGATAAATTCTTGTTGTATAAATAAATCAAAAAGATGTATAAGAAAGTCAGAGAAGCTTATATTCTGACTCCTATTGTCCCTGCTTTCCATCCTTGGGGGAACAGGCACCTCTTTGTCATCCTCAAAGCTTATCTGTCTGAATCATGCGTTGCCTGAGGATCTGAGCAAAATTAAAAACCTGAGCTTTTCTTTTCTTTATGAAACCAAGGCATTGCCTGCATGTCCCCCATGGGACTGGACAGTGAGTGGCCTATCTGATCAATGTGGGTCTAGGCAGACATACGCAGAGGAACTTTCCTTTGTGCAGAGATAGAAGGTAAACCACAGTGCCCATCTACGGCCTCCTGCTTTCAGAGGCAATCTGAATGATTCTCTTAAAAGTAAGTGTCATAAATCTGGCATCCTTTGCTCTCTTGATAATTCAGAATCTCAGAACCGACTGAAATAAGCTGATGAAAAGGTGCATGCTGTTTTGGTGAAAGAGGGAAAGAAGAAGGATTATATAATTGGGGGTGAGAAGAAGGAAGCCATTATCAAGACATGAGATTTCTCTGTCGGAGCTTACTTGGCTCTGGAAACATAAGAGGAGACTTTTCATCTTGAAAGGATTACTTGAATTTAATGTAAAAAATAAACATTGGAGGAGCTGTAGCTTTTCTGTCAACCCCATTGATCCTGTGACCAATGGTATTCACAAAGTCATACATCATTGGAATTGGAGCAACTTGATATTCATTTAGGTTCAAAACGAGGCCTCAGCCACGAGATTAAGAGGCTGGGCAAACTACTAAGTTCATTTCTGTCATTTGCAAGGTCAAACTCAAACATGGGCAGTTCAAAATAGCTCATTGATGAAAGAATAAGGAAGCTGCAAAGACGAAGAATCATTAGGGATTCCCTAGAACTCACCAGTCCCTGTCGAAAAAGCTGAATATCTTCCTAGTGAGAATGGAACTTTAATAAGGACCAACCATATTATTGTAAGAAACTCAAAGCAAAACTCATATGAAATATTTTATTTTTATGACTATCATTTCAGAGCTTAACATACCTTGTTTTGTGTCTCTAGCACAGAGCCATGGAGAAACAATCTAGACTTCCTTTTCCTTGTGAATTAAAAAGTGTATGATGAGTTTTCACAGAAGAGGTAAGAGGTAATAGCACTCAGTAACCTTGAACTCAAATTTCCTTAACCTTCAGAGACATCAGAAGTCCTACAGATCTTTTTAAATAATGAAAACATTTGGTAGGGGGGACTTATAACTTAAGTTACACAAAGGTGATTTTACTATTTTCAGTAATGTACTTTAAATCAAGACCACAGCACAAGGGGTATTCCTGATGTACCAACTGTTATAGACATAATCATTAAGATCCATTATGAAGATCCAATTAGGGAAAAAGTGGAGAATTTCTCAGTGTCCCATAGTTCATGAGGTGCTCAACCTCTTAACCTTTCTTACAACATGGGAGAAACAGACAATGTTACAACTCAAAGTAATTCCAAACACGAAGTTTGGCAGA
The DNA here is from genome assembly GCF_000001405.40 of Homo sapiens. NCBI lineage: Eukaryota > Metazoa > Chordata > Mammalia > Primates > Hominidae > Homo > Homo sapiens. The sequence goes on along the minus strand of NC_000003.12, from coordinate 26,064,783 downwards.
AATGTTGTCTCTCTTGCACTTGCTATCAACTCTCTTTCCTTGGAAGTCTGGAAGGTCAGGAATGTCAATGAGTAATTTTCATTCAAAGGGAACCTTAGACTGAGTTTTTAAATACCTGATTTCTATTTTATAACTATGGACCATGGACATAATAAAAACTTGCTAAATTGTCATTTAAATAGAGAAAAAAGTAAATTTTCAACAAAGAAAAAAAACCTGAGCTATTATTTAATAATAATAATTTAACTATTATTATTTAACTATAACTTTTAATTATTTATTATTATATAACTTAATTATTATTTAACAATTAATATTTAACTATTATTTAACTAATGTTAACAGTGGCTCCTTTAATAATTGAGCTGGTAAATTATAAAATGATCTAGCTAGACAAGATCAAATTCATACATTTATTCAATAGATGCTTAGTGAGCATATGCTATGAGCCAGACCGTCTTCTACCAGACACTGATGATACAGTAATAAACAAGACAGAAAATGTCTGCCTTCATGGGCTTTCCCTCAAGAGGTGAAGACACACAGTTGACATCTTACCAACCAACTATACCACTTTTCATGTTTTGCAAAGGGCACTGGAGAAAAACAAAACAGATTAATCTGATAAAGCATACATTCTTTGGTGCATATATACATTAATAAAATAAATCTTGGTATTTTTTATGCTTTAAAACTTGTTTGTTACTATATGTTTTCTTTCTACTGTCATTTCCCTTCCCATTTTAAGCATTCATTTTCATTTTCTGATTAAATAAATGTGAACAATGACTGTATTTCTTCTGGAATGGATTGTCTGAGTCTAGGATCATCTCAAGGTACTTTAGTCCTTTTTATTGTTGAACTTATGTCTAAGTATGCTGAGCGTTTAAGACTAGAGTCAACGATTCAATCATGTAGCAGTTTGATTGAAAGCTTTGCTTTTACAAATAATCCAAGTAAAAATATTCACTTTCATTAGGCTACCTAGCAATATATAAATATATGTTTTTTAAAATGTTAATATATTTTGGATATAGTACTTAAAGCACTCTGTTCAAAGTCATGAAAATCAAATAGCAACAGAGAAATGAATTATAAATCTAACTTAAGAATTGGGTTTAGCTTTGTTCACATCAAATGGAAAGGCTGTCTCTGAATTGTATCAGACTCCATTTCTTTCCCATTAGTGGTGATAACATTTCCTGATTGACAGTTTTTATAACAATTTCTGATACTGATATAAACTCTTTAAGTTCCTTAATGTACTTTATGTATTAAGAGTAACTCTTGACCATCCTCACAAATGGGAACAAAAAAATTCTGGCAAGGGAAAATGCAGTCATAATCCACAAACCTAAATCTAGCCTGAGATTCAATCATTACCAACCCTTTGACCAAAACTGCTATTTAAAAAAAAAGGAATGAACACTGAGTTTTCTTTCCTTTGATTTTTTTCATTCATGAAAATATTTCAGTCAGTAACATGGCCTAGAAGCAAACAAGAAAATAAGAGAAGGAAAAACCTCTGCATAATCCACTGTCTGAATAACCAATCCCCAGATCGCAAAATTCACTAGAACCCTCAGAAAGGTGAGCAGGATTGCTGTGCCAGTAGAAAGAAAATGCAACCCTATCTTTCTAAAATTCCTATCTCTAAGTGAAACCATTTAATCTCATTTCCACAGCATCAGAGTATTGGGGGGATGGGAAAGAAGAGCAAAGCTAAAAAGGCCTAGAGAAACACATCTGCAAGTACAAGAGGGAAGGCTACTTGCTGTGAGAAAATGGTTCCTAATGTCTTTAGCAGCACTCGGATTCTTGAGTTCAACAGAAAGCCATATTCTCCACTAAGATACAAATAGGAATGAAAATACAGTCTTTTCTCAACTCGGGAAACTGAATGCAGAATGTGTATTAGGTGGCCATGAGGAATTACTCTGGATTTTTTTAGATGTTAGCATAGCATGATGGTTATGAGATAGTTTGTCCTTACAGTTGAGAGTTGTGGGCTGAGGTAGTTAAGGGTAGAATGTCATGTTGGACACATTTAAATAGGTCATCAATAGCAACCTATATCTACATAAATTGAGTGTGACAGCATGTTAACAATTTGAATAAAAGTAGTAAGTTTGTGGGTTGCATCTTTTTTTCTATTCCTTCAACTTCTCCATATGTGTGAAAATTCTCAAGCTAAGAAGTTGGGGAAAATGCAATAGAAAAAAATGATATTATGGCTTCCAATCGAGTAAGAAGTACAAATATACAACTAATTATAAAACAGACGGAATAAGTGTCAAAATATAACTTCACTTGTTTGATTTAAAAAAAAAAAATATATATATATATATATATAAAATGTGTGTCTTTCCTTGCATTGTCCTCTTTCCCTTTCTGAAGTCCAGCAGTCAGAGGAGTGCAGCAGCAGGTTGGAAAGAAGAGACTGTGCAACACACTTCCTGCTTTGGCTTTTGTTTTCCAAAGTCTAAGCTGATTGAAGAGATTATTCTAAAGGCAAAAAGAGAGAAGAGGAAAAGCCTCAAAGACTGAAAAGGGCACAGGGAAGGGTCTCTTGAGCAGGAGGGCTGGCACTCTGCCTCCTTAAATGTCCCTGGTAGATGATAAGGCCTCTGAGGTATTGTTGCTAGGAAGACCACATCCTAAGCTCTGAGGTTCACAGCATTGTCAAACATTCCTTAGATTACTATCAATGGTATTCTTTCCAAAGAATAATCTGAAAATTGCTCTGCTTGGGAGACCTCTCTACTATCATTCTTCTTACATGCTCAGCAGTTCCCTAAGTCCCAGAGGCAGCAATAAAACCATATGACCTAAAGCCTCCCTAACCAACCTCTAATATGTGTGGCCTGCCCCCAGCTAGTTTTCTGTTCTGTGCCAAATTTTCACTCCAGTTCTCCGCTGAGGGAGTCTGGATCTCAGATTCACTTGGTGTTGAACTTTGACAAACCCCTACACTCAGTTTGGACCAGGCTTTATATATCTCTACCTGCTGAATAATCAATGCATGAACCTCAGTGGGAGGTCCCTGGGTATAGATACAAAAGTAAGCATGGCCTGTGGGAAGTATCCTGCAGTTTATGATAGCATCCTGGGCCCCAAGCCTGACACTGACGCTGCCGTTATCAGATGAGGCTTTAGGGTTTTTGACGGAAGAGTGAGTATGTGGAACGGCTATGCATTGTTGTGGCCAGACAGCTGACTTAGGTAGATTATATTTCCAAAAATACCTTCATCAATGTTTTGGATTCCAAATGTTCTTCCATTATCTTTACCATAAAAAGGTAAATCTATTCCTCTCCCCCTTGAAATGAGGTGGGCCTTTGTAACTGCCTCAATGAATAGAATGCTATAAAAGTGACACTGTATCAGAGGGTAGGTTTGAACAGGCAATACAACTTCCACTTGTCTCTCTATCTTGGAACGCTCACTCTCAGAACCCAGCCACCATGTGGAGAAAATGGTCAGACTACATGGAGAGGGAATGTGTAGATGTCACAGCCAACAGCCACCATTAACCACCACCAAGAATGTGAGTAACAGTGATTTCAAACGATCCTAGATCCCAGCTGTCCATCACACCCACTTCTTGAGTCTTCAATCTTAAGGTCCAGACATTGTGGATCAGAAGCAAACCATCCCTGCTGTTCCCTGTCTGAGTTCTTGACCCACAGAATCCACAAGCATAATAAATGGTTGTTCTATGTCACTAGGTTTTAGGATCATTTGTTACATGGTAATAAATAACCACAACATCCAAAAAGATGCAAATGTCCATGGTGTAAACCTCCTTATAATTCCAACATCTTTTTTCAAATAAGAGTTTAATAGAATGCCAAGAAAAATCTTGAAGGATAAAAGGTGCATCAAATGAGCATCTATGTAGCATGGGCACATATACAAGAGCTGGTTGCATATGTAATGCTGAACCTCTGCCTTCTGCAACATCAGATGTGATGGTCAGAAGAAAGCCTCTTTCTTCCCTTTCCCACAGATGGAAAAGGTAACTCCAGGACCACTTCCCAGAGAAGCAGTTCTCCACATATACATACATGCACAAACCAGAAACTTTGCTTTCCAAAGCCACCCAGAGCTTCTTTCCACACCCACAATCTTATTCAAGGAACTTCACAAGCACCCCCAATGTGCAGGACAGATTATAAATGCTACTGGTGTTCCACTGAAGAACTTGTTTGCTTGCCTTGCTTCTATCCTCCCTCTTGATATCACCACTCCCTATCCTCTTTAGTAAATAACTTTGTGATACATGGAATGACTGGCCACTATTATTTACCCCTTCCTGTGTCCGTGCCCTTTGGCTGTGAATTTGCTCTTCCTTCTGCTAGAAGAAAGAAATATTTCCCAGCTCCACGGTGTTGAGCTTGGCCACGTGACTTGCTTCGGCAAATAAATGTAAGTTAAAACAGCAGTGTGCCAGTCTGAGCTCAGGGTTTAAGACGCAGCACATTTCCACTTACCTCGTATCTCTACCACCACTGTGAGGTTACTTCAAATGGTATAAACTAACAACAGAGGACTGTTGGAGTTTATTTATTCTGTCACTAGTACCCTAGAAAGGATGTTTGTTTTCACTAGAAAACCTCTTTCCTGTCTTACGCATGGCTATTCTGCTTTTCCTTTAATTCTGTTGAGCACTCTGTATCCTTTTAGTAAATTTCTTTCTTTGCTCAATGCTATGATTGGAATATTTGTGTCTCTCCAAAATTCATATTGAAGCTCAATCTCCAAGTCAGCAGTATTAATAGTCCTTTGGGAAAGTGGTAAGTCATGGGGGCTCCACCCTCATAAACGGGATTAGTGCCTTCATAAAAGGGCTTGAGTGAGGTCCTCCTTCTGTCTCTTTCCCTCTCAGTCGCTCCCACTCCTTCCACCATGTAAAGACACAGCAACAAGGTGCCGTCTTTGCATCAGAGATAACGGCCCTCACAGACACCAAATCTGCAGGGGACTTGATTTTGGACTTTTCAGCCTCCAGAACTGTCAGAAGTAAATTTCTATTATTTATAAATTACCTAGTCTGAAGTATTTTGTTACAGCAGCAGGAACAGACAAAGACACTCAAGTTAATCAGTAGTGATGTCTATTGCTGGCAAAGAACCACTGCTTATACAATGAAAGGAACATGACTAGGATGTTTGGAAAAAAAAATGTTTATTGAAAGAAATCTAATCCTCTTTAAACAAAGGAGCCTAGCTCAGAAATAGGCAACTCGGGGGTGGAAAAAAGAATAAAGAACTGGATGTTAAAAATTCAACCTTTGCAAAGCTCTCTGGAAGATGGGGGTAGGGCTATAAAATGTAAAAGGCACAAAATTTGACCTTAACCAAAAGACCCATTGTGCTTGACATTTATACAAAAGCCTCTACATTCACAAAAATGAGATTTGAACCACAGCTGGCCAATTAAGAGAAAGAAATCCTCTGTAAATCAGTTACAAGCTTTAGCTTTCTGCTTGCCAACCACAGTAACTGCTGAATCTCTAATAAGTACTCAAAGTACATGTACGCACACACACACACACACACAGAGCAAACCTTCCTAGCAAATGCAGCCTTGGATCAAATTAATCAGAAAAACTTGAGTGATTTCACACAACATGACCTGGGCTCAACATTGTGATTATTTCTGGGGCCGTTGTATGTTACGTTATTTTTATACTAGTTTCAACAAGGCTTGCTGTGTTTCCCAAGTGTAATCAATCACATTTCATTATTTTCAGGTTTCTCTCAGCTGTTACCCTTGGCTTTGGGATAACCATGTGGAATTTCACAGCCCAAGCAAACACGCAGGCTGTATGGCATTTTCATTTCTCAGTCTTGGCAGGCTATGGAAAATGGGGATCAGTGGCTATGTTCAATCATTCATCCTGCAAGAATAGCATTCTTCATCTGTTGCTTTTTTTCTTTGCCACAAAACTCTTCTATTTTTCTGCAGTTTATAAGACATGAGATTTTACTAAATTTTAATGTTAAGACAAAGCACTCAAGTTTGACCTTATATGCTCATTTTTCATTTTATGAAAAACAGAGCAAAAGCATAAAATGGATTCACACTTGGTTTGCCTCAAAACACCTCCAGTTCTGAGTTTCAGTATTCTATAACACATTAAATAGTTAAAGCTAACAGGAAAAATCATCCCAAACCTAAGCATATAATGAGAAACACATTTTAATACTGTTATTTAACATTGTTCTTAAACCCTTTTCTTTCCCACCAGAAACTATACTATGAAAGGCAGAGAAACCTCTCTTTATAATTGTAAGTCTGAAAAAATGAAAATTTCAAATACATGTTTCTCTATAGAGAGATCCAGAATCCAAGTGAGCTAGGAAAAAATTACAGACCTGGGAAAAAATTAGTGTGAAGTATTTCCCTAAGTAGTAGAATTCCTACTTAGGGCGAAGGGGCATTCCCAGGGCTAAGGATGCATTAAAAGCAAGTCAAAATATTGGTGGAGGGGCAAAGATTGGGAAGTGTATGTACATTTTTATTACCTAACATGTCTAGTCTGCCCCATTGCTGGCTCCTAATTATTAGGCATGTATAATACAAGGTTACTACTATGTAGTCCATTTTAAAATGTACCTACTAAAACATGCTCAATGTATGCAAACACTGTTTCAATTTCCAGAAGACTAAGGCAGAACTGAGTAAGATCCATCTCAGTTTTCACGGAGGTTACATGGTAAGGAAAGCAATCACCCATATACGAAGCAGGTAAGTGCCACACAGCAAGACATATAAAGGAGTTTCTTCTGCCAAAGGAAGAAGGGAGGAGACACACGATGGAGAATCAGGAAAGGAAAGCTTCATATATGGCTGGATTCTGAGCTACCAATGGAAACCTACCGGCTAAATGAGGCCCATGCATGGGTTTCGTTCAGCACATGTGATATTTTAGAAGTATTTTCTATAAATTCACTGAAACTTCTGAATATTGCATTAAAATATCTAGAATTCTGGCTTCTCTTGCAAAATCCAAAAATTCTAGGTCTACATTCTAACCCGGTAGTAGTTACCTAGATGAGAATAGTGGCTATCCCTTTAAACCAGACCCAAGTTTTCCAGTTTGCTACAGTCCCCATCACTCCCTGTTGCACCCAACCCATGACCTGCTTTATTCCTTTCTTTCAACTGCCTTGCTCCTACATGAGTCTGCCTTAAAAGGAAGATAGGATGTCAATACACAGAGTCAGAGAGGGGAGACCAGGGCAGAGATACAGAGGCAGGACATTTTAGGTTACACTGGGGGAACTGTGAACAATCTGCTTGGGCTTAAGTAGGAGATACATTTTAAAATAGATAAATGGTAGCTGGGACAGGAGAGGGAGCCAGGATAAAAAGAGTTGACTTAATTAGGTCAAAATGTGAAGTCAATTAAGAATGTTAGATCTGGGAATTGCCACCATCTTATGTCATTTTCAGAAGGATTCATCATAGGTGAGCAGAACAGAGCTAGGATTCTATTGCAGATGTTCAGGTAAAGTGACAGAAGGAATTGGAAAGAATGGCATGGACTTGGTGAACACTGAGGAGATAATATGAATAGGGCTTTGGCACTGCGTAGATATGGTGATTGGGAAGGAGTGAAGTGGGCAGGGAGAAAAAAACCAAAAACATCTCTAAGGCTGGGGTCACAAGCTCATGGGTCTTCAGGGAGAGGCAGGTAAAAGAAATATACTAAGTGGCAGGTACAAAATGCCAGGGATTCCACTGTGGAAATTTTGATAAGCTGGGGAATGCATATTCAAAATCAATTTACAAAATCAAACAAACAAACAAAAAACAGTGTGTCCATCAAACAAAACATATTAATACAACAGAATTAGCCAGCCACAAGCCCTGAAACTGGTTAACAGAAAAGTCATGCTTATAGGTCATTCTGATAGAGTTGTCCATCAGGCCAGAATAGACACTCAGCTAAAGTGCGGAGGGAAAGAAAGGCATGACTTTTGATTTGAGAATTAATGAATAATGATAAAATCTTGGGATTTTGGATCATAGGATCATGAACTCGTCCACATGTTGATGATAGCTGAGTCTATAGAAGATGAAAGAACCAAGGGGAGAGGTAGGAAGAGAATAGATGCATCCCAATGGCTGGTCTTTAAGGAGCACTGCGTGATAAGAAAAAGGAGGCTGAGAAGTGAATGCGGAAGTGGGAAGTGAACTGAGATGATACAATATGATGAAAAATATAGAAGGAAACATTTTTAAAAAAGAGAAAAAAATCCTTGATATAAAATGCCAAGTATATGACACTGTCCCTCTCTCAAAGACCCATTTAATTAAAATACCTTTTCCCCAAAACCAATAATTTCTACAATAGCTTTCTACAGTGTCAAGTAAATAGGGTTCCATCTGTTCTTAGATCTTTGTTGCCTTCCCCTTTGCCCCAGGGCAAGTTCCAATGCCACATCATGATTCATAGGCAAAATGATGTTTGTTTGTTTGTTTACCACAAATTTGCCCCTGGCATAAGCAGATGCAGAGATGGTCTTCTTTCTACATGATTTCTTAAAATTTTATCCACTGCCTTCTTTGTTGGCATTTGGAACTGCTCAGAGGAGCTAAGTTTCCATGAGTATCACTCACCTTTCCCCAGGAAGCTAGGAAGTGAGGAGTGAGGATGCAAAGATACCATAATCAACAGGAAACCTTCTCTGGATGAAAAGGGAGAGAAAATTCAGGAGATATGACTGAGTATTCTGAAGCTCAAAGCTGTAAATCTGAATTGAATCCACTTTATGTTCTAACACCCTCACAGAAGCCAAAACTACTCCTAAATCACCTAGCTTATATCCCAGGTGACCACATGCAGGACTAGTAACTTTTGCCCTAAAGATAAATAAATAGGCCAGGGGTAGTGGCTCTCGCCTGTAATCCCAGCACTTTGGGAGACCGAGGCGGGCGGATCACAAGATTAGGAGATCGAGACCATCCTGGCTAACACGATGAAACCCCGTCTCTACCAAAAATACAAAATATTAGTCGGGCATGGTGGCGGGCACCTATAGTCCCAGCTACTAGGGAGGCTGAGGCAGGAGAATGGCGAGAACCCGGGAGGCAGAGCTTGCAGTGAGCTGAGATTGCGCCACTGCACTCCAGCCTGGGCAACAGAGTGAGACTCCGTCTCAAAAAAAAAAAAAAAAAAAAAAAAAAAAAGATAAATAATTTTTCTTCCAGCTTCATTGAAAAGAATGAAACCACAAATAGGCATGGCATACTATTTTTTCATTCAGGGAGCATCTGTCACCCAGAAATTGCAACAAGTGGCTAGGAATTGCTTAAATTCTCCATGGCAGAAGAGGCATGTGATAACTGAGCTTGATCCAGTGGGCTTCAACGCCCTTTAAGAGGCCCTGATTTGAAAGATGGCAAGAGCTCCTGAGATATCCTTGATTTGGATGCTCCCTACAGCTTTGACTTTGAGATATTCTATCATTCCATCTGCAGTGATGTGAATGTTTATGTTCCCCCCAAATTTATATGTTGAAGTCTTCACCCCAAGGTGATAGTATGAGGAGGTGGAGCGCTTCACACTCATGAATGAGATTAGTACCTTTATAAAAGAGGCCCTACCCCATTATGCACCATCTATAAACCAGAGAGCAAGCCTTCCATGGACACTAACTCTTCTGCTGCCTTGATCTTCAACTTCCCAGACTCCAAAACCGTGAGAAATAAATTTCTGTTGTTTATAGGCCACCCAGCCTATGGTATTTTTTTATAGCAGCCCAAATAGATTAAGACACCATCCTATACTGGGTGACCTCACTGCCTGAGCTAGTATCCCACATAATTTCTTTAGAGATGGGGATTGAGAAAGCAATTATCTTCCATTTTTCCACCAATGGTGGTAAAGTTCCAAAATAAACATGGATAATGGAGTCCAACGTCACAAAACTGAGACAAGAAAGAGCTCAGTCTACACCTAGAAAAGGGAGGATCGTGTGGTATAGAGTGAGTAGCTTTGCTCAAGAGGAAATAATGTCTCAAACTAGAAATTATCCAACTTAACCACAAAAGTTGAAAAGGAAATCAGATGGCAGGGTGCAGTATGACATATGGTGTTTCCAAAGTGGACCAAGAGGCCATTGCCTCCACTCTAATGAAGAAGCCAAGGGCAGAGAAGCTTGCCCTCCTGGTTCCTCAAACACATCAGGCATTTCCACCTTTGCACATTGAATCATACTATCCATCATCCCTATTTCTCTGTCAGCAGAATCTGACCTTTCCTTCATGGTATGGTGCAAATCCTATCTGCTTTACAAGGATTTCTTACGTTTCTGGCCTATGTGCATCACTTTTGTCCTGAGAATCTCTCCAGTATTTTTAGAAGGCAGTACTCATATTAGCTCTTAATCATCCATGAACCGTCTTAGATGCTGCAAGTGAAAGTCTAGGCCGGGCGCAGTGGCTCACGCCTGTAATCCCAGCACTTTGGGAGGCTGAGGCGGGCGGATCACGAGGTCAGGATATCGAGACCATCCTGGCTAACACGGTGAAACCCCATCTCTATTAAAAATACAAAAAATTAACCTGGCGCCGTGCGCCCGGTGCCTATAATCCCAGCTGAGGCAGGAGAATGGCATGAACCCGGGAGGCGGAGCTTGCAGTGAGCCGAGATTGGGCCACTGCACTCCTGCCTGGGCAGGAAAAAAAGAAAAGAAAAAAGGAAGTCTAGTTCAGACTATAAACTCCTAGAGGACATGAACTCTCTCCTTGGATGTCTTCACGTCCTCCATAGCACTGGCACAGTGCCATGCCACCAGGCCCTTCTAATAGCCACCATTGAACAAAGCCTATGCAGAGATACTTGACCTGATACAAGCAATAGAAAAATAAAAGGTTCAAAGAATTTTCTTTTATTATTTAAAAGAAATAGGTAATTATCTCTATAATACTTTGCCAAATAAATTCATGCTGCTGATTCTCAGGTAGCAAGAAAATTCACTAGAGAAAAACATATTTTCTGAGTCTTCCACAAAATCCAAGAGTCTCTTAATGTGCAACATACTTCCTTTTTCCCTTCATCACCAAAATTGCCATTATTTCAACCAGTTGCTGTTTATCAGATCAGATCACCTGTTTCTATGCAGGCTGAGGATTTGCAGTCCGCCTGCCTGCTTGCCTGCCTGCCTGACTTCTTTCCTTCCTTCCTTCCTTCCTTCTTTCCTTCCTTGCTTCCATTCATCCAACCTCTCCCTTCCCTTTCCTGCCTCCCTTCCTTTCTCTTTTTTCATAAAACAGTGCAAGATACTTTTCTAGATTCTGAGAATACTGTGGTGAATAGGACAAAACCTCTGCACTTAGGGAGCTTGCATTCCAGTGGAGAAATAAACAATACATGTGTGAATAAGTAATAATTATCAGGTAGTGAACAGCACTATGGGAAAAAAAATAAATCAGAAAAAGAAACTAGAAGGTAATGGGGATATAAAGAAACAGAGAGATTGGGCGCCTGAAGACGTAACATCTGAATGGAATTAAAAAAAAAAAAAGGGGGAGCAAGCCAGGCTTCAGTAAAGAACACCCAGGCATAGGAAACAGCAAGTGCAAAAACCCTGGAACATACCTAATTTGGAGCATTTAAAGAATAATAAGGAAGCCATTGAGTCTAGAGGAAAATGAGGAAGGGAGAGGAACAGTGTGAAACACGATTGATCAAGGTGGCCAGAGTCAGATTTATATAAAGGCAGTGGGACAAACAGAGAAAGGAATTCCTCCTTAAAGTAGAAAAAAAAAAATTTAAGTGACTCTTTCGCTTGTGATCTCAGTTGAATTCTCCAAGCCCATAGGTGTGGGGGCTTTTTGCTTGTGAATTTGTTAAACTTTCCCCAACAGAAAAAAATCTGAAGGGCAATGAATGAATCCTTTGTCATTAAGACTCTTCCTTGTGAGTCAACATGGAAAAACTGATGGTTAATCTGATGGGTAATTCCAGGTAAAAGGAAACCTTTAGGCCTGAATTTATCTTTATTGGTTGTTGAAATCTTTTAATGAAATGATTGTCAGCTTTCTATTCTTTAGTGTGGGGCAAACAATAGTCATCTAGCTATGTGATAATCCACCCTTTATATCTTATTTGTCAGGATGGGGGGAACCAGGAGTTATCTATCCATCACTATTTATACAGAGCTGTGTAATACAATCTATCTCTTATATTCACATTGAGTTCACTTGAGTATTGAGTTAAAACTCCAGAATAAAATTTTGTTTATCACTAACATTATTCCAAATGCAGTGTTTTTATATTTACATTGAGTTCACTTTATCATTTAGTTAAATCCCAGAATAAGATTTTATCAGTAACATTATTCCAAAGGCAGTATTTTTATATCAGTGATCTACACACAAGTTTAAAACTATTGATTAGTTCTGCAGGGTCCTTAGAAATCCAAGGATTTTGAATTGTCCTGACAGATGTCATTAGCATTTCACCGACATAAGCTGGTTTGTTCTAGCTCAATCCCCAGTTCAACTAAAGGAGTTATTTTATCTGTTTAACAGATTTAAAGAAAGGATTGAGTGGTTTAAAATTTTCAGAACTACAGATAATCAACTCTTCTCATTTCACAGATAAAGGAAACAGAATCCAATGTAAAGGTATGTTTTCCATGGCGACAGAGTTCTGAGCCCTGAATGTGGCATTTGGCAACAAACCATGGCACCATTTATTTATTTATTCACCAACCTTTTGAGCATTCAACTCTCCCAAGCACCATGCTCAGCAAAACAGAATACGGTAGAATCTCAGTCTTAGAGTATCACACTATCTAGTATAAGAAGCAGGTTAGTAAATTTAAAAAAAAAGAAAAATACAATTAATATGATGAGAGGCATTAAGGAGATAAGTGCAAAATACCAAAGCTGCCCAGATGATGGTGTGACCATATAGAAGCAGAGAAAACTTCACAAAGAAGGTGACATTTAGCAAATCTTCTTAATCACTTTACTTCCTAAATAATCTTTTAACATTTTGATGTAATTACTGGCCAAGATTGCTTGGTGTGATAAAATACATTGTTCTTCAAAGTTGTAATATTCTTATCTATGTATTTTATACACTCTTTGCATCAATTTCCAGAATCTACACCACATCTGGCTCCATCAAAATATTTTTGTACCTCTTTTCATTCACTAAATGGAATGGCATTTCTTTGAACTTTGATTAATTCAGTGATCACTGAATCTACCCCTTTTACATAAGGTAATAGTTATATGAATCTGTTCTTTGCAGGGAAAACTCAACACGAATATCCTTATGAAATATATTTATTCTTTGTTCATTTTGTTCATTCTTCTTCTTAAACCCCATAAGCCATAATAATCCTAAAAAGGAAAAATTGGTCAAAAGTCCTTCTGTGAATGGCATTTGTGTTTGGTTTCTCAGATTATGATTTGTGTAGTAGAAGTCCCATCTTTTTAAAAACATGCACACAGTCAATCCTACATAAGTCTCTTCATCATATGTTTTCAAAATATTTTCTCTACCTGAAACCCAATGGCCTTCTTAGAGATTAAGACAGGCTTAAACAAGAAAGAGAAGTATATTTGCCTTCTCCAAAATAAAGAAGCAGAGAATGTGTTTCTCAAGTGGGCTAAATTAAGGCTTTTGGAGCTGAAGTTTACATTGCATAGTTTTACAGATTTTGTTGGTAGAAACAAGTTTGTTGTTTAGGGTTTCATTTTGCTATCTTGTTCCACAGTAAGAAAAGTCACACCACTTGCAAAACTGAGAAACTTATTAGAATCCTGTGGTGTTTGCCTGCTTTGATTTCACACAGTGGAACCAACATGAAATGAAGGATAACACTGCAAAGGGAAATGTGAAACACTTGCAAAAAATCACAGCTGGAGATGGCACCACCTAGGCTTCAAGGAAAGCATCTTCCAACTTAGCATCCTCCTTCTTCTCAAACAGAGGTAATTTCAAGTTTCGTTTTATCTAAAAACTTGCAACTAATGCTGAGGTCTTAATTGTGGATTAGAACTGTATAATACAGTTAAGATAACCGCTTTAGAAAATACCAAGGAATTTTTACATTCATTTTAATGGTTCCAGCTTACCTCAGAAGGGCTTTGAATCATCAGGTGGTTTTAAAATGCCAAGTAGGACTGCTGGGCAATTGAGTTGACATGAGAAAAGGTTGAACTAAATCAATAAATGTGTGGATTTCTTAAAATTCAATTTATTGTGAAGCATCTTTGCCAGTATTACTAACAAGCACACTAGGAAAACCTAGTGCAAGAATCTCACCAAAAATCAATTAGATAAATACGCTTCGGGAAATGTATATCAGAACAGATGAATAAAATTGGATAAAATTTCTGAGACACACTATAGAAAACTACAGATGCAAGCCAAGGAGAGAAGCCAATGTATAACCAGTAAACTAAACTGATAATTAAAGGAAAAATATTCTTAGAATAACATATTCACTTTTTCATTAAAAAAATGAAATAAAAAACTTCTCCAGCATGAATCTGTCCAAATGGCTCAAGCTAGGACACTGGCTTGTGAGAATTCCACAAATGAACATTATGAATTTCCTAATGACACTATCTGTTCCACTGGGTTACAAAGTCTCCAAGGAGAAGAACATATGCTCATGACTGACAAATGCAAATTTTTTTGGCAGAGGAAAACGGCCTTTTCTCCCACTGCCTTTGACTGGCTATTCCAATCTATGAATTTAAGATTGATATAGATTTCAAAGTGTCAACCTGATTCCTAAATAATTCTTGCTAATGTAGATCCTAATGTCTCCCAGTAAATATGCTCATTAACAAAACTTTGACAAAGCCTGTACGTTCCTCCATATTATTTTAAATAAATAACAGTAATATTTGACTAAATCTCTCTGCTAAAAATTTCCAATGTTATATAAATATCTGAAGTTTTCTTTGACCTTTAGCCCCAAACCTGGCTCCTCCATTTTGCAATGAGTTCGCCACTCCTTTGTCTTGAGTACATACACATTAGAACACATATGTTTTGTGATGTTTGTGTCTTATAAATGGCATCATATTATACATACCCTTCGGAATTATGTTATTGTTGTTGTTCCATTGATCAATGGGACATGGACTTCTTCCACCTTTATACAAACGGACCCGCCTCATTTTGTTTTCATCAGCTGCATAGTACTCCTTAGAAATTTAACTATGTATTTTGCTATTCTTCATTGATGAATAGTTGGTTGTTTTTAATTATTTGCTTTTTTAAAAACTCTTCAATGATCATTTTTGTATATGCCTCACTGGGCATAACTCAAAGTTTTTTTTTTAAAGTATAGACAAGAGAAATGTGTTAACCTCTTTAATTCTTGTGCTAAAATAGTATGAAATAAAGGATGGCATAAAATGCCATTTTCTTTTATTCTATCAGAATAAAAAAATAAAATTAGAACTTTCTAATTTTTTAAAAAACACTACTGCTTTCTATTTTTAGGAGCAGATTCTTAAAAGTCAGCATTTCCTGAGTTCAAATCCCAGTCCCAGTTTCAAATTGAAAACAATCTAAGTCACAGCAATAGGAATGGCAAAATACATAATAAAATACCTAAGCTACCTGTGTAGCTGATGAAAAAAAAATGCAGCAAGTCTAGATGTACCAAGACAGAAGAGTGTAACTTTGTGTAACTTTAAACTAATTAACATATCCTTGCCAAGCCTTAGTTTCTCCACCAAAATGTGAAAATAACAATTTTAAAATATATATACAGCATATAGTTGTTACATGGATTAAATGACAAAATAGTTGTAAAGCACTTAGTACAACACCTGACATTGTGTAAGTGCTTAATAAATATGAACTTTCATTATAATTCTTGATGTATTCCAAGATGGCAGATAAATTTCAACAACTCGAGGCCATTTATTCATTTGGTAATCATTTACTAAGCATTGCTTATGAGAAAGGTTTTATGCTACCTGAGTTGAGGAAAACACAGATGAATGAAACAATCTCTGTCCTCAAGGATCTTAGGAAAATGTCCAAGAATATAAGTCACGTCAAGAGTAACCTTAATACCAAAAGGAATGTAGTATTATAAGAGAGTGTCATAACAGATTGCTATTATTTTATCTGCTCAACACTACTCCCTCAGAAAGCACATCCTCCTTCTTTGAAAGCACTCTTCCTTCTCCAATTCTAACACTGAAGAGTGGATAACCAGATATAAAAGCTACAACCTGGCCGCCCACAGTTGTAGGTGAGGAAATGTGCACGTGACTTCATCATATGACCCAAGCCAGGCCAATTAGAGGATGCTTCACACTAAGAATGGAGGGAAGGGGGGTGATTTTTCTTCAATGGGAAAGGCCTGACATGGAAGGCACAGATGCTATTTGCAGCCAATTTCCCCAGCATATGGGGGATCTGGAAGAATAAGGGAGCACAATGATGAAAGTAGTGGGAAAAAGCAAAGACACTGGATTTGGGTCCCCCAGAACCTCAACCTTTGGTGATGACATAGGATATCATTAGTTCTATGACAGCAGGGATTTCTGTATGTTTTTGTTTACTAATATATCCCCAGGATCTAGAACAGTGCCTGGCACACAGTAGACAGTGACTACATATTTCCTGAATGAATGAATTAAATCCTATAAGATACCCCTCTTTTTTCTAAGAAAGTTCATGTTTTTATTGTTTCCTTGCAATCAAATCCAGAATTATTCTTGGTAAAGTGAGAATGTTAACATTCCTACCTCAGAAGGAGACAAGATGTAACAAAATATAACATCAGGAAACATTCCTGTGCCACTAGCATAATGTCCCCAGACACCATTCCAGACCAGCTCCTACTGAAGTACTGTCCATCTCACCACAAACCCAGAGATATTTTGAGTTTTGGTTATAAAACCTCTCAGGTACCATTTAGTCTGGTTTAATAAAACACAGACTTATCTACTTGGTTTCCAAGACTGCAGACTTTGGAAACTGGAAATCATAAAGCAGTCTGTTATATGCCTGCTTCCATCCCTCTTACTTGTGTATCTTTTTTTTTCTTTCACAGATCAAGAGGTAAGATATGAATAAATGCCCAGTTAAGGACTGACAGAAATCTAAGAGGCTGGCATTGTGTTCAATGTCAATAAAAATTCACATGAATGAGCTCAAGTTGGCAGTTGTTGGATGTAACATACAGGAATTGAATAGCTAGCAAACGCCCTAGTAGATCTGAAACACACAGCTGACTGAAATTCACATCACTATTGAAAAATTGCACAATATAACTCTATGTTCATGGTAGGTCCTGACATCAATAAATTAAAACAAAATAAAAGATCACTTCTCTGGCTGTCAGAACTGTAACAGTTTATAAAACTAGCCTATGAAGGTTCCTTGAACGGTATTTTGTATGTTTTACTCTTTAACATTTATTGACTAACTAATATATGCTGGAAAGCTTAACAGTAGTTGTTGGGCAGACAAGGAAAAATCAGGTACAGATCTCGGTCTACAAACTTAGATTACATCAAGTGGCTAAGACATGTTCACCAATTATCAGGTACAACTGGCCCAGGACAAAAGCAAACCCATATAGAATCTAGCCATGATGACAAGTGTCTGCTGAGAAAAAAGCCTTCATCAACAGTTAAAATAGCTACTTTTGAACTTTTTCTCATGTTACCTTGGCCATTGCTTCTGGTTCCTGGTCTGTCTGTGGCTTTGACACTTTTTTGCTTAATTCCCCTCATGACTTCCATAAACAACGTTTACTAGCCCCACCATGTAGCCACTTGGCTCCTAACAGAACCTGCCCACCCTGTGTAGACTGTTCTGAGGCACGTACCACCTCCTGGGACTATTCATTTGACCCATACAAACCACCAAAATTACTAGCTTCTACATAATCATAATACAGGGTAGAATGAACCATGACTATGAACTGTAACAATCTAAGTCACCTGACTTAAACTGATTTTTTGTTGCTGTTTTTAATAAGGAATTCTAAAATAATAGTATATTGTCAGTTATGTAACATATGTATGTATATTATATGTGTTCATTCATTATACTTGTATATTTTATGTATGCACTTATAATATTTATATAAAAATATAGAGTTTAGGTTAAACTTCCTGAATGCTGATCAGCATAATGGAGAGAAAACCATTTGATTGTGTTACTACACGTCTGCTCTGCATTTAGTAGCTTCCTCCTTATATATCGATAGCCCCAAAACATTACTTCCTATTTAGTTCCACTGAATGATCAAGTAGAAAGAGTGGGAAAAACAGTGCAATTATACTTTAATTGTTCCTTCCCTTTCTCAGTCCTACTCCTAAAACCTCTTCTGATTCTCCCCACCACATTAAAAGATACAACTGTCTTAGGTGGTCTCTGGAGGGTCTACTAAGGGTTAGTAAAACAATGTTTGGAAGCATATTCTTTGACACTCTGATTCGTTGACCAAACATAGAATTCGGAGGCAAGCCAAATAAAAATTGAGAAAAAAATTAACACATCTAGATATTGAAATCTACTGAAGAACTATACACAAGAGAAATCCTTGAATGTGTACTGTAAAATTAGACCTGACATTGAATTACTTTATTTTTTCAAGTGTGGATGCTTTGACCAAGTTTCCATTTTGCTTAATAATTCAATATCAAGGACATCTTATTTAGACAGCCCTGGCACAGTATCTGTGGTTACTACTCTTGGAGAGACTCTTATAAAAGATAATCAGCTGAATCACTTAATCCATAAGAAAAATTAAATGAAGCCATGCTACATTAGGATACTGAAATTAAGTCAGTGAGTACTGAAGTGGATTAAGTCTTAGAGATCATCTTCTAGACCAGTGGTTCTCAAAGTGTAGTCTTTGGACCAGCAGCATCAGTACCCCATAAATGTATACACTGATTATGTACCCACAAAACAAAAAATAAACATTTTCTCCCATTCTGTGGGTTGTCTGTTTTCTCTGCTCATTATTTCTTTTGCTGTGCAGAAGTCTTTTAGTTTAATTAGGTCCCATTTATTTATTTTTGTTTTTGTTGAATTTGCTTTTGAGTTCTTAGTCATGAATTTTTTGCCTACACCAACGTGTAGAAGAGTTTTTCTGATATGAAAGAAAATATTCGATAACTATGCATCTAACACAGGGCTAATTTCCAGAAGCTACAAGAAGCTCAAACAAATAAGCAAAGAAAAAAATGCATCAAAAAGTGGGCAAAGGGCACGAATACACAATGCTCAAAAGAAGATATTCAAACCACCAACAAACATATGAAGAAATGCTCAATATCCCTAATTATCAGAGAACTGGAAACTAAAACCACAGTGAGATACCACCTTACTCCTGCAAGAATCACCATAATTAAGAATCTTTTTAAATAGATGTTGGCATGGATGTGGTGAAAGGGAACACTTTTACACTGCATGTGAGAATGTAAACTGGTACAACCACAGTATGGAAATTCCTTAAAGAACTAAAAGTAGGACTATTATTTGATCCAGCAATCCTACTACTGGGTATCTACCCAACAGAAAAGCAGTCATTATATGAAAAAGACACATGGACACACACATGTATAGCAGCATAATTCACAATTACAAAAATATGGAACCAACCTAAATGCCTGTCAACCAACACGTGGATAAAGAAAATGTGGTATATATACACCATGGAATACTACTCAGACATAAAACAAAATGAAATAATGGCATTTGCAGCAACGTGGCTGGAGTTGGAGGCCATTATTCTAACTGAAGTAACTCAGGAATGGAAAACCAAACATCATATGTTCTCACTATAAGTGGGAGCTAAGCTATGAAAATTCAAAGGCATAAGAAGATAGAACAGACCTTGGAGACTCAGGAGAAAGCATGGGAAAGGGAGTGAGAGTTAAAAGAATACATATTGGGTACAGTGTACACTGCTCGGTGATAGGTGCACCAAAACCTCAGATATTGCCCCTAAAGAACCTATCCATGTAACCAAAAATCACCTGTTCCCCAAAAACTATTGAAATAAATAAATAAATAAATAGAAATAGAAATTCTTGGCCCAGACCTATGGATTCAGAAAATTTGGGGGTAGAACTCAGCAATCAATGTTCACAAACCTTCCAGGTGATGGTGATGTACATTCATGTTTGAGAACCACCGATCCAGACAGTTTCATACTTTGGAGGTGAAAAAAATGAACCCCATAGGAATCAAACAAGTTGCCCAAATAAATGGTAAGAACCAGATGGAAAGCTCACATAGCACTAAGTAGGGTTGCTGTTGGAATGCTAGAGAACCACTACTTCAGATCTCAGTAGTTTTATTACTGAAGATTTTGACATAATTAAATTAGGATAATTTTTATCTATTTATACAGGTATGGGTGAAGTGTAAGGAGACCACAAGGAGTAGTGCAGTAGCCCAGAGCTAGTTACAGTGGAATAGACTATAACGCTTGTAGGCCAAAAGGGGCAAGAGGATGGAGGAGAAAGCCATGTAGAGAAGGGAGCACCCAGCCAGCCTCCATCACCAAAGAACAGGGAGTAAGAGAAGGTGGAGAATGAGTTTGGAAGAAAAATGGAAAACATTTGATGCAATATGTGATCAAAAATGGCCAATATTTTACAACAAGTACCAGGAATTTCTCTCCCTCTCCTCTGTCCTCTACCTACTTTCTCTTCAAGGAAAGGTTCAAAACACTCTAACCACATAGCAGTCAAAAATTGAGGTAAATACAACTGCGAGTTTTCTCTCTATTACTTTCGTTCCCTTCATTCTCAATAGCAGAACTCCAAGATTTTAGCTGGGGATTGTGGCCATCTTCCCTAAAAGATGATATGTTCTATTCTCACATGCAGTTAGGTATTCAATGTCATTAAGTTCTGGACAATGGTACATAAGTATGAAGGTTGTCTATAACTTCAGGGAAATGATCTTGAAAGTCCTCTTTCCAAATGACTTGAGTTTAGGCAATCTTGAATCACAAGCCACCTTGGATCTTGAGGTGACCTTGAAAAGGGATGTCATACACTACGGAACAACAAGCTGGACAGAGGCTGGGTGAGTAATATGAAACACCAAAGCAGTCCCAGGTTGACTATCTCTCAGCTTCTTAAATGGGAGACAGAAATAAACTTTTATCTTCTTTAGCCACAGTAATATGTGGGTTTCTATTATCAGCTGAACCTAATTGTAACTAACAGAATCTACATATACTAACATGGTAAAATCAGCAAAGGCATGTTATGGAATTAAAGGAAAAAAATCAGCAAAATACAGAATGATATTATGTATTATTTATGGTTAACGTTTATCAAAATGTATAGACAAAGTTCTAGAAATAAACAACAAAAAGTGATAACCATAGTTAAAACCCAGGAGCTTATGGGGGACTAGGATTAGGGATGGAGAACAGAGGAGAATTGCACCTTATACATCATAGAAAAAATATATTCAAGGCTAGATGTGAAATTAATCTTTTTAAACATCTGAACTTATTCACTTCTTTGGCAGTGAATAAGTTCATGGTTTTGGCAGACCTTTGATTTTGCTAAGCTCTTAAATTGAAAATCTGATGCCTCCATCCGTGGTGGTAACACCAGTGTAAACAGAATCTAGGAGCCTAGTAACATGTTTGGCTCTTGCTGTGTTTTCTGTAACTGAACCACAGTAGACTGGGTGGCTCCTGATTCATGGATGAACTTGTACTTCAGCTACATGATCTGCAAAGTTGTGGAAGAGCCATCAGGGACTGATATTTACACAGCTACGAAGTCATGTCCATATGGATTACATGATAGGTTGTCTGGGATCAAACACAGAAATATAAAGAACTGGCAAGAGATCTTGTGGGATAAAATATAATCTGGGTATGAGACCAATGATCAGCAATGTGTTATAGTGTGCCTTACGTTGGTAAGAAGTCTTTCTGTTGGGAATTCGAGTAGTGATTTTGAATATCAGGTCTTATATCGCCCTAGGAGTGACACATTTGAAAACCACACATGGGGGGTGCAGCCAAGATGGCCGAATAGGAACATCTCCAGTCTACAGCTCCCAGCATGAGCGACGCAGAAGACGGGTGATTTCTGCATTTCCAACAGAGGTACCGGATTCATCTCACTGGGGAGTGTCAGAAAGTGGGTGCAGGACAGTGGGTGCAGTGTATTAAGCGTGAGCCAAAGCAGGGCAAGGCATCGCCTCACCCGGGAAGTGCAAGGGGTCAGGGAATTCCCTTTCCTAGTCAAAGAAAGGGGTGACAGACGGCACCTGGAAAATTGGGTCACTCCCACCCTAATACTGTGCTTTTCCAAAGGTCTTAGCAAATGGCACACCAGGAGATTATATGCCGTGCCTAGCTCAGAGGATCCTACGCCTAGGGAGCCTCGCTCATTGCTAGCACAGCAGTCTGAGATCAAACTGCAAGGCGGCAGCGAGGTTCGGGGAGGGGCGCCCACCATTGCCGAGGCTTGAGGAGGTAAACAAAGCAGCTGGGAAGCTTGAACGGGGTGGAGCCCACCGCAGCTCAAGGAGGCCTGCCTGCCTCCGTAGACTCCACCTCTGGGGGCAGGGCATAGCCAAACAAAAGGCAGCAGAAACCTCTGCAGACTTAAATGTCCCTGTCTGCCAGCTTTGAAGAGAGTAGTGGTTGTCCCAGCATGCAGTTTGAGATCTGAGAACAGACAGACTGCCTCAAGTGGGTCCCTGACCCCCAAGTAGCCTAACTGGGAGGCATCCCCCAGTAGGGGCAGACTGACACCTCAAATGGCCGGGTATTCCTCTGAGACAAAACTTCCAGAGGAACAATCAGGCAGCAACATTTGCTGTTCACCAATATCCACTGTTCTGCAGCCTCCACTGCTGATACTCAGGCAAACAGGGTCTGCAGTGGACCTCCAGCAAACTCCAACAGACCTGCAGCTGAGGGTCCTGACTGTTAGAAGGAAAACTAACAAACAGAAAGGACATCCACACCAAAACCCCATCTGTACGTCACCATGATCAAAGACCAAACAAAGGTAGATAAAACCACAAAGATGGGGAAAAAACAGAGCAGAAAAACTGGAAACTCTAAACATCAGAGTGCCTCTCCTCCTCCAAAGGAACGCAGCTCCTCACCAGCAACAGAACAAAGCCGGATGGAGCATGACTTTGACAAGTTGAGAGAAGGCTTCAGACGATCAAACTACTCTGAGCTAAAGGAGGAAGTTCGAACCCATGGCAAAGAAGTTAAAAACCTTGAAAAAAAATTAGATGAACGGCTAACTAGAATAACCAATGCAGAGAAGTCCTTAAAGGACCTGATGGAGCTGAAAACCAAGGCATGAGAACTACGTGACGAATGCGCAAGCCTCAGTAGTCGATTCGATCAACTGGAAGAAAGGGTAACAGTGATGGAAGATCAAATGAATGAAATGAAGCGAGAAGAGAAGTTTAAAGAAAAAAGAATAAAAAGAAACGAACAAAGCCTCCAAGAAATATGGGACCATGTGAAAAGACCAAATCTACGTCTGATTGATGTACCTGAAAGTGACACGGAGAATGGAACCAAGTTGGAAAACACTCTGCAGGATATTATCCAGGAGAACTTCCCCAATCTAGCAAGGCAGGCCAATATTCAAATTCAGGAAATACAGAGAACGCCACAAAGATACTCCTTGAGAAGAGCAACTCCAAGACACATAATTGTCAGATTCAACAAAGTTGAAATGAAGGAAAAAATGCTAAGGGCAGCCAGAGACCAAGGTCGGGTTACCCACAAAGGGAAGCCCATCAGACTAACAGCGATCTCTCAGCAGAAAGTCTACAAGCCAGAAGAGAGTGGGGGCCAATATTCAACATTCTTAAAGAAAAGAATTTTCAACGAAGAATTTCATATCCAGCCAAACTAAGCTTCATAAGTGAAGGAGAAATAAAATACTTTACAGACAAACAAACGCTGAGAGATTTTGTCACCACCAGGCCTGCCCTAAAAGAGCTCCTGAAGGAAACACTAAACATGAAAAGGAACAACCGGTACCAGCCACTGCAAAAACATGCCAAATTGTAAAGACCACTGATGCTAGGAAGAAACTGCATCAACTAATGAGCAAAATAACCAGCTAACATCATAATGACGGGATCAAATTCACACATAACAATATTAACCTTAAATGTAAATGGGCTAAATTCTCCAATTAAAAGACACAGACTGAAAACTGGATAAAAAGTCAGGACCCATCAGTGTGCTGTATTCAGAAAACCCATCTCACGTACAGAGACACACATAGGCTCAAAATAAAGGGATGGAGGAAGATGTACCAAGCAAATGGAAAACAAAAAAAGGCAGGGGTTTCAATCCTAGTTTCTGATAAAACAGACTTTAAACCAACAAAGATCAAAAGAGACAAAGAAGGCCATTACATAATGGTAAAGGGATCAATTCAACAAGAAGAGCTAACTATCCTAAATATATATGCACCCAATACAGGAGCACCCAGATTCATAAAGCAAGTCCTGAGTGACCTACAAAGAGACTTAGACTCCGACACAATAATGGGAGACTTTAACACCCCACTGTCAACATTAACAGATCAACCAGACAGAAAGTTAACAAGGATATCCAGGAAATGAACTCAGCTCTGCACCAAGCGGACCTAATAGATATCTACAGAACTCTCCACCCCAAATCAACAGACTATGCATTCTTTTCACCACCACACCACACCTATTCCAAAATTGACCACACAGTTGGAAGTAAAGCACTCCTCAGCAAATGTAAAAGAACAGAAATTATAACAAACTGTCTCTCAGACCACAGTGCAATCAAACTAGAACGCAGGATTAAGAAACTCACTCAAAGCCACTCAACTATATGGAAACTGAACAACTTGCTCTTGAATGACCACTGGGTACATAACGAAATGAAGGCAGAAATAAAGATGTTCTTTGAAACCAATGAGAACAAAGACACAACATACCAGAATCTCTGGGACACATTCAAAGCAGTGTGTAAAGGGAAATTTATAGCACTAAATGCCCACAGGAGAAAGCAGGAAAGATCTAAAATTGACACCCTAACATCACCATTAAAAGAACTAGAGAAGCAAGAGGAAACACATTCAAAAGCTAGCAGAAGGCAAGAAATAATTAAGATCAGAGCAGAACCGAAGGAAATAGAGACACAAAAAAACCCTTCAAAAAATCAATGAATCCAGGAGCTGGTTTTTTGAAAAGATCAACAAAATTGATAGACTGCTGGCAAGACTAATAAAGAAGAAAAGAGAGAAGAATCAAATAGACGCAATAAAAAATGACAAAGGGGATATCACCACCGATCCCACTGAAATACAAACTACCATCAGAGAATACCATAAACACGTCTACGCAAATAAACTAGAAAATCTAGAAGAAATAGATAAATTCCTTGACACATAACGCCCTCCCAAGACTAAACCAGGAAGAAGCTGAATCTCTGAATAGACCAATAACAGGCTCTGAAATTGAGGCAATAATTAACAGCATACCAACCAAAAAAAGTCCAGGACCAGATGGATTCACAGCCAAATTCTACCAGAGGTACAAGGAGGAACTGGTACCATTCCTTCTGAAACTATTCCAATCAATAGAAAAAGAGGGAATCCTCCCTAACTCATTTTATGAGGCCAGCATCATCGTGATACCAAAGCCTGGCAAAGACAATGAAAAAAGAGAATTTTAGACCAATATCCCTGATGAACATTGATGCAAAAATCCTCAATAAAATACTGGCAAACTGAATCCAGCAGCACATCAAAAAGCTTATCCACCACGATCAAGTGGGCTTCATCCCTGGGACACAAGGCTGGTTCAACATACACAAATCAGTAAACATATATAAACAGCATATAAATGTATATAAACAGCATATACATATATAAACAGCATATAAACAGAACCAACAACAAAAACCACATGATTATCTCAATAGATGCAGAAAAGGCCTTTGACAAAATTCAACAGCCCTTCATGCTAAAAAGTCTCAATGAATTAGGTATTGATGGGATGTATCTCGAAATAATAAGACCTATCTATGACAAACCCACAGCCAATATCATACTGAATGGGCAAAAACTGGAAGCATTCCCTTTGAAAACTGGCACAAGACAGGGATGCCCTCTCTCACCACTCCTATTCAACATAGTGTTGGAAGTTCTGGCCAGGGCAATCAGGCAGGAGAAGGAAATAAAGGGTATTCAATTAGGAAAAGAGGAAGTCAAATTCTCCCTGTTTGCAGACGACATGATTGTATATTTAAAAAACCCCACTGTCTCAGCCCAAAATCTCCTGAAGCTGATAGGCAACTTCAGCAAAGTCTCAGGATACAAAATCAATGTGCAAAAATCACAAGCATTCTTATACACCAATAACAGACAAACAGAGAGCCAAATCATGAGTGAACTCCCACTCACAACTGCTTCAAAGAGAATAAAATACCTAGGAATCCAACTTACAAGGGATGTGAAGGACCTCTTCAAGGGGAACTACAAACCACTGCTCAATGAAATAAAAGAGGATACAAACAAATGGAAGAACACTCCATGCTCATGGGTAGGAAGAATCAATATCACGAAAATGGCCATACTGCCCAAGGTAATTTATTGATTCAATGCCATCCCCATCAAGCTACCAACGACTTTCTTCACAGAATTGGAAAAAACTACTTTAAAGTTCATATGGAACCAAAAAAGAGCCCGCATTGCCAAGTCAATCCTAAGCCAAAAGAACAAAGCTGGAGGCATCACGCTACCTGACTTCAAACTATACTACAAGGCTACAGTAACCAAAACAGCGTGGTACTGGTACCAAAACAGAGATATAGACCAATGGAACAGAACAGAGACCTCAGAAATAATGTCGCATATCTACAACCATCTGATCTTTGACAAACCTGACAAAAACAAAACATGGGGAAAGGATTCCCTATTTAATAAATGGTGCTGGGAAAACTGGCTAGCCATATGGAGAAAGCTGAAACTGGATCCCTTCCTTACACATTATACAAAAATTAATTCAAGATGGATTTAAGACTTAAATGTTAGACCTAAAACCATAAAAACCCTAGAAGAAAACCTAGGCAATACCATTCAGGACATAGGCATAGGCAAGGACTTCATGTCTAAAACACCAAAAGCAATAGCAACAAAAGCCAAAATTGACAAATGGGATCTAATTAAACTAAAGAGCTTCTGCACAGCAAAAGAAACCACCATCAGAGTGAACAGGCAACCTACAGAATGGGAGAAAATGTTTGCAATCTACTCATCTGACAAAAGGCTAATATCCAGACTCTACAATGAACTCCAACAAATTTACAAGAAAAAAACAAACAACCCCATCAAAAAGTGGGCGAAGGACATGAACAGACACTTCTCAAAAGAAGACATTTATGCAGCCAAAAGACACATGAAAAAATGCTCATCATCACTGGCCATCAGAGAAATGCAAATTAAAACCACAATGAGATACCATCTCACACCAGTTAGAATGGCGATCATTAAAAGTCAGGAAACAAGAGGTGCTGGAGAGGATGTGGAGAAATAGGAACACTTATACACTGTTGGTGGGACTGTAAACTAGTTCAACCATTGTGGAAGTCAGTGTGGCGATTCCTCAGGGATCTTGAACTAGAGATACCATTTGACCCAGCCATCCCATTACTGGGTATATACCCAAAGGATTATAAATCATGCTGCTATAAAGACACATGCACACATATGTTTATTGCGGCACTATTCACAATAGCAAAGACTTGGAACCACCCCAAATGTCCAACAATGATAGACTGGATTAAGCAAATGTGGCACATATACACCACGGAATACTCTGCAGCCATAGAAAAGGATGAATTCATGCCCTTTGTAGGGACATGGATGAAGCTGGAAACCATCATACTCAGCAAATTATCTCAAGGACAAAAAACCAAACACGAAGCTGGGAACCATCATACTCAGCAAATTATCTCAAGGACAAAAAACCAAACACCACATGTTCTCACTCACAGGTGGGAATTGAACAATGAGAACGCATGGACACAGGAAGGGGAACATCACACACCGGCGCCTGTCGTGGGGTGGGGGAAGTGGGGAGGGATAGCATTAGGAGATACCCCTAATGTTAAATGAAGAGTTAATGGGTGCAGCACACCAACATGGTACATGTATACATATGTAACAAACCTGCACGTTGTGCACATGTACCCTAAAACTTAAAGTATAATAAAAAAAAAAAGAAAGAAAGAAAACCGTACATGGAATTCTCTTGGTCTAGACATCTCTAGGATATGTGTCCCCACATCTGTGTTCCCACAAAAGGAAACAGTCCTTAGTAAAAGAAATATCCAGGATGTGGCATATAGAGAACTACCCTGAGCCTTGGTGCCTATTGCAAGAATAGTGGAGAGTGTCGATTACAGGAGGCAATGAATCAAAAAGGACCACAGTAACATGCAAACCTTGAAACAATGGACTCAGAAACTAGGTCACAGCTCTACCTGGATATGGGACAATGTTATTTCTAAATCCAGCATCAGGGCATGGTTAAGAGATTAGCCTGGAAAGAGAGGATTAGAAGTTACACATTTACATGGTTTAGTGTGGCAAGTTTGAATAATAGAGGATGTGACTATTCTTGTGATAGTAATGTATTAAAGCAGCAAAGCAATACAAAGGAAAATGAAATAGGGAACTGTCATGAATGGGATACTTTTTGTAACATAAAAGTTTAGGAGAACACTTGTAAAAGGTGAGTAGATGTTGTGAGGGCGAATCTTGATCAGAAAGAGAATCTAGGGAAGGGCATAAATCTGGCCCAAAGAAATAAGAGTTTAACTACTAAATTTGGGAGAAATTGTTTAAGTGAACCAGACCTTGTGGAAGGGAGACAAAACAGAGGAAGAACACAGTCATCACCTTAACCACAAGAATAACCAGATAGAGTTAAAGGGCTTTATGTATATTCCATTTCTAGTTGCCATAACCATAGAATCCTCACTTTAAGGACAGAGCATTATAATGGAAAAAAATACAAATAAATATATTTTTTAAGGGCAGGGTCACACAGTTGGCTTGCCTTTGGAGAAAGATCTGGGAGACTTTGTGCTGTAAGACAAAGGATGATGTCAAAATGGAAAAGATCCTCCTGACCCGTGTATAAAAAGGGCCCCTTGCATCTGAGGCTGGGAAGAGCTTCCAGTATCTACATACCTCTTGCTTCTACTGACTAGTGGCTTCTCTGGCTTCACACACCCATGGCTACAAAGAAGACACACTTCCACCTTCTACCCTAGTCCTATAAGAACTGTACAGGCAGGGCTCACCCCAACAAGAAGCAGAGGCTTAGACCGAGTTCACAGAGATAAAGATCTGAGCCAGTGAGAAATAAGCAATCCACAACACGCAGGTTACATGCAGCCTGGCCACTTTTGAGATGTGGCTCAAGATCTAATTTCAGAAGCAAAGATCTGAAGGGTGCCTCTGGGTTGTTACTTCTCAAATATGGACAAATATTAACATTTTATTAACTCAGAAGCAATGCCGGAATTCAATTTTAATTTTTTTTTGTTTCATACATTTTATCTTTTCAAGATTAAAATGTATTAATTCAGTTGAATTATGCTTCGTGACTCTATCTAGATTTATTTCCCTCTGTCCCCCAAAAAACCACTCTTTTGAAGCAGGAGAGTAGCCATTAAGTCCATGTATTTATGCTTTCAATTTGTATGTAAATCATATAAACAATACACAGTGGTTTTTAAATTAAATTTTATGTAATTGATATTGTAAGGTATCGCTCTGTACTTTCAATCTTTTTTTTCTTTTTATTTTGACTTATATTTTAAGTTCAGGAGTACAAGTGCAGGTTTGTTACACAGGTAAGCTTGTGTCATGGGTGTTTATTGTACAGGCTATTTCATCACCCAGATATTAAGCCTAGTATCCCTTAGTTTTTTTTCCTGATCCTCTCCCTCCTCCACCCTCCACCATCCAGTAGGCCCCAGTGTGTGTTGTTCCCTTCTATGTGTCCATATGTTCTCATCATTTAGCTCCCACTTATAAGCTAACCTTCCTTTTTTCACTCCAAAAAAGTTTTGAAATCTATCCATGGGATTCATATTGTATACCAACTTTTATTTGGTTGTTTGCATTTTTCTCACTAATGGTTGGAGTTCTTTATACATTCTAGAATTGTTTCCTTTTTATACATATTTTCTCTTCTCTTAGTCTAGTGTTTATTGTAAAATTTGTGCTATCTTTCGTCATGTAGTTCTTTAATTTTAATGAAGTCAAATATATCAATATTTTCCTTTGTAATTTTTGCCTTTTTAAGTTCTGATTAAAGTACAATTCCCAACACTGTGTTCATAGCAATATCCTTCTTTTTTCAAAAGTTGCATTTTTCGTATTAGAAATCTACCTTCCTTCATACAATTTACAGTACCATCTATTTTTTGTCAATGATATGCAATGGCTTCACTCTCACTACCAAGTTCCCAAATATGCATGGATGTGCTTCTTGGCTTCTCTAGTCCATGTGGATGATCTATTTCACTACCATTTCACTAGTACCATATTGTCTTAACTACAAATCTTTTTATAAAACCTAAATATTTGGTGTATTAAGATACCTCTTGCCCTTTTTTCCTTTAAAATTACATAGGCTATTCTTAGCAAAGACTTGAAACCAACCCAAATGCCAATCAATGATAGACTAGATTAAGAAACTGTGGCACATATACACCACAGAATACTATGCAGCCATAAAAAAGGATGAGTTCATCTCCTTTGTAGGGACATGGATGAAGCTGGAAACCATCATTCTCAGTAAACTATCACAAGGACAAAAAACCAAACACTGCATGTTCTCACTCATAGGTGGGAATTGAACAATGAGAACACTTGGACACAGGAAGGGGAACATCACACACCGGGGCCTGTTGTGGGGTGGGGGAAGAGGGGAGGGATAGCATTAGGAGAAATACCTAATGTAAATGACGAGTTAATGGGTGCAGCACACCAACATGGCACATGTATACATATGTAACACACCTGCACATTGTGCACATGTACCCTAGAACTTAAAGTATAATTTAAAAAAGAAAAATATAATAACAAACAAAAAAGAAAAAATTAAAATACAATAAAATTATATAGGCTATTCTTGGCCTTTTATTCATCCACAAGAACTACTTGTCAACCTCCAGACACACACACACACACACACACACACACACACACATTTACACACAAAATGTACTGTAATGTTTGTTGGAATTGCTTTGCACTTACAAATAAACACGGCCTCTTTTCATGTATGAATATGTCTTCCCATATATTGAGGTCTTGTTTATTCCCTTTAATAAATTTTGTAATTTTCTCCATCAAGATCTTGCACAACGTTATTAGAAGTATTTCTAGTTACCTTGTTACTATGAATCGGGTTGTTCTTAAATTTCATTATATTTTTGAATTAGTTATTCCTGGAGTATCAGAAAACTGTTGACTATTAAATGTTGATCTGAATCCCGAAAACTTGCTGAACTGTCTTAAAATTTTAAATATGTTATCAATAGATCCTGTTAGATCCTCTAAAATTTGATCAGCTGTACATTTGGCTATTTACTCTCTTCCTTTTCAAATCTTACACTTCCAATTTCTTTTTCTTACTCTATTGCATTGGATAGGACCACCAGGACAAAAATGAAAGTAGTAATGATAGAGGCATCTTTATTTCATTTCTCATTTTAATAAAAATTTCCTAAATTGTTGCCATTAATTGTGATGTATTCATATGTTTGAAGTTTTTGGTAGATAATTTTTCAAGTAAAGTTTGTTCTCCTTGCTAAGAATTTTCAATCATGAATATTTGTGAATTTTTTACTTTAATATATTATTTGAGGTGTGCTACATTAATGGATTTCCTACAGTTCAGCAATTTTTTTCATTCTTAGGATAAACTCTTATTTGATCAAGATATGTCATATATTACTAGGTTTAATTTGTTGGTATTTGGAATTTTTATCTCTGTAAACCAGTTTCCTTTTTATAGTCTGTTCAATTTTGGTAAAAGTTTACATGAGTTTAAAATTGGTTGGAAAGCATTTTCTCTGGAAAAATTTATATTAAAAGAAGATTATTTCTGAAAGTTTCATAATATAAAACCCCCGCTTGGTACCTTTAAACAAGGGTGAAAGAAGAAAGGAAATCGGACAACAATTCATGTCTTTAGTTGCCATTTGATTAATTCAACTTTATTTCCTGATGAGCCAATCTTGGCAACTTATTTTTCTAAAAACTAATCAATTGCCTCAAAGTTATCCAAAATTTTATTATAAAATGATTAATTTTTTCACAGTTTTTTACACAGCCACTTTATCTGTAGTTATGCCTCCTTTTTATTTCTAGTTATCTGTGCATTATTTAAAGTATGCTTTATTTACAATAACTATTTACAAGTGCAGTTTAGTGTCTAAGTCATGGGTTTCTATTGCCTTTTTATTATTCATTTCTAATCTTATTACATTGTATTCAGGGAGAATGATGTTAATAGTGTATATTCTTAGAGTGTCACTAAGACTTCTTTTGTAGCCAATTATTAAAAATATATTCTGTGTCTTTAAATATATATATATTATATATATATCCATCTATATATATAGATGATAAAAAGTCATATATCTCTATTAGCAGGTTGTTAAATCTGTCACTGAATTCTTAAATATCCATCAAAATGTTTTGTCACTGTGACTTGTAAATTTCTGAATGAATTCATTATGGTCTTGCTCTGGATAACAGAATTTTTAATTTCTTCTTGTGATTTTGTCAATTGCTATTTATATGTTTGAAAGCTATATTGTTTAGTGCACACAGATGGCTATGGCTACTTGAGTAGATTATTATGATTAGGCTATGTTTCTATTACTTTTATGGTTTTGCATTAATTTATATTTTATATGACACAAAAATTATTACCCTGGCTTTATTATTACTATTTTCCTAGTATACAATTTTTCATCTCTTTATTGTTAAACTTTCTGAATTGTAACATTATTTTAAATATTTATGATAAAACTATTCACACATGCACAAAAGTATAGAGCCTGAGATAACTAATCCCATTGTGCCCATCAACCAAATTTAACAATTAGCAAAACCACTTGCTTTATATATTCCTTCTTCTTTTTTGCTAAAGTATTTTAAAGCCAAAGCACACATCATACTATTATATCCCTGCATACTTCCAAGACGTCTCAAAATATGCAACATTTTCTTATGTAACTACCATGCCTTTTGCACATCTGATAAAATTAACACCAGTTCCTTGATATTATCAGATTCCAGTTCACATTTGAAGTCCCCAATTATCTTCTAATAGTCCTTTTATAATTGGTTTGTTCAAAGGAGGATCTAAACATAGTCCACATATTATGTTTTCTTATTGCACTTCTTAAAGCTAATCTCCCCTCATTTTTTTCTATGCCCATCTTTCCCCAAGACCCAAGGTCAGTTTTCCAGTAGAATGCCATTTAATCTGTTTGCTTTTCTATTATGTCATTTTACTTGTTTTCTGTCCCTGTATTTCCTGTAAGCTGGAAATTCTAAGGCATGATCATACTTGGGTTAAACACTTTGGGTAACCTCACTTCATATATGATTCTGTGTACTTCATACCGCTTTACCTCTAGGGGCAGGCATATCTGCTTGACTCACTCTAAATAATGTTGTTTCGTCCTACCATGTTATTCCCTTTTCATTCTTCTACTAGTGACGAGCTTATTTCTATCTTTTTAGTGACTACCTTTAATTGTTCAATATGCTTATCTACTTAAGACTTAATTAATTCTTTATTCTCTTTCCAAGAAAAACAAGAAAATTAGAATACTTTAAATTTGAACTTCTGTCCCTACCACCCATGATGTTGCCTAGGAATTTGATTCTCCCTTGTTTTCAAACATCTCTCATAGAGTAATATTACTATTTTTATACCTAATATTTGTGTAGTATTATCAGCATGTTTACTATTGCCTTGTTCACTCTTGCTTCTTGCATCATGTACCTTCCTCTAGGTTCCATTTTCTTCTTAGTAAAATAAAATACATCCATTAGTAGTTTTGTCTTGTTTTGTTTTCGTTTGGTTCAGGAGCACTCTGTAAGTAGTAATCTTTTCAATCTCCATACTTTGAAAATAACATTTTATCTTCTCCATGGAATGATAGTTTCACTTGTTCTAGAATTGTAGACAGACATTATTCTCCTTTATAATTTGAAAGCCATTTTATTTTCTTATGGAATATACCTTTGATAATGAGTAGTTTATTTTCAGTCTTATTATTGGGATTTCATGGTTATCTGTCTTTGTGAGTGCTTTTAAAATTCTCTTTCTGTCTTTGAAGTTTTGCATTTTCATTATGACATGTCTGGTTTTGAAACTGTTTTGTTTTTCTCTTCTTTAGGAATTGCTATACTCCTTTGATCTCAACACTCATTTTTTTTTAATTCTGAGAATTTATCCACCATTATGTCTTCAAATATTGCCTCTCTCATATTCTTTCTATCCTATCCTTACGGAATTATCATATTAAAGTGCCTCATTTTATCTTTCTTATCTCTCTGAGCTTCTCTTTCACATTTTACATTTTACATTTTTCCACTCTCTGTGCTGCCTTCTGAGTGATTTCCAATATATATCTTCTAATTCCATTTTTATCCCTATGTAACCTTCCAATAATTTACCACATCTATGTAACTATTAATAGAGATTATGTCAAAGTGTATATTTTCCATTTCTAAAATTTTCTATTTGTTCTTCCCTAAGTTTTCTTTTTTGGTTTTTATAATAGAAATTCTTTCTTTAGAATGTCTTTTTAAATGTTATATAAATTATAGTTATTGAGGTGTGCTTTTTGTAATTTCTCTGATTTGTTCTCATAACTGTTAACTTTTAAGTATGGGATTAGAAATTGTTTTCCAAGGAGTTTCCACATGATTTGAGCTGAGTTTCCTTATGTGGCAGTTTCATGTTTGTGTGTATTATTGTCCAAGATCCCTGTGTCCAATCATGTTCTAAGTTATTTAGCTAGGAGTTCCCGCACCACACAGAAAAGGGGATTTAGAGATCCACATATGTAGGTAAAAGCTTCATGGTCTATTTTCCCACATGTTCTGAACACTGGCCAGCTTCCTTACTACTTCTCCCAAGCTGGTAATTGTAGACTTAACTTGTCTCCAATTCACAAACGGAGCACACTTGAGAAACTCCCAGCTTTACTCAAGTGCCCTCACAGTTCTAGTTCTTTACTTTGCTGTGGACCTTATCAACTTCATTGAAATCTGGCTTTTTAAATGCATTCTTCCACCATTATTTACATTTAAAGGAAAGAAAATATTATTTTTGACAACTGGGTAAATCAGAAATTGAGAAATTAAACTAAGGGTTTTTTTTTAATGCAAGAAATGTTAATGTGGAAAGCATAGTTTGACTTCACATTTTTGAAGGGGAAATTCTATTCCTAGGAGTGTTCACAGAAAATAGGAAGGTGGACTAAAATGTTGTTGATGCCGCATGAGAAGTTAGAAGACCTGGTAAACTGTGCTGCCAGAAGAAATCTAACTTCGGGACTCTTTGGACTGTGAAGTTTACAAACTTGTCAGCTTCTCAGGGTTTTAGCTTTCTACATGTCAAGTCTAAAATGTAGGTAGGTAGATAGGTAAATTAAATAATAAATTAATTAATCTGAGGCATGAGGTCACCAACATGGCAGGATAGAAAGCTCCTGACTCTCCCTCCACCCACGATGCTCCAAATGAACATCTATCTATGGGTCAATTCCATATGAGAGAAAGTAGAGACCAGTGGATGAGCTCCTACCCACTGGGCAACTGAGAAAACGTATACATCAAGTGGGTAGGAAAAGCCAAGGCACAGTCGGGTATAGACCCCCACCTTGGGCACTGTGTCACAAAATCAGCAAAGGAATCCCTAACACCCAGTTTCTCCCTGTGGAGAGGAGCATCTGGACTTCACATATCAGGCTCAAACCTGGAATTTCCCCAGGTGTTGATTCTTAATTCACCAGCTCCAAGAACAGAGGGGATTGGACACATGCAGGTACCTTAGACTGTAAGAAAATTGGGTTTATACAGGCACCCAAGTACTTCCAGGGACCTCATTCCCCTGGAGCAGTGCAGAGAAGGGGCTTAGAAAACACAGGCCTCTGCTGTTTTCTCCCCAGAAGGGGTTTATAAAACACTCCTACAGTGGCAAATCAGGCAGAATGACTTTTAACTAACTTGCATTGGAGAGTTAAATGGACAGTCAATTAATAACTCACCACAAGCATGGGAAGAATTTTCACTCACTACTGCAGCCCCTACCTAGGAACTGCATGCTAAATCTCTTGGCTCTGGGAGCAGAAGGGACTGACATACACACATCTCTATAGAATGCAGGAAAAAGTAGCATTTTAAAATGGTATGTGAACACCTACAGTGACTTTATCCCCCTGGAGCTGTACAGAGAAGGGGCCCCAAAAACCTAAGTCCCTATTTCTCCCCAGAAGAAGTTTAGGACACATATCCAGAAACCTGATTTGTAAAGCTACATCCCAATAGACTCCACCCAAAACCTAGTAGCTCTGAGGACAGAAGGGACTAGGCATAGGTGTGTCTCCCTTGATCCCAGAACAAAGAGGTGACTTTAAATGGGCATCCAAACATTTCCAGGGGCTGTAGTTCCTTGAAGCAATGCAGAAATGGGGCATGAACGTGTAGCTCTCACTTTCTCCCTGGAAAAAGATTATGACACAGACTCTCATGGACTACTTGATGGTTTAATCTCCCATGAACATATATCAAAGAGCTAACAGTGCAAACAAAAAATAGCCCTTTGGTACAGAATTTGGCTCTTCATAAGACTTCCTCCCAGATCATCCCAAAAATAAGTACAAGCCTACCTATTATTTTTGAAAGGATTTTGGCTATGCACCAAGTGCTACAATTTTAATAACTCCCACCTAAGGGACTGTCATCTCAATGACCTAGCTGTGGTAGTTAAGGGGGCTTTCCAATCTGAGTGACACAGGATGACAGAAAACAAGTAACTGAAAGTAGAATGGACCCACACCCAGAAGTTATTCCTCAAGGATCAGAAGGTATAGCCCAAATGTGAGCTCAGGCTTTTTCCAAAAATCCTCCCCCAGCTTAGTACAGAAAGAGTAGGAAATAAACACCCATACCCAGCCCCACCATGAAGATAGAAAGAACTAGAACACATATTCAACACCCCCCTCACCTTTCCAACTATAACTAAAATGTCTTGCTTCTATCATATGAGTCTTGGGGTACTGGCAATATGTAGTACATCCTTAAGATTCAGAGGGCCACTAAAAACAAAGATAGTGGTCTGGACAAACACAAAAATTAGAGAGGCACCTTAAAATCTCTGGCCAGACAGATTAGTGAAAACTTTCTCCTACACAAGAACTGGTCTAACAAGACATAAAGAGGTAGGTGTATTTTCTAATGTGTGGAAATCAACACAGACAATCAAGGAAAATGAAAAGAAATTCCAAGCAAAAAACAAGATTAATGTCCAGAAGCCAACACAAATGAAGTGGAGTTTTATGAATTCAGCAATAGGAAATTCAAAACAATGGTCATAAAGATGCTCCACAGAGGTCAAGACAGCAGTGTAAGAGAGGTCAAGACAGCAATGTTAGGACAAGCTGAGAATCTGAGCAAAGAGAAAGTATAAACAAGCACCAAATGGACACCAGAGACCTGAAGAATGTTATCACTGAACTGAAAAAATTCAGTAAAGGGGTTCAACAACAGACTAGATCAGGAAGAAGGAAAGATAGTGAACCTGAAGATAGCTCACTGGAAATCATCCAATCTGAGGAGCAAAAAGAAAAGAGAATGAAAAAGAGTATGGGAAACCATCAAGCATAATAACTTATGCATTACTGGCACGCCAGAAGAAAAAGAAAGATAGGGTCAGAAAATATATTCAAAGAAAGAATGGCAGAACACTCCCCAACTCTGGAGAGGGAATTAGAAAGCTAGATCCAGGAAGCCCATACAACACCAAATAAGTTAAATCCAAAGACATATGTAATAAATCATAGTCAAATTGTCAAAAGTTAAAGACAAAGGAAGAATATTGAAAGAAGCAAGGGAAAAGCAAACCATCACATATAGGGATACCCCCCCACCTACACACACACACACACACACACACACACAGACACACACACACACACACGACTATCAGAGGACTTCTCAGTAGAAACCTTGCAAGCCAAAAGTGAGTGGGATGATGTATTTTAAATCCTGAAAGAAAAAGACTGGCAATGAAGAATACTATACTCAGCAATCCTTTATTTCAAAAATTAGGGAATGATAAAGACTTTCTCAGACAAACAAAAGCTGAGAAAGTTTATCACCACTAGACATGCATTACCAAAAAAAAAATTGCTAAAGGAAGTTCTTCAAGCTGAAGGAAAAGGATGCTGATAAGTCACATAAAATTATATGAAAATATAAAACTCATTAGTAAAAGTAAATACATTGTCAAATACAAAACACCCTAATACTTAAACTGCAGTGAGTAAATCAATTATATCTCTACTATAAATGTCAAAGTACAAAACTATTAATAACAACTAAAGCCACAATAATTTGCTAAGGGATATATATTATAAAAAATGTGAAGTGTGGTATCAAAAACATGAAACATGAAAAGAAAGGGGGTAAATGTAGAGAATTTGTGTATGTGGTCAAAATTAAGCTATTATAGCTTAAATTACCCTGCTGTAAAATGCTTTATATAAGCCTCTGGGTAGCTGCAAAGCAAAAGCCTATGATAGATACACAAAAGATAAAAAGAAAAGAACTAAAGCATTCCACTACAGAAAGCCATCAAATCACAAAGAAAGCAAGAAGATTAAGATGGCAGACAGGAGGCAGGACTAGCTTGCAGTTCCTGCTCGGATGGACACAGCAGTGTGTGGAAACTCACATCATGAACTTTTGCTCCAAGAACTACCACAGGAACATTCCAGGAAAGCCAAGAGAATCCATGAAGGAACTGGATCACCACTGCAGGCTCCCTGAGATGCCGAAAAACTGCGAGTCAGTTTGCTTTCTCAATGGAGAGGCTGGTGGTCTGGGACAAGTTCTCAGCCCTCATCACCGGTTGCCTGGAAATGGACTCAGTGCTGTTGAGAGGGGAGGGCATGGTGGGAGAAAGACCAGCCTTTAGGACTGCAGGCTGCATGGGAGCAGGATGACTCCTGTGACTGCCAGCTTTCCCCCACTTCCCTGGTGACCTGTGTGACTCAGCAGAGGCAGCCATAATCCCCTTGAGAATATAACTCCACTGGACTTGGAACCACACCCCCATCCTCCACGACAGCCACAGCAAGCCCCTCCAAAGGAGAGGCTGAGCTCAGACATACCTATCCCTGCTCCCACCTGGTGGTCTTTTTCTGCCCACCCTGAGAGCCAAAGACATGGAGCATTCTCCAAGATAGACCATATGATAGACCATAAAACAAGTCTCCCTAAATTTAAGAAAATCAAAATTATATCAAGAACTTTCTAAGACCACAGTAGAGTAAAATTGGAAATTAATTTCATAAGGAACCCTCAAAACCATGCAAATACATGGAAATTAAATAACTTGCCCTTAATGATCATTGGGTAAACAATAATATCAAGATGGAAATTTAAAAATTATTTGAACTGAATGATAATAGTGACAGAACCTATCAAATCCTCTGGAATACAGCAAAAGCAGTGCTAAGAGGAAAGTTCGTAGCATTAAATGCCTGCATCAAAACATCTGAAAGAGCACAAATGAACAATCTAAGGTCATACCCCATGGAACTGGAGAAACAAGAACAATCCAAACCCAAGCCCAGTGAAGAAAAGAAATAACAAAGATCAGAGCAGAACTAAACGAAATTGAAACAAACAAACAAAAAAATACAAAAGATAAATAAAACAAAAAGCTGGTTCTCTGAAAAGAGAGTTGATAGACCATTAGCAAGAATAACCAAGAAGAGAGAAGATTCAAATAAGCTCAATTAGAAACAAAACAGAAGATATTACAACTGATACCACAGAAATACAAATGATTATTCAGGGATACTATGAACACCTTTACACACATAAACTAGAATACCTAGAGGAGATAAATAAATTCCTGGAAATATACAACCCTCCTAGATTAAACCAGGAAGATACAGAATCTCTGAACAGAAAAATAACACGCAGCGAGATTGAAATGGTAATAAAAAACTTGCCAACGAAAAAAATTCCAGGACCAGATGGATTCACAGCTGAATTCTATCAGACATTCAAAGAAGAAATGGTGCCAATCCTATTGACACTACTCCAAAAGATAGAGAAGAAGGGAATCCTCCCTAAATCATTTTATGAAGCCAGTATCACCCTAATACCAAAACCAGGGAAGGACATAACACAAAAAGAAAACTACAGACCAATATCCCTGATGAACATAGATGCAAAAATCCTCAACAAAATACTAGCAAACTGAATCCAACAGCATATCAGAAAGATAATCCAGCATGATCAAGTGGGTTTCATACCAGAGATTCAGGGGTACTTTAACATATGTAAGTCAATAAATGTGATACACCATATAGACAGAATTAAAAACAAAAATCACATGATCATCTCAATAGACACAAAGAAAGCATCTGACAAAATCCAGCATCGCTTTATGCTTAAAACCCTCAGCAAAATCGGCTTAGAAGGGACATACCTTAAGGTAATGAAAGCCAACTATGACAAACCCACAGCCAACATTATACTGAACAGGGAAAAGTTTAAAGAATTCCCCCTGAGAATTGGAACAAGACAAGGATGCACACTTTCACCACTTCTGTTCAACGTAGTACTGGAAGTCCTAGCCAGAGCAATGAGACAAAGAGAAAGAAAGAAAGGACATCCACATTGATAAAGAGGAAGTCAAACTGTCGCTGTTTGCTTATGATATGATCATATACCTAGAAAACCCTAGAGATTCATATAAAACTCCTAGAACTGGTAAATGAATTCAGCAAAGTTTCAGGATACAAAATTAATGTACACAAATCATTAGCTCTAGTATACACCAACAATGACTACGGTGAGAATCAAATCAAGAACTCAACCCAACCCCTTTCACAATAGCTACAAAAAAAATTAAGTATATACCTAACCAAGGATGTAAAACACCTCTACAAGGAAAACTACAGAACACTGCTGATAGAAATAATAGAAGACATAAACAAATGGAAACACATCCTATGCTCATGGATGGGTAGAATCAATATTGCAAAATTGACCATACTGCCAAAAGCAATCTACAAACCAACACAATTTCCATCAAAATACCACTATCATTCTTCAAAAAATTAGAAAAAAAAAATCCTAAAATTCATATAAAACCAAAAAAAGAGCCTGCATAGCCAAAGCAAGACTGAGCTAAAAGATCAAATCTAGAAGCTTCACATTACCCGACTTCAAACCATACTATAAGGCCACAGTCATCGCAACAGTGTGGTACTGGTATAAAAATAGGCACATAGACCAATGGAACAGAATGGGGAACCCAGAAATAAAGCCAAATACTTATAGCCAACTGATCTTTGACAAAGCAAACATAAGATAAAGTGGGGAAAAGACACCTTATTCAACAAATGGTGCTGGGATAA
This sequence comes from Homo sapiens, assembly GCF_000001405.40. NCBI lineage: Eukaryota > Metazoa > Chordata > Mammalia > Primates > Hominidae > Homo > Homo sapiens. The sequence continues at coordinate 26,023,039 of NC_000003.12, read as the reverse complement.
CTGGCAAGGCACATGTAGAAGAATGAAACTGGATCCTCATCTCTCATCTATATAAAAATCAACTTAAGATGGATCAAATGGATCAAAGGCTTAAATCTAAGACCCGAAACCATAAAGATTCTAGAAGATAACATTAGAAAAACACTTCTAGACATTGGCTCAGGCAAAGACTTCATGATCAAGAACCCAAAAGCAAATGCAACAAAAACAAAGATAAATAGGTGGACTAAATTAAACTAAAAGGCTTCTGCACAGCAAAAGAAACAATCAACAGAGTTAACAGACAACCCACAGAGTGGGAGAAAATCTTCACAATCCACACATCTGACAAAGGACTAACGACCAGAATGTACAAAGAACGCAAACAAATCAGCAAGAAAAAAACAAACAATCCCATCAAAAAGTGGGCTAAGGACATGAATAGACAATTCCCAAAAGAAGATACACAAATGGCCAATAAGTGTATGGTAAAATGCTCAACATCACTAATTATCAGGGAAATGCAAATCAAAACTACAATGCAATATCATCTCATTCCTCCAAGAATAGCCATAATCAAAAAATAATAGATGTTGGCATTGATGTGGGAGAAAGAGAACAATCTTACACTGTTGGTGGGAATGTAAACTAGTACAACCACTATGGAAAACAGTGTGGAGATTCCTTTAAGAAATAAAAGTAGATCTCCCATTTGATTCAACAATCCCACTCCTGGGTATCTACCCATAGGAGAAGAAGTCATTATATGAAAAAAGATACTTGCACACACGTTTGTAGCAGCACAATTTGTAATTGCAAAAATATGGAACCAGCCCAAATGCCCATCAATGAGTGAATGGATAAAGAAAGTGTGATATATAAGTACACCATGGAATACTACTCAGTCATAAAAAGGAATAAAATAATGGCATTCACAGCAACCTGGATTGAATTGGAGACCATTATTCTAAGCGAAGTAACTCAAGAATGAAAAATCAAACATTGTGTGTTCTCACTATGGGGACGCAAAGGCATAGTAATGATACAATGGACTTTGGGGACTTGGTGGAAAGAGTGGGAGGGCACTAAGGGATAAAAGACTACACAGTGCATACAGTATGCATTGCTTGAGTGGTGGGTGCACCAAAATCGGAGAAATCACCACTAAATAACTTACTCATGTTACCAAACCCCATCTGTTCCCAAAAACCTATTGAAATAAAAAATAAAAACCAAAAAAAAGCAAGATAGAAGGAAGGAAAAAAAGATCTACAAAACAACAATAAACAATAAACAAAATGGCATGAGTCAGTTTATATCTATCAATAATAATCTTGAATGTAAATGGATTAAAATCCCCAATTAAAAGATATAAAATGGCTGAATGTATTTTTTAAAAAAAGCAAGACACAACTACAGTTGTCCCTCAGTATCCACGGAGGATTGTTCCCAGGACCCCCACACATATCAAAATTCATGTGATGTTCACGTACTGTATACAAAATGGTGTAGTATTTGCATATAACCTATCTACATCCTCCTATATACTTTAAATTATCCCTAGATTACTTATAACAGTGAAAAAGCCTACAGAATGAAAGAATGAAATCCTGTCATTTGTGGAAACATGAATGAGCCTGGAGGACATTGTGTTAAGTGAAATAAGCCAAACACAGAAAGACAAACAACACATGTTCTCACTCATATGTGGGAGCTAAAAACCTTGATCCCATAAAAGTAGAAAGTGGAATAGTAGTTACTAGAGGCTTGATGGGTACAAATTTACAGTTAAATAGAAGGAAAAATTTATAGTGTTCTATAGCACAGCAGGGTGACTGTAGTTAACAATAATTTATTGTATATTTCAAAATGGCTAGAAGAATTTTGAATGTTATCAACATAAAGAATTGATAAATGTTTGATCTTACTTGATCATTACACATTGTATACATGTATCAAAATATCACATGTATCCCATAAACATGTACAATTATTATCAATTAAAATTTAAAAAAATTAAAATTTAAAAAGGCATCTGGTTTCAGGATATTATATATAAAGAAATCCCTTTCTTTATATATAATATCAATGCCACAATCTTTTCTGTCATACTTCCTAATGTAAGAATAAAAGTTTGGGGGACAGTAAGACCCATAAAATAAAGCCATATAAAGTGAGGCTGCTTTTTCAAGAAACAACAGGTGCTGGAGAGGATGTGGAGAAATAGGAACACCTTTACACTGTTGGTGGGACTGTAAACTAGTTCAACTATTGTGGAAGACAGTGTGGCGATTCCTCAAGGATCTAGAACTAGAAATACCATTTGACCCAGCCATCTTATTACTGGGTATATACCCAAAGGATTATAAATCATGCTGCTATAAAGACACATGCACACATATGTTTACTGTGGCACTATCCACAATAGCAAACACTTGGAAGCAACCCAAATGCCAATCAATCATAGACTGGATTAAGAAAATGTGGCATATATACACCATGGAATACTATACAGCCATAAAAAAGGATGAGTTCATCTCCTTTGTAGGGACACGGATGCAGCTGGAAACCATCATTCTGAGCAAACTATTGCAAGGACAAAAAACCAAACACCGCATGTTCTCACTCACAGGCGGGAATTAAACAATGAGAACACTTGGACACAGGAAGGGGAACATCACACACCGGGGCCTGTCGTGGGGTGGGGGGAGCGGGGAGGGATAGCATTAGGAGATATACCTAATGTAAATGACGAGTTAATGGGTGCAGCACACCAACATGGCACATGTATACATATGTAACAAACCTGCACATTGTGCACATGTACCCTAGAACTTAAAGTATAATAATTAAAAAAAAAATGAGGCTGCTTTAGACCAAGTCTGCCCCTAGATTTTTGTTCTTAAAGTGCCTCTTACTTAACTGGAACCAGTCTGAGAGGAAAACAGAATTTTCTAAACTTTGGGGGCTGCAGTATTCTACGATTAGGATTTCTCAAAAGATCCTACAATAATACCATTTTGAATTTGTGGTCTTGCTCGCTCTGGTTCATAGGGTAAAAAAGAAAAAACGTCTAAACTAGTTCCCCTAGTCAGCCTCAAAGAATCAACTTCCTACATATTTTCCTCTCTATACGAGACCAACTCCCACATGAGACAGGAATAGCTTTGAGATATCAGAATATATTTCCTATTCGGAAGAAACAGCAGATAAAATGTAGGCTCATTTTTACCTAAGCAAAAACACTAATCAGCTTATAGACACCAGAGAAGCATACACAACCCAACGGTGTGTGAGGACTCAAATGCAATAAACCGTGGGTCTTCTTTTGAAAAGCAATTAGGAGTCATCCAATACCCATGAGTTAATCTATATGAAGGGTTTAATTTGGGCAGCCTTCTATTCTGCCTTCCTTTCCTTCCTCTAATTGAACAAACAAATGCATTAGTCAGCAAGGCCAAGTCTTCTAGGGTGAAATATCTTGTGGTTCTAACCATTCTGCCTCATTTCCAGGATATTAACAGGATAATTGAAGATGATTTTAAAGATAATAAGATATAGCCCTTTGGAAGAAAAGCAGATTGGAGGCTTCCAGCAAGTCTATTGCTAAACATACTCACTGAAACTTAATATATTAAAAGCATTTCTTTCCTAAGGTGTGATCATCTTAAAAAAGCTTTTCAGGGAAACACTCCTGTTTGGGGCCCACAAAAAGAGCCTAGCACTGAAGCCAATTCTAATTTCCAGTGGGTGAAAGTAGTCCAGGAATTCTCTACGCACAGAGGGAAAAGTCAATCATTATCTGCTGACTGAATCATACATTCAGCAGGGATGAAGATCTAATTTGCAGTAAATGACATGGACAGTCTTTAAATATTTTGACAGTTACCCCTGTTGTCAGCTGGATTTTTCACCTGCAGATGTTGTTATTTGACAATACCATCTGCCTTAAGTACAAGTGCTTTATTATTTTCTGTGGTCAGGCCAATTTTCCAGATGCTTCCTCTTCCTTAAAAGTTAGCAAGGAAAAAAACATGAATACAGCCAGGCACAAAGAAGACTGCTATCCCAGCAGCAGCTGCTGTAGCAGTCTGACCTTCTAGAACACTGATGCTTTACTTTCTTTCCTGCCCAGTAAAGGTGGGGTAAGCTGTCTGTCAAAAGCATGCCATTCTAAAACACATGGAAACAGGGAGGGCCTCTGTCTTCCTGGAACTTAAGTTCTAGTGGAAGAAAGATGGACAATAAGCAGGTAAATAAATCATGTCAGATAGTAATAAGTGTTATGAAGAATGAAAGTAGTTGTAATAAGACACAGTAACTGAGGGATGAAGGTGGGTGGCTATTTTAGATAGAAAGATCAAGAAAATTCTCTTATGGGAAGTATGACATTTGAGATGAAAGCTGAAGGATAAACAGTAGCCAAACTAGTTTTAACACTTTAGAATGTTTTTTACACTTCTTTTTAGATGTGCTTATATAATTTATTTTTTGGTAGTTTTACTGTACATTTATTTAAAAAAAAAAGAAAACAAAAGACAAATCCAAGTTTTCCAGGCAAATAAACTCATATCTTTATCACATCTGATATTATCATCTTCTATATAAGCTTTTAATTAAATTGTTTCTACATGCTTCATATTGTTTGATTTGATTAAATGTCTCCTATTATTCATCGTGCAAATCTTTCATAAGCTAAAATAAAAACAAACATTAATAAATTTTTACCTTGTAATGTAAAAAAAAAAAACAACCAAGAAAGGGTTTTTTAATGCTATTCTATGCTAAAATGTTGGCACTCTTGTTTTTCAAACCTTATTTCTCAAAACTGACAGTAGCCTCAAGAAGTTTAATGATACTGGTCCTGGCATTTTTTGCCATATTTATTACATAGCAATAGTATTTACAACGCTGAAGTAGCTGACACATATTGGTAGTCACTGTATAATTTTGAACACAGTTATAAAAATTTAGTTTGTGGATTAACTCTGTACCCTGTCATCTTTTAGCCTGCCTGTTCTTTCTTGGAATAAAATACATATCCTTTAGGGTCAAGATCCACATTTCCAGAATATTCTCAGCCATCTGGTTCAGGTACAGGGTAAAGTTAGGCTGGAAATAAGACATTATTAACTAAAAGAAGCTTCTTTTGCCATACCTACTTCCCAAGGGCTCTGTTTGTAAAAAGAGTACAGACCAGAAATCCTGTGCCTTGCTGAATTCTTTCCACAGTGCCATCCTATTGCTGAGCTTTCGTTTCCTCATTTTTTACATGAGGAACAAAATATCTGCCCTATCACCGCTTACAGGTGTGATTTATAGATTTAAGGAGAATATATCAAAATACTTTATAACCCACAAAACATAAATTTATATAATGCTAGCCACTTTGAATGTAACATCCTCTAAATTCTAGAAATAGTACTAGAAGCTTTTAATATATAGTGTTACCTCTTAATTCTCAACACAACCCCTCAGTTTTTATAATTACATTCAGTATATAAAGGAGTTAAGAGAACTGCAAAAAAAGTTAGGTAATTTGATAAAGGTCAAATAGCTAGAGGGGGCAGGTGGGACTCAACCCAATATTGCTTCCAAATAGAGGCTTTACTTCTCCCTTCCACTCAGAGCTAACACAACAGCCTTATTTAATATCATTAAGAATGGTGGGTGAGACTAAGAAAACTTGGGATGGGGAGGAATCAATGAATAACCTATTTTGACAAAGAAAACACCCTGATAAGATCTATGCTGTATTTTAGAATCCCTGGGCTTCATATATTGTTTTATAGTTTTTATTAATCAACTATAAGATGAAAAGGGAAAAATAAATGTTCAGATGCAAAAATATGATATGCCATCCCACCCAAGCTTATATTTTAAAATTCTACTTTACTCATTTTATCAAGCATATGAATAAATCAAAAGTAACATGAAATAAGAAAAACATAAAGACTTCCTTTGCTTTTGGAAAAAAGCTGAGGAAAAACAGAAAATTATTTTTAGAAATACAGAAAAAAGTTGTTTTTATAGTAGCCAATATGCCCTCATTAGTCATTAAGACACATTTCTGTTTGTAACCTTAATACAGCCATGTATTACTATTTATAAAAATCAAGTATTCCAGTAAAAACTGAGTATTTCACCACACTGATCTTCAAATTGCATCATTAAAAATGTAGTTATACACACCAATTTCTAATCTCAGAACATTCTACACCATAGATTTTAATCATTGGAATAAATAATTGGTCAGAAAAGCAGCACTGCCTCAATTACAATATGGTTTGCCAGTCAATATTCCTGTTATCCAGTGAAAAGATTTCATGAGCAGAAACATTGAGCTCCTTGTGTTTTCACCAATCAAGAGAACATGTCTGGGCCGGGCACAGTGGCTCACACCTGTAATCCCAGCACTTTGGGAGGCCGAGGTGGGCAGATCACTTGAGGTCAGAGTTCGAGACTGCCTAGCCAACATGGGAAAACCCCATCTCTATTAAAAATACAAAAAATTAGCCAGGCGTGGTGACAGGCTCCTGTAATCCCAGCTACTCAGGAGGCGGAGGCAGGAGAATTGCTTGAACCCAGGAGGCGGAGGTTGCAGTGAGCTAGACCGTGCTACTGCACTCCAGCCTGGATGACAGAGTGAGACTTTATCTCAAAAAAATAAAAATAAAAAAAGAGAGAACATTTCTGAGCAGCTTCCATGCAGACATTTTTAACAGGTTGACACAGATCTATAGTCTTCGCTCCTCATAATGGCACTGCCAGACACAGTCATGTGAGCTCCTACCTCTGCACCCTTATGGACAATATCAGGACCTACTCCACCATCACCTCTATATCCAAAGATAGGAGCTGGGTCTGCAACCAGTGAACTTTTGGCATCATATCTTTCATAAATTTCTGTTCTTCAAATCCAGGTTCCACTGTCATTACCAAGGCCATATCTATTTTATTAGTGCACAGTGCCAAATACTCAACTGTAGTTCCCAGTTTAATGGCAAGGCCAACATTCATCCCATTCTCCCAAATGTCTTTAATCAAAGTCCTTGGGTTCTCAGTAGCCTCAAGATGAAAGGTGGTGTGCTGATTGGCGCCTCCTCTGGCCATTGGCTTTACCCACTGTTTACAGCCTAAACCCTCTCATGTGCATGTCAAAGAAAAGAGTCCTGACCTGGCTGCTTTTGAAGGCTTTCTACCATAGTGTGGCCAAATGTGACGCTGGGAACAAACTGCAAAAAACTGACTGTCCTAAAGAGCAGGGTCCGTGTTCGTTACATCCAGGTACAGATAATCGACCACAGAGTCGATTATCTGGAGGCACCTGTTCCCTAAATTGGCCGAGCCACTGTTGAGGATAGGTGGGCCAATCTTGCAGTCTGACACCATAGTCTTGGCTTATATAATTTATAATATAATGTTTTCTTGCTCTATTATAGAATTATCTTTAGATATTCGTCCACAGCATAATTTTAACATTTTATTTGAAGAGAAATAAACACACTAAGAAATTAACCATCACCTGTAATCCCTCCATGTAAAAGCAATCATATAATGAAGTTAAAGTTTCCCATTCTTCTGCCTCTTTTGTCTTTCCAATCCCTATGCCCCTGTTCCTAACTCTCATTGCTGTGCCAGAGGAATTGCTAGTAACAATCTGCTTGATGACTGAATTACTGACAAGCATTCTGTATTGACATATTTAATTCAAATGTGGTAGATAATTTGAAAAGGCTTAAGAGTTCTCCCATTGTTATTTTCCCTGGATATAATTTTACCTTTCCTGTGCAAAAACCAGTACAAGTCCCAAAGGCTGCAGACTGTCCTCAGTTCCCTTTTAATTGTGTAAGTGAATGGCAAGCACCAAATAAATAGTGGCTCCTCGCACCACAGTAACAATGAGAAATGATAGACCATGAGCTATGTGTCCAATAGTCAGCAAAAGATTTTACGTATATCCTTATTTAATCCTCACAAAACAAACACTCTACACTACACTGTCTATACTGTCTCTGTAAATGTCCCTATTTTAGAAGTGAGGCTCGGAGATTAAATAAATTGCCCAACATCACATAGTAAGAGACATGCAAAGGTTTATGTTCAGGTCTGGCTGATTTCATCAGCCCTGCTCTAGATGAAGGGTTGGCAAACTATGGCCCAAACCAGCTCACCACTTGTTCTTGTACAGCCTCAGAGCTAAGAATAAATTTTACATTTTCTGATGGTAAGGAAAAAAAAGAATAGTCTCTTGTGACATATAAAAATTATATAAAATTCAAATCTCAGGGTCCATAAATTGTTTCATTGGACCACAGCTACACTCATTTGTTATGTATTATCTATGGCTGCTTTCACACTACAACAGCAGAGCTAAGTAGCTGAATTGTTGTAACAGAGATGCAATATCCTGCAAAAACTATTTAACATCATAATTTAAGAAAAAGTTTTCCAACCCCTCCTCTAGATAGCCAAGCACCTCATGGGCAGCAAATGAGTAACAGGCTTTGTTATTCTCACTTTAATCAGAAAAACTGAGTTACTACAATATCATGGTATTAGATGGTTTGATACAGGAATCAGGAGTTACAGGAAAGTGGAAAAAACTACAAGAGTGAAGATCTGGAGTCTTCAGCTGGAGGATCAGGGAAACTGCCACTATAATTTCAACTTGAAGTGCCAGAGTGGGTAAAGAAAGCAGGGCTCATGGGGAACTCCAAGGAACCACCACCTCTGGCTTCACAACCCGAAAAGGGAGCTCAGGAAGAGCTCTGCAAAGCAACCATGTCTAGCAGTCAAGAGCTCCCAAAAATGATGGCTTCTTTTCACTTTTGCTTTCCAAATCTCTGCAAGTTCCTCCCAGTGGTAAACACTAACTCTGACCTATAGTGGAAAAGGAATTCTGGGAAACAGGCCCAGCCTTAGAACGAAATGATGATTGTGTAGATTTGACAACATAATCCAGCATATGTCCCAACCAGTGTTTGGCAATACCATAGGCACTATTTCTCTAGCAGTAGTCAGTACCTGCAAAAAGCCTGCCATCTTGCCTGTGGTGGAGATGTAAATTGGGGCCCTAGGATACCCATGGCAGGTCAGGATGTAACCTTCTTAGCCCATATCTGCTAGGTGTGGCAGGTTTGCTTGCCCAGCCTTCTACTAAACCCCTTATTCACAGTACTTATGCTGTTTCGCCTTTGGGATTGGATCCAGACTTGAACCACAAACTATTCAACTAGGTACCCAGTATTTTATTATCTTCATTGTCAGATTGTGTTCATTGTCATTAAAAGGGACTTCCCTAGTGCCCACTTCTGCCTCCGAGCTGTGCTGGGTGCCTTATAAACTTCATCTCATTTAATACACTCAATAACCCCTCCAGGTAGGGAGGTTTAACCTCTTTTTACAGATGAGGAAACTAAAGTTTGAAGAGATTAAGAAAACTGCCCAAATTCACAGTGTAAATGGTAAAGCCAGGCTTGAGTCTCTGTTCCGTATGATTCCCAAAGCCAGTAGAGCAGACTACTGTGCTCTGTGCCACAGCCAAGTTCTTCTCAGACTCTGCTTCCAGAATGCTTCCCTTCACTGTGGCTTACAAATTGGAGAGTTTTTATTTGCTGGTAATCTAATTGCCCACAACCGTGTTCTAATCCTCCCTCAAATTAGACCCTTGAAAACTTCCAGATTCAACTAGATTTCACTAAACTTCTTAGATCATATTAACTACTGAATTTATCCTAGATAGGTATGGGTATCGGATATATTGTCTTTCTGGTTCTTTTTTAGCAGCCCTGAATCAGTCAACCCATCTGCCCTACTAGTTCTCAACACACAGCATAGTCCAGGGTGTTCCTGACTATGACAACAAAGAGTTGTCCTAATAAGTAATCTCCTCTCCCCTAAGATAGGTAAGTATAGGGTAAGAACTCAAGTGTGGACTCATGAGACTGCCTGTTTTAATCCAGGCCCTATCAATTACCACCTGTGCATGACCTAACCCCTGTGCCTCAGTGTTCTCCTCTATAAAATAGGAACGATAGTAATCGTACCTACTTTACACAATTACTGTGAGAATTAAGTAAATTAAGACATTCAAATAACTTACTGCAATGGGGTATTTAATATAAGCACACACTATTGGCCATGTTTATGATGATTATCTTCATAAATCAAAAACATCAGAAAACACTTGCTTTTCAAAATGATGCACAGACACTTTCTACCTAAGCCAATTTGACCAATGGCTTCTGGTCTGATAAAATGGTTTCTCAGTATAATAATGATAAAAATAATTAATAGTAGTTAGCCAGTATGGTGCCTTGTAATTTTGAAATAGCTTTCTCATTAATCATAAGCATGCACAATTATTTTTGCTCATGGCCTAAATCTCCAGTTAATGGATTCTGAACTGAGGCTATGTCAGATCAGCCAGAAGGTGTGCGGATTTGTGAAGAAGCAGAAAAGGGTTCGGAAAGCTGGTGTTCAATTGCTAATGCATGTGGGACCCTGTGCAGCTGATCTGCATGCTAATTGCCTTGCTAGAAACTAGATTATGCAGAACAGACACAAGCAATATTACAGTATCAGTGACATTCTCTTTCCTTCTCCCTCTCTCCCTTCCCCCATCTCTATTCTTGCTGCCTATCTCCATCATGCAATCTCTTTGTCACCAGAGAAGAGAAACACTCCACCCTGTCCCCAAAATGAAGGAAGAAATCTGAAAATAGTCTTTTATGGAGTCTCCACAGCGGGAAAGTAATTGTCAAAATAACCTTTGGGATCCAGGCACACTAAAATGGCTTTAGGCATGAGAGTATCATGGTCAAATTTGCATTATAGAAAGATCCACCTGGAAACATAGATAAAGGGATTGAAGAGGGACTAACCTGAAAGCAGGAAGTATCTGTTACAGTAATCTAGGGCAATATTATAGTGGTCTGAATAAGGTGCTGTTAAATGGAAAGAAATGGATACATGGGGGAGGCATTTAAGAATTAGATCTAAAGACTAATTGGATAAGGGGTTGAGAAAAAAGGAGAAGTCAAAGATGATCCCCAAGGGTTTGTCACAGGCAACAGGATCCTCTGGGCCTAGAGACAATTAGTAATACAAATTATTTGATTAAATGGCCTCACACAACCAATTCATTAACATAATGAGTTAATATAGTCCTATTAGTACAGGACTATATAAGCTAATATATTCCTATTAATGTTGAGACTGCCTACCCATAAAACATTCGAATATGAGAGAATCATTGACAGGAGTATTCAAGAAACAATCATCAGCTGTGCCAGGAACCAGGGAAGAGAGAGATGACTAGGACATGTAATGCAACATATGCAAAGGACAATTTATAAGTATTATAATAAGGTAAAAATTTGATTAATTCTATATAGAAATATAGGGAGACAGAAAATAATTTTCAACCTGCCAAAATAAGCAGTGGCTTCAGAAAAAAAAGTGTGGAATGTAAACCGTTCCTTGAAGAATGAGCAGAATTTCAACAGCAAAGACATTCCATATGATAAAATGGTTTGAGCAAAAACTCACGAGTATGTAAATGTGCTCACCATATCCCAGGAATGCTGAGTACTATTTGTCTTCTAATCTTTGACATACGATGCGCTATCAGCATAATAGGATCTGGGAGATGTTGCAGAGAGAAATACATTAAATTACATTTCAGTTTTGAAATGCATCTTATTTGCGTACGTAAAGGAAAAAAGTGTATCTTGGAATCAACAGTAGCTAAATGTGACCCAGGAAACACATTGTTCAGGGGAAGTTAAAGCAGGAGAAAGTCTGGAAGCAGGAGTTTATATTTGATCTTGGTGACAATGGTGGTGCATTCAAAAGTTTTTGAGCAGAAGGGTGTTGCTATTAGATTTGTATTTTAAGATGAGGTCTTCAGTGCAAAAAGTCAAGAAAAAGAAACAAAACTTCAGAAAGAGTGAGGTAAAATTGTCTCTATTTGCAGATGACAAGAATGTTCATGTAGTAAGTCCTAAACAATCTACAATGTAACTCACGAAGTAATACATGAATTTATCAATGTCACAGAATACAAGCTTAATATTATATATACATATGCTTCAAAAATTGGAAAATGAAAATTTTTAAGATACCTTTTACAATACCATCAAAACACATAACATACTTAGGAATAAGTTTAACAAAAGACCTCTACACTGAAACTACACAATACTGCTATATTAGTCCATTTTCACACTGCTATAAGGAATACTACCTGAGACTGGGTAATTTATAAAGAAAGGAGATTTAATTGACTCACAGTTCCACATAGCTGAGGAGGCCTCGGGAAACTTAAATCGTGGCAGAAGGGGAAGCAGGCACATCTTACATGGTAACAAGCGAGACAGAGCGTGTGTGCAGGAGGAACGGTCAAACACTTATAAAACCATCAGATCTCGTGAGAACTCACTCACCATCATGAGAACTGCATGAGGGAAACTGCCCCCATGATCCAATCATCTCCCACCAAGTCCCACCCTTGACATGTGGGATTTATGGGAATCACAATTCAAGATGAGGGCTGGGCACAGTGGCTTACACCTGTAACCCCAACACTTTGAGAGGCTGAGGCAGGCAGGTTGATCGAGCTCAGGAGTTCAAGACCAGCCTGGGCAATAGAGTGAAACCCCAACTCTACAAAAAATACAAGAATTAAAAAATAAAAAACAATTCAAGATGAGATCTAGGTGGGGGCCAGAGCTAAACCATATTAACTGCTGAGAGAAAGTAAAGAAGACAGACCTAAATACCATGCTCATAGATTGAAAGGGTCAATATTGTTAAGATGTTAGTTCCCCCAGAATAAATCTATACATTTATTAATCCCAAATCATAATGGCGGTAGACCTTTTTCGTAGAAATTGACATATCAATGCTAAAATTTGTATAGAATTGCCAATGACCTTTAGGTAATATCTGAAGTAATCCTGAAAAGGAAAAACACTTATATTTATACTACATAATTTCAACACTTATTATAAAGCCACAGTAATCAAACCATTTGTAACTGGTATAAGGGTAGACAAATAGATCAACAGAACAGAATCAAGAGCCCAGATAAAGCTTCACAAGTATATTGTCGTTTGATTTTTGGCAATGGAACATAATCAATCTGATGAAGGAAGGAAAATCTTTTAATAAATAGTGTTTGTACCACTACATAACCACGTGGAAAAAATAAACCTTGACCCTTACCTTACACTATACTCAAAGTTAACTCAAAATGGCTCATAAATCTAGATGTAAACATTAAAACTATATAAAAGTTTTAGATTACATAGAAGCTTATTTGCCTGATAGGTAAAGTTTCTCAGATAGGATGCAGAAAGCCAGAATGATTTTTAAAAAATGCTAAATTAGACTTTATTATAATGAAAAACTCAGGCCTCAAAATACACCATTGAAAAAACAATAGACAAGTCACAGGAGAAAATATTTGAAAAATATATCTGAGAAAGGGTATGTATCTAGAAATATTTTTTAAACTTCAAAAGCTTAATAAAATCAAAATATAAACACTCTAATCTTTTAGATAGGCAAGAGATTTGTAAATGTCTCAAAAAAGATAAAAGCTGGCCAATAAGCACATGAAAAAGTACTGTGTATCAGTCATCATCAGAGAAACACAAATTAAAAAATCACACTACCAGAATGGCTAAAATAAAAAAGAAACAACACTAACTGTTAGTGATGATGTGGAGCACCAAAATTTCATACATTGTCAGTGAGAGTGGAAAATGAAACAAACATTTTAGAAAAGTCTGGCAGTTTCTTTTAGTTTTGTAAGCAATATACTCTATGGCCCATCAATTCCACTTCTAAGTACTTTCTCAAGAAAAATGAAAACACACATGAGAAAGCAAAGGAAGGAAGGAAGGAGAGAAAAAAAGAGAGAGAGAGAAAAGAAAAGAAAGAAAAGAAATTGTACACAATGTTAAGTCTATTCATAATTGTCATAAACTGGAAACAATCCAAATGCCCTCAAACATGAACATATGAACATGACTAAACAAACTGTAGGATACTAACTACTGAGCAATTATTATTATTATTTTTTTTTTTTTAGTCAGAGTCTCGCTCTGTCACCCAGGCTGGAGTGCAGTGGCACGATCCCAGCTCACTGCAAACTCCGCCTCCCGGGTTCACGCCATTCTCCTGCCTCAGCCTCCCCAGTAGCTGGGACTACAGGCGCCCACCACCACGCTCAGCTAATTTTTTGTATTTTTAGTAGAGACAGGGTTTCACCGTGTTAGCCAGGACCTCGTGATCCACCCGTCTCGGCCCCCCAAAGTGCTGGGATTACAGGCGTGAGCCACTGCGCCTGGCCACTACTGAGCAATTCTTAAAAATATACTACTGATACATGCAATAACATGAATGACTCTCGAAAGTTTCTAGACTGGATTTCTGACTGACTAAGCAAACAATGACTTTCACAATAGAGATAAAGAATGTAAAATAAATAATTTTGAAGGGAAATACATATGATTTGGTTTTGAACATATTACGTTTGGTATGCAAAAAGGATATATATGTGGAAATGGAGGTCTGGTATTAAGGAGAAAAACAGGCTTAAAGATAGCTATTTGGAAACCAATCAATCCAAGGAAGTAGATGTGTCAGCTTAAAGAAAGAGTGCACAAAATGGTTAAAAGAACAAGAGTTTTGAGAATACCCAAATCTAAAAGCACATAATAGGTACAGGAAAAAAAGGAGCCTAAAAATGATGAAAACGTGAAGGGCTATACCTATATAAAGTACAGCTCTCTAACAAAGGTACATTCACATAACATTTATCTTAAACTAGGAAAAAATATTGGGATAGACAGCTTCTGTTGCAAATGACATAAAAATCTTAATCAAAGTAGCTTAAGTTTCAAAAGTAAATAAATTTCCTGGCTTATATAAGTAATTCCCTGTCGTAGATTTAGCGTCAGATATGCTAATATCAGAAATCAAGTCAGGTCATTAGGACTCAGCTTTTCCCTGTCTCCTGGCTGCTGAACCATGGTGAGAAAGAAGATGGCTATGACCACTCCAACCTCACAATATCTCAGATGTAAGACCAGTGGGAAGAAAGGAAACTCACCTCCTCAGAAGATTAGATGACACACACAGAATTGAGCCAAATTTATTCTAAATAATCTACCATGAATTATGAAGCCATTCATGAACAAATATTGTTTTCAGGACAATACAGTAGAAAACCTGGCCCAGTTTCTTCCCTTGGAACTGGAAGGGAAGTCACTTCTGCTGGAACCCAATGTACTGAGGATGGTCTAGGTGGAGAGAGGGAAGAAGAGTAGGGAAGCAGGGACAGTGGATCACCAAAAGAAAATCAGGGCTGCTACCAGGAGTAACAAAAATGAGTAAACAAGTGCTGGTGTATGTAAACGAACAAACAAATGATAACCTCTATAAAACACAATACAGTAGAGTAGAAAAAGACACTTATGCTTCAAATATCAGCTCTGCAATTTAGCAGCCCTGAAAAGTTGAGAAAGTCACCTAAATTTTCTCAATCTTGGTTTTCTTATTTTTAAAAGAAATAGGAATAATAATATACAACACAGGATTATTGGAGAACTAAATTAAATCATGTATGTGAAAATATTTAGCATGCACACTTACTGGAATCACAAAAATCAAAAACACTGAAAATACCAAATGCTGGTGAGGATGTGGAGCAACAGGAACTCTCACTTCTTCCTGATGAGAATGCAAAATGGTACAGCCACTGTGGAAGACAGTTGGAAGCCTTTTGCAAAACTAAACATACTCTTACCATATGAGTCAGAAATCATACTCCTTTGTGTTCACCCAAAGGAGTTGAATGTCACTTAGTTGAAATCAGACAGTGTATATAATAGCTTTTATAGACTGACTTATCTCACTTAAATATGCATTTAAGTTTCCCCCATGTCTTTTTGTGGCTTGATAACAAATATTTTATTTCATGGGATCATCGACCAAAAAAATCTTAGATCAACTCCACGTAGTATTCCCTTTCATAAACTTTTCATTAGAAGCACCAAAATGTCCTAGGGTATGAGGGAGTACGAGTGGATTACCATATCAATCTAAGGATTAATAATACGTCAGTCACTATAACTTGGGAATATTGAGACAAATTAAGGGTAGACAAGATTTGGAGAAGGTAATGAAGCTGTAGGCATAGCTAGACCTATTCTAGAGCAAGAGGAGTTCTGGGCCTTTAAAGAAACTTAGTTAACAAGGAATACTAGTTCCATCTTTAATATCTCGCGGGACTGAGGTCTTGGGCCTTTCCACCTGGCGTTATCTCAGTAGACATCTCTTTGCCTGAGCACCTAATTTTTAAAAAACAACACACACACATACACACACACACACACACCCATATGTGCTTACATTTACTATATGTATATTATATTGTGTATATATAATATGTATAAAAACACATATGCATTATACATGCATATACATACATATATACACATTTACTGTATATGTAAATATGTATTGCAATAGAGTATGTATCTATCTATATCTATGTACCTATCTATTACCAGTTTATCTTCAAGGCAAAGAGAGTAGGTCTGGTGTGATTTCAACCTGCCAATTAATAAGTTAGTTTATATTTCCCTATATTCTTAATGTTATCTGGCATGGGAGAAAGTGAGATTTTAATCCATTTAATACAAATACAAATAATCCACTTAATACAAATACCTGAAATCACTTTTTAGACAGAATACATTTCCCAGAAGAAGAGAAAAACCAATAAATTGATCAACCACAGGATTGGTTTTCAGATAATTTTCTATTCTTGTGAAAAATCAAAAGTGAGCAAGAGGGCATCATAATGGATTCACTGGCACTTGGCCTTAAATGAAATTATACTGCACATCATATTAATTTTACACTTGGACTTTTTGAATCTCTCAACCAGAGCCTGATGTTCTCCAAAATTACAGTCACTGTTGAGAGCTTTACCTTTATAATAACCCCCACAGAAATCTGATTGTTTGGGTGATATCTGAATATCAGAAGTGGAAAATAATGTATCCTTTTTAGAGTGGATACAAGAACATCTTTTAAAGAAGAAAATGTCTTTATTTGCAATGCCCCACCTAGAGAGGGAGGTGAAATCTAACAGCATGAATGTTTGTAGGGTTCGGGGTGGCTGAACTGCTGTGTTTGAGATAAAACAAGAGTAATTTTGCTCCTGCAGGGATGGGATGGAGAAGAACGGGGGGAAAAGAAAAGACAGAGGAGGAGGAAAAACTGGTTAATGTGCAGTGTTCAACTTGAAGTTGTGTTACTGAAAAATAAATGCCAATTCTGTCTCCCCAAGGCCACTGCCACTCCCAAATTTTCAGTTAAACCTACCAGGCACATAAGTTGCCTGGTGGAAACCTTTTGAGGAAATTAAGAAAAGCACAAAGATTTACATCTATGTCTACGTGGTAAAGAACTGAGATAGCATTTAACGATTGTACACTGGGTCACAAATACAGGGACCAAAACTTTCCATGCCAGAATTTCTATAAAACAAAAGATCCTCTGGAAATTTGCAGAGATCTTAGAGACTGCCACAGGATAAGATATTTGAGGTTTGAACCAACCTTTCCTAGATCGGAAGGAAGAGAAACACTACAGCTGATAGCTGACTGCTACACACATAAGCATCTTGGGCAACAGAAGCTAAGGAACCCTTTGAGATATCCTTCAGCTTGCAGGAATATGATTTGAAGCTTGATTTTGCTGGTGTAAATTATTGATTTGGGGCCATCTGAAGGACAAACTACAAAAATATCCATAATAAACATGCTGGCTACTCGTATGAGTGAAAATCTACTGCTTGACTTTTTTAACAGATGACATAAAGGGGAATAAAGGCAGCAACAAGGCATAAATTTATAGAATAAGATTCTAAAAATAAATACAGTTGTGAAGATTGACAGAATAACAGAAGAAAGGGTAAGTGAAATAGGCCTTACCACTCCTTTGAGTTAAGCATCGCAGTTCCCCAGGGTATTTAACTTTTCTTTTCCCTTTTGTATATGTCATTTGAACAGCTTTTAGGTAGAGCTATTTTAAACTGACATATTTCATGATAGGCTGAGAGCACCATTCCTAATACAGAGCATATCCCTGGTGTAGCTTCATACCATCGTACATGACCTCGAAGAATTCAGCAACTGCGGCTTTCCACAAAGGAAAACATGCAGTACGGTATTTTCCTAAAGGTTACAACATTAAACTTGGTTGAAAACTAGTTAGAAAATCAAGTATGATAATCAATCCACTTTAATGAATCTGTTTCAAGTTTCTCTAATGTTTAATTATGTGAAAACTTGCCATAGATCCACATTCCTTCTGATACTATTCTAAATCTGGAAAAGAGCCAGGGTAAGTCCACATCAATAAATAGACTAAAAAGTAGTTACAAGTACTTTAAAAGATTTGTGCAAAAACTTCACCACCCACTTATAGGTCTATGTAAAATCACTATGTCCTTAAAATGTCCTACCATTCCCACAGTAGCATTTGCCATGAATTCCCTTCCCAGAAAGCCTCTAGAAACAACAAAAGAACAAAAGACCTTATCACTGGCCTTTAGAAAAGATAAAATTGCACCCTGTGTTTTTCACTACACAATCATAGGTCTTTGCTCAAGGTCAGGCATTTCCTTCTGCTCTTGATGAGTTTGCTGTAATTGCAGTTGGCACCACAAAAGCAGGTGCCCTGAGAGCTCCAATGTCTTTCAGCTGGAAGAAAGGGAAAAGAGGCTGAGGCTCCTTTGTTGTGTGACAGCCCTCTGATTTTAAAATATCTGCAATTTGTCAAAAGAAATGACAAATGTAGAAAAAAGAAAAGAATACTCTCCCAAAATATTAATGCCATCTGATTCATCTTGCCTTGGCCAGCTAAAGTGGTTTCTATGCATGCTACATGTGAACTCAAATGGTATATCTGGCTCTGTGGCAACAAGAGAAAGACTGGGAACAATCTGGAAACAGAATGACAACCAAGGAACATAGGAGTTGGACCAGAAATGACTCTCTCACCAGATCCTGCACAACTGCCTTAACTGATTTAAATAAAACATCATGATGAGAAATCTGAAATATATGAACATCATATTATTAAGCCATTTATTACCATGTGCCAATGTACCATTTAGTAGACTGAAGATTTCTAGGCAGAAAATTTATTAATATTCTACCCTCTCTCAATCTTCCAGCTCTACTCTCTGCAATCCCTATGAACTAATTTACCACCTTGGAGTACAAATAGGACAACATCTTCAAATAATCACTCATACTCTTACCTGCCTTTTTATCAGAAGTGCAGATTCCCTTCTGGGAGTCCCCATCACCATGCGGAATTATCTAAGTACCTAAATTATCTAAGTACCTAAGTATTGTAAAAGGGAATAATCCCCTTTACAATGAGTACAAAGAATAGAGTACAAAAAAAATGAGTACAAAAAAATAGAAATCCCAATCAATCAATACCTATAGGTATTAGATTGATAGATTCCAATCAATACCTATAGTGATGTCACATCCTCACCAACACTTGTTATTGTCTGCTTTTTTGTAATAGCCAACCTATTGTTGTGTGTGAAGCCACATCTTGTTTTGTTTTTCATTTTCATTTCCCTAATAGTAAATGATGTCAAGCATCTCCTTGTGTGCATAATGGCCATTTGTAAA
The DNA here is from genome assembly GCF_000001405.40 of Homo sapiens. Classification (NCBI taxonomy): domain Eukaryota; kingdom Metazoa; phylum Chordata; class Mammalia; order Primates; family Hominidae; genus Homo; species Homo sapiens. The sequence goes on along the minus strand of NC_000003.12, from coordinate 26,003,321 downwards.
TCTTCGTAGGTACACACATACGTAAATCCTTTGCCCAAATTTTAATTTTTTGTCTTTTTATTGTTGAGTTATAAGAGTTATATATTCTGGATGCTAGTCTCTCATAGATAAATAATTTGCACATCTCTTTTCCTATTCTGTGGGTTGCCATTCCACTTTCTTGATGTTGTTCTTTTAAGCACAAAAGCTTTTAATTATTTCTACAAACTGAATGTTTTTGTTCTCTAAAATTCATGTGTTTAAATCCTAATCAAATGTGACGGTATTAAACGATGGGGTCTTTGAGAAGTGATTAGGTCATGAGGATAGAGCCTTCATGAATGAAAATAGTGACCTTATAGAAGAGACCCCAGAGAGCTCTCTCAACCCTCCCATTATGTGAGGACACAGTGAGAAGACAGCTGTCTATGAAATAAGAAACGTGCCCTCACAAGACAGTGAATCTGCTGGTGTCATGATCTTGGACTTCCCAGACTCCAGCACTGTGAGAAATATACATCTGTTATTTATAAACCATCTAGTCTATGGTATTTGGTGATAGCAGCCCAAATAGACAAAGACAATTATGATGAAGTCAACTTTTTATATTTTTTATTTCATTGCTTGTGCTTTTGCTGGTACTTTGTTGAGGATTTTTACTTCTATGTTCATAAATAATATTGATCTGTAATTGTCTTTTTTTTTTTTTTTGAGATGGAGTTTCGCTCTTGTTGCCCAGGCTGGTGTGCAATGCTGCAATCTTAGCTCACTGCAACCTCTGCCTCCCAGGTTCAAGCGATTCTCCTGTCTCAGCCTCCCAAGCAGCTAGGATTACAGGTATGTGCCACCATACCCAGCTAATTTTCTATTTTTAGTAAATACGAAGTTTCTCCATGTTAGTCAGACTGGTCCCGAACTCCCAACCTCAGGTAATCTGCCTGCCTCGGCCTCCCAAAGGGCTGGGATTACAGGCATGAGCCACCGTGCTTGGCTGTAATTTTCTCTTCTTGTGATGCCTTTGCTTGATTTTGGTATGAGGGTAATATTGACTTCATACAACAAGTGGAAAAGTATTCCCTCCTCTTCTATATTTTAGAAGAGTTTATAAACATTCTGTAAAATTCACCAGTGAATCCACCATCAGGCCCTGCTCTTTTCTTTGTAACAAGGTTTTGATCACTAAGTCTTTTGTAGACAAAACATTGTTGGATTTTGTAAAATTTATCTTGCCAAACTGTGCCTTTTGATTGAAGTGTTTAATCCATTCGCATTTAACATAATTACTAATAAAGTAGAATTTATATCTGCCATTTTGCCATTTGTTTTTTATATGTTTTATGTCCTTTGTTCCTCTATTTCTCCATTATTGCCTCCTTTTGTATTAAATATTTTCTAGTGTACCATTTTAATTCCCTGGTTTCTTTTACTATTTTTTAATTATTTTTAGTGATTCTCTGGGGATGGCAATTAATATCATAAATTATGGCAATCTATTCAGATTAATACAAACTTATAAAAATGTTATTCCTTTTAGCACAATTCTCTCCCATTCCATAGTGACATTATACATAAAGTACATTTTTATGCATTGTAGGACCACGAAAACAGATTTATTGTTTTATAAAGTTGTCTTTTACCAACGCACAGCCAATATCACATTGAATCAGCAAAAGCTGGAAGCATTCCCCTTGAAAACCAGCACAAGACAAGGATGCCCTCTCTCACCACTACTATTAACACACTATTGGAAGTTCTAGCCAGGGCAATCAGGCAAGAGAAAGAAATAAATGGTATTCAAATAGGAAGAGAGGAAGTCAAATTGTCTTTGTCTGCAGATGATGCATGATCCTACATCTAGAAACCCCATTGTCTCACCCAAAAGCTTCTTAAGCTGATAAGCAACTACTGCTAGGTCTCAGGATACAAAATCAATGTGCAAAAGTCACAAGAAGTCCTATGCAACAACAGGCAAACATAGAGCCAAATCATGATTGAACTCCCATTCACCATTGCTACAAAGAGAATCAAATACCTAAGAATACAGCTAACAAGGAAAGTGAAAGACCTCTTCAAGGAGAACTACAAACCACTGCTCAAGGAAAGCAGAGAGGACACAAACAAATGGAAAAACATTCCATGCTCATGGATAGGAATAATCAATACCATGAAAATGGCCACACTGCCCAAAATAATTTATAGATTCAATGCTATTCCCATTAAACTACTATTTACATTCTTCACACAATTAGAATAAATTATTTTATAATTCATATTGAACCAAAAAAGAGTTTGTATAGCCAAGACAATCCTAAGCAAAGAGAACAAAGCTGGAGGCATCACGTTACCAGACTTCAAACTATACTCCAAGGCTACAATAACCAAAACAGCATGGTACTGGTACAAAAACAGACACATAGACCAATGGAACAGAATAGAAAACTCAGAAATAAGACTACAACCATCTGACTTTTTACAAACTTGACAAAAACAAGCAATGGGGAAAGGAATCCCTATTCAATAAATGGTGCTGGGAAAACTGGCTAGCCATATGCAGAAAATTCAAACTGGACCTCTTCCTTACATCTTGTACACAGATTAACTCAAGAAGGATTAAAGACTTCAATGAAAAACCCCAAACTATAAAAAGCTAGAAGAAAATCTAGGCAACACTTTTCAAGACATAGGCACAGGCAAAGATTTCATGTTGAAATTGCCAAAAGCAATTTCAACAAAAGCAAAAATTGACAAATGGAACCTAATTAAACTAAAGAGCTTCTGCACAGCAAAAGAAACTATCATCAGAGCAAACAGGCAACCTACAGAGTGGGAAAAAATTTTTCCAAGCTACCCACCTGCAAAGGGCTAATATCCAGAATCTACAAGGAACTTAAACAAATGTACAAGAAAAAAAACAAACTCCACTAAAAACTGAGCAAAGGACCTGAACAGACACTTCTCAAAAGAAGACATTCATGTGGCCAACAAACACGAAAGAAAAAAGGTCAACATCACAGATCATTAGAGAAATGCAAATGAAAACCACAATGAGATACCATCTCACATCAGTCAGAATGGTGATTACTAAAAAGTCGAGAAACAATAGATGCTAGTGAGGTTGCAGAGAAATGGGAATGCTTTTACACAGTTGATGGGAATGTAAATTCGTTAAATCATTGTGGAAGATGATGTTGCAATTCCTCAAAGATCTAGAACCAAAAACACCATCTGACCCAGCATTCTCAATACTGGGTATATACCCAAAGAAATATAAATCATTTTATTACAAAGATGCATGCAGGTGTATGTTTACTGAAGCACTATTCACAATAGCAAAGACATGGAATCAGCCCAAATGCCCATCAATGATAGACTGGATAAAGAAAACGTGGTACATATACACCATGGAATACTATGCAGCCACAAAAAAGAATGAGATCATGTCCTTTGTCGGGACATGGGTGAAGCTGGAAGCCATTATCCTCAGCAAACTAACACAGGAACAGAAAACCAAATACCACATGTTCTCCCTTATAAGTGGGAGCTGAACAGTGAGAACACGTGAACCCCGGGGAGGGGAATAACACACACTGGGACCTGTTAAGGAATGGGGTAGAGGGAGAGAGAGCATTAGGAAGAATAGCTTATGCATATTGGGTTTAATACCTAGGTGATGGGTTGATAGGTGCAGCAAAAAACCATGACACATATTTACCTATGTAACAAACCTGCACATCCTGCACATGTACCTCAAAACTTAAAATTAAAATTAAAATTTTTTTAAGAAGTTGTCTTTTGGGGATTCCATTCCAAGATGGCCGAATAGGAACAGTTTCGGTCTGCAGCTCCCAGTGTGATCAGTGCAAAAGATGGGTGATTTCTGCATTTCCAACTGAGGTACATGGTTCATCTCACTGGGACTAGTTGGACAGTGGGTGCAGCCCATGGAGGGCAAGCTGAAGCAGGGTGAGCACAAGGGGTCAGGGGATTTCCCTTTCCTAGCCAAGGGAAGCTGTGACAGACAGTACCTGGAAAAATGGGAGACTCCCCACCCAAATACTGCGCTTTTCCAATGGTCTTAGCAAATGGTACACCAGGAGATTATCCTGCACCTGGCTTGGTGGATCCCACACCCACAGAGCCTTGCTTACTGCTAGCTCAGCAGTCTGAGATCAACCTTCAAGGCAGCAGCCTAGCAGGGGGAGGGGCATCTGCCATTGCTGAGGCTTGAGTAGGTAAACAAAGCAGCCTGAGATGCTCGAATTGGGTGGAGCCCACTGCAGCTCAGCAAGGCCTACTGCCTCTGTGGTCTCCACCTCTGGGGCCAGGACATAGCTGAACAAAAAGCAGCAGAAACTTCTGCAGACTTAAATGCCCATCTGACAGCTCTGAAGAGAGCAGTGGTTCTCCCAGCATGCTGTTTGAGCTCAGAGAATGGATAGACTGCCTCCCCAAGTGGGTCCCTGACCCCCATGTAGCCTAACTGGGAGACACCTCCCAGTAGGGGCTGACTGACACTGCATACAGGTAGGTGACCCTCTGGGACAAAGCTTCTAGAGGAAGGATCAGGCAACAATATTTGCTGTTCTGCAATATTTGCTGTTCTGCAGCCTCTGCTGGTGATACCCAGGGAAATAGGATACCTCCAGCAAACTCCAATAGACCTGCAGCTGAGGTTCCTGACTGTTAGAAGGAAAACTAACAAACAGAAAGGAATAGCATCAACATCAACAATGAGGATATCCACACCAAAACCCCATCTGTAGGTCACCAACATCAAAGACCAAAGGTAGATAAAACCACAAAGATGGGGAGAAGTCCAGAGCAGAAAAGCTGAAAATTCTAAAAACCAGAGCACTTCTTCTCCTCCAAAGGATCACAGCTCCTCGCCAGCAACGGAACAAAGTTGGTTGGAGAATGACTAATGAGCTGACCGAAGCAGGCTTCAGAAAGTCAGTAATAACAAACTTCTCTGAGCTAAAGGAGGATGTTTGAACCCATTGCAAGGAAGCTAAAAGCCTAGATAAAACATTAGACGAATGGCTAACTAGAATAAACAGTGTAGAGAAGACCTTGAAGGACCTGATGGAGCTGAAAACCATGGCACGAGAACTACGTCATGCATGCACAAGCTTTAATAGATGATTTGATCAAGCGGAAGAAATGGTATTAGTGATTGAAGTTCAAATTAATGAAATCAAGCAAGAACACAAGGTTAGAGAGAAAAGAGTAAAAAGAAACAAAGCCTCTAAGAAATATGGGACTATGTGAAAAGACCAAATCTACATTTGATCGGTGTACCTGAAAATTACAGGGAGAATGGAACCAAGTTGGAAAACACTCTGCAGGATATTATCCAGGAGAACTTCCCCAACCTAGCAAGGCAGGCCAACATTGAAATTCAGTAAATACAGAGAACACCACAAAGATACTCCTCGAGAAGAGCAACCCCAAGACACATAACTGTCAGATTCACCAAGGTTGAAATGAAGGAAAAAATGTTAAGGGCAGGCAGAGAGAAAGGTTGGGCTACCCATAAAGGGAAGCCCATCAGACTAACAGCAGATCTCTCAGCAGAAACTCTCCAAGCCAGAAGAAAGTGGGGGTCAATATTCAACATTACATAAGAAAAGAATTTTCAACCGAGAATTTCATATCCAGCCAAACTAAGCTTCATAAGTGAAGGAGAAAATCCTTCACAGACAAGCAAATGCTGAGAGATTTTGTCACCACCAGGCCTGCCTTACAAGAGCTCCTGAAGAAAGCATTAAACATGGAAAGGAACAACCAGTACCAGCCACTGCAAAAACATGCCAAATTGTAAAGACCATCAATGATAGGAAGAAACTGTATCAACTAACGGGCAAAATAACCAGCTAACATCATAATGACAGGATCAAATTCACACATAACAATATTAACCTTAAAGGTAAATGGACTAAATGCCCCAATTGAAAGACACAGACTGGCAAATTGGATAAAAAGCCAAGACCCATCAGTGTGCTGTATTCAGGAGACCCGTCTCATGTGCAGAGACACACATAGGCTCAAAATAAAGGGATGGAAGAAGATCTACCAAGCAAATGGAAAACGAAAAAAAGCAGGGGTTGCAATCCTTGTCTCTGATAAAACAGATTTTAAGGCTGGGTGCAGTGGCTCACGCTGGTAATCCCAGCACTTTGGGAGGCCAAGGCGGGTGGATCACAAGATCAGGAGATCGAGACCATCCTGACTAACGCGGTGAAACCCCGTCTCTACTAAAAATACAAAAAATTAGCTGGGCGTGGTGGCGGGCGCCTGTAGTCCCAGTTACTCAGGAGGCTGAGGCAGGAGAATGGTGTGAACCCAGGAGGTGGAGCTTGCCGTGAGCTGAGATCACACCACTGCACTCCAGCCTGGACAACAGAGCAAGATTCCAACTCAAAAAAAAAAAAGATTTTAAACCAGCAAAGATCCAAAGAGACAAAGAAGGCCATTGCATAATGGTAAAGGGATCAATTCAACAAGAAGAGCTACTATCCTAAATATATATGCACTCAACACAGGAGCAACCAGATTCATAAAGCAAATCCTTAGAGACTTACAAAGAAACTTAGACTCCCACACAATAATAATGGGAGACTTTAACACCCCCCTGTAAATATTAGACAGATCAATGAGACAGAAGGTTAAGAAGGATATCCAGGACTCGAACTCAGCTCTGCACCAAGCAGACCTAATAGACATCTACAGAACTCTCCACCCCAAATCAACAGAATATACGTTCTTCTCACCACCAAATCGCACTTATTCCAAAACTGACCACATAGTTGGAAGTAAAGCACTCCTCAGCAAATGTAAAAGAACAGAAATCACAACAGTCTCTCAGACCACAGTGCAATCAAATTAGAACTCAGGATTAAGAAACTCACTCAAAACTACACAGCTACATGGAAACTGAACAACCTGCTCCTGAATGACTACTGGGTACATAATGAAATGAAGGCAGATATAAAGATGTTCTTTGAAACCAATGAGAACAAAGACACAATGTACCAGAATCTCTGGGACACATTTAAAGCAGTTCGTAGAGGAAAATTTATAGCACTAAATGCCCACAAGAGAAAGCAGGAAAGATCTAAAATCGACACACTAACATCACAATTAAAAGAACTCAAGAAGCAAGAGCAAACACCTTCAAAAGCTAGCAGAAGGCAAGAAATAACTAAGATCAGAGCAGAACTGAAGGAGACAGAGACACAAAAAAACCTTCAAAAAATCAATGAATCCAGGAGCTGGTTTTTTGGAAAAATCAACAAAATAGATAGACCGCTAGCCAGACTAATAAAGAAGAAAAGAGAGAAGAATCAAATGGATGCAATAAAAAATGATAAAGGGGATATCATCACTGATCCCACAAATACAAACTACCATCAGAGAATACTATAAACACCTCTATGCAAATAAACTAGAAATCCTAGAAATTGATAAATTCCTGGACACATACACCCTCCCAAGACTAAATCAGGAAGAAGTTGAATCTCTGAATAGACCAATAACAGGCGCTGAAATTGAGGCAATAATTAATACCCTACCAATCAAAAAAAGTCCAGTACCAGACAGATTCACAGCCAATTTCTACCAGAGGTATAAAGAGGAGGTGGTATCATTCCTTCTGAAACTATTCCAATCAATAGAAAAAGACGAAATCTTCCCTAACTCATTTTATGAAGCCAGCATCATCCTGATACCAAAGGCTGGCAGAGATACAGCAAAAAAAAAGGAGAATTTTAGACCAACATCCCTGATGAACATCGATGCAAAAATCCTGAATAAAATACTGGCAAACCAAACCCAGCAGCACATCAAAAAGCTTATCCACCGCGATCAAGTCGGCTTCATCCCTGGGATGCAAGGCTGGTTCAACATACACAAATCAATAAATGTAATCACATAAACAGAACCAAAGACAAAAACCACATGATTATCTCAATAGATGCAGAAAAGGCCTCTGTCAAAATTCAACAGCCCTTCATGCTAAAAACTCTCAATAAGCTAGGTACTGATGGAACGTATTGCAAAATAAGAGCTATTTATGACAAACCCACAGCCAATATCATACTAAATGGGCAAAAACTGGAAGCATTCCGTTTGAAAACTGGCACAAGACAGGGATGCCCTCTCTCACCACTCCTATTCAACATAGTGTTGGAAGTTCTGGCCAGGGCAATCAGGCAGGAGAAGGAAATAAAGGGTATTCAATTAGGAAAAGAGGAAGTCAAATTGTCCCTGTTTGCAGATGACATGATTGTATATTTAGAAAACCCCATCATCTCAGCCCAAAATCTCTGTAAGCTGATAAGCAACTTCAGCAAAGTCTCAGAATAAAAAAAATCAATGTGCAAAAATCACAAGCATTCCTATACACCAATAACAGACAGAGAGCTAAATCATGAGTGAACTCGCAGTCACAATTGCTTCAAAGAGAATAAAATACCTAGGAATCCAACTTACAAGGGATGTGAAGGACCTCTTCAAGAAGAACTACAAACCACTGCTCAACGAAATAAGAGCGGACACAAATGGAAAACATTCCATGCTCATAGATAGGAAGAATCAATATCGTACAAATGGCCATACCGCCCAAGGTAATTTATAGATTCAATGTCATCCCCAACAAGCTACCAATGACTTTCTTCACACAATTGGAAAAAACTACTTTCAAGTTCATATGGAACCAAAAAAAGAGCCCGCATTGCCAAGACAATCCTAAGCAAAAAGAACAAAGCTCAAGGCATCATTCTACCTGATGTCAAACTATACTACAAGGCTACAGTAACCAAAACACCATGGTATGGGTACCGAAACAGTTATATAGACCAATGGAACAGAACAGAGATCTCAGAAATAACACCACACATCTACAACCATCTGATCTTTGACAAACCTGACAAAAATAAGAAATGGGGAAAGGATTCTCTATTTAATAAATGGTGTTGGGAAAACTGGCTAGCCATATTTAGAAAGCTGAAACTGGATCCCTTCCTTACAACTCATAAAAATTAATTCAAGATGGATTAAAGACTTAAATGTTAGACCTAAAACCATAAAAACCCTAGAAGAAAACCTAGGCAATACCATTCAGGACATAGGCATGGGCAAGGACTTTATGACTAAAACACCAAAAGCAATGGCAACAAAAGCCGAAATTGACAAATTGGATCTAATTAAAGAGCTTCTGCACAGCAAAAGAAACTACCATCAGAGTGAACAGGCAACCTACAGAATGGGAGAAAATTTTTGCAACCTACCCATCTGACAAAGGGCTAATATACAGAATCTACAAAGAACTTAAACAAATTTACAAGAAAAAAACAACTCCATCAAAAAGTGGGCGAAGGATATGAACACACACTTCTGAAAAGAAGACATTTATGCAGCCAACAGACACATGAAAAAATGCTCACCATCACTGGCCGTCAGAGAAATGCAAATCAAAACCACAATGAGATACCATCTCACACCAGTTAGAATGGCGATCGCTAAAAAGGCAGGAAACAACAGATGCTGGAGAGGATGTGGAGAAATAGGAACGCTTTTACACTGTTGGTGGGAGTGTAAACTAGTTCAACCATTGTGGAAGACAGTGTGGCGATTCCTCAAGGATCTAGAACTAGAAATACCATTTGACCCAGCCATCCCATTACTGGGTATATACCCAAAGGATTATAAATCATGCTACTATAAAGACACATGCGCACATATGTTTATTCGGCACTATTCACAATAGCAAAGAGTTGGAACCAACCCATATGTCCATCAATGATAGACTGGATTAAGAAAATGTGGCACATATACACCATAGAATATTATGCAGCCATAAAAAAGGATGAGTTCATGTCCTTTGCAAGGACATGGATATAGCTGGAAACCATCATTCCGAGCAAACTGTCACAAGGACAGAAAACCAAACACCACATGTTCTCACTTATAGGTGGGAATTGAACTATGAGAACACTTGGACACAGGGTGGGGAACATCACATCCCGGGCCCTGTCATGGGTTGGGGGACAGGGGGAGGGATAGCATTAGGAGAAATACCTAATGTAAATGACAAGTTAATGGGTGCAGCAAACCAAGATGGCACACGTATACCTATGTAACAAACCTGCACATTGGTCAAATGTACTCTAGAATTTAACGTATAATTTTTTTTTAAAGTTGTCTTTTAAATTAGATAGGAGGAAAAAAAAGAATTACAAACAAAAAATACATTATCTTGACTTTGAAATTTACCTACATAGTTATCTTTAATAGTGTTCTTTATTTCTTCATGTGGATTCAAGTCACTATCTAGTGTCCTTTCATTTCGTTGTTTCTTGTAAGGCATGCCTGCTACCAACACATTCTCTGTGTTTATCTAGGAATGTCTTAATATCATCTTCATTTTTAAAACATATTATTGTTTTGCTGTAAATAGAATTCTTGCATAAAATCCTTTTGCTTTCAACACATTAAATATATAATCCCACTGCCTCCTGGTTTCATCGTTTCTGATGAAAAGTCAGTTGTTAAACTTATTGAGGATCCGTTACATGATGAGTAATTTTTCTCTTCCTACTTTTAAGACTCTCTCTTTGTCTTTGGCTTTTGAGTATAATATACCTAGGTGTGGATCTCCTTGAATTTATCCTATCTGAAGTTTATTAAGCTTCTTAAATATATGAATTTATGGTTTTCATCAAATTTTAGTATGCCCTATATGTTGATGACTGTTGTGATACCATGGTTCTTGTCTTCTCAGTCTAAAAGAATTTAAACAGGAGACACAGCAATATAGATGCAGTATAGAGTGATTTATTGCAAAGGGAAAAGAATATTTTGAAAGTTAAGTGAGGAATAGACATTACACCCTGAGAGAGAGAGAGAGTTCAGGGAGGGCTGCTCATAAGGGTGAGACAGCAAAGCCTGGCTCTAGGGAGACTCCCTTTATGGGAGTCTTACTTGATTATTCATAAAGAGGTGGGAAGAGATGTTTCTAGTAAGCATGTTCTTGGTGGTCCTCTGGGTGCATATGCACAGTAGCTGCACATACTTGTTCATACATCACATGTTTCAACAGCATCTTAAATCTCCATCCAAGGGTGTGTTTTTCACTATTATAATGAACAAAGGATCAGTCTAAGGACAGGTAAAATCAAAATGCACATGTTCTCTACAGGGGAAATTTCACACTGAAGATAGCTTTGCTTAAATCCACTCAGTTACAATGCAAATGCCAAGGCTTATTGTGTTGACTGCATGGTCACCACAGTTGCTGTGTCCCAAGGACATGGTCACTACCTTGACTACCTATCCTGCCTCTTATATACAAGACATGTCATCTGTAAAAACAGGGAGTTTTACTTCTTTCTTTACAATCTGGATGCCTTTTATTTATCTAATTTTTTGCCTAAAACTATTATTTCTTCAAATACTCTTTCTTTTTTTCTCTCCTCTTCTTCTGGAATTCCCATTATGTGTATGTTGTTACATTTGATGGTGTCCACAGAGTCCTAGACTCTTTTTCTTTATTCTTTCTTTTACACAGACTGGATAATCTCAGTTAACTTATCTTGAAGTTCACTTATTCTTTATTTTGCCAGCTCAAATCTGCTGTTGAGCCCTTCTGGTGAATTTTTTATTTCAGTTATATTTTTTCAACTCCAGAATTTCTATTTGTTTCTTATTTATAATTTTTACCTCTTTATTGATATTCTCTATTTGATGAGACATCATTCTCGTACTTTTCTTTTAGTTGGCTAGACATGGTTTATTTTTTAAATTTTCTTTCTACCTATGTTATTTAAATAGCTAATTTAAACCTTTATCTAATAAGTACAATGGGCTTCCTCAAAGACAATTTCTATTGACTGATTTTTTTTCCCTATGTATGAGTTATACTTTATTGTTTCTTTGTATGTCTCATCATTTTTTGTTGAAAACTGGACATTTAAGTAATATAATTCTGAAAATCAGATCTCTCTCTCAGAATTTGTTGTCTTTGCTCTGTTTTTATTGTTGCTGTAATGTGTTTATTTAAGGACTTTCTTGAGCTTATTCTGTCAATTAGTCTGTATTCTAATTCTATTTGTACTATTTGCTGTGTGTGGCCATTGGAGTCTTTTGCCCAGTTAGCTTAATGGTCATATTATAATTGGACAAAGATTTCTTTAAATGCCTAGAACCAGTAAGTCTCCTAAACTTTGTGAGGATCTCACTGTACATGCTGGGTCACATCTTTAATACTCAGGCAAGTAGTTTACAACTCTGTCTTAGTCTTTACTTCCTGCTTGCATATAGCCTCAAAGTCCGCTGAAGGTGAGTTTAAAGCTTTCTCAGGTCTTTCCTGTGCAGGTGCACAGTCCTAAACATGTGCAAAGTGCTACATATGTGTTTGTCTTTCTATATTCCTAGAAATATCTTGAAGCCTTTCAAAGTGCCCTATATACATCTCATTCCTTAGATTTTTCTTTTAAATTTTTTGGGTGGGTTATTGCTTGCCCCACCTGCTATCACCACCTCAGGTAGCTGCAATGTTTAATAATGGCCACTGATTGCTTTAGATAAATGCCCATTGGGAAAAAGCTGTTTGCACTGGGCCAACTTTCAGTCAAGTTAAACAAAGACAAGCCTTGTGAGTGGATTTTCTAAGGAATTTTCAGGCAGGTCAAATAATGGCAGTTAGATGAATATTGGGTTTGGAGGAGCTCCTATCCCATTCTATGCTTCAGAAGCTGCTACAGTTTTTACCATAAGTGTGAGGCTACTCATCTTTAAGGGTACCACTGAACTGGCAAGAAGGGTATAGGACTAGGGGCAAGTTAAACTCCACAAAGTTTGCTGTCCTTTCAAAGATTCAGACATTTCTTGAGTAAATACTCCCTGGGTTATTGTAATCATTTGGTTAATTTTCAGCATTTGGATAAAATTGATTTTTACTATTTTGGGCAGCAATCTCTGCTTTTATGGAGGAGAGGATCTTTTAAAGTCCTTACTCCATTCCTGATGCTCTCACTTCCTCCCATCATTTTTAAGTAGACTTTTTTGTGGGTTTAACATCTGACTTAATATGTACCTGGTTATACATCATTTCTTATCCTATGACTAAAAAGCTATCAGGATCAAACTGAAAGGACAAACATTCTATACAGATCAATAAAAGAATCCATCTGATCAGCACTCTCCACTCTGTGTAGACCATGAAAGGTGTCATGTTTCATTATCAGAGTCACACAGCAAATGGTCACATAGCAAGCAACTTCTCCCAGGCCAGAAAACCTGGCTTATCCATTACTCTCTCATTACTGCTTGATTCTTTTTAAAAATATTTTTTAAATTTTTTAGCATAAAGTTAAAATATTAAATACACCCCAAAGGCGAATGACAAAAAAGCAAGGGTTTACTGCCCCACTCTTTGGAGTGAACCACATTCAACAATTTATGTCTTGAGTTCTTCAAAGGATTATCTCTATTTTAAATAACAGGTTTATACCATGAATTCCTCATTTATCAAATCTAGATATCATTTATTTCCTTATTGCTATGATAGATGAAGATTTATTTCATTATTCAACTCTAAACCTAAAAAATGTTGATGCTTACATTATTATTTTTAGTTTTTCTATTGGTTACCTTTATAAGTTTAGATCACTAATACAGTATTTTTCCACCAACTAGAGATGGAGTATCTTTATTCCCCATATATGTAAGATAAAGATCTTAATAATCCTACCATCCCTCCACGTTTCTTTCCTCTTTCTCTTTAGCTACCTCAATCAGGATACTTCTCCATCATCAAGTTTGAGAATATTTACATTCCAGTCTAAAACATTTATATTTTACATCTAATCTATGGGTTAACTCTAAATGTTGAAAATCAATACACAGTATTTCCTTTATTATTACTCTGTTGTTCAAAGCATAGCTAAGTGGTAAGCTATGGTAAAAATTTCCTTCCTTGACATTGAAATATAACTATCTCTGTGCCACTTAAAGAGCAGTGTTTCTAATGATAAGGTCAAATGAGTCTTCTGTCTTTTCTTCTCCCTCCCCCATCCCCACTAATTGCTCAAACCCTCGCACATTTGAGTTTGCTACTCGTGTGACGTAACTTTCTTGTACATCTTTAAAAAATCACTTTTGCCTTTTATTAAGATTCTGATGGCCTTACTTAAACTGTGAGCCCCATAGTAAGTTCTTAGTAAATATTTATTGAAATTAAATTACTTTGAATTACCAGTCTATCCCCACTAATAAATACAATGTTAAAATATTGTCATTTCCCAGGGATTTTAAAATGCTTACTGGCAAAAGAAGAAAAAAATTATAAGCCCCTTTAGGATAAATTCCAACCCAATCTTTAGCAGTACTAAGTTTGCTCAACATTTTTGAGGGCAATATTGATATTATTCTATGAAGCATGGCTTCCAGAAATCACAATGACTACTCAGTAATTGCTCTCCAAAAAGGAAATAAATATTTCATTTTTTCATAATTGTACTAAAATTGTTTTATCTGTCAAGTTCAAATTAAAAAGCATCTGGCTTCATTTAAAGAGTTTACCTACGGTGTTTGTTCCCAAAGACTGTGCACATAATGAAGAATTGCAATACTCAAATCTAGAGAAAGAAACAAGAACCCATGAGCAAAATATTGACAGTGATAAAAAGAAACACCATTGGGAGAAATAAGCAGCCTTATTTATCAAGACAGTGAATAATTTTCAGCAGCCTTCTAAGCCAAACTTTATAAAGCCACCCACGGCCTTTCCTATTTGAATATGTACCCCTCTCCAGACTCATGGAGTATGGATTCTAATTTGGGTCTTTGGACCCCTATAAATTAGCTTCAGGATGTTGGTGAAATGTTTATATCTATATAGAGTTTTTTGTTTATAATGTTTCTGGGTTGAGAATTTACAGATTTAAATGGATTTGTAAAGTGTTCTAAGACCCCAAAAATGTTGAGATTACTACCACATATTAAACAAGCTATTGGCCATTGTGTGTTGATAGGCCAATACATGAACAAACACACCTAAGACTGCTTCTGCAGAAGCACTACTAATTTCTTCACAGCCACACATAACGTCTCTCTTTTTACCTGCTTCTTAGTCAATCTGCCACCCTAGATACTTACTTCCCTTTCTTTTTTTCTGATGTTATGCCTATGAGAAATCACATATGGCCTAAAGAAAATTAAAAATGAGGCCTACACCTCCTAAAGAGTATTTGCATAAACCTCGGAGCCATGGGGTAATAGCAAACCATCTGCCAAAAAATTTATGGAAAGAAAAGTTTTTAAAACATCATAGCCCTCTGATCCACTCTGCTGGGGCCTAGAGAACAAAATGTAGTAGGTGACCTACACTCTTACACAGACAGATGTATGTGCCATATTGGGAATAATATATTTCATGGAAAAATAGAGGCCTGCCCCTCTAGTGAAGTTTCTAGGATCTATAGCTCGAGGCATATTGCAATATTCCCACCAAGTGATAGAAACTAGCTTCACTTTGAGGCCCCTACCACTAAGAAAGAGTCACAGTGATTGGTGGGCCTCTTTGAATTTTAAAAATAATATACATTTCAGCATGCTGCTCTAACCATTTCTGTTGACTCCAGTGACTATCAACTTAAATGATGCCAAGGGGAAATAGAGATGGTCCACCTGGTTCGACATTGACACTTGACCCTTATGATCCAGCAGATTTAATGGGGCTTGATGGGTCTACAACAGGTTATGATGCTTCATAGAGACTTTGGTAAGATTTGAATGACAACTCCTAGATTTTGAGGACAAACATGCCCTTTTCAAGCCACTGTCCTTTTGAAAAGTATGTTTTAGTTTGCTATTGGGCTGAATGAAGACACAATATCTCACTGTGGGACACCAGTCAACCATGTAACTTCTCCATATACCATCATTAAGTGCTATCTAATCAATGGCACCCCCATAATCTCAGGCATATTCAACAAAGCCTAACCAAATTAAAACCTAACCGTGATCAAATGATTGATACATATTGATGCATATCAGATGATTGGTATTTAGGCACATATATATGTATATAGGTAGAGACAGAGATAGAAATAGTGAGAGAGACACAGGAGGGAGGAAGAGAGGGAGATAGAGAGAGAGAGAGAGAGAGAGCTGAGACAGATCTTAAAAGCATAAGTCATTTGCCTGAGTAAGTGATTTACACTCCCTAGATACTCACTCACTCATGCTTTCTGCCACATCTCCCTCAGCCCTCACTATGGCCTCCTGTGGAGATTCCTCTGACCACTGAGCTGATGGACGGAAAGATGTAAGCTTGGTGTACAGACAGGTCTAGCCCACAGTTCTACACCGTGCTGGTGCCAACCAGAAGTAGAATATAAATAATCTTATAATCCTACTTATGGTTGGCCAGGAAAGACAATACCCTGTGGGTGGAAGATTGAACCAGATATTATTGACCTTTCACTTAGTAAGTTGTGTTAACAAACAACCTCAAAACATGAATGGCTTACAACAAAGGTTGATTTTTGCTCACTGTATTGTTGGCTCTGGGTTAGCTGTGGTTTGCTCTACATGTTTTTCAGTCGTGTATTTAAAATGAAAAGAGCAGCCACTATCTATGGCATGGCATTGTGCTGGTTACATTCCATTGGCCAAAATATATTACATGAAGAAGCCTAATCAATGGTCTCAACAGTAGGCTATATTGTCCTTTCATAGGAAGGGCATGTAGATAGAAAAAACAGTATCTACTATAACAGTACATATCATTGTTCACTTTTTCCAGAAATACTGTTCAGTGTATGGTGCAAGCCCAATTCATAGGGAGTGACTGATAGTGTAGCTGGATCAAGACTGGAGAACAAGTGCAAGAAATCACGAGGGAGAAGTATGTATGTAGATTTCTCAGAATGGACCCAGAGTGGAGGGTATTTATGTTCTATATGAATCCTCACCGGAAGGTTTCACTATGGAGCAAACTCAATCAGACAATGTATCTAGTGCATGTCGGTCAATCTCTGTCTTCAGCCAGTTAACTCATGAACCAGTGGCTATGGCAACAGAGACAGAAGAATCTCCCCCATAAAAGTCAACCAGGCACTACCACTGATGAGTGCTCAAACTGCCAGCAACACCAAGCAGCCCTAAGTCCTAATATATAAAACTATTTATCTGGGTTGAGGGCAACCAGGTAGCTATCCTGTAACAGACTGATTGCATTGGCCTCTTTCCATCAAGGCGAGGACACTGATTTTTTTTCACTGGAATAATCACTATTTCTAGATTTAGATTTGCAGCATTATACAGTAACAAGGCATCCTCACAAATTGTTTCCGCAGTTTCTCAGTAATTTTAGAGCCTAGTTCTCCTCCCTTCCCACTGATTCTGTGAGAATACACATATCCTTCTAATAAATCTCCTTTCAGCTCAGAGTCAGTTTCTGCTATTTGCAACTCAGAATCCAGACTGAAAAACAAAGTCCTTGGTATTTCTCACAGTCACTTTCCCTATGAATTAAAGCCTTAAATTCTCAACTTCTCCATAAATAAAGATGGAATCTTCCTGTCTCTTAGAATTATGGGTCTGGCAGCCAAGCTACAATCAGATTAATCCAAGAGGAATTTCTTAGAGATTCAAGTTTAGGCTGTCTAGGCAAAACAGTGGTCAAGTTGAGCAATTATCCATTGAATTTGTTGAATATAGGCAGTAAATCTCATTCACTTTATCAAACGCTTTTTTTAAACCATTATATATTTTGTTTGAATTTTCTGCCATCTTTTCCACATATTTCGTTTTTCCTGCATAAAATAAGTCAAATTAGGCAGCTCAATTTAAAATCTAGCAGTTACTGCTAGCATGTCTATATGTTTTCTGCAGACATCTATTCTAAGAAGATGTACATCTGGCAGCTTCTTAGATAATAAAATAGAAAAGAATTCCGGCAACTCTAGAGCAACTTGTAGCACCTGTCTGGATCTCCTGGATGGCTTTTTAAAATGTCTCTGCGCTACATTCCCCTGCCCATATCAAATTTCCACTAGCCTTGGTATAATACCTGGGTCAAGATAGATTAAACTCTGAAATTTTAATGAGTTAACACAACAAAGTTTCATTTCATTCATCAAACATTTTATGTAAGACAGCTCTTCATCATGCAGTGCCA
Source organism: Homo sapiens (assembly GCF_000001405.40). NCBI lineage: Eukaryota > Metazoa > Chordata > Mammalia > Primates > Hominidae > Homo > Homo sapiens. Next base: position 25,985,158 of record NC_000003.12, on the reverse strand, counting down.
TTGAGATCCAGAATTTTCACCTTTGTGGTTTCATGACCTCAATATACAACCTTCATTATCTTTTGGCCAGAACAAGACATGTGTCTTCAACCTAGCTACTGGGGAGGCCGGGAAATGCAAGAGGACCACTATCTATCTCTGCCCCAGTTAAAAAAAAGAGCCAGGTATAATTCATTTTTTCTAGTATTGAAAAAAATTATTTTCTTTAGTAGCCAATGTATTCCTGACACTGCATATGCACTAGAATACCATAAACTTGAGCTACATACATCAGCCTTTCCTCAAGATTACAATTCAGGGAAATGTGGGGAGAAGACAAAGAAATCAAACAATTAGCAACATCCTGTAATAAGCACAGTCCTGTTGAAGAGGTTACTGTTAAAGCACAGAAAAGGGGAAACCAGGGTAATCTTTGTGGAGGAAGTGTTTTTCTGAGCTGAACTTTTAAAGATCTGGTCCAAATTAACCAGATGATAGAAGGTAAAAGAATGTTCTAGATAGAGAAATTAGAATGTGAGGATACTTGGAAACCAGTAACTGCACAATTATTTCAGAGACACGGTGGATTAGGGGATAGAAGGGAAAAAGTAACAACAGTTGAGTTGAAAGTAGTCTTCCCCAAAGGGTATTCATAAGAATTATGAATCCCCTGAAATGCTCCATGACAAAAACTTTCAATGATTAAATACGTAATATGATTGGGAAACATAAATTATACTAACCTTTTAGAATACTGAAGGTTCTAGGAAAGCCTATGGTCTCTAACTAAACCAGCATGACCTTTTTTGACTAGTATTTACCAAACTCAATATAAAATCCTATTAACAGCTCGTGGAATTAGCATTTTAGGAAATACATGTGGAGAAAATCAAGGATTAGATATAGTTGCTGGATCAAAAAGTGCCTCATGTAAAGAGTTTTATTTTCTCATCCTGCATGTTATTGGAACAGTGTAGAATTCTAAATACAGTAAAAACTTGAAGGTGTTACTATGGTATGGTAATATAAGTATGGGGTTATTAGGGCTTAAACAGATTTTTTTTGATTATGTCACTGAATCCACTAGGCCATTTGCTCAAGGTCCATAGTTTCTTCATCTCTGCACATACACATTCCTGGCCCAAGCATTTGCATGCAGTAGAGTCTCCATAAGTTGTAGAGTGACTGAGTGTAGTAGGAAGCTTCTGAAATGGTGCCCCTGGATCCTTGCCCTCCTGGTATCCAGGACCTTTGTGTAGTCTCCCCTCGAGTATGGGATAGATCTAGTGACTTTCTTCTAATAAACAGAATATAGCATAGGATGTTGCTACTGTGACTGGGTTACAGAAGATTGTGACTGTCATCTTACTTTTCTCTCTCTCGCTGGTATTCACTCTTGCCCTCTTGCTTGCTTGCTACGATGTTGTAAGATGTCTTAAAGTATAATTAAAAAAAAAAAAAAAAAGATGTCTGTGGAGCAGTCCACATGGCAAGGAGCTCCGAGACACCACAATCCAACAAGCCAGCTACTCATGAGGAACTGAAACCTCAGTGTAACAGCAGACCACAAGGAATTAAATCCTACTAACAACCATGTGATTGAGTTTGGAAGTGGATTATTCCCAGTCAAGCTTTGATATGACTGCAGCTTTGTAAGAGATAGAATCTAGTCAAGTGTGCCAAATTTGTGATCTACAGAAATTGTAAGATAACAAATGTATATTTTTGAGCTGCTAAATGTTTGTGAAATTTGTTATGAAGTGATAGATAACTAGTAAATGATTCAATAAATATCTTGTTTTCCATCTTATGTACTTGATACTCATCAAGTCTGCCTTTTTCTTTTATTCATGAATTACACAATAACTGTGTGTGATGGTGTGATTAGCTTCCTTTTTTACCTTTTCCTGTAAAAATGTTTTGCTCTTTCTTATGTGATGTTGCTGTTTTTTACATTAAAGAAGTGAAATAGTTTTTCCTGTCCCTTAACATCAGGTTTAGCTTGGTAACTTGCTCTGGCTAATAGAACAAGGCAGAAGTTAACAGAGTGTCAGTCACAAGCCTAGGTTTAGGAAGCTTGTAGGGTTAAGAGTGAAAAATTTAACATTCTCAATCAAATTTCCTTGCAATTCTGCCACTGCCATGAGGAGAATGTGTTCAAACTCGTCTTCTTTTCACCAAGGACAATGAGAGGCCTGGATCTGAGCCACCTGGTCAAGCCAAGCCTCAATCTGCTGCTGCCAGACTATCCATCAGATCATGAACTAAATAGATGCTCCTTGATGTGTGCTCCTGATACTTTGGATTTTTTTTTTCTTTTTGGACATTACTGTGCCCATCATTTACTGATAATATGCTGTGTTCAGAAAAGGCAGATGGGAAACTTCCTGCTGAAAAACTGGTCTGATAAAGAAAACCCTGAGTCCAAACATTAGAACAAAGGGAAAGTATATAGCTGCATTTTCAGGCAATGTCAGTAATTGGACCAGTGTTTCTAAAATCTAGGATTCCCAGATCTCGTTATTAGTAACTTGCTAACACCCTCAATGTATTATGGGAAAGAAAGTGGATTTCAGCTAATCATTTATCTTAATGAGTTATAGAGATGAATGAAGCTATTAAAAAGAAAATCCCCTTGTTCCTTAGATAAAATTACTTTTTCTAGAGTTTCTGTTGGTCTGGCTAGTATTAAATTAATAGGGAACAAATTTTACTTAGTTTCCCCTTTCCCATTACCATGGTTCATAAATTTGATACTTTGGAGGAACTCATTAGCTCCTTCAGATTATAATTAGCTGGAAGCCATGAAGTGCAGAGTGACTTTAATTCTAACAGATAAGTTGTATTTTTTATTAAATGTGTGGACATGGGGAGGAGAAAATGGTCAGTTAAAAAGAAATTTCGTCTATGAATATTTTATACATAGTCTAAGAAAATTCAATCTTTGGTGGACTGAATTATGTTGGAACCAAAGACTCCTATTTGAGGTTGATTGCCTTTAAGTTGTTAAAAATTATTATGGTTTATATGTCATTGTTTTTCCTTTCAATTTTTACCCCATTATGTTTGTTTTTTTAACTGACCTTCCAATAAGACAGCATTTCTTATTGCTCTGCTCAAATTGCCAAATCCCTTCCTAAGACAGCTGAACCATCCTAAAACATTTTGTACAGTAAAACAGAGCCTTTCTGGTTGTTTGTACCCTGGCCAAATGCATCTTCATAAGCTATATGTTTTTCAAATTTCTGTAGTACTGACAGTAGAATATTTTAAAATTCACAAAATTGGGAAAAAATGTTTACCATTCAAATAACATGGCAAATTAAACCAGATTTAATGATGATGTAGAAAAACCATTTCCTTGAAATACTAGTCTAGGCTTTATTTGCTGTAATTATCCCTCAGCAGGGGGATGGTATAGATTTCCCAGCTGTACCAGCTGCATGGCATGCTGGGACTAAGGGGAAGAACAAACTGAGAGAGACTTATGGGGTTTCTGGAGTAAACAAAAATGCAGCTCCCAGGAAGGAAATGATCCAAAGAAGTCCAATTTTTAACAGAGACAAAGCAAAGCCAAGCTGGATTTCTCACTGAGGAAAAATAAGAATGGAATACGCCATTTGAGAATGCATGGTAGAGATGTTATCAATGCCAGTTGCCAGGTTGGGTCTTTCCAAGTGTTCCATTAACACAGGACACAGAAAAGCAAAAGTGTGAGTCAGACTCCAGGTGTGATAGGATAACCTTATGAAGAATTAGCTCCTGTGTCTCATATTTTTCATTCCCTTTAAGGGTGACCTTACCATCCCCTTCAAACAGTGAGGAGTAAGAAATTCTCAAATGACACCAAATAACAATACATCCAATGCTTTGTCTTTAAATATTTAAAAGTTAGTGCAAGTAGATGCTCAAAATGAATGTAATAGACATACAATCAGACAGAATGAGTCCTTGTCCCCAACCATTTGAGCTGAGGATTACAACAAGAGAGAAGAAGAAGAAGTTTCAGATGTTGGTGCATCTATATGCCCCAATCTCTCTCCCTAAGTCCTAGAGGTGATGGAAGGAAGAAGTGATGGAATATTCTAGATAAGTTTGAGGAATAACAGAGCTAAGAGAACTGTGCCTCACATTCCTTTTTAAAACATGATAAGTGGGCTGCCTTAATAATATCCCTCATATAACAGTGACAAGGAATCAGTATGCCAGGGATGGCTGGGGGTGATGTCCATGGCAAGGTAGGTGCCAGGGGAAAACCTACCTGGCTTTTCCATGGGCCCACACACAGAACAGGTGAAAGTTCCTTATGCCCTTGAGAATAGCAAGTAGGAACAAGCAAGGGCTAACAGAAGTTCTCTCTTACCTTCTCCCCACCCCCAAGAAAAATAATTGCCTGGGAGTGGAAATGAGAAGTAAGCCAGGTGAGCAGTGCAGACTTGATGATTAGAAGCCACGGAAGACTAAGCATCTAAATCCTCTACAGGATAATTTTTGTCTCTCAGTCAATACCTTATACAAGAGTCAAGCCTGAGAAGAAGACTGGGTGGCTTCTTAATGGTGCAGAAGGCCAGCAGAAGGAGAGAGATGGAGATCAAAGAAAAGGAAACCTGTTTCCACCAACGGTTCAGCAGCTTTTTGTTAAACCTCATGGAGCTACAGGCAAAGGCCAAATCATTAAGGACTCTATAAGTCAGGTTAATGAGTTTTAACTTTAATTTTATACTTTAACTTTTTACTCATGGGCAATGGAAAGCCTTTGGATGTATATTAGTCCATTCTCATGCTTCTGTGAAGAAATACCTGAGACTGGGTAATTTATTAAAAAATATATATACAAATAAAATAATAAAAAGAGGTTTAATTGACTCACAGTTCCACATGGCTGCAGAGGCCTTAGGAAACTTACAATCATGGCAGAAGGCACTTCTTCACAGGATGGCAGGAGAGAGAATGAGTGCCAGCAGGGCAAATACCAGATGCTTACAAAACCATCAGATTTCATGAGAACTCACTCACTATCACAAAAACTCACTTGCTACCACAAGAACTCACTCTCACAAGCATGGGGGAAACCGTCCCCATGATTTAATTACCTCCAAGGGGTCCTGCCCTTGGCACATGGGGATTATTACAGTCCAAGGCAAAATTTGGTTGGGAACATAGAACCAAACACTCTCAGTTCCCACTGCCAGCCCCAGGCAAACACTAATCTACTTCCTGTCTCTACAGACTTGCTTTATTAAATATTTCATATAAAAGAAAATATATAATATATAGTGTTTTTCTGTTTTGCTTCTTTCTCTTCACATAATATTTTTAAGTTTTATGTATGTTTTAGCATGTATCCCTAGTCCATTATTTTTTATTGGCAAATAGTATTCCACTCCCCCCATGGAAATATCCATTCACTACTTAGTGGACTTTGGTCTTTCCAGTATTGAGTTTTCAGTATTGGACTATTTATAAATAATTCTGCTATGAACATTCATGTACAAATCTTTGCGTAGATTTATGTTTTGGTTACTTTTAAGTAGTCTCCTAGGAGTGGATTAACTGGTCGGATTATAAATTTATGATAAACAGGTTAACTTTTTAAGAAATTGCCAAATAGTTTTCCAAAGTAGAGGCATCATTTTATATTCTACTCATGATGTATGAAGGTTTCAATATCTCTACATTACTGATAGCCGTTCTAGTGGCTACAAAGTGATCTCTTATTGGTGGTTTTGATTTGTACATTTCTAATGATGTGAGGCATCTTGTTATGTGTTTATTAGCAATTTGAGAATTTTGATTGTTGAAGTGTCTATTCAGATTTTCTTAATTGTGTTATTTATCTTATTATTGAGTTGTACAAGTTACTTATTGTTCTGAATATAAGGCCTTTATCAGATAGTAATTCAAAAATATTTCCTCCCAGCCTGTGGCTTGTTTTTTCATTTTTTAATGATGTCTTTTAAAGCACAAAAGTTTTAAATTTTTATGAAGTTGGATTTATCACTTTTTTCTTTCTTGGATCTTTCTAGTGAAGCTTCATGTTTTTATTTAAAAAGAAGTTCCTCTCCAGTGATTTCTGCCTATATGTCATTGGCCAGAAATCTGTCACAGAGCCAACATTAGTGGGAAGGGAGTCTGACACTAATAAAATTTGTCCCCATCAAAATCAAGTTCTGTTATAAGGAGAAAAAAGAAAAGGCATAATGGCTATTTGGTGAGCAGTTAGTATGGACGGTCACAGTTTTTTAAGCAACATGATCAAATTCCACTTTAGAAAGTATGTTAGTTTCTCTATTGTCACAATAATGCTTTATAATGACAAATACAAAACTTATGTGGCAAACACAGTAAATGTTTATTGTCCATCTGTTCAGAGTCCGCTGAGCTTTCACGTGCCTGGGAGAGGTGGGCTGTTGGCTAACCTAGGCCAGTTTCAGTGGGATATGGTGACTCCGCCCTGTTCCGTAGGCCTCTCATTGTCCAGCAGGCTAGACTAGCCTTGCACCTGTGGAGATGGCAGAGGTACAAGAGAACAAGGTAAACCACAAGGCCCTTGGAGGCCTAGGCTAGGAAGCAATATTCCCTCACTTCTGCCACATTCTGTTGTCTAAAGCAAGTCATAAAACCAGCCCAGATTAAGAAGAGGAAAAATAGGTTGATTCCCCTTTTTAGTGAGGAGAATTGCAAAGTCTCATGGCAAATATATGTATACAGGGAGGGGTGAAGAACTGGGGCCATGAATGCAGTCAATCTAACGTACAAAAAACTGAGCTAGCCTAACAGTCAAAATACTAGCAAGCTTCCTATTACGATAACCAGGTGGGAAGATGGTGGCGTGAGCTGAGATAGAACATGTGAAGATGAAGAAAAACAGACCAGCTTCAGAGACATTTAGGAGATAGTGACAAAGTTTGGGGGGTTGATTAAATCATGTGGAAGGGGAGGAGAACAGAAATGGGAGAGGAGCAGTCAAGTATTTCGTGTAATATTTCCTCTTTCCACTATTCAATGTTATTCAAGAGAATGACTAGAGGAAGAAAATAACATAGTAATATAAGAAACAGTAGAACACACACTTGCATTTTACTTACTTTCAAAACCAACCCATTTTTATTTTAGCATCAGTTTGATTTTACACTGATTTCTTAGGAGTGCTGCAAGATGGAATAACTTGTGACACATGTCTGTTACTGAGATCTAGTTTAATGGAGCACTTTATTCTAAATGATACATTATGGGTTAGGTGAGAATAAAAATGTTTTTCCAGAGCCACACGAATATGGCTTTCAGTTAATTCACCTTGAAAATTGCCCAAAATAAATTCGTACTTAACAAAACCAAGAAAGCCAAATGTCTGTCAGTTTTAACGGGGAGTCACAAAGTTTCATGACAACGGTGACACAAAAGAGCTGAAGGGGCCTGTGAATCAAAAGTTGTACGTTGTGAATCAAATGATACAAGTTTGTACATCATCAGAGATGCAGGCACAGACTTCACTGACAGTAAGAATTCCAAGTCTTATCATCATGAAATATGGGATCCCACAGGCTTCATGCAGTCTTCAGATGAAGAAGTTCAACTTTGAAAATCAATGCTAGAAAGCAGATATTTTGCTGGTCTTGATAACTGTGTTCTCCAGTGGAAATTTCAAATTACATTTTATGTGGGGGAAAAATTGCCAGTGGCTTGGGGCCCCTAACAAAAGCCACACTGATTTCAAGAACAGACTAGGAAGAGATGACAGCATGGCCTGGTAAACCTGTGTAAGGTGAGGGACCTCAGCACAGTGAAGGATGTGCTATACCTGGAAGGAGGAGAGGGGATTATTGCCCCTCTCCAGAGAAACCCCAAACACTTCATCATGTGTCCCCAGAAAAGAAAGAAGCCAAAGTGAGAGGACAAATATGATACCGGTCTCCATGATGAGGTCTCTGGTGGAAACACGTTTGCTTACTCACTGGCTCTTTCATACAAGTTGTTGTGAAACATTTCACTAATATCACTGACATCATGGATAGTGAGTTCTGAGGGTATAGGAGGACACACAGATAATAAGATGGACTCTGCCCTTCCTGTCTTGAGGTAAGAATGATAGCAAGCTCCAGTGAGAGCTGATCATGTAGCAGGCATTTTGCATACGTATTTTATTTACTCTTCTAAATAACCCCAAAATGTAGGCACTACAACTATTATTTACATGGCAGAGAAACAGATGCAAAAAGGCTATGTAGCCAAGCTCATGTGTCTGGAAAAGCTGTCCAACCAGGATCTCATCTCCTCCTACTCAGACCCCAAATTTCTTGTTCTTAACCATGCCTACCTTAGAGTCTAAAAGAGAAGATAGAACATGGACAAAATCAAGTATGATTGGGTTAGACATACTCATCCTTCTAATGCTTTCTACATGCCCAGCATTATTCTAAACACTTTCCATGATTCTTCCTTTAATCCCTACAGCAATGCCACAAGGGTGTTGATAGTGTTATCTTTATTTTAAAGGTGGGGAAATTAGGGCATAGAGAAATTAAGTAATTCACCCAAGGTCACATCGCCAATAAATGACGGAGCTGAGATTTGAACCCAGGGAGACTGGCTGTAAAAGTTTATGCTATCAACACCACGCTATGCTCTCTCTGAAGAAAAGACACAAGGCTAGAGGAGAGAGTGATTTTTTGAGGCTGTAAAGTAGAAAAGTACATGGGAGAAAATGAGTTAAATATTTGATGGAAGATAAAGATGTGTGCTGGGTTTTAAAAACAAAGGTGGATATGTGAAGACAGGGGGAGGTTTAGGTGTAAGATATTCACCTGAATAGATTTCTCTCTGCCACCTTTTCTTTATTGTCTAGGGTCAGTATTATTTCCTTCATAGCTTTTTTGGTTTGTGATTACTTACTTACACATTTCCTTACTTCCTCATAAAAAGACCATAAGGGCAGGAATGTGATGCTCTTCATCATCATATGCCCAGTGCCAGGCACACAGAAGGCACTCAATGATCACTTGTGAAATGGAGGAAGGAGAAAGAAGAAAATTGGCAGTTGGGAAATGGGTAATGGGCTGATAACAGGTTCCACAGGAATTCAGAAAATATGGCCACAGTTAGTCATGGCGAGTTTTATGTAGCAGGTGAAATTTGAGCCAACTAATAGTTTTTAAGATAGAAAATATTGCATTAATACTGAGATTCACATATTTTCACATTTTATGTCTCTGAAATTGGAGTCAGTATTTTAAGCAATGGTATATTTGAACTTAATTGGCATTATTTTCTCTACCTTAGATGATAGAATAACAGTCCATTTTATAATTGATGACATCTTAGATTTAACAAAATAATAGAAATGATTTGTCTGACTTCCATAGATGGTAACTTCTCGGAAATGAATGGAGAAGATAGAGGCAGACTACGCAGCCTCTTGAAAACCAGTCGTATTCTAGAGTTGATATTAGAGGCAGGAGGAGCCATAGTGACTTTCTGAGCAGAGGAGTAACCTCATCAAAATGGTGCTTAAAAAAAGAGGTAACTGGACTCAGCGTGAAACAAAGATGAGATGGAAGAGAACAATATCAGTAAGGGCAGCCTGGAGGTGAGGAGGTGGAAAGAATCATGCCTTGAAGTCAAGGACAAGAGTCGCATTCACAGCTGTGTCACTAATGCTGTGACCTGAGATGTCATTTTACTCTTCTGGGTCTTGGTGTCTCTGTTAATAAAATGAAACAGTCAGAACAGAGCAACTCGCAGATGCTCCTGAATTTTAAAACTCGATGATTATTCCAGGTGTGAGGCAGCAGGTCCCTGCTGTGGGCTGCACACAGGAATATGGAACATGAGAGATGGACATAAGAAATATTTTGAAGGAGAAACAGTGTGTACAAAGGTGTGATGCTGGAGAAATGATGGAACAGAAACCAATGCAGTTATGTCTGAAGAGGAGGAAGAAGATGTGGAAGGGCAGAAAAGGACCAGACTGAGTAAGGCCTTGGGAGCCACATTGAAAAGTCTGGACCTTATTCCAGAAACAATAGGGAGCCACTGAAGCTCATAAGCTAGCAGGACTGTAATCATCAAATATTCACTTAAGCAACATGGTCATTTCGGTTGCATTGCTGAGAGAAAATGTGAGAAGGACATGACCAGAAAGAAGCCCACCTGAAAACCATTATGAGGATCCAGTTGAAAAAATGAAATAAAAGAGGCTCAAATTAGACGGGAAGCCATAGGGACAGAGAGAACTAAACAAGTTTCAGGACACTGGAACACAGAATTAGCAGGATTTGCCAAGTGATTTAATAGTGAGAGAGAAAAATAATAATAGCAGCTAATTCGCAAAATGCCCACTGGTCTTATTGCCTTGCTTTCGGCTGTTCTGGGTTATCTTTGATTTTAATTTCAGATCACACCCTCCCCACATCCATCTGCTAGCCCACCTGCCCTCGCACTCATGTCTTGGGGCTCTGAATCCACTACCATCATATTGGATACCAAACCACACCTCAGCAATCCCCCTTCCCAGTTGTCCCACTGTTCATTCCACCCCTTGCTTCTCATTGCCCTCATTTGATCTCACTTCTCTTGATCAATCCAAAGAAATAACAACCATCCCAACACTACTGTAGCAGACCCTGCATGCCCTGCCCTCAGCACTCACCGTCTTGGCCTATATCCAAATCTTCTACTGAAAATGCTGCGATTCTGCATGAACACAAGTCCAGAAATCAGGGAATTAATGCCTGATTAACACAGATTGGGTTCTCCAGGGAGCAGACTTTCAGATACAGTTCAGTGTGCAGGGTGTTTGTGAAAGAGTTCCCTTGGTATTGACACCCATGAAAGAGAATGGAAGGAAACAGGATAGGGCAGCGAGAAAAATCATGTTGTGTTCCAGGCCCCATGACAGTCTTGGCCAACCCTATGGGGAGCTCTCGAGTTAAGAATTGTCTCAGTTGGTCTGAAATGCCCAGGCCATTATACACCCACTTTAATCCATCTATGGAATGTGAGCTACCAGTGAGGGCATGATCTTGACAAGGAGGTTCTCTTCAGCTGGGGCAATTACTGAGTGGACTGACATTTGAAAGTTGTCCTCTTACAGCAACCCCACTAGCTGGGCAACAGGTCCTTCCTTAAAGGGGAACCTGGGTGGCATCTCATATGTCCTCCACAATTCCTCAGCAAGCAAGCTTCAGTCAATGACACAGAAGAGTTGGATAATAAATACCCCAGCATCTCCACCTCTTAGGGTTGGGGCTGGCGAGCAGATGACTCTAAGGCATGGTCTAGATCATGTCCCAGAATACCCTATTTCCCAGGGTGATAGCGTGCTCAATATCTTACCACTTATTGGATTCCTTCCTTTCCCGGCCTCACTTCCCCACTCCCTGCCTGTGCTTCCTAAATAAACTATGTGTATTCAAATCCTTTTCTCAGGTTTGTTTCTGAGAGAACCCAACCAAAAACACCCCCCAAAACCTTCTTTACTCATCTGTTCTACATGATAAAAGCAAGCTATTTTTTAAAGGAATGACCTGTATCTCTAGGTTATATGCCACCGTTTCATCGCAATTGATATTGTTTTTTTTTTCACTGAAACAGTTATTCAAGGTAGTGTGAATGACCTTGATACATGTTAATGCCTCAAAGATGTAGGCTGTTCACAGAAAGTGCTGATTTCTTTGCCTAACGTTCATTGTTTATCACAAACCTCAAACCATTTGACAAGCAAACATCCTTAGCATGTCTCTGACTTAATCAAAAGCAGGTCAGTGAAGCATATTCCCCAGTCATAAACCCAGCCAACAATAAAATCAATCTTCCTTGAATGGTTAAGTCTGACACCTGTTTACAGTAGCTTGTTGGCTGCTCAAATGCCCACATCTGCATTCAGTAGCAGCTACCTAGGGAGAGGTCTCTGTATACCTCAGGGATACCTGCTGTTGGCCTATTTGCAAAGGCAGATATAACCAGAGAATAGCTCCTCATGGCAAAGGATGACAGATGGGCTAAAAATTCCCAGTGTGTTTGGTTGCTATGCCAAAGTAGCAGTACCAGGTGGGGCATGACTACACAGACCCCCTTAACCAAGAATAGCTTTTCTTTATCTGGAAGACTGCCCTGGTTGACAGATACAATAGTCCCCCCTTATCCACAGGGGATATGTTCTAAGACCCCCAGTGAATGCCTGAAACCACAGATAGTGCAGAACACTATATATACAGTTTTTTCCTATACATATAAGTCTATGATAAAGTTTAACTTATAAATTAGGCACAGTAAGAGATTGACAACCTAAAGTAGAATAATTATGGCAATGTACTGTAATAAAAGTCATGTGAATGTCTCCATTCTCTCTCTCTGTCTCAAGATGTTTTATTGGCCTGTGCTCACCCTTCTTCTTATGATCCATCAATCTGATAAAGAACTCAGCTACTAAGTGACTAGCGGGCAGGTAGTATATACAGCATGGTTACCCTGGACAAAGGGATGATTCTCGTCCAAGGCGGGACAAAGTGGGACAGCGTGAGGTTCCATCATGCTACTCAGAATGATGTCCAATTTAAAACTCATCAATTGTTTATGAAAATTTTCATTTAATATTTTCAGACCATGGTTGTTCACAGGTAATTAAAATCTTAGAAAGTTAAACTATGGATAAGACGGGACTACTATAAATATGATAAGAGGAATTTTTTATTTTCTTCACTTCCTTTAACCTGCAGCCTTTGACCTTTTGGTTCCATTTGTAGAAAATACTTGGCATTTAAGTTTATAGGTCAGATATCATAGCAAGGCATTAAAGAATACAATCAAAAAGAATTTTACCCCACATGGAAGATATTTTTGTTCTCTCTGAAACAATGATTTGGGTGTAGGTAGTTTATTTATGAAGTGACTCCAAGAAACACAAGTGGGAAGTGAGATAGGGAAGGAGGAAATCCAATAAATGGCATGTTAAATAACTAGTTACCATGTGGGCAACTGGGGCTAAATCTTATAGGGAATTCTCTGAGCAATAGTGTGAAGCAACCTCAAAATCCTTCTATTGGGGACAAGGAGGCTGGGGCATTTATCCCTCAAATCCCATCACCCACTGGCAAACAGCACCCACAGGGATGTCAATACCATGTAATTCGAGGTGTACCTGCACAGCTGAGCAAGCTCTTTCATAATACCAAAAAAGTCCTCAAGCAGAGGAAGATAATGACATAGGTGCTGGCATGGTAGGTGGAAAACTGGCAGAGTGCCAGAAATTGGCTACAGATGCAGCTCAGGTGGGCAAGAGAATGAGCCAATATAGGGCAGGGCATCAACCATGCCTGCTGTAATATGCTTGAGAGTTAAGGGAAGGCAGTAAAAGGCAGAGGCAGAGGAGAAGTAAGGGCATGAGATACTCGTGTGGCTCTTTGAGAAGGGGCCCCTTCCCTTGTCCCCCACTGGCCAAGTCCAACGTGAAGAGGAATGATTAATCCCCCACATGTCTTAGGGCCCAAGGGAAGAAAGAATCTGTGTTCAAGTCCCTCAAAGGGTTCTTGAACACAAACAAAGACCTTGAGTCTCCCCACCTCTCACTAGCTTGGAACAGTAACAAAAGTAGAGTAAAAATGATGTTAGAAGGTGATTTCAGGAAGCACATAAAAATACACAAAGGATAGAAAAGTGGATAAGAGAAGGCACAGCATCATGAGGAGAAGTAAACAGTTCAAAAACTGACAGCCAAGGTCACTGGAAATGTGAATATTTCAGCAGAAGTGCAAGTGGAGGGTAGTGATGGCTGAGAACAAAGCAGCTGAGACCATTGCAGTGGATGCCAGCAAAAAACCAGATGCCAGACAAGTTACAGATTCCCCATCTAGAGTCACATACTTTGAAGCCCATAAAATCATAAATGCTTCTTCAGTGTATTCATCTGCTTGAGCTGCCATAACAACACACACACACACACACACACACACACACACACACACACACACACACACAGACTGGGTGGCTTAAGCAACAGAAATTTATTTTCTCAGTTCTGGAGGCTACAAGTCCACAATCAAGGAGCCAGCTGATTTGGTGTCTGGTATAGGCTCCTTTTTTTTTTTGAATGGTTGGAGGGGGTGCTTGCAGATGGCCACCTTCTCACCCTGTCCTCACATGGTAGGGAAAGAGACAGAGGGAGAGAAAAGGAAAATGAAGAGGGAAAGTAGAAAGAAAGAGAGAGGGAGAAATCTGGTGTCTTTTGTATACTCTTCATAAGCTCTATCTCCAAATACAGCCACATTGAGGGTTACGGCTTCAACATATGAATTTAGAAGAGCCACAATTCAGTCCACAGCATTCAGAGAGGAGAGGTGAAGGGAAATGTCCAAATTGACCAAGGTTACATCTAAGATTATTATGTGTCTTAGTTTTGGTTTTTCAAAAGGAGAGCTTGAAACAAGGATTTATGGGAAGGTGATTTACTTAAGAGGTGATTCCAGAGAACAGGAATGAGGGACTAGGGGAGTGAGTCAGAGAAGGAGGCAAAGCCAATGTAAGGGAGTGTTGTTGAAGTAGCCATTGTGGGTAACAGAAGCTCAATTCCACTGGGACTTCCTGAAAGTCAGAGAATTGTCCACCTCTGTTTGTCCCAAGGATGGGAAGCTGAGGCATTTAACCATTGATTCCCCTTCCCCATCCCATGTTATGGGATGAGGGTGTATATATATAGAGAGAGATTTACTATAGGGAATTGGCTCACATGACTATGGAGGGTGGTGAGTCCCAAGATCTTCAAGGTGAGCTAGCAAGCTGAAAACACAGGAGAGCCCATAGTGTGGCTCCAGTCCAAGCCCAGAGGCCTGAGAATGAGAAGAATCATGCGGTAGTTCCAGTCTGAAGGCCAGCATGCTCAAGACCCAGGAAGAGCTGATGTGTTAATTAACAACCAAACACAGAAAAATTCAATCTACCAGTTCAAAGGACATTAGGCAGGAAGAATTATCTCTTCTTTCTGGATTCTCAGAGGAGGGTTAGGCTTTTTGTTCTATTTAAACCTTCAACTAATTAAATAAGGCCTGCCCACATTAGAAAGGCAATCTGCTTGCCTCCTACTAATTTAAATGTTAATCTCATCCCCAAGTACCCTCTCAGAAACACTTGGAATAACATTTGATGAAATATCTGGGCACCCACAGCCCAGTCAAGTTGACATATAAAACTAACCATCATATTATCAGAGATGTTAATCCTTCTGTACTTCTAAGCTATCTGTGCAATATAGGCCAAGTGAGTACCAGCCAATGTTTGTGAATTTAGAGGGACCCCTGGGCAAAAAAGTAAAGACTTAGCACATAGACATCTCACTGATGACAGTTGGAAGTAAATCAACGTCCTTATGGAATTATGTACACAGCTAAGGTTTAAATAAGAAGTGAGATAAAGGTGATGTGATTTGGGGCAGGAGAGTATCTTATACATTAGTGTTTACAAAATTTATTAAGATTGTTATTTTTCTGCCATCACCAGAATAGATATTCCAAAAAAAAAGATATTATATTGAGTTATGGAAACATTTAGAAAGCTACACTTTCTGCAGACATTGATTTTGTAGTCTAGAATATGCATAGCCACCTTACACACATACAAAATCTTAACAAGCTACATTAGCTTAATCAAATCGTGGCAATGAATGAGTTGCTGCCAAATCATTTCATATCTAATATGCTTGCCATTTATTTTTTCATATTAATCTATCCATTGAACATTTATTGGCTGTATAAGCCATTATGTCAGCTGAGAGAAGAAAAGGTGGAAAAGATGAATTTTCTGCTAATAGTTTCCCCATTTCCGCCTTCAAAGATAAAAGACTGATTTTATGAATACTGGAAGCTGTATGTTATTACGACTTCAGGCCTTAATTGGGCACACCATCTCTGGATGGAGATTGGGAGGAAAAACAAATATATACCCCAAAATTGGAGGTCATAGATGTTTGCATGAGTTACATGTTATTTCCACTCAATGGGAAATTCTCTGACCTCAAACATCTACGCATGCCCACACCTAAATTTATAAAGATATGAACAGACGCTTTTCAAAAGAAGATATTTATGAGGCCAACAAACATATGAAAAAAAAGATAAAAATATTTTTATTCAATTACTACCACTACCCTGTACCCTTTTACTCTTTGCCAATGAAAGAGTCAAACCAAACGTGATATTTTTTATTCTTCTTGTTCACAAACAGAGGTGAATATCTTCAATATGTTCCCTCTGCATTTCCTTCCTACTTTTTCCTTCTTATTCATTGGCTTTTACCTTTCTCTAGTTTCTGCTTTTGACCATTCTCTCCCAAGAGTCCAAAAATAACAGTGGAAAGCCAGTGGAAAGAGGAAAAGAGAAAAAATGGTCAATTTTTAAGAAAACAATTTCAGTTCCTTCTCTTTCCATTTCAAACCCCAAACAAGAGTCAACTCTTATAAAACCCCCAATTTATTCACTTGAACCAAAGAGCCTCAGAGTGTGCTCTACACCCCATCAGTGAGCTACAAGTGTTCCCCTGAGAGACCACCAAATGATTTACAACTGCAAGTTCTTTGGTTCCTAGAAGTGAGTGATACACAATTCCACAGACTTATTTTTTATCATATTTTAGCAATATGTTAATAATAGAAATAATAGCCAGCATGTATTGCTTATTATTGCTAGGCACTCTAATAAGTACTTTGCATGCATTAACTCATTTATTCTTCACACCAAACCCAGGGATAAGTACTTTGTCATCCCTATTTACAGATGGCAAATCAGAGGAACACAGAGGTACAATATATTGCCCAAGATCACCTAATCAGTAACAAATGCAACCAGTGCAGGCATTCTGGCTACAGAACTCTGTGCTAACCTGACTCTACCTGAGCCATGGAGCGTTATCAAAATTTGGCATTTGTAACTAAAATTAGTACTTTACTCAAATTTACTGAGGATTCTTATGCAGTAGTCTAATAAACTAGCTATCTACTGTGCAACATTACAAATCTCCTACTAAACATGAGTATATGCAGTACTTGAGTTTTCCTAAGTTGCTAAATCCAATGGTCAATTCTCAGTCCTCACCATACTCAATCTATCAGAAGCATTTGACACAGACTCCCCTCTTCCTCAGAATATTTTCTTATTTTTGGCTTCCAAAATACTAGTCCCTTTTAGAAAGAATATAGTTGGCTCACCATTTTGTTTCTGTGACAGTACATATTTTACTAGTGCTATGCTATGAATGTGTGTTATTTAACACATTATCAAGGTTAATGTGCTAAAATTACTAAGCTACATTTCAGTTTATAAGGTGATCAAATAAATAACCATTTTTCAATTTTTGTTTCTCTTCAGCTCTTTATTATAAGGCCTTTTTCAACTGGAAAGTAAGTCTAATAATTGTACCATTATAATTCATCCTCAGCCTATAAGAGCCACAGTTAAAAATGTGTGTGATCCACTGATCTTGGGGTCACTGAACGTGTGCTTGGAGTGTGTATAATAAGGTGATTAAGAACTGAGTCTCCAGAATTAGACATGCTTAGGTATGACTTTCCAGACCAGCAACTACTAGTTACGTAAACTTGGGCAAGTGACGTAACCTCTGAGCACCTCCATTTCCTCACATGGAAAATGGGCATAATATGAGTACTTACCTTGTAGAGCTGTTGAAAGAAATATTTGAGATAATACAAAGATAAACACTTAGCCTTGAACCTGGCACACAGTTTGTGCTCCGCAAATATTAGCTATTATGAAAGTAATGTTTCTGGCCGGGTGCTGTGGCTCAGGCCTGTAGTTCCAGCACTTTGAGAGGGCGAGGCAGGTGGATTCTTGAGGCCAGGAGGTCGAGACCAGCCTGGGCAACATGGTGAAACCCTGTCTCTACTAAAAAATACAAAAATTAGCCTGGTGTGGTGGCATGTGCCTGTAGTCCCAGTTACTCAGGAGGCTGAGGCAGGAGAATTGCTTGAACCTGGAAGGTGGATGCTGCAGTGAGCCCATATTTCGCCACTGCACTCCAGCCTGGGTGACAGAGCAAAACTCTGTCTCGAAAAAAAAATTAAAAATAAAAAATAGAGTAATATTGTTTTAAATAAAATATACACAATGGCATCATATCACTGACAATTATGTCACCCAGAAAAGTTGAGATTTTGCACAGCTATGGAATCCAGGTTATGCCGATAGGGGAAAACGTACACTAAATATTGGTTTCTTGGGTTTTAAATGGGAAGATAAAAAAAGAACAAGTTCATTTCAACATTTTCTCCCAAGGTCAAAATTAATTTTGCTCTGAGCTTTGCAAATCCCTCCTTAATTGTCTAAACATCTGTAATTGAGAGAGGAATGAATTTTATATGTAAGTTTACTTCCTCTAGAGACAAAAAAAAAAAAAAAGAAAAACATTGAGGGTACCAAAACGGTTTGCTTGTGCATAATAGTAAGACCTAATGGGGAAAATAAATCATCTAAAACATTAGCTGCAATCACTCTGCCAACTGTAAATAGCCTTAAGATACATATTAATTTCATAAACTGATAGAAAGAAAATTAGATCTCATCTATTCCACCTTTGATTTTTTTCTTACCTTTTGAAGTTACAATTTTAAATGATCTACAAGAATCAATGAACAGTGTACATATAATATAGGCAAATATTTCAAATTTAGTGTTCCTTGATATCTTGAGTTCAAATTTTTTAAGAAAGAATTTTATGCTAGCACCTTCCATTTACTCTACTACAACCCAGTGATGCTAGTGAGAACAACTTTCAGCTGAGGAGGTATACTGGTTCATTCTCATACTGCTATGAAGAAATACCTGAGTAATTTATAAAGAAAAGAGGTTTAATTGATTCAGTTCCGCATGGCTTGGGAGGGCTCAGGAAGCTTACAATCATGGAGAAGGCAAAGGGAAAGTAGGCACCTTCTTCACAGAGTGGCAGGAGGGAAGTGAGAGTGCAAGAAAAAAAAATGCCACTTTTAAAACCATCAGATATGGTGAGAACTCCTCACTATCACGAGAACAGTATAGAGAAAACCACCCCCATGATCCAATCACCTCCCACCAGTTCCCTCCTTCAACATGCAGGGATTACAATTCCAGATGACATTTGGATGGGGACGCAGAGCCAAGAAATATCAGGAGGCATTAGCATGTGTTGCAAATGAAGGAAAGCCACACATTTTGTGACATTCTTTCCATCAAGATGTCAGGCCTATGTTCTCTCCCCTTGAAAATGGGAGAGCTCTATGACTACTCCACCAAGAGAATATGGCAGAAGTGGCATTGTTCTAGTGCCTGGGTCCAGGCCATTAGAGACTGGCAGTTTCCACCTCCTTTCTGTTGGAACACTCTCTGGCAGATGCCATATGAAAGTGTTCCAGATGCCTGAGACCGCCATGCAGTGAGAAAGCTTCTACTGGCCACATGGATAGTCCACAAGGAGAGAAAAAGACAGCTAACCAGCTATTTCAGCCATCCCAGCCCAGGCACCGAACTTGGGACTCTTACCTTAGCCACCATTTGGCTGCAACAACATGAAAGACCTTAAGCAAGAATCACCTATCTAAACACTTGCACCTCCAGATCTTTGAGAATTTATTATTATACAATAGATAACCTGAACCGCATAGCATTTCACTTATTGAAAGAAATAGTTAACTGCAAATCAAGATAGGCCTTTTTTCTACTCTTGCTTTATAAGGTTTATGTAGAAATGGTCCTAGAATGAGGATTACAATCCTGCAAGCTTTATTGCAGTCTCAATCTAATGTTCACTTCAGAGTTTATTTCAGTGTTCATTTCAATGTTTATTTCAGAGTATCAATCCAAGTAAAAATAGATTCTATTATTTTCTTTCAAAATAATAACCACTATTACTTACTTTTTCATTATCCCCCAGTTCTCTTCACGTAGAAACAGCTAAACCTTTCTAAAACTTTTCTAAAACAGCTGTATCTATTCATCCTTAAAAGCCTTGTTAAAATAGGCTTTAATGTTATTGTTAGCAAGCAATCAGTTGCATCAAGCGTTTTATAAACTATAGGCTTTCATATCTGTATTTTCATGAATGAAATGCTAGAGGATAGAAATGATCACTGCCTGGAGGCTGAGCTGATAAGACACTAGGATGATGGGTAGACATCAGTGAAATGCAGATCCTTATAAAAAGCATGATGTTTTCCAGGTTAACCATAGTTTTCTAGAGCTGTTCAACCATGACTCATTGAAGAAGATATATATTTTAATGGTTATAATTAAATATACTGAAAACTAAAGTATAAAACGATAGCATCTACTATTGTTACTATTTTCATTTTTTGAGTGAAGAGTTTAAAATTTTTTCTGTTTTTCTCATTTACTACCTAAATTAGGAACTTCATCTTTTCTCAAGCAGTGGCTCACTCATTGATTTATCCATTTATTTATTCCACAAATTGGATGTCTACTATTTGTCAGACACCATGTCAGGTTCTAGCAATACCAAGATGAACAAGACAGACTTGGTCATTACCACAGACTTTATATTGTAGCAAAGAAAGAGGCATTAAACCAATAATAAAGTGTTTTAAGAGTTATAAAGTGCACCAGGAAAGGGAGGAGTACAAGGAGTTTTGCAGGCACATAAGAGAAGCATCTAAACCAGTTCTGAAGGCCTGAGAAAGCTTCCAGTTTATTATATAATTTAATCACCATAACACTATTATGTCTCAGCTTTTGAACAATTTTAGGAATAAAGCAACGAAGTGGCAGAGGGAACCAAAATATTATCTTTTCTTTTTAAGGCTTACAGTATATAACTTAGCATGAAAGCCAAAAATCCCTGCTATCTGCATCCCAGAATTAAGTGTGGTCATGTATCCAGACCATGTGGTACTAGACCATGTTAAGCAAGAAGCACAGAGCTGAACTAGGCATGCCAGTTATTACTTCCAATTTTACCACTCAAGCAAATCACTAGTGAGTTAAAAAGAAAGAAAAAAGCAGAAAGACGTATGAAATCTCACATCAGTAGAATTTCTTCACTTGGAAGAAACCACTGTGAGTGGGTAAGAAGCAAGTGATTTATTTATGCAAGAAAAAAACCATTACCTTTTTCTCTAGCTAGTTTCTTTTTGTCCTGCTGTTCTTTTTAACAAAAGAAAAATCACTCTGAAAGTCATCTCCAACATGCTGATGGTTTCTATTAACAGCAAATACCTATTGCACAAATGGCTCAAAATTTAATAAATAACTTTGATGTATAAAACTATTCTCTTGCCGATTCATCAATAAGAGTGAAAATGCAGTTTGACCAGATTGGACACTTCAAATGCTTTCTCTTATTATTACCATATGCTTTTCCAAGTGCAAAGCTGAGTGTCTAAGTCATTCCACTTAAAATGCAGTCGATTCCTGTAATAAATGCTCATTGAAAAGTTTCTGCCAAGAGTTTTATGCTAATTTTTCTCTGTTCTACCCTTTGAAGAATATGATAAAAATGTTTTCATTTTTAAAAACTAAGGAGAAAAAATGTTTAATGAAAATTTTGAGTATTTCCACGTCTCACATTTTCACTCCCTGCCCTTCATCAAACTCAATATTTCATTTGTCCACCCTCTACATAAGTGAACTTTTCATGCCAAAAATATTCCAGAAACAGAGCTGAACACTGGTACTTGGTAAAGTGCATAAATAAAATAGTGTGTGCA
Source organism: Homo sapiens (assembly GCF_000001405.40). Classification (NCBI taxonomy): domain Eukaryota; kingdom Metazoa; phylum Chordata; class Mammalia; order Primates; family Hominidae; genus Homo; species Homo sapiens. The sequence continues at coordinate 25,963,485 of NC_000003.12, read as the reverse complement.
CAGATGTTTTATAAACTATAAAGCATAAATAGATGTAAGGAGATTTGTAAGAGTTCTCATTTTGTAAAGGTAATAGGATCCCTTTAATAAATTGATGAGAAAATTTATATTTCAAAGCGATGTGCCAAATGAAAAGTTGGGATAATTTTTAAATTGTTCATTATTTAAATATTTTCACATATGAACATGTTTTCACACATATAAATATGTTCATTTACATTTAAAATTAACATATTTTAATATTAAATTATTCATTAATAATAAACTTCCTGGATGTCAGCAGTAATTGTTAAAAAAAAAAAAAAAAAAAAAAAGGCAGTGGGTTGAGTGAAGAGGAGGCCCCAAATCTCCTTATACTCCAAGTAAAACTGTCTCTCACCAGCCTTAGCCTCCACCAGCACAAGCGATGAGGGAGACATTGAGCTTGTGCTCTTGACAGGGACTCTCCTGTCCTCGGCACCATTACCCCAACACAGCCTCACCATACCTACCTTTCCTAGACACCATCAGCATTAATTTCATATGCTTTCAAAATTATGAACATCCAAATCTCAGTTTATCCTACATCCCGTATGGCTCTGTACAATCCCTATTCTGACCCATCCACCTTTCTCCAAGTCCCAAATCCTTCCACTGTACTCTCTGGAACTCATGGTGAAGCACCAACGAAAGCCCCTTCTTCAAATGCCTGTGGCTGGGTTTTAAAACACAGTGGTTATTACGTACATTGAGATTCAAGATGGACCATCTGAGTTGAATTCCCAGCTCTTCCCCTCACTTCTCACAGGATCATAAGCAAGGTACTTAACCTCTTTATGCTCTAATTTCCCCATCTATCACATGGAGTTAAAATAATACCTTCCTTGGAGAGACTGTTTTAAGGATTAAATGAATATATAGAACATCGTTGAAGAGTTCCTGACACACAGTAAGTGCTTAGTATCTTTTTTTTTTTTCTTCCTTTGTTTTCCTGCTCTCAGTGAGCTCTGGCTCTCACCTGAGAGGTTGATTTCCCTGAAGTTCCACCAGGTGGTGTCTGTTTCTTTCCTCACATTCCTCATGCCACTGAGACTGACGGATGAATGGAAGTCTTCCTTGCATCTCGGTATTCTTTCCAAGTCATGATCCCTCCCTTCTCCCAACTACCCCCTCCAACTCTGAAGTTCACGCATCAATCTGTGCTTCCCACTACTCCTCTTTATAGCAGTCATCTACAGACTACCAGACCATCCCCACATTCCTTGAGGATTCCAACTTCTGGACCATTGTTGTTCATCTCTATTATTGTCATTATTTCGGGCAATTTCAAAGTCCATGAGTCTGATCCTTTCAATTCATTTTCCTGACCACTTCACCTCCAGTAATCTTCTCCTTAACTTTAACAACTCACTCTCTGTTGTACCCTATATATAGACCCTGCCATTGCCAATAAGTTTATCCCCTTCCCATAGTCTGAGTCTCTGATCATTGTCTCCTGTCTTTCAGCTCACTCCTTTACTACTCTTGACTCCAAAAATTATTTGTCCTCCCAGTTTTTTACAGCCTTATCTACTAATTCCCCTGTATCCAGACTTCCCTGTATATGAATTTATAGTGCATGGTCTGTCATTACAGTCTCTTTCTTCTTGTGCTTTCACATTTTATTGTACTCTCCTGCCAAACTCAACCAAAATGTAGCTCTTTTAAAACACTGTGCTTTCCTCCAGACAGATGAATATGGTTCGTGAAGATTTCAAACTCAGGCTGATTTATCTTACTTTACATTCATAATCACTAGCCTAAGAAAGTTTTCAAATGGGCCCAGTAATGATACTCTTTCCCTAGTCCTTTTGCTCTCCTCCTCTACCAATTACTATTTTACAGTTTCTCTCTCCTTAAACTTCCAATACATTCGTAATCCTTACTCTCAGTTGAGAATAGTACTTTCTATTTCACTGAGAAAATAGAAGTAATTTGAAGACAACCTCCCCACATTTCCGTCACAATTATGCTGGACATTCTCGATTTTCCCCTTGAGATCCATCCCTGCCCTTCTCCACTGTGTTCTGTGCCCTGGGAGGCTGCGCTGTATGGACTGCACCAGTTTCTTGCCCTCTGGATACTGATTAGTTGAGCCAATGGGAGGGTCAGAGAACTCAGGGTGGGAGGAGAGTGAGATCCAGGGCTTTGTTTCCCTGGCTCCGTCTGTTCTGAGCTGTGAGTTGGTAATTGCTATACTGCCTCTCCCGAAGTCCCCAGGTCCTCTCCTGCGGCCCTCTCCTACAGTCATAGTTCCAGCTAGAGCTCATGCTGGGGTCCAATAACAGCCCTTTCACTTGACTCTCCAGGCCTAGAGTGGTGACAGCTCCCTGCTATTGCTCACATAAGGTGCTTCTCCAGCTCTTGCTAGTTTCTTCAAATTTCCTACTCTTGTAAGTAATTACTTTATTAACCTCTCCTCAATTACCCCATTTGAGTATGCTATCAGTTTCCTGCCAGCATTCTCCTGACTCATTCCAATCTGCCCCATTGTTCCCTTGTCCTCTGCCAGCCCTTCTGTTACAAAGATGAACAGTGTAGCTCTTTTCTAAGCCTCATCCCTGCATTTGTCTGCAACTCTCTCACCTATTAAAGGATGCCCCACTAGCAATTAATCATTTTCCCTCCTTCATCATTTTTTTCTCTCTACTGGATCATGTCTATCAGTACATAAACAAACTAAAACAGCGCTAATAAAAAAAAAAAAACCTTCCCATTACCCTCAACAGTGACTCCATTTACCTCTTCCACTTTAAAGCAAAATTCCTCCAAAGCATGATCGATTCCATCTCTAATGCCTTCCCTAACATTATCTCCAGATCTCACTCCATTCAGACTTCTACCACTCAACTATAACAGCCCTCCTACAGGTTACCAATGACCTCCCCATTGGTAATCCAATGGTAAACTCTCAGTCATCACCTGAGTTGACCCATCAGCAGCATTTGATACAGATAATCACTTCTTTCTCAAAATGCTTTCTTCCCTTGGCTCCAGGACACCCTTTTCTCTTGATTATTTACTACCTCACCGGGCATTCCTTTACAGTATATTTTGCTGGCTGCTCCCTATTTAGTGTTGAAATACTGTAAGACTCAGTTCTTGGACCTTTGTTTATTTAAGTGACCTTATCCCGCTTCACATTTTAAATTCCATTTTTTCTCTAGCCCAATCCCTCCTGTAAACTACAGGTTCCTGGTATACCTAACTGTCTAGTCAACAAACTTGAAGGTGTACAAAATCAAACCGCTGAATCCTCCCTACCCACGTCTCAAGCTATTTCTCCTAAATTTCCCCATCTCAGTAAATGGCAAATTTATCCTTCCAGCTGCTCAGGCATTAGAGTCATCTTTCACTCCTCTCTTTTGTAGCATCCTATATCGTGTCCATCATCAAATCCTGTTAGCTATACCCTCAGAATACACCCAAAATCTTATGTCTTCTCACCATCTCCACATTTGTCCCTTGATTTAAGCCAGCACCATTTCCTGCCTGATTACTGTAATAGCCTCCTGATTCCTCTGCTCAGTTGAGATCTTCCATGGCATTCAATGTAATAGAATTCAACTTCCTATTCTCCTTACTCAGTTTTATTTTCCTTCACAGCACTTATCTGACACAATCTATATTTACGTATTTGGTTATTTTATATCACCCCTTACCAGAAATTAAACCGTATGAGAGCAAGGATCACTGTTTTTGTTTACTGCTATTCCCAGTGCCTGGAACAGAAGTCACTCAATACATATCTGTCAAATGAATGGTTGAGTAACTATTGAAATAAGCCACAATCATTTCAAGATCTAAATTTATCACGTAACTAGAATGGGAGACCTGCATGACTAGGATATCACAGGGCATGCGGCTCTTGCTAAATACTCATGTTCTCCATGATCAGCCTCATACCCTTGTGAAATATCAATGAGTAGAGAGTCTCATCCTGCTTCTTCATAGTCTAATATTTAATATATTGCTCCATAATAAGCCTGGGAAACTAATTCTGGAAAGGAATTATATAATATTTCTTAAGGAAAGAAAAAGAAAACATGTTCCAGCTGAGATAAACAGTAAGTGAGAGAGGAGACTAAGGAAGAACGGGTAGGCTATGATTGGAAAATAGGGCCATGTTGGAAGTAATGGAAGATTGGATACAGAGCAAATGACTGTGATATGATATTCATCCAACATTTGTTAAATACCTACTCCATGAAAGGTACTATGCTGGATGCCAGGAGGCACATCTAGACATGAATAAGACAGGTTCTTGTGTCCAGGTGTTCATAATCAAATGTAGCAAATACAACATATGCCTAAATAATTAATATAAGGTATAACATGAGGTGCTGGAAAGGAAGAGAAGGTAGAAAGAAGAGACGACTGGGTTGTTTAATGTCTGCGAGTGGGAATGAAGCAGCAGGTGGAATTAAATATGATTGTAAGACGTCAAGCCTAAAGTTTCAGAAGAGTTGTAATGAATGAGGAAAATCAGCTTGTTTGGCAATGCTATAGGATCATTTGAAGCGACAGTGGACAATTGGATGAGCCACTGTCCAGGGGTTCCCAAATCTGATTGTTCTTGGTACAGAATTACCTGAGCAAGATACAAAAAATACTGTCTCCTAAGTCTCAGCCCACAACTGCTATATCAGAATCTCTAGCAGTGGTGCATATTGGTATGTGGATATTTATATGATACATGTTTGAGAGTATGTGAATATATATATGGGTTTCTTAGGTAGTTCTGATATAGCCAGTCCATGGACGCTTACTTGGAACCACTGCTATTGATAGATAGCTAAAAATATAGAACTGAAAAGAAGATGAGAGGTCATTGTTGGAGAAGTTATAATTCTTTAAACCAATGATGACCTAATTTGTATACTGAGGATTGGCACCTCTGAGAATAGAAGAAAACCTTTGGATGATTTACAGCTCCACAAGAGTGAAATTAGATTGACATTCAGAGGACAAAAGGAAGGCACAAATAGGCATTCTAAAAGCAGACTAAAAATAGTTCTTAGGAAAAAATAATGAACTGCATCAATTTAATAGGCAAGAAAGTATTGCTTATGTATAATGAAATATGGAGTCACGTCTCAGGTATAACCATGCCCACATGCATATTTTCCAATTATTTGCATTTTGAAACTTAGTGATGTAGTGTAGGAGAGTAATTATTCACTTCCTTCTCCAAATATTTTTCAAAAAAAGAATTGCTGTCTTAAAATAATGAATACTGAGATGAATGTTGCAGAACAGATGCAGTGCCCAAAAAGACAGGTCTGGCTAATTAACTCAGTACTCATTAAAGATGAACAGCTCATGAAGCTAAAACATAATTGTGCTCTGGTTTAAAATGTATAATTAATATGGAAGAGAATGTATTATTAAAATAAAATAATTTGTTAATGAAATAGTCTGTGGCCTACTTGGGAAAGTATAGTCTTAACTTTTACCATTGATAGACCTAATTTTTTATTCAAGTATTTAACCAACACTTACATAGCAGTTATTTTCTGCCAGTCACTCTTGTGAACATATCACAAATTTTAACTCACTTAATGCTCTTAGAAAATATTAAGATGGATACTCTGTACCTCAGACAGAAAACTGAGGCATAGTGAGGATAAGAACCTTGTCCAAGAACCACAACTAGAAAGGATTCAAACCCAGCTGTTCATCTTCAGAGTTCATGTTAAGACAAAATAGTTGCTATTAGAATGTGTATGTTTTTTATTAATTTTGACTAAATTTAACTCTTAGCTGAAAACAGATAATAGAAGCTATTTGCAGGTTTTCACCACTATGACTAATGAACATATTAAAATAAACATATTTGTATAAGTTGGCTGAAATAGCCAGAGTTAGCCACGTGTCTAACGTACAAGCGTCACTTATCTTAAGGTAACTTGCCCCAGAAACACATCCTGTGACAAGGATGAGAGAGCAAGCAGTTTATTTTGGGAAGTAATCCCAGGAAGCATCAGAAGGGGAGTAGGTACATAAGACAGGAAAGAAAAATGTCAATAAAGTGCATTTTTGACTGCTGTGAGCAACTGTGGATCCATCCCATTGGGATTGGATTCTAAGAGGCAATGTAGAGCATGCACCTCCAGGACATGAGGAAGCTGGGGGATTTATCCACCAACTCCTGTCTATCATTTGTTGAGCACTACTTCCAGGAACTCTTAACATCTGACACTTCTCTGGCAGCCACAGAAAGTTCTCAGCAACAAGCAGTAGGCATTTACAATTGGAAACCATGGGATCAGCAGTCAACAATGCTGAGTGCTCAGCAGATGTGAGCAGGGTACCAGCATCATCTCTTACATGACTTGATGCATCTGTCTCTGTCTTCAAAAATAAATGGTTTCCCATACAGATGGCTGTAGTTATACAAAATTATAATTCTCTAAAGTAAATACTATATCCCAATTTGTTTAAATAATACAACCTCAGATAGAAAAACCCTTTTGAAGAAATATTTCCATGGTCAGGTATAAAGTATTCTAAGCATTGTATTAAATTAGTAAAAGTATAGCACTAAATGAACTTTCATAATATTGTTCAGTACACAGTTTTATACAGAGGAAAAAATGTGAATAACATCTTAAACCCAGTTCTATTGAGTTATGTGATCTAAAACAAGTGATTTAACTTTATCTCATTATGTGGAAAATAGAAATGATTATATTTGCTTCATGAAGTTGGCAACAGGTGCATGTTCTTTCTTCTTTAAGTATTTCTTTATTTGGAAAATTGACCCTCCTTCATTCCTTCTGTCCATGGAGGAGCTATCTACCTTGATGGCTGGTCACCCCCTAAGAGATGTAGGCAGATAACCCAAACAGGGCCAACCAGAGATTTTCCTGGTTTAAAATAACGACTCTGGAAGGAGGAATTCCTTGCTGACTGTTTTGCTAAAATGACAGAATGAAGGAATGGGCAGGCCAACAGCCATCTTGGCAAATAGAGAGAGATCCCACCTGCAAGGAAACCAAGCCAATGCAGCCAAGGCTGAGAGAGAGAGAGAGAACCAGAGCCGTCGCACTGTTGCTTGTGCCCTTCAATCTGGTCATGGTTGAAACACACTCCATCTCTGAGAATTCCCATTGAATTCCTTTTTACTGAATGTGGTTTGAGTTCAACCTCCGTCTCTTCTTAATGAAGGAGTCCTTCCCTAGGCTTATTAGAAGCATATATTAGAATATTACTAAGCACAGTGTTTGGCACATTATAGGTGTTTGACAAATAAATACTCACTTCTCCCTATCCCTGGTACTTCTATTAGCTTTCCAATTCTTGCCTCTAACTTGACATTGTTAACCCTCGTGTTACCCTTCCAATAGTAATTTCTCACACCATAAAAACCACATGACTCCACAGTCATATCCCCCAAAGAGGACTGTATATCCCCCAACCAGGTAGATTAAATCCTATGTTTAATAAACATAGCTTATTATAGTTTAATATTTGAATTTTAAATAATCAAGAGGCCTATTTTCAAAGGCTTTTGTAAGTGATTAATTTAAATTCAAATGTGTGTGTGTTGTGGAATGGGAGGGAAAAACAGAACTAAATCCTCATCTTCTGAAAGAAGGCTATAAATACTGCCCAAATTAATAAAACAAAATAGAAGCCACAAAAGCAAATGACATATTACTATGAATGTAAATCTCTCTCTCTCTCTCTCTCTCTCTCACACACACACACACACACACACACACACACACACACACACACACTGACATACAAATTTATAGACAGTCATACACCATATAACTACCTTTTGGTCCATGACATACCACATATATGACTGTGGTCCCACAAGATTGTAATACCATATTTTAACTGTACCTTGTCTATGTTTTGATATGTTTAGACACACAATACTTACCATTGTGTTACAAGTGTCCGTAGCACAAACTACAGTAATACGTTGAACAGATTTCAAGCCTAGGAGCAACAGGCTACCATGTAGCCAAGGTGAGTAGTAGCCTATGCTATCTAGTTTGTATAAGCACACGCTATAATGTTTATACTATGATGCATTTCTCAGAATGTATTCCAGTCATTACGCGATGTCTGACTAAAATGTTATGTCTCAGCTAAAAGAGATGAAAGTGGTTGCTTCTAGGAAAATGGAAATGGGGGTAGTGAGCATTAAGAAGATTGTCTTAACACTGTATAACTAACAGATTCTTAATTTATGAGCATGTATGCTTTTGAGAAAAATATTTATAATAAAATAATAATTTAAAGATTACCAGTAGACTCACTTTTAAGCTATTTTAATAATTTGCTATTCCCTTCACTCACACTCCTAGAAAACACACTTCATTTCTCACTCCCTTTTTCTACTCATTCATTTTTACCAATGTCACTTCAATGCATGTCTATTCTCCAAAGTACAATGTAGTAGTTCTAGAAGCACACACAAGCCTACGTGCACATTGAAGCATACTATGTGCTGTAAAAAAATTTCACTCTGATTTTCTCTTGGATAATCATTTCTTCCAAATACTCCCAAGACTAGCCTTTCATGGAGCCCATGGACTCAAACCCGATATCTGAAACTCTATCTACTCCCTTGGCAGTATCCATGTGGCTGAGGTCAACACCCTATCCCTTTTTAACCTATGTCCCAGCCCCTCCTTTATGGACCTCTAGGATTCTCCATGCTCTGGAGAAACTAAACTGACTTTCCTGTGCCAGAGAGAGAACAAGTCCACACCCCCACCCCACAGTTACCTTCCTACAGTAGTGAGAAACTGGCCTTTCACCTGTATAAGTAAACAGGCTCACCAAAATGGTCTCTCTCATACTACTGGCTGAGCAGATTACTGGAGCCTCTCCCAGGGCCTTGGATCAAGCCTTTACTAGTGAAAGTCCTTGAAGCTCAAGCTTCATTCGTTTTTCAGAAAACATACACTGACTCTAGCTCGTAGGGGTAATAACTAGTTACCAGACTCTAGGGAGAGCTGTACTTGAACTGCACTTGTAGAAGGCTGTCAGATGGGAGCAGTGATATTCAGTAGAGAAATGTTATCACAGCTAACCCATCTCCTCGCAGAGAGTGAGCCAAGGAAATAAATACCCCAACCTCTTTATTCTCCCATTCTCTGATTTGTTTATGTTTCCTATTGGCTGAACCCAATTAAAAATCAAAGGATAAAGGGAGTAGATTATTTCCACATAGATCAGCCTTCTGTGGTGCAGAGCAGAGTGAAGGGTGGAACATGAGTTAAATGGGCAAATAAATATCCATCATAGACAGTGACCAAAGTTGCACAAAAAATGGAGACTACTAACTGAGCAAAGGGAACAACTGCAGAATACCTACTTTTCTGCACTTTCACTCAGAGCACATGTGTGCCAGTAAGCAGAGGGCAGGAGCAAGTGGAATAAAAGAAGTAACCAACTATAGTTGAGAAGCTGGATGTGAAAATAACATAGTAGTTATGATTGAAGAAACACAAATGAAAGGTGAATTTATGGCTGATAATAAGATTAATTGATGATCCCTCTATCATCTCTTTAAATAAAGATAGGAAAGGTGTTGGAGGCTCAGATGAAGCCTATCTAGAGAGGAAATGGGAATAAAGTTGGTGGGAATTGAACTGATGGTCCGTAAGTTCTGATGGGCTCTTTATTCTGAGTAATGTATTGTTAGCATGGTTATTTACTGTTGCCTTCTAAGAAATGAGTCAGGTACACAGTTCACCTGTCATTACTTTCTTATTATGTTATGATGACATTTGATACATATACAGTCATCCCTCAGTATCCATGGGGGATTGGTTCTAGGGCCTCCCATGGATAACAAAATTCAAGGATGTTTAAATCCCTAATATAAAATAGTGCAGTATTTGGATATAACCTAAGCACATCCTCCAATATACTTTTAATATCTAATACAATGTAAATGCTATGTAAATAGTTATTATGCTGTATTGCTTAGGAAATAGTCACAAGAAAAAAGGTGGCCATGCCAGGATCTGGCTTGAGAATCCCTGGGGCCTGGGGCCTAGAAAACTCAGCACAGGCGTTGAAAGTAAATGCACTCTTTCTTGACAATGGTCTCTCTGATTTTATTTTCTCTGCTATTGGCCATTGCGGCTTTTGTCCTATTGAAGCAATGAATACTGACATTTGAGATTAGGTTAAGATAGAAAGGTACTCCTGGGATCTTAGGATACAAAGCCAGTAAATGGCAGATCCTGGATTCAAACTCATGACTTCTTGACTCAAGAGTCCTGTTATTCCCATTATTCTACAAAGGTACTAAAGATAATATAGAGAAAATAGCATGCAGCCCTAATGGTTTTCTTATAATTACATGAAGTTATAACAGTCCCATGAACCACTCTATCTTGTATATCTAAATATTCACAAGGAATTTAATAATAAATGCTATGTCTCAGTTAGAAACAGCAGCAATAATCTTTCAACAATTCATTAAGGAAGAAGTAGGCGGGAAGAAAATAAATTTGGTCTTAATGCATCTAACAATGACTCAAGGTAGGAGAATTATAAAAGAAGCATAAAAAATAGATATATTGTTGTTCAAATGACTAATATTTTTAAGAGTGACAAATTTTGTATGAATAAAGAGATTTTAGTTTGTTATAGGATAGGGTATTTTTTGCCAAATAACTTTAAAATAGTGCATTGAAATAAAATATGATGAAGACATTTACATACACAGCATGTAATATTTTATACTGCACCAGCGCTACAGAAATAGGTATTGATATGAATAATTCATAAGAAGGAAATTACATATCACTTCAGTAACATTTATCTACAATTACTTTCAACCTCATTCAGGTGCTAAAACTCTTCAAAATGAATACAGGATGACAGTGTGGCATCAGCATCATGACCAGTAATATTGGTATCAAAAAGAAAATAAGAAATCTGTGTTTTGTTCTAAAAAACTGAAAACTATTTTAGGGAGACATATGGCTTTGTTAAAATTATTCAAGCCTCCCTCAGCTACATTCAAGTAACTATTATTTAAATGGATGGCGATCACTGTGATCTTAGTCCAATCCACCTGCTAAATAACAGACAGTGAGTATTCAGCTATAGAAAAAAATCTGCCTGTCAAGTTAAAAACAAAGCTAGAGAAATTCATAGAATTTAGCTGTCCTAGCATCATTCATGCTACTTGAAGACGATTGGGCAATTACTAATTGAAATGTTGTACCACTGCTCAAATGTCATCCCATCAAACTCAGGCTATGTAGCAACCAAGACCAGAACTTTAATTTCTCTTTAAAAATGAAAAGATACCCTTGTAGCTAATTTAATGCATGCTGTCACTCTCTTTATAAGCAGCCAACAATCCATTCCACCAATATTAAAGTAAGAAATGCTGAGAATGATTAATGTCAATTCACTCAAATATCTCTCAAGCAGTGGCACAGGTTAGCGCATTTTAAAAAGTCATGCCCTTAAATAGAATCGGGGTATTGTTCCTTGATTTTACACCTACAGTTGCATGGCATAATGACTTGGATCAAGGAGAGTCAAATATGATGGCAAGGAGATTGGTCATAATTTTCTTCGCAATAGTGGTCCCAAGTGTGTCTTCAGGATCATAAGTTGGCAATACACACAAAATTGAATGCCCAATTTTTTACAGCATTAAATCTATGATTAATTTCCTTCTGACGGCATATTTATAAACTCATTGCCACTCCTACCTAATTTTTCCTTAATTTATATATTACAAGATATGAGGAAACCATTTCCTATATTCTGAAATTGTTCAGCCCTGACATTGCCATGGTCTCATCATACTGTTGCAAATGTGATCGCAGTAATAATAATAAAATTAATTCCACTGAGTCTTTGTCCCACTTGCATAATGCAGTATCATGTGATACCCCTGAAGAATTCCCTCTAAAAGTGTGTCATGAATCCCACCAGGTATCTCTGAAAAGCTTAGCACTTATCTTCTTATGTCCTTCTTCTCTGAACCCCTTTATTAATGGAAACTGTCCATAAAACCACTTACCAGTAGTACTTTGCCCTTTTGATCCATATTCTGAGGGGTCATTCTATTAAGATCCCCAGTGTCAAAAAGCTGTATGGCTCTGAACCAAGTGGCAGAAAAGCGGATCACTCTACAGGCTGAGATGTTTGATTCTAATTACCAACGTGAAATTGGAATGTGGCTACCCAATGAAGGCAAAGACGACTTACATCTTCAACTCAAGTGATTCGTAGGGTGCTTCTCAGTATTCCCTTGACCAATGCTACTTCTCAATTGAAACTTCAGCAACTAAATAAAACTAGAACCACCAAAGACTCCAATTCTTCAGGAATAAAATTTGGCCAACCTCTAGGAAAGGATAAAGGCTAGCCAAGGTATTGGCAGAAATTTAGGAGAACAAGGAAAAGCTTGCAGAAAACAGAAGGTATGAGATTGTCAAATTAGACCTTATGACCAGATCCAGGATATGTGGCCACTATGTTTATGTTCCTCCTCTGCTACCTGCCATGAAGCTTGGGTAATTGCCAATATTTTAGATTTTAGGTGGAAGTACAGCTGAATTGACATAATACAGATAATATATACTTGATGGAACTTTGTGTGCCTCTGTGTTGGAACACATTTTTATGCAAAGAATAGTGGAATATGTTCAGGGACAACATCTAGATATTTTCTATGTACTCTCTCCAGTTTACTCTTTACCCGTCTCCATCCTATCCTGTGCCCAAGGACAACTATCACTATGACATTAATGGGCCCCTCTCCCTCTGGATTTCCATGAAGTTTGACCCACAGAAGATACTGGTTAAAAAAAAAAAAAAAAAAAAAATCAAAAGAAAGGGAGAAGAGTGAGGTCAAAGTATTTTTTCCTCCAGAACCTGTCCTGCTATATTGCTGCAACTTAGCTGCATTTCTCTGTCGAAAGCCACAGTTCCAGCAAGTATCCCTCTCCTACATCACAGCTCTCACTCCAGGTTGCAGCAATTGCTTCCACTCCTTATCCCTTCAATTATAAGACTCTTAACATTTTAATGATTGCAGTCCTAGGTTGCTGTGCCATTTTATTGGTTTACCTTGTCCACATCTTTGTAAATATCCCCATTATCTATTCATCTACCCCACTTAGGGAATGCACTTTTTTCTGTCAGGACCCCAACCCAAGGGCAAAAAAAAAAAAAAAAAAAATAGCTAAATACTCGAACAAGCACACGTGGAATATGCTCCAGGAAATACCATACGCTGTCACATAAAACAAGTTTAAATAAATTTCAAAGGATAAGATTTATATAAAGTATGCTCTCTCGCAACAATAGAATTAACCTAGAGGTCCACAACAGAAAGAAGTCTGGGAAAACCCCAGATGTTTGGAAATTAAACAAAAACAATTCTAAATAATCCCTGAGTCAATGGAATTTTTAAAATACTTTAAACTGAATGAAAATAAAAATCACTTGTGAAATGCAGTTAATGTGGTACTTTGAGGGAAATTTATATCTTCAAATGCTTATCAAAAAAATAAAAAGTCTCAATATAATAGCCTAATCTTCCACCTTAAGAAACTAGAAACAGAAGAACAAACAAAACTAACGCAAGCCAAAAAAGGAAATAGTAGAGATTATAATGTAAATCAATAAGACACAAAACAAAACACTAATAGATAAGTGGTTGCCTACTCTTACCATACTTTGGAGGAACCAGGTTTAATAACTTGTCAATCCACTCTAAACATCGCCTTTTTTCTCCTCTTCTTACCAGTAGAACAAGGCAAAATAGAATAGCTTCACATTTTCTTGAAGTTGCGTTGCTGAAAATATTGTATTATTTGATATTTCTTTCATGTATCTTATACAATAACTTGCTGAAAATAACCCATTTTTCTAAGTAATTTTTGGACCTGTGCTAAAGACTATGATAAATGTACATTTCCTTTCCTTTGAAATCTCAAAGCAATTTCTCATGTACCCCTGCTTCAAAATTATAAGAACATCTTCTTTTTGATGTATCTCTTTCTTTATGAAATATAAGCTTCTCTGAAATACATAATGAAGGATGACTTCCTCCTTTGTACTTACAACTTTATTCTACCTCTGTCTCACCAACCCCTGCACCTATTGAACAAGAAAATACCTGCCAGACTATTCCTTTCTCCTCAAAGTCTTCAACCCACCTTTTTACAGCAAGCTCCAAAGAATTTTATTCCTATTCTAATTTCATTTTTAAATCCATCAATGAAGACCTTAATCATGATGTGTACCCATTCTCTAAGTTTGCCCCTGTGTCACACATACCACTGTATAGATTGGCTCTAAAGAATCATAAGGTGCAGATTCTGCTCTAAAAGTCTTTATGACCTGATTGAGAAAACAAGATATAGGAAACCAAAGAGAATAAATTATTTAACTGAGTGCCAAAAAAGGGGAAATGGTCCGTGTCTTAGATGGTTTCCTGAAAAAATATAGCTAAAGACAAAGCTTTGAGTGAAAGTAGTTTAATTGGGAAATAATCTCAGGAAGCACAACATTGCTACAGTCAATAAAGACATTGTGAGAGATGACATTTCAAATGCCCTTAAAGTCTACACTCTGAATTGGGCTAGACTAGATTTCCCAATAACATGCAAGAAAGGAAAAAAAAGAGAGCATGAGCATACACATACTGAAATGAGGGAGACGGGAGAGGGTGTCAGCAAGGACCCCAGGAAATGGCCTCATCCATTTGCCTGCTATTTAATGAGAAGATCCTTTTTATCCTAGAATCTTTACATTTGCAGGAATTAAGCATCTCATCGTACGTAGATCTGATTAAACTGTCACTGGAAAACAAACAGCTCTTGGTTCATAAAGAAGCAGACAGCTACAACTTGGGAGGTTAAAAACATCCTAAATAAAATTAATGTGCTAGAAAGTAAAAACTTAAGAAAGAGCTAACATACAAAAATGTTACTATATAGTAAAGAAATTAACAACATCTGTCCATAAGTCATGTTCTATGCCTACAAAGCACAAGGCATATAAAACTTAATCCAAGAATACATTTGCAGATGCCTCAGACAGCAACCTTCAAAAGGGTTGTAAGAATCACTTACGATATTCCTTCAAAAACACAGATACCTGAGGCCAATACACAGATTTAGAATCTCTAGGGGTAGATTCCAAGTACTTGTATTTTTAAGATCCACAGGAAAGTCTAACATGAGTCTTGGGCCATAAACCACTGGGAAAGAACAGAATGAACTACAAGCCACATATTTATGTAATTTGACCGTGGAGGATGGCTGGGAAAAGAAAAAGGATGGGAATGCAACTAGAAGTTACTTCTGGCCACTAGATAAAAGATTACGGAGGGAGAAGGAAAAGGATATGGAAACACCAAGAAAAAAGAAGGCTCCCACCCCTCGTCCATGATGCCAGAAGGGAGCTTGGCATAAGCTTGCTAGTTCTGAGTACAGGCAAGTCTCCCTCTAAGCCTAAATCAGCAAGCAAGTTAGAAATGTCCTATGGATGTGGGGCAACTACAGCACAAGTGTTAACAAAGCAGGTCACAGAGTTAAGAAAGACTGAGTGGAAGAACTTCCTATTTCTTCAGTCATCCTAAGTAAAATGAATATAATCAGAAAACAGCAACTGGGTGACATGCAGGATGGAGAAGGGGGGATTTATCATCTTCACGTACCAGGCACTGATTGAATGTGGAATATTGAGAGCTTTGCTGATTAAATGTATTAATATAATTCCGTGCAAGTAGCACTCACAAGAAATGTGTTTAGGGAAACAGCAGCACTTGATTTAGTGGAATGCAGCTGTAAAGCATGCTAAATAAAGAGGATTTATAAAACTCCTAATCCTTCAGGCCAACTTGTTGTGCAGGGACAACATTTATATGCTCTAGGAACATATACAGTAGTTAGGTGTAAAAGGGTAACCTAGATGCTTTTTTCTCCCCCTGAAAAACATTGGAACCACAAGAAAACAAAATGTCTTGTAACAAAAGCCTAAATGAAAATAATGCAGAGGTCTCAAGATGGTAAATACCCAAATGGATTAAATCGTGTATAGTGAGGATCTCTATAATTCTCTCTCTAGAATTTTGCAAGTGATTTATAGGTATCTCCCAGCCTCATGAATCTCTAAATTTGTTGAGTGATAAGTTTAAAGGGGTATCCAATCATCTGCAACTATTTATTGAGTCCATAATAAGTGTTAACATTGTACTAGGTGTTACACTGTACTAAAAGCAGTGAAACACTTGATTCTTGTCCTCAATGATCTTACAATCTAATATAGAATATGATGGCAAAAAATTATACACAGAATAGGAACAAGTGAAAGACAGTACATATCATGTTTCTTCTAAGATACTGCTAATTATAGCTAACATAGATTTCTTAGAAAACAAATTCTTAAGGAAACAAAAGCAACATATTAAATATCCACATTTGTGAGATGCATCTTATTCGCAAAAACATTAAATTTTGACAAACATGTGTCCTATGTTACAACAATCAATGAAATGTTGTAATTAGGAAACAGAATACAGGCTACAATTTTAGTAAAAAGAGAAATCAAAATGAGAGGAACCACAGTTTGTTTTTCAATATCTAGCCCACATTTAGGATTGTCCATCTCACATACTGGGTGTTCCCTGGTACTTTGCTTATCTTTTTATGTGAAATCCAGGCTCCTCAAGCAGACTACAAGCCTCCTTGGACAGTAATGGTATTTCATACTAGTGGTTCTCAAACTTGGCTGCAAATGAGACTCACCTGGGGAGATTTCAAAATTGCGATATCCAGGCCACACTCCAACTAAAGCACAAACTCTGGAACCCGCAACGCAGTGGGAGACCCAGACCCCAGCACTGTGTTTTGTAAATCTTCCTGGGTGATTCCAAGGTAAAGCAAAGACTGAGATCCAGCATTTAATATCTTTTTCCTATTACCAATCTCTAGCAGCATATCTTCTCAATAAATGTTTTTGGTCAATGATATTTGTGGAAGGCTTCTGGATAGAGTTTTAATTATCCTATCTGTCACCTTTTTTCCCTTTGGAGTTCCTAACTGAGAAAACTACACACACAAGAGACAATAACCAATGGGAAACAATGTACCTATTTTTAAAAAGCAGAGCAAGTAGCCTACAGTCCTTTATTAAAGGCTCATAAATAAAAGCTGGATTGGAAATTTCAGCTTAGGCCTTGAAGACCATTTGAACCATGTTCTGGTTTTCAATTGCTGTGTAATAAGATACAACAAAATTCAAAGGCTTAAAGCAACAACTAATGCTTATTTCACTCACTAGTATACAATTTGGGCAGGACCCATCAAGAACAGCCTGTCTCTGCTCCATGCAGCACCAGCTGGGGCAGAGAATCCACTTCCAGGTTGGCTTACTCATGTGAGTGGCAAATTAGTATTGACTGTTGGCTGAGAGCTACTGGCCTGGGGACTTGGTTCCTCTTTCTGCAGGCCTCTCCATGGGGGCTGCTTGAGCTTCACTACAGCATGGTAAGTGGGTTTTAAGAGTGAGTATTCTAAGAGATTGAGAGTTGTGGCTGACAATCTCTTAAGGCATGAACCTGGAAGCTGGTCATTTCCATCACGTTTTATTGGCCAAGCAATTAAACTCTGGAAGAAAGCAAGCGTATCCCTTTTCTATTTTCCCAAAAGTAAGAAGAATAAAAGGACAGAGTAGTATCAAGAGAATCTTGCAGATGGTACAGGCAGAGGGACAGCAATATATTAACACACTGACAGCTAAGTGCACAGTAGGAGAGAGGAAAGACTAGAAGGACAGCATAATTGAATACTGAATAAATTAATCCCCCACTTGGTGTGTGTCTGAGGGGTGTGAAGCCCAGGTACTGTACCATAAGACAGTCTTGAAATTTAGTAAAGGCAAAAATTATTGCTTGCCTACCAATTACCTCATGCCCACAAAGAGGGCCTAGGCAGAACTTCAGATAAAAGATGCCACAGAAAGAAAGAAAGAGAAGGAAAGAAGGAAGGAAGGAAGGAAGGAAGGAAGGAAGGAAGGAAGGAAGGAAGGAAGGAAGGAAGGAAGGAAGGAAGGAAGGAAAGAAAGAAAGAAAGAAAGAAAGAGAGACTCTAAGATAAGATAAATTTAAAGTCATAAACTTTAGCAATAACCAGAAACATTTAAAAAATAAAAAACTTCCATGACTCCTAAGTCAAATTTGAAAAGGGTCTATAGAGTATTGGTAATACTTGCTAATTACACTGTGTTCAGTGTTTTATCTGTGATACAAAAGGGTCACTTATCTCACATGAAATAAAACTAACTTCAGTGAAATCCCACCACCCACTTTTCATTATTCTTGTAGTCAACAAAATTAGTCCATATTTTTCAGGTTTATTTGCATTACTTTGTTTTTCATCTTTTTCTTATTTATTACCACAGATTGTAAATACTTTTCCCTGTCTAAATACCACAACTCTTCATAACAAATCTGAAAGGACTATTTTATCATTACTAATGTCAGTCATTCTCTCCAATGCAAGAAAGAAATTAAAATTGCTGTTGTTAAAGAATGCCCACAAGGAAAGACAGCAAAGTGCGGTAGCAGAAGACATGGATGTGGTGACATAGGAGTTAACAAGAAATTATTTAGGCAGATAGTGAAAGTATGGGGGCCTTTGGTTAGGTTTTCCTTTTAATGAAGAGCAGCCCCAAAATCATTTTCTTTTCAAACAAAGAGCAACCTGTAAAAATGAGCTGCAGACATAGACAAGCAAGCTGGAAGCTTGCACGGGTGAATGCTGGCAGCTGCGCCAATAGGAAAAGGCTACCTGGGATTAGGCATGTTCAAAATGGTGGCTCCGTGTTCACTTCTCTTTGCCAGCCATGTGTACAGTGAGAAGACAATATGGTGCCGGCCAGGCAAAAACCCAATTTGCATAAGATTAGGGTGGGGCAACCAGCCTTCATCACACACTATGTAAATGTCACATCTGGTTCAACCAATCTGTGGGCCCTGCATAAATCAGACACCACTTCCTCAAGCCTGACTATAAAATCTGGTGCAGCCCACCACGGTCAGGTTTTTCCCTTTCAGGAGCCCCTCTCTTGCAAGGAAAGAAAGAGAGCTGTTCTCCCTTCTCTTTTCTTTTTTTTTTTTTTTTTTTTTTTTTTGAGACGGAGTCTCACTCTGTCACCCAGGCTGGAGTGCAGTGGCACAAACTCGGCTCACTGCAAGCTCCACCTCCTGGGTTCACACCATTCTCCCGCCTCAGCCTCCCAAGTAGCTGGGAATACTGGGACTACAGGCGCCTGCCACCACGCCCAGCTAATTTTTTTGTATTTTTAGTAGAGACGGGGTTTCACCGTGTTAGCCAGGATGGTCTCGATCTCCTGACCTCGTGATCCGCCCACCTCAGTCTCCCACAGTGCTGGGATTACAGGCATGAGCCACCGCGCCTGGCCTCCTTTCTCTTTCTTTTGCCTATTAAACCTCCACTCCTAAACTCACTCCTCATGTGTGTCCGTGTCCTTAATGTTCTTGGTGCAAGATGACGACGATGCTTCAATGGGGACAGAACCCTTAAAGTCCAGTATCCACCTGCCACCTGCTAAAGGGAACTTGGAAGGTACTTATTCTCCTTGAAGCTTCAATTTCTTTATTGGACATAGGATGTTAATAATACCTGCCTAGGGACCAAGCACAGTGGCTCATGCCTATAGTCCCAAAAACTCAGAGGCCAAGTTGGAAGAATCACTTGAGGCCAGGCATTCAAGACCAGTCCAGCCTGGGCAACAGAGAGAGAACCGTATGTACAAAAATTTTAAAATTAGTCAGCCATGGTGGTGAGTGCGTGTAGTCCCAGGTCCTTAGGAGGCTGAGGCAGGAGGATCACATGAGCCCAGGAGGTGGAGGTTACACTGAGCTATGATTACACCACTGCCCTCAAGCCTAGGTGACAGAAGAAAACTAGGAAAAAAAAAAAAGGAAAAAAAAAACTTCATGTACTTTGTTAAATAATATAGATATATAGATTATTATCTACCTTTCATTTAGGGTTTAGATTTAAATCCTGCCACTCACTGCCTGTCTTTGGGGAAATGTTTTAATGTCTCTGAGACCCTGTTTCTTACCTGTAAAACAGATATCATAATATTATATGTTGTGATGATCAAACCATAAAATGAATGTAGTTTCCCAGGAGTAAGAAGAATAATAAGGACAGAGTAGTGTCAAGAGAATCTTGACGGTATCTCGCACATTGATAATTCCTTAACAACTGGTAGCTAGTATTAGCATCAATAATTTGTGTTATAATAGAAAAGCTGTCCTTTCTCTTTTTCCTTCAGCTCTCAATGTAATTAAAAAATGTATTTTTAGTTACAATAAAAAGAAAGGGGAAACTAGAATATAATTTGTTATTTTTTAAAAAATAAGGAAATATGGCATTTTATGGGCAAAAGATTGAAAGAGTAATAGAGGTAGTTTACAAACAGAATATCAAAAGTCTAATATAGATATGTACATAAAGACACTCAGATTCACTTGTCATTGAGGAGTACAAATTAAAACTACAATGACACCACAATATAACAAACAGAATGGCTAAAATGAGAAAGACAAAGAAAAATTTTAACACGTGTTGGCAAGAACATGGAATGATCAGAACTCTCATCTACTGCTGGTGGGAGGGAGGTAAACTGGTAAATCCCTTTGGGAAAACTGTTTGGAAATATGCATACCCTTTGCATACTCTATCACACAGAAATTTTACTCCTAGTTATAGTCCCAAAAGAAATGCATACATGTACTCACCAAAAGATATGTACAAAAGTGTCCGTAGCAGCACTATTTAAAATAGGCCAAAACTGGAAAGTGCACAAATGCCTATAAACAGTAAAATGAAAATATAAAATATGGCATATTCCCAAAATACGGTACCTAAATAAAGCAATGAGAATGAATTATCACTACATACGATGACATGGGTGAATTTTACAACTTAATGTTGAGGGGGAAACATTGAGAAACCAAAGAAAACATAGATTATGATTTCATAGTTACAAAGTTCAAAATAGGCTAAAGTAATCAGTGGTGTAATAAATCAGGATGAACCTAGTTCTTCAATAAATGATTATTCCCATCTCCCAGCTTCCAAAATCTCAGGCCATAGAAAAGTGGTTGAGATAAAATGCCAAACCCTGAAACTCCAGTTTAGGAAAAATGTAAGCAGGTGTGCAGCGGCGCAAGGGGAGGAATAAAGAAGAATTCACAAATATTATACCTGAGCAAAGAGAAATTCTGTTCAAGATTCACACACTAAATGTGAACTAGATTAATCACAGTGAGAATCACATAAACAGACAAAAAAGTATAAATAACAGAAACAAAGAAATGAAGGGAATGAGAGAGGGAGAGAGAAAAGCAGAAAAAAGAAGGGGATGAGGAAGGAAAGAAAGAAGTAGAAAGGAAGGGAAGCTGGGCAGAGTGGCATGGGCCTGTAGTTCCAGCTACTCAGGGAAGCTGAGGCAAGAGGATCAGTTGAGCCCAGGAATTAGGAATTTGAGTCCAGCCTGGACAACATAGCAAGACCCTGTCTCTTAAAAAAAGAAAAAGAAAGGGAGATGAGGAAAGGAGGAAGGAGAAAAGATAAGGAGGGAGGGGGAGAGAAAGAGAGGGGCAGAAAGAGAAAGGGAAGACAAGAGGGACCAGCAGGGAGTGGAGAGGAATAAAAGGTATCAAGCTCCAAGTCCATAATCTTTAGCTGATGCATGGAGTTATCTACATGAGATCCAGAGGTGGCACAACTTGATCTGGAGACTCAGAAACTTAAAAATACAAGTTATCTGCCCTCCCACACATCCAATATGTAGCAGTTGAATAAGAGAGCAAGATAACTACAGTAAACACCTCATTCAGAAATAAACTCTTTCATTTAGAAAAAGGAAGGATGGGAGGTACACAGCAGCCTCTGGTCCATTGCAATCCTGAAATCCTGCTGGGAAGATGTTGTGATCAAGACCCTGGGTGCACAATATAATGTGCCTCTATTTGTCTTTTGTGCTTTAACCTGTGAGTTGCTCACCTACCCATTGTTCCCCAGGGATCTTTGCTCCACCCTCTAGAAGAACCCATCCTTTTCAATTAAACTCCTTTGTTACATCTGAAGAGAGCATTGAAACACATACCTTCCTTGTGGACTGATGATTCTTTTGGCAATTCAAAGGATTTAAACTATTAATACTAAGATTTGAGGGTCATCTATTTTTGCAGAATAACTTCTTCTGAGCTGACTAACACAGAGACCTAAATTAACAGTGATCTAAACAGTGCGGAAGTGTATTCTCTCTCACACATTGTGGTCACGAAGCAGATGATTCAGACATAATATGTCAGTTCTACTCCACTACTCCAAGCTTCTACTAACTTGCTACTCAATCATCTTGACAGTCTCTCCCTCATGTTCATGATCTATGTCTCACCATGTATCCATATTCCAAACATCAAAACTTACAAGAAAGGGAAAGAAAGAATACCCACCTTTTCTAAAGACATCACTGGAAGTTGAATATTTTGCCGCAGCTCACAGACTATTGGCTAGAACTTAATCCCATGACTGCATCATTTTCAAGGGAGATGATATGTAGTTTTTATTCTGGCTAGCCATGTGCCCAACCAAATATTAAGGGTTCTACTACTGCAGAAGAAGACATGATGGATATTGGGTACAACTCATAATGTGTACTATAAAGCCATATCCCACTCTACCAACTCATTCTCAGATCAAAAACGAAACCTGTCACCTGCTCCCTGTTTCTTGTAGCGATTCAGCATACCCT
Organism: Homo sapiens; assembly: GCF_000001405.40. Taxonomy (NCBI): domain Eukaryota; kingdom Metazoa; phylum Chordata; class Mammalia; order Primates; family Hominidae; genus Homo; species Homo sapiens. The sequence continues at coordinate 25,940,649 of NC_000003.12, read as the reverse complement.
TTGATTCTATTGTCTTAGCCACCATTTGTACCAGGCATGACAAGAATGGCCTGGGACAGTTTTATTAAGTAGGTGGGTGAGACTTTTGTTAGGCTTTCAGGGATAGATGGAAAGGAAGAAAGAAAGCATTCCAGGTTGGGGATCATTAGAGGTAAGGCCTGAAGGCTTCTTTAAGATCCTTTGGAATCCTGAGACAAAAATTTATACACATATAGTTTATGGGGAATTGCTTTTAGGATCAACACCCACAAAGGGATGAGGAAAAAAAGATTAAACAGTGGGAGAAAGTTGACCATCAACACAGTTGCTGCCAAGGATCCAGCTGATCTCATGAGAGCTCTAAAGCTGCAGTGGCTCTTCAGAGCTGCCCCAATTAAGGCAAAAGGATTAGGCCCTTATTCCCTCAAAGTGACCAGTCACTGAATGTAGGCTGTTTTCAGGAAGGAGCCATAACCTTGGGTGAGGTAGTTCCTTTCAGCTGAGGGCAATTCCTGCAGAGGGACTCAGCCAGGAGCTATCAGCAGGCAATGCTATCAGTAGTTGGGGGGATTCCCAAGAGGGGAGTTGGGCAGTGCACCACACCATCCTCTACAGAGTAGACATAAACACAGCTTTGTCATATATCTTTGGGGAGATCAATTTGGCCAGAGTGAAAAGTTTGTGCAGAGTAATGGTAGCAAACAGAAGAATTTAAGGAATTCTTCAATATGTCTTCCATTGTCTACAGAATAAAGTCTTAACTCTTAGCCCCACAGCCAAGACTCTTCAGAGTCCAGCACCAACTTGACTTTCTAGTCTTATTTTCCTTGATTCCTTTTCATATACTCTACAGATGAATAAAAATAAAGAATCTGAAAAGTTATTCAGAGTTTATAAACTGTTAAGAATATCACCCTCAGATTCAGTGTGTATATTTCTTATTGAGACCTTAGTAACAATACTCGGTAATAGTCTTTACAGCATTGTACCATTATGATCATTTCTGTGTAAGAATGACATTAAAGGTCTGAGGAAGGAATCTGGATGGTTCTCTGCTTCAGATTCAGCAAGGTGAAGTTCCACGTTCAGCCTTTGAGAAGGATGGATTGCTTCATAGTTCTATAGCACTGATTTCTAAAAGAGCTTGCCTTCTAGGAGATATTTGCTAATGTCTGGAGAGATTTTAGATTGTCATAAATCAGGCAAGGAAGTGCCTAGGAGTTACCTATCTAATGCGTAGATATCAAAGATATGCTAAGATTCTATAACGCCCAGGACAGCCCCACCTCCTCCCCAATAAAGAATTATCTGCCTCAAAATGCCAATAGCACCAATATTGATTAATCTTGCACCATAGTTTGGCCTACAAGCCCAAGAAATGGCCCCAAAGAAATATGGAGATAGACTGTTAGGAAAAGCAGTTCTTATCACTAAAGGGGAAAGGGAGGGAGCATGCTTTTGGCAAAGAGCCCAAGAGAATAAACGGACAGAACTGCACCTGCCTACATTTCTTCAGCCCCCACACTCTATCCACACTCTTTCCCATATGTCCCAAAAGGCTCTCCAGATCCTGAAGGGCATGGCACACAGAAGCCAGATGGCTTTGCCTCTCACCCTCTGCTTGTCCACTCCTCTCTGAACTCATCAATTTAACACAAATAATCCTAATTACTATGGCTATTTTCAGCTTGAGGACAGATATTGCTTGATTGAGCAGTGCATTCTTACTGAACAAAAAAATAAAGAAAGAAAAAAAAGAAAAACACTTGTAAAATCCCCAAACTTTAAGTGCTTGGCAGTGAGTTCCTCAATTTTATATCAGGGAGCCTGGGCTTGGCCTGAAGGGGAAATGCAACAGAGCATGCCATCAAAATAACTAGGTCAATGTTCAGCTTCTTCTTGGAAGGCTTTCTGCTTCTTCTCTTCCCTCCATGCTGGGCCCTCAGCCTGTCTGTGCCAGCCACCTTTATTTCAGATAAGTAGCTCTCTCAGCCTACAAATTCCAAAGTCCGAATGCCTCTGGAATTGGACAAACTGTCCACACACCTTAAATCAAAGAATACAGTCCTGCCCATTCAATTTGAGCATCTGGAATTGGTGATACCAACAGTGTTCGAGCACTGGACCACCTAGTGAAGAATAAAATTTTATGCAATGCCTGCTGGCACTCTGGGCTTCATCAATTGGCTCCACCACAGCAAATATATCACTGGATCCTAGAAACTGCTAAGTTTCACACCGTACCTATAGACGTAGTTTCAGGCTTATGTCAATGAAAAAAAAAAACATGATTAATCAGGCTTATATAAAATCAAACAACAAAAGAAAAAATAAGCCTAAAGCATCAGATCTGAGGAATCCAAAGCCCTAAGAAAAAAACAGATGTCAGGGAAGACCCTTCAAGCAAATCTGCCCAGAACATGGCACTCAAACTTTGGATAAGAATGTGTTATGAATGAAGTCATCCATTATAGCTATCATAGTTCTTCAACTACTTGTTTATACATCCCTTTCTACCTCTAAACGTGTCCAAGGAATGAAACTTTTTTTATTCATCTCGCATACCCAATATGCACCAGAAAGGCTCACACACAGTAGATGGTTAATAAATTGATTAATTCCTCAACCTTTCCTTGTACCCTTTTTTCCAAAACTACCCTCAGTCTCCCAAAAACACCTGGCTCCCATTGGTCAGCACTCCCTGACCCTATAGCCTTAGATGACTCCACCGATGCTCAGTGCATATTAACAGAATATATTTTAAATGTTTTCACTTAAAAAAAAAAGGTAAGTATATGAAGTGATGGATTTAATTACCCTGATTTAATCATTCCACATTGTAAACATATATCAAACATCACATTGTACCACATAATATATACACTTAGTAATTGTTAATTAAAATAAAAATTTTTTAAAAAGAATTGGCTCTTCTCTACCTGTGAACAACTTGTCTTACATCAACTGGCTGCCACTCGAACAATCAGTTGGCTAATATTACAAAGCATGTGGGGTTTGTCCTAATAAATAAATTAAAAACCCACCTTCACTTTTAACTGTGACTTTTTTTTAATAGTTAATTCTGTAAGTTCTGGGATACATGTGCAGAACGTACAGGTTTGTTACATAGGTATACATGTGCCAGGGTGGTTTGCTGCACCCATCAACCTGTCATCCACATTAGGTATTTCCCCTAATGCTATCCCTCCCCTTGCCCCCGAACCCCTAACAGGCCCCAGTGTATTATGTTTCCCTCCCTGTGCCTCATTGTTCAACTCCCACTTATGAGTGAGAACACACAGTGTTTGGTTTTCTGTTCCTGTGTTAGTTTGCTAAGAATGATGGATTCCAGCTTCATCCATGTCCCTGCAAAGGACATGAACTCATCCTTTTTTATGGCTGCACAGTGTTCCATGGTTGTATATGTGCCACATTTCCTTTATCCAGTCTAACACTGATGGGCATTTGCGTTGGTTCCAAGTCTTTCCTATTGTGAATAGTGCTGCAATAAACATACATGTGCATTTATAGTAGAATGATTTATAATCCTTTGGGTATATACCCAGTAATGGGACTGCTAGGTCAAATGGTATTTCTAGTTCTAGATCCCTGAGGAATCGCCACACTGTCTTCCACAATGAACTAATTTACACTCCCACCAACAGTGTTAAAGTGTTCCTATTTCTTCACATCCCCTCCAGCATCTGTTGTTTCCTGACTTTTTAATTATGGTCATTCTAACTGGAGTGAGACGGTATCTCATTGCGGTTTTTATTTGCATTTCTCTAATGACCAGTAATGATGAGCTGTTTTTCACATGTTGACCACATAAATGTCTTCTTTTGAAGTGTCTGTTCATATCCTTTTCTCACTTTTTGATGGGGTTCTTTTTTCCTTGTAAATTTGTTTAAGTTCTTTGTAGATTCTGGATATTAGCCCTTTGTCAGATGGATAGATTGCAAAAATTGTCTCCCACTCTGTAGGTTGCCTGTTCACTCTGATGGTAGTTTCTTTCACTGTGCAGAAGCTCTTTAGTTTAATTAGATCCCATTTGTCAATTTTGGCTTTTGTTGCCATTGCTTTTGGTGTTTTAGTCATGAAGTCCTTGCCCATGCCTATGTCCTGAATCGTACTGCCTAGGTTTTCTTCTAGGGTTTTTATGGTTTTAGGCCTTAGTTAAAACCTTTAATCCATCTTGAGTTAATTTTTGTATAAGGGTAAGGAAGGGGTCCGGTTTCAGTTTTCTGCATATGGCTAGCCAGTTTTTCCAACACCATTTATTAAATAAGGAATCCTTTCCCCATTGCTTGCTTTTGTCAGGTTTGTCAAAGATCAGATAGTTGTAGATGTGTGGTGTTATTTTTGAGGCCTCTGTTCTGTTCCGTTGGTCTGTATCTGTTTTGGTACCAGTACCATGCTGTTTTGGTTACTCTGGCCTTATAGTATAGTTTGAAGTCAGGTAGTGTGATGCCACCAGCTTTGTTCCTTTTGCTTAGGATTGTCTTGGATATATAGTCTCTTTTTGGTTCCATATGAAATTTAAAGTAGTTTTTCCTAATTCCGTGAAGAAAGTACCTTGATGGGAATAGCACTGAATTTATAAATTACTTTGGGCAGTACAGCCATTTTCACGATATTGATTCTTCCTATCCATGAGCATGGAATGTTTTTCCATTTGTTTGTGTCCTCTCTTACTTCCTTAAGCAGTGGTTTCTAGTTCTCCTTGAAGAGGTCCTTCACATCCCTTGTAAGTTGGATTCCTAGGTATTTGATTCTCTTTGTAGCAACTGTGAATAGGAGTTCACTCATGATTTGGCTCTCTGTTTGTCTATTATTGGTGTATAGGAATGCTTGAGATTTTTGCACATTGGTTTTGTATTCTGAGACTTTGCTGAAGTTGCTTATCAGCTTAAGGAGAGTTTGGCCTGAGACGATAGGGTTTTCTAAATATACAATCATGTCATCTGCAAACAGAGACAATTTGACTTCCTCTCTTCCTATGTGAATACCCTTTATTTCTTTCTCTTGCCTGATTGCCCTGGCCAGAACATCCAATACTATGTTGAATAGGAGTGGTGAGAGAGGGCATCCTTGTCTTGTGCCAGTTTTCAAAGGGAATGCTTCCAGCTTTTTCCCATTCAGTATGATATTGGCTGTGGGTCTGTCATTAATAGCTCTTATTATTTTAAGATAAGTTCCATCAATACCTAGTTTACTGAGAGTTTTTAGCATGAAGGGTGTTGAATTTTATCAAAGGTCTTTTCTGCATCTATTGAGATAATCATGTGGTTTTTGTCATTGGTTCTGTTTTGTGATGGATTACGTTTATTGATTTGCATATGTTGGATGAAGCTGACTTGATCGTGGTGGAATGAAGCTTAGATAAGCTTTCTGATATGCTGCTGGATTCAATTTGCCAGTATTTTATTGAGGATTTTCACATCGATGTTCATCAGGAATATTGGCCTGAAATTTTCTTTTTTTGTTGTGTCTCTGTCAGGTTTTGGTATAAGGATGATGCTGGCCTCATAAAATGAGTTAGGGAGGAGTCCCTCTTTTTCTATTGTTCGGAATAGTTTCAGAAGGAATGGTACCAGCTCCTCTTTGTAACTCTGGTAGGATTTCGCTGTGAATCCATCTGGTCCCTGGGCTTTTTTTGGTTGGTAGGCTATTAATTACCACCTCAATTTCAGAACTTGTTATTGGTCTATTCAGGGATTCAACTTCTTCCTGGTTTCGTCTTGGGAGGGTGTATGTGTCCAGGAATTTATCCATTTCTTCTAGATTTTCTAGTTTATTTGCATAGAGGTGTTTATAGTATTCTCTGATGGTAGTTTGTATTTCTGTGGGATCAGTGGTGATCTCCCCTTTATCATTTTTTATTGTGTCTATTTGATTCTTCTCTCTTTTCTTCTTTATTAGTCTGGCTTGCACTCTATCTATTTGTTAATCTTTTCAAGAAAACCAGCTCCTGGATCCACTGATTTTTTGAAGGGTTTTTCGTGTCTCTATCTCCTTTCATTCTGCTCTGATCTTAGTTATTTCTTGTCTTCTGCTAGCTTTTGAATTTGTTTGCTCTTGCTTCTCTAGTTCTTTTAATTGAGATGTTAGGGTGTTGATTTTAGATCTTTCCCACTTTCTCTTGTGGGCATTTAGTGCTATAAATTTCCCTCTACACACTGCTTTAGCTATGTCCCAGAGGTTCTGGTACATTGTGTCTTTGTTCTCATTGGCTGCAAATAACTTATGTATTTCTGCCTTAATTTTGTTATTTACCCTGTAGTCATTCATGAGCAGGTTGTTCAGTTTCCATGTAGTTGTGCAGTTTTGAATGAGTTTCTGAATCCTGAGTCCTAATTTGATTGCACTGTGGTCCGAGAGATTGTTATGATTTCTGTTCTTTTACATTTGCTGAGGAGTGTTTTACTTCCAATTATTTGGTCAATTTTAGAATAAGTATGATGTGGTGGTGAGAAGAATGTATATTCTGTTGATTTGGGGTGGAGAGCTCTGTAGATGTCTATTAGGTCTGCTTCATCCAGAGCTGAGGTCAAGTCCTGAATATCCTTAATTTTCTGTCTCATTGATCTGTCGAATATTGACAGTAGGGTGTAAAAGTCTCCCACTATTACTGTGCGGGAGTCTAAGTCTCTTTGTAGGTGTAGGTCTCTAAGAACTTGCTTTATGAATCCAGGTGCTCCTGTATTGGGTGAATATATATTTAGGATAGTTAGCTCTTCTTGTTGCATTGATCCCTTTACCATTATGTAATGCCTTTCTCTGTCTTTGTTTATCTTTGTTGGTTTAAAGTCTGTTTTATCAGAGATTAGGATTGCAACCCCTGCTTTTCTTTGGTTTCCATTTGCTTTGTAAATCTTCCTCCATCCTTTTATTTTGAGCCTATGTGAGTCTTTGCATTTGAGATGGGTCTCCTGAATAAAGCACACCGATGCGTCTTGACTCTTTATCCAATTTGCCAGACTGTGTCTTTTAATTGGGGCATTTAGCCCGTTTACATGTAAGGTTAATATTGTTATGTGTGAATTTGATCCTATCATTATGATGCTAGCTGGTTATTTTGCTCATTAGTTGATGCAGTTTCTTCATACTGTTGATGGTCTTTACATTTTGGTTTGTTTTTGCAGTGGCTGGTATTGGTTATTTCTTTCCATATTTAGTCCTTCCCTCATGAGCTCTTGTAAGGCAGGCCTGGTGGTGACAAAATCCCTCGGCATTTGCTTGCCTATAAGGGATTTTATTGCTCCTTCACTTATGAAGCTTAGTTTTGCTGGATATGAAATTCTGGGTTGAAAATTATTTTCTTTAAGAATGTTGAATATTGGCCCCCACTATCTTCCGGCTTGTAGGGTTTCTGCAGAGAGATCTGCTATCAGTCTGATTGGCTTTCTTTTGTGGGTAACCCAACCTTTCTTTCTGGCTGCCCTTAACATTTTTTCCTTCATTTCAACCTTGGTGAATCTGACAATTATGTGTCTTGGGGTTGCTCTTCTAGAGGAGTATCTTTGTGGTGTTCTCTGTATTTCCTTAATTTGAATGTTGTCCTGTCTTGCTAGGTTGCAGAAGTTTTCCTGCATAATATCCTGAAGTGTGTTTTCCAACTTCGTTCCATTCTCCCCATCACTTTCAGGTAGACCAAACGTAGATTTGGTCTTTTCACATAGTCCCATATTTCTTGTAGGCTTTGTTCATTCCTTTTCATTCTTTTTTCTCTAATCTTGTCTTCATGCTTTATTTTACTAAGTTGATCTTCAATCTCTGATATCCTTTCTTCCAGTTGATTGATTTGGCTATTGATACTTGTGTATGCTTCACAAAGTTCTCGTGCTATGTTTTTCAGCTCCATCAAGTCATTTATGTTTTTCTATAAACTGGTTATTCTAGTTAGCAATTCCTCTAACTTTTTATCAAGGTTTTTAGCATCCTTGCATTGGGTTAGAACATGCTCCTTTACCTTGGAGGAGTTAAAGTGTTATTACCCACCTTCTGACACCTACTTCTGTCAATTCATCAAACTCATTCTCTGTCCAGTTTTGTTCCTTTCCTGGCGAGGAGTTGTGATCTTTTGGAGGAGAAGAGGCATTCTGGTTTTTGGAATTTTCAGCCTTTTTGTGCTGGTTTTTCCTCATCTTGTTGGATTTATCTACCTATGGTCTTTGCTGTTGGTGACCTTCGGATGGAGTTTTTGCACGGTCTTCCTTTTTGTTGATGTTGATGCTATTGCTTTCTGTTTGTTGGTTTTTCTTCTAACAGTCAGGCCCCTCTTCTGCAGGTCTGCTGGAGTTTGCCAGGGGTCCACTCCAGACCCTGTTTGCCTGGGTATCACCAGCGGAGGCTGCAGAACAGTGAAGATTGTTGCCTGCTCCTTCCTCTTGAAGCTTCTTCCCAGAGGGGCACCCACCAGATGCCAGCTGGAGCTCTCCTGTATGAGGCGTCTGTTGACCCCTGCTGGGAGATGTCTCCCCTTCAGGAGGCATGGGGGTCAGGGACCCACTTGAGGAGGCAGTCCGTCCCTTAGCAGAGCTCGAGTGCTGTGCTGAGAGATCTGCTGCTCTCTTCAGAGCCAGCAGGCAGGAAACTTTATATCTGCTGAAGCTGTACCCACGGCCACCCCTTCCTCCGGGGTGCTCTGTCCAGGGAGCTCTGTCCCAGGGAGATGGGAGTTTTATCTATAAGCCCCTGACTGGGGCTGCTGCCTTTCTTTCAGAGATGCCCTGCCCAGAAAGGAGGAATCTAGAGAGGCGGTCTGGCTACAGTGGCTTTGCCTAGCTGCGGTGGGCTCTGCCTGGTCCAAACTTCCCTGCAGCTTTGTTTATGCTGTGAGGGGAAAGCTGCCTACTCAAGCCTTGGTAATGGTGGAGTCCCCTCCCCCAACCAAGCTTGAGCATCCCTGGTGGACTTCAGACTGCTGTGCTGGCAGCGAGAATTTCAAGCCAGTGGATCTTAGCTTGCTGGGCTCCATGAGGGTCAGATCCGCTGAGAAAGACCACTTGGCTCCCTGGCTTCAGCCCCCTTTCCAGGGGAGTGAACAGTTCTGTCTTGCTGGTGTTCCAGGCACCACTGAGGTATGAAAAAAAAAAAAAAACTCCTACAGCTAGCTCAGTGTCTGCACACTTTTGTGCTTAAAACCCAAGGCCCTGGTGGTATAGGCACCTGAGGGAATCTCCTGGTCTGTGGGTTGTGAAGATCATGGGAAAAGCAAAGTATCTGATAAAGATAGCACTGTCCCTCATGCCCTCACAGCTTCCCTTGGCTAGGAGAGGGAGTTCCCGGACCCCTTGAACTTCCCAGGTGAGGCAATGCCCCACCCTGCTTCTGCTCACCCTCCATGGGCTGCACCCACTGTCTAACCAGTCCCAATGAGATGAACTGGGTACCTCAGTTGGAAATGCAGAAATCACCTGCCTTCTGCATTGGTCTTGCTGGGAGCTGCAGACCGGAGCTGTTCCTATTCAGCCATCTTTCCCAGAACTATGACTTTTTAAAGACAATGTCTGTCCTTATTGTCTTATTTATCTGTTGATATTGCAAGCTGCTGAATTCAACTCTACCACATCTTACATACAGTGAGTGCTTGTAAACACTTGCTGAACAAATCCAGACTTCATCAAAGAGACAAATCCCTCCCAGCACCATAGAAAGGAGTTAAGTGTATCTGTGTGTTACATTTACATATCAAACAAGCCCACTGATAATTCCAACATAAATTGTTCCCAAGGAGATAAACAAATAAAAATAAAGAATAAATCATACTAATAATCATAACCCCACCATCAAAAGTAACCTTCAGAAACATGGATATTTCTGAACTATAGTAAAATAAATATTTACTCCTAGCTGAAGATTTTGGTGTGTTTTTTTATAACGGGAAAAAGAAATTTTAAACCCTAACTTGACCTACAGTCTTTCATGGATGACTTCTTGAGTAAATCAGATTTTAGAGTTTCTTTGTTTAGGAATGAAAGCTTGGCAGACTTAAACTATTTCAAAAGTCTAGAGAGTAAGAAGATAGTATGGAAACAAGACAGCAAGACACCCCAGTGGCTGAACCATTAAAGAAAGTAATACAGGCAAGAGGGAGTAATGAGTAGGTAAAGATAACAAATGCAATGTCAGAGTCAAGGAAGCAAGAGCATCATGAGTTATGTCTGTGAAATGTGGGAGTTTGGTGAAGTGGTCTCTAATATTCTATCGTTCCACAAACATATGGACACTGTTACCAACTTCTTCAGTATGTTCTTCTCTCAGGACAGTCACCTCCCTTTGTCCATTCCAGAAACACTTGCCACAAAGTCAAGCTATAAAACAGTAGAATATGATGATGACTTAGATAACAATCCTTTTAAAGTAAACCTAAAGTTCTCAGAATATGAGAATTTATTTGAAAACTGCTACTAGAAACCTACTGTGAAAGCTTTAAGACCTAATTTTTAAGATATATGATTATAGTGAGAAAATTTTAAATATGATAAAAATATTTTCCTCAGGACATCTCTAATGGAATTTTTTTAAATGACTATATGGTGCTAATAACAAGGGAAATTGAAGCAACATTTATTGATTTGTAATTTGTAATGTATTTGTAATTTATCTCACACAATCAATGTCCACATCACAGCTTTCTATTATGCCCTGATTTTGTAGCAAGTATATCAGGATGAAACTATTTAACATTCACATTTTATGAGAATAAGAATATTTAATCGTTATGAGATTAAATATAAACTACCTTCCCTAGTTTACAATGAAAAAAAAAGAAAGACCCAGAGATATTAATACATTTCTCAAAGTACATACACACGGTGTACTTTGTCAATGGCAACACCAGATTTGAACTCTGATTCTGCTAATTCCAAATTCTTATGTCTAATACTTAAAAGAATAGGTCCCAGACTTTAAAGTTTCAAAAACATTTTGGAGATCAACATAAGTTTTTTATTTTTTCAAGTAAGGACATTATACAGACACACACACACACCTGTCACTATCTTTCCTTAAAAATATGACATTCATCAAAAAAGTGAATAAACTTTGCTTTATGAACAATTTTCCATATATCCTCACTTTAATTACATTACCACAAATAGTAAAATTTGAATTAGATAGTGAAAATTTCAGCGTAACACTGGACTTCTGAGGACTTCCACTTGGGAACTGCTTCAAAAATCCACATAGCCTCCTTGTTGTATGATGGCAACAAAATACCTCTGCCTGGAATTGGGTTGGATCTGCTGTTGAATATGTACAAGTTGTCAGGGCCTACTTTGTTAACTTCCATTGACACGAATCCAAACGCCCAGGAGAACATGGGGAAAACGTATATCTGTTTGGAGAGGGGGACCATATAGACAACTTCAAACCAACTTACATGGGGTATTTGTGGCCACTTTAAAAACAGATATTGATGTTTGGTTGTGGTTGTTCTCTACAAACTGTTACTCTGATCAAAGGTATTTCTGTGTTATAATAAAACGTTCCCTGCTGCTGGGGATAAATTAGAACACTCCTATGCCTTACAAGGAATTCGGTGTTTACATTAAACTACCTGCATTTGCACAAAATTTGCAGTAAGGCATACAATTTAGTGAGAAAATTATGCAGACAGGAGATCAGGGTTCTCTGCCTGATTCTTTCACTCACTCACTCCCTCTGTGACTCCCAGCATATCACACTACCTCTTGGCCTCTCTCCCTCGCTAGTAAAGTAAGGGGATTAAAAACATTGCTCTCCAAGCTTCCCTTCAGCTCTACTAAACTCAACTTGCCAGTATCTGAATTAATGGCTTATTTACAAAGGATTTATTCTTATTGACTTTAGTTTTCTCTTTCCCATTTTACCCATATATGCTTGAGTACCACAGAAAAGTTGGAAAAAAAATAGATACAAAGTATGAAGAAAAATAAATAATAATCCTACCACCCAGAAACAACAATGCTAACAATATTGCTAATATTTTCCCACATTTTTACTTGGCATATAAATTTCGTACATAAAATGTTGTGTCTGTTTTCTTTTAATATCATATTAAGAATTTTTCCCTGTGTAATCAAACATTTTTCAGAAGCATATCTTTTAAAATACAATGTTTTTATTGATTTAAAAATAATATATGCTTATTACAGAATGTTTCAAAACTTACAGAAAAACAAAGAACAAAATTGTGTATTTCCCAAGGGTTAACTCCTGTTAATACTTGGATATAAATATTCCAGATGTATATTACAAAGTTTTTCCATATGAATTGTTTTACACTGGGTAATGGCTATGTTTTATAGGCATACCTCATTTTGTTGCACTTCACAGACGTGTATTTTACTACACGTAAATACTACTACATGAAGGTTTGTGGCAACCTTGCATCAAGCAAGGCTATCTACACTATTTTTCCAACAGTATGTGCTCACTTCATATCTGTGTGTCACACTTTGGTAACTCTCACAATATTTTAAACTTTTTCATTGTTATCGTATCTGTCACGGTGATTTGTGATCAGTGATCTTTGATCACTATTATACTTGCTTTGGAATGCCACAAACCATGCCCACATATAAGACAGCAAACATAGTTGATAAATGTTGTGATGTTCTGATTGTTTCACCCACTGGCTATTCCTCCATCTCTCTCCCTCCCCTCAGGCATCACTGTTCCCTGAGACAGAACAATATTCTAGGACCCTGAAGAATTATGCTAAATCCATTCTTCCTGTGCTCTATAAATGGAATAACAAAGCCTGGATGACAGCACATCTGTTTACAGCACAGTTTACTGAATATTTTAAGCCTACTGTTAAGACCTACTGCTCAGAAAAAAAGATTTCTTTCAAAATGTTTCTGCTAACCGACAATGCACCTGGTCACCTCAAAGCTCTGACAGATACATACAATGAAATTGAGGCTTTCATGCCTGCTAACACAACACACATTCTACAGCCCATGGATCAAGGAATCATTTTGACTTTCAAGTCTTCTTATTTAAGAAATACATTTCATAAAACTGTAGTTGCCATAGATAGTGATTCCTCTCATGGATCTGAGTGAAGTAAACTGAAAACTTTCTGGAAAGGATTCACCATACTAGAAGCCATTAAGAACGTTAATGATTCATGGAAGGAGGTCAAAATATTAACAATAATAGGAGTTTGGAAGAAGCTGATTCTAATCATATTGGCTAACTTTGAGTGGTTCAAATCTTCAATGGAGATAGGAACTTCACATGTGATAGAAATAGCAAGTGAACCAAAATAAGAACTAAAGTTGCCCAGGCACGGTGGCTCACGCCTGTAATCCCAGCACTTTGGGAGGCCAAGGCAGCCGGATCACAAAGTCAGGAGATCAAGACCACCCTGGCTAACACGGTGAAACCTCGTCTCTACTAAAAATACAAAAAAACTAGCTGGGCACGGTGGCAGGGGCCTGTAGTCCCAGCTACTCAGGAGGCTGAGGCAGGAGAATGGTGTGAACCCAGGAGTGGAGCTTGCAGTGAGCCGAGATCATGCCACTGCACTCCAGCCTGGGTGACAGAGCAAGACTCCGTCTCAAAAAATAAAATAAAATAAGAACTAAAAGCCTGAAGATATGACTGCAATCTCAGGATAAAACTTGAATGGATGAGGAGTTACTTCTTCTGAGTGAGCAAAGAAAGTGGTTTCTTGAAATGGAAGCTACTCCTGATGAAAATGCGGTAAACATTGTTGAAATGACAACAAAAGATTTAGAACTTTGTATAAACTTAGTTGATAAAGCAGCAGTAGGGTTTGAGAGGATTGACTGTAATACTGAAAGTTCTACTGTGGATAAAATGCTATCAAACAGCAGCACACGCTACAGAGAAATCTTTCATTAAAAAAAGTCAATTGATGCATCAAAATTCATTGCTGTCTTATTTTAAGGAATTGCCACAGCCATCCCAACTTCCAACAACCACCATGCTGATCAGTCAGCAGCCACAACACTGAGGTAAGATTCTCCACCAGTAAAACGATTATTACTCCCTGAAGGTTTAGGTGTTAGCACATTTTAGCAGTAAAGTATTTTTAAGGTATGTATGTTGTTTTTTAGACAAAATGTTACTGCACACTTCAAAAACTACAGTATAATATAAACATAACTTTTATATGCAACAGAAAACCGTGACAAGGTTTACTGTGATATTTGCTTTATTTTGGTGGTCTGGAACCAAATCCATAATATCTCCAAGGTATGCCTGTATTTCATCATAGGAAACTACCAAATGTATTTATGCAAATACTGACTAGTGTTGCATGCCAGTCTGATATTTTTAAATGTTACTATTGCTCTTTCATTAATAATGTTAGTTTTATTTATACACATTTTAACACTTCAGATGTAAAGCTGCTAGTTTACTCTAATAATTATAATGAATATAATTGAGTACTCTGTAGTAAGGCATTGTCTCAAATAGTTCACATGTATTATTTCACTTAAATCTTTATGACAATACTGGGTGGTACTATTTTATGCTCATTTTACAAATGAAAAAAACTAAGACTTGGAGAGCTCAGTAACTCACCTCAAGTCACATGATTAGTTAAGTAACCAAGCCAGGCTTGAAACCTACCAGACTTCACCATACAGGCTCTCAACCAGGAGAATGTGCTGTCTTCTCAGTATGCCAGATATTGGGTAATACTTGTTTGTTTCTACAATGTCTCAGTCCTCTGAACAGCCTTTAGAAGTAGGTCTTGCTATCACCATGTAGAAAATTAAAAAACTGAATCTTAATGAAGTTAAATAACGATGTTAAGAAACTGAAGTTAGCAAGTGACAGAAACAGGACAGAATCTCATGTTTTTAACCATTTCATAGAGTTTAATACACTTCGTTTTTGGTGTAACTAATATGTTTAGTTTATTTTGTCAATACATTTTTTTTGCTTTATTTCTCAGGCATTCATGTTTCCTATGTTTTCTTTGCTTTTTGGTATTCTAGCACATAAAAGGTATATGTCCTATTTTTAATTTTGTTAATGGTTACCTCAATTTTTTTTTCAAAATCATTCCTGGACCTTTTTCAACTTCTCAGAATTAAGAACAAAAGTATCTTCTTAATTTCCTCTTTTATAAGGCATAGGGGTACTATACTATTTATCCCCCCAACCAGTTTTTAATATTATGATAATCCAGTAATAAAGTCTTAGATTATTGTTTCATTATTATTTACTATTAAAGATGTTACTTGATAATAAATATTTAAAATATTGAATTTATTAAATTGTTGTTTTTTGCATTATACATCTGCTATGGTGTGAATGTGTCCCCCAAAGTTTACATGTTGGAAACTTAACTTCCAGTGCAACAGTGTTGTGAGGTAAGACCTTTAAGAATTGATTGGGTCATGCCGGGCACAGTGGCTCACACCTATAATCCCAGCAGTTTGGGAGGCTGAGGCAGGTGGATCATGAGGTCAGGAGTTCAAGACTAGCCTAATGAACATGGTGAAACCCTGTCTCTACTAAAAATACAAAAGTTAGCCAGGTGTAGTGGTGCGTACCTGTAGTCCCAGCTATTGGGAGGCTGAGGCAGGAGAATCGCTTGAACCTGGGAGGCTTCAACAGAGCCGAGATCCTGCCACTGCACTCTAGCCTGGCAACAGAGCAAGACTCTGTCTCAAAAAATAAAAATAAATAAATAAATAATTATTTTGGACGTAAGGGTTTCACCCTCATGAGTTGATTAATGCTGATTATAAAAGGGCTTGAGGTTGTGTGATTAATTTCCTGCTCTTTCTTGCCAAATGATGCCTTCTGCCATGTTGTGACCCAGCAAGAAGGCCCTCACTAGATGTAGCCTCTCAGTGTTGGACTTCCCAGCCTCCAGAACTGTGAACCAAGTAAGTTTCTTTTCACTGTAAATTACTCAGCCTCTGGTATTCTGCTATAGCAACACAAAATGGACTCAAATGTCAAAAAACTAACACAAGTATTCAGTGATGTAAGAAAGTTTACAATAATTATTTAGATTTGTCTTGTTAAACTAATTTAAGCTACACAATAGTCATCTTTTACATAACATCATTTTTGAGCTCCAAGCTTCATCTTTTGAGCTCCAAGCTTCATCTTTTGAGCAGTCATATTGCAAAGTCCAGTTCTGAGGCCAACTTATTTTTATACTCTTGTAAATTCTTTCCTCCATGGCTTGATATTATATGAGATTGTTTTTCTTTGTCATTTAGTTCAAGATTATTTTCCCTCTGTAAGTTTAAATATGAGTCTCTTTTTAATTCTTTTATTTGAGCATAATGAAATATTTCAACATGTCTAAACTAGCCTTTTTAGCTCATCTATTACATGTATGGTTATTTATTCCAGCATTTTTCTCATGAACACAAACTATTCATTTGTTTAATATTTATTCCCTGTCTTCTGTTTATATTACTTTTGTCATCATTTTTATCAATTTATCTTTTATTTCTACATTCCAGAAGGGTGTGACTTTGTTGATTTGATTTTTTTATAATGCTAAATTGTTATCTTTTTCCCTCTAATGTGGACTTTAATTCTATTTAATTTTTAATGTACTTGAAATCCACATTAATATTAGTCATCTCCCTTTTTATTTCATCCTCTTATCTTTTTATCAGAGCTTTTTCCTCCTTTATAATTTTTGGCTCCTCTTCCATAGGGGCTGTATCTCTTTGCATACTACTGAGAATTTCCATGTTTATTCTAAATCCCATAGTAGACAATTTTTAGAGGTATTTTATGAGTCTGTTCTCTTCCCTTATACTATGGCATTTTTTTCAATTAGCTCCATGTTGGTTGTTGGTTCCATCCTTCGTCCTTCTTCATCCTCTACAAGACAATATTGCTCACCTTTTGCCCAGCAATCTGGGCACTGAATTGGTGGTCAAATTCCAGTCAAATTGCAAGTTTCTTGCTGCCACTCACCTGGAGCAGCACTCTCTGCTCTACTGAGGTAATGTTGCCTTTCACACCTGGTTCTGTGATTCTCTGAATCAATAAAGACAAGGGGGGTGCGGTGGCTCACGCCTGTAATCCCAGCACTTTGGGAGGTCTAGGTGGGCAGATCATCAGGTCAGGAGTTCAATGCCAGCCTAACCAACATGGTGAAACCCCATCTCTACTAAAAATACAAAATTAGCTGGGCATGGTGGCACACACCTGTAATCCCAGCTACTCAGGAGGCTGAGGATGGAGAAATGCTTGAACCCAGGAGGCAGAGGTTGCAGTGAGCCGAGACTGTGCCACTGCACTCCAGCCTGGGCAACAGAGCAAGATTCCGTCTCAAAAAAAAAAAAAAGAGAGAGAGAGAGAGAGAGACAAGCTACCATTTACAGAATATCCTGACAAGTTCTTTCACCTTTCTTCTCTTTTTAGCACTTTCTTCCTGGAGACCATATCTCCCAGAATGCCACTGGCTACTACCAGATACCCTGAGCTTTCTTGTCACTAGTTTCTAGGAACGGCTGTCTCTGTCCTTTCAAATAAAGTTGGCAAATGAAGTAGGGGACAGAAAGAATGATTTGGCTGCCTCAAAAATCAGCACCTATGCATGACAACAATGGTTCTCAAATTATAGGTGTATCAAAATCATCTGCAGGTGATTCTGGGTCCCATGCACAAAGTGTCTGATTCTAACAAGTTCTCCAGTAATGCTGATTCTGCTGGTCTGAGACTACACATGAAGACTCACGGCAGTAGAAGAACATATGTCCTTTTCTCTGATTGGTAAGACCCTTGAGTCAAAGAAGACAGTAGTGAAAGTGAAGAGTACCTTTTTATTTTTTTCTGGGCAGGCTTTATAGAATGAAGCCAAACTTAAGCAGATTTTCTCTGGGTAGAAGAAATTTAAAACTTCTAGCATAAATTCATCTGTTGGCTTTGGCTTTTAGTAGTCGTCATTATGGATATTTCAGTGAGAAATTACAGTTTAAGGGCTGCTAGCTAGACACTGTTTTAAACCAGAAGTTTGTAAATATCATTTTTAGAAATAACAATATTCCTTCAGATGAATATTCTATAATTGCTCCATCATTCTCCTAATGTTATGTACTCTTAGGCTATTATCAGTTTTTCAGTATTAATAGATGGAGTCACATTAAACACCTTTGTAAATGAGGTCATTTCTGCATTTTTAGATTGTTTCCTCAGATAGATTATGAAAAAAAATTATATAACTGCTCTCATGGATAAAGATACAAATTGCCAAATTGTTTCCTCAAAAGGGTATCATAGCAATCAAAAATAGGATATTCTCACAGAGGGAAAAACAATATTTTGCTAATTTAATATAGAATAAAGAGTAGTATCTCATTATTATTTTGGTTTGCTTTTTCTTACATTTTTCTTGTCAAGGAATATGCCTCCTGCCACTGCACATGATGAAACTTTTCCTAGAAGCAGGCACACACCCAAACTAGGATAACAAAAGAGGTCTTTGATAATAAAATTTTAGGAGAAAAAGAGGCCAGATTTTCTTTCATCATAATAATATACAGAAGGTAGATTGGCAGTAAGCTAGTTTGGCAGTGTGAAAGGCCTTTTGCATGCTCCTTCTCAAGAACGAGTTATGCTAAGAGCCTGATCTTCCCTACCTGCCTCGAATTTACCTCTAGTAACCAAAGCCTTGTGACACTTTTAGCAACAGAACTAGATCTAGAATACTGACCAAATCCTTTCAGCAAAGGCTAGTCACAAGAAAAGGTTGACTACATAAGCTGATTCATGCCTGTAGTCCCAGCACTTTGGGAGGCTGAGGGGGATGAATCACTCAGGAGCCCAAAAATTTGAGACCAGCCCTGGCAACATCACAAGAGCTGGTACCTACAAAAATAAATTTTTTTTTTAAACTAGCCAGGCAGGGTAGCATGTGCCTGTAGTCCCAGCTACTCAGGACACTGAGATGGGAGGATTGCTTGAGCCTGGGAGGTCAAGACTACAGTGGGCTATGATTGTGCTTCTGCACTACAGCCTGGGTGATGGAGTGAGACCCTGTTTCAAAAAAAAAAAAAAAAAAAAAGAAAAGCAAGGAAAAAGAAAAAGAAAAGGTAGACCCTGGGAAAGGAAATGCAGAAGGAGAGAAGAAGGGAAAAAAGAAAAGAGATTTTAAAAACCAAAGGCCTACAGAAAAGGAGAAAAACCTTGAGAGGACCAGAAGCAGCTAGATACTTAGTTGACTTTCAAAGGTGGACATGTGGGGTGCTACCCTAAGAGTGGAAACTGATTCCACATCCACTCTTTGGAAGAGCCAAGAAGTGGGATGAATGGGATGTAGACTCTATTCCTCAATTCTTCTTTCCCAAAACATACTGACTACCTCATTGGATACTGTAGCTCAGTGGTTATCAATCTTGGCTGAAATGAGAATCATCTGGGGAGCGTTAAAAAAACTAGCTTTGTAGAATGAGTTAGGGTGGAGTCCCTCCACCTTGATTTTTGGGAATTATTTCAGTAGGATGGTCCTAGCTCTTCTTGAGACATCTAATAGAATTCAGCTGTGAATCTACCTGGTCCAGGGTATTTTTCAGTTGCTAGGTTTTTTATTACTGATTCAATTTTGGAACTTTTTACTGGTCTGCTCAGGGTTTTAATTTCTTCCTGGTTCAATCTTGAGAAGGTGTGTTTCCAGTAATTTATCCAGTTCTTCTAAGTTTTCTAGTTTGTGTGCATAGAAGTGTTCATAATAATATCTGAGGAGTTTTTTATTAGTTCTGTGGGGTCGGTTGTATCACCACCTTTCTCAAATTTCTGATTGTGCTTATTTGGATCATCTCTCTTTTTTTCTTTATTAATCTAGCTAGCAGTCTGTCAATCTTAAGTATTCTTTCAAATAACAAACCTTTGGTTTCATTGATATTTTCTATGGATTTTTGAATCTCAATTTTATTCCATTCAGTTATGTTTTTGGTTATTTATTTTCTTCTGCTAGCTTTGGGGTTGATTTGTTCTTGTTTTTCTAGTTCCCCTGGGTCCAACATTAGGTTGCTAATTTGAGATCTTTCTAACTTCTTGATGTAGGTGTTTAGCACCATAAACTTTCTTCTTAACTGTGCTCTATCTGTATCCCAAAGATTCAGGTATGTTGTGTCTGTTTTCATTAGTTTCAAAGAATTTTTTGATTTCTGCCTTAATTTCATTCTTTACCCAAAAATCATTTAGGAACAGGTTGTTTAATTTCCATGTAATTGTATGGATTTCAGAGATCTTCTTTGTATTGATATCTATTTTTATTGTGCTGTTGTCTGAGCATGGTAGGTATAATTTTGATTTTTTAAAAATTTTTTGAGACTTGTTTTGTGTCTGAGCATGTGGTTGATCTTAGAATATGTGCCATGTGCAAATGAGAAGAATGTATATTCTGTTTTTGTTGGGTGGAGTATTCTGCAGATGTCTATTAGGTCTAATTGTCCAACTGTCAAGTTTAAGGCGGAATATCTTTGTTAGTTGTCTGCCTCAATGAACTGTCTAACACTCTCAGTGGGGTGTTGAATCTCCCACTATTATTTTGTGGTTATCTAAGTCTCTTTGTAGCTCTCCAAGAACTCATCTTATGAATCTGGGTGCTCCAATGCTGGGTGCATATATATTTAGAATAGTTCAGTCTTGCTGAATTGAACCCTTTATCGTCATGTAATGCCCTTCTTTTTATTTTTTTTGGTTTTATCATTGTTGGCTTAAAGTCTGTTTTATCTGATGTAAGAATACCAACCCCAGCTCTTTTTGTTTTCTTTTTGCCTGACAGACCTTTTCCCATCCCTTTACATTGAGACTGTGAGTTTTATTACATGTGAGATGGGTCTCTTGAAGACAGAAAATAGTTGGGTCTTGCATCTTTATCTAACTTGCCACTCTATGCCTTCTAAATGGGGCATTTAGCCCATTTACATTCAAGGTTAGTATTGATATGTGAGGATTTGATTCTGTCCTCATGTTGTTAGCTGGTTGCTGTGTAGACTGGATTGTATACTTGCTTTGTAGCGTCATTGAGCTATGTACTTAAGTGTATTTTTGTGGTGACAGGTATCTTCATTTCATTTCCATGTTCAACACTCCCTTAAGGACCTCTTGTAAGACAGGTCTGGTGGTAATAAGTTCCTTTAACATTTGCTTATCTAAAAAGGATTTTATTTATCCTTTGCTTATGAAGCTTTGATAGGATGTAAAATTTTGGTTGAAATTTCCTTTTTTTTAAGATGCTGAAAATAGGGTTCCAATCTCTCTAACTTGTAAGGTTTCTGATGAAAAGTCTGTTGTTAGCCTGATGGGGTGCCCTTTGCATGTGAACTTCTCCTTCTCTCTAACTGTCTTTCACTCTGATACCAAAACCTGGCAGAGACAGTGAAAAAAGAAAACTTCACGCCAATATTCCTGATGAACATAGGTGTAAAAATCCTCTACAAAATACTAGCAAAGCAAATCCAGCAGCACATCAAAAAGTTAACACACCAAGATCAAGTAGGCTTTATTCCTGGGATGCAAGGTTATTCCAACATATTACAAATCAATAAATGTGACTGACCACATAAACAGAATTAAAAATAAAAACCACATTATCATCTCAATAGATGCAAAAATAGCTTTAAGTAAAATTCAACATCATCTCATATTTAAAACCCTCAACAAATTAGGCATCTATGAAATATACCTAAAAATAATATGAGCCTTTTATGACAAACCTGCAGCCAACATCATACTGAATGGAGAAAAGCTGAAAGCATTTGTCTTGAGAACTGGATCAAGATAAGGTTGCTCACTCTTAGCATTACTATTCAACATAGTACTAGAAGTTCTAGGACGAGCAAACAAGAAAGAGAAAGAAATAAAAGGCATTCAAATAAGAAGAGAGGAAGTCAAACTATCTCTCTTCACAGATAGTATCATTCTAGAAGTCACGACCTAGAAAATGACGACCTGGAAAATCCCATATGCTCCACCAAAAGGGCACTATAACTGATAAATAACTCCAGTAAAGTTTCAGGATAAAAAAATCAATAGCACTCTCATATACCAATAACATCCAAGCTGAGAACCAAATCAAGAATGCAATTCAATTACAATAGCCACGAAAAGAATAAAATACCTCAGAATGCAGCTAACCAAAGAGGTGAAAGATCTCTGCAATGAGAATTATAAAACACTACAGAAAGAAATCAGACAGCACACAAATGGTAAAACATTCCATGCTCATGGATAGAGAAACAAATCCTGTTAAAAGTCATATTGCCCAAAGACATTTACAGATTCAATACTATTCCTATCAAAATACCAAGGTCATTTTTCACAGAATTAGAAAAAAAACTATTCTAAAATTAATATGGAACCAAAATAGAGCCCAAATAGCCAAAGCAATCCTAAGTAGAAAGAACAAACCCAGAGGCATCACACTGACTAATTTCCAGCTATACTTCAAGGCTACAATAACTAAAACAGCATGGTACTGGTACAAAAACAGACACATAAACAGATCAATGGATCAGGATAGAGAACCAGAAATACAGCCACACACCTACAAACAGCCGATCTTCAACAAAGTCGACAATGACAAGCAATGGGGGAAATGACTTCCTATGCAATAAATGGTAATAGGATAACTAGCTGGCCATAAGCATAAGATTAAAACTGGACTTTTACTATATGTAAAAATTACCTCAAGGTGGATTACAGACTATAAAAATCCTAGACAAAAACCTAGGAAATACCCCTTCTCAACATTAGCCTGGGCAAAGAATGTATGACCAAGTCCCCAAAACCCACTGAAGCAAAAACAAAAGTTGACAAGCGGGACCTAATTAAAGAGCTCTGCACAGGAAAAGTGGCTATCAACAGAGTAAACAGAGAACCTACAGAATGGGAGAAAACAGTCACAAACTATGTATCCGACAAAGGTCTAATATCCAGAATCTTTAAGGATCTTAAATAATCCAATAAGCAACCCCATTTTAAAAAAATAAGCAAAGGTAATGAACAGACAGTTCTCAAAAGACGACATACATGCAGCCAACGAATGTGTTAAAAAAAATTCTTAACATCACTAATTATTAGAAAAATGCAAATCAAAACCAAAATAAGATACCATCTCCCACTAGTCAGAGTTATTAAAACGTCAAAAAATAACAGATGTTGGCAAGGAGGAGAAAATGAAACACTTACACACTGCTGGTAAAACATAAATTAGTTTAGCCACTGTGGAAAGCAGTTTGGAGGTTTCTCAAAGAACCTAAAAGCAGAGCTACCATTTGTCCCAGCAGTCTTATTACTGGGTATATACCCAAAGGAAAATATATCATTCTACCAAAAAGACACATGCTCTTCTATGTTCATTGCAGCACTATACACAATAGTAAAAACATGGTATCAACCTAGATGCCCATTAACAATGGACTGAATTTTTTTTTAAAGTGGTACATATACACCATGGAATAGTACACAGCCATAAAAAGAAAAGAAATGTCCTTTGCAGCAACACGAATGCAGCTGAATGATGTTATCCTAAGTGAATTAACAAAGGAACAGAAAAAAAAGCCCACATGTTCTCACTTATAAGCAGGAGCTAAACATTGAGTAAACAAGGAAATAAAGATGATAACAACAGATGCTGGTGACACTGAAGGGGAAGGGTGGGAGAGAGTTGTGAGTTGAAAAACTACCTATCACGTACTATGTTCACTACCTGGGTGATGGGATTATTCATATGCCAAACCTCAGCAACACGCAATTTACTCATGTAACAAGCCTGCACATGTACCCCAAAACCTAAAATAAAAGTTAAAAAAAAAACTGATGCTCAGTACCACAATTAAGCATCAATATTGTCTAGAAGTTCAACAGGTGATTTTAATGTGCAGCCATGGTTTAGAACTAGTACTGAGAAGTTTGGGAAAAAAAAAAATTCAATTCCAAAGTCAACAGCTGTTTGATTATTCTGTGTAAGTGCCTGCCCAGTCAATGGGAAGAGCATTTGAGAACAGTGCCTGCCTTCCATAACAAAGAGTATAAGGTTGTATTCCAAAGAAAGTTTGGACATTTCTCTGTAAGCCTTCCCTTAGTCTGTTGCATGGTGGGCTTATGTCTATAATAAACTGGGGTAGCCTCTGCTTACTCTCTGAGTCCACCAGATCAGATATGATTGCTGTTTATTTGTAAAGTGCTGTGAAGTGCAGCTTATTACAAATTGTAAGAACTGTACTATTGTTTTTCTTGTTCTACCACATTCTGGAGCGTACATTTAATGGTGTGTAAACAGAACAGCTGAAATGTAACTATTAACTTACAGAAGCAAAATCCCATTTGTTTTCTCTTCTCAACACTTTGTACTTGCTTTTCTGTAATAATAGCAAAGCTTAAAATGGTGGATTTGAAATTAGATGCTCTACTAATAAAGCTCTTTTGCCATTTTAAATTTTAAATGGTTGAGGTGACAGAATGCTAGAATAGCTCTCTAAAGAACCTTAAAAATGTACTAAAACTATCAAAGGACATGCATGTAGGATATATAAATATCTCCTTGAAATCAATAAGAAAAAAATAGATAACCTAATAGGAAAATAAAGTTCAAATATTTTGAACAGGTACTTCACAGAGGAAGTTACCCAAATAATGAATACTCAACTTCATTAGCAGGGAAAAAAATTCAAAACCCAATGTAATTTCTGTACACATCAATAAGAATGAGCAAAAGAAAATGTATAGACAATACCAAGTGTTGACAACTGGACTGTCATACACGGCTAGTAAGCGTGTAAATTCATAGAGCCACCTTGGAAAACTATTGGAAAGCTGAACATACACACCCTCAATGACTCAGCAATATGAACCCCTAAGACATGGTCATATGTAATCCCTATAACCCAACCATTTCACTCCTAAGGAATGCCCCAATGAAATGTTTGTCTAAACATGAGCAAGAATGTTTATAACAGCCTATTAATAATAGCCAAAATCTAAAAAATAACCTAAATATCCTTCAAGAGTAGGGTAGATAAATGTATTATGTATATTTGTACAATGGAATACTATCGACAATAATATAGACCTACCTATAAACTACACATAGCAAAATAGATAAATCTTACAAACAGAATAATGAAGAAGCCAGGTACAAAATCCTGCATGCCCTAAGATTTCAGTTATATGAAGTTCAAAAACAGGCAAAACTAGTTGACAATGTTGTAAGTCAGAATAGGGCTTGTCCTTGGGAAATAAGTGGGGGATGGTGACTGGGAGGGTACAAATGGGATTTTTGAGGTTTGGCAATATTCTACTCGTTTTATGTTAAACAGGCTGTACAGTAATGATTAATAATTTACATATATCATTCTGCAATTAAAAGTTCATTTAAAGATGGTTAGGATATTTTTATTCCGTAACTGTGAACAATTATACAAAGCTAATTTATTTACAGTTTAAAGGGCAGGGAGGGGAGGGGACTACACTTGAAAAGTTGAACATAGTCTCAAAGCTTCTGAAACTGAAGTCATTATTGTTTTATTTAACAAAGACTTATAAATATTAAATATGAATGTATTTAAGCAATCTTGTAAAATAGATATTAGTGTTGTTCTTATGTCAGAGATGAGAAACCAACGACTGCTGAGATAAAAAAAAAAAAAAACTTGCCCAAGTCAATGAATGATAGAAACTAGTTTTAAATCCAGGAGGTCTGGCTTGGGGAGGTGAGTAAGGGACATTATCTTAATCACTTCACCATGGTTTCCCAACACTTTGGTGAGAACCCTTCTATGCTCTTAAAAGTTATTCAGAACTTGAAATTTTTTTTTATTTATGTAGATTATGTTTATCAATATTTACAATATTAACATTAAAAGAGAAAAACTTAAGATTATACAACCATTAGGCATCAGAGGAATGATGTCACCACACTTCATGTAACCTCCAAAAAACTCCACTGTGCATGCATGAGGTAATGACAGTCAAAGACAAGTAATGTCCTAATATTATTATGAAAATAGTTTTGATTTCAAATATTCTAGGATAGACTGAGAACCACTGCATATACTATGCTGCCTCTCTATTAATGAGAAGAAAATGAACATCTAATGATAAGAAAGAGACAATGTGGTAGCAACTTATCATACCCACAGCTCAGACATCACACTGCAAATTAAGCCCACGCTTTTAGGAATATAGGATAGAAGCAGACAATTTAGATTTAAATTCTAACACTACAACTTTTTCTCAAGGAAAATTGTTTCATCTCTCTGAGTGTCTGTCTTTCAACTGAACGATGAAAAGAGCAACACCTAGTTCCTATAGTTATTGTTACAACTAAATGGGATACAAATTGGGTGAAAATACCCCCATCATGTCCAATATAAAATAGGAATCCCACAAACATTTGTGAAATTTCTTTGTCACTTCACCTCTATGTGGAACAAAGAAAAATAAAACTTCAAGGAAGAGCCTTAATCTACTTTTCTTAACAGCTCAACAATGTTAAATGATTCAAATCTGTCTGATTGCAATACTTCCAACTTTTGTGCCTGACCCTAGGTTCCCTGGAAGATAATGACTCTGAAAAATTATTCTTTGGATTGTTTCACCTCTGCTGAAATTTATCCAACACTCTTACTAGAAAACTTAGGGCATCATTTCAATGTTGGAAATCCCAGGTGTCTCCAAGTTACTCAAGAATTATAATGGAATTTCTAAACAAATCTACTTTACTTTGTATTTTAAAACAACTACATATTCTAAGCATAATTAGAAAGATGTGTGTAGAAGGCAAAGAGGTAATGTATGGTATCATGAAACAAAATAAACAATGAAAACTCTTGAAAATAATTTATTTAAATTCAAGGTCTATCAACTTTTTCTGTAAAGGACCAGAGAGTAAATGTTTTAAGCTATGTGGGCGAACTGTCTATGTCACAATTAACTCTGCCATAATGCAAAAGTAGCCATAGGCAATATTTAAATGAACAGGCATAGCTGTGTGCTAATTAAACCTTTATTTACAATAACCTACTGTGGGTCACATTTGGCCCATGGGTCCTTGTTTGCTGACCCCTCATTTAGATGACAAAGCCAAAGCAAAATGATTTTTTTTAAAATGATATTCTATTCCTCAATTCCTTCAGGCATGTTTTAAAATGGCCTGGGAAAATACCATGACAACTGAATCCAAACCAACTTGGGCCTCTAATGTTGGAGAGCCTTTCTTCCAGCCCTGGGCTAATTAAGGACTTGTTTCTCTTCCAGGTAAACCCATGACAATTCCACAAGGATGAGGCACTGTATTTCCATTCATCTTCTAGTTTTATCACAGCTGTGCCATTCCTGTCAGCAAAACTTGGAGGCTGTCAGCATTTTCATTATAATGTCAGCATCTCAGGAGGTTATAAATCTGCCTAAGATAGCCTGAGCTAAAACTTAGCATAACAGCTTCTAGACCAAAGATAAGCAGCTGGCTCAACAAAATTAAGTTCATACTGAAAGGTAGGCCAAAAAGTTATCTTTGTAAAGTTCAAAAAAATTTTGGTTGTGAAGATCCACATGCAACTCAATTTAACAAATATTTATTGAATTGCTACCGTTAAGTATCCTTTGTTATTTTATCTGTCCCATTTTACTTCCCTCTGGGAAGTGCATCTCCCCCAGTTCACATCAGCCTCTAATGAGGCTCTTGATCAAGGAGTCTTGCCTTGCCTTCCCCCAGAGTGGCTCACATGACCCAATGGAGCCAATTAGACTATCCCATTTCCCTAGGCACAGAATTCCCTAGACATTTGGGACTGTTTCTGTTTTCAGGGTTTTTATGGCCACTGGGAACAAAACAATCTCTCTTCTTCTGTACTGTTTCTAAAGTGGACACACAAGCCTGAAGCTTCTGTGTGTGATGACTTTGAGGGACCCATGGGATATCCTTTTGACCATAATTAGTAGGCAGTTGAATTCACAAGTCTGACAATCCAAGAAGAGTTTGAGGATGCAGCTGTGGATTTGGAAGTCATTGGTGTGCTTCAAAGAACAGTTTGAAGCACATTCTAGGATCCTGCAGTTCTGTGGAACATAGTTTAGGAATACTAAAAACACAACTAGAAAGTAAAAGCAATCAATGACTACTCAACAAATATACTGTGCTTCTACTATGTGCTTCACTCTGGGATAGATGCTAAGAATATAAATGAGTGACAGTGATGGATTGGACAGATAAGAAGGTACTAATTCAAAGCACTTATCAGCTGAGGTCTCCTGTTCCCTTGAGATGTAGGTAATATGATGTTACGTCCCCATACCATAACCCATGGAAGTCCAAAGCCCTCCTGAAAATTTCTGTGAAATCCCAAGGGCTAAAATTTTCTAGTCGCCTCTCTCTCTCCAGGTTCCTCCTTCCACATATGCTGTTTCCATTCTTTACTGCAGCTGCCTGTGTTGGAGACACATTTATCAACCCCAAGACCATGTATTGCCCATTCATTGGGCATGTGTTTGTGGCCTGTTAATATACTTTGCATTTGTAAACATCACTCTTTTTTTTATGAGACAAGTTCTCACTCTGTCACCCAGGCTGGAGTGCAATAGCACGATCACAGCTTACTGCAGCCTCAACTTCCTGGTTCAAGTGGTTTTCCTGTCTCAGCCCCCTGGGTAGCTAGGACAATAGGCAGAGGTCAACATGCCTAGCTAGTTTTTTTTTATTTTTCTAGAGATGAAGTCTCCCCATGTTGCCCAAGCTGCTCCTGAACTCCTGAGCTCAAGCGATCCTCCTGCCTCAGCCTCCCAAAATGCTGACATTATAGGCGTAAGCCATGGTGCCCCACCAATGACACACTTTTTCAACTGTACCATAAACTTCTTGAAAACATAGATTATATCACTAGGCCTCAGGCTAACAACAGTACCAATATCTTTGTTGATAAAGCCTCATTCAACTCATTCCCCTACACGTCACTTTAGAGACTTCACTCTTCTTTGTTTATTGCAAGTAACCCGGAAGCAGCCTGCCCCAGTTGCTAGTTACCCAAACCAACCCAACAAAGCAACCACAGGATTTTATCTTGTGGCAGTGCAAATATAAAGGACCGAAAAGGCTGTGTCAATGCAAAAACATCTGGTGCATTCATTAGGTTAGGCTAAATTGTGGTGACAAATGGGTTAAAAAAATGTAAGCGGGACAAACAAAATTGAAGGGTTTTTTTGGTTCACAGAACAGTTCAACATAGGTGTTCTCGATTGACTGTGATGCTCTTCCATGTAGTGATTCAGGAATCAAGATTCTTTCTATCTTGTGGCTCCAGAATCCCTTAAGATCTCATCAACCTCTAAATCCAGCTGGCATAAAGATTAAGAGAGTGTGGAGGAGGCACACACACATTCCTAAAAGTCCTGATCCAAAGGTGGCACACATCATATGAATTTAGTTCCACGGACACACTAGGAATTTAGCCTGTCCATATGCGCTGCCAAAAATCCAATCACTATTTAAGGATAGAGTGGATGTACGTGGACAGCTAGGGGGCGCCACCATTCTCAGTTTATCTGCTTTAAGAACACCACAGCAGATAAGAGGCTCAGTGTATTCTTTTTATCCCTTTATCCATCACTCAGCTTTTTCTCTTATAGTCTCAAGTATTTTTTCTATATAACCTCCTCCCAAACACCCCCTAATTCCACCCTCTGCCTTATGGTTATAAGAAGGTAAAAATTCAATAACCTCTCCATCATGATCATGACTACATTTCTAAGCATTGTTTAAACCAAGCCATGGGTGTCTAATTTATTCATTACCCCTACAAAAAAAAAACCCAACCTGCAAAATACTCCCAACCTTACAAGACCACGCCTAGAAACTCTTACAAGGAAACTATTCCAAATATATTATCTATCCTAACAAATTCTCCCTTTTTCAGCAAACTTCTTCCTTTTTCAGCAAACTTCTCCTTTCTCCCTAGAGTAGAACTGCCAGTCTCATATGCATTTCTACATACTCAGCTTCCAGTACCAGGGATGTCACTTTATTAATCAAATTGTCTTCAGTGCTGCTAGTTACTCTAACCTGAAAAACTATTATGCATACATTTGGTCAACAAATACTTATTAAAAGCCTATGTGCCCAGCAGCATGAAAGGCTGGAGACTTGAGGATGAAAAGAATATAGTTGCAGATCACCAAGGACTTACTGTCTTATAAACAGGTATTTATTTATAGAGCCCACTGCTCTAATGAAGCTCTGAACAATGCTTCATAGGACAAGATATAAAGGAAGCACTGAACTCTGCTTGAAGATGTCAGGGAAGTATTATTCATCAGCATTTACTGAGTCCCCAATTTGTACTCAGTGCTATGATGGGCAGCATGAAGGCCAGAAAACAAATAAAATGTTCTAACCTTGTCCTTGATGAGCATATCATCTCTATCCATACAGCAATAATGTTCTCTACAAGGCTGTATAAAGTGTTGCAACTCAATGAAAACGGATTATTAATGATGTTGAAGATGAGGTAAGCATCCTGGGAGAGGTCAAGTCATAAAATGAACCTTGAAAATTTGTTTTAGTCTGGATGAGAGTTGGGTGTGGAACGACTGGCTTTGCAGACAAAGAAAATAAATAGAGTGACACGGGACAGGGAATATAAGCAGTGAGTACCTGAAACAGTAAAGAAAGAATCTTTTAGGAGTGAATGGAGTTAGTAGAAAATAATGGAAGAAAGTGTGGGAGAAGCTAGGTGGAGCCAAACCTTATGAGTTGAGCAGGTGAGATAAGATTTAACGTGTACAAATTAAGAAACTATTGAAATCTTGTGAGTAAAAACACATTTGACAGAAGCAGTGTATAAAAAGACCTTTCTGACTGCAGTAATCTAATCCATTCAATAAATGCTTGTGAATTTTTAACCTATATAAAAATGTAGTTTATATAAAAATATAAGAATATAGTATGTTCTTCACTTTCAAGAGTTAGGAAACACTGGTGCTTCTGAGTCATTCTGTATTGAACGGTATAATTTTGATGTTTGGGTCCCTAGAGTCAAAATGTAAATGAAAATCAGTTGGAGGCATTTTAAGAATGGTGCAAAAAAAAAAAAAAAAAAACTCCTCAACTGCATGATGCTGTTTTCTAAATTCTTTAATGATATTTTTCCTGTGGGAATCCATTAAAGTCCCCCTTAAATCACTGTATTTCATATTTTTCCCTAAATGTTCTGAATATTTCATATTTTTCCCTTGCTGTTCTCAAATGAACAAACTCAGTAACTTCATTTTAAAGGAATTTTGATTGGGTTTTATTTTGTTTATAAAGCTGTATTATTTTTACTCCGAATCTGATCATCTTGGGAGATGCAAATTCATTTCTCTCCTCCTTAACTTTCCCTGCTGGACATGACAAGTTGACACCTCCAGCCAAATGCATTACTTTCACTTGATCTGCAAGGCTTAAGATTCTAGATGATCTGCTTAAAAGTTAGGTTTTTCTTCTTTAAAAGCAAAACTTTACATACAGACAGGGACCCAAAAAAGTCACTCTGGAATGTTGTGTTTTCTTGGTCTTACCACCCAAACAAATTCATCTGAAATACCTATAGTGGAAAACCAAGTATGATGAACAAAAGAAAGAGCCCTCATCTAACAAAAACAACAAGGCAAACACAATGAGGAATGGCAAATAACAGAGTCCCAGTGTTGGGAAGAAAATGGACAATAATGAGGCCTGTGGCAAAATCAATTTTCCTTCCCTATCCTAATAAAGCAACTGCTACTGAGCAATGGCTTATCTTTTTCACACAAGCACAGCCAGCATTTTCAGATTTTTCTCATTTTTCCAAAGATGGTGTAATTCAGATTTTCACATGAAATCTCTTGATTTTTTAAATTTTGGCAATCATAGCAGAGACACGATTGTTGCTACCTCGCAGCCATTCCTGACCCACTTAACCATCACTCACCTCCTGTTGCAAAGTCTGAAAAATCTAGTCACTCACTTTCCAAGACCTCCTGTTTCTAGTAATGGCTATGCATCAAAGTTTTGGCCCTTAAGGAATAAAGAATAGTTATCTGGGGAGATTGTAAAGAAAGTTGTTCCAGAAAGATTTTTTCTCTTCCCTGATAAAAGATGAGAGTGACATGAGGACAGATCATATTCACTATTTTGGCTCTCACCCTACATTTGCCTTTAGTTAAAGTCATTTATGTGACGTTATGCCTGGAGATGTGGTAGCCATTTTACAACCATGAGGGTAGAACAAGAGAATCATGGAGATGCCAACCTAGAGCTCTAACATAGTTAAGCCACTGATCTAATTCTAAACACATCTATCACTATTATTTTTAATGAGATGATAAATTCATTTATTAGCTAAAAATTGTGTAGAATTTGTTTATAATACTGTCAAGAATGCCTAAAATGTTCTAGCTCTTAACTGGGCTTATAAAGATTCAGTGTGACATCTTTCAAAAATTTCCACCATAGGTCACATGAATCTCTTTATTCACTCTTCTATTATAGTTTGGGTCATACCATACTGTTTAGAACTTTTTTGATAACTGTGTTATGGGTGGTGATTATAAGCTGTTAGACAGCTAAGCCATTTATGCCAATTTATCTGGGAAAGAAGTCATAGCAAATGGAGCATCTTTAATCACAATGGCCAATTTAAGTGATGGTGCTCCAACTTCAGAGGAGAAGCATGTATTTGTGTGAGAATCTCCTAAGAGATTTGGCTTTTCTTCCTGGAAAAATGCACTTTCTCACATCACACTGAGTTCTGAGTATACCTCCGTGGGCTTCACAGATTCCCAATCAGTTCAAGGCAAATTTAGAAGGAAACTTATTAGACCTGGGAAACAGTGAATGGGGACTGGGAGCAGAATCCAAAATAAAGTTTGGGAATAGAGAATAATCATTTTCCATAAAAATGTCTCTGTGGCCACCTGAGATAAACTCAATGATAAACAGACTTTCTATGATCTGTTCTCTGTCTTCGGATACAAATACAGCCTCAAAAAGGCAAGCCTTACATTACCTGATCATCTAATTTTATAGGTATAATACATAGCTATAATGTATAATACTGGGAAAAAATAAGCCAGTTTAAGAAGACATTCAGCAAAGAGGTAGAGAGAAAAAGAGGCTCTTGGTTTTGCCCAATCTGAGCATCAGACTCTTGACATATAATAATCACTGGGCAATGTCTCTATACGCCTCTTTCTGGAAGGAGCTTTAACATGGACTTTGAATTAAATAAATTTAAGTGTTACTAATTTTGTGTCAAGACTAGTTTTCTCTCGATTCTCTAGGCTTAGAGTATATATTTCTATGTTGATTTGTGTCTTAAATAAATAGCAAGAATTTTACTGCAGTATTGGTACAAAACTCTGCTCAGTGAAGCCAAGGGATCTGACAGGCAAAGTTCCAATCTCATCTTGGCACAGCCAACCAGCCAAACAGCATGTAACACTGTGATAATTTGAACATTTTCCTTTTCGAAAGCATATGATTCACAACAGTGTTTTTCTCTATCTAGTTTTTATCTCTCCTGAATCTCAAACATCTTCTTAAGTAAGGACTATTTCACAATCCTATTAAAAAATGGAAAAGCTGGTCACCTTAGATGAAAAAATATTAATGTAGTCCTAAAATTTCCTGAAGGAGAAACATATAAATATAGAAATATCTTCAAATATCTAGAGATTACTTCTTCTTGAGTTTACCAAATTCCGTTCTGAATATTTTGAGTTTGACTAGTGATGAGGACTTACAGCCTCTGGATAAAGCCAATGAAATCTGGATGTTTCTAGCTAATTAAGGAAAAAGCTCCCTTCAAAATTTTTAAATGAGAGGAAGCCTTGGATATAGCATTCGCTTTCTGTAGAGAGAAAATAATTTGCTAAGTGAAAAAAAGGAATTTCCAGAAAGAAATTACTAACATCATGTTCGTTTAAATTATTTTTAGACTCAGCATTAAAGACCTTTTGTTGTCATGTGTAAGCCAATGAGCACAAGATTAAATGCTGAGTTAACAAAAGTTAAACTGACTTTTCATCGTTTACTTACATCTTTAGTTACTTGGAAACAAAAAAAAATGATTTTTTGAAAAATAATTCCTTGAAGTCATGCAATTTAATGTAATATAGGAAGTATAAACAGAACATTTTCAATAAACTTCTCATAAACATTGCTCATCCAACAGCAATGCCCCAAGATTAGTTCAGTCATCACCTGATTTGTCCTGTGTGCCCATCTTTCACAATACCCCAGGACAGACAAAACTCCTAGAAAAGGAATGTGGAGCCCTAGAGTTTGAGACCTCCTGAGCTGGAAAAGTACTTGATGACATTATAATGACATTACAAAAGCTTTATACTATGAAAGCCACTAAAGAGCCTGAGTCCTCAAAGAATTGCCCATCAATGAGATCAGATAAAGGCAACATTGAAGAAACATCCTTGCATACTGGAACTTTGCCCTCTAGCCCCATCTCTGCTCTGGTATTTATTATTATCCATGCTTGTCATTGCCGTCCTGGAATCTAAATTATCAATTTAACATAGTGTATATTAGTGGGTTTGTAAAACCTAAATTCAGTTCAATTTTTCTGCATAACAAATCATCTCAAAACTTAATGGTTTAAAACAATCCTGTATTAGGACTCAAGAATCTCTAGGCCATCTAGATGGTTCTGCTCATTTGCCCAGGCTTGGCTAATCTTGGCTAAGCTCTTTCACATGTCTGAAGCCTTGCCTGGGAAACTGGGTTGACTCCTTGCTGGCCCACATGGTATCCCATTCTCCATCAGACTGCCCAGGCTTGTTCACATGATGGCTGGCAGCATTCCCAAAGAAAGAGTAGAAACCACACGGCCTCCTGAGGCCAGGCTTCTAAATCACACTTAGTTACTTCTCTGCATTCTATTTGTCAAGGAAAGTCATAAGTCCAGCCTAGGTTCAAGTTTTAGAGAAACAGAATGTACCTTTTTATGGGAGAAGCTGCAAAGAGAAGGGATCGCATTGCAAAGGGAAGGGTATAGAAAGAGATGAAGAATGGCAGCTATTTTTGCAGTATGACACAGAAACAAGTAACTCTTCTAAGCAAAAATGTTGTTTCTTTGTTGGGGGTTAATTTGGAAGGAGGGGAGGAATGATTTCTAACACCAAAGGGTCTTCACCAGTTGAGGCATATTAGCCAGGTAAAGCCAGGCTTCCAGCTCACCAAACTCACCAGTTTTCCCCTCTGCATTCTGTTGCCAAGCATGCCCATTCCCATCCAACAATCTTTAAGTTCACACCCAGGAAGGAGAGTTTGGAGGACAGTATTTGTTGAAAAATACTTTAGGCAGCCTCTGGCCTGGAATGCATCCACTGAACTGGAAGATTCAGTAAGTTGCTACAAAAATAAAATGCTCAGTGAACAAATGAATGCTTGGCTCCTTCTAATGAAAGGGGCTGGAGAGCTCAGGAACTGGCAGAAAAGGTCGGTGCAAGAACAGAGTCCTCAAGACAGTACTACCAACTCGCAGCAAGACTCCAAGTCCTCAGGGAAAAAGAGGAGGAGAAGAAAGCCCCTGACAGAAGGAAGCAGGATACCCGTGAAAACAAAGAGAAGATGAAAAAACAAAGAGGCAATAGAAATCTGGAAGACCAAAAATAAAACGTCTGAGTTTTAAGAAAGTTTAAAAATACTAGTTTTTCTAGAAAATAAATTACTAGTATGCATGCCAACTTTCCTGATAATATATCTATAATATTTGGATATATAACAACAAAAATAAATAGTTCTTTGATATTGGAAGGGTTTTTCCCAAGCTATCAATTACTCAGTCCTACTCTTTTTCTTCTATTTCCTCCAGTCTAGGGTTCTTTGTCAGATAAATGGAGACTCACAGAAATCCAATAATAAAAGAAGATAGCAGGGAATAGTAGACATTATTGACTACTATATATGAAAAGTTTTATCTATGTTAAATGTTAGCATCCTAACAATCCATAGAGGAAGATATCATTGTATCCCTTTGACAAACTCAAAACTTTAGGATTAGAAATGTAAACTAACTTTCACAAGGTCACCCATTTGG
The DNA here is from genome assembly GCF_000001405.40 of Homo sapiens. Classification (NCBI taxonomy): domain Eukaryota; kingdom Metazoa; phylum Chordata; class Mammalia; order Primates; family Hominidae; genus Homo; species Homo sapiens. The sequence continues at coordinate 25,904,647 of NC_000003.12, read as the reverse complement.
GATGTCTTGATTCACACCCATTTCTGCTTGCTCTCAAAGTCCGGTTGCTTAACAAGTTTTCTTAAAACTCTGAAACCAATTAAAGGCCTTTGTTTCGGTGTTGGGATAACCAGCACCAGCAGGACTGTTGAGCTGGCAAGCTGATGTGTCAGGTTAATGACAGATCCTAGGCTTGAACCCCTTCTGCCACCTTCTGGTCTAAGGCTTTCCCTCACATCACACTCCTAAGCAGGGAAATTCAATCAGTTAATTTATTCATTTATTCCAAATTTGCTTATCTGCAGCTGCTGTGTCCCATGTGCTGTGTGAGGTGACACAGAGGGAACAATACACAGAGTTCCCAGCACTCATGGAACATAAGACCCGGCAGTCCCAAGATAAATGCTGGATTGGAAGGAAGCCTAAAACAGGCAAAGTTTGGGGACTCAATTATCCACACGATTCTTAATTCTTCCTTCTTTCTTGTTCCTTTGATGTTTTGTTCTTCATTCCTTAGGTCGCCCCTTTCACAGTGCTTTATAACAGCAGACTTTATACAGTGTTATTCAATGACTCAAACAGAACTGATTTGAGTTCCCACTCCCCACATTCAAGACTTTCTTCTGTAATTAAAGGTCTGAAATATACTGAAAACAACAGCTCTGAAGTTCTGAAAGTCCTGAGTACAGTACCTATTATCACAGCAGTTCCCTAATCCCTTCAGTATGGTAGTAAAACTCATTGCCAGGAATTTTTCTCCATAGGGTGCTTACTGAAATATCTCATTTTTGCTGTAGTTTGATGTTTTTTTGTTTCTTTAGCACTATGCTAATATGTCTAGAGGGAGTTAGGCTAGAGTAATACCTCCAGAGAGCAAAGCTTGAGACAAAGGCTGGGTGCAGATGGTTTGAAGAGAGGCAGCCCCAGAAAGCAGAAGTGAGGGAGTAGGGAAAAGACAGTACAATCCATGTGTTAATCTGCTGATTATTGCTGTGGGCAACTACAGCTCACTCTCACTGAGGCTCCTCTGGGGAATGGCGTGGGCCATATCTCAGATTTGTCTCACCAGAGGACAAGAAGCCTGAGACATTTATGCACTGATTCCCACCAGCCTTTGGAGCAAGCCTATCTCATAGGGCATTCGCTTCCCCAAGCTTCCAGGTTGTGTCTGTATATGACTGATCAGCCTTCTGCGCTTTCACAAAAAGCACTCCAAGGCAGCAGAGAGAGGTCACATCCTGTGCTTGATGAGGGATGCTGTTAACTCACATGGAGCTGTCCACCTAAGCTGCACTAAAATCAGGTGGGCTAACAGGATGAAGCTCGGTGCATCATAAGCGTCTGCTAGAAGTAACGTCGATGTTTTTAAAATGGTAATAAGTATAGATACAATTTAGTAACTTGTAATTTACAAAGTGCCCTACACATACATAATTTTATCTGATTCTCACAGTAGCCATACTATGAGATTGGCATTATTATTATTATCACATTTTCCTCATGACATTCTGAGGATAAGAGAAGTCAAAAATGGTAAGAATATCCCATCCTACTTAGAGTTCTAATCTGCTTCTGCCAATTATAATTGATTGAATCAGAATATATTAGTTTGAATCATCAATACACCCTACACCTACTGACTTGAAAATGCTACACAGAATTTTTTAATTTTCAAATTGTTTCAGAACCACAAACACCTGCACTAATAATGCTCCAGAGAAAAGTCATCAACAACTTACATTCTTCTTATCTTACAATACATAAATTAGAACTATAGAGTCCAAGAAATAATTAACAGGTTCCGGTTTATCTTAAAATAGTCCCCAGTATAACTCATGTGGCAATTCCAACAATATGAATGTTTATTACTCATGCCAAAAATCCTCCATAGAAATCTGTTGCTGAAAACATTATGTGGCCATGTTCCCATATGCAGATACGCTTGTTTTTCTCTGTTTCATGCCAGGGTACTTAATCCAGTCATCATAATAATTGCTGTTTTCTCTGCCCTCTTTATATAATTATTAGTGTATGAATCTGAAAGAAACTTGAGATTTTTAAGAATATAGGAAAATCTACCAGAAACATTAATAGAATCACTCCCACATTTCACTTCTCTGATCTTTGCTTTTTCAAAAAATAGGCAACTAAGTACATTTCTCCTGAAATGTCACTGTGCATTTAAAAATATTCCAAGATGATATTTATTTTTATCCCTTATCCTCTCTGTAGCCAAATCTTACTTAGCAAATTTTGTACTTTGGTAATACAATCATAACTTCATTTACTTTGCCTACTAGCAAATATGCATATGTAACTCACAGTCCTTAAAAATAGAGTAGGTGATTTAACCTATAGAATGTGAGTTTATTCCAAATAACAGTAAAAGCACAGTAAAATTTTTGAAAAAAGAGAAAATATCCACTCTATAGGTCTGCCTTCCTGTCATAAAGTGAAAAGACAAAATTTTCCTAGTTCTTCTTAATAATAAAATCTGTTTACTACTATTCCCAAACAATTCTGTTAAATGGTGTGATGGAGTAACATTCCCACCAAAAGACAAATATATCTGTGTCACCATTTTCAGTTTCTTGATTATAATTATTTCTTACTGCTCGGCTTTGATGTATTTTGCAAACCACATCAGGGCCAGAGAGCCTCCTACCAACTTCCTCTCAATGTTTACAGAAAGGTTTACTATGTCTCTCTCTTCATCCTTTGATATCAGAAAGGTTCAGTCTACAAAACCAGGAGGATTAAAGGGCTGCTTATTAAGAAATTATTAATAACCAAGTTCTGAGCAAAGTCAACACATCAAGTTTGACAGATTTGTACGTGCCTCTAATATATTTGCTTAACTGCAGAGAAATGTTTCACCCAAGCGATCAAGCAAATAACTCATTAAAATGTTCAAAAGACTAAACAGCTTTTATTTTAGACTAAACTAATGAGAAGCAGTTGTTTTCCCACCATATGCGTGAAAACTTCAAGCATCACTTGAAGAAGGCAGATTTGGATCTTCTAGTCTACCTTAAATCCTGGTGGGATAAAGAAGCTTCCAATATTGTTGCTGAGAATCAATTGGTTTTCACAACAAAAGTACAAAACAAAGGTTAAGTTCTAATGATTGCAAAAACAAGGAACTGAAGTTGCCTACAGAAAGCACAGCAATGGGAATACCATAGTACATTCCACATGTCATCCTAGGACATTATTCTTGAAACTACCTATTTCAGTTGGAAATTACACTTTGTACCATCATATTTCTAATACTTCCAATAAATAAAGCTTCTTTGCAAGTGAAAACATATATAATCCCATTAGTAGAGTCAAAAAACATCTTATCCAGTATTTTGGGGTAGCTATACTTAGATAATAGACCACCCCTTATTTCTAGTTTCACTCATTTATGCAAATATAAAAAAGTACCTACCATGTGCCAGGTACTCTATGATGCACTGGAGATAAGAAAATAAAGAATGTATAGTCTCTGAAGTGGAGGAGAATCACTATGCAACAGAAGACGTAAACAGATGAAAACCACGGCAAGTAAAACATGCCCCAGTGAAGCTATAGGCTAGATGCGATGAGAGACCAAAGGAGGCAATAATTTAGCCTCTGACCAAGGAATTCCTGTTCAATAGGGAAGTGATTTGTCCTCAGGCTTAAAAAACAAAGGTGCTCGCCAGGTCCAGGAGTGAGAGGTGAGGTGTCATTTAAGGCATATATACATATACAAACTCAAACACACAAACGCATAGAAATGTACAGCCTCAAATAGGTAAAAATATCTGGGGTTATACAGCCTTCACATATGTCTAAATCTACGCATTTAACAGATTACAAACTAGCATCTCTATCTCTCAGCTCCATTTTCCTCTCTGTAGACTCTATACTGAGGCTGACATCCCCTTCATGGTGGCAAGGTGGCTGGCAACAACTCTAAGCTTGCATGGCAGTCTCTCATTAACCCTAGTAGAAAGAAATGTTTCTTCTTTCCTACTAGTTTTACAAAAGCCCCGAAATTGAGCCTTACTATGTCCAATTGAATCACACAATCTCCTGTTACTATGTTCAAGGGAACATGACACTCTGGCAGACCTAGGTCACAAGTCCACTCCTCCAGCCAAAAGAAGAGTCATCTTCACCCACACCACATGGAGAGGGCATAGGAAAGTTCTGGACCCTCAACAAAAATAAAGATTCAAGATGCAATGACCAGAACAAAAATGAGCGGGTGGATCTAGGGCATATTCAAAACACATGGCCACTCCAAGGGAATCTACAACAGTTCCACATGGCTAGGGTAAAGCATGTAGATTAAGGAAGGCAGGAGATCTGGCTGCAAAGATGGTGACAGCAGATGGTGGAGAATGCTTTATGCTATACTATGTAGGTCAGGATGCAGACAATCAGAACTTCTCAGATTATTAATGAATGTCCTTCTAACAGCACAGAAGTATCAACAGGGTTTAATCTCCAGGGTTTGAGGCCGGAGATTAAAGCAACTTCCTGCTTGGGCCAAAATAATTTGAAATTCACAAGTTTTAACTTTAAAACTCATGGTAACTTATAATCTAGTCTACAAGATATTCCTATTTAATGTTTTTTATTTCTATTGAGAAAACAATACTGCAGGAATTGTAAGAAAGAAGGGCTGAGGAAAGAATATTGTTCTCCTATTCATCCTCTGGCTTTGCATACCAAGGGCAACAAGTATTTACTGAGCCCCTGCTGTGTGCCAGGTCTATTTAGGAGATGACCACGTCCTCCTACTTAGGAAGCTCTGTGGAGACAAGAAGCAATCACTTAAAAGGATTAAAGATGGTATGCAAGCTGCATTCTCTGAAACCAAGTACTGAGACAGAGTTTGGGGTGCCAGATGTTTATGAGGGATCAATATCTATGAAGAGAAGACAAAAGGAGGAAGCAAGAGTGGGTGGAGAGAGAAGTTAAGCTAAGATGCAGTCCCAGCAAAGCCTCAGAACTACAACCCAGTAAGGAGTTCTGAAGCAAGAAGGACTCTTCAGAGTTGTAGTTCTTCAAGTAGAAACCTCTAGGCCTTGTCCTCCTACTTCCACTCAGGATGTGACTTGTGTGGTCAGAAGGGAAGTTGGGACTGGACTGGGGGAAGGGGGAGAGACTCTAGCTGAGGCAGATATGAAAGGAGTGGAGAGCTGAGGCTGTCTGCTGACCACGCTCCATAAAGTTCTTCCTCAAAGGAGGATCTAGGTGGCATATCTCAGTGTCTTTCCACTTTCTAGTGGAAAGTGATAAGAGCATATGTGCCTTAGAAGGATTACTCCAGGAAATACTGGGGGAAAGGACTATTGCAATAGTCTAGGTGAGAGCTGATAAGATTTGCTATTCCTTCTTTCCTTCTCTTTGGTTTTACTTTTTAGCACCTAAAATCAGGGGAAACTGGGCAAAGGAGCAGGCTGGTAGGATGGAAAAATGATGTGCCAACTTTCATTTGAATAGTTTTTCTCCTGCACACCCACATATCCTTTATTAAATTGCATTTGCATTATTTTATGGTTTACCCAGCACCATCACCTACCTCATCTCATTTGTTTGAGCCTCACAGCAAATCAACATAACTACAATATAATAAATATTAGTCAAAGTACATTATTAGCTTGCTGCTCCCATCTGCATGATGTAGGACCCCCAAGCACCATCTAGTCTTTACATGCACAGTTCCTAAAAGTAGTCTCACATGCCCTCAAAAACTAGTTCCTCTTCTCACCCCCTCTACCAGGCACCATTTCTCCCAGTTCCCCATCATTCCTCACTTGCTTTTCTCTTATTCCTTCCTTTCAACTTCCAATTCCTATGGCATCAGGCAGGTTTGAAGCAAAGAAGTAGGCTGGTCCGTTTCTTCTTGCCTTAAGTCCCATTTCTTTTTTGTTTCCTCCCTAGTTTATTTCCAATACTAGCCAGAAAGATTCAATGACCCTATTAGAATTGCTTGAATTGGGCCGGGCGCGGTGGCTCACGCGTGTAATCCCAACACTTTGGGAGGCCGAGGCGGGCAGATCATGAGGTCAGGAGCTTGAGACCACAGTGAAACCCCGTCTCTACTAAAAATACAAATAATTAGCTGGGCGCGGTAGCGGGCGCCTGTAGTCCCAGCTGCGGGAGGCTGAGGCAGGAGAACGGCGTGAACCCGGGAGGCGGAGCTTGCAGTGAGCCAAGATGGCGCCACTGCACTCCAGCGTGGGTGATACAGCGAGACTGCGTCTCAAAAAAAAAAAAAAAAAAAAAAAAAGAAGAATTGCTTGAATTGGCAAGATCTTGTCCAACTGCAACCACTCTGAACCTCTTACCACCAGCAACAGCGTCCCCAGAGGTACATCTCTGGTTTATGAGGTTGTTGTTCCTGAGTGTAGCTCCCACACCGCAGCCTTGAAAGGGCTAGTCTAAGAGATCACTGGTAGCTGCATATAAGTTGACATTCCCTGACCAATCGCTAATTGGACCTTCTTTACACCCTCTGGGAAGTGGAAATGGGTCTGCTCACTGATGTATCAGGAGCTCCTTCTCCCAAAAGAATCTTTGCCTGAATCCAGCAAGAGGGTGGGGGTGCATAATTGCCTCAAAGAGTTAAGTATTACAAGAGCTAGTTAGTATGAGGAACACAATCAGAGTGTAATCTGTTTCACTATTGTATTAGTCAGGATTCTCCAGAGAACAGAATAGGGTGTGTGTGTGTGTGTGTGTGTGTGTGTGTGTGTGTGTGTGTGTGTACACGAAGAGAGAGAGATTTTAAGGAATAGGCTCACAAGGTTTTGGAGGCCTGGAAAGTCCAAAATCTACAGGGTAGGCTAACAGTCCCTCAACCCACAGAAGGGTTGCAGTTTGAGTCCAAAGGCAATCTGCTAGCAGAATTTCCTCTTTCTTTAGAGCAGATCAATCTTTTTCTTAAGGCCTCAACTGATTGGATATTGCCCACCCACATTTTGGAAGGTAATCTGCTTTGCCCAGAGTCAATATTAATCTCATCGTTAGAAAATACCTACACAGAAATATCTGGAATAAAATTTGACCAAAATCTGGGTACCATGGCCTAGCCAAACTGACATAAAATTAACCATCACAACTATTAAAATATAAGAAAAACAAAATAGTACCATTCATACTTTGTACATTAATTATCATATGATAGAAAGTTAATATAAAAGTTACCATGTTTTTACCATAGTTTGTTTTGTTTGGAATTTTTTTTTTTACCTTTCATATCAATTAGAGTTCTTGAATACAAGCAATAAAAACTGACTCTGGTTATATTAATCCAAAGATAATATACTAGAAAAACATGAAGAGATCACAGATCAACAAAAATGTGGAAGACCAGGCCTGCAAAATGGAAAAGAATCGAAATACTTGAAGAGGTTAGACCACAGGAGACCACTGCTACTGTAAGACAGTGCACCTGCCACCTCTAGATGTCGCTGCTTTCTCGTCACCAGGCACTGTCACGTCTGCTGCCAGAGTGGAATACTGGTGCCATTAACTTTGTGCCATTTAACAGATTGAAAGTTACTATGAAACACTGGACTCAAGTCCCAGCCCTCAGTCACGTGCCCGTTCTCCAGCCTCCATTCCAAGGAGAGAGAATATTGGACTTTTTGGATTCAATGATGTGAGGTAATACCCTGCATTCAACAAGACTCACACCATGGTAGTGTCCCACAAAATGAGAATGTTCAGATTGTTGTACTCAAAGAATAAAGAATCAATGTATCCAATACTTGAAGTCAAAAGACAAATCTGCTTAAATAGCCTATTCCCAATTTGTATGCATGTTCTTTTCTTTTCTGAAAAAATTCTGAGAAGAGCATGGAGATTCCAAAGGGATTTCAACTAGGTGGCTGTGAGCCAGAGTGTCTGACTCTCACTCCTCTTCCTTTATCCCTACCCTGGATCTTGGCAGTGGGGAGGCCAGAAAATCCACCCAAGGGTATGGGCAGGATTTGGGAAGCAACCCTAAAAGAGCTAATTTGTGATCAAACTTAACTGGTCTGTAGATTATCTCACAAGAAACTCAGGAGGTATCTAACATATCTGTGGATGTACAAGTTGGTCTCTAAGTAAAGTGTTCAACAGATATTTATTAACACCTATTTTATGCCAGGCACTGTTCTACATGTTAGAAATATAGAGTTGTGTTTTTTTGAAAAGAAAGAAAACAAAGGCTGGATGTGGTGGCTCATGCCTGTAATCCCAGCGCTTTGGGAGGCCGAGGCATGCAGATCACCTGAGGTCAGGAGTTCGAGACCAGCATGACCAACATGGAGAAACCCCATCTCTACTAAAAATACAAAATTAGCTGGGTATGGTGGCATATGCCTGTAATCCCAGCTACTCAGGAGGCTGAGGCAGGAGAATTGCTTGAACCTGGGAGGTGAAGGTTGCGGTGAGCCAAGATTGTGCCATTGCACTCCAGCCTGGGCAACAAGGAAGAAACTCCAACTTAAAAAAAAAAAAAATGCTGGGTGCAGTGGCTCACGCCTGTAATCCCAGCACTTTGGGAAGCCGAGGAGGGTCGGTCACAAGGTCAGGAGACCGAGAGCATCCTGGCTAACACGGTGAAACCCCGTCTCTACTAAAAATACAAAATATTGGCCGGGCATGGTGGCCGGCGCCTGTGGTCCCAGCTACTGGGGGGCTGAGGTGGGAGAATGGCATGAACCTGGGAGGCGGAGCTTGCAGTGAGCCAAGATTGTGCCACTGCACTCCAGCCTGGGTGACAGAGCAAGACTCTGTCTCAAAAAAAAAAAAAAAAAAAAGATCCCTACTCTACTGAATTTTGCATTCTAATAGGGGAAGCCAGAAATAAACAAATATATAAATAAGTCTGCCAGGTAATACTAAGGACCATGCAAAAAGCGAAGCAGGATAAATTGGCTGAAAAGCAAAAGAAAGTACTATTTTACCTAGAGTAGTAAGGACAAGTTGTCTGGGATGATGATGCATGAGCCAACAGCTGAATAAAGTGAGTAACATTCCTATGCGTAACTGCAGGAAAAGCATTCCCGAGAGCTGATTCTGCAAGTGCATAGGCCCTGAAGTAAAAAATGTATTTGGTATGTTTGAAAAATAGCATGTAGGTCTGTGTGATGGGAGCATAATGAAGTATAAGGACAGGAAGAAAAGATTAGGTTAGAGGAGTAGCAGGGGTTGGATCATGTAGGACCTTGTAGGTTGTGGTCAGAAGCTAAGAAGTTTGGGGTTTATTCTAAGATGAGAATTTATTGGAAAATTTGTACCAGAAGAGTGGTGGGATTTAATTTACATTTTTAAAGGGTTACTCTGACTGGTATGTTGAAAAGAAAATTCTAGAAAGAGGGCAGGAACACAGAGTCCAATTACACTGTTCCCAGTGATTAACGATGAGGCTTGAACTAGGCCCTTAGCAGCAGAGATAGTGAGAAGAGGTCAGGCTGTGGCTATGTTTTGAAGGTGGAGCCAATAGGATTTACACACAAGATGTAGAACTTGAAACAGAGAAAAGACAATGATGACTTCAAAGCTTTCGGTCAGAGCAACAGTAATAATAGAATTGTCATCATCTGAAATGGGAAAGACTGAAAGATGAGGATATTCAGATAAAGAGTTCTAGTTTGGCACATGTTAAATTTGAGATGCCTAATAGGCATTCAAGTGGAGATGTTAAGAGGTCATTAAAGATAAAAAGGATTCAGCGAAGAGAATGTGAACTGAGTAGCCAGAGAGGTGGACAGAGAACAAAGAGACTGGGGTATACTGAGTGGCAAGAGATGAAAAAGTTTCAAGGAGGAGGTGATGAACTATGTCAACTAAAATGAGAACCATATAAGATGAGAGAACCATGTCAAGTAAAGTGAGGACCATTGGATTTGACAACATGAAGGTCGTTGGTGACCTTGATAATATAGTTTCAGAAAACATAAGCCTGGTTATACTAGATTCTAGTGAGAATGGGGGACAATGAAGTAGAAGAGGCAATTGACATGCTTTTGAGAAGTTTATTCTCAAAGGGAGCAGAGAAATGGAACAATAGCTAAAGGGAAATGTGGAGCTGAAAGTAGATGAGTTAGTTAATTTGTTGATGGAAGTATGTGAATAATGTCTTCCAACTGCTTCTATTTTCTCAGAGAAACAAGCAAGGTCTTGGTGGAGAGCAAGGCAGTGGAGAGATGCTGAAATTTGAGGAGAGAAGAAAAGGCATGTAGCAAAAATGATTTGTCCTATATCCATTTTCTCTCTCTTCCTTAGTAAAAGAACCCCTATTTTTAGCTTGGCCCTGTGTTACACAGAGAAAGATTTTATGTTCTATCCTCCCTTTCAGTTAAGTGTGATGAGTTGACGATGTGTGATTATGGCAAAAAGTATGCAGTTGTATGATACTACCAAGAAGACTCCTTAAAGGGGAGTACCTCAGCTGAGAGGTGCCTCGTGTGTCTCGTGCCTTCCTCTTTCTGCTCCTTGGAACTCAGATATGAAGACTGACACTCCAGCAACCATATTAGTTACCTTGAGGATAAAAGCCATGTATAAGCATGGCAGAGGAAGAAGAAAAAAATAAGGAAGGTTCTTGAGTCCCTGACAACTTTGTAGAACTTTCAAAGAGCCATTAAATACTTTCTTGTGCTTTATGTAAGAAGATTCATCAGTGGATTTCTGTTACATTCAGCTGAACCTAATCCCCACTGTGTATTGTGTGAAATAGCCACATGGAAGTACGGGAGAGTGTTGAAAGGAGAAATGACCTAAGTTTACCAAGCCTACTAGAGCTTCATGGTCATATATTTAGAGTGAGCTAGGTCATCATGGTTATGTCTTTCTCAGTTGCTCAAGTACAGGGAACAAGGAGATTTACCAGGGTTGGATTTTGCCAAACATACAACTGTAGAGAGGAATAAGACAGTTAAGAAGGCACACAGCAGAGTGTTATCATGATGGAAAGTGGAATCTAAATGAAGTGACAAAGGAAGTAAAAACATAATGGGGCTGAGGTAAAGTGAAAGTATTTTAGCATCCTTAGATTGAAGGCCCTGATGGGGGTGAAAAATTGAAATAAGTGTGGAATGCTTGAAATTAAGATTTTAACTATAGTTGATGTCAATATCTAAGGTATGTCCATGAAAGTGGGTAGTTGAGAAGCTGAGAGAGGATATGAGACAAGACTAAGGAGATGACATCTAATTTACACTGAATCCTGTGATTGGAACTTGGGTCTAGACTAGGTTGCCTTTAGAGACTGAAATCTAACTTAGTCACATGAAAATTTGCTGGGGTTTCTCAACTTATTTTTAAAAGATAGTTAGTTTTGTACTTCATTATTATCACAAGCCAATCATAATCATCATCTCTGTCCTAGTCCAGTGCCCATCTGTTGCATACCAAGTGACTGCCAGGTCATTGTGATCAATTACTAATAACAAAAACCATGTGCAAATGGTGAAAGCAGAAATTAATAACTTTTTTTTTAGATGGAGTCTCAGTCTGTCACCAGGCTGGAGCGCAGTGGCACAATCTCGGCTCACTGCAACCTCCACCTCCCGGGTTCAAATGATTCCCCTGCCTCAGTCTCCCAACTAGCTGAGACTACCGGCACGCACTGCCATGCCCGGCTAATTTTTGTATTTTTAGTAGAGACGGGGTTTCACTGTGTTGGCCAGGCTGGTCTTGAACTCCCAACCTTGTGATCTGCCCACCTTGGCCTCCCAAAGTGCTGGGATTACAGGTGTGAGCCACCGTGCCTGACCCTAATTAATAGCTTTTTTAAAAAATTAGCAACCTGCAGCAGAAGATGAATAATGAACTTGCCCAAGAACACGTGTAGAGCAGATGACTTCAGTGGGTTTCTCAGTGAGTAAATCTGGTTTTTCTAAGTGGATAAATGCCCCCATCAGAGTAGCTTATGAAATAGGAACCCTTTTTCCCTATTAACTATGTTACACACAGTGAAATTCCACCCTCCACTCCAGTGGAAATTACCAACCCTAAAACAAAAGAAATGAAAAGTATCCCTGCTGTTAGCACAAGGCAGGCTCTTTAATCTTTTTAAGCACTTAAAGAAAACCTAGATGTGCTTTTCTAAACTTGAATCCCTATTAAAATCTGACACCTGGACTTCTTATAGTACACTGATTTTCTTGTTCCAAATGTATTCCTTGTGGACCCCTAATGTGGCAAACATAAAAGTAAGCTTGCTTTAGTTAAGGCAAGAGTAGAAGTCTGGAGCATGCACACTTGGTTTTCTGCTTATCTATGTTTGGCAGCCATTGGAGGACACCCATCCAAGGGATCATAATTTTTAAACAGTGATCAAGTTCAGTCCCCATTGTGAACAATGACCCTAGTGTACACATTCTGTTTATGGCATGACTTAGACCTAAACTAAGATGGTTTTTTAATATTTACATATTTATATGTATTTATTTTGATGAATTATTTACTTTCTTGTTTTTGTATTAATGATGTGTTTAAGAGACAAATAAATGGAGGAAAGACAGAAAGGTATAAATCCTCACTGTCCTAGTCCTTCTCTTGATAGCTGTTACCTTCCTTCTTGCAGAAATCTATAGATATCTCTGAAAAACAGAAGGTATTTTTAAAAGAATTCAAATTGTAACTATTAGAGTTTGAAAAAAGATGGTACCTCTGAAAGAAATTCAGATTTCCCATGTTTTCTTATGGGCTCATATTCACTATTAAAGGTAACAGTTAATCAAACTAAGTGTAATGATTGGCTCAAAGGCCTCATGCCACTGAGCAGTATAGGGTTTTGAACTCTAGAATACATAAGAATCCTGATATAATGAAAATTCCTGGGCCATGCTACCCAGAAACTAGCTCCAATAGGTTTGAGATGGAGCCTCGGAACCTGCGTTCTTAATAAGAACCTTTGGTAAATAAGATATTTTCTAATATCCTTCTAATGTCCTACCTATAAGTATTATCTAAAAATATGTTACCTCTAGAGATGGAAATAAAACGACTTTTTTCTATGTGTAGATAACCACCTTTATATTATATAAACAAAAATGGAAGGATCCATGTTACCAGATGTGTTTACTTTTAAATATTTTTTAAATTAACAGTGTGGAATGTCCTCCAATACGCCAAGCATACTAGAGAGTTTCACATTTATTGCCTCTAAAAGTGGATGTCAGTGAATCTGACTTATTGAGGCATGCTTACAGCCTATGGTATTTTCACTGGTTTGACGCATTGTGCCATTGTAAAGGGTAACCCATCAGTTGTCTAACATTTTATCCAAAATCTATTTGAATCATTGCCATCTTGAAAAGTAATAAAATGAAACAAAGAATAGATGTGGGCCAGGCACAGTGGCTCACGCCTGTAATCCCAGCACTTTGGAAGGCCGAGGTGGGCGGGGCACTTGAGGTCAGGAGTTCGAGACTAGCCTGGCAAACATGGTGAAACCCCGTCTCTACTACAAATACAAAAATTAGCTGGGCATGGTGGCAGATGCCTGATTACTGTACATTATATGTATGAAAACATCACTAGGTACCTTATAAATTTGGACAATTATTGTGTGTCATCTTAAAAAATAAAAAACTCCAAAAGAGGGACAAATGACAGAGCATAAAAAAATCAGGAGTATTAAGCTCCTTGGAAGAGCAAATAAAGTGTCAGAAAGGAAGCTAAAAACAAACTTGGTCAAATTTACAAGATTCCCTAGCTGTGGGAAGCTTGACTGGATAGTGTGCTAATCGAAAAGGCTAACAGGACTTCAAGGTTGACCAACTCTTTTCAACCCATAATCACGCTCTCCTTCCCTACCCATGGCCTCCCCATTAGCATTCTCATATCTCAAGGATTTCCACTTATGACAAGGACAGAAAAGAAAGAAAATTGAATGGATTCTTAGTGGAATCAACTTAATCATAAATATAAGTATATAACCTGCTTTAATGGTATGTTTAGGAAATTTTTTCTTTGTGAAAATACAACAGAAAATATTGCATGTGTATCAGTAACATTTTAGATAAGTCTAATGACTAAAGTTTTTAAACTTTTGCTTCTGAGATTCAGGAAGAAAAAAGGGTTATTGTTTACATTCAATGCATAGAGATTACGCCATCTCCACTTCTCAAGCAACTTTTTTTTAAATTCACACCAAAGTAACACATAGATCTCTATTTCTTTTTACTAATTACTAATTGCTGTAATTCAACAAGTCCTTATATTTAGTCATGATGGAGGTAAGGCCAGCTGTTTTTAAGTTTAAATACGCTTATTTTATATTCAGAAGACTCATTATAGAGTAAAAATATTTCTGAGAAAAGCTCTTTCTAGATGTGGTGTATTTTAACTAGTTGTTTACATAGGGGAATGTAAGGTGATTTATCTAAATTACAAATTTGCTAAATTATTTAATAATTTGAGTAGATGAATCTTATGCCTATTAAATTATGGATAAAGCTGGGCAGAATGTGATGATTACTATAAAGTAAGTAACAGTCCTATTTCCTATACCACTTAAATGGCTACAAGAAAAAACACTATGATCGCTTTTTGTATATTGTATTACACAAAAAAGTTTCATCTCCAAGTCAGATGGTTAGCTCTAGGCTAGAGTGAATTGGCAGTAAATGCCAGGATATTGTTTGCTGGAAATTAACTCTCATTTAGATGTTTCTCTGAATATTCCATTACTTTTGGGACTAAAGACAGAAACTTCCAAATAGGCCTTCAGAATCCTTAACAGTCAAGGGGATTGTTTAAAAGATCCCACCTGCTTGTATAGCCAAGTGAGAGAATGTTGGAATTTCACTGTTTGTCTTTGGTGCCATGGGATCCTATAGAATAATCAAGATGTTGAAATATTTACTAAGCATAAACAGCTTGCTAAGGAAGGAAGGGAGGGAGGGAAGCAGGGAAGAAGGAAGAAAAGAAGGCAGGAAGGAAGGCAGGCAGGCAGGCAGGCAGTGGGGAGCAGGGGAGCGAGGGAGCAAGGGAGGGAGAGAAGGAAGATAGGCTTAAAATAGTCTTAGGAATCTACTAGATTGCCTTCAGAGTTTTATCTTTGTGCTTCAGTGCCCCACCATCACTGACAAGCATTTAAGCTGCAGATGACATGAGCTGAAATACAGTAGCCATCGCCCTTCTTCCTTGCTTAGAATTCTTCTCTTCTTTTAGTATTTCACTGGATGTAAACTGACCTAACAATTTGTCCATTCAACAATTGTTCAACACTTTGTTGGTAAATACCAATAGTTTCTACTTATTAAAGATGGGTGGGGACTTTTTGTTTTTTTCTCCCACAGCCTCTCTGCTGGGTGGTAGGCTATAATGAAAGTAAGTCTCAGGTTACAGTCTGCTATGCATATAAACATTTGTTACAAGTAGTAACAACAAAAGTCAAGCACCTTGTGATAGTCATAGTGCTGTTACCCAAATACTCTCAACCCTTTGTCTTCTGGTCACAAAGTAGCCTTGTATTTGCCAAAATGAGACCCTCCAGAGGGTGTTTCCTCTTTTCTATCTTCCAATGTTCTAACTAGTGGTTGCTCATTAGGACAGGGGTTTAGAGTGATGGTAATGCAGAGTGGACTCTCTCTGCAGATGGTAATGCAGAGTTTACTCATGCATTTAGCATGAGTAAAAAATAAGACTGTGTTGTTTTAACTACTGAGATTCTAGGGGTTATTTGTTAGCAAACATGATCTAGTTTTCCTAATACATAGTTGTCACTATAAGCTCAGTGAAGTCCCCCTTTTGTCCTTATTTAAATTCCAACAAGTATCTTGAATGAACATTTTATTCTGAAGTATATGCAATAATATTATGACAGTAGGATCAGCTAATCTTCTAAAGATAGAAAATTGAATCCTCCATATTCAATGTGAGGGAGGACAGGAATTGATGATGAGCTAAATGTTGTGTCTAGGGAACCATTCTGAAATTAAGTGACTAGGCTCACCAGATTTAACCTATTCATGCAAGGTACCTGTGCAATCATTTTAGCCAAACTTACATCTTTAAAGACATCCATTTGACCAATTCACAAAGTATTTCTAACACCCTTTATGTTAAATAATAGATGTTTACTCATAACTAGCACGTTAATTAGGTGTTCTACAACCTGTTTTTGGAGGCGTTGGAACTCAGGTGTGCCATCTTAAGACTGGAAGATAGGACATCTGCTATCAGAAGTAAGTTGCTTTAACAGCTGCAAATCTGCCAAACTGTGAAACATGACATCTAGGACACCCAGAGAAAGCCTCCACCTTGTATTCTAATCACTGCCATTGTCACTAGCTGAGGTCTCTGCCAGGTCTCAGTAATCTAGATATGAGAGAAGATGGTTGATATGGTTTGGCTCTGTGTCCCTACCCAAATATCACGTTGAATTGTAATTCCCAATGTTGGTGGAGGGACCTGGTGGGAAATGATTGAATCATGAGGATGGATTTTCCCCATGCTGTTCTCATGATAGTGAGTGAGTTCTCACTAGATCTGATGGTTTAAAAGTGTGTAGCACTTGCCCTTAGCTCACTCTCTCTCTTACCACGTGAAGAAAGTGTTTGCTTTCCCTTCGCCTTCTGCCATGAGTGTAAGTTTCCTGAGGTCTCCCAGTCATGCTTCCTGTTAAGACTGCGAAACTGTGAGTCAATTAAACCCCTTTTCTTTACAGATTACCCAGTCTTGGGTTGTTCTTTATATTTAATAGCAGTGTGAGAACAGACTAATACAATGGTTCTTTCCCCAGCACCCGCCCACCCTACCCTAGTCAGTACTGCACTGAGCCATACATACTCCTTGCCAAAATTGGCTTGGGCTTCCACTGCTTCCCGTTTCATATCTCTAAATTTACTGACCATATTTGTCAAAGTCCCAACAGATAGTTGTCTTAAAACAAATAAATGTTTTTAAAGGGACTATTGTCAAAGGTATGGGCATGATGCAGGGAAATCCAAGGAGTAGCCCAATGCTCCAGAGCTAATGACAGTGGAGAGTGGTTACCACCCCAGGCCTGAAGGTCTAGGGGAAGGAAGAGGATACAGGAAACCAGAGACAGGACACTGATTGACCAGAGCTGTGATCTTTGGTTGAAGAATACAACTAGCCTGCACCAAGCCCACAGAGAGGGAGCTAGAGGCACAGGGGTACCCAACTTCATCCTTCCATGTCCTGCTGGTGAGTTCAATTGGTGAAGCCAACTGGAAAAAAGAAGGCAAGGATGCCCAGTGATGTAATACAGAAAAGTCAGCATCTCAGAGCAGAGGAGGAGAGCAAGTGCCTCTGGAGAAGCAAATGGAAAATATCCAGCCCTATTACAGCTATCTCACAGGGTACAAGCCTGCCCCAGCAGGCTGGGCTAGAACCTACCGACTCCTAGATCCAGAACCATCTTTCCCACTGGCCCTGTTTTTACTCCCAAGTATACAGGAAAAAGTTTGTGTTTCAGTGCAGTACCAAACATTGTCTATATATTGCATATCCTTTCAGTTTATCAGAGTCTAGCCTTTCATTGCTTTACGCTATTTTATAACTCTGTAAGTTAGTAGAAATGCAAATTCTATTACAGTAGATTTTCTATTAGCTTCCCTCCCTTCTGTAGAAAAACCAGTTTCACCTTGACTTGCCATTCAATTCCCTTAATCCATATAAATTTGTGCTTTTTGACTTTCCCTTTGAATTGGATATAAAATCTGACAGGTTCTGTCATATATGAGTAAAATAAAATCTTTAACATGTGTTAGTTTTTTGTTTTTTGTTTTTTTTTGAGAGAGAGTCTCACTCTGTCGCAGGGCTGGAGTGCAGTGGCATGATCTCGGCTCACTGCAAGCTCTGCCTCCTGGGTTCACGCCATTCTCCTGCCTCAGCCTCTCAAGTAGCTGGGACTACAGGCACCGGCCACCACACCCGGCTAATTTTTTGTATTTTTTAGCAGACGGGGTTTCACCCTGTTAGCCAGGATGGTCTCGATCTCCTGACCTCATGATCTGCCCACCTCGACCTCCCAAAGTGCTGGGATTACAGGCGTCAGCCACAGCACCCGGCCCTAACGAGTGTTCATTTTTATATCTGTAAGAGTCACGATTTTAACTCTGAGAATTATCTTTTAACCAGAATCTCAGTCTTTTTCCTATCAGAAGGTACTTGGCATCCTTAGGCAAATTTGCCTAGCCCTGCCCTAGCAAACTGCAAATTTGGCAAATCAATAATTTATTTCAAAGTTTAAAAAATAGATATCTTGTTATGCAAGGTTTGTAGAAAATAAGCAAGTTGATGGCATACTAAGAAAATACTCTGTGCCTACTTTATGAAATGTTGAAATGTTAATCCTTTAATGGTATATCATAATCCTATCCTTTTGATTCATTTTGTTGGTGTGACCATGACTCAGAACCACAATGAAACACTGAATTTGATACAATGGTATTTGGTTTCACAGTCTAATTACTGTATTTTTTTTTTTTTACCTCTTCTCAAATATCTGTTGGAGACAACCACAAGTCAGCTTTACTGGGTGTGAAAGCCAATGAGCATTAGATGAAAAGCTCCAAGCACTTCTAATAGTCTACCGAGGGTGTGTGTGTGTGTGTGTGTGTGTGTGTGTGTGTGTGTGTGCGTGCATCCTACCTTCCATGGGCAACTAACTAAAGACAAAAAAAACAAATGAAATGATCAAAGATTCTGGAAATAATTACTTTTAAATTGCCTCCTACTTGCAGGATTGAGGAATTATTTCCAATTTGATTAATCAATATGTTATCCTTCAAAATCATGCCTTCCATTATTAAAATGCTAACACCAGCTAAATCTGGCCTCCAGCTACTTTTCCTGCCTTAATTTCCACTATGCCAAAACAAAAACCTTTTCACAGCACTCAGACTTGACTATTCCTTTAACTGAACATTCCTGTGCTCATGGCCCAGGGCCCCGAGTGACTCACCATCATTCCCATCGGAGCCCTCCTGAACTGCCAATCAGCTCACTCCTGCCAATATAAATTCCTTCAACATTAACTAAATCACCTCTTCGATGAGATTTTTCCTGACCATCCCAGCTGTAAATAGCTTAACAGCTGCACCTGTGTTGACAATTATAGCTTCATGTCACAGATTCGATGGTGCAAGGTGGGCTAAGTCGGGGGAACAAGTATTACTGACAGGCTGGATCTGTGCTATAACAAATAACAATACTATCAAGCACATATCTTCCCTCTATATATTATAAAATAATTAAGAAAAAGCTACAGGAGTTAGGCAGGAGTCAAAATGTCAGCTTTATTGCTGGCAAAACTGGATTAGAGGTTACTGCTTACACCTGAGGATGAAATCAAATTTCCTATTACCTACCCCTGAGTTAAATCAATTTACTTACCTAGTACTGGGGCTAAGAAGCCTTTCCAGGGCTTGTATACCCATCAAAGAGCAAGATAAATGAAGAGAACATATGCATCTCTTAAACAGAGTGAGCTATATATGCTCACTAGCCTTTTTGCCCTGAGGGTAGTAACAAAGGCGCTAGAGTATAGGACAAAGGCTACTTATTAAAGGACAGAAATCTACAATTTATGAGCCTGTAGGAACACAGAATGAATGAGAAAGTGATCATGGCTACAGGCAAAAGGTCTGGGATTAACTGGTTCAATATCTCATCCCATCTGAGGAATACTGGCTCCCGCAATAAAACCAGCACACCTGTTGATAAGATAAAACTGAACTCATTGCTCACTATGGTAAGGGAGAAAATCACCCCCCATAGAGCTCTGACAGTGTCAGGATAGGGGGCTCGTCAGAGCAAAGCAAGGTCAGAATTTATTGAGAATTGGAAGTTTGGTTTCAAATAGGTCTTTCAATGTGGGAACTTGATTAGGGTTAGGTAAGGAACACAATAAAACAGTCCAGGATTGGTAAAAACAGCAAAGGAGAACTATGAAATATGAGGGATTTAAAAGAATCTTAAGGTACAAACTATCTACTGATGCTTTCCACTGAAGAGTTGATGGCACTTTTGGAAAGTTCCTGATATGGTTTGGCTGTGTGCCCACCCAAATCTCATCTTGCATTGTAGCTGCCATAATTCCCATGTGTCATGAGAGGGACCCAGTGGGAGGTAATGAATGATGGGGGCGGGTCTTTCCCATGCTGTTCTCATGATAGTGAATAAATCTCATGAGATCTGATGGGTTTATGAAAGGGAGTTCCCCTACACAAGCCCTCTTGATTGCCGCCAGGTAAGGCATGACTTTGCTCCTCATTTGCCTTCTGTCATGATTGTGAAGCCTTCCCAGCCATGTGGAACTGCGTGTCCATTAAACCTCTTTCCTTTATAAATTACCCACTCTCCGGGAATGTCTTTATTAGAAGCGTGAGAACAGTTCCCATAATAAATAATCAAGCCATTTGCCTGGAAAGAGATTCCTAGAAAAATAGTCTTTTGATAGAAACAGTGGAATATCAAAGTGACATTAGTATAGACATTAAGGAGTGGTTTCAGTTCTCAACGTCCAGCCTGAGTGTGGGAGTAGATGATGTTGGTTCTCAACTTCATTTTGAGAAGAAAGCTGAGACTCTCTGGAGCAGAAATTTAGAGACTAAGACCCCAGACCTTTCTCCTTGAAATTTAAAGCATGGAAGCCATCATATTAAAAAGAAAAACTCAAGTCTGACTTTGGAAGTCCAAACCTTCACAAATCCCAGAAAAAAAACTTCCTCAAAACCACTCCATTCCCATTTCTCCCTAAAGACCTCTTGGTAGCTGTATTATCCAGGGTTTTCCAGAAACACAGAACCAATAGAAGAGACAAAATGTAGTGAGAGAGGGAGAGAGAGATTTAAGGAATTAGCTCACGCAATTGTAGGGGCTGGCAAAGGCAAGCCAGCAGTCTGGAAACTCAGGCAGTTTTGAAGTAGAAGCTGCAGTCTTAAGGCAGAATTTCTTCTTCTTCAGGAAACTTCAGCTGGAGGAGGCTCCTAAGGCCTTCCACTGATTGGATGAGGCCCACCCACATCATCAAGAGTAATATTTACTTAAAGTCAACTGGTTGTAGATGTTAAACTTATCTACTAAATACCTTCACAGAGACAGGTAGATTAATGTTTTGTTAAATAACTGGGCACTGTAGGCTAGTCAAATTGACACATAGAACCAATCATCATGGCAACTGCTCAAAAATGTATTTTCCCTCTCTCCTGAAACTCTACAAAAATGTTTGGCTGCATTGGCTCACCTCTCTTCTCACCCGTTCCCCCAAACCTCTTCTCTTTCTGCCTTCTGCCATCTGGATCAACATTTCACTTCTAGAAGCAACTGTTTGCCCTTTATAACAATGTAACAGCAGTTTTTAAAAAATTTTCTGTCATATGAAGGAATTAATACTATTAAAGGTTGACACACATTTGAGTCAAATTCATGATAAATTCAGAAAAGTGCATGCAGAAATTTAAGAAGACATCAGCAATTATCAATGGGTTATTTTTGCCTCAGTTTATATTAGTCAAGTGATTTAGCCTTTCTCACTCCTCTCTCTCATAACCTTCTAAGTCATTCATAGGCCAAATATACAGTAAATGGAAATTTCCCAAGATAAATGTAGAGAACTTTCACAATAAAATGTATTAATAAACTGGTGGCTCACGCCTGTAATCCGAGCACCTTGGGAGGCCAAGGGCGGGGTGGATCACCTGAGGTCAGGAATTCTAGAGCAGCCTGGCCAACATGGTGAAACCCTGTCTCTACTAAAAATACAAAAATTAGCCAGGCGTGGTGGTGCAGGCCTGTAATCCCAGCTACTCTGGAGGCTGAGGCAGGAGAATCCCTCGAACCCAGGAGGCAAAGGTTGCAGTGAGCCGAGATCATGCCACTGCCTTCCAGCCTGAGTGACAGAATAAGACTCCGTCTCAAAAAAAAAAAAAAAAAAATTAATAAATCTATGCTGAAAAAAAATGTTCTGTCATGGAGATAAATATAAGACAAATGACTTGCAAACTCACACAGCCAAACAGGTTGACACCCCTCAACCTTGAACTTTGTATCTTCTGACTTCAGTGTGCCTGCCTCAAGTGCCTCTGCCATTCCGTGTGCTGCAATGGCTCTAACGCCACATTTTACAGCAATGGTGTTGTTTTGCATGACCATTCTCTGAGACAGAAAATAATCCCAAAATATTTTAGCATCTGTATACTAAGTAAGGCACTGTCTGTAAAATAAGTTATCCTTCTAAAATGCTGATGATAGACATGCCATTTATCTAGTTCCGACAAAAGCAGTGAAAAAAAGTTTTAATGAGACAGCATTAGGCATGTAGTATAGGGTATACTTCTCATTCAATTTAAATCTTGTTCAAGTCATCCAGCAGATGTGGGACTGGATAGAACAATTAAGGCCAAGAGCTCTATGGTAGGCAGAGTAATGAGCCCCCAAAGATGCCCATGTCCTAACCCCTAGAATCTGGGACTGTGTCATTTCACATGGCAAATGGGACTTTGCAGATATGATTAAATTAAGGATCTTGAGATCGGGAGATTTCCCTGGATTATCAGGGTGGGTCTAACGTAAATCCAAGGGTCCTTACAAGTGAAAGAAGAATATAGAAGAAGAGTCAGTGTCAAAGTGATGCAGTGTGAGAATATCTTGACCTGTCATTGCTGGCTTTCAAGATGGAAAAGGGTCAGGAGCACTGAATGTGGGCAGCCTTAGAAGCTGGAAAAGGAAAGGATATGGATGCTCTCCTAGACCTCCAGAAGGAACTCTCCTCTGCCATCACTCTGGTTTCTGCCTAGTGAGATGCCTTTCAGACTTCTGACCTCCAGAACTGTAAGATAATGAATTTGTGCTAAGCCACAAGTTTGCGGTAATTTGTTACAATAACAATAGGAAACTAATACAAGCTCCCTGGCGTCCAAAGTTGTAACAACTGAGAAGGCCTTGCTTTGACAAATTACAAGAAACGTCTGCTGCCTTTTCAGACACAGTAATTCAGGCTCTATCTGCTTATACCATCCTACACAGTTCCTTTAGATTGGGGGTCAGGTATTCAAATAACAAGGACAGCAAGTAATATAAATGAGAAAATGGATGGATGTAAGAAACTGGGGATTAGTGATGACTGAGGCAAATGAGAAGTACATGCACCATCCAAGGCAGTGCATCCAAGAAAACTTTCTGCAGAAATGGTCATGTTCTGTATCTGCACGGTCCAATACGATAGCCACATGTGACTATTGCTAATGTGAATAAGTAGCTGAATTTTTAGTTATATTTAAGGTTCATTCACTTAAATGTAAATATAAAATATCCACATGGGCTTAGTGGCTACCTTGTTGAACAACACAGATCTAAAAGGTGAAGAAATGAAGGCCTAGTGTGTCCAGATCTTCTGATGTTTCAAAAGAAACCAAAAAAAAAAAAAAACAAAAAAATGTATGCTGAAATATGCTAGATTTTACATGTTGGCTTAAATTTTCATTTAAGCAGTCTGCGGGCCAAGGATGTTGATGTATCCTGCCAGCAGAGCAAACAGTGTTCTCTTGCTCTAGATTTAAACACAATCTATATTAGTCTCAGACCAGCTTTCCATATTCACCAATTATGTCTAAGAGGCACATTCCTCAGATACCAAGAAGACCCCCAAGGGGGATTCAGATGTCCTGTAGGTTCAAGACACAGGCTCCCAATCTCATCACTGTCATTATCTTCTGAAGTTCTTTCACAGTCTCTGATCATAGGATCTAACACAAACTGAAATTCTTAAATTCTGTGAGACCTAAAATCAAATCTTATACTTTTTTTGAAGATCTCATTAGTGCCTGGAACAGAGATTCTATGTCCAAAGCCTCTGCATACTTATTGTTATTCTTATTGAATCAGAGAAGGAAATTTTATCATAGACATGTTCCACTGAGAACAAAATTAATGTATAAAATTCCAGATCTACAACAAATAAATTAGTAAGTAATTTTATGTCTAAATAGAGAATTCTTTAGACATAATTCTAGTGACAAAAATTAATATTATATGCAATTATTTGTGGACATACCAATTGCACTAAGCAGTGATACTGTCTGATCTAAGTTGATTGTCTCTAAACCATTATCAATAAAACAGAAACATATCTGACAACCAGGCTTTCTATCAGAACTGAATAACAAATAACAAATTTTTTTTTCAAATTTTAGGTAAGAAATTTAACATCATTATTCATCAAATTCAACATCATTATTTCTATATGTATTATGTCATTTGGTCAACAAGATAATTCTACAGACAAAAGGATCCCAACATACAGTCCAAATTCAAGGTAATTTATTAAAAACGAATTGTCCATCTCAGAAAAAAGGCAAAGAACTTGAATAGATATTTCTCCAAATAAGGTATACAAATGGTCAATGGCCACATGAAAAGATGCTCAACATCACTAGTCATTAGGGAAAGTATAACCACAATGAGATACCACTTATCCATTAAGATGGCTACCATCAAAAACAAAAAAATACACACACACCAGAAAATAACAAGTGTTGATGAGGATATGGAGAAAGTGGAACCTTTGTGCATTGATAGTGAGAATGTAAAATGGTGCAGCCACTGTGGAAAACAGTTTGTCGGTTCCTCAAAAAGTTAACATAGAATTATCTCTCTAGGCCAGCTTCAGTAAGAAAAAAAGAACTGCCATGTAATCCAATAATGTCACTTCTGTATATATACCCAAAAGAATTGAAAGTAGAGACTCAAACAGATACTTGTAAGACAATGTTCATTGCAGCATTATTCACAACAGTCAAAAGGTGGAAACAGCCCAAGTGTCCTTCAACAAATGAATGAATAAACAAAATGTGGTGTGTGTGTGTATATATAATTTATATATATTTATATATATATAAAAATGTTATACACACACACACACACACACACACACAATAGAATATTCAGCCTTAAAAAGGAATGAAATTCTAATACATGCTACAATTTGGGTGAACCTTGAAAACATTATGCGAAATGCAAGCAGACACACACACAAAAAAACAAATATTGTGTGGTTCCACTTATGTGTGGTATCTAGAATAGTCAAACTCATAGAGGCAGAATGTAAAATACAGGTTAGCAGTGGCTGAGGGGAAAAGGGAATTGGTAGTTATTATTTAATGGGCACAGAGTTTCTATTGAGGATGATGAAAAACTTTAGAAATGAATAGTGGTTATGATGGCACAACATCATGAATGTATTTAATGCCAGTGAATTGAACACATAAAAATGGTTACAGTGATACATTTTGCATTACGTATATTTTACCACAATACAAATAAAAACTAATTGCTGTTTGATTTCTCTAGACCACTGCTTCCCTTCCACTCCCAATTAGTGATAATAACTAAGAGGCACTGAACACATACTATTTAGCAGACTTTCTGAGCTATGAAGTAGCATGCAAAATTGTCATCACAGTCATTACATTATGTCATCACAGGCATTATAGTGTATGAGAACAGAGGATTTAAATAACAAGACAAGTCATGGAAAACTGTAGAATTCCTTTCACTAGTAAAAGACATCCAAAATTTCACAAGTCTAAAAAGTGGGAAAGGACATTATTTAATCATTCTACAAAAGTCTACAAACATGACCATAAGAGAACACAGAAATTTGAAGCCTGCTTTCTATCTCACTATAAACAAACCTCTAATATATGGCTGAGATCATGCAACAGTTCACAAAAACATAAGCATTTTATAGGAATCATATCTGTCTTCAAGTCCAATACAAAAAAGGTAAATCTAATAACAAGCCATGATTTTGCTGCAATGAGAGCTCTAAGGAGCAGATATTTTCATTAAGTTGGTCTATCACAGGCCCCTTCTAAAAAGTTTTAGCTAAGAAAGTGCCCAGAAGTTCATTACATGGTAGGTTTAATACCCAAAGACATGCCTGTATACTGACTCCAAGTACAGCAGTATTCTAACTAGGTTCTGGAAAGTTCTACCTGAGTTATACTGAATCTAAATAACCATAGTATTAAGATCAAGGTCAAAACTCCTTTGGGTCCATTTCAGCAATTTAAATTTTGATGAAAATTACCACTGGTTGGATTGGCCTAATCAAAGCAAAATTGATTTAGTTGATGGATGCTCAACCTTAAGGTCCCTTATGGTTCTAGCATACTTCCATTGTATTGTTGCAAAAATTGTTGAAATATGCAGTCCTTCCATCCTAAGGGCTATTAATTTTGAGACGATGAGTACCCACAGTCTTGAGTTTATGATTGCCTACTTCATTGTTTAATAAAACATTAACAATTGTCAATTAAGCTTTAATGATAGTATTAAAATGCAAAACAGGATAATTCATACACTTTTCTATTACTTGGAAACAGAATTTTTGTTCTACAGAACAAAATCTGTTAAAATAGCCTTTATGTATAAATTGAAACAGAATAATTTGCTTAAAACAGATAATAATTAACTCATGTGGCTTTAAAATTTACAAAGTGTTGTAGCGTACATTTCCTTATCTAATTCTCATTAATATGTTGTGATGTGGGCTGTAGACTGAATATTCAAGTTTTCCATTATAAAATCTAAAACAAAAACATAATGCAAATAGCAATGGCTCTGAGTGAACTGAGTGCTACCTTAAATTTACAAAAGAAATCTTCACAATTTTTTTCTTGATAAAACCAGCAATAATTTCCTTGGGACTAGAACTATAGTGTTGAAATGATTCTTGGGCCTAAGTCACATGTTTGTGCCATTCAACATTACATTATGTGGGCAAGTGAAGCAAACACAAATATCAACATAAAAAGAAAACACAAAGATAAAACTGAATAAGTAGCTATAATACTAGACATCTTAATCACCACAGAAAGACAAATAAGAACGGAAGGATGAAAATCTGCTATTCAAAATAAATGTTAGTGGCTCATGTCCCCAGCACTTTGGGAGGCCAAGATGGGAGGATCACTTGAGCCCAGGAGTTCAAGTTCACCCTGGGCAACACAGTGAGACCACATCTCTACAAAAATAAATAAATAAATGTGAGTTAACCTTAAATTATTTGGAAAGATTTTAGTTTTTAAAATTAGTTATGCTTGAGTTTATGTTTTGAGGACTTTGTGTGTTTTGAACATATAACAATGATAAATAACATTTTTAAAAGATGACCAAAACATATGACTGCATTTAAAATTGAGATAAGCAACTCCAAGAAGCAAGGGCACCAAAATATTCAGTAATGAGCAGGACCCAGCAAGGCCTGTGGTCCTTTGCATACATAAGTAGGCAGAGGATTCTGGGAATTTGGCTGTGTTGGGAAGAGGCTGGAGTTGGACTCCTCTGCTCCTAAGAGGAGGAAGAATATATGCTGCCAACCATTGCCTGTAGCTGCTACTTACACAAACCTCATGCCTAATGAGGCAGATGGACACACACAGCACCTTGCGACAAGATACTGAGCCAAGCCATCCCCTGACTCTGTGACTGATTCTGCAATAGCCCAATTATCACTGAGGGACAAGAGCAAGAAAGCACCAGTATGAGACATGGTCCTGGATCAAAGGCCAGGTGGTCAGGCAGGAGGCAGGTGGGTGCAACCTCAAAACTGCTAAACGGGGATAAATTATACAGAGAAAGAGACAATCTTCAATATACGATGAGCCAGAAAACCCTTAAAACCAAGACACATAAATGAAATTACAGTTAAGACAGTCTATGAATCAGATTATGGATTTATGCCAAAAAAGTTAATACCCTCAAGAAGATAAAGAAATAACACTCATAAAATAAATAAGAGGTCTAAATCCAAAGCAGTCAGTAATAAAGAACAGATAATGATAAATACATATTAGTAAAATTAAACTTATAAACATTAAAGTTTTTAAAAAGATAGACAAAATAAAGTGCTAGTCCAGCCCAAAGAGAAAAATAATTAATAAATTGGAAGGCAGTCTAAGGAATTCACTCAGAATGTAGCACAGAAATAAAGGGATTTTAAGATATCTGTGTCTATATGGATAGAGAGAGAGAAACAGAGACAGAGACAAAGACAGATAGAGAGGCTCAAACAATAGCAAAAATAGTGCCATATAAATAGAATCAAAGATATGATGGGGAAATAATATTCTTGAAGATAACTACTCAGATTAGTACAAAGACTTGAAAAGTCACTATCTAGTAAAACTGAAGATGTGACTTCCCTAATCAAGCAATTCCATAATTGATAAGAATATGAATAAGAATATGCCAATAATTTTTAAAGTTAGATAAAATGAATAATTTTCTGGAAAAGCATAAAAACACAAAAATTGGCTCAATAAAAATGGAATTCCCAAATAAACCTAGAAAAACTGATTAATTTTTTTCAATATCTACCAAAAGAACACCCTAACCTCCCACAATTTTATAGGTACATTTTATCCCATATTCAAGAAATAAGATAATGTCTCATATATGAAAAAACAAGTTCATATAAAGACATTACTAATCTTTAGTAATTAAAACAGTGTGATGTTGATGCACAAATGGAAAAAATGTACCAATGAAATAGAAAACTCAGAAACAGATATATCTATGTATCATATGGTATATTGCAAAGATGCCCTATAAATTAGTAGGGAAATGTACCCTTATGGCCTACTGAATAATACAGATGCTCTCATTTAAGCCATTCAAAGTCATCACCAAATGGCTCAAACTTATCTCTGTAATCTTACAGCCCATTACTTCCCCCACTATATATCACATGTGCTGTTAAAACTCATCTAATCATTATTTCCCTAAAAAAGCTGTGAGGGCCTGCCTCTGTTACTTTTATCCCAGCTGGATTTTCCACTTAGAATGCCCTTTTAACTCCCCAGTACCCCCTGGCACATTAAAGCCTATTTCTCAAGGCACAAATCCAAGAGCACATAACAAAAAATACACTTCTCAATAACAAACATCACACAGGGATTGTATGCTGGCTATTTGGGTGAGTGTGTTATCTCTTCTATTGAGCTGAAAATCATTGAGGGCAAGGATTGTCAATCTATTAACGATGTCCCTTACCCACATAGTCACACACACCTACAGTGGCCTAAGACATGATAAATGATTAATAAAAAACTTTCAGATTGAATTTAGGAGTTGAAATAACGTCAAGAAAACTGTTACCCACAACTTGAAATGTTTCCAATTTTCCAAA
This sequence comes from Homo sapiens, assembly GCF_000001405.40. Taxonomy (NCBI): domain Eukaryota; kingdom Metazoa; phylum Chordata; class Mammalia; order Primates; family Hominidae; genus Homo; species Homo sapiens. The sequence continues at coordinate 25,875,516 of NC_000003.12, read as the reverse complement.
ATTGGAAAAGATATATTCTACACGATTTTCAGTTCCTAGGAAAAATAATCTAGTCTCCTATTACCAATTACCAATGCATTTTAACTATCATCGCTTGCCAAAATTAGAGACCCATGAGTGATCGATACAGGTTAGGGATTCTTATCATTTAATCCAATTATGTTCCATTTGTATCAGTTATTTTCAGTCCATTAAAACACTTATTCAAACTCTTGGGTTTTCCCCTATCTTCCTTTTTAAAAGTATTTCCTTCAATATGTTAAATGAATAGAAGAGGCTTTTGCTGAATCCCTGCAAAAACATACTAAATGACTGAGACTAGAGCAAATATACCTCCTGAATTAAAGTACAGAAATAGCCTTCAGAGAGAATAATAGCCTAATAATATAGGAGATGTTGAAGACTGAAAACACTAAGTCTTAGGGCTCTTATACGAAAGGCATGTGGCAGGGAATCTTTGTTTTTCACCGTGAAGGGGAAAAATTCAGATTTTAGGCATAAATATACCTCCATCCTGATGGGAAGGAGACACCAATGGGAGCAAGTTAATAAAATTAAAACCTAAAAAGGACTGGGTAGAAGTGGGGTCAAGATAGGAAAGCCAAACATTCAGGTTTCCTCTGCATTCGCATCAATTATCTGTACGTCAAGTGGTAAAGGCAGCAGCTACGGAAGCTAAGCTAACAGTTATTGCCGGGCGCGGTGGCTCATGCCTGTAATCCCAGCACTTTGGGAGGCCGAGGCGGGCACATCATGAGGTCAGGAGATCGAGACCATCCTGTGAATGGTGAAACTCCGTCTCTACTAAAAATACAAAAAATTAGCCAGGCGTGGTGGCGGGCACCCGTAGTCCCAGCTACTCAGGAGGCTGAGGTGGGAGAATGACGTGAACCCGGGAGCAGAGTTTGCAGTGAGCCAAGATTGCACCACTGCACTCCAGCCTGGGAGACAGAGCGAGACTCCTCTCAAAAAAAAAAAAAAAAAAAAAAACAGTTATTAGAGGTAGTTCAAAGGCCTGGAGGCCAAACTTTGAAAGCAGAGGTGATGAAAGTCTTGGGTACCAGGGATCAAGAGCAAGTCAAGCATCTGAAACACAAAAAGGTCAACGCAGAGGTAAAGAGGACAACAGGATTTCAGTGGCCAAAGTACACATGAATACAGAATTGTGAATGTCATATGGAGCAAAACACTGGCAACAAGAATAAGAATGCAAGAATGTCTGATTTGTGAAAGAATCATGATATGTTATGAAAATTGATACTTTCTGATTTCTTCTATACATCTTACTAATTATAAATTATTCTGAGTTGACCAGTAAATGCAGAAAGTATTTAAACCAGCCAGAGCCCAGGAGTGTTCTGGATACAGGTGAGCTCTGTTGGCATCTGGAACAGAAGAACTGGATGTGGCAGATTGCACCTTCCAAAGATGATCACCATAGTATCTCCTATCTAATACGCTGTTCCGCAATATGACTTTGACATTTCCTCATCAAGAAGTGGAGTCTTATTACCTTACTCTGGGCTTGGCTTTACTGGCTTGTTGAACCAGCAGAATATGACAGAAGTGACACTCCAACCTCTGAAAAGACTGTAAAAACACCTTGCAATTTCTACCTGAGCCTCTTAAAAGGATCACTCTTGGGATGCTGTCTCTGAGGACTGTGGCCATATGAAAGGTCTCAGCCACATGAAAAGGTTATTGGTTGGTGTTCAGGCATGTAGCTCCAGCAGAACTCCTAGGAAACAGTCATCATCAACTGCCAGCCATGCCACATTCCAACTCAACTGAACCTTTAGACGAATGTAGCCCTAGCCTCTATTTGACTTCAACTACAAGAGAGATGCCAAGCTGAGACCAGTTAAGCCACAGAACTGTGAGATATAAAAATAAATTGTTATTTTAAGCCATGTGTTTCAAGGCGGCTTGCTATGTAGCAATAGATAATCAGTACCTAGGGTTACAGGGATGATTTTTTAAATTATCTCTATCTATGGCTAGTAATACTGGGGCCATGACACTTACAGTTATCAACTCCAGCAGACTCAGAAATTCACTCAGCTCCCCTACTCCACCCTTTTTGGTTCTCCAATAAAATGTTTGGTGATGGATGGCTCTGGAAGTTAAATGAGACTTGGTATTACCTGGGAAATTTTGATTTGCAGCAACTCCACAATGACTATTATTGCACATAACTGAGATGTGACTAGAGCCTGGAACAACTGAAAACGCAGAAAAGTCTGTATTATAAGACCAGGGTGGAGAGCAAGTACTGAAGATAACTGAGTGATCACTAAAATACATCAGAGAATCCACACTCTCGTGATAAGTGGCATTTGAAGGGAGAAATTTTCCAGAGAGATAAATGAGACCTTTCTCAATTAATATCAGTACTTGTGTTGCTTGTTATATTGTTGCATTTCCTCCTGAAATATTACAGGCACCAGGCTATTTCACTTACCTCCAAACCTTCAATTGTTTAGTCTCTGTTAATGCAAGGTCATAATGCAGAACACAGATCCTCAGTTTACAGTCAATCCTCAATTATTCAAGGCTTATGGAGTTACAGCGCAGTCCAGTAGATCTCTGCTTAAATATTGGTTTCATTGACATTTGGACACATCTGGAAATTCAGTCTGCTTAATTTTGATTTTGCTGACATCACAACTCAGTTATTTGAACTCTAAATACCTAATCACCTCTAGTGCAAGTTTGAGCTAGATGGACGGCAGGAGAGAAGTAAACATTTATAGATTGTCTTTTGCATTTTACATACATTATCTAATTTAGTCCCCACAGCAATTCAATGAGATATTACTATCCTTATTTCATAGAAAATGAAACTCAGGCTCAGAAAGTTCAACTTAAGTTTGCTTCCTTCCCCATTTTGTTGCTTAACAATATAATTAAGAGAATAGACTCTAGAATCAAACAGACTGGAATTATCTTTTTATCATAATATGTTTTTATTAAAATGAGTTTTTAAATGTATAGTTTATCTGTTTTTATATCTGGCAGTTTCTCTATGATTTAGCTTTCAGAAAAGTCATATTGTTCTCAAATGACCTAGCTTTTACCTTCGTTAACTCAAACCTGCACCCATCTGAAGTGAAACCAGCAACCATTTAACAGCAAACAGTAGCAGCAGCATGCACCAAAAGAGAATGGAAAGTGAAAAGAACACAACAGATCATTTTAAAAGGTACATGCCCTAGAATTTTTTGACAATGTTTGAGCGTGGTTCTCAAAACTACAATTCTATAAGTCAGTGAATGCTGAGTTTTATTTGGAAAGCATGGTCCCACCTTGTATAAAGAGAAAAAGCAGCCCTAGAATAACAGTACCAATTGTAAAGGGCTATTTCATGGCATCAATTAAAGCATGCATGCCATCGGTATAGTCTTTTGCCAAACATGGACCTTCAGTGTGGATACACGAATCTCTGCCAACTTAGCTTCATATTTTACATGAAATATGGATACAACACAGGATAGAAATATAAATGGTCTGCAGTGTGACTTGAAATTTCTGCCTATTAAAGAACTGTGTGTTGGTGACTTATCCATTAACTAAGGGACTTTAACTCCAGGCAAGTTGTTCTAATTCTCTTTTCTTTTCAGTAGTGTGTCAATTGCCTGGTTCTCCACTGACAGCTAAAATTAAACAAAAAAGTGAATTCCGTTCTACAGTGTGACCATCTTATGGGAACACTAGAGGTAAATTTTTTAAAAGTCTGCAATCTCTAATATAATGAAAGCATAAAAGTATTTGCAGGCATCATGTAAGATGCAACAATAGAATGTGGACTGCACTAAATCAGAGAGCACATAGACCATGCTGAAGATTAAGTAATGACTGTACACAAATTAACTTCAGCAGTAATCTTTGAGGAATACATTTCACTGCAGTAATATTAATCTAAAATTAATACATTTCACTGCCTGCATAGGCAGGCAGGAGGGAAAGCAACAAATAAAAGCAAAGATCAAAAGAGAATCTCTGGCAAATAGATATTCTGCAATTTATAAAATGCAAGAGAAAATGAAGGAGCCCAATATTAGGCCTAACCCCTTTTAATCTACATGAAAATGTGAAGAAATTAAAACTGTCTGTAACTGATAACTAACCAGCCAGAATTGTATGTCAATCCACAGAGACAAGTTAAAAACAGGTAAAAACAGCAGATTATTTTATATTGGCAATCAAATATATATGAAAGAAGGAGTAAAATGTTTAAAAAATTGGCAAAAACTACTTAGAAAATAAGATTCCCTGAAGAAAAACTATCAAGGACACATCTAAATACATGTTAGAATGAGCCAATATGGGACAACTTCCCATTATCAACTATTAAGACAAAGGTTCTAGACATGGCTTAAAAGTATTAGCTTTATCTGATGCTCTGACAGTGCAGAGTGATATTGGACCCAAATGTAGGATCTAGAGGATGACAGCTTGAATGTTAGTATCTTGGCTGAATCAGGCTCAGGGTGGAGAGAGTGATGTTAGAACCAGGACTCTTGCAGAGAGCCAGAAACTAGGTCCAAGCAGCCAATTCATGAAACTAAAGAAACTAGAAAGATTCTGTCCCCATGGAGGCAAAGTGTCAAGGAAACTTGCCTTCAGGATGGGAAAATAGAAAGTTGTCTTAAAGCAATTTAGCAACCCATGTTTGCCCTACATGTGGATGTAGAATCAAAGTTACACTTCCTTCATGGGGCAGAAATTTTAAGCCAAGAAACTAGCATAAGAAAACTGGTCTGGAACTGATGAAACATCTATGGAACTGATGAAACATCTACAGTACTGACAGAAGTAAATAATACCACTTTCAAGGGGTGCTTTCAGATCACTGGTGACTCAGACACTGGCAACACAATAGAAACAACAGGGAAAAGATGAACTCACAATAGAAAATTGCAAATTACACAGGGAAATGCATCACCATGAGGAGGAGACAGCATACCAAAAAAAGGGAAAACTTCACAACCTAAAGATTAGGCATGATACAACTATTTGAGTTTATAAACTAAATGTGTTTAAAGTTATGAAAGAAATTAAAAATAGAAATAATAATGAACATCCTAGATATTTCTTGATTTCTGAATTATGTCCTCCGACATTCCTTTGGTAATTTTGGAATAAAGTCTATTTTTGTTTATCTAAAAATTGGGGTAGGAAGGTAGTATACACTACAAAGGACACAAGGGAACGTTTGTGGGTAATGGAACTATTCTATAACTTGATTGATGTGGCATTACAAAACTGTATATGTGTGTCAAAACTCAATGAACCATACACCTAAAAGAGTGAATTTTACCGTGTAAAGTATACCTCAGTGCCTTATACCAAAAAATAAAATAAAATCTCTCCTTTTTCAGGATATCCATAGACAGCAGAGAAAAAATAGCAAAATAGATATTTTGACTCACAGAAAATGAATGTTTGCAAAGATTCACCAAGAAATAAAGTCAACCAAAAAAGCAAAGTCATGGAAAAGAAGTGAGTTCAATTTATATTAAGAATTCATTTATTAAAAGCAGTTATTACCCAAACACCAGGCCCCAAAGGCAGACACTGGTGAGGCAGCCTCACATGGGAAGGAGCTTCCCTGGTGAGATTCAGTGTCAACTCACAGCCATATCCTTTTCTATAAAAAATTCATGACAGCAAAGTTTGCTTTCATTTATAACACTGAAAAAAATAAAGCTTTAGTCAATAGATGTTGCTGAAAAGTGAAATTACATTTGTTGAATTAGAAAATAAGAAAGATAATTTGAATCCAGATTTTACCAGTAATTATTAATATGATCCTATGCCAGATGTTTCACTTCTCTATTTCTTAGATTCCTCATTTGTGAAAACATAAGGAATTAGCCAAATGATCTTGTGGGTCCATTCCTGCCCTCATGTTCTAACAGTGTGATTAATTTGGGCTTAGACAAAGAACCACTAAGACTTTAAGGTCGAAATATGAATTGGAGAAAAATTAGAGACCTGTAAACTCTGCCATGATTGAAGCTTTATAAGACAGTAGAGTAGGAAAATAATGTTTTCCTCAAAAAATCTTTATTTGGAGAGTTTTATTGTAGAAGTTAATTTCTACACTGAAGTCGGAACATTAGAACTTGAAATTTCTCTTTCTGATTCTCTAGACCTATATTATAGTTTCTACGGCACCAACTGGTATGCTGCAGTTTTTATTCTGGCACTAACTACCTGGAGTTAGCAAAGACCCCACAAGTTAAGGGCTCAGTCTTCCACAAGACTACTCTCACTTGAGACTCCAGCTGAACATCAGGGTTCCCCAGGCTGCCTGCACTTTGACTGACTACAGATTTGGGGGTTCTCACAAATGCCTCAGGTTTGATAATTTTCTAGACCAAGTCACAGATCTTAGGAAAGTGCTCTACTTATGATTAAAGTTTTATTATTATAAAGGATACAGATCAGGACCAGCCAAATGAAGAGACACACAGGGCAAGGCCTGGGAGGGTCCCCAACACAGAGCATGCATGTTCTCTTCCCATAGACAGAACAGGTCAACCTCCCATCACATTGATGTGTTCATTTGTCAGGAACCTCTCCTGAGACTTGGTGTCCAGAGTTTTAATTGGGGTTTCATTATGTAGGCATGATTGATTAAATTATTGGCCATGTGATTCAACTCAATCTCCAGTCTTTCTCCCCTCCCCAGAGGTCAGACTGCCTCAAAGGAGTCACCTTTTAATCATGTTATTGGTCTTTCTGGTATCCAGCCCCCATCTAAAGTGATTGGAGAACTGATCTTGAGTCATCTAATTAGCATAAACTCAGGTGTGAACCAAAGGACTCAACAACTCTATCACTTGGGAAATTCCAAGAGCTTTAGAAGATATGTGCCAGGAACCTGAGACAGAGACCAAATTCTTTATTATACAGCATAGCTCATCTCAGCTTCTCTATGTACAGTCTTTTAAAATATTCTTTCTATGAATACAGGCATGCCTAGCTCCAAGATGCTAGTGGATCACAACTGCCCTAGGTACAGAGCCCCAGTTTGATATGACCTTTCAGCTTTAACACCCAACTCCAACTAACAAACATCCCTATTGTATCATATTAAATCCCTCGGAGAAAGAATCCAAATATATCCAGTTTGAGTCAAGAGTCCATTAGTTTAAAAAGCTATGATCAGAGCAGCAAAGTTATAGGATGCTTCAAAATAGGACTAACAATTCTCAAAGAACTGAACCTGGACTTGGCAAGCATCAGACAATGTAAATCTAAGTATAGTTCCTATGGTTATGAAAAGCACAAGTGTGCAAAATGGGCTTAGAAAACATGAACAGGAAGCCATACAAGGAGAACCAAATATAAGCAATCTCCAAGATTTTGCCTTCCTTCCTATGCCCTTTTTTAAAAGCAGATATGAAAATAGTTTGGTTCAACTATATACCAATAGAATGTCAAAAGATTAATTTTAGACATTAATCAAAAGATTAATAGTAAGATTAATGTTCTTGGGAGTCAAATCCAAATTGGACATGTTCTATCTTGTGTACAAATGGTTCTGTTTTGTTTTATAGAATCATTGTAAATGGAAAGAGTGGTTTGTGGCAAATGGGAGAAAGAGAAATTCCATTTAGGAGTATTTTCTAGAAGTAAAATATGGAGAGCTAATAGGAGACAGATAAAGACTTACCAAATATTACATATTTGAGCTAAAAGAAAAAAGGTAAAGTTCGCTTCAACTGTATGTGAGGGAAGCTAATTAAGGCTACATTAAGAAAAATGAGAATGTATCACAATGATGAAGATATAGCTCATGAACTCCAAACGCAGAAATGTAATCTGGCCTCCAAAAGAGACAAGAATCAAGGCCTCAGAAGCCTCCAGAAGGCTGAGCCCCTTATTTTAGCATGTTTCATCTCCTAGCATTCCCATCCTGCTGTTTCTCAGGCTACATAAATATGCACGATGGCCACTTCCCAACCCTAGGTTTACTTTGCCTCCATTTGAAAGGCCAAACTAAAGAAAGTTAAAAATCCTTAGTTCCAGTTCTTTCACTCCAGAAGATACCATCTGATCAACCTATTCTGGTCCAATCGGCAATGGCCAGAAGGGAAGGAATCACACAGTGCAAATATGGCTGCTGGGGGTCCCTCCCTGTAGGGCAAAAAGGCAGTTTAAAAATCATTTGTGAGTTGAGAAGATACCCCAGAAAGAGTCTCTAATACTCTCTGCTTACTTAGTTTCAGAAAAATAATAATTGCCCTGGACAAAAGACAATATCTGAGCAGCATCTCTCCAGGATACTGATGGGTTCTGTATTTAACGCTTTTATAAATTACATGAACAGTGAATGCTCGAAAAGCCTCACATTTGCAGATAAACAAAGATCTTTGGAGTATGAATAAGCCAAGGTGACAGGAATAAAATGCCAACTTATTTACTTCAATGAGTGTAAGAGAAAGGTAATACATTAATTCTGAAAAATCAAAGATATATAATCTTGGATGCACTGAAAAGAATTTCAAATAGAAACCTGAGATATTATTATTATCTAAAAGATTAGTGAGAAACTTTCATCTACTGAATAACTTCTAAGACTAAAGTTATTAGTCACTCATTTACTAATGCAACAGAAATACAGAGAAAAGGCAGGGCAAGAGGGAAGGCAGAGAGGAGGAAGGAAAGAAAGAAAAGAGAAAGGAAGGAGAAAAATGCATGCTAATACATCATGATTACCTGATGAGTCAAGTATTATCAATCCCCTTTCTCAGAGAAAGAAATTGTGACTGCAAATTTCCATAAGTTACCCAAGATCACCAGCTAGTAAGTAGAATAACTAAAATTCCAGCTCAGGTGTGTTTATCTGACTCCAAAGTATATGTTCTCTCCAACACATGATTATCCTACATTTTTTAGACTTGGCATGAAATTCTTGGCAAAAACATTAAGGACTATTAAAATAGCTTAATGAAAAACCATGAGGCACTGATTTTTTTTAACACTATGTCAAAGTGTGGAGATGAGACATAACCCCTTTGGATCCAGGTTATGAACCATGAAAGGTCAGTGCAGTGTCTCTACTCACCTACTTTCACAAGCCAAAAATGCTGCCCTATTTACTGGCTCGGGCCCGGAATTTCCAAGAGAAAACTCTGGCCTCAGGTAGAATGAAAATATTCAAACTCAATGGCAAAGAAGAAATAAGAAAAAATGGATGCATCATGTTAAAGAAAAAATAGGCCTGGCACAGTGGCTCACTCCTCTAATCCCAACACTTTGGGAGGCTGAGGCAGGCAGATCACTTGAGGTCAGGAAGTCGAGACCAGCCCGACTGATGTGGTGAAACCTCATCTCTACTAAAAATACAAAAAAATTAGCCAGGCATGGTGGCACATGCCTGTAGTCCCAACTACTCAGGAGGCCGAAGCAGGAGAATCTCTTGAACATGGGAGGCAGAGATTGCAGTGAGCCGAGATTGGGCCATTGCACTCCAGCCTGGGTGACAGAGTGAAACTCTTGTCTCAAAAAAAAAAAAAAAAAAAAAAAAAAAAAATATATATATATATATATATATATATATATATATATATATATATGCTACATATAGGCAAATAAAGCAAAAATAAAGTTAAACTGGAAGCTGTATTTGTAATATATATGACAGTAACTATTTTTTAAAATAAATTGTATTAATATATTTAAGATATATAACATGACGCTATGGGATACACAGGAAAAAAACAGGTAACTATGTGTGATGATGAATATGTTAATGAAGCAAATTAATGAAACAAATTAACATATTCATCATCGCACATAGTTACCTATTTTTGTTTGTTTGCTTTTATGGCAAGGGCAGCTAAAATCTATTCTTTTAGCATAAATTCCAAATACAGTACAATTTTATTAACTACAGTCATGTTGCATATTAGATCTCTAGATGTGCTCATCCTATATATCTGCTACTTTGTATCCTCTGACTTACATCTCCCCATTTCTTCCCCATCCAAAGTAATCACTCTTTTGTTCTCTGTCTCTATATATTTGAATTTTTATTTTTTAGATCCACAGATGAATGAGATCATGTGATATTTATCCCTCAGTCTGGCTTATTTCATTTAGCATAATATCCTTCAGGTTCATCACATTGTGGCAAATGGCAAGATCTCATTCTTTTTAGAGCTGAATAATATTCCATCGTATATACATACCATCGTTTCTTTATCCATTTGTCTATTGACATACACTTAGGTTTTTTTATGTTTTAGCTATTGCCAATAATGTTGCAATCAACATGGTAGGGCGGATATCTTTATGAGGTGGTGATTTCATTTTGTTTGGGAACATGCCTACAAAAGGGACTGCTAAGTCATATAGTAGTTCTGTTTTTCATTTCTCTAGAAACCTCCATACTGTTTTTCATAATGCCTATTGGGAATCTGCATTCCCACCAACAGTGTACAAGAATTACTATTCTTAATAGCTAAAAAAAAAAAAATCAAACAATAAGAAAAGATTAAACACAACAGAAAAGGGGCAAAGAACTGAAAGAAAAATGCATTTGCCAAATAAACTTATGAAAACTCTGCCCATCCTTACTAATAACTTCATTATTTGTCTATCTAACTGCAAGTTGCTCTTTCTCTCTCACTTTCTTTTTAATGACAATACCCAGGATTATGGAAGGTGTTAGAAAATGTACTTTCTTAAATATTGCAAGTGAGTGTGCAAAATGTTAACACATTTTCTATAACATCGTTACTCAACATGTATCAAAGAATAAAAATTCATGTACTCTTTGACCCAACATTTGCACTTCTAAGAATGTATTCTAAGAAAAAGTTAGAGCTTAAAAGCCATAAACATTCATATTTTTATATGAAAGTATTTATAAAAGCTAAAACAAGTGTATTCTTGAGGTCTGAAAAAATAAACTAAAACAAGATAATGTACAAAAATAGAAACTGCTAAAGAAAGTTGATCCATTTATATTTTTAAATTATTTGCAACCACTAAAAAGTATGTACTAAGAGAATATTAGTGTTCTAAATAATTGTGTTTGACACTCACCAGATGTATACCAAAATATTAACAGTGATTCTTTCTGGGTAGTACTATTATAGAGGATTTTTACTTTGTATGTGTGTGTTGTTCTGTTTTTCAGTTTCTATAACAAATTAAGTTGCATTATTTTTATAATCAGAAAACAATTATTTGTTAATTAAAATGCAAATTATTCAAGAAGAGAGGCATATTTCTATTTATTTTATCTGTGTAAAGGTTTTAATCCTGTCAGAGGAGGTCAGAAATGTGACAACACATTTTGAGTGGCTGGAAGTAAACTGTCTTCAAAAATTTGCAGAGCCTTATTAAAGTATTCCTTCCCAAAGCAAAATACAACAGTGCATTTCTAATAAGAGCAATTAGCTTTTGATGATAAATTCTACCCAAATAATACAGGATTCAGAATCTTCAAAAGCAATAATACACAGTAACAACAACATAAAACAATAAAAATGATAAAATACAAAATCAAAACAAAGTCATCTCATTAAAAACAAAGGATTACTGTTGAAAATACATAAGCTATCATGAAAAAAATTTTATTGTCTTTAATAATATTTTTATTTGCAAATGCCAATGCCAAAATGACTTTATTTTCCCCTCTTACTGGTGCTTTTATGATCATGTTTGGATATCTCTAAGACTGCTCATGCAGTTGTCCCTTGCTACAGGGACCAAGGGAAAACTTCCCCTTTGCCCCCTACAGGTTCACTGAAAATCAACTAGCAAAAGGCAGACTAACAGAAGAGAAGCCAAACAAAATTTATTAATGCACACACATGTGCATGGGAGTCATAAAAAATGTAAAATCTCAAAGAAAAGGCCAGCTGGTTGATGCTTTCATGCCATGAGGTTAGGGGGCTGGAGCATGCCAAGACTGGTAATGGGAAGGAGAGAGAAACAAAAGCGTGGGGCAAAGGCAATCTTATTATATAGTTAAAATCTCCCAACTAGCAACTCTCAGAAAGAATAAATGGTATCCTGTGGCTGAGTTAATCTTTTCTAGATCCGGGTAAGGGAGAGGGCCGTAGAGAAAGCCTGGATTTATTATTTTACTAATGTGGTTTTTTTCTCTACAGATGCAAATCTCCACAAAAGGCAGCTTTTCAGGGCTATTCCTGTCTACACGCCCTCTGAATAACCATCTCAAAATATGTTCAAGAAGTATATTTTGGTACAAAACATTTTTGGTTTTCTTTAGTCCCCCCATTTGAAACTTCGTGTTTAGAAAGTTTCACATATTAAAATGGGGTTGGTAGCTATGAAGAGGTTTGGGTCAGAGGTTGTGAGATAAGAGACTGGCAAAGGGGAAGGGGAAAAAGCATACATTAGACCAAGCAGCTGATACCTTCTTGAATCAGTCTCTTATAAGTCGGTTCAGTTAAACACTTGTGCCCCATTCCAGGAGGTGGCATTGCAGATGGGATCTCAAAGCCAAGTCTCTACATATGATACAGGCAAACAGATGTTTGTAAGTAATATGCTTGTAAGTAAGATGTCTGTTAGTAAGAGGTATGTCTATGGAAACAAAGGAAAAACTAAGGTTAATGTCTAGAGTAGTCTATAAACTAGTTTTTCTCAAGTCTCTAAAACACCTTCAGTTGGATTGGGCAGGCATGGCAATCGGACAGATTTTTGTAGATTGTAGTTCAAATCATATGTTCTAGTGAACCTTCTGAGTAGTCCATACATCAACAGGCATGAAGGCCAAATATAGATAGATAGATAGATAGATAGACAGACAGACAGACAGACAGCTATGTCTGGGCACAGTGGCTCATGCCTGTAATCCCAGCACTTTGGGAGGCTGAGGCATGCGGATAGCTCGAGGCTGGGAGTTTGAGACCAGCCTGACCAACATGGAGAAACCCTGTCTCTACTAAAAATACAAAATTAGCCAGGCGTGATGGTGCATGCCTTTAATCCCAGCTAATCCGGGAGGCTGAGGCAGGAGAATCACTTGAACCTGGGAGACGGAGGTTGTGGTGAGCTGAGATGGCACTATTGCACTCCAGACTGAGCAACAAGGGCAAAACTACATCTCAAAAAAAAAAAAAAAAAGAAAAGAAAAAAGAAAAAGATAGATAGCTGTAGTGATTTCTTCTGAAGTTTTTATCAAGTTGTCTAGTTTCGATTTGCAGGGCTTTAAGGAAAGCACAGTTTTAATTTCTAGTGATTCTAGGTTAGAGGAGAGAAAGAAAAATTGGAAATGTTAGTCTACAGAGTCACAGTCATATATTTGAGGAAACTAGAAATTTAGGATTTCGTTTATATTGCAGGTAAATAATAAAATCTCAAAAAAAAAAGATCCAGAACCTAATAACAGATGAACTATAGGTATCGTTCTGAAACATAGTTTTCCTGTCTCCAGTACCCCATTTCTAACAAAGAGAAATCATAGTAAGACCAATTTATGTACAAAATAAGTTTAGTTTTATTACACTTGGCCTATTTGCATAAAGTATAGAAAGAACAGTGATTGCTATATAGGCTGTTTTTAAGCTGGCTTTGCTGGAATTTTTTAATAAGGAATTTTGGATTTAACTTTTAAAAATCTCTTGAGGCTTACAAGCAAAGCCAAATACTGTGTCTGTAACACTTTTATGAAATGAGTGAACTCAGTCTAGGCAACATAGCAAGACCTCGTCTCTACAGAAAAATTTAAAAATAGCAAGGTGTGGTGACACACACCTGCAGTCCCAGCTACTCAGAAAGTTGAAGTGGGAGGACCACTTGAGCACACAAGCCAAGGCTTCAGTGAGTTGTGATTGTGCCACTGCATTCCAGCTTGAATAACAGAGCAAGACCCTGACTCAAAAAAAAAAAGAAAAGAAAAAGAAGAGAGATGGGTGAACTCCTCTTTAGCTGAAGACCCCCAAAATCTCTTGAGGTTCCTGGGGCTGTCAGAAACTGTTATTTAGTTTTATCAATATCATGTTGTCCTTTAGAATCTTTAAATAACCCATAAACTAGACATAATTATTTCATTCTCAATAAACACAATCTTCGTGCCTCTGTAACTTTCCTCACCAAAAACATACCTTACTTTTCTCGTACACTTTGCATATGGAATTATTTCTTATTTCATTAGTTTTAATTATATATATTCTCATATATATAATTATATATATTCTCATATATATAATTATATATATTCTCATATATTTAATTATATATATTCTCATATATAATTATATATATTCTCATATATATAATTATATATATTTAATCTTAACTCAATAATGCTAATTTCTAGCGAAACCTAGGAAATGAGTAATTTTGGACTGTTTTATATCAGTATTTAAAGGTGAAAGCCATTTTATAATTTTTAGAAAGATATTCTTTCTCAATTTTTTGTTTATTAACAGCTCTAATTATATTTAGTGTTTCTATACCTTAGCAAAATAAGATGTCAAAGTAAATAAACTTATATTTAATAATTAATGTTTTCATAGTTTAACTTACTTAGAAATGACTTAGACATATAATTATCTATTACTTAATTAAACATATATGGTTTGGCTGTGTCCCCACCCAAATCTCATCTTCAATTCCTACATGTTGTGGGAGGGACCCAATGGCAGGTAATAGAATTATTGGGGTAGGTCTTTCCTGTGCTATTCTTTTGACAGTGAATAAGTCTCATGAGATCTGATGGTTTCAAAAGATCACAAGCTCTCTCTTTGCCTGTTGCCATCCATGTAAGACATGACTTGCTCCTCCTTGCCTTCTGCCATGATTGTGAGGCCTCTCCAGCCACATGGAATTGTAAGTCCATTAAACCCTTTTTTCTCTGTAAATTACCCAGTCTCAGGTATCTCTTTATCAGCAGCATGAAAATGGACTAATACAACATGACTTTAAGATTTTAAATTACTAAAAATAATTTTGAAACTATAACACAGATACCACACTACCCCATGACTTCCCCAGTTGTCCTGAGTCCTGTGTACCATGTGGCACCAAAGAGACTATGAAGGATAGCACCTATTTGGGTCCTAGATTTATATATCAGAGGTAGAGCCCAGGACAGAGGACAGAGCTCTGAAGATGGTAGCTGGTAGCCCAGGTGCTGCAGGCACACATATGTCCCCAGGCCTGCTTATGGCCACCTACCCAGACCCCAGAATCCAGAGACCAAAAATCAGAAACGTAAGTTCACAGTAAGATGTGTGCAAAGCTTCCGGTGAGCCCAGAAGCCAGCCCTTATTGCTTTAGCATACAGGCAAATCAAGCAAGTACAAAAAATACTATAAAAGCAGCAGTCGTATGATGTTAAAACATGTAGCAGAGACAGCATATACCTATCTGAAAGTAGATCCAGGCAAAAACGTCTAAACTATATTTAGTACTGACAATTCTGAAGACTTTCCTATTTTATTTTACCAACAGTTTTTAAACTAGCTTTACTTTCCAAAGATTATCTCAGATCACATAGCAATATCATATACACATAATACACATTGACATATAGACAGACACAAAGACAGAAGCAGATCTTATAGCTTTCATTAAGATTCTTCATTTGCTGGCTTCCCGATAGTTTTGCTTTCCCCAATTCAGATCAATCTTGTGATTACTCATTTTACTCCCCTAAGAAAACAGGTAGGCAACCCCAAATTTGTACTTCTAAAGGAATGACTCTTAGGTGGAACAAGGTAAAAAATTTATATCTCAAAGACACAAAACATAGATCTAAACATAATTATCCACCAAGACAAAGAGGGGCTTAGGTAAATGCACAGAAAAGGAAAGATAGCCAGGAAAAGTACATTAAATAAAAGTAAGGTTTGTTATGTAAACTTGCCTTTCTCATTGTAAAAGTTTCTCATGGTTTAGATACGGAGAGGAAGGTGCCCTTGCAAATGGAGGTTTTCTTTACAGATAGAAATTTCTTTCACAAAGAGCTTTTAAAGAGCCAGTGAAATGCCATAAATATGTACTTTGGAGACGGATTTAGTTGAATAGGTGGCTTTTAAAATTAGTTTCAATTTCTTAACTGGGTCATTGATTTCAGGGCAACATCCATTAACGAATAGGGCCAAATCAACTCATAACTCTCAGGACTCCATGAGAAAGAAAGGCGGCCCCAAAAGGGGTCACTGGTGTCAGGCCTCTGAGCCCAAGCCAAGCCATTGCATCCCCTGTGACTTGCACGTATAAGCCCAGATGGCCTGAAGTAACTGAAGAATCACAAAAGAAGTGAATATGCCCTGCCCCACCTTAACTGATGACATTCCACCACAAAAGAAGTGTAAATGGTCGGTCCTTGCCTTAAGTGATGACACTACCTTGTGAAAGTCCTTTTCCTAGCTCATCCTGGCTCAAAAAGCACCCCCACTGAGCACCTTGTGACCCCCCCACTCCTGCCCGCCAGAGAACAAACCCCCTTTGTAATTTTCCTTTACCTACCCAAATCCTATAAAACGGCCCCACCCTTATTCTCCCTTCGCTGACTCTCTTTTCGGACTCAGCCCACCTGCACACAGGTGAAATAAACAGCCATGTTGCTCACACAAAGCCTGTTTGGTGGTCTCTTCACACAGACGCACATGAAAACTGGCACGTTGGCTTTATTCCTCAAGGGGTCCCAGAGTCACTAGCATATCTTTTAGATCTGTTTATGTGGTAATTGAAACTCTCTTATTTTCTTTCTTCAGTTTTTCATCCAGTGACTACCAAATGGAGGAATTATCGTCTTGAAGGGGAACGTATCAATCACTTAAGGAAACTAGATGGGAGACTGAAGGTGGCAAAAGGAGAGGCATAGCAAATGGAAGAAGGTGTCCTAGAGTCACTCTTAAACTTTGAGAAGTTTGAGATATTAGGTTGGTGCAAGAGTAATTGCAGGTTTTACCATTACTTTTAAGAGCACAAGGACCAAACATATGAATATTTACACTAAAAAATAAACTAGAGTTGCTTCATCTAAGACTACTGTAAATGCTTTTCTCCCATTAATCTTAATTTGAAAAAGGAAAAAGAGATAGTGATTTTTACCGACCTCTCAACAGGATTCGTGAAAGACACCTGGGAATCTGACTGGGAAGATATTCTTACCCTACGGCTGGCGTGTCAGATCCTGGGTTCCCTTGATGTGACATCCAGAGGAGCAGAGTGGTTTTGGTTATCCTGCTCTACAACAAAACTGTAGAGCTTTTTGTATCCTGCAGTACAACAAAACTGCAGAAGCCAAGGGGAAACTTCCCCTTCGCCTTCTGAAGGCTCACTGAAAATCAGCTGACAAACAGCCCATTATTAGGAGAAAAGCCAAACAAAATTTATTATTGCACACACATGTGCATGGAAGTAATACAAAATGTGAAAACTCAAAGAAAGGGCCAGGTGGTTAACGCCATTACACCATCTTGAGATTATAGAATAAACATGGGCTTGGAGTGTAGCAAGACGGTTATAGGAGGGAGAAAGAAAGGCATGGGGCAAAGGTGGGCTTGTTGTGTACATGAAACCTCACAGACAGCAGCTCTCAGAAAAAAAGAGATGGTAGTTTGTGGTTGAGTACATCTTTTCTAGATCTGGATAAGGGGGAGGGCCTCAGAGAAAGTCTGGGTATTTATTTCACTAACGTGGATTTTTCTCTACAGATGCAAATTTCTTCCACAAAAGGCAGCTTTTCAGGGCTATTCCTGTCCGTAGGCCCTCTGAATAACCCTCTTGAAATATGTCACTGAAGTATATTTTGGAGTGAAATATTTTTGTTTTCCTTTATTGGCAAAAGAGAAAATGTGTTAGTTGCAATAATTAAAGGAAACAAAAAATAGACTATGCTCATAATTAATTAAATTGTATTATATTTTTAATTTCCTATAAAGATAGTATAGATTGAGTTAGATTTAAATAAGTCTGGCACCTCTCTTCCTGATTTTCTTTCCGTCCAAAATATTTCTCCCACCTTACACCAAAATGTCCAGCACACACTATTTTGAGTCATTCCCTAGGGTCCTAAAGGCATTTACTTTATCAAGAGGCTATCATTATTGAAAGGCAAATACTCCCTGAGCCAAATTCAGCTCAGTAATTGATTAGTTGGAGTCATCTGAGAGTAAAAAAGTGACCAGAAATAACATACAGGTGAGGGGACTGTATACCAAGGACATTCTAAGAGGGCATATGGGAAACAAATGGCAAAGCTAAAGGGTCATAAAATCAAGCACTGCTTATCAGCTATGTATCCACGTGAAGATAATTAATAATAATAAAATTCAAAAAACATATGCTTTTAAAAATCAAGAAAACATCTACTTCAGCCCACACTATTAAAGAATAGAAAGCTAACCACTCATTTCCTGAGATGAGCAGCTTCCTCTACTAACCACAAGGTGGGGCTCTATTTGAGATTGCAATGCTTAGATTCCATACTCAGAGCCAAAACAGCAACTTGCATTAGAAATCCCATTTATAAACCATTTCCTTCCAGTCAAATCAGTTTTAAATAGTACTTGCTGCTGTTATACCACTTTGCCCAAGTAGAGACTTCTGTCCATTGAGAACCGTTCATTAACGATGTTGCATTTATATAGGCAAAGTCAATGCTGAGTTCCAACATCAATAGCCATCATTTTCTGTTATGGATTGAAACAAAGGGTTTACGTCCCCTCAAAATTTATACATTGAAGCCCTAACCCCCAATGTGGTGCTACTAGAAGGTGAAGTCCTTGGGAGAAAATTAGTTTTAGATGAGATCACAAGAATGGAACCCCTATGATGGGATTAGTGCCCTTTTAAAAAGAGGTCCTCCCATCTCCACCATGTGAGGCTACAACTACAAGCAGACAGATCAGGATACAGGTGGCTGTCTGCAAGCTAGGCAGAGGCGCTTACCAAGAATGGAAACTGACAGCACCTTGCTGTATATATATGTGTATATATATGTATATAGAGAGACACTAGATATATATATTATATATAAAAGATATATATATATATTAAATATTTGGCTGTTTGAGCCACCCAGTCTATAGTTTTTTTTTTTTGATACGGAGTCTCACTCTGTTGCCCAGGCTGGAGTTGAGTGGCACGATCTCAGCTCACTGCAAGCTCCACCTCCCAGGTTCATGCCATTCTCCTGCCTCAGCCTCCCAAGCAACTAGTACTACAGGCGCCTGCCACCACGCCCGGATAATTTTTTGTATTTTTAGTAGAGACGGGGTTTCACCCTATTAGCCAGGATGCTCTCGATCTCCTGACCTCGTGATCCGCCCACCTCGGCCTCCCAAAGTGCTGGGATTACAGGCGTGAGCCACCGCACCGGGCCAGTCTATGGTATTTTTATAGTACCCAGAGCTAAGACAGAAATTGGTACCTAGAAGTGGGGTGCTGCTGTAACAAATATCTAAAAACACAGAAGCAGTTTTGGAACTGAATAATGCATAGAGGCTAGAAGGGTTTTCAGATGCATACCAGAACAATTCGAGACCATTGTTAAGGTACTGCTCAATGGGATTCTAGTGAGAGCTCAGAAAGAAAAGAGGAGAGTGAAAGAAAAAACCCTCCATCTTCCCAGAGAATATGTAACTAATCATCAACATACTGTTGGTACACATATTGATGGTAAAGGTCATTCTGATAAGGTTTCGGACAGAAATGAGGAACAAGTTATCGAACAATTTTTAAAAAGGCAACATTTGTTATAACGTGGCAGAGAATTATTCTGAATTGTGTTTTTATTCTAGAGTTTTGTGAAAGGTAGAACATGCAAGTAATGAAATTGGATATTTAGCTGACAATTCTAAGCAAAGGGTTGAAAAACTGGTTTGGTTCCTCCTGACTGCTCAGAGTATAATGCAAAAAGTGAGAAATGACATCAAGACAGAATTGTTAAGCAAAAGAGAACCAGAACTTAAAGATTTGGAAAATGCCCAGCCTGTCTATATTGCAAAAAAAAGAAAAAGCATGTTCAGAAGAAAATACCAAGCATGTGTCTGACCAATCATTTGATAAGGAGATTAGTGTGGGTGTGAATCACAGACCTAATCAGTGATGTCAACAGAAGCCAGAAAATAGATGGGATTATATCAGCAGAAACACTGCCAGCTGAGACTAGAGGAAACATTCAAAAAGGACAGAATGAAGGAAGCTCGTGAATATGTGCTATTCCTCAAGAAAGGAAACCTCTCTCCACCATGTGAGAATACAGCAAGAAGGGTGCTGTCTGCAAGTTAGGGAAAGGGCCTTCACCAAGAACCACATGTGTGGGCATCTTGGATCTTGGACTTCCCAGCCTCCAGAACTGCGAGAAATAAATGTTTGTTGTTTAAGTCACCCAGTCTATACTATTTTGTTATAACAGCCCAACTTGATTAAGACACTTTCCTTGAGCTAAGCTTTCTGCTCTCATTATGCCTCCTCCTTCTTTCTTCTTTCCTTTTCTTTTATGGATCTTGTCATTTTATTTTTGTGTCATGACAAGTGACATCGGTTATTGGATATGTGAAATATCATACTATAGCAGATATGGAGGTTTGCCACTCAGATCACTTCAAGAAAGGACTTCCCGCCCAGCAGTGGGGAGTGCAGTCACCAGGCAGCCTCCTACTCTCAGCTTCTTCATAGTCTTAGCTGCAGAAAGCCACCTCACTCAAGTTCACATTCTTCCCAGAGCAGCCTGCATCAGATGACTAAGCAGAGTGTCAGGGGATAGGAGATAGTAGGGATATGGAAACTCGGTCATTTCAACCCAATGTAAGACCAGTCTAACAGGCAATGCTTATTCTAAAGCTACCTACAGAGGCTTCATTGGGCTTGCACTGCATGTTAGCTTTTTCCTCTAGTTGATACTGCTTCTAACTCTTTTCCTTTTACAGATACTGATCTTTAACAAACATCTTGAACACCAGACTACATCTGAGGGTCTACTGTCTACTTCTGGAGAACACAGCCTGTAACAATGCAAAAATAAATTGCTCGGATCATCTGATAATGACAGGCTATTAAATAATTTGGAACACTGAGCTTCCACTTTTGTACAACTTCAGATTTTTTTTCACTGACTCACCATTTATTCATGTATTAAATAAATATTTGAGTACCTCTTATGAGCTAGGCACTATGCTTGTTAGAAGATACATGAAAAATATCTGGAATGCAAACACAGTACTAGAGGTAGAACAGACATCTCATAACCATGAAAATGAAAGCTATACTTCTAAGGGATGGCAGAACAGAGCCAGAAAGAGCTTACATGAAGCCACAATTACTGCTCTAGATTGCCTATCTCTGGCCTTCTCATTGTATGAGAAAAATAGCCTCTTCTTGGGTTTTCTGTTAGCTCAATGGAACCTAATCTCCAGCTGATGGAATCCCCCCACTTGGTACTTATTATGCCTGATGCAAATACCATTCTTTTGGCAGTTGTTTGTTAATTTATCGACTGTGATTGAATGAATTATTGATAGTGCTTGCTTTTATTTTACTCCATATTCCCTGGTCAAATCCACAAAGTCAGCTAATAATAAAGCCCGGAGAATAATTTGGTCTCTGGTAGCTCACCACTTGGCTCAAAACCTGCTCATGCTACTCTTCCTTTTGCATTTCAAAACCATGTTCGTATTATTCCTTTTAGGGCATTACCACATGAAAATGAACAACAATAAAAAGGATTTAACCGGTAAGATCATTTTGACACTTTTATCTTCTATATTTTATATTCAAATTAAAAGAAAATTTGACACATGGGATATGAGGCTGTATAAACATATAACATATTATTTAAATGCTTCAGTTTCAGAGGAGCTGAGAGATAAATGGCATGCCTATAATTATCCCTCCACCATCAATAAACTTCAAATTAGTATCTACTCTCAAACGCAGAGAAAATTTAAAAGTGATTTTATGAAATTTCAGAAGTTACATATTCATAAATTTGTTATATTAACTTCTGAGACTCCTGGACACAGAAGTTGTCTTCAGATCCTATTTACTTGAAGGGAATTTTTCCATCTGTTTGATAGAGATACAAGAAGACCACAAGGATAAGGCTGACCACCAAACACATCCAGGCTTTTTGAGTCTCAGAAAAGCTTTCCACCAAAATTAAAACCACCGATGATGTGACACTAGATTCAGCTTATCTCCCTATCCATTTTCTTCTTCCCAATTTTATTTCCTATTAATTTTTTTGATTTATATGTCTATTAAACAATCATTCATTTAACACCAATTATGTCCAAGTACAGTGCCAGGCACTAGACAGAAAAAAGGCATGGACCTGGGCCTTAAAAAAGAATTCGCAGCCACATAGATACAGCAGATACATAATAAATCACTTAATAAAATGTATTATGTCAAAAAGTAAAAGAGGGCTGCTTGGGTGATCACAGGAGAGAGAAACTCAACTCAGCAAGGAGGAAGAGTTCAGGAAATATCTCTGAGAAAGCAGCCTTTGAATTGTCTTAAACAACGAACAGAAGTTACCTCCGTGTCCGGAATTGGTGGGTTCTTGGTCTCACTGACTTAAAGAATGAAGCCGCGAACCCTCGCGGTGAGTGTTACAGTTCTTAAAGGCGGCGTGTCTGGAGTTTGTTCCTTCTGATGTTCGGATGTGTTCGGAGTTTCTTCCTTCTGGTGGGTTCGTGGTCTCGCTGGCTCAGGAGTGAAACTGCGAACCTTCGCGGTGAGTGTTACAGCTCTTAAGACTGAGCGCCGCGTCTGGAGTTGTTTGTTCCTCCCGGTGGGTTCGTGGTCTCCCTGGCTTCAGGAGTGAAGCTGCAAACCTTCGAGGTGAGTATTAACAGCTCATAAAGGCAGTGTAGACCCAAAAAGTGAGCAGCAGCAAGATTTACTGCAAGAAGTTAAAGAACAAACATCCCACAGCGCAGAAGAAGACCCCAATAGGTTGCCACTGCTGGCTCAGGCAGCCTGCGTTTATTCCCTTATCTGGCCCCACCCACATCCTGCTGATTGGTCCATTTTACAGAGAGCCAATTGGTCTGTTTTACAGAGAGCTGATTGGTCCATTTTACAGAGCGCTGATTGGTCCATTTTGACAGGGTGCTGATTGGTGCCTTTACAATCCCTGAGCTAGATACAAAAGTTCTCCACGTCCCCACTAGATTAGCTAGACAGAGAGTGTCCACACAAAAGTTCTCCAAGTCCGCACCAGAGTAGCTAGATACAGAGTGTCGATCGGTGCATTCACAAACCCTGAGCTAGACACAGGGTGCTGATTGGTGTGTTTACAAACCTTGAGCTAGTTACAGAGTACCAATTGGTGTATTTACAATCCCTTAGCTAGACATAAAGGTTCTCCAAGTCCCCACCAGACTCAGCAGCCCAGCTGGCTTCACCCAGTGGATCTCACACCGGGGCCACAGGTGGAGCTGCCTGCTGTGCGCCTGCACTCCTCAGCCCTTGGGTGGTGGATGGGACTGGGCAGCATGGAGCAGGGGATGGCGATAGTCGGGGAGGCTTGGGCTGCACAGGAGCCCACGGCAGGGAGGGCAGGCTCAGGCATGGCAGGCTGCAGGTCCGGAGCCCTGCCCAGTGGGGAGGCAGCTAAGGCCCGGCAAGAAGTCGAGCACAGCAGCTGCTGGCCCAGCTGCTAAGCCCCTCACTGGCCGGGGCTTGTGGGCTGGGGTCCGCTCCGAGTGCCAGGCCTGCCGAGCCCACGCCCACCTGGAACTCGCGCTGGCCCGCAAGCGCCGTGTGCAGCCCCGGTTCCCACCTGCGCCTCTCCCTCCACACCTCCCTGCAAGCTGAGGGAGCCGGCTCTGGCCTTGGCCAGCCCAGAAAGGGGCTCCCACAGTGCAGTGGCAGGCTGAAGGGCTCCTCAAGTGCCGCCAAAGTAGGAGCCCAGGCAGAGGAGACGCCGAGAGCCAGCGACGGCTGCCAGCACGCTGTCATCTCTCACCTCTACCACTGAAAATATTATCCAAATCCAACTGCTTCTCAGAATATCCACTGCTACCAGCCTAGTGCATCATTCATCTATCTGGATCACTGCAATGGCCTCCTAACAGGTACCTCTGCTGGAAACCCCTGTGCCTACAGCAGCCACAGTGAGCTTCTTAAGAGGTGATCAGATGATGTCACCCCTCTAATGGCTTTCCTACATTCTTAAAATAAAAGTCTTCACTATGTTTATAAAACCCTACAGGATCTGGTAGTTGGCTACCCTTTGGATCTTATTTCCCATTACTCTTATTTCCTATTACTCTTCCCCTGGCTGACAGCAGCTCCATCTACACTGGCCCCCTTGACATTCCTCAAGCACACCAAGAAATTTGCCCAGGAGTGTTTGTATGTGGCGTTCTTTTTGCCTAGAAATATTCTAATGGCTTACTCACCTTATTTGGATCTCTGTGGAAATGTCACCTCCTCAAGGATGCCCTCCATGACTATACCATCTAAAATAATACTCCCCATCACTCTCTATCTCCTTACATTTCATTGGTTTTATTTTCCTTCCTAGCACTTATCACTGTCTAACATTATGTATTTATTAATTGTCTATCTTCCCTTCTAGAATGTAAGTTTTATGAGAGCAAGATTTTATTTAGTTTACTGTTATGTCCCCAGCACCTGGAGCAATTCCTACACTTAGTAGGCACTTGATAAATATCCATAGAATAAACAAATATATCACATCCCCCTAACCCAGAAAAAAGAAGAAAGGAAAGGATAGTGTGTTCAGAAGTAATTTACATGGCAAGACCAGGTTCTTTACTCCCATTCTAGTTGAGCTAAATGATCTGTTCTAGCTAACAACATGAAGCCAAACAGAAAAGATCAGCTTCTAAGTGAATGTGGGGGGTATTACTTGTTTATAAAGTTTTAGAAATACTATTCCTAAAAATCAGTCATAATACCAAAAGCTTTTTTAAATCTTGCAAGTTCTAAGTGAACACAAGACCCAGGTTCATTTGGAAACACATATTCTGCCACCTCAGCTTAGTGTCATACTCTGAAGATAGGATTTTCAGATGGCCAAGGGTTCCTTGAAACTTTGTTGTCCATCCCCATTGGAAAGTTACGTAAAAATTACCGTACACGTAGAGGAAGAGTTCTTAAAATGGTAACTCAGAGGCCCATTCTGCATTCTGGAATTGGGGAAGACGGGCTACATAGTATTTTTTAAAATTTGAATTAGTTGCCTGCATTTATATATTAGATTTCACATAAAATCCATCTTCTGAAAATGTGAAAGATCTAGCAACATAAATTAATAGTCAGCTGCAGCTGAGTTACAGCTGCTCCCTTCAGATGGGCCAAGTGCAGTAAGTATCACTTAATATCACCGATAAGTTCTTGAAAACTGAAGCTTTAAATGACATGATGTGTAACTGTTACTGAGCAATGGGCTCGCTTCCTGGTTAACATAGACGCAAATACTATGACACCAGTTTTTAAGAAAAAAAAAGGTTTTATTGTGGGGTTGGCGGCGAGGAGGCAGGAGACAAAGCTCAATTCCATCTCCCCATTCTGGAGTCTGGGGCAAGTTTTCTGGGTTAGAGAGAGCAGGCTGGTATGCAGAAGTGCTGGTGGGTAGGTCTTGATTGGAAGAACTTTAAACAAGACCATATATGGTAAAGTATGGTAAGGGATCTTAACACCTAACATTCCTGAGCTTGTACCCCTTCACTTTTGAAAGTGTTCTGGCCTTCAGTTCTGACCAAGTCTTGATACATTTGTTCCATGAGGGGAGTGAAACTTCAGTTCCAGATTTTATTTGAGGTTGAAATCTTTTCTGTGCATACTTCAGCTGTATGACTCGTAATTTCTTCACTCTGTGCCTGTAAAATAATTTAATATCCTGTTTTCAATAGAGTAGGGCCAGTTAAAACTGGTTCAGTGGTTATATGAGAAAACCAATTTTATAATAGGCTAATTGACATAAACAAGAGTTAAGTTCCTATGGCATATTTCTGGTCACAAAAACATCATCAGACATCTAAATAAAGGCCAAAATACTTCTAATATTAAACATTGAAATAAATGTGAGGTATACATTCAAATGAGAAAAAGCAATAAAAACAAATTAGATAACTATTTACCCAATTATTCCAGTTCAGGGTCATGGGTGACCATAGCGTATCCTAGCAGCTGGGTCACAAAGTGGGAACCTGCGGCAGGCCGGGTCTCACTAACGCAGGCCTCCGTTACAACTGTGCCAGCACTGACTGAGTAGGGAGGTTAAACATTAAAAGCTGATTGAGCCAGTGCCCTTACACAAAGGCTGGAATGTAACAAAAGCCCGCCAAAAGTTTTGTCTAGGCCTTTCCTGGGCCTTAAAGCATGACAAAATAATGAAGGAATTAACATGACCCATTTAGGATTAAACAAGTTTTACTGGGGGTCTGAACAAACTCCCCAAGCCTCCATAAACAAGTTTATTGGATCTAAAGGAACTCCCCAAACCTCTGTGATTTAGCGGGAGACCAGATAAGGGTCATCACTGCCACACCTGGACCCATTTAGATTAAGAAAATTTACTTTGGCTTCAGAAGAAGGTCTTCAGGACTCAGACCCTAGTTATAGATTAAAAGAAGTTTATCATTTATGTCTTTAGATGAATGCACACTTACACGTAGACATATAGCTTGGAAGGTATATAAGCTCTGGAAAACTTTGTAATTTTGCATTGGTCTGGCAACAATTTCCAGGCCTTCTCCCTGTAACCAGTTACATAAATAAAAACTCTCTTCCTCCCCAGTTAATCTGTGTCTCATTATTGGGCTTCATGAAATAGCAGCCTGACCCTTGGTTTGGTCCGGTAACAAACCCACCTTAGACAGGATGCCATTCCATCACAGGACACACTCCCACACACATCCACACTCACTCAAACTGGGACAATTCAGACATGCCAATGAACCTAACATCTTTGGGATGTGGGAGGAAACCAGGGTATCTGAAGAAAATCCATACAGACATGAGGAGAATGTGCAAATGAAGACAATGGCCCCAGCCTAGGATCAATTTTTTTTTCTCATCAGCATTATAATGAAATGGTACTGAAGAGAAACAATGTTATTCCAGGACCTGCTGTACTCTGCAGCATGCCACAATGCTTACCACAGACTCTATTAACTCAGGTGGGTTCCCTCGTTTATTTTACCTGTCTAGTCCCTGCAGCATTTAACTTTTTATCTCTTACCTTAAACATGATTGGTTAATTGTCCCAGAGACAGGGAGATCATCAAAGAAGCAAAAGCGCCCGTATAATCACCATGAAGAACCACCAACCTTTAAAATAACACAAGCCATTGTAGAAACGTAGAATGGGGCCTCAGAAATCATCCAGTTTTCTTCATTATTATAAATGAGGAAACAGAGGCCCAGACGGGTCAAACTTTGAACAGATCAAAGATTAAATCTCTTGATGCCCAAGAAGGTCCTGTATCTCCCACTGAGCACCTACCAGAACATGTATTTGTGTGTTAGCAAACATTGCAATGTAAACCTGGTTGGTGTTGGAGCCGTTCAATGGCTCCAACCCCTAATGTTTTGAAAACATTTTTTAAAGGCTAAATACTAGGAAAAGGCAGTATTTCTAACCATGTAAGTGCAACTGGGAAAAAAATTCTCTAGAATAAAGTTCTCATAAGGCCAAGACAAGATGTGAAGAACTGAAGCTGGCCTAGGTTAAGGGTCAGAAAATTGTTTTAGTAAAGGGCCAGGATAGCAAGCATTTTAAGCTTTGTGGGCAATTGGTCTCATAGCAACCACTCAACTTTGCTGCCATTGCATAAAGCATCCATGGATAATATGTAAGTAAATGGGTGCTACTCTGTTCCAAAAAAAACTTCATTTATGTACACTGAAAATTGAATTTCATATCATTTTCATGGGTCATGAAATAACATTCTCTGATTTTTTTTTCTTTGAACCACTATAAATCTAAAAAGTATTTCTAGCTCATAGATCATACGAAAACTGAGTATGGACAGGATTTTGCCCATGGGCCATAGTTTGCCAATCTCTGGCCCAGATCGTGAGGGTGGATGAGAGGAGGAGCCAAACCTGCTTGTCCTGGGATCCTAGGGTTTTGTTCAGTCTGAATACAAGATTTCTTCTTCTAGCCAGACCAGCCTGGTGTTTTTTATGGTATTTCAATTGTCTTACAGTTTGTCAACTTTATATCATTTACTCATCTTTTTGGCTGATCTTCACAATTATCCTGTGAGGTACATAGAGCAGGTATATATGTTGTATTTCAAATTTGTTCATTACTTGTACAGATTACAATAACAATAATAGAAGAGAAGTTCACTGGAAATATCACCACCTCAAGAAACAATATTTGATATTTTCTTTATATTCCTACATGCCTTTTTCATATACATGCAAAATTCTACAGAATTGGCATCATAATGTGAATATAATTATATATTCCAGTTTTTCATATAACTGATCCATGCATTATACTTTATTACTAAATAGGCATCATGGTGAATATTTAAGATACTATGTAATATATCATTAGTTACTTAATCTTTTCTCATTTGTTTGACATTTAAGAAGTTTCCAGTTGTTTACCATAAGTAATACTGCAATGAATGTCCTTTTTTACTTTACTTTTACATGAGTATTTCCTAACAATATTCCCAGAAGTGAGATTACCTGATAAAAGGACAGTAACACTTTTAGATTCTTGATATGCTTTAGAAACTTCTTTCAAAAAAATTACATGAAAGCCCAGCCACCAGTAATGAGCTTGATACAAGGAGAAAGATCTACTATTCTATAGCACTATAGGTTGACTAGAGTTAACAATAAATTATTGTATATTTTCAAATAGCTAAAAGAAAGGATTTTGAATGTTCTCAACATTAAAAAAAAAGTTTGATGTTTGGAGTGATTATGCTAGTTACCCTGATTTTATTGCTATATCTGGTATGTATTGGAACTCACTATCTACCCCATATATATGTACAATTATTATATGTCAAGTAAATAAAAATTGAAAAAAGAGAAAATAATGTAAATAATTTTACATTATTAATTTTTATTAATTTTTTATTAATTTTATTTATATTAATTTTTACATTATTTTACATTCAATAAAAATTGAAAAAAGAGAAAATAATAGCATACATTATTGGAGAAAATTTGGAATATGCAGAAAAAATACACTGGAGAAAATAAAATATTTTGTTTATAAAAACCCACCAGTAATATATGGATATACCAGAAAAGGATTTTCATTAGCACGGGTTTAAAAGACTGGGTCATGGAGCAGCCCAACTCTGTCATTGACTCCTGTGTTACCTTCGGAATGTTACTTCTACCTTAAGCTTTGATTTCCTCATCTGTCAAATAAGGACAATAATACGTGTTTTATGTTAGGATTAAAAGAGATGATCTATGTTAAGGGTGACCTATAATAAACAACTTCCAAATACTAGTGAAGGTTATATCATGATGATGATAATGATGATGATAGTGGTGATAATGAAGGTAATGATGATGATGATGAGCTTCAGTTTATTCATGAACAACCAGGATTTAGATTAGCTAAGTATCTTGCCCAGTGTCACACAATCGGTTGAATAGCATTTGCATTCCAGTTCATGTCTTTTGTTGTTTATCTTTGATGGTAGCCAAGGATCTTGTGGAACATTTAATATATGAATTGTTTTGATTTCTTGCTTACTCTCAAGAACATGTTGTTTTCAGACTGACTTCTAAGTCTTAGATACCAGCCAATCTGTTCCTTCTGTATCTGAGAACCCCAATGGTCCAGCTCTAACCTGCTACACAAAGCCAGACATAAAACTTTTCCCTTCACATTTTTAAAATTAAGCAAGTAACAGAATAGCATTATATGGCATAATCTTTGTGCCTTCTAGCACTCGCATCAACCTAGTCACAAAGCTTGCCACAACAGCCTTTTATTTCTAACAGCGTTTACATTGCTATTTAAAGTAGATGTTGACAGGTTTTAACACTGAGTTCATTTATATTCATAACCTTTTATACAAACTCCAATATTTCAAGGTTAATGAAATCAGCACTCCTGAAACTGAGAACTAATATCCAAGAAGAATTCATATATGTAAAAAATATTGCTTCCTTCTCTTTGTTTCTTCTCGTTCAAAAACAGTATTCCTAAGAAAAGTCAAAATTATGGTCAGTAACAATTAACATGAGAATTTAATTGAGAATTAACATGGAAATTTTAATGTGAGAAACCTATAATCTATATTCTATCATCTTATTCTGAATGAAACACAAAGATATAGTCTACACACTTTCTTAGGAGCTTTTGCTAGTGCTTAATTACTGCTCCCAAGATGGTTTTTTGCTTGTCTGCTTATTGAAGCAGTTGTGTTCTGGGTGTTGGTTGCACAGTAATAGTTTTGATTTAAACCATGTGAAGCAAATCTGGTTCTAAGAATTAATGACACGTGTTTATAGATGGGTGGCATTTGAGAATCTACAGCATGTGTCAGCAAACTTTTTTTAAAAGAGCTAGATAGGAAAGATTTCAGGCTTTGCAGGCAAAAGATCTCTGTTGCAATTACTTAACTCTGCTATAGACAATGTGTAAATGAAAAGGTCCTAGTTGTGTTCCAATAAAACTTTTTTTTTTCTAGGTGAAGTCTCACTTTGCCACCCAGGCTTATGAAGTGCAATGGCACAATCATGGCTTGCAGCCTCAACCTCCCAGGCTTAAGTGATTCTCCTGCCTCAGCCTCCTGAGTTGCCGGGACTACTGGCATGCACCACAATGCCTGGCTAATTTTTTAATTTTTGTAGAGATGGGGTGTCCCCATGTTGTCTATCCAGGCTAGTGTCAAACTTCTGGCCTCAAGTGACCCTCCCCCCTCAGGCTTCCAAAGTGCTGGGATTACAATCATGATCCACCATGCCTGGCCAAACCTTCATTTTAAAAAGAAGATATTATGCCTGCAAGATATAGTTTGCTGACATCTGGTGTAGAAACTAGAAGAGCTTGTTCTAGATGTCAGTGGCACTAGTCATATCTTGATATTTCATGGCACTTAATAACAATGTAATGGCACACATGTTTCCAGATTTTGCTGTTTTCTGGCACCTTGCAGAACCAACACATGGTAGAGGCTTCTTAAGACTGGGTGAGACTTATGATTCTAGACCCTGATAGCACTTAAGTTTTTATGTTTGGTGATCCTTGTCACTTTGAGTACTTATGGCATATACAGTTCTAGAAGGTGGTAGTTTATGGCATTAAAAGTAATTTGCCAATCTTAAATTCATAGTCCTTATCCTATAGTAAACACTCGGAGAATGTTTGTTAAGTGAGTAAATGATCCTTACTTTAGTCTCCAAGAGGTGCTAAAAATTACATCTCTAATATTTACTAATTTCTCCACTCCATGGTGTATATTCAATAACTGGCAAGATAATTTGGGGAAAAAGATGAGCAAATCTGACCATGTGGTTTGGATTTTCATTAATCCATACCTTCAGGATTAGTTAAGGATCCTGGGATACGTAGGATTAATTAAGAATACATAGGGTACAGAACTACCTCTACCTAGTCATGTTAAATGTCATATCTGGGTGTCTGGTTCACCTGCTTTATAAATATCTCTTATTGAAGCTTGGTATATTTTCCAAAAGTGCTATAGAAAAATTTCTTCATGCCTCCCAAAAAGAGAATGCTATTATATTGAAGTCCTACTGGTCTCATTCCTAGATAAATTAATATAGAATTGTATCCCCCTTCTGCACCATTCCGAGAATGTGCTACACTGGGTTTACAAAACTCCAATTTTACAAGTAAAAGTATAAAATAATGAGAGTGAAGTAAGGGCTACCAGTTGACTTAAGAACATTGTTAGAAATAGACGGTTACTGTGCAAACATACACACAAATTCATTTATGCTTAATTGATTCCTTCTTTAAGTAAAATAACTAAGACAAGGTAGAAACATTTCTGTAGAAAAGGGAATGTGCAAGCGCCACAGAAAAGACATATTAACTAACCAAGGTTTTGGCACCATCATGTGGCCATTTAGATTTGTTTTATTTTATTTTTTCCAGAATTGTTGAAGTACGATTTACAAATAAATATTGTATATATTTAAGGTATACATTGTGATGTTTTGATATATGTATACATTGTGAAATGATTGTCATAATCAATCTAATTAACATACCCATTACCTCACATAGTAACCATTTTGTGTGTATGAGTGTGCATGGCAAGAACACTTAAGATCTACTCTCTAGACAAATTTTAAGTATGTGATACATAATTATTAACCATGCTGTACTTTAGATCTCCAGAACTCATTAATCTTACAACTGAAATTTTATCCCCTTTGACTAATATCTCCCCATTTCTCCTACACTTCAGTCTTCTACTCTCCATATCTATGTTTTACATATAAGTGAGATCACATGTGTATATCTTTCTGTTCCTGCCCTATTTCCCATAGCATAATGTCTCCTGGGTTCATTTATGTTATCACAAATGGCAGGATTTTCTTCTTCTGTAAGGCTCAATAATATTCCTGTGTGTGTCGCATTTCCTTTGCACATTCATTCGTCAGTGGACACTTACATTGGTTTCCATATCTTGAATAAATGCTGCATGAATGTGGGAGTGCAGATATCTCTTTGAGACAATAATTTTATTTTCTTTGGATATATACCCAGCAGTGGGATTGATGGATTGTATGGTAGTTTTATTTTTAATTTTCGAAGTACATCCATACCATTTTCCACAATGGCTGTACCTCCAACTATGTACAAAGGTTCCCTTTTCTCCACAGCCTTGCCAACACTGGTTACCTTTCAACTTGTTGATAATAATCATCGCAACTGTGAGGTTATATCTCACTGTGGTGTTTATTTGTATTTCTCTGATGATTAGTGATGTTGTGTATCTTTTTATATACCTGTTGGCCATTTATATTTCTTCCGTGGGAAAATATCTATTCAGTTTTTTTGCCAATGGTTTAATTAGGTTATTTGTGTTTTTGCTATTGAGGTCCCTTATATATTTTAGATAATAATCCTTTATAGGATATATGATTTGCAAATATTTTTGCCCATTCTATAGGTTGTCTTTTCATTTTGTTGGTTGTTTCTTTTACCATACAGAAGCTTTTTTGTATGATGTAGTCCATGTGTTGCCTGTACTTTTGGCAAAAAAATCATTACCAAGGCCAATGTCAAGGAACTTTTCCTCTATGTTTTCTTCTGGTAGTTTTATAGTTTCAGGTCTTATGTCTGTAATCCATTTTGAGTAGATTTTTGTGCATGGTGTAATATAAGGGCCCAATTTCATTCCTTTGCATGTGGATATTCAGTTACTCTAACATTATTTATTGGAGAGAATATCCATTCATCACTGTGTATTCTTGGCACCTTTGTTGAAGATTAATTGACTATACAAGTGTGGGTTTATTTCTGGGCCCTCTATGCTTTCCATTGGTCTATGTGTCTGTTTTATGGCACTATCATACTGCTTTAATTACTGTAATCTTTGTAATATTACTTGAAATCAGAAAGTGTAATGCCTCCAGCTTTGTTCTTCTTTCTCAAGATTGCTTTAGCTCTTCAGTGTCTTTTGTGGTCCTATATGAATTTAAGCACTATTTTTTCTATTTCTGTTAAAGAATGGCGTTGGAATTTTGATAGGGATTGCACTGAATCTATAAATCATTTTAGGTGGTATGGACATTTTGACAATATTAATTTTTCTGATCCATGAACATGGAATATCTTGTCATTTATTTGTGGCTTCTTCAATTATTTCCATCAATATTTTATAGATTTAGGATACAGATCTTTCGCTTCCTTGGTTAATTTTATTTCTAAGTATTTTTTATGCTATGATAAATGGAATTGTTTTCTAGATTACCTTTTTGGATAGTTTGTTATTTGTGTATAGAAACATAACTGATTTTCGTATGTCTGTTGTGCATCCTGCAACTTTACTAAATTTGTTTATCAGTTCTGACAGTTTTTTGGTGGAGTCTTTATGGTTTTCTATATGTCAGATCATGTCATCTTCAAACAGAGGCAATTTAACTACTTCCTTTAGAATTTGTATTACTTTTATTTTTTTTCCTTGTCAAATTACCCTAGCTAGAACTTCCAGTACTATGATAAATAGAAGTGGAGAGAATGGGCATCCTTGTCTTATTTCTGATCTTAGAGGAAAAGCTTTCAATTTTGAACATTGAGTATAATGTTAGCTGTGGTTTTCTTCATATTTGGTCTTTATTGTGGTGAAACAAGTCCCTTCTATATCTATTTTATTGAGAGATTTTTATAGTGAATGAATGTTAAATTTTGTCAAAAGTTTTTTCTACATAGACTGAGATGATCATAAGATTTTTGTCCTTTATTTTGTTAAAGTGGTATACCACATCAATTGGTTTGTGTATATTGAACTATCCTTTCATCTTAGGAATAAATCCCACCTGATCATGATGCATGATCCTTTTAATGTGCTGTTGTTTTCAGTTTGCTAGTATTTTATTGAAGATTTTGGTGTCTGTATTCATGAGGGATATTGACTTGTAGTTTTCTTGTGGTGTCTTTGTCTGGCTTTGGTATCAAGATAATGCTGACCTCATGAGTGAATTTAGAACCATTTCTCCTTTTTCTATTATTTGAAAGGGCTTAGAATGGATTAGCATTAATTCTTCTTTGAATGTTTGGTAGAATTCACTCATGAAGCCACCTGGTCCTGGGCTTTTATTTTATGGAGGGTTTTTGATTACTAATTCAATCTCTTTATTTGTTACTGGTCTGTTCAGACTTTCTATTCCTTCTTTATTCATTTGTTTATTTAAAATATTTCTTATAAACTTTTATGTTTATAAACTTCCCTCTTGGTACTGCCTTTACTACATCTCATAAGTTTTGGTATATTGTGTTTTCATTTTTCTTGAATTTTTAAAAAATTTATTTTTGTTTTCCTCTTTGACTCAATGTGTATTACTTAATTTCCATATATTTGTGAATTTTTCATTTTCTTACTGTTATTAATTTGTAGTTTCATTCCATTGTAGTCAGAAAAATACCTGGTATGATTTCAATCTTCTTAAATTTGTTAAGACTTACTTCGTAATCTAACATGCAATCTATCATGGAGAATGTTCCTTGTGTGCTTGAGAAGAATGTGTATATGTATGCTGTCGAGTAGAAAGTTCTGTATGTTTCTCGGGTCTATTTGGTCTATAGTATTACTCAAGTCAGCAATTTCTTTGTTAATTCTGTCTGGTGTTCTATCCATTTACTGAGAGAGGGATACTGAATTCTTCTACTATTATTGTATTGATGTCAATTTCTGCCTTCAGATCTGCCAATATTTGCTTTATGTATTTAGGTGCTCTAATATTAAGTGCATGTATATTTACAATATTTATGTTTTCCTGTTGAATTGCCTCTTTATCATTACATGATTACATTATTTGTGACAGTTTTTGAGTTAAAGTCTATTTTTTCTGATATAAGTGTAACCACTTCTGCTTTCTTTTGATTATCATTTGTATGGATTATCTTTTCTGTTCCCTAACTTTCAGCCTGTGTCTGTCCTTTAAGCTGAAGTGAGTCTCTTATGGAAAGCATATTACTAGCTCTTTTTTCTTTATCCACTTGGACACTTTATGTCTTTTGATTGGGGAATTTAATTCATTCACCTTTAAGATAATTATTGACAGATGAGGACTTACTATGGACATTTTGTTGTTTTCTGTCACCTTTGCTATTGTTTTGTTCCTGTCTTCCTCTCTCATTGTCTTTTGTTGTTAGTTGATGACTATCTGTAGTAATTTCTTTGATTCTTGTCTCTGTATTATATATATATCATATAGATATCTATATATATATCATATATATTTACATATATGTAAAGCCTTTGTATGCAATACAAGTTAAATTACCAACTTAAGATAAAAAGTAATAATTACAAGATACTTTATACAAGTCTCATGGTAGCCACAAAAACCCTGATATATATCTATATATAGATAGGTATATATCAGGTATATATATATATATCAGATATGGATAGATGGATAGATATCAGGTATATATATATCAGATATATATATAGATACATATCAGGGTTTTTGTGGCTACCTTGAGACTTGTATAAAGTATCTTGTAATTATGACTTTTTATCTTAAGTTGGTAATTTAACTTGAATTGCATACAAAGGCTTTACATTTTTGGCAGGGCGCAGTGGCTCACGCCTGTAATTCCAGCACTTTTGGGAGGCCGAGGCGGGTGGATCACGAGGTCAGGAGATCAAGACCATCCTGGCTAACACAGTGAAATCCCGTCTCTACTAAAAAATATAAAAAATTAGCCGGGCATGGTGGCAGGCGCCTGTAGTCCCAGCTAGGGAGGCTGAGGCAGGAGAATGGCGTGAACCCGGAAGGCGGAGCTTGCAGTGAGCCAAGTTCGTGCCACTGCACTCCAGCCTGGGCGACAGAGCGAGACTCGGTCTCAAAAAAAAAAAAAAAAGGCTTTACATTTTTACTCCACACTTTTGGTGTTCTTAAAGTCAGTTTGACTCTTTATATAGCGTGTATCCATTAACAAATTTTTGTGGCCACAGTTATTCCTAGTATTTTTGTCTTGTAACTTTTATGTTTATGTTAAAAGTAATTTATGTTCCACCATTACATTGTTGCATTGTTCTGTATTTGTATATATATTAACCTTTACTAGTCACATTTATGCTTTCACATTGCTCTTTAGTATGTTTTTATTTCAATTTGAAGAACCCCCTGAGCATTTCTTGTAAGGCAGTTCTGATGGTGATGAACTCCCTCAGTTTTTCTTTGTCTGTAAACGACTTTCTCCTTCATTTTGAAAGGATAGTTTTGCTGAGTATAGTATTCTTGATTAGCAGGGTTTGTTTTTTTTTTCAGTATTTTCAATATGTTATCTATCCCACTTTCTCCTGGCCTGCGAGGTTTTTGCTGAGAGATCTGCTGATAGTCCTATAGAAGTTTCTATTTATGTGTATAAAACCTCTTCTTATTTTTATGGACTGCTTTCAGCAGGTAAAGACCTTCTCTTGCCTCATTCTCAGACTAATGGGACTGCCTCTTGGATCATAGTCAAGTGGGGCTAGAAGTGGGTCACATGGCTATGGCCTGGTCTGCAGTTGGTTCCACAGTCTGCAGTCCTGTTACCAGGAGTATGGGCAAGCATGGTTTCTGCCATGTCATTTTGTTCTTGCTGCTCTCAAAATTCTCTATTTTTGACTTATGACAATTTAATTATAATGTGATGTGTTTCAGCATAGGCCTTTTTATTTTCAACCTATATGAAGTTCATAATTTCTTAAATGGGGATGTTTATTTTCTTCCCCAAATTTGGGGAGTTTTCAGTCATTTCTTCTTTAGATAAGCTTTTTGCTCCTTTCTCTTTCACTTTTCCTTTGGAGACTTACATAATGTACATGCAGACTAGCTTGAAGGTGCCTCATCAATTCTGTAGCCTTTCTCATTCTTTTTTATTTATTTATTTATTTATTTTTTGTCTTTTTTCTCCTGTGGCTGGATAATTTCAAATGGCCTGCCTCTGGGCCCTGTACATGAACAAAATGAGAGGTATGATTTCTAAACCTTTGTTAAACCTCTCATTTTGTTCATGTACTGTTTTCCTGAGATATTGATTTAGCTGTCTATTGAGCTTGTAGCTCACTGTGCTTCCGTAAGACAATTATTTTCAATTTGTTGTCAAGAAATTCATAGATCTATACTTTTTGGTACTTGGTTACTAGAGCTTTATTAATTTCCTTCAGTAGTGTCATGTTTGCCTGGTTCTTCATGATTCATATAGCTTCATATTGGTATCTGCTCACTTGAGGAGCAAACACCTCTTCCTGTTTTTATAGACTGCTTTCAGCAGGTAAAGACCTTCTCCTGCCTCATTCTCAGACTGACAGAACTGCTTCTTGGGTCAGAGTCAAGTGGGGCTAGAGCTAGGTCACATGGCTGTGGCCTGGTCTGTAGTTGGTTCCACAGTTGACAGTCCTGTTACCAGGGGTGTGGGCAAGCATGATTCCTGCCAGATCCCCAGATTGATGGAACCACCTCCAGAACCACAGTTGAACAAGGCTAGAGCCTGGTCATGGGGCTGCTTCTGTTTGTGCAATTGAGTCTGCAGACAGTGGGTCTGCAGCCAGAGAATACCTGCTAAGCGTGTGGCTCCACCAGGTCCCTAACAGAACAGACTCCTGTCAGGGCCCTGTTTAGGTCTCTAAGCAGGAAGGACTTCCCCCAATACTGTGGTAGAGCAGTGCTGGAGCCAGCTCACAGGACTGCAGCAAGGTTTACAGTCAGGCTCAAGGTCAGTGGGCCTACCATGAGGGGCATGTATGCCACCAATTCTTCAAGCAGGCAAGATTACTCTGAAACCATGACAGAAGGAGGCTGGAACTGAGTCTCAGGGCTGCTTCAGGGTCTATAGCCAGGACTGACTTAGGGTCCACAGCAGGGACTGAGGGCAGCAGGCCTGCTACCAGGGGCATGGACAGACATTACTTGGTCTTTGGGTGGGCAGGACTGAGAGCAGGACAGGAGCTGGGTCACAGGGACTCTTCAAGAGCCACAGTAGGGACCAAGGTTGGTGGATCTATAACCTGGGGCATGACAATGTGTGTTTCACAAGATCCCTTTGAATGCAGCACTGACTCCAGACTGGTGGTAGAGCAGGGTTGAAGCCAAGTCACAGGGCCATTTCAGGGTCCACAGTCCGGTCTGTGGCCAGTAGGCCTGTTACCAGAGGCATAGATTGGTATGGCTCCTCCCAGGTCTTTTGCTGGATAGGGCTAGTTACAGCACTG
The DNA here is from genome assembly GCF_000001405.40 of Homo sapiens. Lineage (NCBI taxonomy): Eukaryota > Metazoa > Chordata > Mammalia > Primates > Hominidae > Homo > Homo sapiens. Next base: position 25,836,688 of record NC_000003.12, on the reverse strand, counting down.
CAGCCAAGCAGGGCTAGAGCCACATCCATGGGGGGACGGGGCTGCTTTGGGTCTATAGCTGGAATCATGCTCAGTGAGCCTGCCACTGGGGCATGTACCTGCCTTCTCAGAGCACCTCTCCTCAGTCTTGAGCTTTGCCAGGGTTTTGTGACCTCTTATCTGGATCCCAAAGCTCCCACAAAGGCAGTTTTGTTCATGAACAGCTGCCAAACCATTGTTTGTGTTGGGGAACATGAGCTGGGGTCTTCTTATTCTGCATGTGCTGGCAACTGCGGCCATTTACATTTGGCCGTTAGAAACTAAAGTTCTCCATAGCCAACATGTTCCCAAAACTCCACAATTTCCACATATCTGGAAATAAAGGTGACATTCTTCAAAATAATATTTCAATAAAACCTGTTCTCTGACTTTTCAGGGACAAATGATTATTACGATCAAATTATTAGCTGACTTATAAAGTTGATTTGCCTATTTTGAATCCAATTATTGTCAAGCCTCCTGGAATTTACTGGCTAAATGTCTGATACTTCTCTTTTCTATCTTTCCCTACTGCCAGCACCCTAGTTCAAGTGCCTATGGTTGTCTTTCAGCAAATCTGTCTCTTAACCTCCTAATTTCTCTAAATAAAATAAACTCTTCATTCCCTCCAATTCGTTCTCCACTCCACTGCCACAGTGATTTGTGTTTGTGCAAAAGTAATCATGTCACTCCTAAACTCCAATTAAAATCCTTCAGTAATATCCCACTTCTCCTAAGAAGTTTCCCAATCCTAACATGGTACATAGCCCTGTCTAATACAGTAGCCTCTACTATACAAGCCACTTGTGTTATTGAGCACTTGAAATGTGCCTTATCCAAATGAAGATGTGCTGGTAATGTAAGTGCACCACAGACTTTGAAGACTTAAGACACAAAAATTAATGTAAATTATCTCATTAATAATTTTGTAGTGATTACATGTTGAAATAATGACATTATAATTGGTTAAATACAGTATATTATTAAAATTACTTTTGCTTATTTCTTTTTACCTTTATAATATAGACCTAAAACTGAGTATATGGTGAAGCAAACAGGAAAAGTTTCCTTCCCTATGGAGCTTACAATCTCATGGAAGAAATAGGAGATAAGCAACATATTTCAGATAGAGAATGCAACATAGTGATACATGCTAAGGAGAAGAGGAATATGAGGTGTCAAGACAGGTGGTTGCATTTTAGGATCGATTTTCGGTAAGGTATTATTGAGTAGATGATTTTTGAGTCCTAAAGAAAGTAAAGGAAGATTGTTATGGGAAAATTGTTATAGGCAGAGGGAAACTGTTACAGGCAGAGGAAAAAGTAAGGGCAAAAGCTATAAGGGCAGGAGCAAACCTTGTTTACTGATGAAAGTGCAAAGAGGTCAGTGTGACTTAAACTCAGTGAACAAGGGGATAAGGGTAGAAGTGGAGGTCAGGGTAATAGTATCTACCAAATCATTTAGACTCTTACAGGCTGTGCTAAGGACTTTAGCTGAGTATGTTAGGAAACTGCCAGAGATAATAAATACCATACTTATGTGAACTCAGAAATTTTTTCAAATTCTCATTCTTGCCAGGTTAAAAAAAAAATACATCAAAAACAAGAAAAGAAAATTTTATCTCCAGCCCAAACCCCTTCCCTGACTCTTTGTCACACACACATGCACCCACGTGTAGATATATACACACAGACACACACACACACACACATATGTATATTAAATCACTTTAATCACTTACTTGATATCTTTCCTTAGTGTATCCAAAAGCTTTTTCAAACTTTACATATCCAAAGTTAATTACTGATATGCCACCCCTCATGACCTGTTTGCATTTATATAAAACCATTCAGCACCTAAATAGAAATAATTTACAGTAAAAATCTTCTAGTTTCACCTCTGCTATATAGAAAGATTGGAAGTCCTATCTCCCATCTTACAATAAGAAAAGCTGAACAAACTGAAAATCCATGACTTTAATTGGACCCTTCAGAGGCTGAGGTAGCAGGGCAAATAACTGCCCTGAAATCTAGAGAGACAAGTACATCCAGAGACTCATAGCCAAGATCTGCTTACCTGGAGCAGAAGCTGCTGGGGTCATAAACATAGCCACAGGTTCCACATGGTGGCTATAGTTAGATGGAGGATTTGATTTGTCAGCACCTAGCAGATGTGGAAGGCTTTTTTAAGAAATGAAACCCAGAAGTAAAACATTTTACACAAGCCATGAAACCTAAAGAAGAAGAAAAAAAAAAAACTGTGACTACATAAAAATGAAGAACATCTGTGTAACAAAAGAAAAGAAAATGTTCAAAGATAACAAGAGGCCAGGTGTGGTGGCTCATGCCTGTAATCCCAGCACTTTGGGAGGCTGAGGCGGGTGGATCACAAGGTCAGGAGATTGAGACCATCCTGACTAACACAGTGAAACTCTGTCTCTACTAAAAATATAAAAAATTAGCTGGGCGTGGTGGCACGCGCCTGTAGTCCCAGCCACCCAGGAGGCTGAGGCAGGAGAATCATTTGAACCCAGGAGACGGGGGTTGCAGTGAGCCAAGATCACGCCACTGCACTCCAGCCTGGGCCCCAGAGTGAGACTCCGTCTCAAACAGGCAACCTACAGAATGGGAGAAAATGTTTGCAATCTACTCATCTGACAAAGGGCTAATATCCAGAAACTACAAAGAACTCAAACAAATTTGCAAGAAAAAAACAAACAACCCCATCAAAAAGTGGGCAAAGGATATGAATAGACACATCTCAAAAGAAGACATTTATGCAGCCAAAAGACACATGAAAAAGTGCTCATCATCACTGGCCATCAGAGAAATGCAAATCAAAACCACAATGAGATACCATTTCACACCAGTTAGAATGGCGATCATTAAAAAGTCAGGAAACAACAGGCGCTGGAGAGGATGTGGAGAAATAGGAACACTTTTACACTGTTGGTGGGACTGTAAACCAGTTCAACCATTGTGGAAGACAGTGTGGCGATTCCTCAAGGATCTAGAACTAGAAATACCATTTGACCCAGCCGTCCCATTACTGGGTATATACCCAAAGGATTATAAATTATGCTGCTATAAAGACACATGCACACATATGTTTATTGCGGCACTAGTCACAATAGCAAAGACTTGGAACCGACCCAAATGTCCAACAATGATAGACTGGATTAAGCAAATGTGGCGCATATACACCATGGAATACTATGCAGTCATAAAAGAGGATGAGTTCATGTCCTTTGTAGGGACATGGATGAAGCTGGAAACCATCATTCTCAGCAAACTATCACAAGGACAAGAAACCAAACACCGCATGTTCTCACTCATAGGTGGGAATTGAACAATGAGAACACTTGGACACAGGGTGGGGAACATCACACACCAGGGCCTGTTGTGGGGTGGGGGAAGTGGGGAAGGATAGCATTAGGAGATATACCTAAGGTAAACAACAAGCTAATGGGTGCAGCACAGCAACATGGCACATGTATACATATGTAACAAACCTGCACACTGTGCACATGTACCCTAAAACTTAAAGTGTAATAAAAAAAAAGATAACAAGAAAACTCGAAGGAAATATCTGCAATATGGGTAACACAAGGTCTACATGTATAATATTAGGTTGGTGCAAAAGTAATTGCAGTTTTTGCAAAATCACAATTAATTTTCCACCAACCTAACACATAAACAGTACCTACAAATAATCTTTTAAAAGACAATATATTGAAGGGTAAGCAGGCGTTTTGAAAAGTATATATTTTAGAAGGAGTCTAGTAGATTGAGGAAAAAAAGTGTTAAAAAGAGAACACTCAGTGTTCATAGGAATATGGAGAAAAAGGCATTCTAAAACAGCATTAGTAGGAATGTATATTAGTAAATCTTCTTGGAAGGCAGTTTGTTTGAGCCAGGAATTTCCACTCCTAGAAAGGTATTGAATACTAGTGTAGACATAAGAAACACAAATAAGAGCAAGTTCTTTTAACATTGTTTCTAATATGGAAAAATTAGAAACAACCTAATATTCACTACTAAGAACTGACATAAGTAGGATATACCCATTCAATAAGATTCTGTGCAACTGATAAAAGGATGGTTGTAACTCATCTGTTGCCCTGGTAAAAATGTCCACAATTTGTATTTAAATGACAAAAGCATGGTAAATATTGAGAGTTTTATTATCTCAAACCAAGGGATTTAATCTATGTATTCAAGACTTCTTTAATGGCCCCACAGTGGAGTTTACAGTTTTCTTCCAAAAGGCCCTTTACATTTTTGGTCAAGTTTGTTTCTGGATATTTTATTTTGTGATGCCAATATGAATGGAAGATTTTCTTCCATTAAATTCCCTACATAAATTTCTGTATAGCTTATATAAAACCTCTTACTCTTCATGTAAGAAATCTTCTGATTTTGTATATTAACTTATAATTGGGCACCTTAATAAATTATGTTATTGTTTCTAGTAGTTTGATAGCTGTACCTACCCATTCTATTTTTTATGTTTCCTTTGGTATTCCTGGAGAAGAGCAGTTAAATACAACTGTAGTTCAGTGGAATTTTATTGCTAAACACCTGGGAAAAGAGAAAAGGGAATCATAAAATTACACATATTTGGAAACAAATGTTTTTTACAAAATCGAGCAACCATGTGGCCCCCGAACTAAGGTTCCTAAAGTCGTTCTCAGTCTAGGCAGTGATGCTCCCTCATTTTTTTTAGGCAAGCAGCTCTTTCTCCAAATGAAACTTTGGACAGGAGCTACAGCTGAGCTGATTTGATTGACACTGTGGTAAGGGCAGCTGCCTGGGCAAACGGGAAGCCTCCTCTGAACCGTTGAGAGACTTGAGAAGAACAATGCACCAAGCACAGTCTGAAAATTTGTACAGCTTTCTGCTCGCCTTCCCCTTTCATTCCTGAAGATGGAGCTCCTGAAGTTAAGCACACATTTTTTTTTCTTCTTTAGTCCCAACTCTTCTCTAGAATTTGTATTTCTCTTCTATCATAAAGATCAGTCTATTTCAATGACTGGGGTGCCAAGATAACTTCTAGACACAAAAACAGGGAATTTGTTTACAGTCTCAATGGAATGTTTCATGATCATCGTATCCTGGGATTTGTTTTGGCTTCAAGTAAACCAGAAAACAAAACACTGTTCATGATGATTCTTTGCTTTAAAATTTATTTAATCAATTCTTGAGAATTCTTACCTTTTTAACCTTAAAAATATGCCACAGTAATGAAAATTCCATTGTTTCTGCTGATTCTGTGTCCTCCTGAAAGTTATCCATTTAACAAAGGTCTTACTCTGCATGCCCACAGTTGCTTGATGAGGGAAAGCTTCTCCACAAGTCAGGAAAATCAAATCAAATCAAAACTGGAGAGAAAGCAAAAATATTAAAACAGTCTAGACCCAGGATAAGGCTTTACAAGAGCAGGGCTTTCATCTGAAACTGTTCCTGGTACAAATCATTCTTCAAGGCCCATTTACATAATTGGCTTAACTGAGAGGTCTGCTGTCTGGCAAGCACCCGCTTATAAATTTGGTTCTTCCAGTCCTATGTTAGGCAGAGCTGGCAGCTGTGCTTTGAAATTTCTCCTTTTACTATCCTGGCACACTTCTACATGTGCTTGCATAAAATTCCATCTGGTAGTATATGGGGTGATTTTCACTGGAAGACTGCATTTGGCGAGTAGATGAGATAATGCATCAAAAGTTTTCCACATGATGAAATTGCCTCTCCTAGCATTATGCTTTTTGATTAACTGACTAGGCTAAACTACATTGTTTCTGAGCAAAAGCTTTCTATTCAAATCATGTCTTACGGCAGAAGGAGCTGTCATGCTCTGAACTATCACACTGACCGGGGGGCTTTCTGTAAAGTAAACTCTGACAGCTGCCAGAGGCTCTATAGAAAGTAAAGTATGTCACAGAGATTCAATGAGTATGTTTGATAACTGCTCTGCCACAATTGGTGTAAAGAGAATAAATATGCAGCTGAGAAAATTATAGGTATCCAAACTCACATTACTTAATTAAGCTTAGCCAGGACTGAATGCACTAGTCATTTTGCCCAGAGCATGCCCTGGTTTCATTTCTCTTTCTTAAAATGTTACTGTATACCCATCCCCAGACTTAGGTTAAATTCTAGTTTTCTCTCTGGGTTCAAGTATAGACTTCAAAGCTAAACAATGCAATACTTCTCATAGCTCGATGCCATATATACAAGTTCTATTGGTATCATTTTCTTTCTGTCCAGAGAACTTTCCCATTGATTCTGACTGTATTCCGTATTTGTTTTATGCATCAAGTGTTGCTGATGAGAAGTCTGATATCATTCTGTTTTTCTTTCTTTTGTAGATAGTCTATGATTTATCACTGTTAGGTTTTTGGATTTTTTTTTTATCCCTAGTGTTTTCAGGACTTTTCCCCCCTAGTGTTAACACTACAATTGGTTAATATGTGTCAAAGGTGTAAGGTCTGTGTTTAGGTTCATTTTTTTGCATATAAATTTTACAATGGTTCCAGTACCATTTGTTGAAAAGGTTAATCTTCCCCTATTGAATTGCCTTTGCTCCTTTGTCAAAGATCTATGTGGGTCTATTTCTGGGTTCCTTAGTCTATTCCATTGATCTATGCCAATCTTATATGTCTATTCTTCCACTAATACCATGCTATCAGTTTCCCTATGTCTTCATCCATTTTCTGTCACTATAATATACTACCTAAGGCTAGGTAACTTATAAAGAAAAGAGTTTTATTTCTTACAATTCTGGAGGCTGGGAAGTCTACGATCAGGAGCCACATCTTATCAGCGTCTGGTGAGGGCCTCATGCTGTGTTATAACATGGCAGAAGGCATCACAGGGCATGACGGGTACACTGAGAGCCAAACTAACTTTTATAACAGGCTCATTCTTATAACTAACCCATTCCTGTGATAACCTGTTAATCCATTAATCCATGAATGTATTAATTCATTCATTAGAACAGAGACCTCAGACCCAGTCACCTCTTACAGGCCCCGCTTCCTAATACTGTTACACTGGGGGTTCAGTTTTGACATGAACTTTGGAGGAGCCAAACATTCAAACCATAGCAATCCCAAGAAAGGTTTACCAATATACGCTCTTTTAAAAAAATTTTTATTTTAGATTTGGGAGTATGAGTTATATAGATAAATTCATGTCATAAGGGTTTGTTGTACAGATTATTTCATCACCCAGATATTAAGCCCAGTACCCAATATTTATATTTTCTGCTCCTCTTCCTCCTCCCACCCTCCACCCTCAAGTAGACCCCAGTATCTTTTGTTTCTTTCTTTGTGTTCATGAATTCTCATTATTTAGCTCCCACTTATAAGTGAGAACATGTGGTATTTGGTTTTCTGTTCCTGTGTTAGTTTGCTAAGGATAATAGCTCCCAGCTCCCTCCATGTTCCCGCAGAAGACATGATCTCGTTCTTTTTTATGGCTGCATAGTATTTCATGGTGTCTACGTACCACATTTTCTTTTAATGACATTGATTTACATTGACCTGTTCCCTACACCCCTAGCAAGACTAAATGTTATCTATCCTTTTACATTTTTTCCAATCTATTAGATTCCTCCCCCCAAAAAAGCCTTTTTTTATTAAAAAAAAAATCTACTTGCACTTTGATGTAATATATTCCATTGTATTTTTAAGCGATTTATCAGTACCATTTACATATTGTGTTGACCTTTTGTTACCAATATTGCAACTAGTTCCTTCCAGTTTCTTAGTTATCTTCTGGCTTTTTTTCCTTTTAGTGTACAGAAACTCTTCATTTTTATGCAGTCAAACCTGTCTTTTAGGTTTCATGTCTGGCAGAAGCATTTTACTTCTGGGTTTTGTTTCTTACTTAGAAAAGCCTTCAGCATCTACCAGATGCCTACAAATCAAATTCTTAATCTAATTGCAGCAAGCATGTGGAATGTGTGGCTTACATATTTTCATTTGAAATTTTCACTTTTTCATCTCAATATTCTTTTCTTATCCATATTTTTACTTTTCTTAATGTTATTTAATATCCAATTTACCTAATATATGTAATACCACCTCAATAAATATTTGTATCTTACAGGAAATATGCTTCCAGAATAAAGTGAGTAAACATAAATATACATTCCACTCCTAGATATATACTCAAAAGAATTGAAAGAGGCGTTCAAACAAAAACCTGTATGCAAATGGTCATAGTAGCACTACTCATAATAGCCAAAAAGTAGAAACAATCCAAATGTCTATCAAATGATGAATGGATAAAGAAAATGTGGTAGATCACACAATAGAAAATTATTCGATCATAAGTAGGAATGAAATACTGATACATGCTACAACCTGGATGAACCTTGGAAACAGTATGCTGAATGAGAGACCACACACAAAAATTTGCCTATCATATGATTTCATGTATATGACATCAGGAATAGGTAAATCCATAAAGACATAGAGCAGATTAGTGGTTTCCAGGGGCTTTGGGACAAGCGTAATGGAGAGTGACTGCTTAATGAGTATAGGGTTTCCCTTTGAAGTGGTAAAAATCTTTGGGAACTAGACAAAAGCTATAGTTGTAAATGTTTATGCGTATACTACATGCCACTGAATTGTAAGCTTTAAATGTTTTTTTTTATGTTACCTGAATTTAGCTCAGTTTGTTTTTCAAAACTGCAAATATATCAATAAACATTTCTTTCTAAAGTGGAAATCTTAATCTCTACCTACCACAAGTAATTGTTCTACTGCTTAGATGATATACAGTAAGTTAAAATATTATATAAATATAAGATATCATAATATATTTATATATTAAATAAATATATACTAATCATATCATGGTTAGTTTCCTTTCTGGAACAAATTTTGCCTTCATTTCAAAGTCTCTCAGCTGTGGTTCATCATATGTAAATATGTTGGGATGACAAACCACTTGGTCTTCACCACTGCTCAGTCTTGAATTTCAATATAAAAAATGTCATGGTTATAATGCTACCCCATCTCCGAACCTGCTCCAATTAGAAGCAGGCAGCTGGTATTCCTACTAACTGGATTGCAGACAGTATGGGCCCTAAAAAGCACAAAAGGGAATAACTGTGAGCCCTTCCCTAAAAGCAGAGTTCACTTCAGTGCTTCCATAATAGCATTGCTGTTGCATTTTCTTGTTGAAAAATCAAACAATTTTTAGCACCCACTATAAGCCAGTCACTGTTGCAGGTACTTGGGATACATTCACCACAAACTAGTCAAAAATGCCAGCTCTTCTGGATCTTGCCTTCTGCAAAGGGTGAGAGAAAAATAAATAATAAACTTAATAAGGAAATAGATTTTATAGTCCGTTGGAAGGTGGTGGAGTGCTGTGGGAGAAAGAAAAGCTGAGGAGCATTAGGAGTCTAACAGGGTGGCATTTTTAATGAAGTCATCAGGTAAGCCTCTGAGAGAATGGCATGGAACAAAGACACTAAAGAAAGAAGAGTTAGACCTCTAGGGCTGTAACACTCATCATTAAATAAGGTTGCTCCAGGCCAGGCACAGTGGTTCACACCTGTAATCCCAACACTTTAGGAGGCAAGGTGGGCAGATCACCTGAGACCAGGAGTTCAAGACCAGCCTGGCCAACATGGTGAAACCCCCTCTCTACTAAAAATACAAAATTAGCCAGGTGTGGTGGTGCATGCCTGTAATCTCAGCTACTCAGGGGGCTAAGGCAGGAGAATCTCTTGAACCCAGGAGGCGGAGGTTGCAGTGAGCCAAGACTGCACCATTGCACTCCAGCCTGGGTGACAGAGCAAGTCTCCTTCCCAAAAAAAAAAAAAAAAAAGATAAGGATTGCTCCAGGCAGAGCCTGCCTGCTCCAGGAAGAGCCTGTGCAAATTTCCTAAGGCAGAAGCCACAGTGTGGTGGCAATGTGTGTGTTGGTACAGAGCAGGAAATGAGATAAGGTCAGGGAAGGAAACACTTTGGTTATTAAGATGAGAGAAACAGGGAGCCATAGCAAGGTTTCGAGAAGAGGCCTTAGCTGTGTCCTGCTTGACTTCTCATTGTCTCAGGTGTATTTTCCTCAATGACTCTGGCTTAGTATGTCGCCTCCTGAATCAGATCCATCTTGTACACATTTCAAAATGTTCTTGGCTCCATCTCTTACTCTAGCCATTGCTTCAGTTTTATGCAGTCTTTGATCTTTCTTGTGCCAGAGCAAATGGATTATATCTTGCCTTAAGCCAGACTGCATACCTCTTGCTTTCTGCCAAGAGATTCCTTTGAAGCTAGCCCAAGATGTCTTCCAAATCACCTGGAATTCACACATTCTTTTTTTTTTAATTTAGACTTTTCTTTTAGATACGGGGGTACATGTGCAGGTTTGTTACATGGGTATATTGCAACCAGATAGTGAGCATCATGCCCCATAGGTAGTTTTTCAACCCACAACCCCCTTCCTTCCTCCTTCCTCTAGTAGTACACAGTGTCTGTTATTCTCATGTTTATGTCCATGTGTGCTGAATGTTTAGCTGCCACTTATAAGTGAGAACATGCAGTATTTCCCTGCATTAATTCACTTAGGATTATGGCCTCCAGCTCCTTCCATATTGCTCCAAAAGACATGATTTCATTCTCTGTTATGGCTGAATAGTATTTCATGGTGTATATCTACCACTTCTTCTTTATTCAATTCACCATTGATGGGCACCTAGGTTGATTCCATATCTTTGCTATTGTGAATAGTATAGTGATAAACATAATGAGTGTATGTGTCTTTTTGCTATAATTATGTATATTACTTCAGAAATATACCCAGTAATGGGATTGCTGGGTCAAATGGTAGCCCCATTTTAAGTCCTTTGAGAAATCTCTAAACTGCTTTCCACAGTGGCTGAACTAATTCACATTCTACCAACAGTGTAAAAGTGTTCCCTTTTCTGTGCAGTCTCACCAGCATCTGCTATTTTTTTACTTTTTAATCATAGCCATTCTGACTGGTATGAGATGGTATCTCATGGTTTTGATTTGCATTTATCTGATGATTAGTTAAGATGAGCATTTTTTTAATGTTTGTTGGCCACTTCTATGTCTTCTTTTGAGAAGTGTCTGTTCATCTCCTTTGCCCGTTTTTTAACGAGGTTGCTTGTTTTTTGCTTGATTTGTTTAAATTCCTTATAGACTCTGGTTATTAGACCTTTGTCAGGTGCATAGTTTGCAAATATTTTCTTTCATCCTGCTCACTCTGTTGATACTTTCTTTTGCTGTGTAGACCTCTTCAGTTTAATTGGGTCCCATTTGTCAGTGTTTATTTTTTGTTGCAATTGCTTTTGGGGACTTAGCCAAAAATTCTTGCCAAGGCTGATGTCAAGAAGGGTATTTCCTAGGTTTTCTTCTAGGATTTTTGTAGCTTGAGGTCTTACATTTAAATTCTTATTTCATCTTGAGTTAGTTTTTGTATATGGTGAAAGGGAAGGGTCCAGTTTCATTCTTCTGCGTATGGCTAGCCAATTATCCAAGCACCATTTATTGAATAGTGAGTCCTTTCCCCATTGCTTATTTTCATCAGCCTTGTTGAAGGTCAGATAATTGTAAGTGCACAGCTTTATTTCTGACTTTTCCATCCTGTTCCATTGGTCTATGTGTCTGTTTTTGTATCAGTACCATGCCGTTTTGGTTACTGTAACCTTATAGTATACTTTCAAGTTGGGTAGTGTGATGCCTCTAGCTTTGGTCTTTTTGCTTAGAATTGCTTTGGCTATTCAGGCTCTTTTTTAGTTCCATATGAATTTTAGAATAGTTTTTTCTAGTTTTGTGAAGAACAACATTGGTGCTTTGATAGGAATAATGTTGCATCTGGTAGCTGTTTTAAGTTATTTGAGAAATCTTCAAATTGCTTTGGGCACTATGGCCATTTTAACAATATTGACTTGCAGGCCTGGGCACAGTGGCTCATGACTGTAATCCCAGCACTTTGGGAGGCCGAGGCAGATGGATTGCCTGAGATCAGGAGTTCGAGACCAGTCTGGCCAACATGATGAAACCCCATCTCTACTAAAAATACAAGAAAATTGGCCAGGCATGGTGGCACGTGCCTGTAATCCCAGGTACTCAGGAGGCTAAGGCAGGGGAATTGCTTGAACCAGGGAAGTGGAGGCTGCAGTGAGCCGACATTGCGCCACTGCACTCTAGCCTGGGTGACAGGGCAAGACTCTGTCTCAAAAAAAAAAAAAAAAAAAAATTGACTTCCAATCCATAAGCATGGGATATTTTCCCATCTATTTGTGTTGTCTCTGATTTATTTCAGAAGAGTTTTGTAGTTCTCTTTGTAGAGATCTTTTACCTCCTTGGTTAGCTGTATTCCTGGGTATTTCATTTTCTTTGTGGCTATTGTAAATCAGATTATGGTCTTGATTTGACTCTCAGCCTGAACGTTATTGGTATATAGAAATGCTACTGATTTTTACACATTGATCTTGTATCCTGAAACCTTACTAACATTGTTCATGAGTTCTGTAGACTTTTGGCAGAATCTTTGGGGTTTTCTCTGGGTAGAATTTTATTGTCAGTGAAGAGAGACCATTTGGCTTCTTCTTTTCCAATTTAAATGGAATTCATGCATTCTTAGCCCAGGTATACAGAGGGGTCAACATTAGTGAGGCCATCCTTGACCATGGGGCACAGAAGCCAATGAGTAAAGTCTCTTTTCTGGCATTTCCCAAGCAAACAGTTTATTTTATAAGACTCCTCACAAGGTACTGCTGGATCCAAAACTAGACACTTACAGCACTGGGCCAACCCAATAATGACTCCTTGTACTGGCTTTCCTCCTTCCCTGTTGCATTCCTCCATCCTCCACCCCTGCTTCCTGGGATTATATTTCCAAATAAACAGATTTCACACAAGTTTATATCTCAAGCTCTGCTTTAAGGGAAGCCAAGCCCAAGATACTTCCCTACACTTTCAAACTGTTTCTTTATTCCTCCAGAGTGGAGCCCCCTAGAACATGGCACCTGCCTGGGATCTTACAAACCGTCACATTCACCTGACCTTTACTGACAGCCAGCTCTACTCTGATTGCCCCTTCAGTTACTTCTAGTTTCCAATTACCTTTCAGTACCTCTTGGCTGAGAGGCAGAAAATAAAGCTACACAATAGGCGGCCACTAGATTGCGAAAGCCTTGGATGCCATGCTTAGAATTTATAGGCAGAAGAGTTCCACTGAGTATTTTTAATCAGTGTGATCATGTTTAGAAAAATAACCAATGCATTATAGAAGCTGGATGAGAGGAAGAAAGTCTAGAGCCATGAAGATTAGAAACAAAAAATGTTGAGGGATATCTGCTCTGATGATTGCTGTTTTTCTCTCCAAAACCAGTCATCTGTCAATAGTGCTGGGTGTAAGAGTAAAGCCAGGGCCTGAAGAGACTGGTAGATGTGCCCTTCAATGAGATCCTCCTATGAAGAGCTGGGTTACTCTGGGTTCAGGGCTGTCATGGTAGGTGCAGTAGAAGGATAAACAGATGAAGGAAGTTAGTGATGTGAGAAATATGGCTGAAGGGTGGATCATGAGAGTCAGACTGGATAGGGAAGGTAAAGAAGTCAGGAAGTAGGACTGATAAATTCAAAGAGTAAAAAAGTGATGACTTCGAGGAGAAAGGAGGCAAAACCTTAAAATGTCCATCTTATTCCTTTATTACAATTCTGAGTGGAAGGCTTGTTATAGGAAACAGGGATACTAATCATTTAAATGAGGTTTGAGGATTATCTCTGGATTTCTAAGATAATTAGATTGAATATGCAATGAAATTCAATCCTGCTTAACTTATAGGAACTAACTATCTCATTTTAAAGTCTAAAGTGAGAATGGACGAAAACTTCTATTCATAGAATACATTCAGCAGAAATATTAATATGGACCAATAGTTGCAGAGCTAGAAAAGTGAGGCCAGACCAATAAAGAACCTTGGTATTGGCAAATAAGAGTTTTAGCAATTATTAAAAATAAAATCCAGAGCCATGACCCTAAATGTATTGAGAATAATGCTCATCGTGGTCAGAAACTTAAATCACACAGCATTTGAAAGATTGAAGAAGCTGATAAAAAATGCAAGAAAATTAACATCTTTCAAGTTAACTTTACAAATAAATTTGGTCCACTAATTTGGTAATTTGCCCTTGGTTTTAGTAATTTAACTTTTCCATTTTCTTTCTGTAAATGGATAATTACTTGCCTTCTTTTTCACTATTGAAAATATTTTCGTATATGTATTTAAAGCCAAGATAAATGCAAAAAGCAAAGTTAGAAATCAGGTTTAGAAACTATCAAGGAGGAGAGAGGGAGAGAGGGAGGTAGGGAAGGAGGAAGGGAAGGGAAAGAAGGGAAGGGAAGAAGAGAAGAAAGAAAGGGAGGGAGAGGAGAAAAGAAATAAACTAGTAAGTAGGTTTTTGCTTGTTTGTTTGTTCTTTTATCCAATTTTAATGTGTATTGTCACTTCAGCACGACTGCATTTGTTACCTCAAATAATATCCAGAAAAAATATACCAAGGCTTTAAAAACTACAAATTAATACAAGTACCAATTTAAAAAATGGTTAAATTCCACTGTATCAGTTGCCTATTTCCACATTAATGCTGTGTAGCAAACAACCACAAATCCTCAATGACATACAAAAACAAGTGTTTAGTCTTAACCTGCCTGTGGGTTAGCCCCATAGTTCTGTGATCAAGTGGCTGTGAGTTGAGCAGGTGGCTCTGATTTAGTCAGAACTTTATTGAATCAGCTTAGCTGGGGAAATCATGCTTCTATTGTTCTGAAACTATGCACCATTACACCCAGCTAATTTTTAAGTTTTTGTAGAGATGAGGTCTCACTATGCTGTTCAAGTGGGTCCCAAACTCCTGAGCTCAAGCGATCCGCCTGCCTCGGCCTCCCAAAATGCTGGGATTACAGGCGTGAGCCACCGTGCTTAGCCCAGTCTTCTTTTTATGTGAAATTCTTTATTGTTTAGTCACCATTCACCAAATATCCTGTCATGTGTAGCTGTTATCTCTGATTCTCCACTCTCTATCAAGACCTTCCTCACAGCATTGGTGTAATGAATGGGAAAAACATTGAGGACAGTAAATGGCTATGAAAATTAATTTATCTACAAATCAAAGCAAAAGATATTCTCACGTTTTCAACCACTGTTAATGGATTATTTCCTCAAATCCCAGAATCAACAAGTAAAGAAAAGCATACCATAAAAGCAAAACCATAAATGAAAAGCAAAATCTCCTGATGAACAATTATTAAATTTCACATATCTCTAGATTATGTTCCTTTCAAAGTGAACTCCCAGAACCTCATTTGACCAACTCCAAGAATTAAGTTTTTGATGATTTCAGCATTATTTTGAATAATAGAGATTTTATTCTCCTTAAAGATGGCCAGGAGACATTTTTCTGGAATAGTTATAGCAAATATGTACTAATTACAGGATAACTGTGAAGGGTCTTTTTCTATCACAGGTTGTACACCAACCTGCCGTAACTAACTTACTGTGGGTAATGGCTTAGTCACCTACAGTAGCAATATAATTACTCAGCATTTACAGATAGGCCTTTATCAAGTGAAGTCATGCAAATACTATAGAATAAACTGTTAAGTACAGCAAATGATTCAGGAAAGGCATAAGTGGCCTATTTTCCGGTTGTCTAGTCTACGATTCAGGATGATTTGTTCCTCTCAGATGCACATATTTGTGTGGGTGATCCCAAACTACTTGAACTCAGACATACAAACCAAACGAGTTGAGAGAGAGAGAGAGACAGAGAGAGAGAGAGAGAGAGAGAGCTCAATCTTCCCCTGAACTAAGAGGCTCAGGCTTGAAGACTTCAGGCTGGTTAGAGTAGCCTGCAGTGACCACTATTTTCATCTGCTCTGTATACACACTTTCCTCTGTTCTTTTTGTTAACAAACTTTCCACTAGCCACAGGGTTGGCAGATGACCCAAACTGAGTCAGTCAAGTGCCACATACTACTGACCCCAGTGATTGCTTCAGGAATGTGCATGTGACCTAAGCAGGGCCAGTCAGAATCCTTCTTTTGGCTTACTATATGAATGTTAGGAGAAATCCATTTTCATTCTAAGTGAATGAGCTCAGCACACAGGAAAAAAACTAGTTTCATTGTTTGGGTCAGGCTTTTAGCTTTTGCATAACTGGCAGGTTGCCAATTCAGATGACTTCTGACAAATATGCACTAGTTAATGCAAGGATGCTCCTTGGATTGCTGCTCCAAATTGCTTTAACTCCTCCTCCAAATGGTAGCAAACAAAAAGTAGATGGTGAATTCAGCTATAATCTGACTTGGGGTAGAAAGAAAAGATTTGGATTAATTATGCCATTGAAACAATGATTAACATAACAAAGAGAAGTAAAGAGTAATTGAGAGTAAAAAATAATTGACCCAAAGAAGAGAAGAATGTGTAACAGCAATATCAAAATATCATATAAGCCTTATATGTAATTTTAAATTCTCCAGTAGCCACATTTCAGAAAGTAAAATAAAGTGAAAAAAATTTACAATGTATTTTATTTAATCTAAATAAACCCCAAATCTTACCATTTCAACATGTAATCACTATTTTTAAGTTATTAGTGAGATACTTAACTTACTTGTATTAGTACTAAGTCTTGAAAGCCTACATGTATTTCATACTAACTTATAGCTCATCTCCATTCAGACTACCCACATTTCAAATGCTCAAATTATCAGTAGCCACATGTGGCTAGCTAGTGGCTGCCATATTGAACAGTAATAATCTGGAAAATAAAACATCTTGGTTTGTAATTTTTGATGGCAGTTCCCTAATATCTTTTTGGGCTAGCAACCAGAGTGATCCCCTACATCCAAAACCCCACTTACTGGTACAATAAGCAGGGTAAAAATTCCATCCTGGGGATTTAAATGGCAAGTTCCATTATTACAGGTGAATATGGGTGCACCCAAGCCTGTGTGCCAAGAATCTCAGACACTTCTTGTGGACTATTATGCCTACCTACCCTGTGAAAACACAAATATAAATTCCTACTCAGCACCTACACTCAGGTTATTGAGCTCTCTCAGAGAAAATAACATAACCATGAGCACTGGTACCATCACAAATTCGAGGCTTTAAACCTCAAGTGGAAACTCAGTACTAGTCAGAAATCCTGTCCCTGATCAATACCCTTTCCTGTTTTCCTCAATAGCTACTTACATCTTCATCATGTTCCTTAAGCCACTACCTTTGTATACAACCTTTTTTAAAAGATCATTTTTCCATGAGCAACCCTAGTCTTTCTTCCCAGAGAAATGGAAACCTCAAGTAAGAATTGCATTTCACCAAAATTCTGTTTCCTAATTCAACCTTCAAACATAGATACTCTTGACCCATCATTTTTGCTTATTGTCTGAGTCTCATTCCAGTCACCTCCCATTTTCTTCGAAATTGCTCCATCAACTACTCCACCTCTTGTATATTCAACCTTTTCTTCTCTACTTCCTCTTTCTCTTCAGTATATAAACATGCTCAAATTTCTCTTGCTTGAAAGTTATCCACATCCATTTATTGCTACTGCTTGCCTTCTCTGCATTTTTCACTGAAGCAATCTATCCTCCTTACTCCATTAAAACTGCACTAAATAATCAGATACTTTCTCCTGAAAAATCCAACAGAGCCTGTTCTATCTTTAACTTCCTGTTTCTCAGCAGCATCTCAGAGTTGGGCACATCCTCTGTCTTGAAAATCTTCCCACCATTGACTCTGTGACACCAATATCTCTCTTGACTTCTTCCATCTCTGCCACTTTTTAACAATCTCTTTGTAGCTTTTTTCCTTTTGCCTATTATTTAAATGGTGTTGTTACTCAAGTTTCAATCATCTACCTCTTTGGTTTTCCAAGTGTGGACTGTAAATAAGCAAAAGCAGCTTCACTATCTGGGAGCGTGATGCAAATTCAGAATCCCGGGCCTCACCCCAGAACTTCTGGATCAAAATCTGCATTTTAACAAGATACTCAGGTGATTTGTGTGCACAAGCAGCTTTGAAAAGTGTTACTTTACTCTTGACTCGTCTCATTCTAGACTTTCTCCCTGAGTAATCTCATGCTCTGTGACTTTCATAACTACCCATATATTAATGACTTCCACATTTGTATCTCCAGCCCAGGTCTCCCTCATGAATTCTACTACGTATATAGAATTTTTTACTGAACATCTCTGTCCATTTGCATGACAGGCATATCAAGCTTTGTATGACTCCACAGACATATCTGGCCACATGTGTTCTAATAAGAGAGTAATCATAAGGGATCCCGAGTATTTGGATAAGAAGAAGATCATTAGTGAAGGGTAATTATAAAAGATCTCATGCTGGCTTTGGAGTTGAACTTGATCTGAACCCTAACAGACAGGTTGGAATAGAGGAAGGGATTTAGATAAATGGAAGATGACGGAAAGCATAAAACACACTTTATCTTCAGAATTGATAAGTAACCCTTTCTCTCAAGGCAGTAGTCTTCTGCCAGGGAATCTAAAGAAAAGGAAACTACTAAGCGTTTTTTTTTTGCTGGTATGAGAAGTCATCTAAATCTCTTGGTCTCTGTCCGTTACTAATTTCTTTTCACTTCTTGAACAGACATTTATTGAACTTCAACTACTATGTCAGGTGCTGTTCTAGGTGCTCGAGATAGAGCAATAAATAAAACAGACAAAAATTGCTGCACTCACCTTCTTGGTAGCAATATTAATTTTCTTCCCTTAATGAGTCATTTGAAAATGTATTGTCATGCAGGGTGAGTCCCTTTGTGATCAACTCCCTGTTAAGCTCCAGGGCTCAGAAAGAATTACAAATCATCACATGAAATATTGGGAGGCAAAGGCTTTATACTGGGGAAACTTACAAGCAAGGCTCAGTAGGGAAAGAAAGGCTGGATCCCTCATGTTCTCTTTGCCAGCACAAAGAAGCTTGCTGGAAACTGATACCCTTGTCACCCAAAAATGACTGATATGACCCCAAAATGTGCTTACATATGCTAGACCATGATATCACAAAGGGGAATAATATCTCTGCCCCTTTGCAGGGACATGAAGCAAAGTGTGAATGGAATGGTGCAAATCTACCATCAGAACTGAGAAACTTTTTCAAAATAGATGAATAGCTTCATCAGTGTATATAAAAACAGTATAAAACATTCTGTTATATCCTTATTTTATACAGATTTGACTTGTCATACATTCCCCGTTGCTTTGATAGACTAATTAAAACCAGTACCAGAGTTCAACTACAATAGTGCATCATAAAACTAGTAAACATAAAACTAGTGACACACACCCACAAATGTGAAAGTAATCTATTTGAGTTCAGTTATGAGCAGACAAAAATACTGATAACAGAACACTAAACCACAGAAAATTTACAGGTGAATTATAGAGTAACTGAAATATGTGCCATACTCCTGACACTTCCATCAAGTAATGTTTTCCTCAAACCCCAAAGGTCTTGCTCTTAAATATGTTTGATAATTGTAAAAAGTTTGAACACCACACTCATCTCTTTACATTTCTGTTTTTATATTGCATTTTAGTGCTGACAAAATAGAGGAGAAGAAAGTAAAGCTTTGATATCAGGCTTCTTACTGCTTTATTTGATTTCAGCCCCATTATCACATATTTCCAGAAATACACAATAATGCCAAATCACTTTCTCCATTTTGGGTTGGTTTCTCGGTATATTAGCTGTCAGTGTAAAATTATTGTGCCTCCTGCATGGCAACTAAAATCCCAAACAATGGTTACTGACAAATTTCTCTATAGTTCACTGATTCCTCAAAGAAAATGAATTTTCTACCCGGCTAAGATTAATTACCATTGTTACAGAAATTGGAATGCATCTGACAGCTTGAACAGAAAACACTGTGCTTTGCTTTCCTTTCTATTGTGTCGTAATCACATGCTCCAAAATCAATTAGAATCACATAATCTTCCTAAAGAAATGCCTACCCACTCTAAATGCTTAACTGTAGAAAAGTCAGGAGATGTGAAAAGTGGAGATGCAGGTTTGGGGAGGCATCTTGGAGGCATCTTTTCATTACCTCTAGCCTGCCCCAAGAATATGCAAGATCTGGGAAGATGATACTATGGTTCTAGGCAGCCCAAGGTGGGAACTTCCAGGCTGTTTTTGAAGTGGGAGAGTTCCCTGCCCCCAACCCTTCACAGGACATGCGACAGGGACGTGACTCTGTTTGGCTACCACAAGCTCAAACTCCTTACAGAAGGGAGAGCATGAAGATGGTCAGGTGCAGGAACCAGGGCAAGTGATCTGGGGCTCTGGCCCCACAGCAGCTTATAGGGGTAGGTGTCTGCCACTCCCAAAGCCCAAGTGGGCACGTGTTACAGTGCACTCTTTTAGCCTTACCATCTGCGGATGGCCTAAGGGTTAACCAGCTCATTGGATCCTCTGCCTTTTTGCAAAGGGAGGGGGCCAGTATGACAGCTTTCTGTATCAGGAGCTCTTGTGCAGCATCCCGGAAGAATCAGGTCACACACAGACTTGAAGGATAAATACGGAGGTTTTATTGAGTGGTGGAGGTGGCTCTCAGCAGGATTGATGGGGAGCTGGACAGGGGATGGAGTGGGAAGATGATCTTTCCCTGGAGTTTGGCCATCCAGTGGCCAATTCTCTGACCATCCCCAGCCAAATTCCTCCCAACATTCCTTCTTTTCTCTCCTTCTCTGCCTCACCATTCTGCTGTTCATCTATTCATCCCCTCATCTCCTTGTCTGCTTCTGGAGCCTGGAGTTCAGGGTTTTATATGGGTACAGGATGGGGGCATGGCAGGCCAAAAAGCAACTTTGGGGGCATTAAAACAGGAATGCCTGTTCTCACTTAGGGCCACAGTTATCCAGGCTTGAGGGTGGGGCCTTTGCCAGGCAACCACCCTTTTCTACCCAGTATTTCCCTGTCTCCTCTCCATATCATTTTTGTTAGTATATCTTCCTAACAAACCACCTAAACTTTAGTGGTTTCAAACAACACGCCAGGTGGTTGGTGCACACCTACAATCCTAGTTACTCTGATGGCTGAGACAGGAGCATCTCTTGAGCCCAGGAGTTTAAGTCTGCTATGACCTATGATTGTGCCACTGTACTCCTGCCTGGGTGGCAGAGGAAGACCTTATCTCTCTTAAAAACAAAACAAATTGCTTTCCACAGTCGCTGAACTAATTTATATTCCCACCAACAGTGCATAAGCATTACTTTTTCTCTGCAGCCTCACCAGCATCTGCTGTTTTTTGACTTTTTAGTAATAGCCATTCTGACTGGTGTGAGTATCTCAGTGTAGATTTGACTTGCATTTCTCTGATGATTAGTGATGATGAGCATTTTTTCATGTTTTTGGCTGCTTGTACGTCTTCTTTTGACAAGTGTCTGTTCATGTCCCTTTGCCCATTCTTTAAAAGGGTTATTTTTTGCTTGTTGATTTGTTTAAGTTCTTTATAGATTTTGAATATTAGACCTTTGTCAGATGCATAGTTTGTGAATGTTTTCTCCCATATTGTAGCTTGTCTGTTTACTCTGTTGATAGTTTATTTTGCTGTGCAGAAGCTTTTTAGTTTAATTAGATTCCACTTGTCAATTTTTGTTTTTGTTGCAATTGCTTTTGGGATGTAACCAAAATTTTTTTTCCAAGGCTGATGTCAAGAAAGGTATCTCCTAGGTTTTCTTCCAGGATTTTTATAGTTTGAGTTTTACATTTAAATCTTTAATCTATTTTGAATTAATTTTTGTATTTAGTAAAAGGTAAGGGTCCGGTTTCATTCTTCTACATATGGCTAGCTAGTTATCCCAGCACCATTTATTGACTATGAAGTCCTTTCCCCATTGCTTGTTTTTGTCAGCCTTGTCAAAGATTAGATGGTTGTAGGTGTGTCACTTTATTTCTGAGTTTTTGTATCCTGTTCCATTGACTTTTGTACCTGTTTTTACACTAGTACCATGCTGTTTTGGTTACTGTGGCCTTATAGTATAGTTTGAAGTTGGATTGTGTGATGCTTCTGGCTTTGTTCTTTTTGCTTAGGATTGGTTTGGCTATTCAGGTTCTTTTTGATTCCATACAAATTTTAGAATTTTTTTTTTCTAATTCTGTGAAGAATGACATTGGTAGTTTGACAAGAATAGCATTGAATCTATAAATTGCTTTGGGCAATATGGCCAACAATCCCATTACTGGGTATATACCCAAAGGAGAATAAATCATTCTACCAAAAAGGCTTGTGTACTTGGCTGGGTGCAGTGGCTCAAATGCCTGTAATCCCAGCATTTTAGAAGGCCAAGGCAGGCAGATCACTTGAGGCCAGGAGTCTGAGACCAGCCTGGCCAACATGGTGAAACCTCATCTCTAGTAAAAATGCCAAAAATTGGGCAAGGCTAGATGGCTCATGCCTGTAATCCCAGAACTTTGAGAGGCTGAGGCGGGCAGATCACTTGAGGTCTGGAGTTTGAGACCAGCCTGACCAACATGGTGAAACCCCATCTCTACCAAAAATATAAAAATTAGCTAGGCAGTGGTGATGTAGCACCTGTAATCCCAGCTACTTAGGAGGCTGAGTAGGAGAATTGCTTGAGCCTGGGAGGCGGAGTTTGCAGTGAGCCGAGATCACATTACTGCACTCCAGCCTGGGCGACAGAGTAAGGCCCTGTCTCAAAAAAAAAAAAAAAAAAAAAAAAAAAAGCCAAAAATTAGGTGGGCGTGGTGGCTCATGCTACTTGGGAGGCTGAGGAAAGAGAATCGCTTGAACCCAGGAGGTGGAGGTTGCAGTGAGCCAAGATTGCACCATTGCACTCCAGCCTGGGCAACAGAGCAAGACCCTGGAAAAAAAAAAAAAGACACATACACTCATATGTTCACTGGAGCACTATTTACAATGGCAAAGATATGGAATCAACCTAGGTGCCCATCAGTGGTGGATTGGATGAAGGAAATATGGTACATATACACAATGGAATCCTACATTGCCATTTAAAAAAAGAATGAAATCATGTGTTCTGCAGCAACATGGATGCAGTTGGAGGCTACAATCCTGAGTGAATTAACACAGGAACAGAAAATCAAATCCCACATGTTCTTACTTACAAGTGGGAGCTAAACATTGAACACACATGGACATAAACAAAGGAACAAGAGACACTGTGGACTACTAGAGGGAGAAGGAAAAGAGGGGGACATGAGTAGAAAAAGCTACCTATTCGGTACTGTACTCACTACCTTGCTGACAAGATCAGTACCCCACACTTCAGCATCACACAATATGCCCATGTAGGCTGGGCGCGGTGGCTCACGCCTGTAATCCCAGCACTTTGGGGGGCCGAGGCAGGCAGATCACGAGGTCAGGAGATCGAGACCATCCTGGCTAACAGTGAAGCCCCGTCTCTACTAAAAATACAAAAAATTAGCCGGGCGTGGTTGCAGGCGCCTATAGTCCCAGCTACTCAGGAGGCTGAGGCAGGAGAATGGCCTGAACCCAGGAGGCGGAGCTTGCAGTGAGCCAAGATCGGGCCACTGCACTCTAGCCTGGCCCGAGACTCTGTCTCAAAAAAAAAAAAACTATGCCCGTGTAACAAACCTGCACATGTAACCCTGTATCTAAAACAAAAGTTGAAATTTAAAAAGAAAAAAAATTCCTGCGGTTCAAGTGACAAAAAATGAAAACAAAAAACCCACATGTATTATGTCTCATATATCTGTAGGTCAGTCAGGCAGGTTGTTGATCTGAGCACACTCCTGTAAGCAGTTAGCTGGTAGGTTGGCTATGGACTGGGTGATCAGTAACGGCTCCAGCAAGGACAGCTAGGAGGTCTCAGCTCTGCTGCATATGGTCTTCTCACCTTTCAGCCAACTAGATCAGGCTTATTCGCCTTGTAGTAGCAAAGAGAGAACAAAAGCACACAAGAGCCCTTGATGACTAGGCACAGAATTGACATACCATCACATCCACTGCATACTATTAGCCAAAGCAAGTCAGTCACCAGTCAGTGCAGACTCAAGAGGTAGGGAAATGGACTCTGCCTCTTGACAAGGAGATCTTTAAAGTCACATTGCAGTGTTTAAATATAGAGGTAAAAAAATTAAAGTATTTCAGTTACAAATCTACTACCCATGAGAAATTTCTGGGTCGCTTCTCTGGGTATCACATTTGGACACTGGGGATCATGGTCTTGCTGGGACTGTATCTTACTGTGACTCTGTTTTGCACATGCTGTTACACTCTAAAGGGAAAGTCAGAGAAAGGATGAGGCAAGAGGAAAAGAGGAAGATGTTGCCTGTGTCTGTGGAATTTTATTGTCCTTCAGCAGCCACCAAAAATATATCCAAAACCTTTTCTATGGCCTTATGGTGGGTAGAATAAGCTTGCCTGCCCCTCAACTTTGAGAGGGGCCATGTGCCTTGCTTTGGCCAATGGGATGTACAATCAAAAATGGCTTAAAATGTGCTTATGCATAAAGCTTATACTACTGCACTTAATAGAAAAACAGACCCCATGTAAATACTATCTTTTCAGCATGGAGCAGAATCAGCCCTGCCAACCTACAGGTACATGAGCCAGAAACAAATACTTATGGTTGCATGCAACTGAAATTGTGTGGTTGTTAGACAGCAAAAGTTGATGGATAAACTGAATTAGAAGAGTAGAAGAAGGCAAGGAGGAAAATGGGGATTCTAAAGGCAGAAATCTAGTAGAGAGGGGATGAAATCACCATCTTCATTACAAGTTCATTGAATATACAAATCTTCTGGAGAGAAGTCATGCAGCGAGCCTTTTCTCCTCACTGAGCATTACAAGCATTGATCCAAGGGTATCTTTGTGTGTGTGTGTGTGTGTGTGTGTGTGTGTGTGTGTGTGTGTTTAAATATGTTTCTTGTTTAATAGTAGATGCTGGTTGTAGCCACCCATTAGGAGAGAACTTTGCACTATTTTTGTTAGCATAACAGGATATATTGGCATTTGCTTAGGAACTGTCCCATATTCCCCCATCTGTGAAATGGAGATTAACATGCTAAGACACCTCAAAGGGTTTTGTTTTATGGTTTGGGTTTTTTTTTCCCAAAGAATAATGAAAAAAGTAATTGAAAACATTTTAAAAAATACAAAACGATATAAACACTAAATAATAATTACTTGTGAGAATTGAAATGAGAATTGCTTTGCCAAGAATCTTGGGTTGATTATAGTCCCAATATTTGTGAGGAACAGCTAATAAGAATCTTCATTAAAATTTCTAATTTTCTACTGACTGCCTCTTTATCAGGTGAAAATTATTAGCAAATCCATATCAACCGTCATGAAATGGAATGATATTCAGGGCAACCAGCTTAATTTTCTTCTGGGATACAGCTGACCAAGGTTGTTTGAAGTCACATAAGCATTGCAGAAAGACGTAGTGCTTTCAGTTAGAGAGGAAAATAATCTTTCCCCCTGGCAGATAAAGTTCCACAGGAATACTCTTGAATCATGGCTGGAAGGCTAACTGATGTGATATTTGTACTACTACCATTCCAACATACTTATTATTGATTACTTATGCACACTGGTAATAATAATAATAGTTGCTACTTATTGAACAACTATTGTCAGGCCATATATACATTCATATGTATACATATTCTTATATTATTACAATACCTATTATGTACAGTTCTTTGTATATAATAGATGCCAATAAATGCTTAATGAATTAATGAATAAATACTTACAAGGTAAGAATTGTTAACTCTTTCTTACAGATAAGAAAAATGGTATTAAGAGAACTTAAATAATTTGGGTAGTAAATGACAGAGTCAGAAATTAAAGAAACTTTTTTAACCCAAAGCCTTGTCTCTTTCTGTCTCACTTTCTCCCGTACACCCCCAAAAACTAGAATGTAAACTAATGGAGTTCTCATGCATTAGACATTTCTGGTTTAAATCACAGTAAAGTTACCTATAATAACTTGAGTTCTGCTGGGTCCAGCTGTCCCATGCAAGGAAAGGTAGAGGGACATGGACCAGATCAAGGTGACTTTCTCTATACCCTTCTCTGATCCCTTTGAGGCTGTGCCCTCTGAAAATCAGTTTGAAGTAAAGTATCCTGGTGCTTCCAAGCAGAGTCCACCCAGCTGGTCTCTCAACTTCACCCCTTTCCTATTTCTTCTAATTGTTCTACTGGCCTGCAAAAGTACTGACCTTCCCTTGTTCCTCTTGTCCTACCAAGAGGTTCCTGTTACCCAGCTCTGGGAAAATCAATGGGTAAATTGGGGTTTCCAGGCTGCCTTTATCTTCCTAATTTTCCTCTTATAGATATGGCTGCCTGGAATACTCCCCCATCCCACTTAGTTCATCGTGTTCTTTTCTGATGTTTGCTCTAGTATAATGAACACAAAATTTGGAGCCAGAAATCCTAGCTCTGCCATTTACTAACTGACTTTGAGAATGTCTCAAAATCATCCTGGGTGATTACAGATGGTTTTCTCATCTATAAGGTAGGGATGAAACTAAACAGAAAAAAAATGCACTTTAATGCAACTTTGAAGTCTCACCAAAGGTATTATTAATTCAGGTACTTCAGATAGAATACTATGACAAGTTGTGGTGAAGGGGAGCAATTTTTTTACAGCGTGAGCTCTTCCTATGACCCTAAAATCATTCACTCTGGGAGACTGACCGGCCCCCTTCTATATTAGCCCTGAATCATATTTCTTAAAGGAGTTAGAAGTAATAAAAACTCAGTGATGGCAAAAATCTTTGTTTCATTCACTGATATATCCTAAGGACCTGGCATGTAGTCAACACTCAACCAATATTTGTCGAATAAGTGAATACAGAAATTGCCATAAGTAATGAAGCTTAGAGCAATGCCATCCACTGGGGAAGTATTATATTTGTGGTTTAAGGCAGGGATTTAGGGGTCAGATACATTTGAGTTCCAGTCCTGTCTCTGCATTTTTCCATCTATGTGAGCTTGGGCAGAAGCTAAACTTTCCTAGACCTGAGTTACATCATCTGGAAATGGGAGTAATAATTTCCTATTTTCTTAGGGTTCTTTGAAGGACTAAATGAGATAATACTTGGAAACTATTTCACATAGCACCTGGCACAGACTGATTGCCTAGGAGGAAGAAAGACACACAGTATTTGGGAGGGGATGATCAGAGGTCCTTTGGCTCATAAAATACATTTGTTTTCTCTTTGTAGGTATAAGTGATAGCAATTCAATCACTCATTCAACAACTATGTCTTAGGCACCTCCTGTGTGCCAAACATTGTTTTAGGCACATGGGATAATTTAGTGAACAAAACAAAGAATCCTGCCATTAGGAAACTGACCTTCAGGCAGAAACAAACAGAAAATAAACAATAGACGTAATAAGTAAATTAAAAGGTATGGTGGTAGAAGATGACTAATGCCTTAGAAAATTAAAAAGTGAGTGGGTTAAGAGTAATCAGTAGTGTGGAGGCAGGGGGCCAAATGCAATATTTACTAGAGGGATCAGACTAGGAATTTTGTTATTGTTTTTGTTTTTGTTTTGAGACAGAGTCTCGCTCTGTCGCCCAGGCTGGAGTGCAACGGTGCGATCTTGGCTCACTGCAACCTCCGCCTCCCGGGTTCAAGCAATCCTCCTGTCTCAGCCTCCCAAGTAGCTGGGACTACAGGCGCATGCCACCACACCCATCTAATTTTTTCTATTTTAGTAGAAACAGGGTTTCACCGTGTTGCCCAGGCTGGTCGCAAACTCCTTAGCTCAGGCAATCCGCCTGCCTCAGCCTCCCAAAGTGCTGGAATTACCGGCATGAGCCACCACGCCCGGCTCCCAGACTAGGAATTTTTTAGAAGACATTTGAGCAAAGACCTGAAGGAGGTAAGGGAATAAGTCATGTGGGTGTCTGGGGGAAGACCACAGAAGGCAAAGGGAATAGCAGGTGCAAAGGCCCTAATGGGGTCTTTATGATGGTTGCATCTAAGGGTCTACAAAGAAATGAACAAGGCTGGAGCAGGAGTGAGCACAGATTATTTAGGGCTTGTGAGCTATGGTATGGACTTTTGTACTTACTCAAATGATATGGGGAAAATAGGAATGTTTTAAGCAGAGTAGTCATGTGACATGACATGGATTTATTTATGTATTTATTTATTTATTGAGATGGAGTCTTGCTCTGCCACCCAGGCTGTAGTGCAGTAGTGCAATCTCTGCTTACTGCAACCTCCGCCTCCCGGGTTTAAGCAGTTCTCTCCCTCAGCCTCCCAAGTAGCTGAGATTACAGCGCCTGCCACCATGCCCAGCTAATTTTTTGTATTTTTAGTAGAGACGGGGTTTCATCATCTTGGCCAGGCTAGTCTTGATTGAACTCCTGACCTTGTGATCCACCCGCCTCAGCCTCCCAAAGTGCTGGGATTACAGGCATGAGCCACCGCGCCCATCCATGACTTGGATTTTAAAAGAGTTATTCTGGTTGCTGGGTTGAGAATAGGTTGTGGGCAAGCCAGTACAGAAGCATGGAGGCCTGTTAAGAGACAACAGCAGTGATGCAGACAGGAGATGACAGTGGTATAGACCAGGGTAGCAGGAGCATGGGAAGTAAAAGAAGTGGATGGATTCCGGATATATTTTATTTTATTCAATTTTATTTTATTTTATTTTATTTTTTAAGATGGAGTCTCGCCCTGTTGCCCAGGCTGGAGTGCAGTGGCACAGTCTAGGCTCACTGAAACGTCCGCCTCCCGGTTTAAGCAATTCTCCTGCCTCAGCCTCCTGAGTAGCTGGGACTACAGGTGCCCGCCACCATGCCCAGCTAACTTTTGTATTTTTAGTAGAGACAGGGTTTCACCATATTGGCCAGACTGCTCTCGAACTCCTGACCTTGTGATCCACCCACCTTGGCCTCCCAAAGTGCTGGGATTACAGGCGTGAGCCACCGTGCCTGGCTCCAGATATATTTTAAAGGTCATTAGAATGGGCACAATTCAGAGGCTTGTGCCCTGTGAAGGACTGCTAATCTCCACCTATTTACAGCTGCCATGATAAATAAAGGTACATTTGAAAAATTCTACAATATTTTAGTAGGCAGATAGTTCTCTTGTTCAAAGGGGCACCACCTCCATTGCTGATTTTTATTCAGAACTTGTCAAAACTCTGCCTGTCTGCTAACATCAGAGATAGACATTATGTGCTGCCTGATGGAAGTACACATTACCCTTGAATGGTATGTGTTCCTGTAAACTTCAAGCAAGTAAAGTCTCCAATTCTAGCCACAAATTTATAGGAAATACAAGGGATGGAGGACACCACTGACTTATAACTAGTAAAATATAAGCATGGAAAACTCTAGAGGACAAATGACCTGTTTTTGTTTTTGTTTTTGTTTTGAAATGGAGTCTCACCCTGTTGCCCAGGCTGGAGTGCAGTGGCGCAATCTCTGCTCACTGCAATCTCCGCCACCTGGGTTCACACCATTTTCCTGCCTCAGCCTCCCGAGTAGCTGGGACTACAGGCACCCACCACCACGCCCGGCTAATTTTTTGTATTTTTTTAGTGGAGACCGGGTTTCACGGTGTTAGCCAGGATGTTCTCGATCTCCTGACCTCATGATCCGCCCACCTCGGCCTCCCAAAGTGCTGGGATTACAGGCGTGAGCCACCACACCCAGCCATGACCTGTTTCTTTAACAGTTTAATTGCAAGGGGAAAGAGGACTGATTCTCTTCTATTTCAAATGACTTCAGAGCTACATCTTCCAAATGTATTGACCTCTTTTGGATCTTGATTTTTTGTTTTTTGTTTTTTGTTTGTTTGTGTTGTTGTTTTAGAGACAGAGTCTTGCTCTGTCACTATCTGGAGGGCAGTGGCATGATCATAGCTCAGTGCAGCCTACTCCTGCAGTCAAGTGATCCTCCCACCTCAGTTTCCCAAGTAGTTAGGACTACAGGCATGCACCACCACACCTGGCTTTTTTTTTTTTTTTAAGTTTTTGTAGAGACAGAGTGCTATGTTGCCCAGGCTGGTCTTGAACTCCTGTCCTCAAGCAATCATTCCACCTTGGTGTTCTAAAGTGTTGGAATTATAGGCATGAGCCATGGCTTCCAGCCTGGATCCCAATTTTTAATAAATCTTTTTTTTAATGTATAAGGCATTTGAGAAAATTTGAACACCAGTTGGGTATTTGATTATATCAGTGCATTGTTATTAATGTTTTTAGGTGTAAAAGTGACTATGGGTATTTGATTATATCAATGCATTATTATTAATGTTTTTAGGTGTAAAAGTGACTATGGTTATGTTTTTAAAGGAGAAAGAGAGTCTGTTTGTCTTTTAGGTAAAAATTGTCACACATTTTCTATAAAGGGCCAGATGGTAAATATTTTAGGCTTGGTGACCACACAGTATCTGTTGCAACTACTCAGCTCCACCATTATGGTACAGAAACAGCTATACACAGTAAGTAAATGAATGAGGATAGCTGTTGACAGGGAGGAAAAACTTCCTCTTAGTTTTAGTGATTGGAGGCCTGTGAATTATTAATAAATTGACAAATGACAGATTCACAAGAGAGAAGATAGACTTTTACTCACATATGTAAATGGGAGTTCATAGGAAAATGTGACTTGAGGTGGCCATTAGAATTTGTGGCTTATATACTATCTTAACGGGGAAAAGTGGAGGGAGGTATTCATGGAAAAATAAATTACTTTTAGGAAAGATAAATGGGCTTTTATATGGAAGACAGGATAGTTTTGTGATAGTTTGTTAGGTGTGGTGCCAGTTTCTCCCTAGTATTAAGAGTCCATATTCCCTGGTTGCAGAACTCCTGGAAAAGGAATTTATGAACATTGAGCTCTTTCGAGAGGCTTTTTAGGCAGGCAAGGGAGTTCAGGGAAAAAAAAAAAAAGCTTATTCTCAAATGCTTTCAGCTCAAAATAATGTTTATGCCATAGTGACTTATTCTATAACCCTTCACTAAATTATAAGAAAACTTTACTTATAAAACAGACATTGGGCTACAGTTTGCTACCTCTGTTTTAGAGATACACATTGAAATATCTGTAAATGAAATAATATGATGTATGAGATCTGTTTCAAAATAATCACATAGGAGTAGGCATTTAGGTAAAACATGATTGCCCGTGAATAGATAGATAACTGCTGATGAGTACAGGCGGGGTTATTATACAGCACTTCTCTGTTTTTGGATGTGTTGGCAACTTTCCATGATAAAAAGTGAAGAAACAAAAACAAAAGACAAACACAATAAAAGACGATAATACTTAACATCTTGAATTAATCACTATTATCAAGCACACTATATTCAAGGCACTGTGCTAATCGCTTTACATGTATTCACTCATTCAATCTTCACCACAGCCCTAAGAAATAGGTTCTTGTGTAACTGAATGTCAACTTGATTGGATTGAAGGATACAAAGTACTGATCCTGGGTGTGTCTGTGAGGGTGCTGCCAAAAGAGATTAACATTTGAGTCAGTGGGCTGGGAAAGGCAGACCCACCCTTAATCTGGGTGGGCACAATCTAATCAGCTGCCAGCACAGCTAGAATATAAGCAGGAAGAAAAATGTGAAAAGAGAAACTGGCCTAGCCTCCCAGCCTTCATCTTTCTCCCATCCTGGATGCTTCCTGCTCTCAAACATTGGACTCCAAGTTCCTCAGTTTTGGAACTCAGACTGGCTCTCCTTGCTCCTCAGCCTGCAGACAACCTATTGTGGGACTTCGTGATTATTGAGTTAATACTTAATAATACTTAATAAACTTAATAAATACTTAATAAACTCCTCTTAATACTACATATATATGTGTGTGTGTGTATATATATATATTTTATTAGTCTGTCCCTCTAGAGAACCCTGACTAATATGGTACTATTATCATCCCCACTTACAGATGAGAAACACAAGGTACAGAGAGGTTAAATAAATTCCCAAGGTCACAGAATGCACAAGGGGCAGAGCCAGTATCTGAACCCAGGAAGGCTAGCTCCAGAGCCTATTTTCTTTAAGTATTATACAAGTTACTTATTAAATACAAGACACTTATGGATTTGGAGAATTCTCTCTCTGCTCTCCTCTAACAATGGCTCTTTTCTAGTTAATATGCTGCTCCAGCAATGTCTCGTCTAGGGGATTACCTCCTGGATCTTTGCACTCTACATTATTATTCATTCATTTTTGTGAACCACAATATAACTGAGCTTAGTTATTAAAATAATCTAATTCCTTCTATAACTGAATGCATTTTTATCAACCTTCTCCCTCTTGCTTTAGAACAGAAGACAACTAAGAAAAAAATCTTCTTGAGAAGAAAAAAAAGACCCAATGGTTTGTATAAAACATGAGCATTTGAGCCCTGTTAATTTCAAGTATACAGTTTTAACCAGGCAGGCATAGATTCAGATCATGAGCCAGTGTTTTCAACCATCCTTGTGTACAAAGGATTTCACATCAGCAATATTAGCATAATCTTTAAGTAGACATCAAAAAACAAAACCATAGCTAGAAAGAACCTTGAGAGGTCATCTAATCCACCCCTACTGCTAAAAAGGGGTGGGCATAAGCTAGCCAGGAAAGGCAGCTTTCTAACCTTTCATCTCTACAGAAGGAATTTCATAAGCTTCTTTGTTAATATTTCAATGCCTTAGACTGCTTACTGTAGGGGAAATTCCTAAAGTCTGGATATGGTTCTTTTTGCCTGGACAAAGCTTTTCTCCATTTAATAATAGGTCACACCACACACGGTGTGGCTCACGTCTATAATCCTAGCACTTTAGGAGGCTGAGGTGGGCGGATCACAAGGTCAGGGGTTTAAGACCAGCCTGGCCAATATGGTGAAACCCCATCTCTACTAAAAATACAAAAATTAGCCGAGTATGGTGGCATGCACCTGTAGTCTCAGTTACTTGGGAGGCTGAGGCAGGAGAATCGCTTGAACCCGGGAGGTAGAGGCTGCAGTGAGCCTAGACTGAGCCATTGCACTCCAGCCTGGGTGACAAAGCAAGACTCCATCTCAAAAAAAGAAAAAAATAGGTCACAAGGATAACACAATGATAATAATAGTAGTAGTAATAATAATAAATTGATATAAATGTATACAAATGATAAAATAAAAAAACAATACATTTTTCTGTACTTAGCAATCAAGCTCCTGGATAATTCATTAATATGAAAAACAACACACTACTCTTTAAATATAATATCTACTCTTTGTACAGAGGATTATATTTAGTATATTGAACAAATGGATTTGAGTCTCAAGACCATTGTTAGACAGGTAATATATTGACTCCATTTTACAGATTGACTCTATCTTCGTGAGAAAAATTAGGCCCAGTGCTAGTGACTTAGATCCAGGCTTATCAAGCCCAACTCTCCCATTTCTCCCATTGCACCACTCTGGAAAAGCAAACAGATCTTCTGGTAGGTTATTCACTACCAGACTACCTTTAACAGAGGTTGGCCATGGTAGAATTAAGCAATGAAAGGATAAAGAAAGTTCTTATATGCTGTTTGCTGATGTTAGACTAGATCAAAATGGCAACACATATTTTAGTTCACTGTGAGGTTGCACAGTGTTACTAACAAGCGGTCAGGGATGTGGAGAAAGGACTGACATAGCTTCTGCACTATTTTACATTTTTAAAATGAGCATATATGAGCACATATTATATACTATCTGTGCTTTTACCTATGGTATAAATACTATATATATAAAATACCTATGATATTTTTATATGCGTAAAAATATACCACAGGTGTTTTTACCTGTAAATTAAAGAGTCCTTCCCTTAAAGTATTGTGATAAAATATTTAAAAAATTATAAATAAAGATTCACAAACCATAAACCTGAAAAGAGTAGAATATTTATATCTAGAGAGGAATCATTTTAATTTTTAGGTTGGGATTTGGTTATCAGACTTTATCCACTTAAATTATTTGTCAGTAACTGCAATAACAAAACAGATCACATCTTTCTTCTTTTCCAAAGAAATAAAATGAGATGGTCAATCAAATTTGAATCATTCCTTCTCCCAACTCAGAACAGGGTCCCAAAGAGTTAGCTCTGCCCCTCGCTATAAGATTTCAGTGCTTGCTCTGTGGAAAGGTGGTATATTCATGAAGTTAAAAACCTGCTCTTTGGAGTCAGAAGACAGTTTTCAGTCTCTGCTTTGCCAGTCTTTGGCTGTGTGACTGGACCAGCTTTTTAATCTCACTACACTTCAGATTTCTTATCCATAAAATGAGGACAACAATATTACTTAAATGACATAGCTCTTGTGATAATTAAATGGGCCGATATTAAGAGAGGCACTTGAAACAATGCCTGGCACATAAACACTAGCTATTTATGGTGGTGGTGGTGTTGTTACAGTTGTTATTATTACAGTACCAAAATTCAGCTGTCTAATCTTATACTGCAAAATTTTTGGGTATTCCACTGACACAGAAAAATCAGCCGGCTAAACATTTCAGAGAATGTACTTCCTTGCAGAGTTAGAGCAAGAGTCAAAAACTACAGCCCATTGGGCAAATCTGGCTTCTTGAAGGCCAAAACCTGCCATACCCATTTGTTTTTGTATTTTTTTCCTATGGCTGCTTTTGCACTATAAGGGCAGAGTTGAGAAGTTGCAAATGAGACCATATGGCTCACATAGCCAAAAATATTTACCATCTGGCCCTTTGCAGAAAAAAAAATAAATTAGCTGATTCCTAAGCTAGAGGCAGTTTTGTTCAAGATAACGTATTTAGTCTCTTAGAATTCAAGATATGTTGCTCGTGCTAAGCAATTCTAAAGAAATTACCAACATAACCATCATCCTTTCTTCTTTGGTACCAAAGATCAAACATGAGTCTCAAGTAACTAGACAGAGAATGATCATTAGTGCCTCCACTAGTTATGGCTCTAAAGGTCCATTCCTTGCACTCACTCTTGACAGTAACAATAGCTCTCTTACTTTTCTAAAACCATGGATGAAATTCTCCTCTTTGTTGTCCTTCCTATAACATAGATATTTTCAGTTACTGTTGGAACAAAAATTTTTGGTTTTGTTGGTATATGTGTTTGTGTGTGTATGTATATATGTGTACATATGTGTGTGCCACATACTTTGCTGAGTTCTGGGAATACCATTTCTGGGAATACCATTCTTGTTCACAAGGTTGACAAAATCTCTCTGCCATGAAGCTTATATACTACCAGAGAAAAGAAAAAAGCCCTAAAGATGTATATTTTTCCTTACAAAAGATAATTTCTAATAGTGAAAGAGATGTGAAGATTATATTTAGTATATTGAGCAACTGGATTTGAGTCTCAAAACCATTGTTAAACAGGTTTGACTCCATTTTACAGATTGAATCTATTTTCATGAGAAAAATTAGGCTCAGTGACAGTGATTTAGATCCAGGCTTATCAAGCCCAATCTCCCATTTCTCCCATTGCACTACTCTGGAAAAGCAAAGAGGTGTTCAACAACACCACTGGGATGTGGATGGAGAAGGATTGGGAAGGAAGAAAAGGGGTTACTTTAGAATGGGTGGCTAGAGAAGGTCTCTCTCAAGAAGAGATATTTGTACTGAAACTCAAATAGAAAGAGGAAGATAATTTTCACATAAATAAAAATGTGTTCCATACAAGAGCAGAAATAAGCTTGGTGTTTTTGAGGATACACATGCTGATACACCAGCACAGTTTGAACACAAGCAGTATGAGGTGAGATTAGAGAGGGAGGTCCTGTGAGGTCTCATAGACCTTGGTAAGGTGTTTGAATTCAACCTGAGTCAAATGGGAAGCCATCAGAAGATTTTCAGCAGGGAAATAACATGATCTGATTTATATTGTAAAAAGATCAATTTGTCAGCTATTACAAGAATGAATAATACTTAGAAAGCAATGGAGAGTGGAAGCAGGAAGACCAAAAAGTTGGCGCTTGCAGTTCAGAGAAGAAAGGATAACAGTGGTAGAAATGGAGAACAGTGACTACTCGGGGCATATTTTGAAAATATAATTGGCTAGATTTGTTGAAGGATTAGGAAAGGGAATGAGGAAAAGGGAGAAATCAAGGATGATTCTTACTAGTCTTGTGATCTGAGCTCTACGTGGTTGGTGGAGCAGTTTACTGAGATTCATTCATTGTTCACTCATCAAATGTTTGTTGAGACCAAGTTCGTGCCAGGTACTGTTCTAGACACAGGAACTATGGCAGTGAAAGAAATAGCAAAAATCCCTTCTCTGGTGGAATTTGTCTAGGTGGGGACGGAGAATAGGGAAGATTAAGAAGCAAGGAATTAGGTGGGGAAGGTGAAGGTATCAATTACCAAATCCTGTTGATTCTACCTCCTAAAGATGTCTTGCAGTAGTTCAAGTAGAAAATGAATGGCAGCTGCATCACAGCCACATTCAGGGGTAGCCTTGAAAGATGTTGGGAAGGAAAAATCTTCTCAATAGGCAGAGCTTCATCTGGTTACTCACTTCATACAGTAGAAGTGGCCCAAGAAGTAAGAATATATAAAAATTCCTGGGTAGTGTCCAAAGGCCTGGCCTTTAGTCAGGGGTCTAGAAGGAAAAGGTCTGAAAGAGCAGAACAGTATCTTTAGTAGAGGCATGTGGATGGACATACAGATGATGAAGGATAAAGATTTCTGCATCACACAATTATACCTACCAGAAAGTATCCATCACAGTAGAGGGACTAAATAGCCAAGTAGACAAAATGAATTTGCCAATTGACAGTAGCCAGCCTTTGTCATTGGCTGCCATATAACTTACATGAAAGGCCTGTGAATCAAGAGGTTACAGTGGCAGAAACGAAGGCTACCTGTGGGCTCAAAATATGGACTTCCACTTACCAAGATATCTCCCTACTGTTGCCTCTGAGTGTCCAACCTACCTCAAAAGTACCTGTGGTTCATCTTCATAGGTATAGATAGATACCTATTTCAGATGTGGGTTTGCCTTTCCTACCCACAGAGCCTCAGCCAGCACCACTATCTGCAAGCTTATGGAATAAATAATCCACCGGCATGGAATCCCTTATGACATAGCATCTGAGCAGGGGGACCTATTGTACAGCAAATAAGATGGCCCTATGACCACGGTTCCATAGTTTGTATCACATATCATGTCATCCAAAAGCAGCCAGCCTCAAAGAAGCTGGAACTGCCTTCTAAAGGCATACCCGAATCAACAGCTCAGTGACAATTCTGACTGGATGTGGTGCCATCCTCAAGATGCAGCACATGCTTACATCAAAAACTTTTATATGGGGCTAAGTCTGCAATAAGAAGAACATGTAGGTTCAGAAACAAAGGGAGTTGGAAAACATGAATGGCCCCACTTACTGTTATTTCCAGTGATTCAGTCACAATGAGGAATTTCATACTTTCTATTTTGCAATTCTGGGCATTGCAGAGATGTATTACTGCAACTAAATAAGATTTTATTTAAGCTAAGTAAACAAATTATTTAAGTTGGAAGTCCTGATCTCCAAAGGATACGCACTCTTGCCAGGAGACACAAGTATTACATTGAACAACAAGATGTAGATGCCACTAGGACACTTTGGAGTTCTTGTGCCCAGGAACCATAAAGTCAACATACTAACAGTGAGAGTTGACCCTAATCCGCTGGAGAAGGTAGTGTTGTGTTCACACAATTAGGACAGGGAGAATATATGTGGAATCTAGGTGATCTACGTGGGTATCTCCTGGCATTTCCTTGCCTCCTGATCCCAGTGCTCTATGATACAGGCAGCAGCCACTGTATGAAAAGGTGATGGTATGATTGCCAAGGGCTTACATTCCTGAGGACTGAAGGTTTGGGTTATACCACCCAGCCACCAAGGTCTGACGAGATGATAGCTGAGGGCAAGGGGAATTTAGAATGAATAGTGGATTAGAGAGAGGAGGAATAGCATTTGTGGACCTGAGACCAACTGCAGCCTCAGAGGCTATTATTTATCCTACTAACTACCCTCATCTAAATTTTTCCTCAGAAAGAGAGGCCCACAGGAACCATGAAAGAGCTGTCCCATGAACCTGCTTGGAGAAACAGATGTCTGTGGTGCAAGGGGTAGATTACAATGGCATGAAAAATGGACAGTTCAGATCTCCTGCTGTGCCTGGACAGCTCACAGCCAATGACCACGCGCAGTATGGGTCCTAATGCAGGCCCATCCTGGAGAGATGTGGAACTCCTTTAACAAGAGATTTTGATTGCAAACTGCCCATCAGCCTGGCCAAAACTTTATTAGAATGGTACTTCAGATTGACACCCTTCCTACCCAATCCTCTTTCATTCCTGTGCCCCTCTCCTTCCTAGTTGTGGGAAGGAAGGCTCTCTCTGCATTCTCCTGCTCTCACCCTCTATCCTTCACAACAAATTTCTTGCATAGAAATTTCTGTTTTGATGTCTGCTTCTGAAGACCTGAACAAACATATGAATCAACTATTATTAATTTTATCTTGTTTTATTTCTTCCTTAAATATAAAGACCCTGGGGATAAGGTTAGGATATTTGGATCCAAAACTCATCATATACTCATGGCACTAAACCACAGGAAATTCTAAAATTTCTAGCAGTATTTCTGGTAATCTAAATAATATATATAAAAGTGTGTGTGCGCGTGTGTGTAGGTCCTTTGTTAAACCCTTGTACATTTGTGATTCGGGGCGGAAGAATTCTTTGCTTTAGAAACTATCTTGGTTCTATAATTTTTAAAAAAATCCTGTCTTTTTTCTGTTTAAAAGGCAATACATATTCATTTTTTTAAAAAACAGTGACAGTAAAAAGTTAAAAAATAAGCTAAGTAGGGACTAAGGAAAGAGTAAAAGTCAAGGGTATCTATACTGATTAAAGAATTTTTAGGGCCGGGCGTGGTGGCTCACGTCTGTAATCCCAGCACTTTGGGAGGCTGAGGCGGGTGGATCACCTGAAGTCAGGAGTTTGCGACCAGCCTGGTCAACATGGTGAAAACCCATCTCTACTAAATATACAAAAATTAGCCGGGTGTGCTGGCAGGTGCCTGTAATCCTAGCTACTCGGGAGGCTAAGGCAGGAGAATTGCTTGAACCTGGGAGACAGAGGTTGCAGTGAGCTGAGATCGCGTCATTGCGCTCCAGCCTGGGCAGCAGAGCGAAACGTCATCTCAAAAAAAAAAAAGAGATAATTTTTAAAATTCAGCAATAAAAGAGAAATGAATTACTGACACAATCAATAACATGGATAAACCTCAAAAACATTATAAGAAGGCAGGCACGAAAGGTTATATTCTGTATGACTCCACTTATTTAAAATTCTAGAAAAGTACATCTTACCTATAGTAACAGAAAGCTCTTCAGTGATTTTCTGGAGCTGGGGGCACTGACTGCAAAAGGGCAAAAGGAATTTTGGGGTATCAGAAATGTTCTTTGATTGAGGTGGTGGTTCCATGTGTGTGCATACTTATATCAAAATTAATTGACCTGTACACTTAAAATGGCATATAAATGTATTTGATATATAAATTATGCCCTGGTAAAGTTGATTTTTTAAAAACACATGATTTTCAATTTTGGAAGAAACTTGGGTCAAAATATTCTTCTTCATCCAGGCCACCATCTTTTCTTACCTACATTTTGCAATACCGTCTGATTGTATTCCCTTATGGGAATCAAGCTTCCCTCCAAGCTGTTCTTCACTCTGCAGCCAGGGTGATGTTTCCAAAAGAAAATATGATTATGTCACCCCCAATAAACCCTTCTTCTTCACATGTATCAGTCAATGTTGACTCAGAGAAATAGAACCACTAAGACATATATAGATATCTGCTATAGGGATTTGACAGTTTGTGTAACCAGTTACACAATTGTGAGAACTGGTTAAAGTTTCTGTAATGCAGCTATGTTCGCCTGTCATCTTCTGATGATGGAGTTTGAAGTCCACAGGGCAGGCAGTTGGGAAGGGAAGATGGATGTAAATTCCAGTAACAAGATGGAATCCACAAACAAAGTGACAGAAAGGAATCTGTCAGTTCTTATGGCCTCTGACTTTGGTGGTATGGGGCAGAAGGTCAGGTCCTTCATTATCATGGAACGAAACACACACCTGGTCCAGGAGTCAGGGAAACTGACAGAGGATCCAGGGAAAGGTGAAGCAGTTGAAGACTCAGCCAGTCTCACACCAAGATGAGCTAGCAGATTAAGCAACATGCATGAGCTACAAAACAGCTGCTGCTTCACTTCCATCCTCCAAATCTCCCACAAGAATTTCCTATGGCCCACCCTAACCGAGAACATACAATAAAGGGAATGCTGTGAAATGTAGTTCAGCCTCGCCAAACTGACACATTACAAAGCCATCACACCATCCCAAACCTTAAATGGCTTCCTATTACCCTTACTGCCTTGAACAAAACTTGTAGTTATTTGTGACCTACCTTTCCAGATTTTTTGCCATTATTTCCTAATCCATCTTAGGGTATATGCACCTATGTTTAGTACAAATGTTCTGACTTCTAAACCTTCCCGCATTGAATTCCCTGACTGGAACACCCTTCCTTCTTTATCTTCTCCTTCAACCTGGCTAAGACCTGTTCACCCTTACAGCCTCAGCTTCCTTTAGGAAACTTTCTCTGACATACTCTCTTCATCACTGGTGACCAGTACAAAGCCAGGTCTATGTTAGCACCCAACAGACTTCAGTTGAATGAATAAATGTGTGCTCATGAAAATTAAAACTGATTATAGTTATGTGAAGACACAGCTGGAGTCTTTGGCATAAAGGGGATAAAGTACTATAGTCAAAGTCAGTGGGCAGGCAATGTGTCCAGTCTATTGCAATGTGGGAAACTCTATTCATTTCAGCAGAAATACACACACCCTGTTTATCCCCTATTCACTCTATCCCGTTGATATATAAACCCCCACTACAACATAAACGTTCTTAGTTTGAGTTGCCCAGAAAGCAGAACCTCAGAACAAGCAGTTTGTTTGGGAGGTGATTCCTGGGAATGAGATTAACAATCAGGGAGCATGGGAAAGGGAAAATAAAAGCCAGTGAAGGGAGTATTAGAGCTAGCTAATGCTGTGGGTAACTAAACTTCCGATTCACTGGGGACCCTCTGAAAAACTGTGGAGAACCATAGATACCCTTCTGAAAGGAGGCTGAGGCACTTAGCCACCGTCATCCCTCATTGGTCGAGTATTGCCTCTGGGGAATGTGTTCCCTTCCCCCTACCAACACTTCCAGGCTGCGGCGGATGAACACTCCGTGTTAGAGAAAACAAGGCAGAGAAGTAGAGGAACCACCAACACTTATAGTAGGATGTTGGGAAAACACAGGAAACTAGCAAAGCTTAAAAAAAGTTAGAGGAAAGCCAAGGGGACGTGGCCCAAGTCATGAACAATTTCTGCTCCACGTCCCAAAGATTTTTATCTCCGTTAATCACTAGGTGCCAACATAAAGACAAAAAGAATAAGACATGTCAAATCAATTTCAGTTTCTTCTTTCAGAGAACTGATGGCTTGGGAGTTTAGAGAAATTTCATTATACTGAATTACAGTATGGATAATATGAAGAAAACAGGGCTAGGTGTATAAGGAGTAAATAGATCATTACTGGCTGACAGTTTAACTCAAAGAATGCTGATGCAAACTTTGTTATATTCCTTCCTATATATTGTATGGGAATGGTACGCCTGGAGTACTATAGTATAGCAACCCTGCCTAGCAAAAAGGAGTTGAAAGGGATAGGAGCAGGTCAAATGTTATAGAAAATTGTTTGACCTAAAGTATTAGGAAAATATAGATCCATGGTTCTCATAGGTGGCGGGATGCAGGAGGGGTGGGGTTATTTTGTTCCCCAGAAAACATTTGGCAATATCTGGAAACACTTTTGGTTGTCACAACTGGGGAAGAGAGTGCTATTGGAATAGATTAGGAAGCAATCAGGATGGTGTTAAACACCCAACAATGTACAGTACAATCCCCCTTTTCCCAACAAAGAATTATCTTACCCAAATATTAATAGTGCCAAGGTGGAGAAACCCTAACATAAAGTATATCTGGGTATCAATACATAAATGCATAATTTCTTCACATATAGCATTTAAAAATCAGTATTTAATTACAAATTATATGTTCTACAGTCCAGCAATACAAAGTGTTGCATTAGTACCACCAAAACCAAAGGAATTGGTGAGGCCAATAAATCTTTTCTCAGTTTTCCATTCCTGTGCCTTTAGTGGAACATAGTTGAGATCAAATTCTGGTTCCGAACAATCCAGGTTTAAAGTAGGTGGTAGTTTTTGATAATAACAAGCTAATGTGGTAAAAGCTGCCTCGACTGCCCCTGCAGCTCCCAGCAGATGTCCTGTTGCTCCCTTAGTTGAGGAAACTGCAAGGGCATATGCATGGTCTTTGAAGAGATGTTTGATAGCTTTGTTTTCAGCAGCATCTCCCAATGGTGTGGAAGTAGCATGTGCATTGATATAGGATATCTCCTCAGGCTGCACACCTGCATCTTTTAAAGCAGCAGCCATACACCTAATAAAACAAGAAAAGACATTTATCAGGACTAAGTTTAATTTTAACAAAAGTCTCTTTATCTGTATGGCTTATGTGAAACAAATGTAGGTATCCAAGTACACTGGATGAAAAGAATCCCTTGCTCTAGTAACGGAACACTATCTTGGATTACCATGTGAGTTAGGATGCCATCTGTATGGGAATAATGAGTCACACTCACTACCTTGGACTGGTTCATCACCAAGAGTTAAACACACAAGCCAATGCAAGATTGTATAATCTCAAATAAAACATAATTTCATTTATTTGCATTGGCAGTTTTCCTTGGGGAAAAAATACCATGTTGACTCAAGACTAGAATAATTTTTGTTCTAGGGATTTTTGGAGTGTGGCAATTTTTTATGAGAATTATAATTATGATTTTTCTTTCACATTTAAATTCAAAACTTGGCATACTTCCCAATAATCTACTGTTTCATTGTTTCAAATAATCTTTCAAAATCCTCTTTATTTAGGCTATAAGAATTCTAAACAAAAAGTACAAAGGCAAGCTAAGCCAAACAAACTTAAGAGTAAAAATTATATCTAAAAGGACCTCTGAAAACGTTTTGGATGTCATCTTCCTTTAGTTCCTAAGAGAAATATACATGTATGTATGTGTGTTTGTGTGTGTATATATATTTCTTAACAGCCAGCTCAGAGTATAATTTGAAGTATGCTGAAAGGTTTCCTGTGAACATAACCATTTCTTCATCTATTTTGTTACTATGCTTGACATTTTTACCACCAGCAACTACTCACTAAAATTCAAAAGTAGGCCAGGCATGGTAGCTCACACCTGTAATCCCAGCACTTTGGGAGGCCAAGGCAGGAGGACTGCTTGAGGCCAGGAGTTTGAGACCAGCTCTTGCTCTGGCAACATAGCAAGACCCCAACTCTACTAAAAAAAAA
This sequence comes from Homo sapiens, assembly GCF_000001405.40. Classification (NCBI taxonomy): domain Eukaryota; kingdom Metazoa; phylum Chordata; class Mammalia; order Primates; family Hominidae; genus Homo; species Homo sapiens. The sequence goes on along the minus strand of NC_000003.12, from coordinate 25,793,158 downwards.
AAAAAGAAAGAAAAAAGAAAAACAAACAAACAAAAACAAATAAAATAAAATTCAAATGTATAATTTAGGGGTAGGTAAACTATGGCCCTGGCTAGATGCCTATTTTTGTAAATAGTTTCATTGGAACACATTCATGCCCACACATTTACATACTGTCTACGGCTGCTTTCACATGACAATGGCAGAGTTGATTAGTTGCAACAGACTCCATGGCCCACAAAGCCAAAAATATTTACTATATTTTTCCCATTACAGAAAAGGTTGCTAACTCTGGCTAATTTAACTGAGTAAAACATAATATGATTTAAGAAAGCTAAACTATTAGCTATCTATTAACACATTATCAGGGACTTTTTATTTTTATTTTTTTGCATTTTAAATGCACTAATCTATAACAGTTAACTTAAATGTAGTCCTTAAACCAGCAGTATCACCATCACCTGTTAGAACTACAGAATCTCTCAGCCTGGGAAATAAAGTGAAACCCCATCTCTACAAACAAATTCAAAAAAAAGAAAACTGGTCTCAGTGGCGCATTCCTGTAGTCCCAGCTACTCAGGAAGCTGAGGTGAGAGGATTGCTTGAGCCCAGGAGTTAGAGACTGCAGTGAGATAAGACCAGCATGGGCAATACAGAGAGACCCTGTCTCTAAAAAAACAAAACAAAACAGAATCTCAAGCACCACCCTAGACCTACAGAATCAGAATTAGCATTTTAAATAAGATCCCTAGGTGATTATAGTTTGAGAAGTGCTGATTTGAAAAGAACAGAATCCTGTTGAAATGGAGCAAAACCAGACACATCTAGAAGGGTTGACTTTACTTTCCAAGTCTGATGAAGGGTCAAAGAGGAGGACTTTGTGAGGGAGCACACTGATGCTTAAGCACAAATGCAGGCGTGAAAAGTTGGCAAAGACACACATGGTCTTTTCCACAACTCCATTGGTTTTTAACTCAAATGCAATTTTTGTAAGTATGTTCAAATGCTTTGAAATACTTCAAATGTCTTAAGCAAAGAACTAAACAATCTTGTTTAGTCTAAAAAAGAAAAACAACAGAGATACTGTACACCAAGGCCAGACACTACAACTTCCCTAATTTGGGATTCCCAATAAAGTGTCTTATTTGAAGAAATATTTCGAAGGAAATAACCCATCTTTACCTTAAGGCACCTTCTCCTTCAGGATCAGGGGCAGTTATGTGACCAGCATCACCTGAGAGTCCATAGCCCAAAACTTCTGCATAGATCCGGGCTCTTCTTTGAACAGCATGTTCATATTCTTCCAGCACCAGCACAGCTGCACCTTCTCCCATTACAAAACCATCTCTCTTTGGATGAAATGGTCGACATGCCAACTTGGGATCTGAGTTTGTGCTCAGAGCCCGGGCTCTGGAAAACCCAGCAAGAGATAAAGGGCTAATACAAGAATCTGTACCTCCAGCCACCATCACATCAGCATCACCATGGGCTATAAATCTAAATGAGTCTCCCACAGCATGAGCTCCTGTGGTACAGGCTGTGGATACTGCATGATTTGGGCCCTTGAGTTTATATCGAATGCTGACCTGGCCTGCTGCCATATTGACCAGAATCTTAGGGACAAAAAATGGGCTAACTTTATTGTAACCTTTTGTCTGAAAATTCAAAGCAGTTTCAGAAACAACTTCAAGAGGAATCATTCCCATGCCAATTGCAACACCAGTAGCCACTTGATCAGCTTCTGACTGAGGATGCCAGCCAGAATCCTTCATGGCTAATTCTGCAGCCCCAATGGCCATGATGGTGGGAGAAGACATGGACTTGATATCTGATTTGGACACAAAGTTTTGTTCATTGAACTGACCTTCATCACTACCTCTTGGCACATAAGCAGCAACACTGCAAGGGATACTCTTATACTCTTCACCAACCAGTGAAACAATTCCACTCTCTCCTCCGATAAGACGATCCCAAACCAGGTGAGTTCCAACACCAAGAGGAGTCACTAAGCCAATGCCTGTAATGACAACTCGCCTATGCAATCTGGATATTGGCACAGTTCCGAAAAACTTCCTTTTACTTCTTAACTGTTGGCATAATCTTGAACATAGAAGACGAGTGCTTGTAATTTTCAGGAAATTTTGCAGGCAGTTGGACATGATTAAGATTCAGATGATCAGAAACACATTCCTGTAAAAGACCACAACACACCTAGGAGGTATTCTTTTAAATAGCTTAAGGGCCTAAGGAAAAACATCCAAGGTGTTCCTTTGGGTGCTTGATATGAGCTGCTAATGAACACAGGGAAAATGTTACATACTTTCAATTTATACCTTAACATCAAACTATCTGTTTAAACTTACCTTCTTTTTTAGACCTTAAGTGCCGTCAGACATTTGAAGACAAATAAATGAATTGATGATTCATTCGAGTCACCAAAACAGTAATTCAATGAAAAATATAAAGGCACCTCCAGCCTGATTTGAGCTGCAGGAAGCATCCTTTGTCAGGATTACTGATAACTTCTTCTAAATAGCATTTCTGGTGTCAGTGGCACAGAAAACACATTTCAGGGCATATTCTTTTAAGTAAGTAAGTGGGCTTTATCAATCTTCAGTACTTAAGGATAACCAGCCTTTTCAAAACGCTACCCAGGGCCAAGAGCCCTAGACTGAGCGTCTGGATACATGGGTTGGCAATACACTCTGTGACCAAGCTTGCGATGGGGGAAGGGGACAAGTCTTTCCACTCCTCTAAACTTCTCCAATTGAATCATTGGTGGAAGGAGGGGTTACGACTAGTGGATCACTTCAAGGGTACTACGAAGGCCAGGGGCGGGAGTAAAAGAGTGTAGCCATTCCCTGTATCGCCTCTCAGGCACCACCACACATGTACACAGCCCGAAGAAGCATGGCGAGAGAAAAAGAAATCAGGCCCCAGGTCCTCGGACTCCCCTCTCGAAATTCAACCCCGACTTGATTTGAATGTAAAGGAGGAAAGGAGGGGCGAAGGAGGAGGGTAGCCAGCGATACCTGTAACGGGGCTACCCCGGACACTTCTCCACAGTCGGGGGCGATGACGCTCTCGAGCGCACGCGCACACGCACGTACGCTCATGCGCGCTCGCACGTACGCTCATGCGCTTTCCCACGCACGCGTCCCGTTCGACTCTCTTTCCGCCGGTTGACTTTAAGCCGCGTCACCTTGGCTGAGGTCAGACCGTGGGAGGCGGCTGGGTAGCTGTTTGCGTGAGCAGAGACGCCCCTCTCGGAACCTCAGTGACTCGCCGATAATCGAGGACCTGCCAATAACGCGATGAGGTAGCATTTTCACCCATCAAAAAGGCATTTTTCTTTGGCAGTGATAATGCCCAAATATTCCCTTTTGTCGGAGAAGGGACACCATCGTATTCTACTGGAATTGTAAGAAAGAATTAAGGAAATTCTCTGCAGTTTCAAAGTTATTGCTATAGCTCGCAACGTTATTAGTAATTGTGAGTAAAGTGGAATTAACCAAAATGGCCAACATCAGGAAATTTGTTGTGTATCTTGTGGTACATCCAAATGCCATGCAGCCGTTTAAAATAATTCTGCAGGTGAATATTTATTAATGAGATGTTGCGACTATTTGTTAGGAGACATAGTTACAAAACAGTATATATCCGTTTTTTCAAAAATAATTCTTTAAAGGTCTGCAAGATGTATACTGATTGTGATCTTTCCCTCCTTATTTTTGCTTAGCTTTATTTAATAAAGCTTTTCTACAATAAACAAATGTTTTTGTAATAAAGTTTTTACTTTTTAAAAGTTGTCACCAGGCTGTTCTGCCTATGGAGTAGTCATTCTTTGTTCCTTTACTTTCCTAATAAACTTCCTTTCACTTAAAAAAAAATTATCACCAGATTTGAGACAGTGCTCAAAAATTGTCTCCATTGTCACAATGGAGACATTTGTTTCTAAGTGTGAAAAATTCATTAACTGTTTGCTTAGAGCTGACTGCAAACCGATAAAGGGAAAATATAACATGAAAATGTAAAAAAGCAAGAAGTCGACAAGATGGTATTCATCGAACATCTGTTTTTCACATGCTATCCCAGGCGTGAGTTTTGTCCTTGCTCTTCTTTAGAAAAATGGTTGAGCATAGAATCTTCATCTGGACCTTCTAGTCATATTTATGGTTTTTTCTGGGCAATGCCTCTTGAAGCCATTGTTTCCAAGTAGAGTGCTCTGCATTCTTTCCTACCCCTACAGAAGAATGTGAGTCAAGCTTAGCTTTCCAGGTTGGTCCTGGATTTAAATGAGTTTGGAAATCTATTTTGTTTAAAATAATTCAGCAAAGCTCAGTTTGACCTTCGTCCCAGGCCTAACCAGTCACCTCTAGTTGATCCTCATTCAGTGACAAAGTAGAGTTTCTTGAAGAATTAAAACAAACACATGTGGTTATAAAGTAACACTTGATGAGTAAGTACCTAAACTTGATCTCTTTTCATTGCTGTCTTTAAAATAATAGTGTGAAAATACCTACAATATTTTCTCTGAAGCTGAACTCATAAGAAACATACAGTTTTAATGTGCTATTTCTTTTGTAATATCACAAAATCGTCTTGGCTAAGAGGTGACAAAATCTTTCAGAAAAATAAAAAGACCATCATTTTTGTATCTACCTCTTATCACCTTTTCTTTGATCTGGAAAAGGGTGGGAAATTTTATGATATTTAATGGCTTTACATATTTGGTACCATATTTCCTGCTACAATTCCATCGTGTCTTCTTGCACCAAAATCTTCAAATGGGCTCTGCTTATCCTACCCTCCTATTAAGACTTCCTAGGTTTGCCTTAAATTCTTTGTAATCTGATTCAAAACTATCTTTCCAATTATGGCTCCCATTCTCTATTAAATGAGCTTGCCACCCAGCAAACTGATTTTCTCACTATACATGTCTTGATTGACCCTAACTTTTCTCATCTCTGTGCTTTTGCTATTTTCAACAACCACTCATTTTCTTCCTATCAATGCTTGAAGTTTGAATGCAAAAATGAGTAGAGGTATGGCTCTTGCTTTCAAGAAGTTTATGGTCTAGTAAAGGGAGACACCCATAGAAACAAGTAAGTGCAAACTGTTGAAACAGGTGCTATAGTGGAATTATTATAACACAAAAGGGACAATGAGGTCTGTGCTACCTCGTAAAGTCAGAAAAGGCTTCAGAGAAATGATCCTTGAACTGCATCTTGGAAATGAATGTTTGTCTAGTAAATTGGGTGGGAAAGGGCATCCTGGCAGGAGGAGAACAAAGGCCTGGAGAAATGAAGTGTCATGGTATCTTCCACAAACAGCTAAATATGTGGCCCATGTCAAATTTGAAGTGTGGGACAAAGCAACAGTAAACGCATGAGAGTAAGGCAGGGCCCAGATCACAAAAGCCTGGGGTATCATACTGAGGACTTTGGATTTAATCCCGTAGTTCAGAGACCATATGCTAGCCTTCATGGTATAATTTGGAGTGCAACATTCTTTTATTGATTCTAAACTCCTCTAGAAAGGACATGGTAAACTCTCTCATTCCCTTCACTGGAGTCTCTCTTACTCCTCTTTGTCTTGAACAAAGCCACTTAAAATATTTAACTTACCAGCCTGGTTCCTGACACCATTTGACTTTAGAATGTGGATAGAGGGAGCCATAGAAAACTTTTTACCAGGAGAACAACATGATCAGATGGGTGCTTTAGAAAGATCACTATTGCACAAATGAGCAGGGTGGGTTGGAAGGATGTGGAAATGGACACAGGGAAGAAAGTTAAGAATGGATGAAACACGAGGCTCTGAAGGCAATGGCAAGGAGAGATCCAGGAGATGTTGAGAAGGAAACGTTACTAGGATATTGTACATGATTTAAGGAGGGTGGGGAGTCTCTCACAGGTAGCAAGTCCTCTCCTTTCTCACCTTCTCAACCTCTCAATTTAAGGCTTCTGTTCAAGTTGTCCCCCCTCACTGAAACTGCAGCCCACAGTGAAATTTTCCTCCCTCTAAACTAGTAGTTCTCAAAGTTTACTGTTAATCAAAATCACCTGAAGGGCTTGTTACCACACAGATTGCTGGGTCCCACCTTTAAATGTGGAGCTTCAGAATTTGTTTTTCTGACAAGTTTCCTGCTGATGCTGCTGTTGCTTGTCCAACCACTGCTCTAAACTTATGACTTCTATGAAAGTAGGGACCATACTTGTCTCCTTCACAGTGCTGAGCAACTAGTAGTCACTTCATAAATACATGATGAATGAATGAATTATGGAATGAATAAATCAACATTTATCCTTACATTTGATAGTACACATGCACTTTTTGTGCATTTCTCACCAAATGACTTTTGCGAAAACCAATGCCATAGCATTAATATTGTGATAACAATGTACAGTCCATAAAATCATGGAAATCACCATTTTAAAAAAATCATCTGAAATTTAAGTCCTTCCAAATAACTCTTTAGCAACACTTCTGTTAAAGTTCTTGAGTAACTGTAATCTCTTTTGAATATTGCCATTTATAAAGCTATTAAGGGAATCCATTATATAAAGGGACTTGGTCTCTCATTTTCCTGGCTGCTTCCCCCACTTCAGTCAAGTTGGAGATATTCTAATTCTTCCATTTCCTTTAGAAAAGCTGAATAAGCTACCCTAACTTTTATACCCATCGTTGTTTCAAACAACCAAAGAATGGGTACTAAATCAGCATTGAAATTCTTGTTCTTTTATTTATTTATTTTTGTTCCAAAATAAAGATTTTTTTTTTCCCCAGGATTTCACCTTTATTAAAAACATCATTTTTAGAGTTGACATATCATGGCGCTATTCTTTTTTTTTTTTGAGGTAGAGTCCCGCTCTGTCACCCAGGCTGGAGTGCAGTAGGGCAACCTCAGCTCACTGCAACCTCTGCCTCCTGGGTTCAAGCGATTCTCCTGCCTCTCAGCCTCCCAAGTAGCTGGGACTCCAGGTGTGCACTAACACGCCTGGCTAACACTATTCTTTAATAAAACAAAAAAGAAAGAACTCTGTAAATTTTCCCCACGATTGGTTTGGTGATATTAAAAAGTTAACCTCCATAAAAACCATTAGCAAGGGGAGGAGTTGAAGTCTTTCAGGAATTTGTATAGTGATTCACTATTGTGTGACTACATTGAGTGATTAACCAACAACTCTATTCAGTACCTGCTGTGTGCAAAGCAGTCTGAGACAGATGGCACAAGAGACTTTTAATCAAATAGGGAAGACAAAACTAATGATAACTTACAGTGAGATAGCGTTTTAGTTGAGGAAACAAACTATTATGAAGAGAAAAACAAAAGTCATTTTGTTCCCCCACAAAAGTACCCTATGACCATTCTATCTGTCAGGGGAAAGCCTTAGCTGACAGCTTTCTGCCCTTCACTTGACACCTCTGCTTCAATACCAGAGCATTTCCACTTTGGTGTTTTGTATATAGACAATCTTCCTATGTTTTTGTTTTTGTTTTTTTTTTGTAGAGATGGGGTCTTGCCATGTTGCCCAGGCTGGTCTTGAACTCCTGGGCTCAAGCGATCCACCTACCTCGGCCTCCCAAAGTATTGGGATTACAGGCGTGAGCCACCATGTCCAGCCCCTAAAATTTTATTTGAAAAAAAAAAAAAAGTTCTGTTGCATTTTTAAAAGTTACAAGTACTGTATAATATATACTATTCTCATATAATTAGTAAAGGATAAATAAATGTATCAATGGAAAAAGAAACCCAAATTAAGAGGAATAAAGTTTGTGATAGCTATATCTCCAGACCCAAGCCCCCAATCCATTGTGTAGTTGGACGAGACTACATTTCCCAGACTCTCCCCTTTTATCTTTTTATGTGTTTTTAAATTTTTTTTTTATTTTTTGTAAATCTGGCCTTACTGAAATACCCCCTTTTATCTTGATGAGGCCTCATTCTTAGTAATGATATGGTAGAGAAAATGCTGTGTGTCATTTCTGGGCTCATGTGGTTAAAAGTAGGTGTGACTTTTTTTTTTTTTTTTTTTTTTTTGTCCAAGCAGGCTGCCTGGATTTGTAAATAAAATTTCACTAGAACATAACCATGCCCATTTATTTTCAAGTATTGTCTGTGGAGCAACAGCTGCAGAGGCAGAGTTAAATAGTTGAGACAGACCTTATGGCTCACAAAGCCTAAAACACTATGTGGCCCTTTACAGAAAATGTTTCTTGACCCCTGTTCTAAGGTATGGAAGGAGACTGGGTCCACTGACATTATGACACCTGCATTATTAAAGTGTTATATGAGCCAGAAAGAAATTACTCTTGTGTTAAGCCCCTGAAAATTTTAGTTACAGACGGTAGTAACATACTACTATCTGTTGAACACACCATACTTGGAAGGTGGTCCAAAGATTTACATATTTATTAAAAGCGTACGTATATTTGGGAGACGAATAGTCATTGAACTGGATGTCATAGCTTAGGGTCTTGTTCGGAGATTCTGGAAGAAAATTTCAATTCTTAAAAGTAAACAGATGAAACATCAAGAAATTTAAAAGAGGTTATTCAGGCAAATCACTTATCTTAAGAAATAAAGTCAAGAAAAATACTTCGTGAGGTTGAAAAGGAATTTCTGCAAAGAAGGAAGCCACTGGTAAAGTACACTTTCAAGAACATGGTGGGGAAGAGACTGGATTAAAGTAGTAAGGGATGCATCTTCTAAGAGGAATAAAAGACCTTGATCACATGATCTACCTAAAAAACAAGTCACAAAATATTACTTACCCTTACTGTGTGGGATGCAAATTTTTATTCCCTTCCCGCCCCCGACATTCTATAATATTGCGTAATTATTATGCATGTGTTTTACGCTGGTCACCACGCGGTAAACCGAATCCACAACCCATTATTATGTCGCAACCTATGGTTTAAAAATACACTTCCTTACAGAGGAATCATATACTAGTTGAGCTGGAACTTAGATTTTCAGTCATTAGCCAAATTCTGAAAAGAATCCATATAACAAACCCAGCAGAGTTTATAGCCATGGTTTTGTTTTTGACGTTTGTTGCTCCTTCCTTCTGTAGTCTTTCATCCACATCTATGTAGAACGTCCTGACAATCTGCGAAGAGAAGGCTCTAAGGTGGTTTTATTTGTGGGGAAAGGAGGGAGGTACATGCGGTTTCTCCACCTTAATAGCTGGATCAATTAGGCTGGCCCCGGAGCGCAAAGGGATCCGGGTTTCTGAGAGGCACGTGCCAGCACCATTCGCCCGATACCTCTAGACCAAAGCCGGCCTCCCCTCCAGCCGAGCTCCTCCGTCCTAAAGGACTCGACATCCCCCTCCTCCAGGCCCACACCCCTCAGCCCCGGAGCCCAGGCCCCGCCTCTCCCTGCGGAACCCCTTCCCAACCTGTACGACCAGGCCCCAACTCTGGGTCGAAGCACCTCGCCCCTGCCGGCCGAGGCCCCCCACCTTCTTCCGAACAGCCCCTTGCCCCCCGCGAAGGGGCAGCCGTAGCTCCCAGCCGAGCTCCCCCGCTCCTGGCCCCGGTCCCCGACCCCGCCCCAGGCCCCCGACCCCGCCCCTGCCGGCCGAAGACCCCGCCCCTGCCGGCCGAGGACCCCGCCCCTGCCGGCCGAGGACCCCGCCCCTGCCGGCCGAGGACCCCGCCCCTGCCGGCCGAGGACCCCGCCCCTGCCGGTGGCTGCGGTAGCTGCTGCGCGCTGAGGCGCCTGCTCAGTGTGGGACGCGGAGAGCGAGGGGCGGCGGCGGCGCCCGCTGGCGCTCAAGCATGGCGGCGGCGGCATTGGGCAGCTCCTCAGGCTCGGCGTCCCCGGCCGTGGCTGAGCTCTGCCAGAACACCCCGGAGACCTTTTTGGAGGCCTCCAAGCTGCTGCTCACCTATGCTGACAACATCCTCAGGTGCAGGGCAACGGGGTCGGACGGCGGGTACCGGGGTGGGTGGGCCGCGGCACCTTGTTCGGCCAGGGACTGGGGCGTCCGGCCTGAGCTTCAGAGGGCAGCGACGCCCGGACAGACCGGGACCTGGAGCTGGTTCTGCTCCTAACGTCCGAGCCCGCCGGCCAGGGGCCTCGGGACCCGGCCAAGTCCCACCCCCGCTCGAGAAAAGGAAGTTTCTTTGCAGTTGTGACTTGGCACCTGCAGTCAGGGTGCTGCGGGTGAACTGGAGTCCCGGAAGCGGGGCCGGGCGGAGGAGAGGTAGGAAGGCGTGCTTCAGACACTGCCGCTCTTCTCGTCGTTTAACGGCCTCAGATATCGGGACACAACGGTAACCGCACCGCGCGTGTCATTCCCCCTGCGTGCATTTTTCGAGCGGAGTGGCTTACATTTCCACATACTTATCAGAAGTTACTCACTGACAAAGTGATGTTTTCTTCCCATGTTGAGACTATCCGAGTACTAAAGCATAATGCTTCTGAAGTGGTGGGTTTTAAAATTTTTAATTTTTTTTCTGCCCACTTTTGTTGATTGAAACATTATAGTATTTTGAAGTTACAGTTTTTATATTAATACCTGGATTCTACTATGTAACATAACCCTTTAAGAATTCGTGGAGGTAATCGCCTTGGATGAGAGTAATTTCCTTCATTCTCCTGTCAGCAAAATTGCACTTCTAGAGGTCTAAGGGACCTTGCAGATTTTGGGAATTGGGAGGCAAGTTTGATTATTCATTTTGAATAAGTACCCACCTCAACTCTTCAGATCAAATGATCTGAAGGGACATGGTGTGGGGGGGTAGGGAAATGGAACTGAGGTTAAAGGAGAGCCACTTGCTTTAGGGGTGTTACCTCATTTATCAGGTCACCGTGATTAATTAGGTTCTCTGTTCCCCTCAGCCCCTGGTGCATTAAGTGTTTGGTATATTGTCATGAAGTCTAAAAGGAAATTCTCAGTTTCAAGGTTATAGGTTTCACGTGACCCAATTTTAGACATTAGTTACATGTGCAGTTTTTAAAATCCATGTCAGTAATATTTCATTTAGGCAATGGTAATGATTTTTAAAGTAAATTGAAGGGAAAATATATTGAGCCCTTATTTTGTGGCAGATGCTATGAAAGATGCAACATGTGGCCTGTTCACAGCTACATAATTGTGACCTGTGTGGGGACCACCTTCGTGCTCTGTGACACCTTCTCAACTCACCTTTTTTACTCTTTGAGGCCTTACAGCTCTTCACAGTACAAGGATGCCAAGGGACTCCATAAATGAACTGATAGGCTGGGTTCTCCAGAGCCCATTAGCTGAGACTTACCACCTGGAAAGCCACCAGGCTATTTAAAACCCCACTAGTCAGAAAAGAGAGGTGGCCTTGTAATGAAGCCTCACTTCTGCTTTAAATCTAGTGAAACCCAAAATGCTGAGGTTTAGTATGAGGGGGAAACCTTTGCATGCAAATAATGACATTTAGCATCATAATCTTCATTATGAATGTTTACTAATGGCTCGTTGCTGATTTTCGTTTTTGAGACGGAGTTTGCTCTTGTTGATGAGGCTGGAGTGCAGTGGCGCGATCTTGACTCACTGCAACCTCCGCCTCACAGCTTCAAGATTCTGAAAGATGAGGGGTGTGACAATGAGCGCAAAGGATAGTGGACACACTGGAATAATGCTGAGAAATTAAGAGTTTAAGAAAGTCTTTGTGCGTTGCTTTTCCAAGGATAGGAAAGAGGATATGATGGGTTTGAAGTCTAATGTCCCTACAGCCCTCTAAGTCTTTGAGGGCTTTAGGGTCAGGCCTTTGGTATCAGTCTATACACAAAACCACGGTCAGTTTACTCAACATACTTAATAAGAAAAAGAATTTGAGGAACTGGATGTGACTGTCATTGCTGGAGCCTGTTTGCAGTATACTTTTACTGAGAAAAATAGATTAATGTGAGGTCCAGAGATGATATAAAAATAAAATTGCTCACTGGGCACGGTGGCTCACACCTGTAACCCCAGCACTGTGGGAGGCCAAGGTGGGCGGATTGCTTGAGCTTAGGAGTTTGAGACCAGCCTGGGCAACATGGCTAAACCCCGTCTCTACAAAAAAATTAAAAAATTAGCCAAGCGTGGTGGCAGACACCTGTAGTCCCAGCTACTTGGAGGGCAGAGGTGGGAGGATGGCTTGAGCCCATAATCATGCCACTGCATTCTAGCTTTGATGGCGAAGTGAGACCTTTCTCAAAAAAGAAAAAAAAAATGCTCACTAGAAACTAAAGAGGAAAATCTATATTGTATATCAATAGTTAAATGGTAACAACATATATCAAAATAACAAAGGCCAGTCGAAGTGGCTCCAACCTGTAGTACCAGGGCTTTAGGACACCCCAGGTAGAAGGATTGCAGCCGGGGCAACACAGTGAGACCCCATCTCTTAATAAAAAAAAAAAATAGCCAGGCGTGGTGGCTCACCTGTAGTCCTAGCTACTTCAGAGGCTGAGGCAGAGGATTGTTGAGCCCAGGAGTTCTAAGCAGCAATGAGCTTTGATGGCGTCATTGCACTCTAGCCGGGGTGACAGAGCAACACTTTGTTTTTTAAAAAACAAAACAAAAACTATATGAGAACTGATGTGTATTTTATAAGAATTTTTAAACAATTGTGAAAGCAGGAAGAAACTAGAAAATTAGCCCAGAGAAAGACCCAGCATGTAGAGATCTGAAAGCTGTGAGGAAAAGAATAGATTAAAATAGCTCAAGCAGTTTTGAACCAGTAGGATATATCATCCTGGTGGTACTGACATGTTTATCACCCTGTGAAATACATTGAGTGTCAGGAAAAGATGCCCCATTTATCGAAAACTAGCTTTGATAAATGTAGGATTATTTTATAGTTCAGTTTTCTTAAGTGATAAGAAAGAGAGGCTCACTTGTGAGACAGTGTAGCATGGAAGCCAGGAATGCGAATGTTCTGCAGTGCACAAGGAAACTCCACTGAGAAAAGGCCCCACATGTTAATGGTGCTGAGACTGAGAAACCCTAATCTAATACACAGAATAAAGAGTTGAGAATAAAATTTTCTTTGTATTTCACAACCATCTGTGATTCTCAAATTACATATAGTAAAGAACAATGTTTTTGTTTTAATTTCCAATCCCTTATGGACCTATAACTTTTGTAAAATACACTGAAAATTTCATGGCAATATCAAATTGCTGTATACCGAACATTCAATTTCTCTACTTCTTGCTTCATTTTTATGCACTTGTAAACAAACAAAGAAAAAATTTCTGTACTACTTGTGTATGGGTAACAAATAATTTGTAGATTAGCACCAATCTGTGGACATTTTGAATAGCAAAAAAAATAGAGCATTTGTCTCTGAATATTCTGTAATAAACATGATTTTTGAAATTAGGGAAAAGTTTAAAAACATTCATTTAGTATTTATGACACTTTGGCCAATAGGCAATTGACTGGTGAAAAACAAATGCAAAATTTGTTAAAACTTATAAAATTAAAATATTTGGTTTTTGGTTTTGTTTTTACGTCAGAATACCTAGAGAACATGTGTAGATAGGACAAAGTTGATAAGTCATTTGCTAGCATTTGCCTACTCACCATATCATACCCCAGGGCAGGTGGCTTCTTATGGAAGTACATCTTCCTATGGATCCCAGATACTGCCTCAGAATCCTCCTTAACATAGTACTTAAAGAAGTCACTATCACTTTAAGGCAGTTGGTGTCAGGTATGAAACTTATCATCCTAAACTATGTTCTGAGGGTCTTTTGAATATAATACTATGATTAGCTTAACCTTACATTCTTTTAATTTTTTTTAAACAATTCTGATTTATCAAAGTAATTAAAAATCTCAAACCAAAACTTTTCATGTGCTGGTTACTTGTCCCAAGTGTACTATTCAAAATCTTAATTATGGTAAAAGAAATTTATGTCTTCCTTTTATTGCCATACTGTCTGTGTCAAGAATATGTCTTGGGCCAGGTGCGGTGGCTCACGCCTGTAATCCCCAGCACTTTGGGAGGCTGAGGCGGGTGGATCACCTGAGGTCGAGAGTTCGAGACCAGCCTGGTCGACATGGTGAAACCCTGTCTCTACTTAAAAAATGCAAAATTAGCCAGGAGTGGTGGTGCACCCCTGTAATCCTAGCTACTTGGGAGGCTGAGGTGGGAGAATTGCTTGAACCTGGGAGGTGGAGGCTGTAGTGAGCCGAGGTCACGCCACTGCACTCCAGCTTGGGAAACAGAGCAAGACCCCTCTCTCAAAAAAAAAAAAAAAAAAAAAAAAAAAGAATGTATCTTAAACTGAAGCGAGACCCCCCCCATCTCAAAAAAAAAAAATGTACCTTAACAGCACAGAATGTAATTTACTGTTTTTACTTATAGTAAAAACAACCATTGGTTTAGGGAAGAAAGAAAATCAGGTGACTATAAAGGTATACCTAGGTCATGTTTGTTGAAAGTAAAGTCTTTGAAGAACTATGACCTGGTTTTTTTTATATATAATCAAACTTTTGTTTTTTGTCAGAAACCCTAATGATGAAAAATATAGATCCATCCGGATTGGAAACACAGCCTTTTCTACTAGACTCTTGCCTGTCAGAGGAGCTGTTGAATGTTTATTTGAAATGGGCTTTGAAGAGGTAAGTATGTTCAAGGATTTCCTCTCCCCTCTTCATGCACAAAGCAGCCATTATCATGTTGGTGAATAATTGTTTGAATAAGATAATGTTTTTTAATTTATCATTTTGGGAATCAGTAGAAGTAGTTATTTCTTCATTGATTGGACATTTAAAAATCACAACAAGTATAGTTTAAAATTTCAGTAAAATGTAACAACGCTCCACAGAGAAATTCTTACGAGTCTCAGTTCTTTAAAATAAGGGTCATACATGCAACCCAAGGACCAAATGTGGTTCACTTTAGGCTTTTAGCTAAAACCTGATTTGTGAGCACACATGAATACTAATAGAGTCTAGCTACCTGTCTGTAGTAGGAAATGAAAAGAGTCTGAAGTAAACAGAAAAACTGAGTTGAGCTGCCACACAGAAGGGGTTTCTTCTGTGACAGGAGAGGAGTCTCAGTATTTTTTTTTGTTTTTACTTCAAATGAATATTTTGGTGTTATCTTTTGGAATCTTGTGGTGTAGTTTAATTTTATGACACATCGAAAGTAGTTATTAAGATTCTGAATTTTCTTTATGTTTATATCCTTAACTAGTTCTCCTTTGTAGAGCATTGAAAGAACTTGAACAAGTTACAGAGACTCAATAGTCAGTGGTCGTCAGAATAGGCAATTGTAGAAGTTGTTAAAGAGATATGCTGAGCTGCTATGTAAGATTCACTTTTCTTCATGCCTCTCTGCTTCCCTCCCCAGGTTCCATTTCAGGCCCTGAAGTAACAGTAGTGAACAAAGTAGTAGATATAATCCCACCTCACATAGAGCTTACATTCTAGTAGGTTAAACAGCCAGTAGATGTGAAAACAAGATGAGTGCAAAGAAGAAAATAAGACCAGGTAATAGAATAAAAAGTACTTTGCATGGCAGGCAGTGGTCAGGGAAGTCCTCTCTGAGGAGATGACATTTGAGCTGTGACTTGAAACATCTCAGGTACCTGAAACTCTCAGGTAAGAGTGTTTCAGGCAGAAGGATTAATGTGTGTAAAGGATTTCCAGCAGAAGTAACCGTGAAACAGAAATAAGCTGCATAGGGAGGCAGAGACCAGGACACATGGGGTCTTGAGGAATGTGGCAAAAGACTTAGACTTTATTTTAAGTGAGATGAGAAGCCACTGGGAATTTTTTTTTTTTTTTTTTTTTTTGAGATGGAGTTTCGCTCTTGTTGCCCAGGCTGGAGTGCGGTGATGCAATCTCAGCTTACCACAACCTTCGCCTCCTGGATTCAAGCGATTCTCCTGCCTCAGCCTCCTGAGTAGCTGGGATTAAAGGCATACGACAGCACGCCTGGCTAATTTTGTATTTTTAGTAGAGATGGGATTTCTCCATGTTGGTCAGGTTGGTCTCGAACTCTTGACCTCAGGCGATCCGCCCGCCTTGGCCTCCCAAAGTATTGGGATTACAGGCGTGAGCCGCCGTGCCCAGCCTGGAAAGTTTTAAGTAGGGAAAAATATTTTTGAAGATTATTCTAGCTTGCTGTAAAGAGAATTCCTGGAGGTGGTGGGATGGGGACAAGGGATGAAGCAGGGAGACCGGTTAGAAAGCTTATTACATTAGTCTAAATAAGAAATGGTAGTGGTTTGTATAAAGTCCATGAAGGCAGGGTTTTTTGTCATTTCTGTTCCCTGTGTTGCTAGCTCCTGGAATAATGCTGGTGCATTACAGATGTTAGGTACTCAATAAAGATTTGTTGAATTAAGTACTGATGGTGGAGATGGAGAGAAGTAGATGGATCCAGGATTTCTTTTTGTGACAGAATCAACAGGACTTACTGGTGATTTAGATGTAAGATATAAGGGAAAGGAAGGAATCGGGGACTTACCTATGTTTTGGTTTAAGCAACTAATTGGATGGGAGTATCATTAATTGAGATAGAGAAGCCTTGGAGAGTAGCAGGTTTTAGGGGAGAAACTAACACCTGTCTTTGGACAATTGTGACCAATTTGCTGTTAAATATTCAAGTAGAGAAGCCAAGTAAGCAGTTGGCTATATGAGTTTACAACCCCAAAGGAGAGATTAGGCAGGGGATATAAATTATGGTGTCATCTGATTATAGATGATACAAAGGTATCCGAACATAAAGAATTTAAAATTCCTTGTTCAAGGAAATGCCAATTTTCAAGATTCAAATTGGTTGGGAAAATTGAGTAAATGACAACGGAAGACTCTACCCATTTCTCATGTCGAAGTGTCACATATTCGATAGAATTAGATTTGTCTTTCATTCAGCAAATATTTGAGTGCCAAGTAGGGTAGCCAGCCATTCCAGTTTGCTCAGTACTGTCCTGGTTTTAGCAATGAAAGTCCCACATCCCAGAAAACCCCTCGGTCTCAGGCAAACCAGTGTTGGTCACTGCAGTGCCAAATAACAGGCCACACTGAGACTTGCAGAAGTATTTGATGCAAATGGAGTCACAGTCTCAGAAAAGATTAACAGGTTTTGATATGACTAATTTATACTTAAAGTTTCTGTTCGGCTTTAGACATCACACCTCAGGACTTGAACTCTACCACCAAAAAGAAAGTTGGTGGACTTTTTAAAGAATAATTATATGAATACATAATAGTTGTACATTATGGGGTACAGGTGATATTTTGATGCTAGCATACAAATGTGTAATGAACATATCTGAGTAATTGGAACATCCATGATCTCAAACATTTATCATCTCTTTGTGTTAGAAACATTCAAAATTCTGTCTTCTAGCTATTTTGAAATATACAATGAATTGTTTTTAACCGTAGTCACCGTATTGTGCTATAGAACATGAGAAATTATTCCTCCTATTTAACTGTAATTTTGTGCCCATTAACCAATCTCTTTCTATTGCCCAGTCCCTTCTATCCCTCCAAGCCTTTGGTAACTGCCATTCCACTCTTCTTTATTTTTTTAAATTTTTATTTAATTTTGTAATATCTTTTTACAATCACTCTTTTCTTCTATGGGATCAATTGTTTTAGCTCCCACATATGAGTGAGAACATGTGTTATTTGTCTTTCTGAATTCTGGCTTATTTTACTTAACATAATGTCCCTCCATTTCCATCCATGATGATGCAAATGACAGGATTTTGTTCTTTTTTATGGTGGAATAATATTCCGTTGTGTATAGATACCACATATTCTTTATCCATTCATCTATTGATGGACAATTAGGTTAATTCCATATCTTGGCCATTGTGAATAGTGCTGCAGTAAACATAGGAATGCAGATACCTCTTCAATATGCTGATTTTGGAAAATGGTGGATAGGAGACAGGACTAACTTGCAGCTCCCAATTGGACTGACAGAACAGTGCCTGGAAACTCACATCGTGAACTTTTGCTCTGAGAAATACTAGAGGAACATACCAGGAAAACCAAAAGAATTCACAGACCCTTTGAAAAAAGCAGCTTGCTGCTGCAAATTCCATGAGACAGAGGAAAACCTGTGAGTGCCCGAAGTGTGACGGGGAAAGTCCACTGGGGAACCTGAAAATCCAGATCACGGGAGAAGGGTTTAACCTTACCTAGAGCTGAAATTAATTTAGAGAGCTGAGTGAAATATAAAAGTAGAACAAGCAGCGAGAAGAGCCTGCAGGCACTCCTGGCCACCAAGGAAGCCATTTCTGACTTTATCTCACAGGGGTCCTTGGGGAGGGCTGCCAGTGGAATTGGGGAAAGACCACAGGGAGAATGAAACTTGCAGCTGAACACGAATTTTCCTGGACTGGGGTGTGTAGGGGAGGTGGCAAATGGGAAATGCAGATACTGCAGATACAAGCACAGAAGCCAAGGCAGACGGAGAGGGGTGAAGCCTGAAAACCCTGATTGCTTTCTCAGTGGGGAGACTTGTAGCCTGGGGCAAAATCTCAACCCTGCGTACACTGCCTGGATATAAACATGGTGCTATTGGTGGAGCATGGTGGGAGTGAGACTGGCCCTTCTGGCTGTGTGGGAGCTGGGTATGGCCTGTTATTGCTGGCTTTCCCCCACTTCCCTGGTGACCTGTATGATGCAGCAGAGATAGCTGTAATCCCCCTGGAAACATAACTCCATTGGCCTGAGAACCACACCCCCATCCGCCACAGTGGCCACAACAAGCCCAACCCAAAGAGAGTCTGCTCTCAGACATGCCTAACCCTGCCTTCACCTGATGGTCTTTCTGAGAGAAAAGACATAATCTCTTGGGAACTCTATGGCCCTGCCCACTGCCTGAGAAACCCAAATACTTATGCAGGCAACCCTAGGGCAAGCTTACATCTTCTTGATACTACTGCAGCTGATGCTGTCTTGAAAGCATCACCTTCTGGCTGGGGGCCAACCAACTGAAACCATTACAGCAACTCATTAAAGAACAACTCTGCCCCAAGAAAAGAGAATACAACAGCTAATTCCACCACCTGTAACATCCTGGCTAACCAGAGGTCTTGAGTCCAATCGCATGACAGCTTTACTACCAGCACACCTGGAATTCGAGAAAACCAACACACTAAACAAAACTGCAACCAAGGTCCCACACAGAGTCCACTTCACTCCCCTGCCACCTCCATCAGAGTAGGTACTGGTATCTATGGCTGAGACTTGAAGACAGATCACATCACAGGACTCTTTGCAGACACTCTCTAATACCAGTTCAGAGCCCAGTAGCTCTACTGGTTTGCTAGACCCAGAAGAGCAATAACAATCACTGCAGTCCAGCTCTCAGGAAGCCCCATTCCTAGAGGAAGGGAAGAGCACCACATCAAGGGAGCACCCCATGGGGCCAAAGAATCTGAACAGCAGCCCTTGAGCCCCTGATCCTTCCTCTGACATAGTCTATACCTAAATGAGGAGGAACCAGAAAAACAATTCTGGTAATATGACAAAACAGGGTTCTTTAACATCCCCAAAAGATCACACTAGCATAGTAGCAATGGATCCAAACCAAGAAGAAATCTCTGAATTGCCAGAAAAAGAATTCAGAAGGTCAATTATTAGGTTACTTAAGGAGACACCAGAGAACTTAAAGAAATTTAAAGAGTGATACAGGATATGGATGAAAAAAAATCTCCAGAGAAATAAATAGTATAAATAAAAAACAATTACAACTTCTGGAAGTGAAGAACACACCTAGGGAAATGCAGAATGCATCGGAAAGTTTCAACAATGGAATTGAACAAGTAGAAGAGAACTTCAGAGCTCAAAGATGAGGCTTTCGTATTAACCCAATCCAACAAAGACAAAAAAGAATTTTAAAAATGATCAAAGCCCCAAGGAAGTTTGGGATTATGTTAAATGACCAAACCCAAGAATAATTAGTGTTCCAGAGGAAGAAAATACATCTAAAAGTTTGGAAGACATATTTGAGGGAATAATTGAGGAAAACTTCTCTGGCCTTCCTAGAGATCTACATATCCAAATATAAGAAGCTCAAAGAACACCTGGGAAATTCATCTCAAAAAGATCATCACCTAGGCACATAGTCCTCAGGTTATCTAAAGTCAAGACAAAGGAAATAATCTTACAAGCTCTTAGGCAAAAGCATCAGATAACCTAAAAAGGAACACCTATCAGATTAACAGCAGATTTCTCAGTAGAAGCCCTACAAGCTAGAAGGGATTGGGGTCCTATCTTTAGCCTCTTTAAACAAAATAATTATCAGCTAAGAATTTTGCATCCAGCAAAACTAAGCTTCATAAATGAAGGAAAGATAGTCTTTCAGACAAACAAATGCCAAGAGAATTTGCCACTACCAAGCTAGCACTACAAGAACTGCTAAAAAGGAGCTCTAAATATTGAAATAAAACCTCGAAATACACCAAATTATAACCTCCTTAAAGCATAAATCTCACAGAACCTATAAAACAATAAATAATGAAAAAAAAACAAAGTATTCACACAACAACTAGCATGATCACTAGAATAGTACCTCACATCTCAGTACTAACATTGAATGTCAGTGGCCTAAATGCTGCACAGAATGTCAGAATGAGTAAGAATTTACCAACCATGTATTCTCTGTCTCTAAGAGACTCACTTAATACATAAAGACTAACATAAACTTAAGGTAAAGGGGTGAAAAAAGATATTCCATGCAAATGAAAACCAAAAGCCAGCAGGAGTAACTATTCTTAGACAAAACAGACTTCAAAGCAACAGTTAAAAAAAGACAAAGGGGGGCATTATTTAATGATAAAAGGGCTAGTCCAACAGGAAAACATTACAGTCCTAAATATGTATGCACCTAACACTGGAGCTCCCAAATTTATAAAACAATTGCTACTAGACCTAAGAAATGAGATAGACAACAACACAATAATAGTGGAGACTTCAATACTCACTGACAGCACTAGACAGGTCTGCAGAATTGGCATAGAAGGGACATACCTTAAGGTAATCAAAACTTTGTATGACAAACTCACAGCCAACAGTACACTGAACAGGGAAAAGTAGAAAGCATTCCCCCAAGAACCAGAACAAGACAAGGATGCCCACTTTCACCACTTCTATTCAACATAGTACTGGAAGTCCTAGCCAGAGCAGTCAGACAAGAGAAAGAAATCAAGAACATCAAAATTGGTAAAGAGGAATAGACTGTTGCTGTTTGCTGATGATATGATCATATACCTGGAAAACCCTAAAGACTCATCCAAAAAGCTCCTACAGCTGATAAATGAATTCATTAAAGTTTCAGGATACAAAATTAATGTACCCAAATCAGTAGCACTATTTCTACACCAACAGCGACCAAGCTGAGAATCAAGAACTCAACTCCTTTTACAATTGCTGCAATAAAATAAAATAAAATACTTAGGAATATACCTAACCAACCACATGAAAGACCTCTATAAGGAAAACTACAAAACATTGCTGAAGGAAATCATAGACAACACAAACAAATGGAAACACATCCCATACTCATGGAAGGGTAGAATCAATATTGTGAAAATGACCATACTACCAAAAGCAATCTCCAAATTCAATGCAATTCCCATCAAAATACCATCATCATTCTCCATAAAACTAGAAAAAAACAGTCCTAAAATTTTTAAAAGCAGCCTACGTAGCCAAAACAAGACTAACCAAAAAACAAATCTGGAGAAATCACATTACTTGACCTCAAACTATACTACAAGACTATAGTCAACAAAACAGCATGGTACCGGCATAAAAATAGGCACATAAACCAATAGAATAGAATAAATAACTCAGAAATTAAAGCCAAATACTTACAGCCAACTGATCTACAGCAAAGCAAACAAAACATAAAGTGGGAAAAGGACACCTATTCAGTGGTGCTAGGATAATTGGTAAGCCACATGTAGAAGATTGAAACTGGATCCTCATCTCTTACCTTATACAAAAATCAACTGGAGCTGTATGAAAGACTTAAATCTAAGACCTGGAACCATAAAAAATTCTAGAAGATAACATCAGAAAAACTAGTCTAGACATTGGCTTAGACGAAGACTTCATGACCAAGAACCCAAAAACAAATGCAATAAAAACAAAGATAAATAGATGGAGCTTATACTGAAAAGCTTCTGCACAGCAAAAGAAATAATCAGCAGAGTTAACAGACAACCCACAGAATGGGAGAAAATCTTCACAAACTAAGTATCCGACAAAGGACTGATATCTAGAATCTAGAAGGAACTCAAACAAATCAGCAAGAAAAAAAATCCCATCAAAAAGTTGGCTAAGGACATGAATAGGCAGTTCTGAAAAGAAGATATACAAATGGCCAATAAACATGAAAAAATGTTCAACATCTTTATCAGGGAAATGCAAATCAAAACCACAGTGTGACAACACCTTACTGCTGCAAGAATGGCCATAATTAAAGAATCAAAAAATAATAGATGTTGGTGAAAAGGGAACCCTTTTACACTGTTGGTGGGAATGTAAACTAGTATGACCCCTATGGAAAACAGCATGGAGAGTCCTTAAAGAACTAAAAGTAGATCTACCATTTGATCTAGCAATTCCTGTACTGGATATCTACCCAGAGGAAAAGAAGTCATTATATGAAGAAGATACTTGCACACGCATGTTTTTAGTAGCACAGTTTGCAATTGCAAAAATATGGAATCAATCCATCAGTCAACAAGTGGATGAAGAAAATGTGGAGGCCAGGCAGTAGTGGCTCATGGCTGTAATCCTAGTTCTTTGGGAGGCTGATGTGGGTGGATCACCCGAGGTCAGGAGTTCAAGACCTCCCTGGACAACATGGTGAAACCCCATCTCTACTAAAAATACAAAAATTTGCTGGGCATGGTGGCGGGCACTTGTAGTCCCAGCTACTCGGGAGGCTGAGGGGAGAATCACTAGAACCCGGGAGGCGGAGGTTGCAGTGAGCTGAGATCATGCCATTGCACTCCAGCTTGTGTGACAAGAGCAAAACTCTGTCTCAAACAAAAAAGTGGAATACTATGAATACTACTCAGCTATAAAAAAAGAATGAAATAATGGCATTTGCAGCAACCTGGATGGAATTGGAGACCATTATTCTAAGTGAGGTAACTCAGGAATGGAAAACCAAACATTATATGTTCTCACTTATAAGTGGGAGCTAAGCTATGTGGATGCAAAGGCCTAAGAATCATACAGTGGACTCTGGGGACTTGGAGAGGGGAAAAGTGGGAAGGGTGCGAGGGATAAAAGACTATACTTTTAGTTGAGTGATAAGTGCTTCAAAACCTCAGAAATTACCACTAAAGAACTTATCCATGTAACCAGACATCAACCCCTTCCCCAAAAACCTATTGAAATAAAAAAAAGAATTAAATAAAAGAAATTTAAAAATGCTTAAAAATTAAGCATAAGAATTTTTTTTAAAAAATTAAAGATCATTAAAAAATGATTACTTTTTTTGGATGTGTGCCTAGCAGTAGGATTACTGGATCATATGGTAGTTCTATTTTTAGTTTTTTTGAGGAAACTTCATACTCTTTTTCTTAGTTTACATACTAATTTGTATACCCACTAGGAATGTATAAAGATTCTTTGCATCCTTGCCAGCATTTATTTTCTGTCTTTTTGATAATAGCTATTTTAACTGGAGTAAGATAATATCTCATTGTGGTTTTGATTTTCCTTTCTCTGATAATTAGTGATGTTGAGCATTTTTTCATATACCTGTTAGCCAATTGTATGTCTTCCTTTGAGAAATGTCTATTCAGATCTTTTGCTCATTTTTATTTTTATTTATTATTTTTTGAAATGGAGTCCCACTTCGTTGCCCAGGCTGGAGTCTAGTGGCACAATCTCGGCTTACTGCAGCCTTCACCTCTCAAGTTCAAGTGATTCTCCTGCCTCAACCTCCTGAATAGTTGGGACTGCAGGTGCACGCCATCATGCCCGGCTAATTCTTTTGTATTTTTAGTAGAGATGGGGTTTCACCATGTTGGCCAGACTGGTCTCGAACTCCTGACCTCAAGTGATACACCTACCTTGGTCTCCCAAAGTGCTGGGATTACAGGCGTGAGCCAATGCGCCGGCCTCTTTTGCTCATTTTTAAATGAGATTTGTTTTTTGCTATTAAGTTGTTTCAGTTCCTTTTATAGTCTGGTTCTTAATCCCTTGTCATTTGAATAGTTTGCACATATTTTCTTTCACTTTCTAGTGTGTCTCTTCACATTGTTCTTTCCTTTGCTGTGCATAAGCTTTTTAATTTGATGTGATACCTTTTGTCAATTTTTGCTTTAGTTGCCTGTGTTCTTAAAGTCTTACTCATGAGGCCAGGCGCCGTGGCTCACGCCTGTAATCCCAGCACTTTGGGAGGCCAAGGTGGGCGGATCATGAGGTCAGGAGTTTGAGACCATGTCTAACACGGTGAAACCCCATCTCTACTAAAAATACAAAAAATTAGCCGGGCGTGGTGGCGGGCGCCTGTAGTCCCAGCTACTTGGGAGGCTGAGGCAGGAGAATGGAGGTTGCAGTGAGCCAAGATCGCACCACTGTGCTCCAGCCTCGGCGACACAGTGAGACTCCGCTAAAAAAAAAAAAAAAAAAAAAAGTCTTACTTATGAAATCTTTGCCCAGACCAATTTCCTGAAGTGTTTTCCCAATATTTTCTTCTAGTAGTCTTACAGTTTAAGGTTATACTTTAAGGTCTTACACTTAAGTCTCTAATCCATCTTTTTTTTTTTTTTTTTAGATGGAGTTTCACCTCTTGTTGCCCAGGCTAGAGTGCAGTGGCACAGTCACTACTCACCGCAGCCTCTGCCGGGTTCAAGTGATTCTCCTGCCTCAGTCTTCCGAGTAACTGGGATTACAGGTGTCCGCCACCATGCCCAGCTAATTTTTTTTGTATTTTTAGTAGAGACAGGGTTTCACCATGTTGGCCAGGCTGGTATTGAACTCCTGACCTCAGGTGATTCACCTACCTCGGCCTCCCAAAGTTCTGGGATTACAGGCGTGAGCCACCACACCTGGCCAATCTTTTTTTTTTTTTTTTTTTTTTTTGAGATGGAGTCTTGCTCTGTCGCCCAGCCTGGAGTGTAGTGGTGCGATCCTGGCTCACTGCAACCACCGCCTCTGGGGTTCAAGTGATTCTCTTGCCTCAGCCTCCCGAGTAGCTGGGATTACAGGTGCCTGCCACCACGCCCAGCTAATTTTTGTGTTTTTAGTAGAGACGGGGTTTCGCCATGTTGGCCAGCAGGCTGGTCAGCTCCCTACCTCAAGTGATCCACCTGCTTCAGCCCCCCAAAGTGCTGGGATTACAGGCGTGAGCCACCCCGCCCAGCCTCTAATCCATCTTGATTTGATTTTTGTATATGGTAAGATACAGATGGGATCTGGTTTCATTCCTCTGCATATGGATATCTAACTTTCCCAGCATGGTGGGCTTTTGTAAATGGAGTATGAACCTAAGACCTATCCCAAAATTTTCAACTGTATATTAAAATTCTGGATACTTTTAGGCCCACTTGTCTCTGAGGCTGCATTCTTTTTTATGACAGTTTCTGAGAGTGATGTTGAAATGAAAAAGATTAGGATCCAAATGGATCTGTGACCCTACAGTTTATCTCAGTGGAGTAGTTTTCCACCAGGAGCCATACCTGCCCCCTCCACCTGCACCTCTTTCTTCAACCTGTTGAAGATGAGTACGGGAAATTTGCTAGGGCAGTTTGGTTGTTTTATTGACTGGACGATATTTTCAGCATTTAGTGGTCAGGGTCAGGTTTGCTAAATATCCTGTAATAAGAATTGTCTCAACAAAAATGCCTTGAGAAACAAATTTGTTAAATACTAGAATTCTTTTTGATTTCTTTTTTTTTTTTTTTGAGACGGAGTCTAGTTCTATCGCCCAGGCTGGAGTGCAGTAGCATGATCTCGGCTCACTGCAACCTCTGCCTCCTGGGTTCAAGCGATTCTCCTGCCTCAGCCTCCCGAGTAGTTGGGATTATAGTTGCCTGCCACTGCGCCCAGCCAATTTTTGTATTTTTAGTAGAGACAGGGTTTCACCATGTTGGTCAGGCTGATCTCAAACTCGTGACCTTGTGATTTGCCCGCCTCGGTCTCCCAAAGTGCTGGGATTACAGGCGTGAGCCACTGCGCCTGGCCTCTTTTTGATTTCTTAAAATATTATTAAATCTAGTGCATTAAGCTTATAATTTTGTCCATTTATGAAAATAACAGTGCTGTTGGTTAAATTTTTTGATATAGACACTTTGGCCATAATTATATCTTCTTTTAGGACTGGTTGTAAAGGGACTGAAGGGAAGGGAGCATGGCATGAGCAGCGTATCTGTCTTACTGGGGCCCTGTCTGAGTTGTGGACTGAGACCTACATCTAAATAACCTGTCATGCTCTTTTTCCTTCTCTGTCCATGGAGTTGTTTGCCTTTCTCAGTGCTGTTCCAGTAACATTATGAGATCAGATGCCTTCATATTTGGTTTTAAACCAGATGTCTGGTTTCTCTTCCTAGGCCTCCTCCTAGATATAAGAAGATTCTTTCTAAGGTTGAAAAAGTCGTTGTGTTACAATTTGTGCCAGTCGTCTAATCATTACAGTTGTACAAATGTTCTCCGCTCATTCCCTTCAACTATTTGTGCAAGCTCATGGGTTTCAGTCTCTGTTCAGTCAAAGATGGAGTCATTTATAGCATAACGATTAAGGTCATGGAGTCTGAATCCCTGCTCTGCCAGTTGTTCTGTGGCTTCAAGCAGGTTAACTTCCCTGAGCCTTTGTATTTTCATGTGAGTATTGGCCGGGAATGGTGGCTCACGCCTATAATCCCAGCTTTTTGGGAGGCTGTGGTGGGCGGATCACCTGAAGTCAGGAGTTTGAGACCAGCCTGACCAACGTGGTGAAATCCTGTCTCTACTAAAAAATACAAAAATTACCCAGGTGTGGTGGCGCATGCCTGTAATCCCAGCTACTTGGGAGACTGAGGCAGGAGAATTGCTTGAACCTGGGAGGTGGAGGTTGCAGTGAGCCGAGATCACACCACTGCACTCCAGACTGGGCAACAAGAGCAAAACTCTGTCTCCAAAAAAAAAAAAAGTATTAATCTAATACCTACTTTTCAGGGTAGTTGTATTACTTGAGATGATGTATTTAAAACGCCCAGCATTTTGCTTTGGGAGGCTGAGGTGGGAGGATCATTTGAGGTTAGGAGTTTGAGACCAGCCTGGGCAAAAGAGTGAGACCCCTGTCTCTCCAAAAAATAAAAATCATCCAGGTGTGGTGGCATGCACCTGTAG
This sequence comes from Homo sapiens, assembly GCF_000001405.40. NCBI lineage: Eukaryota > Metazoa > Chordata > Mammalia > Primates > Hominidae > Homo > Homo sapiens. Next base: position 25,765,868 of record NC_000003.12, on the reverse strand, counting down.
TCCTAGCTGCTGGGAGGCTGAGGATGGAAGATCGCTTGAGCCCAAGAGTTTGAGGTTATAGCTTTGATCACTCCACTGCACTCCAGCCTGGGTGACAGAGGGAGACCCTGCCTCAGAGAAAAAAATGCCTAGCACAGTACTTAGAACACACAAAGACAATACATTGTAGTTGTCTTTTTTATAGCAATTATGAATCATACGTGGAGCTTGCTGGTCTAATCCAGCTTTTTAAAAAGGATTCAGATGGAATTGACTTTCATGTCATTGAGTAATGTCTTGTTCAGTTGATTCCTGTAGGTCTGCCATCACCAGGGAAATACAGTAATATTGTCGATTTTGGAGTTTAATTTAAATGCTCATGATCTGCAGGTCTGTGTACTACAGACTGTTGCAACTTTTTTTTTTTTTTTTTTTTGAGACTGAGTCCTGCTCTGTCACCTAGGCTGGAGTGCAGTGGCACGATCTCAGCTCACCTCTGCCTCCCAGGTTCAAGCAATTCTCCTGCCTCAGCCTCCCAAGTAGCTGGGATTACAGGCACCCGCCACCATGCCCAGCTTATTTTTGTATTTTTGGTAGAGACAGGGTTTTGCCATGTTGACCAGGCTGGTCTCGAACCCCTGACCTCAGGTAATCTGCCCATGTGAGCCTCCCAAAGTGCTGGGATTACAGGCGTGAGCCACCATGCCCAGCTGCAACTTTTTATCTTGTTTGCAGTTGGAGAAATTACTGTTTTTAACATTGTTTCTTTTCAATACCTGGAAATTTGATCAAATACATTGTCATTTCATTTCACCTTTTTTCTTGTTTTGAGTAATTTACTGTTTTACATTATAGAATTTGTTGTAGCATTTTATTTTAAAGCATTCTTAGCATATTTATAGGTATTCTTTAAATGAGTCACTACTGAAATACATGATTTTTATTTCTTTTGTTTTGTTCGGATTACCTTCCTATTACTGTTAACCATCCATAGTTTTGGATTGACTATCAGGGTGTACTTTTCGTTATCGTGGAAAAATTAGTTGACCCCATACACAGGCTTCTAATCATGTAGCTATTCTTTAAAGACTCAGATTAACAAGATTCAAAGGTTGTTAGATAACTTCTTGTTGGTTTTATGTGACCCTGGATTCTTTTGTGTGGCTGTATCTCTACTGTCATTATTATTTCATAGGGAATTTCATAGAGAATAGTAGTATCATATACTATTGCAGAGAGGATAGGAATATGCATTTTTGCAACCCTTATGAGGCCTTCTGACTTATTGTTTCTAGAAGATCAAATATTTTTTCCTGAAAGTCCTTTGAACCACATTAAATAGGCTAAGGATTAAATGCCAAAAAGGAGATAATTTTTTTTTTAATTTTCTGGTTTATGTTTAGGCATTATTTACCTTAGGCTGTATTTAAAAAGAACCATAATGGTAAGAAAACAGTATGATTTTAGAAACATGCATTCTATATTATTGGTTTCATTATACATTTCTGTGTGTGTGTGCACAAAAGAATGACTGCATAAAGCAAAGGTTCACATTTTTTTTAATTTTATAAATTCCAGGGAGAAACACATCTCATCTTTCCTAAAAAAGCTTCAGTGGAGCAGCTGCAAAAAATTCGTGACCTGATTGCCATAGAGAGAAGTAGCAGACTGGATGGCTCAAATAAGAGCCACAAAGTAAAGTCATCTCAGCAACCTGCAGCCAGTACCCAGCTTCCTACAACACCATCTTCAAATCCCAGTGGGTTAAACCAGCACACAAGGAACCGTCAAGGGCAGTCATCAGATCCACCATCTGCTTCAACGGTAATGTTAGAATTAAACCTTCTTTAACTGTTTCTTTCAAAGTGTTGAAACAGCAAAAGCTTTGGAATGTGTTATGATTTATTCCTGAATTTATGCCCCATATTTTGTTCTTAGTTCTTATAACTCTAAAACATCCAAATTTCTTCAGCTCTTTAAAAAATTGTCAGATTTCCTCTACTGCATTAATACTTCTGATCTAAATTGTACCTGCTGCCTTTCACTGTGGGGGTTATTTCCAACAGCACAACCATTATCAATACCTTAATTCAATAAAAAAGCTTCTTTAGGTTTAAGGTAATTAAGAATGCATTAATTTAATGATAGTGGATGCTAGCAAATTAGTGAAATTTTATTATTAATATACACCATATATACTTGTGAAGAACTAAAGTCAAACTTACAGGCATTCTTGATAAACTGAAATGATTCCATTTGATAGGAAATTATCCTGTTTACAAAAATCTCTTTTGACCAAGGTCCTTACATATTCTTCTCCTAAGTTTTTACTGTCAGAAAAATTCTTGTGATATTTCTGTAAGTCTAACAAGCACCTCAATGGATTTTTATGCCCCTCCCTGAGATCATGTGCATTCCATTTTGAATACCTTAGGTCTTCATCAGTTTTGCAGTTAAGGTTGGTACAGTTACAGAAGCTCACTTAACATCTTTCTTGGTTTTTAACACCTTTTCTTAGGAGTTTTCCAATTACAGTGTTAGAATATATCTTTTAAGATTTCCTACTTTATCTTTTTAATTGCAGTATTATAGTTTAAAATGCACATAGTTAACCAATCTGCAAAAAAGCTTGCAAACATTTTATTTTACAAAATATCTCTTTCCTGGGCTAAGTAGTATTTTGTTAGTGTCCTGGCTCAGGAAAGCCATTCACATTTTCTTAATCTTGTTTAAACTTCTTTTCTTTTGTTTTGTTTTTTTCTTTTTTTGAGACAGAGTCTCATTCTGTCCAGGCTGTAGTACAGTGGCAAAATCTTGGCTCACTGCAACCTCTGCCTCCCAGGTTGAAGTGATTCTCGTGCCTCAGCCTCCTGAGTTTCTGGAAATAAAGGCATGCACCATCTCTCCTGGCTAATTTTTGTTTTTTCTTCTTTTTGAGACGGAGTTTCACTCTTGTTGCCCAGGCTAGAATGCAATGGCACGATCTTGGCTCACTGCAACCCCCACCTCCTGGGTTCAAGAGATTCTATAGCCTGCGCCTCCCGAGTAGCTGGGATTATAGGCACCTGCCACCACACTTGGCTAATTTTTTGTGTTTTTAGTAGAGACGGGGTTTCTCCATGTGTGCCAGGCTGGTCTCAAAACTCCTGACCTCAAGTGATCCACCTGCCTTGGCCTCCCAAAGTGCTGGATTACAGATGTGCACCACCACACCCAGCCCTTTTTTTAAGTTCTTAATCTTACAATTCAGATATAGTTCCAGGTCTTTAAAATCCTGTCCGTCACCAGAAAGCCTCTAAACACTACACTAAAAACAGAATGTCATTCTGTTGGCAAAACACATTCTAGTGTAGAAGAAAATAAATTTTCTCAAAGGTGTATGCTATTAGTAGGCTAGTGTATATCAATTCTTACTACTCTAGTCCTTCACACAAAATATCTTCTGTGTTGAAGTTGAGAGAAATTAGAATGAATCTTGTTTTTCATAGACAACTCTTGGTTATTCGTGGATCACTGGAATATATGTATTTCTTTAAAGTATTTTGTTAATTATGCTTTCATCATTAGTTGCTATACTACAGAATTTGACAGTTTTCTTCTACCTTGCCCATTTTGAGTGGAGATACTGAGAATTAAAATGTACCAAAGTCAGGGAGCCAGAGAGATATTTTTTAAAGCATTTAACCTGTGTATAAACTAGATAAGTCCTAGTGAACTTATAACTTTTTTTTTTTTGGTTAAAACTATATCAAGTAAAATGTCGATGTATAAGTTAAGATGATAGTCACTGATGTTGACGTTTGCCAGTAAGCTTTTAAGATACAAAATACTGGAATATATTGATACTCAATAAATGATGATAGTGGTGGTGATTGTTAGAAAGTTAATCTTGCTACTTTTTCTGGACATTTTATGTTAATAGAATTATAGTATGTAATCTTTTGTTTCTAGCTCTTTGTGTAACATTTTTGAAGTTCTTCGTATTGCAGGATATATCAGTATTTTGTTCCTTTTTATTGTTGAATAATATTCCATTTTAAGGATATGCCACATATTGTTTCCATTCATCAGTTGATGGACATTTGGGTTGTTTCCCATGTTTGCCTATTATGAATAATGCTGCTGTGAACATTCACATACAAATTTTTGTGTAGACATATGTTTTTATTTCTCTTGAGTAGATTCCTAGGAGTGGAACCACTGGGTTGTATGGTAAGTTTATATTTATGTTTTTAAGAAATTACCAAGCTGTTTTTCAAAATTGTACCATTTTACTTTATCATCAGAAATATGTGAGGCTTCCCGTTTCTTAGTATCCTCACCAACCATTGTTACTGTCTTTTTTAGTATACCCATTTTAGTGGTTGTTAAGTAGTAGTTCATTTTGGTTTTAATTTGCATTTGCCTGATGACTTAATTGATTTTCAAACTTGCTGGTTGTACATGCTAAGTGTTTAGTGTTCCTAATGGAAGTAACTTTCTGATAATCCTTTATTTTTATACCCATTGCCTTCCAAAAGCAGATTCAAAACAGCAAGGACAATTTTTCAATGACATGGTACCTCAGAATGTTAGAAGCATTATGTTTCCAGCTTCACAACTTTATCTCGGTTGAAAATGTGATTCTGAAGTATAATATGCTTAAAATATACATTTAGTACTTTTTACTCAGCTAATCTAAATGTATGCTTTTATTTAGCACATGACTACTTTGAGTATGTATATGAAATTGTTAGGAACTTTTCATCAACTCTTTATCACTCTAGAAATTACTGCCAGTTTATATATGGGTATGTGTTTATTTAAACCAATTATCATAATTTGTGATTATTTCATTGAAATTATAAAAGTCATATATTATCAGATAATGATAAATAATAAAACGAACTAGTTAATTTTAAAACTAATTTTATCTCATAAACCAACAATAAGGCAACCTCTTAGTCTTAGTCTAGATCTGTGTGCGAGCTTTTTTTTTTTTTTTTTTTTTTTTTTTTTTTTTTTTTTTTTTTTTTTTTTTTTTTTTTTTGAGACAGAGTTTCACTCTTGTTGCCCAGGCTGGAGTGCAATGGCGTGATCTCGGCTCACCGCAACTTCTGCCTCCTGGGTTCAAGTGATTCTCCTGCCTCAGCCTCCGTAGTAGCTGGGATTACAGGCATGTGCCACCACGTCTGGCTAGTTTTAGTATTTTTAGTAGAGACGGGGTTTCTCCATGTTGGTCAGGCTGGTCTCGAACTCCCAACCTCAGGTGATCCGCCCACCTTGGCCTCCCAAAGTGCTGGGTTACAGGCGTGAGCCACCGTGCCCGGCCTGTGTGCTAGCTTTGTAAGAGAAGAAACCTATTTGAACATAAGATTTAAACATCCACTTTCTTTTTCATGAACCTACCACTCTTAAAAGTTAATACTTGCATGCCCTCTGATAGGGGATTACATTGTGTCCTTATATCAGCATACTTAGCGTATGTTAAAAATGAAGATGTGATCTGTTTTGACATGAATAACATTATTATATGGAAAAAAGGTAAACTGAGAATTCCAAAATTAAACAACATATGTTGTCTGTATATGTGTAATATTTTGATTTTTCTTATTAGAAACATACACACACACATACATATATATATATGTTCATTTTTTTAAAGGTTTGGAAGGCCATACACAAACATCTTAACCATAATGTACTCTGAGTGATGAAATTATGGGTGCTTTCATATTATTTATACTATTGAGTATTTTCTGAAATATTTTTTGAAGCAACATGTATTACCTTTATAAATAGAAAAGTTTTTCTTTAAATAAGTTTATTGAAGTCACAAGTTGATTAAAACATATTTAAAATAACAAAACTTTTATGTCTAAAAACAGGTTCTAAATTTTAAAGCCTCAAAATAAAGGGTTGCATAAAATTAAAGAGAGGGCAAGTAGGCTCAAGCCTTGATTTGTTGTGTGTGTGTGTGTGTGTGTGTGTGTTTTTTTAACTAAAGAAGTGAATTTGCTAATCTAACTTCCATTGATTAATTACCACGATTTGACAAAATTATACACATTGTACTTTTTTCTTATGAAGTCTTAAATATATCTCATATCAGAAATCAAAATAATTGGAAGTATGATTAGTGAAGGAAAAATCTCTTTGATCTAAAACCAACAGATTTCACATTTTAAACTTCCATTTGTACTCTAAGTAACTTTAGTCTCTCAATTAACTGCTGCCTTATGTAGCATTAGTACATGGTTACCCAGCTGCTGTAATCACCATGTAATCAGCAACTTTCTATTTTTATGACTTAGTTTTTTCAGAGTTGTGCCAATGAATATGTAAAGAAATAAGGCAAGAATATAAACTTTATTGTTTAAAATATTTTGAGTGCCATTAAAACTACAATGAATGAGGTAATTTCCAGATTGAAAAGAATTAAATTGAAAATAAAAATACTCCGGATGAATTCTTACCTTCTTGGTAAATGAAAGTCTGCATTTAAGAAAAATAAAATGAGACACTATAAGTGCTTCATTTTAATATGAATTTTTTCAAATAAAAATGGAGACATTTCTTTTTTTTTTTTTTCTGTTTCTATACTAATCCTAGTAAAGGAGCATATTTGTTTCCATGGCGAATTCCCCAGACTTGTCATCACCAACTCTACATTTCTTTTGTCAGCTGTTGTACCCATCTCTTCTGTAATGGAGGCAATGTGTCTGCTCTTAATAAAGGCCAGTTGCTCCTCTCTCCCTGTATCCCTTCTCCTCTGTTCACCATGGAATCTCACATGGACAGTGCCCCATCTTGGACCTGTTCTTTTCTTGGGGAATCTTCCTAGTGGCATTTAAACCTTGTTTTAGGCCAGTTTTCATTTAAGGTTGTTCCACTGGAATCACACGCAAATTTCTGAACATAATTCCAGGCTGGCTGAATCAAAATGGAAGAGGGGTGAAGTTTAGAATCTACATTTTTAACAAGCAGGTTAATGTTTAAGAGCTTTACCTTTAAGCTCTCCTATCTTAGAAACAAGGCAACATACAAATATCCCTGGTCCTCCATGCCCTGTCTTTCTCACCTCTTCTTCCCAGTACTCATTGTTGCATCTTTATTTCTTATATACGTTTCTAGTGGATCTCCATACTTTAATTATATGCCCTATCAGTAAAATATTTTTCAGCACATATTGTCAATATATTTTTGTTCATTTGTTTATGTGTTATATACATGTACTACTACGGCAATATACTGTTCACATTATAAGACAATGTAAAGAGGATCTAAATAGTAAATAATATGTTTAATTCAAAAAAATTTATTTATTTATTTTGAGACAGGGTCTCACTTTGTCGCTCAGGCTGGAACGCAGTGGCATGATCACAGCTCACTGCAGCTCTGACCTCCTGGGCTCAGATGATCCTCCCACCTCAGCCTTCCAAGTAGCTGGGACTACAGGTGTGTGCCCCAAGCCCAGCTAATTTTTCTTTATTTTTTGTAGAGATGAGGGTCTTGCCATGTTGCTCAGGGTGGTCTGGAACTCCTGGTCTCAAGCAATCCGCCTGCCTCAGCTGCCAAAAGTGCTAGGGTTATAGCCATAAGCCACCATGCTCCACCAAAAAATTTATTAATACTATATTACCTAATGAATGTATACAAATCCATATTTAAAATAGTCTTGATAATTTTGAATTTAAGGGGCTTTGTTAGATCTCATTAGATTGTTAGTGATTTTCTTTTTTGCACTAAAATGTAGCTGTTGAAGTGCTTATGCCAAAAAAGCAGATGATGTGTTTGCCCTGCCATTTTCTCTTTGTTAATGTGTGCTCTTATTATTAGTATTGGCCTTAGGGCCTAGAGTTCTTTGTAATCTTTTTAAGCTAGATTGAGGATTAATTTAGTTAAAATCATATAATCTGTAATTCCACTTAACCCAGTACATTTGAACTGCACAGCTTTGTCACATGACAGCTGCAGAAGTAGGAGTGCGGGTGCCACTGTTAACCCTTTGACTTTATGACATTTTTTTCTCTTACCTCAGGGTAGCTTCTCCAGTCTGTGAGGGAGGCACTGTTAATTCAGATAGTAAATATTATTATAACTTAATTGTTTTACTTGTCAGACAAAATATAAACAGAAATTCTCATACTTTCTGTCCACATCCTCGTGGACCTTCTTGTACAGCTCCTTTGCTACAGCTTAGCAAGCCCACTGTTGCACATCACTTGTATGACTCAGTCTCTTGCAAATTGTTTTCCTTATTAATGCTATCATTAGACTGTATTCTTACTATGGTCAGTGATTTCCATGTTGCCAAATTTAATTGACTTTTTTCAGTTGGTTTTTACCATTCGGTAGTCTTTTTTCTTTTAAGCTCAAATTTTTATTAATAGCCTTGGAACAAATACATTAATATTTCCTTACAGTCATATAGTATTATACAGTTTTGAAAGAACTTTCACGTATACCAGTCGAACCCTTACAACAGCCCTGTGAGGTAGGCAGGGTAGGTGTTATTTTCCTACTACTATTGAGAGCAAAGCTAAGAGGTGAAGTAAGGTCACACAGTTGGTGAATGATGGAGCTAGGACTAGAACCTAGGCCTTTTGACTTGCTTCCTCCCTGAGAACATTCAAGTAATGATATCCTATGCTATATAACAAATATTTATCTCCTATGAAGTTGATCAGGTCTATTTTTATACATTTTACCTGTTTTTCTATTACCTTTCCCTAATATCAAAAAACTTTAAAACTGATGAGACATTTGAGACATTTCTTCTCTGTTACTGGACTTTTTCTTAGATATATCAAGCACTAGCCTAAGATGAAACTTCTGTTTTGAGGATCCTTGGCTATAAATTCTAAATTATGATATGAACATTTATTTTACAAAAGTCTGCAAATATATGTTGAACTTAAGAAAAACAAAACAGGTCTGTTTATATTCTCGAAAGCTTTCCATCTTTCCCAATATGACTTTAAGATGTGTATAAGAGGAAAACTGGGAAAGTGTTCAGCAATATTACAGTATTATTGGGAAACCAATGCAGAGTGCACATAAATGCAAGTCACATCACGCCACACTAGTTTATTTTCTTTGTTGGCCTTTTAGAGGATGGAGAACCATTAGTGTCTTACTTTCAGGTTTGATCCCATCTTATATGTGATATCCTCAGCAACTAGCTAAAAATGTGATCTGAATTATACCAATTGGAGGACTCAAGCAGCAGTGATCAAAACATACGTGTATGTGGTAAAAGGGAAGAAAACACTTGTTCTTCATTGGTTTTGCCTAGGTCCAGTGTAATTACTTATCAAAACAAATTTTAACCTATAGCATCTCTGTTAAATTTAGAAATGTGAAATATGGTAGAGTTATCAACTTGGAATATAAGACTAAAACTGTAACTGACCCAAAACTACCTGTCAAAAGCACAGAAAGCTCAACAGGCATAAAAACTAAGGAGTAAAACCCAACTGTTCTGACATAGAGTGAAAAACAGCAAATGCAAGCCATCAGGTTAAAGTGAATCACAAAACATTAGGCATATAGAGAATGTTTTAAAAATATGAAAATGACACTGAGCTGTATTACCAGGAATGATATTTTTTAAATTCCAGGTATGGCCTTTTACATTTAAGAACAATGGAGAGAAACAAACCTATGGGGTAGGTGCAGAAAATGAATGGGATTTAGAAAGGGAGTTCAGTTGGGGAATTAAGGAAGGCCAAGAAACAAAAACATTCAAAATGGATTTAGAATCTCTCCTCTAAATCCACTCTTTCCAAAAATGTTTCCTAAATTGAGAGATTTGGTAAAAATAAAAAAGCTAGTGACAACAAAAGTGGCTATATTACCTTATAAAATAAAGTAGTATTTAAATGTAGATTAGAAATCATGCTGTAAAAGATAAATCTGCTGACCAGGCTGTAGAACCTAAAACTTAGGTGCTGCTGTCAGTGATAAAAGGCAGAAAAGTGTCTCAAAAACAGAATTGCCATATAAGGACTCAACATTAATGAAACTATTAAGAAACAAGTACTTAACTGTTTGTAATTGAAGCCTAATGAAAAGCACATTTTGTGTGTTTACTAAAGAGATCTAACAGTTTTAACTAATATGAAAGTCTTTTAAGGTAAAACGAGAAGATCTAGAATATTCTAGTTCAGTATATTGGGCTCAAAACCAGCTTTCCTTTTGAAATGCATCTAGACTAGACTATAATTCCTTACATAGTATCATTGTCATCATCATCTTCATGTTTTTCTCTTCAGTGGGTTTGCTTCATTGGCTGTGTTCTATGATGAAACCATGTTGATGGGAATAAGAATATTTTTGGGCCCAATCATTGAGGGATTAGTTGGAACATTTTGAACTGCAGTTATTGCAGGAACTGGTTTGACAGGTGTGGACCGAGAAGGTGGAATCTGCACTGTTAAATCTTTGGCTTGTCACTGACATTGGAGTTGAAACTTTATTTGGGACAGACACTGTTTGTGGGGTCACTATAGTAGGAGTGGTAGGTTTGCTACTAACAGCACCAACAGTCAATCGTAGAACTAGCCTCCCTTGGTTAGGTCCCTTTTTAATTAAGGACTTCAGCCTATAGTTTGGAGCTGTTAAGCAGTATCTATCAGGTGGGAGTCTAGGTCCTGCATATGGCTTAATCAGTGGCAAAGGGGTTTGATTTTTCTGCCTTGCAATATCCAGTAAGAAACCTCTTGGGGGAAGAGAGGTAAAAAGATCAGCACGACACTGGATTGCCAGTCTCACATCATCTGCATCAACATTAGGTTTCTTAGCATGGCTCGAATAAATTTTTGCATCATCCAGAATTGTAGTCACATTTCGGAAAGCAAATTCCAAAATTTGATTTATAACCTTTGGTTTGTAGTCTGTGATTCCCATATCCTTCGAGATCTGTGCCATCACCAAGGCATCCCTAGGAGCGTTCTTGGGAAGTGCCATCTTGCCCAATTCCATGTTATCCAGCCACTCGTTATCCGGAGAGAGAGCCTATTGGTAGTCTTTAACTTAGTTGGTCATTTCATGGTTTTTCTCCTGCTGCAAGTGGTTCAAGTGCTGACCCAGTTGCTCGTATCAAAAAAAAAAAAAAAAAGCACGAGTCATCTCTAATGTGTTCTTTTCCTTTTCCAAATACTCTTGACTTCATAGTACAGTCACCAAAACTTATTGATTTTATTTCCTAAGTTCTTTTCATATCCATTTGCTTTTTTTTTTTTCCTAACAGTTGTAAAACTACCCTAATTTAAACCACCAGCTCTCTTGGAGCTCTGCAGTAGTCCCCCATGGGGTCTTCTGATGCCTGCTTTCTCTGCATAGTGGCTAAAGTGATATTCTGAAAACACATCAGATCGTTTTACTCTTCTTGCTTAAGTCTCTTTAATGGCTTATCATTGCAATGAAAAGCGACCAGAAAGATCTTTATCTCTCCACTGCTTTCCCCTTAGTTCTCTGGGTACTAAACACTGATCTCTCTGATCCTTCAAAATATGCTAAGCAATCCCCATCTACCTTTGTGCTGTTCCTTCTGACAGGAATGGTCTTTTCCTTCCCTTTTTGTTAGCTTCTTCTCATCCTTCCTATTGTGCCACAAAAAAGTTCAGGTTCAAGGACCTTGTTGTAAAGTCTCATTTTATGCTATATATTTGCTTAATAATATTTATCCCTATGATTAATTTTTAACCGTTATATCCCCAGCACCTAGCAAATAAAGGATAAAATTTGAGTAAATGAACATTATCAGTATTTGCTTGTTTTTGTATCCATAGACTACTTGCTTTTTGAGGGTAATGTCCATATCTATTTTGGTCTCCATTATTTTTCCAGTATCTAACACATTCACACACAGACAAATATTTTTGAGTTACTGTGGTGGGTCTGTCATTATTTGTTGAATACCTTTTCCCTATAGACCTTAAATTGATCATGTCTGTCTTGTGCACCCATTCCAGTGCTTAATACAGTGCCTGACATGTAAGTATTTGGTAATGGTTTTTTGTTGTTGTTATCGACCTGTCTCTACTTTGCAATATGCACATTTAACCCATTCACATTTATTCTAATTGCTAAGATGTTTAAACTTATTTCTGATACCTTATTTTGTGTTGTCTATGTTCTTGCTTTTTTTTCTTTTCTCCCTGTTTTGTTTAGATGAAGTTTTTTTTCTATAATAGGTTTATTCCTTTAAGAGTTAGGAAGTTAAATATAATCTTTTTAGTCTTTTAATTATTGACCTGAAATCTGTAATGTAAGTTTTTAATTTTATATTTTTCTACCAACATCTTCCCATAAGACAAGAACCTCTGTTCTGCTCCCTTCCTTGCTACCTTTCCTATGAAAAAATTGAGATTTTGCTTTCCAGTTGTGATTATCTATACCAATCGAAACTTGTACTGGTGCTTTTATTTAGATCCTACTCCCAAGTATGTATTTATTTTTAAAAATTTATGTAAGCTATATTTTTTTTGGCTATAATAACTTTCCTAATAATTCTTTTAGATAGGATTTGAGAGTGATATACTTTCTGTATTGTTACATATCAGAAAATATATTTATTTTGCCCCTGTACATGATTAGTTTAACTGGGAATGAATTCTGTGTTCCTAATCATTTCCCCTCAGATTTTCAAAAAAAATTGCTTCATTGTTTCCAATGAAATATCTGACATCAAATAATTTTTTCTTTGCGTGTAATGTTTCTTCTTACTTGAAGACTCTTAGGATTTTGTTTTTAGCCTTGCTATTGTAAAATGTCATCATTATATGCTTAGCATTTGTTTTTGTTTTGTTTTCCATACATACTAGCTCTTCAGCTATGAGAAATTTATTTCTGTTTTTTTTTGAGCAGTTGCCTTCTTCCATTGTTTTTACTGTCTTTCTGGAATTTCCCTTAACTGGATGTGAGAAGTTTTGGATTTATCCTCAATGTCTGTTTGTTCTTTTTATCCTCATTCTCAGAAAATGCCTTTGGTTATTAATTGACTGATCACTCTTTAGCCATGTTTATTCTACCGTTTGACACCATCTATGCTTTCTTCTTTATTTTATATTATTTATTTTATATTACTTATTAATTTATTTTTGAGACTACATTGCCCAGGCTGGGTGCAGTAGGGCAGTCACAGCTCACTGTAGCCTTGACCTCCTGGGCTCAAACGATCTACCCACCTTAGCCTCCTGAGTAGCTGGGACTGCAGGCACACAACACTATGCTTGACTACTTAATTTTTTTTTTTTTTTTTAAGAGATAGGATCTTGCTGTATTACCCAGGTTGGCCTAGAACTCCCTACTCAAGTAATCCTTCCACCTTGGCCTCCCAAAGTGCCTGGCTTCTTCTTTATTTTAATGTTTAAATTTTTATATCTAGCCAGGCGTGGTGGCTTATGCCTGTAATCCCAGCACTTTGGGAGGCTGAGGCGGGCGGATCACAAGGTCAGGAGTTCGAGACCAGCCTGGCCAATATGGTGAAACCCCATCTCTACTAAAAATACAAAAATAAGCTGGGCATGGTGGTGGCACCTGTGCTCCCAGCTACTCAGAAAGCTGAGGGAGGAGAATCACTTGAACCCAGGAGGCAGAGGTTGCAGCGAGCCAGGATCTCACCACTGCACTCCAGCCTGGGCAACACAGTGAGACTCTGTCTCAAAAAAATAATAATAATAAATAAATAAAATTTTTACGTCCAAGATCTATAGTTGAGTCTTTCTCTGAATATAGTGTACTATTGAAACTTTTTAAAGTTTTTTCTGTATTTGCTGTCATTGCTACAGGATTAGTTCTTCTGATACTGATTCTCATGCATCTCCCCCACAGTTGTTGTAGATCCATATGTATTTGAGAGGTCCTGCCAGCTTGTCTGTGAATACTGCATTTGCTTCTAACAGCTGTGGAGAAGGGCAGTACATGTTGCACAGTGGGATGTGCCAGTGGCAACAGTTCTGAGCTTGGTTACTCCCCTTTCCTTTTGTGACTCTAAGTATGCACACTTACTGCTCAGAGGCAGACCTCTTTGTTGATGAGGTGACAAGGAGGGAGAAGCCGAGATAATTAGCTGTTCCTCCAGAGTCCAACCACTCTTCCTAATGCTTGCCCTGAGGACACTTCCTATTCTGTAGATCCTATGGCTTCTCTGCCCTTGGGATTATTTTGGAAACTTTTTTTACTTTTCATCACCATCCTCTCTGGAGGTTTCTTCCTTTAGTCCTTTCATATTTGCCTTTTCTCTTTCAGGAACTTCTCAAAATTCCTGGTTCTTTAAGAGCACACCTCTTTTGCTACTGCTGTACATTACAGGGATTTAAAGTGGAAGGGGCCATTAGATGCATAGATCAGAGCTCTGTATTGATCCATGCTTGTATTCAAGAATTCCGCATATCCTTATTTAAATATATCCTTAATAGTATATACAAAAGGAAAAAAATAGATAGATCTTAGGCTCTGACACAAATGTGGCTGTCTCCTAATACTAATGTTATGAAGTTTATGGGTATAATTATTATATTTAAGTGAATCCATACATTCCCTTCTATCTGTAAAATCATAAAACCACAGTTTTTTTATTATATATTATTTTTGTAGCATATGGTGAAAAGTTAATTTCAGTTTTTTTTTTTCCTATTAGGTTGCTGCTGACTCAGCCATTCTAGAAGTTCTTCAGTCCAACATTCAGCATGTGCTGGTCTATGAAAATCCTGCTCTTCAGGAGAAAGCGTTGGCTTGTATTCCGGTCCAAGAACTAAAAAGGAAATCACAAGAAAAGTTATCGAGAGCTAGAAAATTGGATAAAGGTAGTAGCTTTACATAATCATTTATTGCTAAATGTAAATCATTGCTAAATAAACAGAAAATACTGAAATACAACTGACCCTTGAAGAACATGGGTTTGAACTGCATGGGTCCACTTATATGTGGATTCTTTTAAACCAAACGTGGATTCACAGGATGCAAAACCCATATACGGAGGGTCAACTCTTTATATACATGGGTTCTGCAGGGCTGACTGTGAGACATGAGTATGTGTGGATTCTGGTATAGGTGGGGGTCCTGGAACCAATCCCCAGCATATACTGAGGGACAGTTGTAGTGCCTTTTGCTCTTATACATTGTTTTACAGTGTTATACATTATAAATACTTAACCTATTTCAATTTGAGTTTTTAAGAAGTACAATAATAGTATAATTTTATTGCATATACCTCATGGTCACATATCACCTTTTTTTTCAATTTTTTAATTGAGGTAAAATACATATAACAAAATTTACCATCTTACCCATTTTTAAGTGTACATTTCAGTGTTATTAAATATAGTCATAATGTTGTTCAGCCATTACCACCATCTATAGCTTTTTTTATCTTGTAAAACTGAAACTATACTCATTAAGTAATAATCCTTCCCCAGCTTCCAGCAACGACTATTCTACTTTGTCGCTGTGATTTTGACTATTCTATCTTATATAAGTGGAATCATACAGTATTTGTCTTTTGGTGACTGGTTTATTTCACTTAGCATAATGAACCTCAGGGTTCATCCAGTGATATGGTTTGGCTCTGTGTCCCCACCCAAATCTCACCTTGAATTGTAATCCTTATAATCCCCGTGTGTCAAGGGTGGGACCAGTTGGAGGTAATTGAATCACGGTGGTGGTTTCCCTGATGCTGCTCTCATAATAATGAGTGAGTCCCAGGAGATCTGATGGTTTTATAAGCATCTGGCGTTTCCCCTGCTTGCACTCATTCTCTCTCCTGCTGCCCTGTGAAAAGGTGCCTTCTGCCATGATAAGTTTTGGGAGGCCTCTCCAGCCATGTGGAACTGTGAGTCAATTAAACCTCTTCTTTATAAATTACCCAGTTGCAGGTATTTCATCATAGCAGCATAAGAACAAACTGGTACATCTAGGTTGTAACATATTGCAGAATTTCCTTCTTTTTTTTTTTTTTTTGGCAGTTTTTACAGTTTTATTTAAACACAAAACATGCACATGAGCTGTCTACTCATTTTCTTCGCTGTGCAGCCTGGCATTGGGGTTGGTGACTCTGATGGCCAGCTGGGTGGCTCTTTCCATGATGGCTTTGCAGTTCTTGGAGGAAACATTGTGAGCAATCTCAGCACAGTAAGTTTTGTTGCACATCAGCAGCACTTCAAGCTCCTTGACGTTGTGGACCAGGAACTT
This sequence comes from Homo sapiens, assembly GCF_000001405.40. Classification (NCBI taxonomy): domain Eukaryota; kingdom Metazoa; phylum Chordata; class Mammalia; order Primates; family Hominidae; genus Homo; species Homo sapiens. The sequence continues at coordinate 25,749,713 of NC_000003.12, read as the reverse complement.
CTGGAAGCCACTGGGCAGCATGTGCTTTGTTTTTTTGTTGCTCCCATAACTAATGTTGGGCATCAAGATCTGGCTCTTGAACCTTCTATGAACCCTGTCGTCAATACCTCTGGGTTTCCGCCAGTTACACTTAATTTTTGACATATCAGTCAGACTGGTGCCGGATGAACTTCTTGGTTCTCTTTTTGATGATCTTGGGCTTCACAAGGGGTCTGAGGGCGGCCATGAGGCCGAAGAGGAGATGGCTGCCACCTCTGTAGGCAGTGCTGAGGAGGAGAGAGCTTCCTTCCTTTTTAAGGTGAATAATGTCCTGTTTATGTATATATCACATTTTGCATATCCATTTATTCATTTATTCATGGATACTTGGGTTGTTTCAATATTTTGGCTATTGTGAATAATGTTGCTATGAACGTGGGTGTTTAAATACTTTAGTCTGAAATCCTGGTTTCAATTATTTTTGGTATACACCCAGAAGTGAAACTGCTGGATCTTATGGCAATTCTATTTTTAATTTTTTGAGGAACCACCATACTGTTTTCCACAGTGACTGTATCATTTTATATTCCTGCTAACAGTGCACAAGTGTTCTAATTTCCCCTGTTTTTACCAACGCTTATTATTTTCTGATTTTTCAATAGTAGCCATGCTAATGGGGATGAAGCGGTATGTCACTGTAGTTTTGATTTGCATTTTCCTAATTCATGATATTGAGCATTTTTTTCATGTGCTTATTGGTCATTTGAATATCTTCTTTGGAGAAATGTTTATTCAAGTCTTTTGAACATTCTTTTTAAAAACTTTTTTTTTTTACCTGAATACGCATTTGCAGTTTAATCATTGGTATGTGTATATTTTTAGGTAAAGTAGAACTTTAGCCCACAGAATATATGATAGCGTCATTAGTGAATTTAAATTAGTGAATTTTAATGTGAATCTAACAGAAACCATATTCAGAATTAATCCATATGAATAGACCATTGACTCACTTTTATGAGTAGAGAGACATTATTTATTGATTAAGAGTAGGTTTTGGAGTCAACTGTCTTTGTGTAAATTCAGCTCTGCTACTTCCTGTGCATCACTGAGCAAGTAATTTAATCTCTATGACTCAGTTTCTTCATGTAGAAATAAGAATGATAATTTTTAGAAATAAATGAAAAAATACATGTAAAAGCTGGGCATGATGTACTGGATAATAGGAACTGAGGTAAACAGGCCTTTCATGTAAGGTTTTATGCTAATCTAGCTAGGAATTAATCTAACTAGAGTTGTTTTCTTGTTTGCTTTAGCCGTAGGTATCAGAGGCTTCAAATTCCTCCAGTGTTCTTGTCGTCTCCCCCATTGTCTTTAGGCTTCCCTAAGAACTCCTCATTAGAGTCTGCATTTATCCTGCTTGGTGTTCGTTTAGTTGTAATCCATTGTTATTATACTGGAGCCCTATTGGTGTGATGGTAAGGTATCAAGGAGAAGGTTCTATAATCTTTTGATTAAATCTCAGTATTTTAGTGGGCCTATATCTCTGGGCCTGTGCCTTTCACAAGTGTTTGTTAGCCTTTTTACCCCCATAGGTGAGACAGGAAGGCTACAAGGGGCTGGAGTCAGGGAAATATATGTCCTTCCCCCAGTTCAGAGAAGACTCTGGTAAAATCTTTTTCCCTGGAGAGGCCTTAATTGTGAAGAACACTCTGGGTATACCTCACAATTCTTACTCTTCCCATCTTTTCTAGAGCCACAAAGGATTTTTCTTGGTTCTTCATTGTGAAAACCTGGTGGGCTTCCTGCAGACAAAATGCACAGAAGTGTGGGGACCTCTCCCAAGACTGAATTTCTTACTCCCAAGCTAGTCCATACTCAGCTTCCAGCAGTTTGTCAAAATTGCTATTTAAATGTCCTTACCAGTTTATGGCTCTAGTGACTTCTTTTCCATGTAAGCAGATTTTGACTGTGATTCTCTATATTTGTGTATCTTTTTGGACTTTGGGGTGATAATTCACTCTGTGACCTCAGTTCTCTAATGGGTCCAAGAAAAGTCACTGATTTCAGTTGAGCTTTTTATTGTTTTAAAGGTGAGAGTATTGACCTCTGCTTGCTAGAAACTGGAAGATGAAACCAGAAATCCATCTGAAGGCTTAACTATATGTGTCTCTTCCTTTTTTAACCATTTGACCAATTTTCACAAATGTCATTTATATATTTTGCTACCCTTTGTATTTTGGTAATTTTTGTCTTTTTAAAAATATTACACTATGCCATTTTTCAATTTTTGATGACTGGCTTGGGCCTTAGATTTACTTCTGCTACAGGCCTGCTAACCTTAAGACAGTTGTTCTCTTCTTGTATTAACAGTTTTTTTCCTGTGTGTACAATAAGAATGTTTATTAATATGTGATTATACAGGCCCTGTCCAGCTTCAAAGTACTGTGGTCCTTTATATGATGACTTATAGAAATGCCTGTTTATCAGGTACTTACTGAACATGTTTTGTGTTTGAGTCATTGGGCTGGGCCCTGCAGGGGAGAGACAGGATAATAATATAGCCTTGCCTTAAGAAGCAGCTAAATAGAAGATGAGAATTCAAATATACAGATCAACTGAGTGTAAAGCAGAGTCCAACAAATGTAATGTATGAAGTATAATTTTTAAAACATTATGTTGTAGACCAGCTTGGCCAACATGGTGAAACCCCGTCTGTACTAAAAATGCAAAAATTAGCCGGGCTAATTTGCAGTTGCAGATGCCCATAATCCCAGCTACTCGGGAGTCTGAAGCAGGAGAATCGCTTGAAACCGGAAGGCGGAGGTTGCAGTGAGTAGAGATTGCACCACTGCACTGCAGCCTGGGCAAAAGAGCGAAACTCCGTCTCAAAAAATAAAAAATAAAACCATTATGTTGCTAAATGAATAAACTTCAGTGAGAAATAGCATAGAGACAGAATGTTCCTGTTTGTGTCCATCATATTTCCTCTCTCTAGGCAAATAACAACCAGGAAATTGCTCAAGGAGCAAAAATCTACAATAAAGAGCATTAGTTAGGTGAACATTATGTTTATCCTGATGCATTTGTCCATCTGTCCTCACAGTGGGAATGGTCTTATCAGTGGACCAAGAATCCTTCAAGTCTATTAGCTAAGACTTAAAGTCCATTTCCCATAAAAATCTGCTGATGTTCCCTGCTAACATTTGCTCCAGCATTTTTTCTTTCTAATTATAAAGGTAATACAGGGGTTGTAGAAAATTTGGAAAATAGGGAGAAGACAAACTATCAATAACTTCATCACATTGGAGTATGTGTATTTAAGATCTGTGTATATATTCTTTCACGCTTAAAAAGTTTTAATTAAAATAGGAAAGAAATGACACAGCAGATTAGTAGTGAAAATTATGAAAATCAGTAAAAGATTTTTTTTTAAGGGCATGAAGGATGAGTGGGATTTATAAAATATGTCAAAATACATACTAAGGGATTGGGGATTTTCTTCCAAGTGTAGTGATCAACATGCATAGAGGCAGAGAAGGACAGGCTCTATTTGGGAACAATGAATAATACAGTTAGACTGTGTGTAGGGTAGGGTGTATATAAAGCAGTGGAAGATCAAGTAGGCTGAAACCATATTTTGGTTGACATTGAATTTCAGACAGAGCAGTGTATACCAAGTTCATTTTTAATGTTTTCAAAAAAATTAGTAAAATGAAACAAAGCATATTTCTAATAAGGTTTGAAATAGTAAAGACCAAAGAAATTCAAAGGAAACACGTCTTGGCCGAAAGACTAATGTTATATTGTGACTATAATTGAACATACAGCAGAAATGTTACATAACCTTATTCATCAGAAAGCAGAAAATAATTTCTCAGGTGTTCTCGAATAGGTAATTCAGCAGGATTGACTATTGAAACTCTGAGTGACATCAGACTGTATTTAAGGAAGATTAATCTAGTAATAACTTGTGAAATGAATTAAAATCAAAAGAGTACAAGGAGAGAAAAATTAAAACACAATAGTAATCTAATTTACATAAGAGGGATAAGAGGGTGAACAGAGGGTTGAGATTACAAGGGAGAAGATGGATGTGAAAGTTGTTGGGGTTATAGAATATGTGGAATTTGCAGTCAATAGGATAAGGCATCATGTATATATAAGGAAGATGTCAAAGATGACTGGGTAACTTTGAATCTAGGCAACTAGGAAATTAAAGGAGTCAGTAGAAACAGGTTTTAAAGGGAAAGGAAGAGTGAGTTGAGGTGCCTACTATCTGGACTGCCAAGTGAAAACATAGGCCTGGAAATTCGATAAGAAGTCAAGCCTTGAAATACACTTCAGGATGATAGGTAAAGCCATGCAGGTAAATGAGATTGCTAAAATTGAGAGGACAGGGTGGAGAGGTAGGATTACAGAGGTTCTAGAAAACAGTGTAGCACTAGCCACATATGGATATTTACATTTAAATTAAATGAGATGAAAAATCAAGTTCTTCAGTCACACTCAGCACATTTCAGCTACTCAATAACCACAAGTTAGTGACAACCCTACTGGACAGTAGGAATAGGAATTATTTCCATTATTGCTGAAAATTCTATTGGATGGCGATATTTTAGAAACAGCAGGATATGGGAAGAGGAAGAGTAACAAGTGAAGGAAACTTATATAGTGAAATAAGTGGTATGGTAGGCATAATGAGTATATCAATTAGGATTAGGTTGTGCTATGAGTAAAATGACTGGTGGCTTAGAGATTATTTTCTCATGTAAGAAATTATGGAAGTAGTCAGTCTGGAGCTAATGGTGAGCTATCATCAAAGACCTAGGTGCCTTCTGTCTTTTCGGCTCGGATGTATATGTTTTCCATCCTTCACATCACCTTGTAGTCCAAAATGGCTGCTGCAGCTCCAGCCATTACATTTCCAGACCAAACATCAGGAAGAAGAAACAGAGAAAAGGCATAAAGGTTTTATCTCTAATTTGAGCTTCTTCTCTTGAAGTAGTCTTCCTTGGAGTAACATGAAGCTTAGTCATTTAGCCACACTTAGCCGCAAGGGAAGTTGGGATCTGTAGTTTTTTAACTGGTGCATTGTCATCCCTCCAAAATTGAAATTCTATAAATGAGGAAGAAGTAGCAAGTGGATATTATATGGCCACCATCAGTCTCTGCCCCAGTGAGTGAATGGCACTGAGATGATGACGAAGCCCCCGCTGGCCAAGTTGGTGATTTTCTTTCATTAGTGCAGTGCACTGTTTTTTCCTTTCCAGACAAAAATCATATTCTGGGTCTATGGACTGGGGAAAGTGTTTTGGTTTGATGCAGAAATGGGGACCTTGTGGCACTGCCAAATGAGATAGAGAAGCATGATTTGATAGCTTTGGCCTGGTAGACTGAAGGTTTGTCATGATTGCATGTTCCAGATACAGGTAAAACATCTTTTTGGAGGAGGAAGAACCCATTTTTGAAAAGTGGTAACAAAATATATCTTGGCCTACTAAATTGTATGTGAAGATATGAGATGGAGAACATGGATGAGGCTACCTCTACTGATGTTTTTACCCATTTTCTCATTCTCTTGTATATTGAAGTGGTTTTCAGAGAATGGAGTTAGGTCTAAACTTGTTGATTTTATTTTGTCACTGATAAGTTACTAGAAATCTACGTTTATATGGTATTTTTGAAGATGGTAACTTTAGAAATTTGAAGTCTTAATTATATTTTTGAAATAAACCCAGTATTCACAGAATTTAGCATCTAAATCAGGCTTCCCTTATCTCTGAGATTTCTGAGCTTTCATCATACAGGAATCTACTTTTATTTCTCTGAGCCCCTAGTTAAGGATATTGTTTAAATGAGGAACATTGACCCTTAATTGGGTGTTACTGTTTAGTAGTCCTACTTTCAGCTGGATTATACCTGGAGTATGTAACAGAAGTACAAATACTCTGTTTTCCTTTCCTTTCTTCTTGGTCTTGATAATGACTATTTGGTGAACAATTACAATTCTAAGTAATATTTTGAGGCATGTTTGTTCAGTCCTTTCATCATTCAAATATTTATTAAGCATCTAGTGTATAGCAAGCAGAACACTAAGTGTTGGGGATATAGCAGTGAACAAAACTAAGTACCTACCATTATGGAAAGAGACACACACACACACTAGTGAAAAGTGCTAGGAAGACCAATGGGAGAACAGAGTGAGTGACGACTAGTAAGATGCTGTTTGATACAAGATTTTCAGGGATGGCTTCTCTAAAAAGCAATGATTTCCCTTTTAGGTAGAAGGCATGAGCAACTGCAAAGGCCTCCTGAGGTGGGAGTGAGGTTGGCAAGTTTAAGAGATGGCAGGGAGAGCATGGTGGCTGTAGCCAGTGAACAAGACAGGAGGAGATAGGGTTTGAGGTCAGAGAGGGAAGAGGGTATTTAAGTTTCCTGGGGCTACTATAACAAATTACCACAAACTTGGTGAAATAAAAAGAAATTTATTCTTACAGTTCCAGAAGGCAGAAATCCAAAATCATTATCACAGCGGGAAATCGAAGTATCCCCAGAGCCATGCTTCTTTTGGAGGGGAGAATCTGTTCTTTGCCTCTTCCAGCTTTTGGTTGCTGCTGGCAGTCCTTGGTTTGTGGCTGCAACAGTCTGGTCTTAAGGCCAGCATCTTCAAATCTCTCTCTGTCCCATCTTCACATTGCCTTCTCTGTGTGTAAAATCTCCATTTACTTGCTTTTTATGAGGTTAATTGTGATTGAATTTATCCACATATTCCAGGATAATCTCCCCATCTAGAGATCCTTAACTTTATAATATCTGCAAAGACCTTTTTTTTTTTTTTTTTTTTTTTTTTGCCACATAAGGTAACTACATTCATAGGCTACAGTGATTAGGACATGGATATCCTCTGAGGGCCATTTTTTAGCCTACGACGGGGAGCCAGCTGAAAGAACAAGAGTTGGGACTTTGAATTTTATTTTGAATGAGATGGAAACCCATTGGAGGGTTTTTTAAGTCACATAATCTGGCCTGTACTTTTAAGAAGATTACTCTAGCTGCTGCATGGTAGGCACTAGACTGAGAAGGAGAATGACAGTCCTCTGTTTCTAAAACTTTGTTTTTAATGTAACTAATTCATGAATATCTTCCTGTTGGAAAGCTTTCATATTATATGGGAAACGCCAAACTCTCCCTGCCATTCAGTTCTGTTCTTTTTCATGTCTTGTCCTGGATATTTATACCTTAAATAATTATCTATAAAAATAGTTTAAGTTGTGTGGGGTTTATTTAAAATTTATCATCTCATATATATTCAGCTCCTTGGTGTTTTTCATTTACAAATATGTATTGGACAGCTTTTTAACTCCATAGTGTTTGATTGTACATACACTATTATTTATACAATTCCCTATTGATGGACATAGAGGTTGTTTCCATTTTCTCTGTTCTAAATGCCACCACAGTGGAGATTCTTGTAAACCATGTCTCCTGGCACACATGCACAAGTATTTCTCTTGGATAGATACTGAAATGTCAAGTGTGTGTAATACTTTTATATTATAATGGATCCTGCCAAATTGCCTTCCAATTTATACTAGAAGTGTCTAAGAATATTTGTTTCCACTTAATGAAAGTATTGAATTTCTTTTATGGACTTTGTGAATTTTTCTAGTGGGTTTCTTAATGTTCTTACTGATTTATAGAAGTTCTTTATGTATTTAGAAATTTATCTTTTTGAGACAGAGTTTTGCTGTTGTCGCCCAGATTGGAGTGCAGTGGCGCGATCTCGGCTCACTGCAACCTCCGCCTCCCAGGTTCAAGTGATTCTCCTGCCTCAGCTTCCTGAGTAGCTGGGATTACAGGTACCTGCCACCACGCCCGGCTAATTTTTTTTTTCTTTTGTATTTTTAGTAGAGACGGGGTTTCACCATGTTGGGCAGGCTGTTCTCCAACTCCTGACCTCAAGTGATCCTCCCACCTCAGCCTCCTAAAGTGCTGGGATTATAGGCGTGAGCCACCGTGCCCGTCCAGAAATTTATCTTTTCTTTGTTAGACATGTTACAAATTTTTCCTCCCAGAGTTCTTTAGTGTAGCTTTTGAAATTCAAAAGTTTTTATTTTTAACATAAGAAAATTTAATTTTTTTATTATTGATTTTACAGTTTGTATCTTGCTTGCCTAAGACCTTCCTAACCCAAAGTCATAAACATAAACATACTCACCTATAAACTTCTATTATTTTATATTATTCCAGAGAAAGTTTTTTTTTAATGAACTATAGTAGGGATCTGATAGATAGCTATTTGTCCTAATATCATTTATTGAAACAGTCCATCCTGTTAGAGCTGCTTTAAAATGCTAACTTTATTAAATACTGTGCATTTGCTTAGAAATCTGTCTTTCAGAATTCTTTTGTTTCATTGATCTGTTTATTCTTCACTAATACCACATTGTTTTAAATATTAGAGTTTTATAATATGTCTTGATACACGGTAGGCAAATTTACCTTATGATTCTTGCTCAAAGTTGTGTTGGCTATTTTGTGCATTTTCTCTTTCACATGGGATTTTGTAGTTAGCTTGTCAATTTTTTTTTTTTTTTTTTTTTTAATGAGACAGAGTTTCGCTCTGTCACTCAGGCTGGAGTGCAATGGCATGATCTTGGCTCACTGCAACCTCTGCATCCCAGGTTCAGGTGATTCTCCCGCCTCAGCCTCCCAAGTAGCTGGGATCACAGGCACCTACCACCAAACCCAGAAAATTTTTGTAGTTTTTAGTAGAGACGAAGTTTCACCATGTTGGCCAGGCTGGTCTCGAACTCCTGACCTCAGATGATCTGCCTACCTTGGCCTCCCAAAGTGCTGGGATTAGAGCTGTGAGCCGCCACACCTGGCTAGCTTGTCAAATTTTATGAAAAAATATTTTATAATTTTAATTGGGATTATATTAAATTATAGATTAATTTGTGGAAGGTTATCAGCTTTAGAAATATTGAGTTTTCCCTCCAGGAACATAAATATTTCTGGCCTTTTTACATTCTCTGTAGTTTTTTTTTCTGTAGTTTTTTATTTTGAAATACATCAAACATAAATACAAGAACAAAGTATAATATATCATATACCTATGACCAACATCAAGCTTTATTAGATTTTATCATTATGCTATATATGTCCTTCATATTTATGTTTTATTATCACTCTGTTTTAATCATAAAACATTAAAGATAGAGATGAGAACCCCCTATATATGTTTTTAAGATTGATTTTCCCTCTCCTTCCCTTCTTGCCAGAGATACCATGGTCTTGAATATGAACAAGAGAGATCTGTTTATGGAAAAGTGGGTATATTATCTGTCATGTTATAACTTACTAGGGTTGTTATATATACTAGAGATATGGTTGTGTTTTTATGTGTTTGGGGATGAGTATCCATGGATGGATTATATTGTACAGTTGAAGCCCTAATAGAAAGGCTAATAGGATGATTTTTTAAATGTCTGGAATTCTGTGATTTCTGCCTTTTGTGATTGTTTCATGTTTACTTGTGTATATACCTGATAACAAATTCAATGTTTCCCATTTTTAAATGTTTTTCAAAATCAAATTTATTTTTCTACCTCCCTTGTACTTCAGGATCAATTCCTAACTGACTATAGTTCCCTAAGAGGTCATTGTGTTCAGCTCACTTGTTAATGCATAATGTCAGTTAGAGGATATAAAATGGTAAATGTTCTACTGTTTTTAATGTGCAGTTATACTTGTCATTGTATTTCAGCCTAGTGCCTAATAAATGACAGTTTCTTCTTGCCTCTTATTAGTGAAAACCTTAAAATCATCTTATGTTTTCATATTTTTCAGGTTCGTATTTGAGAATAAATATGTTTGGATAGTTTAAATTTTGTCAGTTTTAGCTCTTACTTGGTCCTCCCTTAATTTCTCAGGTATCAATATAAGTGATGAGGATTTTCTTTTGCTGGAGCTTTTGCACTGGTTTAAGGAAGAATTTTTTCACTGGGTGAATAACGTTTTGTGCAGCAAATGTGGTGGACAGACTAGGTCTAGAGATAGATCATTACTGCCCAGTGATGATGAGCTGAAGTGGGGTGCAAAGGAAGTGGAAGATCATTACTGTGATGCCTGCCAGTTCAGCAATCGATTCCCAAGGTGGGTGCCCTGGATGGTAAAATCAGAATAATCTCTTAATGAAATAGTTAGAAGAGAGTTTTTACTAAATGAACTTTTTAATATTTAATTATCAGAAATATATTCCTCTAAAATACCGGTGAGCAAACCGTGGCTGGCAGGCTAAATCCAGCCGACATCCTGTTTTTGTAAGTAAAGTTTTATTAGAACATAACCATGCTGATTTATTTGCTTATGGTCTGTTTTTATGCTGCAACAAGCAGAGTTGAATAATGGTGACAGAAATGATATGACCCACAAAGTCTGAAATATTCACCATCTGTCTTTTATAGGAAATTTGTTGACTCTTGTTCTAAAGTATAACTTGAGTATAGTCATAACATGTTTAATGCTATAAATCTTGTATTACTTTTTTAATTCCTAATTTTTAACTGTCTGATAGCTAACAATACTTATAATAATGCTGAGGTATACTTTTACCTTCCATATTATCATCGGATGATTATTTTAAACACATAATTGTATTCACTCTCACAATAATCAGCATTATTATTATCAGTCTTATTAGCAGAAGTTTGTTTTAGTTAGGTGCTTCCCCTGCCCAACCTAACCTACTCCTCATATCTCTAAATTTTAAACTAAGGACATTTTAAATTTTAAATTAATTTCCATTCTTTAATTTATAAGCCTGTTTTCAGATTTTCTGAATTGGCAATGTTTATAAAGTCTGGTTGTATTATCAGTCAAGGAAAGATACCACGTTTTAAAAATATCTAATTTTTTTTAGCTTAGGACATAGTTTCTAATCATGTGCTTGTTTTAACCTCTAGCTCTTCTCTATATGGGGAGGCTGAGGCAGGAGGATTGCTTGAACCTGGGAGGCAGAGGTTGCAGTGATCCAAGATTGTGCCACTGCGCTCCAGCCTGGGCGACAGAGTGAGACTTGAGACTTTGTCTCAAAAAAAAAAAAAATTTAATTACCTAAGTTATAAATTCATTTATTTAGCTTAAGAAATGCTTGGTTAAGCATTTGCTTAACAGACTTGTCATCGCAGAGCCCATTCATTTATGCCACTGTTTCCTTTCCTTCCAAAGCACGTGGCTGACCTCTCTGCTCAGCTGCAGCACTTTTCCTGCTCAGCTCTATCAGTTCAAAACCCATCTCAACACAAAATGCAAAATTTAGTGTTCTTGAATTGTCTGGTAATTTTATAATTGGAGTAACTTCTGAAAAGAATGTTACAAATAGATCCCAAAAAACAACTTCCAAATTAGCAGGCACCTTTAAATACTTCAAAAGAGTAAAATTTTAATCAAAATGATTATTAGAAAGAAAGATAATATTTTAGATAAAATTGAATTAAACTAAGCTAAAATTTTTGTTGAGTAATTTGTTAAAGTTGTTTACCTTTTAAATACAGTGAGCTAGCTATACCACTTTAGTGCTAATGCTTTAGGCAAATTGCCTAGAGAATTTGCTTCTCCAAATCTTACATTATTCAAAACACAGATCAAATAAAAGCTCTCCTCACCAGCCACTTTCTGACCTGTTGTATTGTTTGATCACTAATCTGACCTGTTGTATTGTTTGATCACATTCTGCCATATATTTAAATTATTTGTGTTCATCCCTTTCCTCAGGATTGTGAACACCTTGAAAGCAGTACTACCGTTTAATTATTTTTCACCAAATGTTCTAACATTGTGCCTCATATATTCTAGATTTCTAAATAAATATTTAAAAACAAATTAAAGGCCGGGCGCAGTGGCTCACACCTGTAATCTCAGCACTTTGGGAGGCTGAGGCGGGCGAATCACGAGGTCAGGAGATCGAGACCATCCTGGCTAACATGGTGAAACCCCGTCTCTACTGAAAATACAAACAAAATTAGCCAGACCTGGTGGCATGCACCTGTAGTCACAGATACTCTGGAGGCTGAGGCAGGAGAATCACTTGAACCTGGGAGGCGGAGGTTGCAGTGAGCCGAGATTGCGCCACTGCACTCCAGCCTGGGTGACAGAGCAAGACTCCGTCTCAAAAAAAAAAAAAAAATTAAACATTTCTGTTTAGCATAGAGGTAATGTAAATTCTCTTAAAAATCTTGATTTTGATAATTAAGGTTTTTTTTCTTTTTAAACCAGATATAATAACCCTGAGAAACTTTTGGAAACAAGATGTGGACGGTGTGGCGAGTGGGCCAATTGTTTTACACTGTGCTGCCGAGCTGTAGGGTTTGAAGCTCGCTATGTTTGGGATTACACAGGTACAGAATGTGGAATGAGCAGAGGGTAGTAGGGCTTTGCAGGCTTGCAGGTTTGGGTTTACATTCTGAGCCCATGATTCTCTGTTACTTTTTGGCCTTGTCAGTCTGACCTTCCATTTGCCTTGTGTAAAACAGTAATAATACCAACCTTCCAGGTTTTTTGAAGGGATCACAAGAGTTTTGTAAAACACCTAGCACTGTGCCTGGTGCTTTGCACTATAAATATTCCTTTTTTTCCCCTTTATTTTTTTATTGATGCATAATAGATGTACATATTTGGGGGATACTTGTAATGCATTTATATAAATTCTACAGAGCAAATCAGTATTATTGGGATGTCTGAGATCTTAAATATTTGTCTTTATGCTGGAAACATTTGAATTACTCTCTTCTAGCTATTATGAAATATGCAGTGGATTATTGTAAACTGTAAACACCCTATTGATCTATCAAACACTAGGTCTTGTTTCTTTTATTAGCAATTTACCGTGGCATTTATAGTGATGCTGTTTATATATGGATAAAAACATGTAATAATGTACCATAGAAATCTTCATTGCTATAGGGATTACTGTAAAAAATTTAGTAAACTATAAACTTAAAGCACAGTATACAGAAATAATAAAAGTCATGTGATATTTGTGTTGTCCCTATTTAGAAATAACTTGTGTGGTCTACATGTTAAAAAGTTGTTTTCCTTGTGTTTCCATTTTCTAAAGAATTAAATGAAACCTTCCATTAATAGTTAGTGTTCTCTTAAAATCAAATATAAAGCATGTATTGACCAGAGATTCTATTAGACTTCCTGCTGGTTCTGGGCCTTAAAGTCCAGAGAGAGAGACTGTAGTTTCAAAAGTGGCATTAACTCCTTCATGATAGTAAACTCAGGATGATATTTTTTATGCTGCTCTTTAATATGTCTACCTTCTTAAGAGTTACAGCGCACATTAAGCCTAAAACTGACCACGTTAAAGGAGATTGGAAAAACATTTTTAAGGATTTCAAAGAGACAGAAATTAATACAGGTATTCTAAAATCCTGTGTGCCACAAAATGCACTTATTAACTGAAATTCAGAATATTATGCATTACTTTATGATTCTTAGGAGTTTGTGTATAGTTATTGAAAGTCATTCTGATTTCATTGTCTTTTTTCCATTGCTCTCTTTTCTCTTACTTGAGTAGACCATGTCTGGACAGAAGTCTATTCTCCTTCTCAGCAGCGGTGGCTGCACTGTGATGCATGTGAAGATGTCTGTGACAAGCCACTCCTTTATGAAATAGGATGGGGCAAGAAGCTTTCCTATGTCATAGCATTTTCAAAAGATGAGGTAGAGCATAAAAGAAAAAAACTTTTTTCCAAAAGTAAAATATATTTTTTTCTTTTATGACAGCTTCATGAATGTATAATTAACATACAATAACCTGCATATATTTAAATTGTACAGTTTGATAAGTTTTATTTGTATACACTGAAATCATCACTGCAAATCAGTATTCATTGTATGGATGTGCCATAGTTTACCATTTCACCTGTTGATGGCTATTTGGGTAGTTCCCAGTTTTTTTCACAATTTCAAATTAAGCTGCCATGAACACTCAGGCACACAAGTCTTTATATGGGCATATGCTGCCTTTTCTCTTTGCTTAATGCCTAGGAGTAGAATGGCTGCATTATATGGTAGATATACATACAACTTTTTAAGAAACCACTAAACTATTTTCCAACGTGGTTGTGCCATTTTACATTTTCGCAAGCAGTATGTAAGTTTCCAGTTTCTCCATGTCCTTGCTAACATTTAGTATGATCTGACTTTTTAATTTTATCCCCTTTAATAGGTGTGTAGTGGCATTTCATTATGGTTTTTATTTGTACTTCCCTAATGACAAATAATACTGAGCATCTTTTTATGTGTTTGCTTACCATCCATATGTCCCCTTTGCTTATTTTTTTTAATTGGGTATTGTGTTTTCTTACTGTTTGGTTTTGAGAGTTCTTTATATATTCTTATATAAGTCCATTATCAGATATGTGCTTTGCAAAGATTTTTCTCCCTATCTGTAGTTTGTCTTTTTATGCTCTTAATGATTTTTGAAGAGAAGAAACTGGCGTTCAGTTTACCAATTGGTTGTTTTATGGATTGTGCTTTTTGATGTTATATTTAAGAAATTTTGCCTAGCCCTTGGTCACAATGATTTTCTCCTATGTTTTGTTTTAGAAGTTTTTTTTGGTTTTATGCTTATGTCTGCAATCCATTTTGAGTTAATTTTTTTATATGATCCAAGGTGTATGAAGTTTTTTTTTACATATGGATAATGAATTGTTCTAGCACCATTTATTGAAAAGATTATTTTTTCTCCATTGAATTGTCTTTCCACTTGTATCAAAAATCAGTTCTGTAATATAAATCTAATACAATAAAAATGGATAAAATTTTTATTTGTTGAATTTTGTGGAATCAGCTTTGCAGATAAATTTTAAAAAGGTAATGTTTTGAAATTTTCACTTTTTTATCATAGCGTTTCTGGTTAAACTATCAACTGTTTAGGAATGAATAAGTGACGTATTCTCTTCCGTTTATTTTATAGGCTTTTACGTTTTATTTTATTTTATTTTAATTTTTCGAGACAGTCTCACCCTCTTGCCCAGGCTGGAGTGCAGTTGCATGATCCCAGCTCACTGCAACCTCTGCCTCCCAAGTTCAAGCGATTCTCCTGCCTCAGCCTCCTGAGTAACTGGGATTACAAGCACATGCCACCACACCTGGCTAATTTTTTTTGTTTGTTTTTTTTCAGTAGAGACGGGGTTTCACCATGTTGGCCAGGCTGGTCTCCAACTCCTGACCTCAGGTGATCTGCTCACCTCAGCCTCCCAAAGTGCTGAGATTACAGGCATGAGCCACTGCACCAGGCCCCATGACTTTTAAATTTTAAACAAAGGATAGTATTCTAAAAATTGCATTTAAGGCTGGGCGTGGTGGCTCATGCTTATAATCCCAGCACTTTGGGAGGCCAAGGTGGGTGGATCACCTGAGGTCAGGAGTTCGAGACCAGCCTAGCCAACATGGTGAAACCCCATCTCTACTTAAAACAATACAAAAATCAGCCAGGCGTGATGGTGCATGCCTATAGTCCCAGCTACTCAGGAGGCTGAGATACGAGAATCTCTTGACCCTGGGAAGTGAGACTGCAGTGAGCTGAGATCACGCCACTGCACTCTAGCCTGGACAACAGAGCGAGACTTCGTCTCCAAAAAAATGCATTTAAAAATTACATACATTCTAGGTATTTAGTAAGTAAAGGTTGATGGTTGTAATCTTGTTAAGTATTTGTATTCTGTTATTTGTTTCAGGTAGTTGATGTCACTTGGCGATATTCCTGCAAACATGAAGAGGTGATTGCCAGAAGAACTAAGGTTAAAGAAGCATTACTTCGAGACACTATTAATGGGCTTAATAAGCAGGTATGGTGTGGCTATCTTTTTTGAAAGAACAGTTGACATTTTTTATGTAATCGAGAATAGCCGTTTATTAGCCTATTGAAATTCTTAAAGTAGTAGCATTGTTTTATAAACAAGAATATTTTAATATTCTTTTTGAATATTAAAGAATAAAAATATTCTTTTTGTTCATTGAAAATTTTGCGGACTCATTTTAAATATTATGAGTTATTTTGGATTAAACTGTCTCATTTCAAAGTTCTTTGAAACAAAATTTCAGTATTGGTAGTACCTGACAAAAAATGTGTTGTCTTATTTATCAGTGTAACTGTGCCTTGGATATGACACAGACTCATATTTATGTATTATGTATGTACATACACACACACACACACACACACACACACACACACACACACACACACACACGTCCATGTGAGGAAATTTCTGAAGCAAGGCACAGGAAGTTATTAACAATGACTACTTCTGAGAGGAGGAACTGGAGTTCCAAGATGAAAGGTTCAATTTTTGTTTTATACCCCTTTGATAGTATTGAAATTTTTAACTCTATACATGTGGGTTTTTTTCATAAATTAAAAAATAAGCAGTGAATTTTGCTGTAGCAGGCAGTTAGAACAGGGCAGAGCACATTAATCCAATCAGTGATAATGATTCCAGGTGAGGTTTCAGTCTATTTTGAATCTGCACTTACTCCTGATGTGTAGCCCTTCGGAGATCTCTACCTGAAAACCTGGATTATTTGCTAGATCCCCTTGCATTAGAACACTCTGACCCTCAGTTTATTTTTACCCCAGCACTGTGATTCTGCTAAAAATTCTGCTTTGATTTCCAGCACTTTAGTCACTATTTTGTCCTTGGCTTCTCAGCCTCTTCTCATGCCACTTAATAATTGACAAATGACTGGAAGGGAAAAGAGGTGCAGTATGTGCCCTTCACCTCAATTCTTTTCTTCTCTTGGAATCTTGACTTCTCAAGTTCTGGCTGCCTTTACAGCTTTCTGTTGCACTCAAACAGGTGTTTATATGTGAGTGTTCTGTTTGTGTGTTTCCACTAGCTTTTCTAGCTTTTCTCAGTAAGACATTCTGACACAAGCCAGTCTATCATATCCAGAAACAGAAGTTGCTACCTTCATTATAAATAAATCTAGGACAGTAGAGCTCATGGAGAGTTGGAAATAGGTGTTAAATGATTTCCCAACATAAAATTTATAAAATTATTTAAGTTTTCCACAGTGTCCTTTTTATTTTCTGAATAATATATGTTTGAAAATAAAATTCAGTACTTGTTTCAAGACCTCTTAAAATGCAAGTGTTTTAAGTATATTCTTGCTTAGAGATGGACCTATACATTCCCCTAATCTTAACAACTTTTTTAAAAAACATGAATTACAGAGGCAACTGTTTTTGTCAGAAAACAGAAGGAAAGAACTTCTCCAGAGGATAATTGTGGAGCTTGTTGAATTTATATCTCCCAAAACCCCTAAACCTGGAGAACTTGGGGGAAGAATATCTGGGTCAGTGGCTTGGAGAGTAGCCCGAGGTGAAATGGGTCTACAGGTATTTAATTCATTCTAGCATGATGATCCTTTTACTTTCCTGCTTCATATACTATGCTCTTCCTATACTATCCTCCAACTGCATTGACTATGACCTTTCAGTTAACTTGAGAGTAATTATTTTAAAATGCAAACATTTGAAGAGAACCAGTAATTGATTTACATAGCATTATCGTGTAAGAGTTAGCAAAGCATTTTTAAAATGGGACTTAAAATTTTTTTTACCTTATGTAAATTTTTAGTGCAGTGTAACTTTTACTGAAGAATATACAGGAAAATGCACAAATTATAAATGTACAGCTTAATGAATGTTTACAAATTTAACACCCATGTAATCGCCAACCAGAATAAGAAATAGATCACTGGAACCGTAGAAACAAGCGTGAGTTTCTTTCCCCACTGCCTTACACCCTCGAAAGTAATCATTATTCTGGCTTCTAACATCATATATTAGTTTTGCCTGTTATTGTGCTTTATAAAATGGAATCATATAGCATGTACTGTTTTGTATATAGCTTGTTTTGTGTAACTTTGTGTCAGTGAGATACATGTTGCAACGTGTATGGTATGTTCTCATTGCTGTATAATTTATTGTATGAATGTAATTTTTCACTGTTGATGGCTATTTGGGTTATTTCTAGTTTTGGCTGATATAAATGGTGCTGCTCTGAACATTTATATTCACGTTTTCAGTGAATATGTTTAGGCATTTTGTTGGATGTATACCTAGGAGTGGAATTGCTAGGTAATAGAGTATGAGTATATTCAGCTTTAGTACATATTGCCAAACAGTTTTTCAAAATGGTTATGCCAGCTTATACTCTCACCAGCAGTATATGAAGTTTTTCGACATCTTTGTGTACACTTGGTATTGTCTATCTTTTCATTTTAGCAGTTCTGGTGGCGTATAGTAGTATCGTGATTTTAATTTGCATTTTGGTGATGACTAATTATGGTGAATGCCTGTTCTTTAAACTTTTGGATATCCTCATTCTCTTTTGTGAAGTGCTTATTTAGGTCTTTTAAAATGAGATTCTAATGCATTTAAAAGAATGCTGTTTTACGTTTTTCCTCTCCAGATGAAAACTTTATGGAGTGGAGAAAATACAGAATTTGGGGAATTCAGCTGATGAAAGTGTTTATTTCTTGGTATATGCTTGCATATATCTGATATTGGCTAGAAATTGTTGGTGGCATGATTACTGTTATATTAAAATTTATTTTAAGATACCACATGATTAATCTTCCAAAATTAAATAACAATGGAAATATAATTTCCATAGGTAGGTCCTAAAGTTAAGGGACTAGGTAAAAATCAGTGTGCTAGGCTTTGTAACAGGCATTAGGGCAGTATAATAGACTGTCCTTTGCCCTTAGGGAGCTAAAGTTGAGTCACTGGAGAGCATTTAATAAAATGTTTAGGAAATATGCAATGAAAAATGCTTGAAAGAAAAATAACTCATCACAATATCAGTATCAAGCAGTTCCAAACAAATTAAAGTTGTATTTATCTACTTTTTCTAAATTTGCCATTGTTACAGTTCATTTCTCTAGTAACAGAATATGTTTTAAAGGAGTGAATTATCACTAATAAATTTTATGTTTGCTTTTTAATTTATCCCATCGTCTGTAGCGGGCAGTTAAAAGTGTTGGTTCAGCCATAGGATTACAAGATCCAAATTCAACAAATAATTCAAATCACTGCCAATGCAGTGTGTTACAAGTATAAATCTAAATACAGCCAGTTAAAAAGAGCTAATTTAATTCGCAGCTGTGTTCAATTTAAAACATGGATATTATTTAGGTCTTCATTTCTTTTTATGCATGGGTGTGCTATCTCTTGCATGGCATGGAAGTTGATTAACTTTAAAAATATGAATTGGGTTGCATACCACATTGTTTTCCCTTTTGAAATTTTTTTTAAGTTTCTTAATTGCTGGAGACCATTTTAGGGCCATGGATTTAAAAAGAAATCATTTTTTCCTTTAGAAATGGATGTTTGTTTTAAAAGTAAATAGAAAAACATTAATCCTAAATACTTTTGGAATTAATCTTGCAATCAATTGGAAACAGAAGAAACATTGGTACTATCATTTCCAGAAAGAAAAGTTTTATTTTAATCTTAGAATTAAAATATTTTATAAAATATTAATGTTATTTTGGACTAGAATGCAAAGATTGCCTGGGATTTTAAGGTTAAAATACAAGCTTTTGTAATAATTTTACACATGCAGAAGACTGTTTCATGCTATACCTCTCAGCTGCTCTCCTAGCTTAGGGAACTAGGAAAGGACACTGAGGAAATGGTTGAGGACTCAGGATGAGAAAGAATCCAGTATGTGGAGAGTAGAAAACAGCATCCTAGACAAAGTAAGCAGCATGTGTCAAAGCCGTGAGGCAAAATGAGCTGGACCTTTTTGAGGAACTAAAGGAAAAGTAATGTGATGTGAGTGTAGAAATGAAAGGGAAGAGTAACAGAAGATCTGGCTGGAGAAGCAAGCAGGGTGAACCATCACATAAGGCCCTGGTAGCCGTGGTAAAGAGCTTGGAGTTTAAGTCACTGAAGTGAGTTAAGCAGGAAAGTGACATATCCTAGTTTACATTTTTTGAAAAGTCATTTTCATTGCTATGTGGAGCATGGATAGGAGAGGTAAGAGTTGAAAGCTGGGAGTCAGCTTCAGGAGACAATTGTAGAAGTCCAAGTAGGGGGATAGTGGTGGTGGTAGAAAAGAATAAAAATTAATGAATTCATTGAATGCAAAATCACAAAAATATAAGTCAGAGCTCATACTTCTTGTTTTTCTCTCTAGTAATGTTTAGAGTTATAATAACATCATACTGATTATATTTAATTTATAAAATAATTTCCAAATTTTCCAATGGCACTAATTTTTTCTTTTCAATTTTGAAGGATTCTCTTACCACTCTGCTTAGTAATTTCTCTTTTTTCTTTTTTACATCTTTCATAATGTTGAAAAACTAATTCTGCTTTCTTTTTAAGAGAAAAGAAACCTTGTTTATTCCCTGTGAAAATGAGAAGATTTCTAAACAGCTCCACCTTTGTTACAATATTGTGAAAGATCGTTATGTTCGAGTTTCAAATAACAATCAAACCATTTCTGGATGGGAGAATGGCGTGTGGAAAATGGAATCTATATTCAGAAAAGTTGAAACAGACTGGCACATGGTAACTTAATGCATAAAACCATTTAAAACTTTTGTCATTGTTTAAACAAATATAGATTGGCTTCATTTTTCAGTTGTGTAAAATATGAAAACTGATATATCAAACTTATTTTCAGTAATCCTATAACCTGGAAAAGAAAATTCTGTCCCCAATATGTAATCAAAAGTCCACTAGAAATTCTTGCATTTATATCAAGGAAGTATCTGTTTTCATCAAAGAGGATGAATTTAATTCTTTCATGGGAAAAAATAATCAAATGTATGATCAATCCATATGACTGATTTTTGCATGAACATATATACATATATATTCTATTTGATACTGTATATATAAATACATTATATTGTGAATTAATTCCTTCACAGATGTGTATTGATTGCCCATTAAATACAGGCTATTTAGGGAGTATAATAGATTTAGTTCAAAGTTTCAGAAAGCTAAACATCTAACAGGCATTCACTTCAAAGAATGTGGATGATTGAGCAGCAATATTGGTTATTTCTTCTCTGTATCTTAAAAAAATAATTAAGTAGAGGTTAGGACTATAGCAGTTCATTTATACCAAGTTGCATATTATCGTCACATGCTATCAGTAACAAATAAGAGGCTTTGCTTTAAAACTGCCTGCTCCTTAGAAACACACCAAAATAAACTTAAAGCTATTCACATGACCTCAGTAGATCTGATCATATTCTTGATAGATTTTCATAGGAATTAATTAACTTATAGGAAGCTTTTAAAGTTAATTTACCAAGATACTTGAGTGGGAACTTGTTCACTTGTAAAATATATTGGATAGATTAAAAAAGTGAGTCACATATAAACAGCTGCTAGTGTTTATGAGCATCTGTTACATGCTGTCACTGTACTAGGCATTAATCAAATTACCAAAAACATACAGAGATAAGGTCTCTGCTTTTCTCTTTTTCAATCATAAGTTTTTGTTCAAAAACTTATCTTGCTGCTTAAACATAGAAATACTCCATTTATATCACATTGTCTAATACTAAAAAAGTTGAGGTATTTTTGTATTAGTAACTTACAGGATTATTCTAAATTTTGGAATTTTCTTCTTTAGCTAAAGAAATGCATAAAAATAGAGATAAAATTTAAAATTTCGAGATACCTGTAATTAGTTGTACAGTTGATGAGAGAGGATGAACATCTTCTAGAAGACTATCCTTAGCCTAAGAATTTCTCTGAACAGAAAGCAAGATAGAATAAAAGGGTTTTTTATCGAATGACTAGTCTATACTTGCTAAAATGGAGAAAAATCATGTGTTTCCTCCTAACCAGCAATGTTAGTAAAGTAGTAATGATGGGGAAAATAGTGATGTGTTACAGAAGATGTGATATGCCAAGAAACAGAACTACTGTATGGAGTATTTCTTCTTTGTCTTATACACTCATTTGTTCATCAGCAAACTTGTACTGTTGTGCCAGGCATTATTCTCAGCTACGTAAACAAAAAGATGATTCCTGACCTCACGATCTAAAAGGGGAAGCCAAAGCATAAACCGCCATCTTAACCATGATGCAGAGTGCTATAATAAGGATATCAACACATTGCTATGGAAACAGTGAGGTGGGAGTAATTAGCTTTGGCTGTAGGAGTTGGGCAAAGCTCCACTGAGCAGACGACATTTGAGCTGGACACTGGAGGTTGAGTAGGTGTTTATCAGGCAAGGAAACAAAAAGGCATGGAGTACGTGGCGTATTTCAAGATCTCCAAATAGAACATTTTAGCCAGAGAGGGGCTATAGTGTGAGAAAGATTTAAATAATGTAAATGATAGACAAAGGCCATTAAATAGAAAACACACCCCTATTCAAGTAAAGCTTATGCCTTGATATACTTTTATGAAGGGTACCATTTTTTTTAAGTTGAGTGAATTTCTTTCTAGCTACATGTATTTAGTATCAAATGAAGAAAAATACTAGAATCTTTACTTGTAGAGAGTGATAACTCGGAAGTAACAATTGTCGTTATAACTTAAGTATTCCATCTAAATCAGTATTTCTGGTTCTGTACTAGCATGCCCCCAGTTAGGGATTTTCTAGCTCTGTTGAATAGTAAACCTATTTCTCACTACCGTTTTTCTCAGTAATCTCCAACCAGGTATCATGACAGATCACATGCAGCCTGCTTTCAGAGTTTTAGAACAGATTCTTTACCTCTCAAAGAGGTATCCTCCCAGGAGCACAAAGATTAAAATTTGCTATTTAGCAAATAACATTGTTCAGTAATGTCTGAATTGAAAAGCATATAAAAACTAAATCAAGAAGACCAGTACGCTTTTTGGGAGGCAAGTGATAACACCTTGATAAAAGCAGTATTAATAGCTTCCTAACTAATCTCCCTCTGTCCTAATCCTTTCAAAGCTGTGATCCATGCTCTCGCTAAAGAAACATTTACAAAAACTTAATCCTTAACTGAGTGCTCTTAGAGTAAGACATAGCTCCACGTCTTTTCCAAATCTGGTCCTTGCCTTCTTCTCTGGCTTTGCCTTGCACTGTGCTACCCCTTGCTCTCTGCATTGCAGATATATTGTCCCTTCTCCCTTCTTCACAGAACCTCCTATACTTCTCTTTTTTGATTAATTTATTCTTAACCTTACCACTTGGCCCAAGCCTCACTCCCTCAGGTCCCAGCAAATTGAATCCATTTCCCTCTTTATAGATTCATTGTACCATATACCTCTCTTTCATGACATGTATTCAACAAATAGAAATGAAAATAAATTATTTGTCTCTCTCTAATAATGTTTACATTAGATTGTAAACAATTCTTAGGGAGAGACCTTGTCTTTTTCTACTCACTTTTGTACTCTCAGTATTCATATATCTGGCATAGTACCCGATACATAGTAAGTGTTTAGTAAAGATTGGTGAATGTAAAAATGTACGTGGCATAAATTCTGCATCACCCTAGGGCTATGTAGAGCACTGTAAGAACCTCACTTTGTTGAGTGTCCTTTGGATGGTCTTAGATACTTTTTGGTTTTGATGAGTTTTATCCCTCTCTTTGTCACTACAGTCATTTTAGCATTTTGGCGGGGTGAGGGGGCGGGTGCATGGCATTATGTCAAGAATTCATTCAGCACTCAGCAAATATGCACATTGTCAAATATTGTGCTTGGCAGTCTGATGTAATGGTGAATTAAGAGGCAAGCCTCAAGGTGCGTATCAGCTGGTAAAGTGAAAGACATGTGGGTCAACTGTTTAGATTAATGGGGGTAAATGGTAGAAGAGTATGTGTTTGTTTATGATACTGAGAGAAAGAAGACAGAAACAAGAGCCACTAACACCCTGAATCTGAGTGAAAAAAACCTCATACTCCAAGTATTTTGTTTTGTTTTGTTCACTCTACAAGTATTTTTTTTTTTCTGTTCTCTCTACAACAATCAACTCAGACCTCTGACCAAATATGTGGAGGGGTGGGTTCCCCCAAATAAGCAAGCAAGCAATTCTGCAGCAGAACCAGCTGAGTGACCTCTAATCCAATCAATTCTAACATGATCTTCCTGGAGATAACATTAGATACCAAATGTTGAGGGTTTAGTCCCCAAGACTCTCCCCTCCCCACTTCAGATGCCAATCACAAGCTCCAGTTTGTTTTACCTGTGCTTCTGACCAACTGGCTATAAATCAGGTTCCTATGACTCTCTCCTTGGAGTCAGTTAATTTGCTAGAGTGACTCATAGAACTCAGGGAAACACGTTTACTGGTTTATTATAAAGAATATTACAAAGGATGCAGATGAAGAGATGCACAGGGCAAGGTATAGGAAGGCACATGGAGCCCCTCTGCCCTCCCCGGGTGTGCCACCCTCCAGGAACCTCCATGTGATCAGCTCTCCAGAAGTTCTCCAAACCCTGTCCTGATAGGCCTTTTATGGAGACTTCATTGGATTTTCATAACCATGACAACAATGTAGAAATATGATTGGACAAAAAGGGTGTGATCTGATACTAATAGCCTGACAAAACCCAGCAAAGCCTGTCTGTTCAGATTCTTCTTGGTCTCTCTGTGCAGCATTTCTACCTCCAGGGTATGGAACAGGACATTTTCTGAAATAGGGGTTTTATGACCCATAATCAGACAAGGTAGGTCAGATAAATTATTTATGGTCAGCTCCAAGAAAGCAAGTTGTGGGGAGATTAGAGTATATTTTTAGTTTCCATAGCCTGCCTTAGAAATAATAAAGGCTATGGGAGTTATGAGCCAGGAACCATGAATGAAAATCTGGAGGTATATATACACATATCATAATATCACACTGAGTCAGAGAAGGCCTTGCAGAAGAAGTAATATCTGAGTTGGCTTTTGGAGAGGAGGAAGAGGGAAAGTTTCTTAGTATGAGGACAGGATATGGAAGGGGAGGTTGTTTGGGGACATGAGAAATAGTGTCTTCAAAAGCACTGAGGTGAGAGACATCTGGTATATTCAGGAAAAAGTGAGAAGTAGAGAATATGGAGGAGAATAGTGAGAAATGAGACTAGAGAGGTAAATAATTGTCAGGTCCCAGAGACTTTGATTACCTTGCAATTATGTAATAGGCAACCATGAAAGTTTCCTATTACAAATGGAGTAAATTGGAAGTATACATGGAAATCTTAAAAATTCTTATCCAAATTCTACAAATGGAATAAATTGGAAGTATACACAGAAATATTTACAGTGGGAACTACAAGTGGATTCATGTTTGATTTTCAACATAAAATGGAATAACCAAAAACAAGACTCATTGCAAGTACCGGTTTACCAGCAACAATTTGAGATTCCTTGAAATACAGCTGCTTTGCTGGGTATCTGTGGGAATGACGGACTTCAGGGTGCTTGCTGTATGGTGAACTGAACTTGAGTGAATCTTAGCAGCCTCAGTAGAACAATAATTTTAAGAGTGTATTAAAGAAGAGCTTCAAACAATATAGTCCAAACTGAACCTCTAGGGAGCCATAGCAGCCTGACATGTAGTAATCAAAAAATCTTTGAGCAAAATCTTCTGTAGAATATTAGTTACATAAAGCCAACATGCAAATTGTTCTCAGTCCTGAAAATAGTGGTTACAGCCACAACCTAAAGACAAGTTCTATTTTTATATATTGTGAATAGTATGGCTTATGCCTAAACCGTAGACACACAGGTCTTGTTCTCACGCAAAGGGTGTATATGCTCATATGTGCTTACAACAAGGAGCAAGGATGGGTCACTGGTGGGAGGAGGGGTTGGGTGGTATATATAGAATACAGGAGAAAACCTCCATGATTTCTGACTTTACTAGCACTCCTGCTAAAGTAGGATAGCAACACTCACCTTTTAGAGACCTACACATTACAAAACCGAGCTTACAGAATGCACACAATAAATTTAAAAAAAATTTTTTAAAGCCAACAGGCAAAAATATGTCTATCAAATAACTCACGATGTTAGGAACAATCAACAGTTGTAAAAAAAATTTTTTTTCTCTACACTAAACAAGTGAATGTTTGCTTTTTTTTTTCCTTTTAAATAAATTATAGTTACTGATTGTGTTCATATTATACATAGTGGGATCAGAGTTGGAGGTTTTTTATAAATTCTATTGTTGTGGTACATTTTAATTTACTAAACTGAGTATACATATTCTTGGTAACTTTCTACCACCTCTAAAAATGAGTCTTTGACAGAATATATTGTGCAAAAAAAGATGATAGGAATTTTCTGTATAAATAGGGTGTTTTATCTCCATATACTGTTCTTTAACATAAGAGACCTTTTTTATTTTGCTCATAGTATGTTTGAATGTTTAAACATTTAAGTATTAAATCATGAACTCTATCTTATTCTTTAACTTTCTAGAGTCTTAAAAGCTGATGATGCCTTTAGGACTGAAAATTTTAAGGCTTTAATAAATGCTGTCAGACATGTTCAACAGCTACTATAAACCTTCTCTTAAACAGTTAAAACCACAGTTCTGACCCAGACCCACACAATATAATTAAGGCAGTTATTGGAGTAAGCTAGATTTGAAGTTAACGTAATTTCAGCCTATCATATTTTATACCCACACTTTTGAGGGACATTTGAATCTAGTGAGCTCTGAAAATATACAAGATATAGAAGTGCATATTGAGAGATAAATTTGAGTATATCTGTTAATGTTTATGTCTTAAGATTACTTTCCTTAAGTCTTTTAGTTCTTTTAATTCACCTTTCTTCCAGTAACCTCTCTGTTTGGCTCTTCTTTCCCAGATATCCCCCTTTGCTAGCCATTCCTTTAAAGGAGCAGTTAACCTGTGTGTAACCCAGATGCCTAATAGTTTAGGATGGGTGAAACTAATGACTCCCGGGGAACACTGGTGGAGTCCTGAGTCCCACATCCTCCTTACAAGCGGCTGTAAGAGGAGCATGCAGTAGGAACATATATGAACACCAGAGGATGTTATAGTGGCGTTGTCCAAACTTGAGTGGAGCAATTGACAGTTCCACATCTAGGTTTGTCAACAACAAATAACAGTTGGCTATACATATCTACTCTGAGTAGTTTAAGAACATTTTCTTTGGAGAGTGATTGTTCAGTTGTTACATAATCTCTAACTCACTGATTCTAAAAATTTTCAGATTAAATTAATGGGCATACCTGGAAGAAAAATAGCTATAGGTTGGTTGTCAAATAGATGGTGATTAGAATACTATTGGCGATTGATTTTTTTACTTGATATGAGTAAAGACCAGAATACAGAATAGTACATATAATAGGATATTCCATGGCAGATGTGTTTTATATGGTACTTTCAACTATTTGCCCCTGAGCTAGAGTATGAGTTAGATGTTTCTAAAAAGATCAAGTCTAACATGAATATATATATATATATATGTGTGTATACAGATCTTTAATAATATTTACTAAATGTTTTTATTTTTATTTTTTTTTTTAGACAGAGTCTCGCTCTGTCACCCGGGCTGGAGTGCAGTGGCACCATCCCGCTCACTGCAACCTCTGCCTCCCTAGTTCAAGCAATATTCATGTATCAGCCTCCCGAGTAGCTGGGATTACAAGTGTGCACTAACATGCCCGGCTAATTTTGGTATTTTTAGTAGAGATGGGGTTCCACCATGTTGGCTAGGCTGGTCTTGAACACCTAACCTCAAGTGATCCGACTGCCTCAGCCTCCCAAAGTGCTGGGATTACCGGTGTGAATGACTGTGCCCGGCACTAAATGCTTTTATGAATCCAGAAACTGTGCCCCCAGAGAGCTTATGATTTGATGAAGATAGGTCAGAGTATGGGCAGTATAAAGGAGTATAGTATAAAAAAATAAAAAGGAGCATTGGCAATTCAAGGTGGGATGAAATTGTGGAGGATTTTTTCTTTTCTTTTTTTTTTTTTTTTTTTTTTTTTTGAGATGGAGTCTTGCTCTGTCGCCCAGGCTGGAGTGCAATGGCGCAGTCTCGGCTCACTGCAAGCTCCGCCCCCCGGGTTCACACCATTCTCCTGCCTCAGCCTCCTGAATAGCTGGGACTACAGGCGCCTGCCACCACGCCCAGCTAATATTTTGTATTTTTAGTAGAGGCAGGGTTTCACTGTGTTAGGATGGTTTCGATCTCCTGACCTCGTGATCCACCTGCCTCAGCCTCCCAAAGTGCTGGGATTACAGGCGTGAGCCACCGTGCCCAGCCTAATTGTGGAGGATTTTTAAAGCTAATAGATTAGACTTAATGTAAGAACCAAGTACTTGCTGTACATTTCAGACCAGGCAGATAACATAAAGAGAGTGGGATTTTAAAACATTAATCTGATCAGAGCCAGGCACGGTAGCTCACACCTACAATCTCAGCAACTCAGGAGACTGAGGCAGGCGTTCAAGACCAGCCTGGGCAACATAGTGAGACCCTGCCTCTAAAAAATTTTTTTAAATTAGCCAGGCATGGTAGTTGGAGGCTGAGACAACAGGGTCATTTGAACCCAGGAGTTCAAGGCTTCAGTGAGCTATGATTGCACCACTGCATTCCAGCCTGGGTGACAGAGTGAGACCCTGTGTCTAAAATAATACACTTGAAAATAAAAATATGGTCAGAGCAATTGGAATTGTACAACAGTAGTCAATTGCATTAAGATAAGTGTAAAGTTCAAACTGTAGTAGTAAGTGCAGTATTAGTGAGGAAGGGGTTTCTTTCCAAGATTTCAAACAAATACATAGAATTTTGTGGGAATTCAGACGTAAGGGATGAACGACTGAAGCGTCAGAGTCTTAAGAGTTTGAGCATGGTTGAATAGAGTGACCTGTGAAAGACCAAGGCTGTGGATGTCAGTTTTCATGGCAATGTTTTGAGGAGTGTAGATAAAAGTATGAGAGGGGATGAGCTGGAAGCAGCCAGTAGGCTTAGATGCCTTAAATAGTATACATTTAATGTGCTAAAGGGCGTTGATGAAGGAACAGGGAGCATGCTATTTAGAGAAGTGAGCATGGATATCACCTTTTAAACCATTAGTTAGCAGTGGCTCAGGTATTTTCTCGATTTAGAGACTATAGCATACCATGTCACACTAGGAAAGCGTATATGAAAATCCAGACTTATAAAAATTAAAGAGTAGTTGCATTTAAAAGGATTCTTCATTTTCAGCAGGATTAGTCATAAAACTCATTTTAAAGAGTTGAACTTCTTAATATAAAAGAAGATGATTTACCAAAATTTGGTTAGAATGCAGTCCTTTAGAATTGCACTTTTTGGGGACATCTGCATTCAAATAATACCTGTCTTCTAGGGTAAAAGATGCCATGGGAAAAATTGCCAAAAAAAATGTTAGCAGTAAGAACCTTTTCAACAGGGAAAAGTTAGTTTTTAAATAACCACTTGTACATACTACCCTGTGACAGTAATATTCTTCACTAAGTTTGTTTTCTATACTATTTCATTTTTTCTGACAGTTCCTTTCTCCCCATCCCTACTCCTTATAGGTATATTTGGCCCGAAAGGAAGGATCATCTTTTGCTTATATTTCCTGGAAGTTTGAGTGTGGGTCAGTTGGCCTAAAAGTAGATAGCATTTCTATTAGAACAAGTAGTCAAACTTTTCAGACTGGAACAGTAGAATGGAAATTGCGATCTGATACAGCACAAGTAGAACTGACAGGCGGTAAGCATTTGCCTGGAGAATTAATCACGAAATATATATTTACCACTCTGAAGACTAATTGTACTTATTTGAGATGTAGCTCTTTTTCGTACCTAAGAGTTATTAATACTATTTCAGTAAAAAAAAAAAAATTTAATAAACCCTGTGTGATCCCATTGTAACAGAAAGGCTGATGTTTTCTGTTGTGAAATACAAATGCAAGGAAAAAATCATTTCTTTGTTTCAAAGGATGCATTTCTTCCATAAAGAATAATTTGTATTTATTTTTAAGGGTTTATTTTAACTTATACATCAGCCTATATAAAATACATTTCAAAATGATCTGTGCTCTTTAAATTACCAAAAGCAAAATGTTAATTTTTTTTTTCCCTCTAACAGATAACAGTCTTCACTCCTATGCTGATTTTTCTGGTGCCACTGAAGTTATTTTGGAAGCAGAATTAAGCAGAGGAGATGGTGATGTCGCTTGGCAACACACCCAGCTGTTTAGACAAAGCTTAAATGACCATGAAGAAAATTGTTTGGAGATAATTATAAAATTCAGTGACCTTTGAGAACCTGAACATTATAGAAAAGCTGGCAATAATCAAGGACTTACTGAAGTAGTCTGTTGGTTCAGTGCATGCTTAGTTGGCAGTTACCACCCTGTGCTAGCATATTTCTTTTGCTAGCTATCCATCATGTAACCCTCATGAAAATTATCTTTATACGTGGACTATAATAAAATATTGAATTAAAACCTTTCTTCCATATGTGACTATAATTTGGAGTAAAGTCTTGTTGACTCAATATGGGATTTTAATCTAAAACTGTAAGTATGGTTTTAAAAGTTAAATAATGATATTCATGATTAAATGCTATTCATGATTATGATAAAATCTTGGGCTTATGATAGTAATTTGACATTTTCTGATCAGCCATTCATTTCTTCAGAAGTGGTTAAATTAGAGTCTCCTAATATTTTTAATTAATGTGAAAGTACAGTAGCTCATAAATTATATAATGCATGAAAATTTATATGATTATAAATATTCAGGCATTTAAGAAATAAAATGAAGTATTTTGCCTTACATCTTTTTAGTGGTTATTTTGGCTAAATAAAAATCTTTTTTCTAAACATTGAAAAATACTTGAATAGATATGAGTTATGAAAACATTTAACATTGACAACATAAACTAGGATACATTTTAAATTCCATAATACGTGGACATTTTGAAAATGCCTTACCTTTGAGTTATATTTTTATCTACCTCATTGAATAAAATATTCTTGATTTTGAAACTATGTAACTATATTATACAGTATCTATATGTTGTATCAAGAGGTTTTGTGTATATTCTGTATAACCTCTCAAATTTAGTGAACATTTATTAAGCATTTATGTACAAAGCATTGTGATAGCACTGTGGAGGAAGCAGTGGTGAAAAAGACATAGCCCCAAGCCTCCAGATTCCTTTGTGATATTCTGCAAAGTGAGTTCTCAACTCTTTATACAAGAAAAAGACACACTCAAGAGTCTCACCCTGTGCCACTCAATAGAACGTGACATGTATTATAAAATATATAATAAGATCTGGAAACAAAGGTCTTATATTTATTCTTTTTTTCTTTTGAGAGATGAGATGTTGCTATGTTGCCTAAGATGCTTGGAACTCCTGGGCTTAAGCAACCCTCTCACCTCAGCCTTCCAAGTAGCTGGGACTACAGGCATGAGCCATTGCTCCCAGCTAATATTTGCTTTATAATTGCAGTAAAACTCTGTTGAGAATCATTTTTTGCTAAAAAGTTATATTTCAAAAGAAGTTTATGCATCTGAAATTATTAATATGTCTTGAATATAAGAACGTTTTCTGGAACTCTCAGACTCAAAATTTTAACCTATAGTGGCCAAGTACTTAAGATTGGAAGAACTTGACACTTACCTGTCTTGTGGTGTCTGCTATTGGCACAGTGAGTATTTTGATGATCATATGGGCTAATCCTGTTAACCAGCATGAAAAAACCTAGAACTTTTCAAGCAGTTTTATAAAGATGGTAATAGAATGTAGGAACTCAACTGAATGGATGCATTCTAACTTTTACTGTGGCTTTAAGCAGAAAACATTATTCGAGTTCAAATGTTTTATGTTGTTATAGAGTTGAACTGTCAAAGAGAAAAGGTAGTTGCACCCTTTTTTTGGGAATACTTTTCAATATATATACATATTTTTCATTTTACTTTAAGTTCTGGGATACAAGTGCAGAACGTATAGGTTTGTTACATAGGTATATGTGTGCCATGGTGATTTGCTGCACCTATCAACCCGTCATCTAGGTTTTAAGCCCCGCATGCATAAACTGTTTGTCCCAATGCTCTCCCTTCCCTTGTACCCCACCCCCCGCCTGGCCCTGGTGTGTGTTGTTCCCTTCCCTGTGTCCGTGTGTTCTCATTGTTCATCTCCCACTTATCAGTGAGAACATGCAGTGTTTGGTTTTCTGTTCCTGTGTTTGCTAAGGATGATGGCTTCCAGCTTCCCCCATGTCCCTGCAAAGGACATGATTTCATTCCTTTCTATGGCTGCATAGTATTCCATGGTGTATATGTACCACATTTTCTTTATCCAGTGTCATTGATGGGCATTTGGGCTGGTTCCATGTCTTTGCTAATATAAATAATGCTGCAGTAAACATACATGTGCTCGTGTCTTAATAGTAGAGTGATGTATATTCCTTTGGGTATATACCCAGTAATGGGATTGCTGGGTCAAATGGTATTTCTAGTTCTAGATCCTTGAGAAATCGCCACACTGTCTTCCATAATGGTTGCATTAGTTTACATTCCTACCAACAGTGTAAAAGCATTCCTGTTTCTCCACAGCCTCACCAGCATCTATTGTTTCTTGACTTTTTAATAATCACCATTCTGACTGGGATGAGGTAGTATCTCATTGTGGTTTTTATTTGCATATCTCGAATGATCAGTGATGTTGAGCTTTTTTTCATATGTTTATTGGCCACATAAATGTCTTTTGAGAAGTGTCTGTCCATATCCTTTGCCCACTTTTTGATGGCGTTGTTTTCTTCTTGTAAATTTAAGTTCCTTGTAGATTCTGGACATTAGATCTTTGTCAGATGGGTAGATTGCAAAAATTTTCTCCCATTCTGCAGGTTGCCTGTTCACTCTGATGATAATTTCTTTTGCTGTGCAGAAACTCTTTAATTAGATCCTATTTGTCAATTTTTGCTTTTATTGCAATTGCTTTTGGCGTTTTCGTCATGAAATCTTTGCCCATGCCTATGTCCTGAATGGTATTGCCTAGGTTTAATCAGTGTATAAAAATCACAAGCATTCCTATACACCAACAGTAGACAAGCAGAGAGCCAGATCATGAATGAACTCACATTCATAATTGCTACAAACAGAATAAAACATCTAGGAATACAGCTAACAAGGGATGTGAAAGACCGCTTCAAGGAGAACTACAAACCACTGCTCAAGGAAATAAGAGAGGACACAAACAAATGGAAAAACCTAACATCCTCATGGATAGGAAGAATTAATATCATGAAAATGGCCATACTGCCCAAAGTAATTTATAGATTCAATGCTGGTCCCATCAAACTACCATTAACATTGTTCACAGAATTAGAAAAAAATTAAATTTCATATGGAACCACAAAAGAGTCCGTATAGCCATGACAATCCTAAGCAAAGAGAACAAAGCTGGAGGCATCATGTTCCCTGACTTCAAACTATACTACAAGGCTAGAGTAATCAAAACAGCATGGTATTGGTACTAAAACAGACATATAGACCAATGGAACAGAACAGAGACCTCAGAAAAATACACATCTACAACCATTGCGACAAACCTGACAAAAACAAGCAATGGGGAAAGAATTCCGTATTTAATAAATGGTCCTGGGAAAACTGGCTAGCCATATGCAGAAAACTGAAACTGGTCCCCTTCCTTATACAAAAATTAACTCAAGATGGATTAAAGACCTAAAACACTTTACTTTTTTTGTTTTGTTTTGTTTTGTTTGTTTGTTTGTTTTTGAGACCGAGTCTCATTCTGTCACCCAGGCTGGAGTGCAGTGGCACAATCTTGGCTCACTGCAAGCTCTGCCTCCCGGGTTCACTCCATTTTCCTGCCTCAGCCTCCCAAGTAGTTGGGACTACAGGCGCCCACCACCACGCCTGGCTAATTTTTTGTATTTTTAGTAGAGACGGGGTTTCACCGTGTTAGCCAGGATGGTCTCGATCTCCTGACCTCATGATCTGCCTGCCTCGGCCTCCCAAAGTGCTGGGATTACAGGCGTGAGCCACTGCGCCCAGCCAAAAACACTTTTCATAAATATATTTCATGAGATTTTCAACCCTGAGCCTACCCAATATATGTTAGTAGATATTTTATTATTCAGAAAAGTTTGGAAATGGTACAGAAGGTATGGGACAACACAGTTCTTGATGATGTGAAAAGTTAAGTGACAGTAAACTGGTAAGGCAAAAGTAACTTAGGCAAAGAATGGCCGATAGTACAGACCCCTCAGTGAGCGACCAATATTAAGGTACATTTTATTTAGGATCTTCTGATTAATAAGCTTTCCACTGCCATTGCACATTATTTAAAAAGAATCTATACCCTGGTTTCAGGTCAGATCCCATCATGATGAATTCCACAGACACTGCTTGTTGCTGCAGTGTTTTATTTTTAAGAAAGTCCTTTGCTGGAAACCACATTCTCATGGTGAACGAGAAGTACATCTGATGCTTTGATCAATTCACAAGGAAAATAGTGCTTCTGATTAAAGGAGGGCCAGAGAACACTTTGTCATAGAACACTTCTGAGATAGAAAGGGTTGTTAGAGATAATTTAACCCAGATTTCTTACTTTTCCAATGAGGAAAACTCAAGCCCAGAGAAGGGAAATGACCTGTCCTGACAATTCAATGAATCAGTGGTGTAGGCAAGATTCATTTCTACATCTATCAAGTTGCAAGTTTATAGAATCAGAGACCTGTAAGTGGGTTGCTGTTTTAATAGGTGTTATGTGAATATAGATACTTTAATAGAAATGTTCAAGTTGAGAAGGTGTTACAATTGAAGTTAGAAGTTATTAATATTGAAATATAGAAACTTTAATAGAAATGTTCAAGTTGAGGTGTTATAATTGAAATTGATTTTTCTAACCATAGTTAAGCTTTTCTAAAGACTTTTTTTCGTCTACAACAATAAGTTGTGTTTTGATTTTATAGTACCAGCAGATACACTCTTCATAAACTAATAACGGATCCAGGTAGCACACCTTCCTTAAATACTTTTGGGAGAAGAAGAGGAAACCAATACAGGTCATGATTGGTTTTATTTCTCTTAGCATGTATTCAGTTACACTCTGCATATTGACCAAAACAGTTTTATTTCTAATAAGAGATTTAGAATAGACCTAAACCAATAGTCACCACTTTTTGAGTTTTTCCTAAGTGCCAGTGACTTTCATTGTCTCATTTGATCATGATGGCATTGTACAGTAGATACTGTATCTTATCCCCATTTTATAGATGATGAAACTGAAGAATTAAGTGGGAGCCAGTATTTTAATGGCTGTGTGTCCAACACCCCTTTCCTATTTCTTAAGCCACAGTGAAAACAGACTTAGAAGTTGCGACCTTGCTCTCTTCTCTCTTAGTTTTCTGAAGACTTGCTCTGGGCATAACGAAATTGTTTTAAAACGATATAACAAAATATTATAAAGTAAAAGTGCTGCCTCCACTTCCCATGCTCTACATTATTTTCCAAGTTAACTGCCAAAAATTTTACATGTGTCCTTCTAAAGGTTTCCTGTGGATTTTCATGTCTATATATGTATACACAGAAACATATACACACACACAGTTTTCATGTGTTTGCTTTTTTATGTAAATGAAAGTATATCCTTTTCCCGCTTGTTTTTTAACTGAAATCATTCCTTGGTCAGTCATGGTTCTGCTACACTTATTTTTAACTGCTTCACAGAATTCCGTAATTTATCCATTCTATTATTTACAGATATTTAGATTTTTCCCTTTTTTTGGTTATTAAAAGCCCTGCTACAATCAGCATCCTTCTACACATTTCTCTTACATAAAATACATGCAAAGGTATGTGCATTTTAAATCTGACTAGCTACTGTCAAATTGCCCTCTAAAGATAATTTACACACCCAGCAGTAGTGGTTGAGAACACCGATTTCCTCCCATTCTTACCGAAACTGAATATCGCAGCTGTGGTAGCCAACCACCAGAGATCCCCGCCGCTTAGCTTCCATACCCTTTGGGTTGTCCCTTTTATACTAAATTAGAGCTAGCCCATGTGTCCAATAGAATATAGTGAGTAATAATGTGGTATTTCCGAGGCTAGGACATAAAAGCCTCGGCTTTCTTGGACTGCTCTCTCAGAAAAAGCCAGTTGCCATGCCCCTAGGACACTCCAGAAGATCTGTGGAGCGGAACCGAGGCCTGCCTCCAATCGCAAGCACCAACTTGCCAGTCATGGAAGTGGTTTCTCCTGCCCCAGTCAAGCCTTTAAAAACTGTAGCTTCGAGGGAATGAGACACCCCAAGTCACAACTGCCCAGCCAAAGCACTAATGAATTCCTCATGCATGCACAGAAACCATGAGAGATAATAAATGATTTTTAAAAGACATTATTTCTGAGTGATTTGTTTATACATCATTAGATTTCCAAAATAGCAGTTACTTTTGCCATTCTGAACTGTGAAAAGTATCTAGTTTTAACTTACATTTCCCTGTTTACTTGTGAGGTTAAACAGTTTTTCAATATTCATTGGCCATTTTTGTTTTGTATTTAAATTTTCTATGTATATGTATTATATATAATTATATGTTAATATGTTTACAATATGTAAAATTGAATTTATGTATAAGCACACTCATACCTTTTTCTATTGGATGGGTTCTTTGTTTTGATAATCATATTTAATATCCGAGTCTTTTTTTTTCTTTTTTTGAGACGGAGTCTCACTCTGTCGCCCAGCCTGGAGTGCAGTGGTGCGATCTCGGCTCACTGCAAGCTCCGCCTCCTGGGTTCACGCCATTCTGCCTCAGCCTCCCAAGCAGCTGGGACTACAGGCGCCCGCCACTACGCCTGGCTATTTTTTTTTTTTTTTTTTTTGTATTTTTAGTAGAGACGGGGTTTCACCGTGTTAGCCAGGATGGTCTCGATCTCCTGACCTCGTGATCCACCCGCCTCGGCCTCCCAAAGTGCTGGGATTGCAGGCTTGAGCCACCATGCCTGGCCAATATCCAACTCTTTATGATTGCTTTTCTAAACATCAGCTTGCACTTGATGATTGTATTATCTTCTCTATCTCTTGAGATTACTAATTAGAACTATTCTAGAAGTCTCTTGTTACTGAAATATTTCTGTTTTCTCTTGAATTATATCACATTGTTCACCTTGGTTCTCTTTTATGTTTTCCTTAAATGTTTGATCCACTATATTCATAATTAAGGTCTAAACTGATAATAACAGGTAACCGGCCTGGGTTTGCTCACTGATGACGTATTTTTTTGCCCGACCCTTCCCTTGGGTGGGAGGGCTGACTGTGGGACAGTATAAGTGGTGGGCGTGGCATGCCAACCATGAGCTTTACCATGGGGTTCCTGGGCATCAGTTATGCAGACCCTCAGACCCTCACTCCCTGCTCAATACTTAGGTTCATTTGTTTTGGTGATTTTCTTTTTTTACTTATTTCTTATATAAAGCACACACACAATTCCAAAGTGAAAACTGTATATCAAAGTGCAGAAGTTTTGCTTCCAACTCTGTTTTCTTCCTTCTGTGTTTCCTTCTTCCACCCATCCCACCCTCATGGGTAACTATATTTATTAGCTTGGATTTATTCTTCCATCTTTCCCATTTTGAAAATAAAAGCAAAAAGCATTTCTCCCCCTTTCCATCACTGTAGACACTATTCTATACTCAGACACCATTTTGCACTTTGCCTTTTTTACTTAGCATTTCATGGAAGTCATGCTACGTCAGTATTTTATGAGCTTCCTCATTCTTTGTACATCTGTGTAATATTTCTTTCAATATATGATAATTCACAGTTTGACTTATCTCCAGTTTTTTTGACATTTAAAAATTAGTAGATTAACATAAAATCTGGATTTTTTTAGCTAATATCGAAAAATCGGATCATATAACAACACTGTGGTTCATAATTCCTGTATGGAAGCAGTTGGCTAGTACCCATGCCCCCTTTAAGACAGGACCAGTATAGGACCGGTACTTCCTGTTCACCATAAACCCCACATCCCTGTCTCTGGCTTCAGTGCTGAAGCCTAGTGTCAGTCACCATTTACCCCAAGACTTACACCAGTGTTCCTAGAGAAATACTCCTCTGTTCCCTTGTCTACCAAGGTTATAAAATCCAAGATGGACTAAATTGGTTGAATTTATTTACACATTAATTCATTCATTTTCACTTGTAATCACTTTACTCATGAAAGTTACCTACCTGTACATATTAGAGTTTGTGACTGCCTCTAAAGGAATGTACTGTTTTGTATATATTTTAGTCAAGTTTAACATAATTGTTTCATATTACAAATTCTTAAGATGATTTGACATGTCGATTAGCTTTTGGGGAAGTTGTTGACTTTGAATTGGTAGAAACTTAGACTCCATCAATAAGCTACATAAGATTGTAGGAATCATTACTCTTATCAAATACAAAATATAGGAGACTCAGCAATTTGTATGTCTTAATTTCTATAACTTGTACATTTTCTCAACTTTCAATTTTCTGTGACGCAAATATTCCCAATCTTTGTAGTTGTCTTTGGATTCTTGCAATGAGTAATTCTCAGAATGCTTTGTAAATATCACCACTGCATTTTGTGAAACTAGCTCTGCAGAGCTGGCTAGCTCCACCATAGCACTCTCATAGTTTAAAAGAATTGTCATTAGTATTTTTGTTTTTTCCCCCAGTTATTTCCTGCTATTATTTATTTTAGTTTTAATAACTAAAATACAAAGAAGTACAAAGAATAATATGACATAAACCAGTGCACTCTCCACTCAAGTAATATATATTAGCACTGTTTTATTTGCTTCATCTTCTAATGAAAAACGAAACACAGCACATGTAAAGATGAAATCTCCTATGGAACCTTGTATTAGTCCATTCTCACACTGCTATAAAGATATTACCTGATACTGGGTGATTTACAAGGAAAAGAGGTTTAATTGACTCACAGTTCTGTATGGCTGGGGAGGCCTCAGGAAACTTACAATCATGGCAAAAGGGGAACCAAGCATACCTTATGTGGCGGCAGTCGAGAGTGTAAAAAGCCCAAAGGGAGACTGGGTGCGGTGGCTCACGCCTGTAATCCCAGCACTTTGGGAGGCCGAGGCGGATGGATCACCTGAGGCCAGGAGTTTGAGACCAGCCTGGTCAACCCCATCTCTACTAAAAATACAAAAATTAGCCCAGCATGGTGGCGCGCACCTGTAGTCCCAGCTGCTCCGGAGGCTGAGGCAGGAGAATCTCTCGAACCCGGGAGGCAGAGGTTACAGTGAGCCAAAATGGCGCCACTGCACTCCAGCCGGGGTGACATAGGGAGACTGTCTCAAAAAAAGAGAAAGCCTAACGGAAACTACCATTTATAAAACCATCAGATCTCGTGAGAACTCCCACACTATCACAAGAACAGCATGAGGAAACTGCACCCATGATCCAATCACCTCCCACCAGGTCTCTCCCTCAACACCTGAGGATTACAATTCAAGATGAGATTTGGGTGGGGGAACAAAGCTTAACCATATCAACCCTCTTCCTCTTTTTTTTTTTTTTTTTTTTTTTTTAGGCAGGGTCTCACTTTGTCACCCAGGCTGGAGTGCAGTGGCACAATCTGGGCTCACCGCAGCCTCAACCTCCTGGGTTCAAATGATCCGCCTGCCTCAGTCCCCTAGGCAGCTGAGACTACAGGCACGTGCCACCATGCTCAGCAAATTTTTGTATTTTTCTGTAGAAATAGGGTTTCACCATGTTGCCCAGGCTGGTCTTGAATCTCCCCAAAGTGCTGTGATTACAGGCATGAGCCACTGCGCCCAGCCGGACCCTCTTTCAGTCCCATTTCTCCTACCTTCCACAGAGGCACCTGTAATCAGGAATTCTGTTTATTCTATGATCTTTTGCTATATACATATGTTAATAATATACAATGTTGATTCGTATGGTTTTAAGTCTACATAAATAGTATATATAGTACATAAGGTTCTGCAACTTGCTTTTTTATTCATTTTCTATGTCCATGTTGATACATATAGGTCTTGATAACTCCTTTTAACGGCTGCATAGATTCCATCATTTAACAGTACCCCAGTTTATTTCTCCCTTATTGACTTGATGGACATTTAAGATATTCTTAGTGTTTATTACAAGCAGTTGTTAGTATCACAGCTAATGCTTTATCTCCTTGTGCATAAGTGCAAAGTTTCTCTAGGATATATTCCTAGAAATAGAACTGATGGGTCATAGGATATGTATATTTTCAAATGTATTGCCAGTTGTTCTATAAAATGTTTAATGCTATTTACTCAAATCCTGCTTCTCTACATCTTGGCCATATGCAGTATTGTTAAACTTTATAATCTTTGCCAGTATGATCTGTGTAAAATAGTATTTAGTTACTTACTTTGTTTTTTTTTTTCTGATTATGGATGAGTTTGAGTATCTTTTCACATTTATTGATCATTTGGGCTTTCTGTTCTGTGATCAAATATTTTGCTTTCTTTTCTTTTCTCTTCTTTGTCCTTTTCTTCTTGCTGGTTTTTAGGAGGTCCTTATGTATTCTGGACATTAATCTTTTGTCTGTTATATATTTCTATAATATTTTCTCCATATATGATCCATCTTTTAAATTCATTGATTATTTTTTGTTAGAAACAACACAACAAAGCCATATTCTCTACAAGATCTATTTAGAAAGATAACCTTTCACTTATACCTCTTTATAAGCACTGAAGCCAATCTAACTAGAAAAAGGGCTTTGTGGGAAGAAAAGGGACAGCGGTTTCTGGTAGCAAAAAAAAAAAAAAAAAAAAAAAAAAAAAAAGGTATGCTAAATTCCTGGAGTCTTTGAAATACAACACTGAATAAAAGTTTATGTTTGATGGCAATGTGCTTATAATTTGGAGAATGTTTAGGCTTAGACAGAAGTAAATGCTTGAAAAGGAAGGCATTTTCATGCTGAATTCCTTGGTCAGAAAGACATCTGAAATGTTATGTCATCCCTTTCAGACAAAAAAAACTCAAAAAAGCAAAGAGAGTCTTTGATCTTCACTTAATAAATATGGAACCATCAAAGCTCTTGAACTCCTTGTAAACTTAAATTTGAAACAGATTAAATGCTGAGGGGGAATGATAGCAGGAGAGCTTTTTGAAATGAATCACTAAGTAGCTGAATTTCAAAAAATTCATGGTTGAGGAAATGAGGATGGTAATTTCACTTGGATCCAAATCATCTGACAGTATGAGGAGTGTTAGCACTGAATGGTCATGTAATCAAGCCATGTATCTTTGCCACTAAAGGAAAATATGGTATTTTTCAAAATAAAATACTATTAGCCTGAAAATACCAGGTGGCAGAGGAGTTACCCAAAGGATAAAGCACAAACTCAAGTACCACTTTTTCCATGTATGGGAGTATGTGTCTACATTGAAGCAGTCACAAGGTTCCTGAAGACCAAGATGCTTCACTTCCT
The DNA here is from genome assembly GCF_000001405.40 of Homo sapiens. Classification (NCBI taxonomy): domain Eukaryota; kingdom Metazoa; phylum Chordata; class Mammalia; order Primates; family Hominidae; genus Homo; species Homo sapiens. The sequence goes on along the minus strand of NC_000003.12, from coordinate 25,708,257 downwards.
GCTCTCCTTCCGCTTCTCTGTAGAAAACGTCCATGCCAGTCCCTGGATGCACACAGGAGCTGCATGAATGCCTAATATAAGCATATTAAATAACCATGACTCCTAAAACGTATTTTCAGTGGGAGAATGAAAACATTTTCCATTTGATAGCTCAAACTCTTCTCTCCATATCATAAACCATAACTCATGAAATCTTCTGGAAACTTCATTTTGCTTTGTGACTGTGAGTTAATTATTTTTCTTAGTTTGAATGCAGTGTTGTGTTTAAGCCTCATTTTCTGATAAAAGTATAATTTTTATTTCACTGCAGAAGGAATTGCATACAGATTAAATTATACTTCTATTTGTGAAATAATTCCACCTGTAAACTATTTGTGAATGTATTACAATGGGAATACATGAGTAGAAAGAGAAAGAAAAGAAATTACAAGATGTGTAGTTAATATTTCTGCTATTTTCCTTTTGTAATGGAGCCTTGCACAGTGCATGATCTCTCAGACAGTGTTCTCCAGAGCAAGGACTATGCATCACACCATATGAGGGGTGTGTCTAAAATGCAGTCTTCTGGGTCTCATGTAGGAGGTTTCAAGTCAGAATCCTTGGCTGAGGCTAGGGAATGTAGTTTATTAACAAGTCCCTGATTTTTAAATGGACAAACATTTGAGAACTGCTGTTCTAACCTAATGCTCACATTTTTATAATGAGGAAATTGAAGGTCAGAGAGTTAAGACATTGGCACAGGTTACACAAGTTAGTAACTCCTTGACCAGTGTTTAATATTTGGAAGAGTATCTAATTGCTAACCTGTCTCATTCTCATTTTTACCAATATTTTACTAATGTGGGTTTTTTTGTGTTTTATTGTAATTTCCCTTGAGTCATTATATGCCGGCTGCTTTTTTAACTCGAAAAAGGAGTAACTTCAGCTTTTTCTGGTTCTCTTCTCTTAACTCATTTACAACAGAGGGTTACCTCCAAAGGGAGAAGAGGAGAAAATAAAGGAGGGAGAAAGAAAAATGGTGTCTTAGATTAACGGTGCCCATTTCTTTGCATCATATTTCATCTTGAACCCAGTACAGTTTGTCTTTTACCCATTCACTCTGCTGAAACACAAGATGGCAAGCCCCTTAGGGACTGTGTTCTGTTCTTTTTTGTTGCCCCTACTATACTTAGCACAGCACCCAAGAGGGACATAGTAAGAGGCAGCAAACAGTAAGCAGATCAACTACAGAATTAAAAGAATCCAAAGTGGATTCCCTGCCTCTCCAGGAAACTGTGACTCCTTTGGGGTATATTTAATGGTTTAGCTCCAGGACAAATTCTAAAAATTTTGCATCCACTGTGCTGCAGATTATTGTACAAATTTGTGAAATGTTATTGAAGATCCACTTTTGAGCTCTTCTTTATGTTAGCCTTTAAGTAGTAGTCTCAGATACACGGATATTTCTTCATTCTCCCTCAGTCAGGGGGACTAGATCTCTCTCAACCTGCATTCTGGTTCCTCTTCTGATTGAATCTATCAGCATAATTCAACTTGGCTTTCTGGTACCCTAATCAGTTGAACAAGTGATCATCTTATATTGAAATTGCCATGTATGTTATTTAAATTAAAATGTATGGTTAAAATCATCACTGGGATAGCTTGACAGCAGTGCACATACCACAACCTTCTTAAAACTTTTTTTTTCATGGTCAATTCTTATCTATCTTTCAGTTCTTCTTGCCTAACTGAGGTCTTTTACCAAAGCTCAATTTTGAGTCTTTGTTCTAATTTCACTATGCCTTTTACAGAACTGAATATATCTCATAGTTTTACTGATCAACCTAGATGTAAAGGACTCCCACAGTTCGACTTCAGGCAGGCAGATATCTCAGTGATGTCTGAGTTTCACATCTTTGGCCACCTGGGTTCCATATCTATGCAGATATTCCACTGCCGTTCTCAAACACAATCCAGTCTTTCGTATGACAAGCTTCTTGTTAACAAATGTGTAGGAGAAAGCTCGACATTCATAATATAGTTGATTCAACCATTCAGTTATTATTGACAGTCTAATCTGTGTCAGGAACTAAGTACTAGGATTATAGCAATGAATAAAATAGACAAAACCCCCTGTTCTCATATAATTTATATTTTAGAGAGAGAGAGATGAGTTTTAAACAAAATATACACATATTTAGATAGTGATAGATAGATGTTTAGATAGTGATAAATTCCAAAGAGAGTAACAGTGAAATGATTGACAATTTGGTGTAGCTTTATTGTCTACACTCACCTCTACCTGCCAGATGTTGGTTACAAGGAGGACACATTACCATTCATTACCATCTCTCACTGTGAGTATTGAATAATTTAGATAGGCTATGCATTTTGCACACTTCCTTGAGCTAGCTGCAAGCATCCCCCTTTCTCCCTCACTGGTTGCCCTCCCACCACTGTGTCATCAGGATAAACCCCATGCACCTTTTCTTCATATGAAATAGTTTGCTCTCCCATGTGTTGTGTCAGTGATGTTAACTGTGGCCCTACTTGTTGTTGGAGGTTATTGAAGGACCAACCATTGGCCTAGTAGTATTGTACTAAACATTGATTCAGAGGAATGTTGAAGTGAAACTCAGGGCTTATCAGCATCTTTCCATCTCTACATGGACCAATTTGCCTTCTTGCTTTGGTCTCACTAATGTCCCGTCAGTCTAGTGGAGCTGCCTTGTTAAATAGTTGTATAGCTTTAAGTAATTTCCTTCTCTGAGTCTGTTTTATTATATGATACATGAGATAATAACTCCAACTTTTCAAGAATGTAGTGAGGATTAGAGATATTTTATGTGAAGCATTAGCATGATGCTTGGATACAGTAAGATTCAATGAATGGTAGTGGTCATTGTGCTTGACCTTCTCTCTTCCTGGAGGGCCAGACCTGGTCAAACCTTGCCTTCCTGAAATTCAGCCTTGGCTACTCCTGTGTAGATGCCTTTCTTTTCATTCATACTTGCTTCAGCCATAACATCTCTTTGTAAATTTGCAGTTATTTCCAAAAATGTAACAAGAAAATCAGATTCTGAAGAAATTGTTAGTCCTAAATAAAATGCAGTAAATACTAACTTAAAAGCAATTAAAATTTATTTTTATGCAGCTGTGACTCTGGGGTTTATAAATTTTAAAACAGTTTAATTATTTTTATTTTTTCTTGTAATTATCTTTCTTATAATACATGTTCACTATAGAAAAAGATAACATACAGAGAAGCAAAACTTTAAAAATCACCTGTAATCCCATTGCTCAGAGATAATCACTGATTGGATTCTGGTATGTATCTTTACCAAAATACATATTTATCTTAAGACAGGAACAATTTTTAAGTTAATATATCTTTTTTAAAATAAAAATAAAATTGCACTATACATAATGTTCTGTAATTTAAACGTGAATCATAATGTATTTTTCATTATTTTTTATGACTGCATAGTAATCAACTATCTAGATGCATTATAATTGGAAGCAAACCAATTGCCTGCTGGATTTTTAGTGGTTTTATTACTTTGTGGTTTTGTTTTTACTAAGTTTTTTTAAGAGACAGTAAGTTGTTTTAAGAGAAACAATAAATGGTAAGATAATCAGCTATTTGCAATTTTTTAAAAAAATCAAAATACCCAGAACATGTCCTGAGATGATATAGCTGCAGTTCAGTTTTCTATTCATTAATAACATCTTAGAGAGTCACCAATTTGTTGTGACTGTCACCAAGGCATTATACTCTTCCCTCCCTGCTGCTTTTATTACTGGATACCTCCTATTTTCAAATACTATAGTGGAAACTGAGGATGCAACCCCAGCATTCAAGGAACTACTCTACTTCTTGGTATGGGACTAACACTTTTAGGGTGTGAAATATTTAAGCAAGGGTTTTTAAACAGCATTACACGACTATAAATTAAATTGGCTGGATTTTATGGTTCATGTATGATTAGTACAGAGATTTTTTGTTTGTTTGTTTGTTTGTTTGTTTTAGACGGAGTCTTGCTCTATCGCCCAGGCTGGAGAGCAATGGCGCGATCTCGGCTCACTGCAACCTCCACCTCCTTGGTTCAAGTGAGTCTCCTGCCTCAGCCCCCTGAGTAGCTGGAACTACAGGTGTGCGACACCACACCCGGCTAACTTTGTATTTTTAGTAGAGACAGAGTTTCACCACGTTGGCCAGGCTGGTCTTGGACTCCTAACCTCAGGTGATCCGCCCGCCTCAGCCTCCCAAAGTGCTGGGATTACAGGCATGAGCCACCACACTGGGCCGAGATGTTCTTTATGTTTGAATCTCAATTTTGTTAACTATTCTAAACATATAGAGCATCGAATATACCATTTCCTGATCTTCTTGTTTCCTACTTGTCGTGTGCTTAAAAAACAAAAAGTAATCTATTGCTTAATCTCATGTACCATAAAGATAAAGGAATATCAGAATAATTGGAACGGACTTCTGTAATTTGTGACAGATATGTTTGGCATTTCAGGAAGACAGTAATTTTGAAGGAGAAGTGAGATTAAAATAGAGCCCGATGGCTAAGTGCAGGCCTGGTGGTTCTGGACTACAGCTTGTTTACATGAAAGCATAGAATTTAGAGATCCACATTAAGCTGAACATACTAGCCTCTGTGAACTGTTTTAAAGATTGTGCATGCTGTGATTAACTCAATATTGTGCAAAATACTTTTAGACCCCAATCTCCTGACAAACAGATTCAACATAGGCAAAGTTTGAATCTGTTTACAGTTCATATATCGATAAGATGTAGACAACATTCATTGTATAAGAAAGTAGGTTTCAAAGATACAGTTAAATCTCAGCTTTCTGCAGTAAGTATTATATCTGACTAGTATTAATTAACAGAAGGTAAATGTGTAAAAATACAATTAATAGATTGCATCTTTTCAAACTCAGCCTCATCACTGCATAAAATTATAGTAGGTGACATTATGAAGAAATCACATATACTTTGGGTTCTTATGGTAAATTAAATTGATCCAGCAACCATTTAGATGAACTACCAGCATCTTAAATGGAAGATATTCCACACCAACCCAAAATCTACCTGCTCAACTGCAAGAGCAGGTAGATTTCCGATCTTTCCTATTTCTATCAATAATGCCAACTTACATCATGAAATCTTATGAGGTCCATCTTGTTGATTCTTCTTTTAAAATATTTCTATCTTCCACTCATTCCTCTCTAACCCCATAACATGGCCAAGCCCTCATGCCTTCCTAATTGGCTTCTGTGCTCTAGTATCTCCTTCTTCCAATATATTCTACATGTTACTGCAAAGTTATCTGTGATCTTCTAGAAATATTTATTTAATCAGATCCATCCTCAGTTCAAACTCCCCCTTCATTCTCCACAAGAAAAATCTTCGTTCAATTCTTACCACATAGTAGGTCTTCCAGAAATGTTGAGTGCCTGATGGGCTGACTCACTGATTGGTTTTCAAAATGTGACATTTTAGTTTTATTTTAGCTCACTCATGTGAGTCCTTAAGTTTGAACTTATGACTCTGGTACTGTATTTCTTCTGGGTTGTTTTCATTTCCACTATTAAATGCACTGTGGTATTGTAAAATGATTGTTGACAGTGAAATAAACTAATGTGATTAAAGCTTTAACTACACTTCTGTCTTATGAAGTAATTCAGAGTCACAATCTAACTTGCACCTCATTAAAACTTAAATCATTCACAATGTGTGTCTTTAAGTTGAAGATACTGATTTCCATAACCCTCACTGGAAAACCAGTCTTATTATTTTTCTACTTCCCTGTGGATACTCAACTCTTCTTCTCATTGTTTTATTTTTAGACCCAGCCGACCTGCCAATCATCTGTCTGTGAGCTACTCACGGACAAGACCATTACTAAACAGGATTGTAACGTTAGGGTTTATGGCTAAAGCATAAATGTTTGTAAATCAGCTGAATACATTGAGCATACAGTTTAATCACTTTATATTGAAGAGAACATTTAAATGAAATGTTAAATGTTTGCATTTGAACTGAAAGTATTTTCTCCACTTCCCCACTGCCCCCATTTAGGATTTCCAAAAATTGTGATTAAATTTCAGCAAGACTTAATATCCACTTTAGAATAATTATATAACCAAGATTAAAATGATTCACATAATCAAATTTACAAATTGAACAAAACAAATGAATTCTACTAGAGGTACAATGAGGAGCTGGTAGCATTCCTTCTGAAACTATTCCAATCAATAGAAAAAGAAGGAATCCTCCCTAACTCATTTTATGAGGCCAGCATCATCCTGATACCAAAGCCGTGCAGAGACACAACCAAAAAAGAGAATTTTAGACCAATATCCTTGATGAACATTGATGCAAAAATCCTCAATAAAATACTGGCAAACCGAATCCAGCAGCACATCAAAAAGCTTATCCACCATGATCAAGTGGGCTTCATCCCTGGGATGCAAGGCTGGTTCAATATACGCAAATCAATAAATGTAATCCAGCATATAAACAGAAACAAAGACAAAAACCACACGATTATCCCAATAGATGCAGAAAAGGCCTTTGACAAAATTCAACAGCCCTTCATGCTAAAAACTCTCAATAAATTAGGTATTGATGGGACGTATCTCAAAATAATAAGAGCTATCTATGACAAACCCACAGCCAATATCATACTGAATGGGCAAAAACTGGAAGCATTCCCTTTGAAAACTGGCAGAAGACAGGGATGCCCTCTCTCACCACTCCTATTCAACATAGTGTTGGAAGTTCTGGCCAGGGCACTTAGGCAGGAGAAGGAAATAAAGGGTATTCGATTAGGAAAAGAGGAAGTCAAATTGTCCCTGTTTGCAGACAACATGATTGTAAATCTAGAAAACCCCATTGTCTCAGCCCAAAATCTCCTTAAGCTGATAAGCAACTTCAGCAAAGTCTCAGGATACAAAATCAATGTACAAAAATCACAAGCATTCTTATACACCAATAACAGACAAACAGAGAGCCAAATCATGAGTGAACTCCCATTCACAGTTGCTTCAAAGAGAATAAAATACCTAGGAATCCAACTTACAAGGGATGTGAAGGACCTTTTCAAGGAGAACTACAAACCACTGCTCAATGAAATAAAAGAGGATACAAACAAATGGAAGAACATTCCATGCTCACGGGTAGGAAGAATCAGCATTGTGAAAATGGCCATACTGCCCAAGGTAATTTATAGATTCAATGCCATCCCCATCAAGCTACCAATGACTTTCTTCACAGAATTGGAAAAAACTACTTTAAAGTTCATATGGAACCAAAAAAGAGCCCGCATCACCAAGGCAATCCTAAGCCAAAAGAACAAAGCTGGAGGCATCATGCTACCTGACTTCAAACTATACTACAAGGCTACAGTAACCAAAACAGCATGGTACTGGTACCAAAACAGAGATATAGATCAATGGAACAGAACAGAGCCCTCAGAAATAACGCCGCACATCTACAATTATCTGATCTTTGACAAACCTGAGAAAAACAAGCAATGGGGAAAGGATTCCCTATTTAATAAATGGTGCTGGGAAAACTGGCTAGCCATATGTAGAAAGCTGAAACTGGATCCCTTCCTTACACCTTATACAAAAATTAATTGAAGATGGATTAAAGACTTAAATGTTAGACCTAAAACCATAAAAACCTTAGAAGAAAACCTAGGCATTACCATTCAGGACATAGGCATGGGCAAGGACCTTATGTCTAAAACACCAAAAGCAATAGCAACAAAAGCCAAAATTGAAAAATGGGATCTAATTAAACTAAAGAGCTTCTGCACAGCAAAAGAAACTACCATCGGAGTGAACAGGCAACCCACAAAATGGGAGAAAATTTTCACAACCTACTCATCTGACAAAGGGCTAATGTCCAGAATCTAAAATGAACTCAAACAAATTTACAAGAAAAAAACAAACAACCCCATCAAAAAGTGGGCGAAGGACATGAACAGACCCTTCCCAAAAGAAGACATTTATGCAGCCAAAAAACACATGAAAAAATGCTCACCATCACTGGCCATCAGAGAAATGCAAATCAAAACCACAATGAGATATCATCTCACACCAGTTAGAATGGCAATCATTAAAAAGTCAGGAAACAACAGGTGCTGGAGAGGATGTGGAGAAATAGGAAGACTTTTACACTGTTGGTGGGACTGTAAACTAGTTCAACCATTGTGGAAGTCCATGTGGCGATTCCTCAGGGATCTAGAACTAGAAATACCATTTGACCCAGCCATCCCATTACTGGGTATGTACCCAAAGGACTATAAATCATGCTGCTATAAAGACACATGCACACGTATGTTTATTGCGGCACTATTCACAATAGCAAAGACTTGGAACCAACCCAAATGTCCAACAATGATAGACTGGATTAAGAAAATGGGGCACATATACACCATGGAATACTATGCAGCCATAAAAAATGATGAGTTCATGTCCTTTGTAGGGACATGGATGAAATTGGAAACCATCATTCTCAGTAAACTATAGCAAGAACAAAAAACCAAACACCGCATATTCTCACTCATAGGTGGGAATTGAACAATGAGATCACTTGGATACAGGAAGGGGAATATCACACTCTGGGGACTGTGGTGGGGTCGGGGGATGGGGGAGGGATAGCATTGGGAGATATACCTAATGCTAGATGACACGTTAGTGGGTGCAGCGCACCAGCATGGCACATGTATACATATGTAACTAACCTGCACAATGTGCACATGTACCCTAAAACTTAGAGTATAATAAAAAAAAAAAAAGAAAGAATGATGGAAAGACCTACTAAAATTTGAGGTGCTGTTCTAGAGGATGCAGTACATACATGCCTTAATTCTACAGTGGTGACTGCCTTATAGTCAGGATCCAAGGGTTCGAGAACCAAAAGGTAAGGTAGGAAGGGCCCCTTTCATTATTATTCCTTTCAATACACTTCCAGAACTTCTCCCTTTAATCTTCATAACCATGGATTTGGTGGGTTTGTGTCCAAGTGCCCAAGGAAGGAATGCTTTTCCATGCTTAACAGTCAGGCAGTCCTGTTAAATGGAAAATTGAGCCCCTCTGTTTGGCCGTTTTTGGCTCTTGTGCTACTTAACCTAGAGGGAGCTAAAGGGGTGACTCTTACGGACGCATGATAGAAACCAATTAATAATGAGAAAATGAGTTGTTACCTTACCAGGTAAGGTGTTTGAAACCCAGGGGATTCACTATAGCAATCAGTAAACGCCCCAAAGACTGAGGTATGACAGGAAGGGGGTTTGGCTCACCCTATCAGGTAAAGAACCCCATCCAGCTAAGGTTTTAGCAGAGGATAAGGGGAACGTGGAATGGGTAGTGGAAGAAAAAAGTCATGATTCTCAAATTAGAATTTGTAACTGGTTAGAGAATTAAGGAATGTAGCAGCTGTTTTGTGTTAATTGTCTCCCCTACCCCCTTCTCTGTTAATTTTTTTTGCAATGTTCTAATAAAATATAATTTATATAACATACAAAAAAAAAAGACACATGCACACGTATGTTTATTGTAGCACTGTTCACAATAGCAAAGACTTGGAACCAACCCAAATGTCCAACAATGATAGACTGGATTAAGCAAATGTGGCACATATACACCATGGAATACTATGCAGCCATAAAAAATGATGAGTTCATGTCCTTTGTAGGGACATGGATGAAATTGGAAATCATCATTCTCAGTAAACTATCGCAAGAACAAAAAAACAAACACCACATATTCTCACTCATAGGTGGGAATTGAATAATGGGAACACATGGACACAGGAGGGGGAACATCACACTCTGGGGACTGTTGTGGAGTGGGGGGAGGTGGGAGGGATAGCATTGGGAGATATACCTAATGCTAGATGACATGTTAGAGGGTGCAGTGCACCAGCATGTCATATGTATACATATGTAACTAACCTGCAGATTGTGCACATGTACCCTAAAACTTAAAGTATAATTTTAAAAAAAAATGAATTGGTAGAGACAGTTCCTAGGGTGCTCTGATGTATCACATCCTCTCAATTACCCCAGTTGATAACCATTGCTGTTATTTCTTTACCTAGGTTTTAGGTCCCTAAATATTAGCTGATAAGAGAGTCTCCTTGTCTCTTAACTTAATTTTTATAAGTACTCCTGGAGATGTGCACAGCTTGCTGATCAGTGACTGAAAATGAGGGAAATGAAGAAAATCTGAATGTTTCTGGCTAATATTGGATGATTCTGGATAATTAACTTCTGAATAATTGAGTGTAATATACATATTTCTTTTGATTCATAGTTAGAAGCTTTTTTAGCTTTTCTGATTGCACACTCTATATTTTCTAATTGTAGGCTGAGTGTCAAATTGCCCATATTCCAAAGACTGGAAAGAAATGTGGGAAGTTAGCTTACGTTTCAAACTTATTTAAAATGTGCATAATTTTTTAAGCTATGTAGACTATTTTTACCAATAAGCTAAGTTTAACATTTCTCTCACTGTGCTGGAATGATGCTGCTACTGTAAAATGCTATTGTGTAGATTGGAAATTTAGAGAGTAATTATATGTTCAAAGGGCTTCAAGCCAAGTTCTACTTCATGTTTCTTAAGAGCTTTGCCTCCAGCCAGTGTGGTAATACTAGGAGAAGTTACTCATTCTTAAGTACAAGACACCTGTAGCAGAATCTGCAAAGACCCAAAAATAGTTACTAAACGAGCTATTCCCTGCTGAAGTGGCATCAGTAGAGATAGATGATTTAATAGGTGAAAGATGCAGGGACCTCTTTTATATGCTTGATGGTGGGAATTATCTTTAAAATCTTTTAAGGATTATTTTTACACAAGGAGCACTGTAGAAGCTTTTTCCTGGTTTATTTTAGTACTATCAAGGCTGTTACTTGAATTAGAAAATGTCAGAAGAATGATTGTAGACTGTTCATTTGATTGTACCAAACAATGAAGGGCATTAAGTGTGGTAATCTGAGGCACATTCAGTAAAGATTTTTGGAAAAGTTACATATTACAGTGGTTTTCCTCCTCCTCATCTTCCTCATTATTCCCCCTTCTGTTCATTCTCCTCTTCCTCCTCCTCCTCCCCCATCCCTCCTCTTCCTTTTCTTCTTAAAAATGAATTGGTAGTTCTGACATTCGTATATATAGACTCTAATTTACCAGTGGGCTATGTTCCATAAATATGTTTGAGGTCAGTTAGCTGACATAACAGAAAGACCAAGGACACTGAAGTACGCCAGAGTTGGCTGAATCCTGGCTCTATTATTTCTTAGCTGGGTTGAGTCGCTTTACCTTTCTGAGTCTCTTTTTGCATGTGTAGAAAAAGAATATCTTCCTTACTGAGTTGTTATGAAGATTAAAGAGAATATATATAAAACCCAAAGCACAGTGCTGTGGACGTTGTAAGTATTCAATTTATAACAGTAATAGACTATAAGTAGTAGATACAGCTATAGTTGTCAGAACTAAGAATTAACAGCAGAAATGTAGGTGACTACACTATGTGTTAAATGAGTTTTTGCGGAGCAGCCGAGAAAATCAATCTTAATTAAAACTAAGGTGAAGAAAAATTTTTATAACGTTCAACTCTGAAAAAAACAAAGACACTTAAGGCCAAATTTTTAAAATTTTATAATGAAATTAGCTTTAGCCTATGAGCAAGAATATGTGTTTTCACAAGCTATAGAAGCTTTTCGATTGGAAGAAAGTCGTAGAAAATATTAGCACTGTGTTTTTGACAATGTTTAATATCTGTCGGTATTTGAGAAGAAGCAAAACAGAGACAACTGGTTGAGTGCAGTGGCTCATGCCTGTAATCCCAGGACTTTGGGAGGCAAAGGTGGGTGGATTGCTTGAGCTCAGAAGTTTGAGTCGAGCCTGGGCAACATGTTGAAACCCTGTCTCTACCAAAAAAATACAAAAATTAGCTGGACATGGTGGCTGTGTGCCTGTAGTCCCAGCTACTCCGGAGGCTGAGGTGGGAGGATTGCTTGAGCCAAGGAGGCAGAAGTTGCAGAGTTGAGATTGCGCCACCGCACTCCACTCTAGGCAGCAGAGTGAAACCCTGTCTCAAAACAAAACAAACAAACAAAAAAACAGAGACAACTTATTTTTCATCCTTTCATGTGCATAGAGCTTTAGAGTTTATAAATTTGTTCATAGGTGTTATCTCAGGGGTTGTACCAACTGTAAAGTTAGAGACACTGAGGCTTAAGCAAAAATCACTTGCTTGAAGTCATAAAATAAGTTAACAGCAAAATGGGAACTAAAATTAGTTTATGTAATTTATGGAAACACTTGCTGAGTGCATGCCAATCCTGGGGAAATGAAAATAAATATATCTTCTACTACTTCCTCCTGCCAACACCTAACACAATCTAGGTCTTCCTCTCTAAGGATTTTAACTTTCCTCTCTGCTTGGGCCAAGTAAAGAATGGTGAGCTGTGCAATCCAGAACAGAACTTTCTCCCTGGGCTTGCCAATTCCTGGGCAATGCCAATAAGGCATTAGTTGTCTGTCATTCAACAAGAAGCCTCTTGGGCAGGGGCCACAGGTTCCCTCTTCCCCCAAGTGTGCACACATACCTTCGAAGGTCCCAGAACCAGAGAGATTTTCTGTTACATCAAGGCAGAGTGGACTGGAATTCCTCCAGAAAATCTACATCACTCACATTTGGGTATTTTGGTTGTTAAATATGTATTAATAATAGTTCACCACTGATACCTAAACTGCCAACCTAGTACCTCTCAAAGCACCAAAAGTTAAGGCATCTTATTTTCTACAATTCAGCGACATTCTGTGATGATCATTCTCTCATAATAGTTTTTTCAATGTTTGTTTGTTTGAGACAAAGTGTGGCTCTATTGCCCAGGCTGGAGTGCAGTGGCGCGATCTCAGCTCACAGCAACCTCCACCTCTTGGGCCCAAACCATCCTCCCAACTTAGCCTCCCGAGTAGCTAGGACTACAAGCATGCATCACCATGACTGGTTAATTTTTGTATTTTTTTGTAGCGACGGGGTTTCACCATGTTGCCCAGGCTGATCTCAAACTCCTGGGCTCAAATGATAGGCCCGCCTCAGCCTCTCAAAGTGCTGGGATTATAATCAATGTTTTTAAAGATAAGAAAAATACTTTGCAAAATTAGAGATGACACAAACAAATAGAAAAACATTCCATGCTCCTGGATAGGAAGAATCAATATCATCAAAATGGCCATACTGCCCAAAGCAAATTATAGATTCAATGTTATTCCCATTAAAGTACCACTGACATTCTTCACAGAATTAGAAAAATTTATTTTAAAATTCATATGGAACAAAAAAAGATCCTGAATAGCCAAGGAAATCCTTCTTTTTTTTTTTTTTTTTTCTTTTTTTTTTTTGAGATGGAGTCTCACTCTGTCGCCCAAGCTGGAGTGTAGTGGCGCAATCTTGGGTCAATGCAACCTCCACCTCCCAGGTTCAAGTGATTCTCCTGCCTCAGCCTCCAGGGTAGCTGGGACTACAGGCGTGTGCCACCATGCCTGGCTAATTTTTTATATTTTTGGTAGAGACAGGGTTTCATTGTGTTAGCCAGGATAGTCTTGATCTCCTGATCTTGTGATCCACCTGCCTCAGCCCCCCAAAGTGTTGGGATTACATGTGGGAGTCACCGTGCCTGGCCTAGCCAAGGCAATCCTAAGCAAAAAGAACAAAGCTGGAGGCAACATGCTACCCAACTTCAAACAATACTACAGGGCTACAGTAACCAAAACAGCATGGTACTCGAACAAGAATAGACACATAAATCAATGGAACAGAATAGAGAACCCAGAAATAAGACTGCACAACTACAACTATCTGATCTTCAACAAGCCTGACAAAAAGGAGCAATGGGAAAAGGACTCCCTATTCAATAAATGGTGCTGGGATAACTGGCTAGCCATATGCAGAAAATTGAAACTGGACGCCTTCCTTACACCATATACAAAAATTAACTCAAGATGAATTAAAGACTTAAATGTAAAACCCAAAACTATAAAAACCCTGGAAGACAACCTAGGCAATACCATTCAGGACATAGGCACAGGCAAAGATTTTATGACGAAGATGCCAAAAGCAATTTTAATGAAAGCAAAAATTGACAAATGGGATCTTATTAAACAAAACAGTTTCTGCACAGAAAAATAAACTATCAACAGAGTAAACAGACAACCTACAGAATGGGAGAAAAATTTTGCAAACTATGCATCTGACAAAGGTCTAATATCCAGCATCTATAAGAAACTTAAAACAAATTTACAAGAAAAAAAAAGACCCGTTAAAAAGTGGCCAAAGGACATTAACAGAGACTTCTCAAAAGAAGACATACATGCAGCCAACAATTGTGTGAAAAAAAGCTCAACATCACTGATCACTAGAGAAATGCAATTCAAAAGCACAATGAGATACTGTCTCACATCAGTCAGAATGGGTATTATTAAAAAATTAAAAAATAAATAACAGACGCTGGCGAGGTTGTGGAGAAAAGGGAACACTTTTACACTGTTGCTGGGAGTGTAAATTAGTTCAACCACTGTGGAAGACAGTGTGGTGATTCCTCAAAGGCCTAAAGACAGAAATACCATTCAACCCAGCAATCGCATTACTGGGTATATACCCAATTGAATACAAATCGTTTCATTATTAAGACATATGCATGCATGTGTTCATTGCAGCACTATTCACAATAGCAAAGACATGGAATCAACCCAAACACCCACTAATGATAGACTGGATAAATAAAATGGGGCACATTTACACCATGGAATACTATACAGCCATAAAAAAGAATGAGATCATGTCCTCATGTCCTTTGCAGGAACATGGATGGAGCTGGAAGCCATTATCCTCAGCAAGCTAATGCAGAAACAGAAAATCAAATACTATGTGTTCTCACTTATAAGTGGGAGTTAAATGATGAGGACACAAGAACACATAGAGGGGAACAACACACACGGAGTCCTGTTGGAGGGTAGAAGGTGGGAGGAGGGAGGGAAGCAGGAAAAATAACGGATGGATACTGTGTGTAATACCTGGGTGATGAAATAATCTGTACAACCAACCCCATGGCACACCTTTACCTATGTAAGAAACCTGCACATCCTGCATCTGTACCCTAAACTTAAAAGTTAAAAGAAAACAACTTTCCATTCCGGTTTTGTAGAGCCCTACCATGAGGTTGAAACAACATATAGACAACATGTCTAGGATAGATGTTTTAGTTTTTAAGAGCAGGAAGTGCAGCTTTACCTTTTCTCTCTGTTTGCAGTATTCACAGCATTTTAAGCACAGAGCCCCTGATTAAATAAAAAGAGGTTTTGAAATCTTAAGGATTCAGATCATGAATGGGTTTTATTACTTTTCTCCAAAGCATAATATTAATAGATTACTGGGTTTCTCTTCCAAAATCCAAACAGCAAATAGTTTTTGTTAAACTGTGTTCTCTTCCCCCAAAAGGAAATTCTAATTAACTCAACAGATGCTGGCGAGGTTGTGGAGAAAAAGGAAGGCTTTTTCTCTAAGCAATTTTCAACCTCTGAGCAATTTAAAGATTGGGGGTTGCATTACAGTTGGTCTTAGTTTTTCTAATGTCTTTTGTTAGCCTCATAAAAAACTCCTATGGATATGAATCTTAATAGATTTCAGTTCTGTTCTATTTTCACATTCCTGCTTTTCCTGAGGGAGTAGTAATAGTTTGGTTATTGTTGGTCTGGCATGCAGCTGGAAAAAGAATGTGGAGTTTATGGGAGTAGGGGGCCTCTCTGCTTATTGCTGCTGCCAGAAATGTATATTCTGCAACTCCTAGGTTTTGTGCAAACCTTGTGCTGTAAATGGAACCATGTACCTTGATGGTTATACATGAGTCCATCAAAGTTGGACTTGGTTGCATATAACCTATTTTGTCAAGGAAGAGATAGAGAGATTATTAATATTCTGGAATACCTTCTCCCTTCCTTCCTCCTCTCACTCTTTTCAAATGGCCTCTCACCCTTGGAGAGAGTTACTTGTTTGGATGAAGAAACTGTGTTTTGAGGAATACTTTTAATGTATCTATCAGATAGCTTATTTGTCATGCCAGAGAGCAGAGGCTAGAACCCTGGCATAGTTACACATGGAATGTGTAACTTTTAAGAGAGATGTTAAGTGACAGACTCAAGATTACACAGCTAGTAAGTGTAGTAGCCACAACCAATCTCTTGACTTCTTCCTTTTCTCCAAGTCTCTCAACTTGCTCATGGCATTGTTTTCTTTCCTTCTCAGTCTAGACTCTGGGTTGAATGATTTCAGCTTCTGCCTCACTCACTCTACCAATCCCTATTCCTCAACTGGCCCATTCTCCCCTGCACTACCTGCTATTTGCCAGGCTGGTGAAAACCATGCAGTCAAGGAGACTGTCCTGCCCTACAGCCTCTTTCCACTTTGCACACTCTTCCTGGGCCATCTACCTCCATGGGATAACCTAGTAGACCTTTGCTGGCATGTCGCTAACTTTTATCTGCAGTCCAGGCTTATGTCCTGAGTTCTAGGGACATCTTTTCTCATTTAATGAAGATATTCACTTAGATATCCCAGACAGAACTCACCTACTTCTCCCTCAAATCTGTATCTTCCTCTATAGTGAAGACCCTAGGAACTTTGGAGGGAACAAAAAACCCAGGAAATCAAAAGTCAAGAACATGGAGGCCTTTGCCTCTTCCTCTCATCCAAATCTAAATAGAGCCAAGTGCATTGAAAGTTTCGGGTTGGCATTGTCTCATGCTTTCATTGGTTACTTTATGATCTAAGTCATTGTGTGCAGAAGTTCAGGGTTTCAGGATGGGACATGTTCGTTAATTTATTAGGCATCAGTGATGCCAGATACACACCTGAGATAAGGAGAGTTGTTTAACTAAATAATGGCTGTGTGTGCTGTTTTCTTTATATCCACTGGAATATCTTTTAAATTTCCTGAATAACCAGTCTCCCTGGCATTTGTACACTCCTTCTAAGCTTATGTACATGCCCCCCTTCTCTGCCCTCTACCAGGTGAATAATTTGTATTTAAAGCATTATTCTAAATGCATACCTTTTGAAAAGGGCACCACAAAAAGACAAATGATTTCATTTGGGGTCAATATGAAATAAATAGCATATTGAATAGGTAAAAATCAAATGCTTCAGTTAGAATAGAGCTACAGAATTAGATATGATTAAACCTTGCCTGAAGGGCTGAGCTGTTTGAGAAGGCTTCAACTTGTGGGGCAGGTTCCATGGTGTGACTTGGCTCTGAGTACCAAGATTGCTTAGACTTAGGGACTTCTGAGCTCAATTCCAAGGGCTTCTGAGCATGCCTTACTCCTGCCTCTGCAATTGACATGTCTTGCCATTATCTCAAATAAAAAGAACTAAATGATGATTTGGTTTTTACTTCTTCAACAAAGGTTGTTAAAAAATAAAAGTGCACCTGTTGAAGTTTGGCTTTTCTGTATTAAAGTGAAAAGAGCAACAAGCCAGGAGACAGTTTACGCTCCTATGAGCTGTGTGATCTGAACTTGTCACCTTACTTTCCCAGCTTCAGTTTCCTGTTCTGCATAATAACTTTTATACTTCATATCAAAGTTTCCTGATATAACAGAACATCCAGAAATTCATTACTTTGTGATAAATGTGTTTTCATAATACAGAAAGACCAACTATCTTACTTTAACACCTTTGTTACTTTGATTCTGAGATAATATTTTTCCCCCTGATAATGGCAAAAGGCAGACTTTTTTAAAGTTCTTGGAGGCATGTGCAGAATGTGCAGGTGATGAGATAATTCTTACATATTCTTAAAAAAAAGATCATGCCTGTAATCCCAGCACTTTGGGAGGCTGAGGCAGGTGGATCACCTGAGGTCAGGAGTTCCAGACCAGCCTAACCAGTACGGTAAAACCCTGACTCTACTAAAAATATAAAAATTAGCCGGGCATGGTGGCATGCGACTGTAGTCCCAGCTACTTGGGAGGCTGAGGCAGGAGAATCACTTGAACCTGGGAAGTGGCGGTTGCAGTGAGCTGAGATTGCACCACTGCACTCTAGCCTAGGCAAAAGAGCGAGACTGTCTCAAAAAAAAAAAAAATCCTTAAATTTGAAGTACTTTTATTACTTGTTTGCTGTGGAAAATTAATTTAAAAGCTATGGTTACAACATTATAGACTGTAAGCAATTAGCAACCAGGACCCCTTACTCAGAATAATGGTATATTTAAAACTGGAATATCGTATTGAGGTTCTCTGAACCTTAAGAAAGAGAATGAGAATTATAAGGGTCAGATGATGGAAGGGCCTTTCACTGAGATGGAGAGTATAGGGAGGAGAAGGCTAAGGAGGTGAAGTTTGGTGGATAGGAATCAAGTTAGAACATGTCATTTTCCTGCTCAAAACTCCAGTGGCTCCCATTCCACTAACTGTGAAAGCAAAGTCCTTCTCAGAGCCCACTAAACCCTTTCCCACCTACCTGGCCCCTGCTGCCTCCCAGGACTCACCTCCTATCACTGTGTCTTTCACTCCGATTGCTCCAGCCTTATTGTTTCTGGGACGCCCCAACACCCTGCTGCCTCCCAGGACTCACCTCCTATCACTGTGTCTTTCACTCCAATTGCTCCAGCCTTATTGTTTCTGGGATGCCCCAACACACTCCTGCTTCATCCTGCCTCAGGGCTTTCGCACTTGCTATTCCCTCATCCTGGAATTCTCTCCCCACCATGGCTCATTTCCTCCCTTTCTTCAGCTCCTACTCACAGGCCAGCTTATCAAAGAAGAGATCTTTCTTTTTCTTTATTTCTTCCTTTTTTTGCGAGGGGGAAAGAATCTGGCTTTGTTTTCTAAGCTGGTGTGCAGTTATGCAATCTTGGCTCCCTGCAATCTCCTCCTCCCTGGCTCAAGCCATCCTCCCACCTCAGCCTCCTGAGTAGCTGGGACCACAGGCACGCTTGGCTAACTTTTGTATTTTTTGTAGAGACTGGGGTCTCCCTACGTTGCCCAGGCTGGTCTCAAACTCCTGAGCTCAAGCCATCTGCCCACCTCAGCCTCCCCAGGTGCTGGGAATACAGGTGTGAGCCACCGCCCCCACCCCCAACCTAAAGGGGCCTTTCTTGACCATCACCAATAAAATAACACTGACCCCAGCACCTTCTCTCTCCCTTACTTACCTTTATTTTTCACATACCCTCATCACCACCTGATATCTATTTGTTTATTGTCTATATGCCTTTCCTCCATGTAAACAACAGAAGCTAGGAGAGGGGTATGCTTAATTATTACTGCATCCCCATTACCTAGCATTGGCTCATGGTAGGTGCTCAATAAACAGGTATTAAGTGAACAATGAAATCAGTTTGGGACATGCTGAATGAGAGTTGTCTCAGTTACATCTAAGTGGAGCAACACACAAGAAGTTTAGTAACAGGTTTATCAGAGATGTCTGGGCTATAGATTGGGAATCATCAGCATGTGGCATGAGAATGGATGAGATCATGCAGTAAGGAATGAGAAATGGGAAGAGCCAAAGATGCATTCCTGGGAACAAGAACCTTGAGGTACATGTAGAGGAAATAGATTCATGACGGAGACAGAAGAGCAGCAAGAAATTGAAAAACAAAACCAGAGGGGAGAGTTATTCTTAAAGCAAACTACAGAGAGGATCCAAATGAGAGAATGACAAACAGTGTCAAATGGTGCAGAGTGAGATTGGTTCCTTAGAGTAGTGTCCCCGGAATGGTGAAGGGAGATGCCAAGCTGCAGAGGTGACACTTGAATCAGAGATGAGATGGTGAGGGTAGAAGCTGGATATGAGAGGTTGAAGTTAGTTGAGGCAGTAGCAGAAACAGCTTTAAATGAAAATGGCAGATTAAATTTTTCTGTGGATGGAGTGAAAACTGGGAGGTGGAGGGAGATGGATTTAAGGATATAGATGAAAAACTGACCACAATCTGTGGCAAAGGTACTTCTCCCACTGTTGAAGAGAAGGGAAAAGGAGTGGACACAGAGGTAAGCAAGTGAGGATAGCAAAGGGAGAACTTTCTGCCTAAGCCCTCCCCTCCCCTCCCCTTCCCTTTCCTTCTTTTCTTTCTTTTTTACAGCAAAGGAAAAGGTAATGTGATTTGCCAATGATAGGGGTAAAGCAATGGATTAACTTCCAAGGAGAGGGTCAGGTTGGAAATGGCAGCCCAGGGGAATGGAATAGCATGCTGCTCAGGGAGACCTGCCTAGGGTGTTCAGAGGCACTAAGGTCAATTGCCACTCAGTTGCCACTGGAGACCATGATTTTTATAGCAGTGTTTTCTGTTAATGTTTGTCAGTTTTAATGTGCATTTGAATCATCTGGCGATCTTGTTAAAATGCAGATTCTGATTCAGTGGACCTGGGGCAGGACTGAAATTCTACAGTTCCTACAAGCTCCCAGGTGTTGCTGATGTTGTTGATCTTTGAGTAGCAGGTGATTTTTGCCATTTTCTCCAGCACCACCCAGGAGGCCTGGGGCAGAATGGAGCTGATAGAGAGTCAGGGGTCAAGTCAATAGATGGAAGTGGAAACAGGAAGTTAAGGAAGTTAAAAAGAGTAGATAAAGCTAGAAGCTGTTGATTTGAAGAGGATGGAGAAGGGCTTGAAGATTGAAGTAGGCGTCTGATGGGACAAAAGTAAAGAACTTAGAGAACTGAAGGTAGGTAGGAGTTGTCAGATATGCTTGGCAAGACAGGTTAAAAGCAACTGATGCAGTTTGTAATGGCTGAAACAGAAATTCAGCTACCTAATAATGGCATATAAATAACATGATAGTAAAAATACAACCTACATTCACTTTATAGTCTTCCTAAACACAAAAAATTTAAACTGGGTGCATTAAAATTCTTATCTTCTTTCTTTTTAATTAAATGTCTTTTGTTCCTGTTATCTTCCCTCTAGATTTTAAATTTCCTTTTTTTTTTTCCCCCAAGTGTTCATGTTTATTGAGGGCACTAGGGGCCACAAAGGAGCCCTGGGCATCTGGGGGCGAGGCCTGGCATTTGCCTGGACAGTGGCCCAGCGAGCGGCCAAGGATGAGGTCTCCACCACCCGATTTACTTGAAAGTGTGGCTGTCGGCTTCACCCCGGCCAGAGCCTTTTTGCCCAAACATGGCGGCATAGCAAGTGGTTGCAGTAGGGCTTGCTTTCGTGCTCAGCGTGGCCCTCGGAGGTCAGCGTCTTCCCACATTCTCGCACTTCAGGCAGGGCCGAGGCAAGTCCTTGCCCAGAGAGGTCACCCTCTCGGCGAAGTAAACTTCCTTGTCGCACTTGGGGCACTTGGGCATGGCGGCTCCGGGTCCGGTGCTGGCGGCGGCGGCTGGGGCGGGACGGGCTACAGGTGTGAGACTAAATTTTAAATTTCTACTAGGTAAAGATTTTACTTTGGGATTAACATTTACACAGCTTTATATTGCACAGGGAGCTTGGCTGATCAACATATTTAAGTGCTTTTCTTCTGAACTAGTATATGAACTTTTCTCATCCATAAATCTAATCATTTTTTGTCAGGAAAATCTATTATCATCTTTCTCATTAAAACAGTGTAATGCCATTATTTCACAGTTTATTTTTCTTTCGAATAGGGCATCACCCGCATTCTTAGAAACATAACTCTGTTGAGTAAAAGACTGAAATAATGTGGCAATCCTGTAGTCTAGCACCTGTCCAATTATGTTGTACTTATAACAAGATTCATTCATATTTGAATGGATCATTATTAATCTTTAGGAAGTGGTGCTGTATGATGGGAATATAAAAGGGCATAAGATAGGATCCCTTCTCTTGGCTGTGTTCAAAGACTGAGATATACATGTGTAAAGTCTTAGGAAATAATAACATCAGGCAGTATTTTAGTTAAATCCCAGAATAAATGATATGAAGAGTTTAAAGGCAGTTTGAAAGGAAAAGTAAGTACAGGTAATTAAAAGCAAAAGCCATTACCAGATTTTTTTTTTTAACTTTAGGATCAATTAAAGGCATAATTTTCAATTAGTGTTAATTCTAACTGTCTTGAGTGCTAGATTCTCTCAAACCTGAAATCAATATTATTAGCAGTTGTTATTAGCCAACACTAAACTGGAACAATTTAACTAGCACTTAAAATCATTATAAAATATTCTAGACAAGCAAAAAGGCATAAAGGATAGATAATAAGTACAAAATAATTTTTCATTGATATTTGCCAGTCTTCAGCCTAGCAGATACTCAGCAAATGTTTGCTGAATGAATAAATGATTCTCATTTATTATTAAATGCCTTGTCTCCATATTTATAATATCCTTGGAGCCAAGGACATTTGTCTTCCTTTCCATGGTGCCTATAAAATGATGGTTATGTGGTTGGTGTTCAATAAATACTTGTAGGTTGGTTTATTTAAGGCCTAGACTCCCTGTTTGTAGCTCTCTTTAAACTTGAACCCTAACTCATAGCTCTTTTTAACCTGATATTTAGCCTAATTGAAATTACTTTAATTGTTATACATTGTTGATGAAATATACCTCTACAACTCTAAGAAGAGCTAGAAATTTAAACTATAGCTTTTATTTTGTTTTTTACATCCTAACGTCTTTTTCTTTTTTTTTTTTTTACTAAAAATAGGACATTGTGTGACTTCATGTTGTTGCTTTAAAAAAAATACAGGACATTGCTTAAAGTCCTGATTTGTAATTACAGTAAGAGTAAGTCAAAATCTTATATTGCAAAATAGCTAAGCATAGATTTTTTTCTTTTTTCAAAAATGAACTCAGCTTCAATTTTAAGAGTCCTCCTGTGACTACCAGGGATTCAGCTCCATAAAATCCCATAAAATCTCTTCTATAAAATGATTCCATCCCTGCTGTGTGCATTTATTTTCTGCTTCTTCCTCTAGTTCACTGTTTTAATGTGGGGTTCAAGGACTACTTGCATTGAAATTGTCTGTACTGCTTGTTGTATAGATTCTTGACCCTCCTCTCAAGTCCTTCTATATCCCAACCAGGGCAGTGAGGGTGGCAGCTTGTCACCCACATTTTTTTCTCCAGATGCTTCTTAAAGAAGCTAAATTTGAATACATTGTTACTGCTATTTTCTTAGCTGTGGTTCTCTTGTTCAACTTCCAGCTCTGGATTGGCTTTATATTTCTGTTTCTATTCTTCATCTTCCATACCCTACCCCTGCTTCCAACTTTGGCACTTCGCTAACAACTCTCTTCTCTCAGTCATGGTCTCATGCTCTACCTGCTAACATGGAAATTTGGGAGTAGCCACTGTTACAAGATTGCTTTCCCTCCTCACTTTAGTCTCTGTAGCCATAGTCACCAGAGACGCTAAAAACCATTCTATTTGGTGTGTGTAGTGCGATAGATCAGTGCTACTCACAGGAGACTATGAATGAGATAAGCTTGTGCTTGGATAAGCAGCACACTTTCTTTTCAAGAAAGTCTTGTTACATTTTTATAGTGGTGCAAGCTCCTTAGCGCTTTGTGGACCAATAACCCATGGTCCATGGAAGCAACCATTCCACTGAGCACATTTTGAGGCCTGTGCTACAGATTTTTGGGGGAAATGGCTTCACTGAGATATAATTAATATACCATAAAATTCACCCATTTCAAGGTTACACAAAGTATATTCAAAGAGTTGTGCAACCCTCACCACAGTCAATTTTAGAACATTTTCATCACCTTGAAAAGAAACCCTGTGCCCTTAAGCTGTCACTCCCAATCCTCCAATCCTGTCCTCCCCCAGGCTTAATAAATCACTAATATACTGTCTGTCTATATTTGCCTCTTCTGGATATTTCATATAAATGAAATCATATAATATGTGATCTTTCATGGCTGGCTTCTTTCATTTTAGCATGTTTTCAAAATTTGTCCATATTGTAGCTTGTAATAGTATTTCATTCATTTGATGGCCAAATAATATCCCATTACGTAGATATACCACATTTTGTTTATTCATTCATCCATTGATGGGTATTTGGATTGTTTCCACCTTTTGGATACTGTGAATAATACTGCTATGAACATCCACGTACAAGCTTTTTTTGTGAGCATATGTTTTCACTTCTCTTGGGTATACAGCTAGAAGTGAAATTGCTGAGTCAAATGATGGTTCTGCATTGAAATTTCTGAGGAACTGTCAAACTTTTCCACCATTTTACATGCCTACCAGCAGTGTATGAGTGTTCTTCACTCCACTTTCTGGCCAACATTTACTAGCCTCCATGTCTTTGGTTATAGCCATTTTACAGGTGTGAAGTGGAAGCTCATTGTGATTTTCATTTGTGTTTCCCTGATGACTATTGATATAGAGCATCTTTTCATGCATTTATTGGCTATTTGTATATCTTCTTTGGAGAAATGTCAATTCAGATTTTTTAATTGAGTTACTTGTTTTATTATTGGGGATTGTAAGAGTTTTTCACTGAAAACAAGTCCATTAGATATGATTTGCAAATATTTTCTCCCATTCCATGGGTTGTCTTTTCACTCTCTTAATGGTATCCTTTGCAGCACAAAAGCTTAATTTTGATAAAGTCCAATTTATTTATTTTTACTGAGGCTCATGGGTTTGGTGTTTAAGAATTTATTGCGAAATCCAAGTTCATAAATATTTATCCCTATATTTTTATCTGAGAGTTTTATAGTTTTGACTCTCCCATTAAGGCCTTTGATCCATTTGGGATTAATTTTTGTATATAATGTGAAGTAAGGGTCCAACTTTAGTCTTTTGCATGTGGCTATCCAGTTGTTTCAGCACCATTTGTTGAAAAGACTATTCTTTCCCTATTGAATGATCTTGGCACCCTGGTTGAAAATCATTTGACTGTAGATATATGGGTTTATTTCTGGACTCTCAATTCTATTCCATTGACTTATATGTCTATTCTTATGCCAGTTCCTTACTGTCTTCATTACTGTGGCTTTCTAGTAAGTTTCCAAATTGGGAAGTATTGATCTTTTTTTTTTTTCTTTTTGAGACGGAGTCTCGCTCTGTCGCCCAGGCCGGAGTGCAGTGGCGCAATCTTGGCTCACTGCAAGCTCCGCCTCCTGGGTTCACGCCATTCTCCTGCCTCAGCCTCCCCAGTGGCTGGGACTACAGGCGCCCGCCACCACGCCCAGCTATTTTTTCGTATTTTTAGTAGAGACGGGGTTTCACTGTGTTAGCCAGGATGGTCTCGATCTCCTAAGCTCGTGATCCACCCGTATCGGCCTCCCAAAATGCTGGGATTACAGGCATGAGCCACCGCGCCCGGCCTGATGTTTCAATTTTATTCTTCTATTAGAAGATTGTGTTGGTTATTCTGAGTCTCCTGAGTTTCATGAGTCTTAGAATTGGCTTGTCCTGTTCTACAAAGCCAGCTAGAATTCTGCTAGGGGTTGATTTGAATTTGTAGATCAATTTGGGGAGTATGGTCATCTTAACAATATTGCCTTTCAATCCGTGAACATTGGACATCTTCCCATTATTTCGATCTTTAATTTCTCTCAACAATGCTTTGTGGTTTGAGTACAAGTTTTGCACTTCATTTGTTAAACTTACTCTGAGTATTTTATTCTTTTTGATGCTATTGTAAAAATGGTTTTTTTTTAAATTTCATTTTTGGATTATGTATTTATAATTTTTACTCCTTAGGGACATTTAGAGAAAAATAAAACTGTTGCAGGGAAAACTTGGCTGATGGCCTGTCAGCCAGCATTTCTCATTCTTTGAGATTCTATGTAGAGAAAAAAGTGTTCTGTGGTCAAATAATTTTGGGGAATGCTGTATAACATGTTTATGATACCCATAAACATATAGAAAGGCCTGAGAAGTCAGCACCTTAAACCTTTAAATCCTGTGAAAGCAAAGCCCTTCCTTCATCTACTTTGAATTACTTAATCTTGAATGCAAATGAATTTTAGATCCTTCTTAATGTGATGAAATATAGAACTTATGCGACTGAGGTCTTGAAAGGCAAAGTTAATATACTTCATAATTTTGCCTAGAGTAGATATTAATGGTTGGCCATGATGTTTATTGTAAAATGTACTTAAAGTGCCAGTGAAAATAGTTCTTTTTGAAAGTACCATTTAAATTCAACCAGCAGCCTGGCACAGTGGCACATGCCTGTAGTGCCAGCTACTCAGGAGGCTGAGACTGGAGTTCAAGGTTACCATGTACTATGATCATGCCTGTAAATCGTCACTGCACTTCAGCCCGGGCAATATAGTAAGACCCCATTGCTAAAAATTAAAAAAAAAAACAACCCTGTAAACTACTGTCTTTTTTTCAATTTTTTCTTTGAATCAAGTGTCTTAAATGAAAGTTTCCTAACTGTTTATAACAGTATAATGATGAGTAGGATGTTTAGGAGTGAAGAAATGGGGCTTGAAGGAGCTATTAGATAAATAAGCTTACAGTACTTTTAAGATTAGGTGAGGTATAAAAAAGGAGCATGGCCTGAGGAGTTGAACACACCTCAATTTGAATCCTAGCTCTGTGTGTTTGACTTAAGTGATAGTGCACATATCTCATGGTTTTTCTGAACCTCAGTTTCCTCACTTTAAAATAGTTTTAACAGCTACATGACTTTATAAAATATACAACTTCATTCTCTAAAGAACAGATATAGTATTTATAATTCCATTTTTGCATAGGCTTTGCCTGTGTCCCTCGGTCCAGCCCTGGAGACTTGTGTCTGATTTAAAGAAACACCGGAGATTCAATTCTGGGGGCAGCTTAGAGGTTTGCATAAATGGAGTAGATTCAAGAGTTCCACCTATCTGAAATATACCCAAAGCTGGGCCAAAGCAAAATTTGGAATCACATGAAGTTTACCTGCACTGTTCCCTCAACTCTTATTTCTGTCTTCTTTCCCTCTAATGCAGTTTTTCCTTTCTGAAACGATCTGTTGTGACAAAACCAACTTCCTGGAAATGTAATATCAAATAAAATCAATATCAAATCAAATACAATTGAATCAACAAGTTACCTGTAGCAGTGATATTTTCAGTTTTCTGTCCTCTCTAAATATGAAATGAAAGGCATTATTTCTAGTTAGAAAAATTTTGAAACTTTGTCGTGGATGGAAGTGAGAAGGTATGGAATTCTATTTTGAATAGGTGATTCTTTCTGAAGGATTCTGATTTTATTTGGTTTGCTTGATGATTGATTCTATTACACCTTTTGCATGTGATTTTAGATCACCTTGGGGTTTTTTATGCTTTCTTGGTTTTAGCTCTGGTGTTAGGAAGCTAGGGTAGGAGAAGGAAGGACAATAGCTAGTTACAAGGAGACTGAGCAGACAGATGGAAGATAATAGAATTCAGGTCCAATAATAAGGCATACAAATGTGGCTACTTGCCTTGGTTATTACAATTTCTAGAAGGTTTTTGTTGTTGTTGTTGTTGTTGTACTGGAGATAACAACTTCCCAATCACATCTGTTGACATGAAAATGGAAAATAGAATTATAGCTGGCCGGGCACCGTGGCTCACGCCTGTAATCCCAGTACTTTGGGAGGCGGAGGCAGGCGGATCATGAGGTCAGGAGATCGAGACCATCCTGGCTAACACGGTGAAACCTCGTCTCTACTAAAAATACAAAAAATTAGCCGGGCATGGTGGCGGGTGCCTGTAGTCCCAGCTACTCTGGAGGCTGAGGCAGGAGAATGGTGTGAACCCGGGAGGCGGAGCTTGCAGGGAGCCGAGATAGCGCCACTGCACTCCAGCCTGGGGGACAGAGCGAGACTCCGCCTCAAAAAAAAAAAAAAAAAAAAAAAAAGAATTAGAGCAAGTTACTGGGGTCTATGGCAGGTTTTTTTTGTTTTTTTGTTTTTTTAATTCTTAACCTTCCTATTATTTGAGTTTATTAGCAAATGATTTTGTGACTTGTTCTAAACTGATGAATAAAATTTAGCATACACCAATCAAGGGGTAGAACAAGGGAACTTCAGAAATGAAAACAAATCAGTTCACGAAGAATTCACCCTGTCTGTGTACAGGAGACTTTTAAGGGCTAGAGAAAATCTATATATCTCTTCTTCAGGAGGACTGAAATGAACAGTCAGCTCATTCAGAGTCTGCACAGTCCCAACTCTCAGATATTACTTTTGTTGGGACCGAAGGCTCAGCTCTCTCCAATGGCAAGAGATGCTGGATGACTGAGATTAGGTGAAACAATAGTCTCCTAGAAGCATGACTTCTTCTCCCATGACCTTTGAAGAGGCTGCTCTAATAAAAGGGTAAAATAATTTTTTAA
Organism: Homo sapiens; assembly: GCF_000001405.40. NCBI lineage: Eukaryota > Metazoa > Chordata > Mammalia > Primates > Hominidae > Homo > Homo sapiens. The sequence goes on along the minus strand of NC_000003.12, from coordinate 25,679,956 downwards.
ACAGCAAAAGGCATTTTTGCCATTACCCAAATCAAGCACAAAATGGATCTAGTCACCTCTCTCCTCCTCTCGCTCCTCTATCCTGTCACCCCCCAACTCCTATCTCCTCTCTCCCTGGCCCCTCTCTTCTCTTCCCCTGTCCTGCTGCTCTCTCTCCAACCCCCACTCTTTTCTCCCCTCTCTTCCCCCTTCCCCCTCCTCTCTCCCCCTCCTCTCTCCCCCTCCTCTCTCCCCCTCCTCTGTACTCCCCCTCCTCTGTACTCCCCCTTTCCCTTCGCCCTCCCCCTTTCCCCTCGCCCTCCCCCTTTCCCCTCGCCCTTCCCCTTTCCCCTCGCCCTCCCCCTTTCCCCTCGCCCTCCCCCTTTCCCCTCCCCCTTTCCCCTCGCCCTCCGCCTTTCCCCTCGCCCTCCCCTTTTCCCCTCCCCCTTTCCCCTCCTCACTTTCCCCGCCCCACTTTCCCCTCCCCCTCCCCCACTTTACCCCTCCCCCTCCCCCACTCTCTCTTGTAATTGTTAAACTAGAATATTTGATTTTTGAGCCCTACTGGTAAACAATGGAGGCTCTCATTCAGGGATTTAGGGCTGTTGAAAGAAGCCTGGTTGTATTCATTCTTTCAGAAGCTAACAGTGTGGGTAAAATATGAAATGTTTGCTATCAAGTTAAAGAAAAAAAAGGTTCTCAAAACAAACTGTGAAGGGCCAATGCAATTCACTGGTCATATTTTTCAAATTATTACTCTTATATTCAAATAACAGGAAGATTAAAAAAACATAGAAATATTTAGCTAGAAGGGAATACCAAATCTAAATCCCTTTCATTTTATAGAGACCCAGATAAATTATACTTTGAAATAATTTTTTAACAAAGTCTGTAAAAATTGAGGCCAAGGAATTAAAAACTGCTGTGAAAAATTTCATTTGAGGTTACTGGAGACAAATGAACAAACAAGAAATGTAATGTGAAAAAGACGAGTGGAAGATAGTTTAATTAAAAGCAAGAATTGTACAGCATGACAAATTCCTGGGAGAAATTCATGACCAAGGTAATAGTGAAACACTTCAACCTTTTACTATATTCTGTATTATCAGATGTCCACAATCAAGTGAAGCAATCATTATGTGGTTGTCAGAGACCTCCTGGGAAGGGTCAGCTCAGCTATTACAAAGATCACCACTGGTAAAATAACAAGGCAGTGAATTTATGGATGATGTGTTCAGGGAAACAGATTTTAAAAAGACAGCCAAGAAATTGTGGTTGCCTGGACTTAATATTAGAATCACTGGGAATTTTTGTACTTAGAGCTCTACTAGCAACCACTCTTATTCATCAGGAGAAATATTTTCATTTACCAGGTGTGAAAATTAAAAAACAAAATGGAAACAAGGAATCAATTGTAATATATCTTCTGTGAGGCTTACAATAACTGTGATCCACATTATTTTATTTTTCTGGTGGTGAAAGAAAAGAATATATTGTAGTAGGCAAGTTGGTTTAATTTCTAAGACTTGGTCCCTGATTTTTCCCTTTTGTAAGAATGAGACAATATTAAGAATATTAGAGCAAACAAAATAGAAAATTCCAGGCCGGGTGTGGTGGCTCACATCTGTAATCCCAGCATTTTGGGAGGCCAAGGCAGGCAGATCATTTGAAGTCAGGAGTTCGAGACCAGCCTGGCCAACATGGTGAAAACCCGCTCTACTCAAAATAGAAAAAATTAGCTGGGTGTGATGGCTCGTGCCTGTAATCCCAGCCACTTGGGAGGCTGAGGCAGAAGAATCTCTTGAACCCGGAGGTGGAGGCTGCAGTGAGCTGAGAATGCACCCCTGGACTCCAGCCTGGGCGACAGAGCAAGACTCTGTCTCAAAAGAAAAAAAACCAGAAACCAAAACAAACCAAAACTCCACATGTACTCGTAACCTGCTCCTGCTTAAAAATTTCTTCAAGAGTTTGCCATTGTGTATTTCTGCATGTATGTTAGTTTGTTTGGTCCAAAGATTAAAACCCCTAATTTGACCCAATAGGCCCTGTTTCATTTGACTTTGGTCATCTTCTCTTCCAGCAGTAGTTGTCTTCTGTCACTTCAACTACACCATGCTCCAACAAGCCTGAGAGTGTCATACATGCAACTTGCTATTCTTGAGATGTTAACTCATACATCCTCAGAGCTTAACATAATTTTCTCAGGAAAGCCTCCAACCTCCTGCTTCATTGTTTTTCCCCACCAATCACAATGATTTATTTATGCAAGTAGTTATTTAATGCCTTTTTTCCACATGCTTCATAGAGGTGTGCTCTAGGTCTCTCTAGTTTACTTCTACATCTGTAGCACCTGGTGCCCCATATGACACATGGTAGGTGTTTAATAAGTATTTGTGGAATGAATTAACAGACACAAAAGACCTTAAATACCTGGTGCATAGCAAGTAATCGATATTAACAGCTGTGTTAATTTGGCTTTTGTTTCACTCTCCCTCTGTTGCTTGCCTCGTTTGACCAGCAATTGGAGTATGAGGAACTAATGGTGTGCTATTGTGTGGAACAGGAGCTTGATACACATGTATATTTATTAAAGATGAAGATGATAGCAAAGCTGCCTGCCCATGAACCTCTGCAACTCTGACCTTGGACCTGTTATCACTATAAACTGGGTTAGCGCTCAGGGCACTTTGTCATAGTTAAACATATTAACTGTGGTGATACTACACTGGCTTTCTGTTTGGAAATTTTGGAGTTTTCTATTTACTTAAATGTTTATTACAAAGGACTTGTTCTGCTATGGGTACTTTTAGAAAGCAGAGAAGTTTTAACTCTTAGCTGTGTCAGAAGCTAAAGGATGTTTGTCAGAGCTAAGATACTTTAACATTTGTTCTTATCGTCAAGTACTGATATTTACCATTCTTACTATCACCTTTGGAGTGGTCTCTACACCTGCTGGGTAGTAAAATGAGAGAACTGGAAAGGAGATTAAACTCATAAACTCTGGAGGAGACAGAACTGGGTTCAAATTTCACTTCTACCACTTACAGCAGTGGGACTTTGGGCTGATCAACCTTTCTAGCCTCAGTTTTCTCATCTGTAATATGTGGTTTATAATAAATAATACCAAGATGTTCATCAAATCCCTTTTATATTGTTGAAAATAACAACACACATATCCTTCTACAACAGTGGTTCTTGACGGTGGTGCGAGAGAAGGCTTTTGTTTCTCAAAGGACAAAATGTCTGGAGACATTTTTGTTTGTCACAATGGGGATGGTGGTAGCAGTGGTGATACGTTACTGGTTTCTAATGGGCAGAGGCCAGGAATGCTGGTGAACATCCCACAATATATAGGACAGGTCTTTAAAAAATTACCCAGTCCGAAAAGTCAATAGTGCTCTTAGTTGAGAGCCTGTTCATAGTGAGCTTGAGAAATCCCTTTTAAAGTAAAATGGCAAACTAATCACTGCAGTTATTATAAGAATGAGAGCGATCTACATGCAGACATAGAAAAGATTTCAAGGACAGCCAGTTAAAATAACTAAAGCAACACACAGAACAGTATTTATAATATGGTCCCATTAATTACTCATCTCTTTTCTGTGTGCATGTGTGTGTTTCTACATACATATAAAGGATCTGGAAGGAAACCTACCTACTTGTTAACCAGAGACATCAATAGGGAAAGCAGATTTTAAAGAAGTGTTTGCAAGTTTTACTGGACATAGTTTTTTTATTGTGTTTTTTCAACCAGAAGGTATTATATTTATAATTTTGAAAAATTTTAAAAATAAATTCGTATTTCATACAGCTGTTATGAATATTAAAGTAGATAATGCAAGCAATATGTTAACCCAGTGCCCATATAATAGGAGCCAATAAATGTTATTGTTTGTCATAAAAATTCTATACTTCTGAAAATTGAGTTTTGGAGGTAAAGGTTTACAGGTAAACATGGTAATTACAAGATTTCATTAATGAACCTGCATAGCTTCAGATGGGATAGTATTCATTTTTCCATCACATATGAGTTTTCTTTTGTGCTTACTGAAAGAACTATTTCATTTTATATCATTTTGTGCACACATCAAAAGCAAAACCAAAGTGAAAAACACTGGTAAGAGTATTCCTACCACTTTATATCCAGAGTGTGAATCTTCTGAATCACTGATGGACTCAGAGGCATTAATGATCTTGTTTTTCTATACACTCTTATTTTTGTCAAGTGTTGGAGATATAGCATTTTTTGGGTAAACTTTTTATTAAAATAATGAAAAGTATAAAATTCGAAAGTGTGTAGCTGAGTGAATTCTCGAAATATATATTCACCACCTAATTCAGCAAATAAAAATTATTAGCACCCAGAGTCTCCCTCCCACAGGTAACTACATCTTGACTTATAATATTATAGATTAGTTTTATCTGTTTTAAAATTTTATATAAAAATGCCGGCCACGGTAGCTCACACCTGTAATCCTAGCACTGTGGGAGGCTGAGGTGGGTAGATCACCTGAGGTGAAGAGTTTGAGACTAGCCTGGCCAACATGGTGAAACCTTGTCTCTACTAAAAATACAAAAATTAGCTGGGCATGGTGGCGGGTGCCTGTAATCACAGCTACTCAGGAGACTGAGGCAGGAGAATCGCCTGAACCCTGGAGGTAGGGGTTGCAGTGAGCCAAGATCATGCCATTGCACTCCAGCCTGGGCAACAGAGCAAAAACTCTCTCTCAAAAAAATAATATATATATATATATATATATATATATATATATATATATATATATATATATAAAATAATATTTTATATGAAGGGAATCATATAGTATGTGTTCTTTTATGTTTGACTTTAGGTTGATACTGTATTTATGAGGCTCATACATGTTAAGTGTAGTGGTAGATCACTCATTTTTATTGCTGACCAATATTCATTGTACACACATAAAATATAGCCATTCTATCACTGATGGATATTTGGATTGTTTCTAGTTTGGGGCTGCCATGAAGTGTTGCTATATATGTTCTTGTGTGTGTCTTGGTACATAAGTATGCATTTCTATTTGTATATACCTATTGATGGCAGCAGTGGGCCATCTGGAGCAGCCACTGCCGTCATGCTGGCCCCAGTGGGGAGGTGCAGGTGGTGGCAGCAGGAGTGGCTGCAGGAGCAGCAGTGGCAGTGGTGGGACCTCTGTGCCCCACATCCCCAAGGCAGCTGACTATACCACCCCCACCCTCACATGGCTGGGCAGGACCCACTCCAGGCCTGGAGCCTCTGCTGCAGCCTCAACCTCGCTCCTTGCTGTGTCTTGGGAGCCCTCAAGCACCCGGCTGAAGGCGCAGCCGGGACTTACGGAGCCAGCGCTGAGAGCATCGAATTTGTTTGTGTGCGGTTGGCCAGGGTGTGGCATCACCTGCACCTCACCTGCTGTTGCTGTGGGGAAAATGTGGCCAGGGCTGTGCACTCCATGGAGCCAGTGGGAGCCATGGACAAGTGGGAGCCTTGCTCCTTCTAAGATGGTGGTGAGGGAGCTCATCAGGCACAACTGCAGCCACCCAAGTTGTGGCTACAACCTGGGAACCCCTGTGCTCTTGGGAACCAGAAGCAGGCAGAAGCCCTGCCCTCCCAGGCACAGCTGCAGCCACTCAAGCCGTGGCTGTAGACTGAGGCATCCCTGTACTCTCAGGGACCCAGGAAGGCCCTCCTTTTATGCCCCCCAGGCTTGGAAGTACCTGCTCCTACTCTCTGGCTTATCCCAACTTTTGGCACCTGCTCTGATCACAGCGAAAAGTTGAGGCTGAGCCCGGGCACTGTCGCAGCCTGGCTGGGTGTGTGCATGCTCAAGGCAGTGCTGACATGCCAGCCCCCTGATGCCTCAGCCCCCTCTGGATTTTGGGTGCCAACAAGTGTGGGAGGGAGGCCAGGGGTTGCTGAGGGTGGCTTGGTGCTGGCCTGAAGGCGCCCCCTCAGCACAATCAGCCTTGGTGCCGTGAACAGCAGCAGGAGGCAGACAGGCTACTTGGTGAAAACAAGTAGGTCCCTGGTGAAGCCCCACCTTCAAGCCAGGGAAGGCCTGGAGCCTGGGGGCCGAGCTGCTGATCCTGTGGACCAGAGTGGGAACTTGTGCTTTTTCCAGGCCTGCCAATGGCTGCCCGTGGACCAGTTGGCATGAACTTCCTCCCCTCTAATGCCCATAAAAGCCCCATACTCAGCCGGACCCAAAGAGATAATGGGATGACCAGCTGCAGAGAGGAGTCACCCTCTCTGCTGAGAGCTGAAGAGACAATGGGACCATCAGCTGCAGAGAAGAGCTACCCTCTCTGCTGAGAGCTGAACACTCAGTCGGAACAACCTGCCTGCAGAGAGGAGTTATCATCTCTAAGAGCTGAACACTCATCCAGACATGCTGGCTACAGGGAGGAACTACCCACTGCAAGTCTCTTCTGAGTTGTTCTATCGCTCATGAAGGCTCCTCTTCATCTTGCTCACCTTCCACTTGTCTGCATACCTCATTCTTCTTGGATGTTGGAAAAGAACTTGGGACCTGTCAAATGGGGGGCTAAAAGAGCTACAACACAAAGAGGGCTGAAACATGCCCCTTGCTTGCCACATTGTGAGCAACAAGGAGAGAAAAGAGAAGGAGACAAGAGCTGTGGCCCTTCAGGGACCCCAGACCTAGGAGCTCCCTGAGCCAGGGCTGTAATACCCTCTTTAGGGCTCTGCCTGGTGTTTCCAAGTTTCTGGGTACCACTGTGTTCCCTGGTGCCAGTCATGGAAGCTGCTTGTGGTAGGCCTGGTCCAGCTGCAGCCTTGCAGGGAGACAGCACCCTTGCTGGCACCTGGGGGCGGCCTGCTCTGCCACAGCCAGCAAGCCTGGCTGTGTGCAGTGGCCGGACCCCCATGCTTGCTTACACACCCCCTGCCACTCCATGCCTGGCTCACCCTTGGCAGGCATAAGATCCAGGCCAGTAGTGTGAGCTGGGTGCAGCCTGCCAGGCCAAGTGGGCAGAACAAGCCCAGTGGGCCAGAGCAAAACTCAGGCAAAGGCACCACTGACCACAGAGGTTTCCGGCTGGTGAAGCGACACCCCAAGGATCCCATAACACTGTGAGTTAAATTTCTGATTCATAAGATATGTAAATGTTTAGCTTTAGCACACACTGAGAGACAGTTATCCAAAGTGGTTTAATAGATACTGAGAAAGAGTTTTCCAAAGTGGTATCCAGTGGTAAGATCCATAATACTAACAGCGTATGAGAGTCTGTGTTGCTCTATGTTCTCATTAACATTTGGTATAGTCAGTCTTTTAAATTTTTGCTATTCTAATGGGATAGCATTCTTTTTTAATTTTAAATGACTTATTAGAGCCTACCGTTTTCTTTTTTTAAAGTAAAAGTTTTTGAGAATTTGCAAAAGGAGTAGAAAGATATTCACCAAACTGTTAACAGTAATTACCTGAATGGCAGAATTGTGGGTCAATTTGTTCTTTGCTTTTTCTTTCAACCAGAGATATAGTTGCTAAACATATAAATTAACATGTTTTATTTATGTATTTATTTATTTATTTAAGACAGTCTTGCTCTGTTACCCAGGCTGGAGTGCAGTGGTGCAATCTCAGCTCACTGCAACCTCCACCTCCCAGGTTCAAGCAATTCTCGTGCCTTAGCCTCCCAAGTAGCTGGGATTACAGGCACCTGCCACCACACCCGGCTAATTTTTGTATTTTTAGTAGAAATGGGGTTTCGCCATGTTGGCCAGGCAGGTCTTAAACTCCTGACCTCAAGTGATTCATCCACCTCAGCCTCCCGAAGTGCTGGGATTACAGGCGTGAGCCACTGTGCCCAGGCAGCATGTTCTAATAACAAAAATAAAAAGTGGCAGTAGTTCCCAAAGTCTTTACATTAAAACATGAATTCCAAGGATGTTAATAGATATTCCTGAAAAGACTATCAAGACTAAATAAGTTTGACTTGCTTACTGCAGGACTGCTCGGAGGCTTTAAAAATGCTAGTGGGTTTTGTGAATTCCTTGTGCATGGGTACTATACAGTAGTGTGTATGGTTTCTGAAACTTATAATTTCCAAAATACTCATTTATACTTCAAAGTTCTAGCATACTGAGAAACAAGATTTACTAAATGCTGGAATGGAAGAAGCAAACATATAACACATAAAAATAGATTACAAAAAGGCAAATAATTCATATAATAGATGGAGTGTTCACAAATAAGTCTTCCCTGTATAACTAAACACTTTGAGAAATTTGTATGCTGCTTTCAATATCTTCTGAATTGAAGATATCTTTTAGATCTTCTGAATTGAAGATATCTTTAATATCTTCTATTGTGAATTTGAAATTATCCAAAATGTGAATCCAAGAGTGGAATCCCATAGTACATCTGTATTTTTCCCTCTGCATTTGAATGTTAGCTATTTGAATATCTTCTATGATGAGGACACTGGATTATAAAGTATAAAATTGCGGGCCGGGCGTGCTGGCTCATGCCTGTAATCCTAGCACTTTGGGAGGCCGAGGTGGGTGGATTGCCTGAGCTCAGGAGTTGGAGACCAGCCTGGGCAATACAGTGAAACCCATCTCTACTAAAATACGAAAAAAAAAAAAAAAATTGGCCAGGTGTGGTGGCATGCACCTGTAGTCCCAGCTACTCAGGAGGCTGAGGCAGGAGAATTGCTTGAACCTGGTAGGTGGAGGTTGCAGTGAGCCGAGATGGCGCCATTGCACTCCAGCCTGGGCGACAGAGCGAGACTCCATCTTCCAAAAAAAAAAAAAAAAAACAAAATTACATTGATGGTGAGGTATCACAAGATTCACAGGACCTTGAGCTTTGGGTTCTCTTTGATCCTTTGGGCTTCAAAAAGCAACTTGCTTTGCTTTTTGAACAAGGTAAGACAAAGGTAACAAGGTAAGACAAAGTAGATTCAGACTAGTTTCAAAGAAAACATCTAGTCAGTCATACAAATGATAGACATTTGTCACCATAGTTCAGCAATACAATTTAACAACCGAAGGGTTCTACTGAGGGCCAATGGCTAGAATTATTCACCAGTATTGCCAGCTTTTTAACACATTGCCAAATATGCTATATTGCCAAGTATGTTAGCCAACTTGGCAGTATGACAAAAGGGTGAGGTTTGGAGTAAGAGACTTGGGCTTGGATTTCAGTTTCACTACTTAGCTCTGTGACTTTCTTTTTTTTTTCTTTTGAGATGGAGTCTAGCTCTGTTGCCCAGGCTAGGGTGCAGTGGCACAATCTCGGCTCACTGCTACCTCTGTCTCCTGGGTTCAAGCAATTCTCCTGCCTCAGCCTCCCGAGTAGCTGAGATTACAGGCATGTGCTGTACACCTGGATAACTTTTGTATTTTTTAGTAGAGACAGGGTTTCACCATGTTGGCCAGCCTGGTCTCGAACTCCTGACCTCAAGTGATCTGCACACCTTAGCCTCCCAAAGTGCTGAGATTACAGGCATGAGCCACTGCATCCGGCTGCTCTGTGACTTTCTATGAGCTTTAATTTTCTTGACTGAAATAAGAATGATGATACTACCTCTCTTAGGGTTGTTGGAAGTTAATTAAGCTAGTATGTGTGAAAGGGCCTGACTAGTACTGTAACAAATTGATACCGGGGTTCTCAATAAGTGAGGTTTTCCTTCTTAATGAAATAAAGTATAAGCACTGGCAAGGCTACAGCTGATCTACTTTCAGACCAGAAAGTGTTTCTTTTCTCCACTCAGTTTCACACAGTTTGATGCTTTTGTTCTCCATCTCCCCTCTCCCTCAATTGTTTTGGTACCAATAATTTCTTTTTTTCCTTCCCTCCTCACACCATCCTGTTTCTCACTACTAAAGAGACACAATGCTTCAACCAATTCTTCATCTGTTAACCGATAAAGTTAGCAGATTAAAGTTTAAGGTATTTTACCCTCTCTGGTAGTCAACCAATAATACTTGAAAACACAAAAGACTCAAGGATGCTGAAGAATGAATCTCAAATGGCCAAGTTTCAGCACCACCATGGATGGTGCATGAAATTTTTCTGAGGGAGGCTTCTTGATAACACCTCATATCCTTTTGTAAAGCAATTATTTATTGAACACCAACTGTATGCCAGACACTCTCTTTGACAAGCTAGCACTGTGTGGTATACCCTTTATTGAATAGGCTAGTCTTACTCTTTTACTTTTCCCAAACAACATTTAAAATGGAAATATATTCCTTAAAGAGTCTGCATTTCTCAGCCTCCTTCTGGATCTTTCCACATTTTGACAATCATCTCAAAGAGGAAAGCTGATAGATAAAGATACTAGTTATATATGACATCTGGGCTGACCTCTTAATTCTTAAGAAACAGAAATAATTTGCTATTTTCTGTTATTAATTGGCATACTAAAAGATGGTATCTTTTCGAATTTTTGATTTTTAATTACCACCTTACATAACTTGCAGGTACCTTTTTTGTTTTGTTCCTCCCAAAATGCTAGAATTACAGACAAGTGCCACTGTGCCCGGCCATTCCCTACTCTTCTGAAATGAAAACAGTCGAGTTGGGAAAGCCACTGCTGTCTCATTTTTTAAGATGTGAGTCTTATAAACCTATGAAGTAACAATATCAGATGACTGTGGGCAACCAGAAACTTCAAATACAACTTAGTAATACACATGATAGATTGTGTATCTTGTTGGTGAAGGGCAGGTGCATGATAACATCTAATGTCCCCCAAAGCAGAATTTTCTCAAAACAAGATGCATCTTTGAAAGTCCATCCAATTATTAGACATTTTTACAAAGGCCAAGAGCAACTTTCTTAAGACACATGCTAATTTTATTCTCCACGTTGTATGAAAACCCTGAATTATTATTGAGAACCCTGAATTACTGAGAACCCTGAATATTATTGAGCTATATCATATAAGTGAAAGTGTCCCTTCTGTCTGTATAATTAGAATGTCACCAGAAGATCAGTGTAGCTTATTTGACCAAAACCAATCTAAACAAACTCCTGCAAAACAAAAAATCAAAACAAATACTGTACCCTGTAATTATTGCAGGTAGAAATTGAAGAACTTTACCTGCTGTCTGTCTTCCTAGTGGTAATAATACTCAGGAATATGATCATTGATATCTTCAGCCATCCGCAAACACTTGTTACTTTTGGTGCTTAAATATCATTTTAAAAGTAAAAATATACTTATAAACTGTAGCAATTAAATAGTTAGAAGAAGCAGAGTTAATAATGTACTATAATATTTACTAGAGAAATACTGAAAACCAAAAAGTCACATTGATAGTAACTTTTCTTCCTTGAGCTCACTTCTAAAGAACTATAACAAACTAAATTACATTTAAACATACAATAGTCATTAACTAGGCAATCACTTACTGAGTCTACCATAGGCCAGACATTAAAAATTTTTCTTAGTCCAGCAACCTTGTATATCGTAAGGATCCACAAAATTAATGCAATGAGAAGGGAGAGGTGAAATTATAGACATTGAATTTTGAATTCAAATGTTAGCTTCTTTAAATGCTCCCGAGGTTAAAGATTTGTCCTCCTCCTCCCAACTGAATCTCAGTGTTGGAATGATACACAACATTTAAATGGAAACTATTGAAACTTTGGCAGATACCTAGAAGTATGGTTTTGAGTTGCTATTTTCTTGGATAATTTACTTACTGATTAAATTACCTACTGTGTATAAAGTGTGATGATAGGTGTGGCTCATCAGGTAAATTGTTTATTTTTTATGTATATATATATTTTTGAGATGGAGTCTTGCTCTGTTGCCCGGGTTGGAGTGCAGTGGTGCAGTCTTGGTGCACTGCAACCTCCGCCTTCCGGGTTCAAGCGATTCTCCTGCCTCAGCCTCCCGAGTAGCTGGGATTACAGGCACATGCCCAGCTAATTTTTGTATTTTTAGTAGAGATGCGGTTTTGCCATCTTGGCAAGGCTAGTCTTGAACTCCTGACCTCAGGTGATCTGCCTGCCTTGGTCTCCCAAAGCGAGGTAAATTGTTTATTAAACAGCAAATGAATAAATATAAAATTGCTTTTCAATTAAATGATTAGCTTGAAACTATAATTCAAGGGTGAACTTAAGGCAGAAAATGCGTCTTCATCACCTTTTTAAATTCCCAGGTCCTGAGTACCTAACACAGTAGGCATTTAATTTTTTTTTCATTGCTACAATAAGGAAATATAAGATCTAAAAATAGAAATTCTGAAGTAGTTAGGATAAGCTCCTATGGAAGCTACTCAGAAATCTTGATTAAATAAAGACCTTTATACAGTTTATAGAAATGACTAATTTCTAGTTTTTCCTTTTGGTCAGTGCTTGCTGTGGGGTAGAAATTAAGTCATTATATGTAATATATACATACAAAGTAGTATCTAAAACTAGACAAACCTGATATAGAAGCTTTTTTTTTTTTTTTTTTGAGATGGAGTCTCGCTCTGTCGCTAAGGCTAGAGTGCAGTGGTGCGATCTCGGCTCACTGCAACCTCTGCCTCCCAGGTTCAAGTGATTCTCCTATGTCTGCCTCCCCAGTAGCTGGAATTATAGGCACAGGTCACCACGCCTGGCTAATTTTTGTATTTTTAGTAGAGAAGGGGTTTCATGATGTTCGTCAGGCTGGTCTTGAACTCCTGACCTCAGGTGATCCACCCCTAATTGAAAATTACTTCACATTACCCCAGAAGAGAAAGCTATGCTCAAGTTGCGTACAATCAATTTTATCATAAAGATATGCTAAGTCTGCTGCACAGTTAAAAAGGACAATTCTTTAGAAGCTGAGATACTTTTAATCTAGATTCCGTCTTCCACTCATCACAAATCTCTGCTTTAAAAATGTTGATTTTCATGTATATTCAGCAATTCTTATTTGCAATTCTTCTGGGTAAGTCAGTATTTTCTTAAAACTAGTAACACTTATTAAAAGGCTTTTTCATACTGAGAAGACAAAAGGACTCAATGCCTCACATATGAGGCAAGTGAAAAGAACATTATTTTTATTAATCTATTTGAGTTTTGAATATATTGTTTTATTCATTTCAAAATCTGAACCTAGGCTGGGTGCGGTGGCTCATGCCTGTAATCCCAGCATTTTGGGAGGCCAAGATGGGCGGCTCACTTGAGGTCAGGAGTTCGAGACCAGGGTGGCCAACATGGTGAAAACCCCGTCTCTAGTAAAAGTAAAAAAAATTAGCCAGGCATGGTGGCCGGTGCCTGTAATCCCAGCTACCTGGGAGGCTGAGGCAGGAGAATTGCTTGAACCTGGGAGGTGGAGGGTGCAGTGAGCCGAGATCATGCCACTGTACTCCAGCCTGGGTGACAGAGCAAGACTCTGTCTCTAAAAACAACAACAAAAACGGAAGATAAAGAGCTTTGACAACTTAAGTTTAAAAAAGGAGACAGCTATGTATTTTATAGCTTAGCTTCTACCTAGTACATCTTCATAAAAAAAACTCATTGCCTTTAAAATTACCCCTTTTCAAACAAAATACATGTGTACTTGGAGATGCAAACTCACAGTAAGAACACAAGATCATTTTAACAAGCACTAAACTGAGGCTCAGGGAAGTTAAATAACAAGGCTATGGATACTTGGTCAGGTTCAGAAAAGTTTGCACCCCAAGTTCAAGGTAAAGAAAGGCTTCACTGTTCTGAAGTCCCTAGTATGGCAAAGTTACATGGCCATCAGAGAGCTAATTAAAAAAACTATGTTTAAATTATTTCCATGTTTCAGAGTTCTCCACCTCTAGACTCAGAATGCAGTTTAAAGATGTGACCTGAGACATTTTTGTTTTCCCTTGAGAGGAAATGCACAGTTGGAAGTTCACAAAAACACCTCTTCAAAAAACAGTAATACTGTTTTCATCTTTATAAAAAGCTTTCATCACAACTCTTTGGTGGCACTTCATGCCTTCAAGTACTCATTTTGGTGATCGTTGGCTCCCTTTTAGTCTGTCTCACAAGCCAGGTTATAAATGGTTTGAAATCAGGGGCCTTGTTTTTACTTTGAACCCATCGCAGAGCCTGGCACAGCGTGGCAGAGTGTGCGCCCAATAAATACTTGAGTGGAATTACACTGAAAAACAGGAAGAAGTAAAGCCATCTTCCATCTGCCAAAGACTGTGATGTTGCTGTATTGGTAATTTTCATTCTTAGAAAGCTTTAATGTGAATGAAATTATTCCTTACTGTGCATTTGAAAATTCCACTGAAAACAGTTTTAAAAATTAAGCATGCCCTCTTAGAGGCAGGGGGCACAGTTCTGGACAGATGAGAAAAGTGACAGTGACATCTCTGCATTGTTCAGAGAAGAAAGGTCAACAAAGAGTAGAAATAGAACACTCAACCCACCCTGCATTCTTTCCCTAGAACATTCTCTGTGTGTCCCTTATCATTTAAGCTTTTCATATGTAGTTTTCTTGAAACTGACCATATGCTCTTTTGGGGTGAGGGGAGGAGACGGAAGAAGGAGATGGAGAAGGTCTGAGATGATTTTTTTCGACAGCAGCGTCCACTTAGGCCCTTGGGGAGGCCGGGTCACGGGGCCTCCTTGCACCAGTGGTCTACAACGTCTTGCCTGCGGTTTACAACCGCTCTTTTAAAATAATTTCCCTTTGGGACGGCCCCCGGCTTCTTCCTGCCACCCCCATCCCCACCCCGCCCCCATCCTCATCCTTAGAGGCCCCAGGCAAACGCTTCGGATTCCCGGTTAGGTCTCAGAGTAAACAGCACGCTTGGAGGATTACAATCGACCCGAGGCCAATTCGACCCTTTCCCTTTGCCGCCCTCAATTGACCCTTGAAGCAGCCCCTGCTCTCCCTTCAAATGGAAAACCCACAGACACACACACAAACAAAAACCCCAAGTCTTCCTTTCGGTTGCTACCCGCAATGACGTTTCCCCCCTCGGGTCCCGCCCCTCCAGGGGGCTTGGAATTTTGGGATTGGCCGAGAGGCTGTGGCGACAAGGCCCGGATTGGACAGCATGGCGCTGACTGACAGCGGGGGCGGCCGCCGCGCCCTCCCTCTCTCCCCGGTGTGCAAATGTGTGTGTGCGGTGTTATGCCGGACAAGAGGGAGGTGACCGTGGCGGCGGCGGCGGCGGCTCTGTTTATTGTCCCTCTCGGTGTGTGTGTGTGAGGAAATCGGGGCTGCAGCGAGGCTAAGGCTGCCTTTGAAGCAGCGGCGGCGACCGGGACGACTACTCTGGCGACTCGAGTGGCTGGCCTTCGCGGAGTGTGAGAAGGACAAGGCACCTCTGCGTCCTCGCCACGTCCGAGCGCCTCGGGCTCCCCGGCCGCCCTCGCGGCTCGCACGCCCGGGCTTCAGCCCGGCCTGCAGCGGCGCCCGCGGGCGGGCGAGAAGGCAACGCCGCCGCTCGGCCGCCGCCGGTCGCTCCCTGCTTTCTCCTCAGCCGCCGCGCTAGGCCCGGGCGACGCGGACGCCGCGCCTCGAGTTTGAGGGCAGCCGGCGGCGCGGCCTCCTCAGCGGGCTCGGCTGGACGTCCGCTCCGGATCTTCGCGATGGGGCGCGGGGGTCGGCGCGGCTAGGAGTGCGGCGAGTGGAGCGGTGGGTGCGGAGCGGCGGGGCCCAGCGGCCCGCAGGGAGGCGGGAGCGGCGGCTGCGGCCTCAGGGCCTGTGAGCTGGAGGCACTCGCCATGGCCAAGTCGGGTGGCTGCGGCGCGGGAGCCGGCGTGGGCGGCGGCAACGGGGCACTGACCTGGGTGGTAAGTGGCTGGTCCCCGGGACGGGCGGCTGCATTGTTCCGGGCCCGCGGCGGGGGCGGAATTCCGAACGGGCGGGGGAGGGGAAAGGGAGGGAAATCCCGTCCCCCGAACGGGCGCTCCATAGGGGCCTGTGCTTGCAGAATCCTCCAGCCCGCTCCCCGCGCCTTTTCTTTCTTTCTTTCTCTGTACGTCTCTGGAAGTCCTGACTGCCAGAGCGTAATGTGTACTTGAAACTTTGGGGGGACAAAACCGCGAACGTAACATACAGCCCCCGCTTCCTCTCTTTTCTTTTTAACCAGACTCTTCCGGGGCAGCCGAACCTGAAATGGTGGGGATGGCGATAATGCAAGTGTGTCTGTGTGGGGCAGCATTTTCTCCAAATGTAGTTCAAGAAAACCCTGGGAAAAGGGGTGTGTGTGTGTGTGTATTCTAAATGCAGCTCTTTCTGGGGCTTTAATCTCAAAGAAGAATGCATTGGGATTTCTACAGCAACTTGCACTTCAATTTGGAAAGCCTCATTCAATGCGCTCAATTGAGAGCGCATTGGGGATGACTTTCACAGCAGTTAATACTGTAGGTCGTCCCTCTGTCAGGGTGAGATTATTAAAAGAAGTGCTTGTCTACGTCAGCATCGCAGGTGTAACGGGGTGAGGGCTGAATGGATGTCCTGGAGAGGTGACTGAAGTGCTTAGTCCTGAAGTTAAAGGATTTCGACGCTCAGTTCTTGCTGGGAAGTAGAAGTAACTGCAGCGGAAGGAGGAAGGGAGACTGGATTCCCACGACAGATCGATAATTCGCCGGCATTTCACTTGCTCAGCGTAGAGTTCAGACCAGGGTCATTTCCTATACAGAAAACCTAGGTATTTCGGAGAAAAGTAAAAAGTGTTACATTTTTCTGGACTTTTGACGGTCTGTTCCCCCGTCCCTGTTTTAAATACCTCAAGGGAGCTTTCATATAGGCATTTTTGTTACTTAGTTCGTTTTCTCTTTGTTTGGGTGAGGTTTGGGTGAGTTGAATAGCAATTTGTGCTATATTGACAACTGCTTCTTATAAAAAGGGTGCTACTGACAGCAGCAAAACATTTTAATCACTTATGTTTGCGTGCCAGGGTACATTGCAAAATAACTTGCCATGCTCTTATTGTTGAAATTCTTTGAATGTTGTATATTACTCCGATTATGTAGAATGAAAGTATGAAGGGACTAGGGCCAGGAGAGAAAATGTCAGATACTAAGTTAGTGGTCCATGTGGACTTGCAGTAGAGGGTATGTGAGAGGAAGAAGGAGGAGATGGACACATACATGCAAAATAATGACTTTCAGAATTAATGGCTTTTACCCCTGTCACTAAAATCAGACATCGGAAAATTGACTTAGACAGCCAAATGGTATTGTAAGTTCTCATTCACTATTTGGAAGTGTTGAGGCCTGATCGGTGTTTCCTCTGAAGACCTCTGGTTCTATAATGGTAAACATTTTGCTCCGTAGTGGATTGTTGGCTTTAACATTTGATAGCAGTACTTTAATTAACTGTTATATAATTTTGTAGATAATTAAATGACAATTTATTTCTTTCAAGCTCCATAGGAAACTCATTGCTAATTTAGCAAAACTTGGAGCATCTCATTCAAGATAGAAAAATCCATTTGAAACTGAAATTGACTTATTGATTAAAGGAATTTTCATTATAAAGCAGATTATGGAAAATATGGGAAATGCAGTAAAATAAAGAGAAGTGAAGATCACTTAGTGTTTTATTTATAGAGTATATCTTATGGAATTAGAAGTTTATTAAAAAGATAATCACTCCTGTAAGTCTTCTTTAAGAGTTGATGCTTACTCTAAGGTTATATGAGCATCTTTATGTCCATAATATACATCATTGATCATATAGACTGGTTTGATTTTATGGGAGGCAATATAGTGAGGTAGTTATGGGCTTTGACGTCAGGCTGATGTAGGTTCAGATACTGTCTCTCCAACACATTTAGTTGGACTTTTCCCAAGGAACCTAACCTTTCTAAGCCTGTTTTTTTATCTGTCAAATAAGGTTGCATTGAGAATGAAATGAGATAACGTGTGTAGCACAGTGCTGGGCTTAATGATGTTTGTTATTATTGGTGAACTTCAAGAAATGCACACTCAAATAATAGATTGCAGTTGCTTTTACATAAAATATCTTTTAGCTGGGGTAAAAGCAAATTAATTTTTCCTTTGCACGAGTTGGGGCTTTATTGCAGTGGTCATCTGTTTTGAGAAAGGTAACTTCGTCTGCTTTATTGAAGCTAGTGTTATGTTGCCACCTGCTTGTGGTAACAGAAAGAAATAAAAATAGAATTAGCCCCTGATTTCTTTCTTCTGGGTGAGGAGTTGTATGCCATGTGTTGCTGATATTAACTACTGTTGGGATGCATGCCAGCATGTGTTGTTAATGTCATTGCATGAAAATTTGCCTTTCAATATCTGAAACTACAAAGCCAAGTGGTTTTAGGACTGGCATTAACTTATTTTAATAATTCATTTGGTTTGTGTTTGATTTGTAGGAGTATCTCAACCAGAATTTTTTATAATTAAAAAAAGTGAAAAATATAAACATGGCAAAGCTATTTTGATTTAAAATGTATAGCAGTTACAAAGGCTTCTCTTAAGGCAGCAGGGTTTCTTGAATTAATTCTTTGTAGAGCTTTGATTAGTAGATAGTAATAGTCTGGTTCATTCTGTCAGTCTTGTATCATAAGTGATTGTAACAAAGACATTTGTGGAAATACTAGAATACAGTTATATGACTTAATCTTTTTCCCAACAATATTCTAACTTGGTAGATTAAAAAAAATTTTTAATGGAAAATGTTAAGCATCTCAAAAAGTGGTAACCAGAGTAGTATAACAAGCTTCCCTCTATTTAGCCTTAAGCTTCAATAATTATCAACCTGCCGGGTGCGGTGGCTCACGCCTGTAATCCCAGAACTTTGGGAGGCCAAGGCAGGCGGATCACCTGAGGTCAGGAGTTCATGACCAGCCTGACCAACATGGAGAAACCCCATCTCTACTAAAAATACAAAATTAGCTGGGGTGGTGGCGCATGCTTGTAATCCCAGCTACTCGGGAGGCTGAGGCAGGAGAATCGCTTGAACCTTGGAGGCGGAGGTTGCGGTGAGCCGAGATCACGCCATTGCACTCCAGCCTGGGCATCAAGAGTGAAACTCCGTCTCAAAAAAAAAAAAAAAAAAATCAACCTAAGACCACCCACTTTATCCCTTCTCATTCTTTTGAAGCAGAGCAAATCCTAGAATTTTATCACTTTCTCTGTAAATATTTCAGTATTTATCTCTAACAGTAAAGTCTCTTTTTGAAAAACTGTATAACCACAAATAACATTGTAGTTTTCTCAAAAGTCACATTTTTTGAAATATATAACATATTTTTGGAGTGTGAATATCTCTAATTAAACATGACTATGTATTTAAATATTGTTTAAAGATTTATTTTAAGAACCTTGCTTTAGTGGTTTACTGTTGCGAGTCTAAATTGCTGAGCCAGACTTTCATAAACTATGTGCCCTTTCCAATGAAATTTATTTATTATAGTCTCCATAGTTAGATTTATCTCTTCACTGTCCCCTACACAAGTTAGGCTTGTTTTTGTCACTTTGTCTTTACATATTTGCCTTCCATCTGGAATTACTTTTTCACTTCTCTTTACTAGTCTAAATCTTAACTGTTCTTCAGGGCTAGCTCAGAGCCTTGTCACATTATTATTTTCCAGTTGATACTCATCTTTTTCTTTCATTGAATGTTTGTTACTCTCATGAATCATAAAACAGAAGTCTTTATTTTTTATGTAACTTTCATGCATGATAACTTTGCCTTAATATTACAAATTTCTGAAGTTAGAGAGCATGTATTTTCCTTGTTTATGTCCTTCAGAGTGTTAAACAAAGAACTGGATACGTAATCCAGTCTCAGTTATTTAAAAATTGGATAATTGACATGCTGACTTCCTAAAAAGTCTTCTGTCATTAGTAGGACAAGAGTTTAAGTAGCAGTGTTTTTTAGATACATTCTCAAGTACATGATATAGCAGTATTTAGGCACGTTTTTAATAAACTTAATTTTTCTGAATCGAAGTATGTTCACCTGTAATCCCAGGTTTGTTGGTTAGGTGGTGGCAACAATTGCATTTTACTGAGTACACTTTAAAAAATAAACTTCTTGAATTTTTAAAAGTATTAACACGTATAGAACCCCATTTTAACGAAAAGTTGAAGTAGCTATAGTTATTCCTATTTGCAGAGAAGGAAACGGGTTTAGAGATTAGGTAACAAATTCTTAGGCACATGGTTAAGGCACAGGTGGAATTTAAACCAGACTCAGTGTTCTTAACATTTACACAGCCTTCAACTTTAAAAACATTGAAAGACAAAACAACTCATCTTTTATACTCTGATAAGACAGAATAAGGAGACATCTGGGATATACCTGTCTTTTTCTACTAACCTTTTACTTTCATACAAAAAGCTAAGGAGTATATTTCCTTTTCAGAATATGTGTACTTAGTATAGCATAATGCTAAGAGTATGGGCTGTGAAATCAGATCATCTAGTTTCATAATTCACCTTTGTCAAGTACTAGTTTTGTTAGCTTTGGGAAAACACTTATCCCAACCTTAGTTATCTCATCTGTACAAAGGGAATTATAACAGTGTCTATTTCATGGAGATACTATATAAGAATTAATTAAGATTATCGTAGTGCTTGGCACATAGTAGCTCCCAGATGGGTTCACACATACATTCTCCCTTCTTTTTTAATCCAGTGATAAGTATTTTCATTCCCTTTATTATAGAGAAAGCCTATTTTCATAGCAGAAGTCTAAGCATTTGTTACTGTCTTAAGTATCTCTTATCTCTTCCTTGCCCCTTTGTTTAGAAGGGTATTTCTGAAGGAGCATAGACAGGGGACAGTTTGTTGCTTTTTGCTTCATTAATGGTGGGTAGATAACATGGCCTCTCCATTTACATATAGGTGAAATATGGTTAGAATGAACATCATGGGATGGCAGCCTTGAGGGAGAAAAGAGAGAGGAGACATTATAAAAGGTTGGTGTTAAGTCTGAGGGGATTGTACAGAAGAAGGTAAAAGAAGGGGCTCGTTGCTAGGCTGCCAGCCCCCACTTCCACTCTTGTTGGCCTGGTGATGGTGAGCTTTCTGTGTTGATTATGTGAATGAGTGGCTCAGTTCTTTTTTAGTACCAACTGGCAAACCATCTCCTTTACCCTGTTTGTCAGCAATTCATTCTCCCTCAGAAAAACAAACTGGGTGCTTCTGCCAAATTGCTATATTTCAGGTGACAATTCTGTCCATTGAAGAATCTTTTGTTTTGTTTTGCAGAATGATCTTGGTGTATAGTCGTTCTGAAAAATAGGAAGTTTTACTGGAATGTTTTCCATTTTCTTCTGAAGACTGAGAAATGTTCTTGAAAAAGATCAAATCTTGGATTAGTATTAAATCTGTTTTTTTATTAGGCATTAGCAATATTGCAAAAGTGCCATAAGATAGGTTAATATTTAAAATATATAGTCTATATAGTTATTTTGGTATTTTTGTTATAATTTTAAATTTTCCCTAAATGCTTTGTTTAATTTGGCAGCTGACTTGAAATTCAGAAAAAGTCAATGATGTTATCATCATATTTATAAATGAAAAAGAATATAATTAAAACAACTTTTAGATATGTGTAGGAAATTTAATATGGTGATTATTTTACACTTTTATTGTCTTCATGATAATGAAAATGTAGCCTTGATTTTTTAGATTCCAATTTAATTGGATGCTGGCATTGTTTATTACTATCAGTAGTTTGGTAATTTGTTCACATAAATTAAGGCAGGGAAATAAATTACAAATAAACTTAACAAGTTTTCAATCGTTAGTCTCAACGCAAATTTATTCAAAATGCTTTTGGTAAATAATAATAATAATTATTATTATATATTTTTTGAGATGGAATCTCGCTCTGTTGTTGCCCAGGTTGGGGTGCAGTGGCGCTGTCTCGACTCACTGCAAGCTCTGCCTCCCGGGTTCTTGGCGATTCTCCTGCCTCAGCCTCCTGAGTAGCTGGGACTACAGGCGCCCGCCACCATGCCCAGCTAATTTTTTTTTTTTTTTTTTGAGACGGAGTCTCGCTCTGTCGCCCAGGCTGGAGTGCAGTGGCGGGATCTCGGCTCACTGCAAGCTCCGCCTCCCGGGTTCACGCCATTCTCCTGCCTCAGCCTCCCAAGTAGCTGGGACTACAGGCGCCCGCCACTACGCCCGGCTAATTTTTTGTATTTTTAGTAGAGACGGGGTTTCACCGTTTTAGCCGGGATGGTCTCGATCTCCTGACCTGATGATCCACCTGCCTCAGCCTTCCAAAGTGCTGGGATTACAGGCGTCAGCCACCGCGCCCAGCCGGTGAATTATTATTTTTAAAGGCATGTTGTTAATTTTTATTCAATGTGGAGTACTGTGAGCAATTGCTATAGAACATGATATCTTATTACTGTGAACATATAAGAATAAAAAGAGGTAAAATCAAAAGACTCTTCTGGGTCTAAAGTGAGTATAATTCTGTTAGCCTGCATGTGTCAGATATACATCACTCTCTTTTATGATCTGTAAAGTTGAGGTGCTTTTATAAACATGCAGATAGGAGTTTGCTAGTTTGTGGTTGTTCAAGGCAATTTGCTGTTCTCTTTTCTGAATATTGTCAGCAAGAGTGTTAAAATTGAAGAGCTACCCAGGGTGACATTTTTTTTAAGAGATAGAGATAGTGATGATAACAGCAAGGGAGAAGGTGCAGAATAGGTTTCTCATTTAGCTTCTCTCTTCTAAGGCCAAAGGTGGTTTGTATTAAATATGCATACCTGTTCTAGGGATGGGATCATCATATTAACTGGGTAAGTTGCCCTCTCTCCCCTTACCCCAGATTTTGATTTTTAGTGACCTGGACATTGCTCAGGGGACAACTTTCTGCTGACAAACAGGAGTTGAAAGAGACTATTATTTCAGGTTTCTGTTACAAAAACATATAAAAGTCTCAGGGGAGAACCTCCTGTGTTTGCCACTAGTGAGCCAGTGAGCAATGTAAATTACCATTTGTTGAGAATGGGAACGTAAAAGACAAATTGGATTCTAGTGTTAATTTCTACTTTCTACTCTGCCAAGGCTGCCAATCTTATTTGTGTATTTTGATTTTGTTTTTGCATAGCCTCTAGTGAGAAAGTTGGGGTTGCAGAAGTAATAAATAGGTGTAAACATTGCCTCTAGGAAAAGAAACCTTCAGTTTTATTCTAGCTTAATTATGTTTTCACATACTTGGGTTAATAAGCCTTTAACATATTTCTTTATGCATTCATTGTAGAAATTTAGAAAAGGTGTAGAAAAGATAAAAGTGGCATGTATTTCTACTCTATAGATAATTTTTATTGATATTCTGTTGGGCATATTTCACATTTTTTCCTATGCATGCATATATTATGCATAATTTTTTTCTGACAAAAATGGGCTCATGTTTTATATATACTCCTTTGTAATGCCCACTAAACAGTGCCATTTTGATAAACTACTAATTTAAACATACTTGATTATCTTTACTAATATAAATTTTCTATAAAAACTAGAGCAATAAAAGATTAACACCAATTATTTTTAGTATAGTAATTATAGACTTATTTACTCATTGAAACGTCCAAGTTTAAGGGTTTATATTAAGGATTTTTGTTTGTTTTTTATCTATTTATTTATTTATTTATTTTTGTGATGGAGGCTTGCTATCACCCAGGCTGGTCTCAAATTCCTGGGCTCAGGGGATTGATCCTCCGGTCTCAGACTCCAGAGTAGCTGGGACGACAGGCCTATGGCACCATGCCCTAGGTTTTATAAGTTGTTTGATATTATAATTGGCAGTTGATTTGAAATATCTGCAAATGACTTCCATTGTATTCTATAAATAATGTGTATCCCTTAAGGCTTTTCCTGACTTTAAATAGAATGGTATATCTTTTTCTTTCCTCAATAGTTGTCATATGATATTTAGAAAAAAGTGTATTGTCACACATTCATCACACTTATTTTACAGTATTTCTATGTTCTTCCTAGAGAAAATTACAAATAATATTAGACAAAGTCATCTACATTTCA
This sequence comes from Homo sapiens, assembly GCF_000001405.40. NCBI lineage: Eukaryota > Metazoa > Chordata > Mammalia > Primates > Hominidae > Homo > Homo sapiens. The sequence goes on along the minus strand of NC_000003.12, from coordinate 25,656,050 downwards.
CATGTTCAATTTTTTTTGTTGTAAAAAAATACAACATTAAATTTACTGTCTTAGCCATTAAGTGTAGAGTTCGGTAGTGTTAAATATATTTACATTGTTAAGCAACAGATCTCTAGAAGTATTTCATTTTCCCAAACTGAAACTATATCTACTAAACACTAATTCCCTCTCCCCCCAGCCCTTGGTTAACCACCTTTCTACTTTCTGTTTCTATGATTTTGATTACTGTGGATACTTTATATGATTGTAATCATACAGTATTTGTCCTTTGTGACTGGCTTATTTTGTTTAGCATAATATCCTTGAGGTTCATCCATGTTATAGCACATGACAAGATTTCCATGTTTTTTGAGGCTGCATAATACTCCATTGTATCTATATACGCATTTTAAAAATCCATTCATACACCAGTGAACATTTGGGTTGCCTCGCCTTTTGGCTATTATGAATAATACCGTGATGAACATGGGTGTGCAAATATCTCTTTGAGATTTTGCTTTGAATTCTTTTGGATATATACCCAAAAGTGGGATTGCTGGATCATATAGTAATTCTATTTTTAATTTTTTGAGGAACCTCCACACTATTTCCATAATGGCTGTAGCATTTTTCTAGCATTTTATATTCTCACCAACAGTGTAGAAATGTTCCAGTTTCTCCACATCCTTACCAACAGTTATTTTCTGATGGCTGTCTTAATAGGTGTGAGGTGATATCTTATTGTGGTTTTGATTTTCATTTCTCTTATTAGTAATGTTGATTATCTTTTCATATGCTGTTGACCATTTGCATATCTTATTTGGAGAATTGTCTATTGAAATCCTTTATCCATTTGAATGGGGTTATTTTGTTATTGTCGAGTTATAGAAGCTCCTTATCTATTTTGGATATTAACCATTTGATGGTTTACAGATATTTTCTCCATTCCATACGCTGCCTTTTCACTCTGTCAGTTGTTTTCTTTGGTGCACAGAAATTCTTAAGTTTGGTGTCCTGTTTGTCTATTTTTGCTTTTGTTGCCTGTGATTTTGGTGCCATATCCATGAAATCATTGCCAAATCCAGTGTCTCAAAGGTTTTCCTTTATGTTTCCTTCTAGGAGTTTCAGAGTTTTAGGTATTACTTTTAGGTCTTTAATCTATGTTAATTTTTGTATGTGGCATGAGAGTCCAACTTCATTCTTTTGCTTGTTATCCAGTTTTCCCAGCACCATTTGTTGAAGAGACTGTCCTTTCCCCACTGTGTAGTCTTGGCATTCTTGTGAAAAATCATTTGGCCTTTTATGTAAGGGTTTATTTCTGTGCTCTCTCTTCTGTCTGTATGCCAGTGCCACACTGTTTTAGATTTCTGTTGTTCTGTAGTAAAATCAGGTTTTGAAATCAGGAGGTGTGAGGCCTTTAGCTTTATTCTTCTGATTAAAGACTGATTTAGCTCTATGGGTCCTCTTGAGATTCCATATGAATTTTAGATTTTTTTTTGTATTTCTGCAAAAAATACCATTGGGATTTTGGTAGGAATGGCATTGAATCTGTAGATCACTTTGGATAGTTTGGACATTTTAACAATATTTTAAGCTTTTAAATCCATGAGAATGGAATGCCCTTCCATTTATTGGTATCTTTTTTTCATTTCTTTTAACAATGTTTTGTATTTTGACATTATTCTCACCTCTTTGGTTAAGTTTACTCTGTGGTAGTTTATCCTTTTTGATGCTATAGTAAATGGGATTGTTTTCATAATTTCCTTTTTTGATTGGTCATGGTTACTGCATGAAAACATAACCAATTTTTGTATCCTGCAACTTGCTGAAATCATTTATTAGTTGTAATAGTTTTTCTGTGGAATCTTTTGGGTTATCTACTATAAGATTATGCCATTTGTGAGCATAATTCTACTTCTTTTCCAATTTCTATGCCTTTTATTTCCTTTTCTTGTCTTAATTGCTCTGACTAGGACTTCTAATACTATCTTGAATATTGATAATATTGGGCATCCTTGCCTTGTTCCTCCTGATCTTAGAGGAAAAGTTTTTAGTCTTTCACCAGTATATGTGCTGTTAGCTGTTGGCTTTGTGTGTATTGCTTTTATTATATTGAGGTGTTTTCTTTCTATTTCTAGTTTGTTATGTGTTTTTATCAGGAAAGTGTGTTGAATTTTGTCAAATGCTTTTTGCACATCAATTGAGATGATAATGTGTTTTTTGCCCTTCATTTTGTTAATATAGTGTAGTACAATGATTTGTTTTCATATTTGGAAACATCCTTGCATTTCAAGTATAAATCCCATTTGCTTATTGTGTGTAATCCTTTTAATGTGCTGTTGGGTCAGGCATGGTGGCTCCTGCCTGTAATCCCAGCACTTTGGGAGGCCAATGCAGGAGAATCGCTTGCGGCCAGGAGTTTAAGACCATCCTGGACAATATGGTAAAACCTTGTCTCTAGAAGAAATTTTAAAATTAGCCAGGTGTGGAGGCACACAGTTGTAGTACTAGCTACTTGGGGCAGGGGTTGTGGGGTATTAAGGAGGAGGGTGGGTGTGCTGAGGTGGGAGGATCACTTGAGCCTGGGAGGTTGAGGCTGCAGTGAGCCATTGTCATGCCACTGCACTCCAGTGTGGGCAACAAAATGAGACCCTCTCTTAAAAAAAAAAAGTGCTATTGAATTGAGTTTGCCAGTATTTTTGGGGGGATTTTTTGCATCAGTCTTTATCACGGGTATTGTTCTGTAGTCCTCTTGTTCTGTCTTCTAGTTTTTGTATCAGAGAAATGCTGGCTTCATAGAATGATTCTGGAAGTGTTCCCTGCCCCTCATTTTTTGGTAAGAGTTTGAAGAGTTAATTCTTCTTTGATTATTTGGTAGAATTTTCAAGTGAAGCCATCTGGTACTGGGCTTTTCTTTGTTGGGAAGTTTTTGATTACTGTTTCATCTTCTTATTTGTTATAGGGCTGTTGAGATTTTTTATTCATGATTCAGTCTTGGTAGATTATATGTTTGGAATGTATTCATTTCTTCTAGGTTATCTAATCTGTTGCCATATGTGTGGTCATGTAAGTCTTTTATAATCTTTATTTCTGTGACATCAATTATAATGTCCCCTTTCGTTTCTAATTTTAGTTATTTGATTATCTCTTTTTTTTCTTATGTAATCTAGCTAACGATTTGTCAGTTTTGTTAATTTTTTCAAAAAACAAACTCTTGGTTTCATTGATTTTTTTTCCTCATTGTTTTTCTATTCTCTATTTTATTTATCTTTGTTTTAATCTTTATTTCCCTTCATTAATTTGGTTTAGTTTCTCTTTTCCTAGTTCTTTGAAAGGGTCTAAAGTTAGGTTGTTAATTCGAGATCTTTACTGATTGTTAATGTTAGGTGTAATACTGTTTTAGCTGCATTACATAAATATTGCTCTATTGTGTTTTGGTTTTCATTTGTCTCCTGATATTTTCTAAATTCGCTTGTGATTTCATCTCTCACCCATTGGTTATATGAGAGTGAGTTGTTTAACTTCCACTTATTTGTGGATTTTACTGTTTTCCTTCTACTATTGATTTCTAGTTTAATTCCATTTTTGATGGAAAATATACCTTATATGATTATAGTCTTCTTAAGTTTGTTAAGACTTGTTTTGTCACGTAACATGTGGTCTTTGTTGGAGAATGTTCCAAGTGCAATTGAAAAGAATGTGTATTCTCCTGTTGTTGATTGGAGTGTTCTGAGTATGTCTGTTAGGTCCAATTGGTCTATAGTGTTGTTCAAGTTCTTTGTGTCTTTATTGATCTTCTGTGTGGTTGTTCTATCCATAACTGAAAGTGGGCTAGTGAAGTCTCCTACTATTATTGTGTTGGTCTCTCTCTCCCTTCACTTCTGTCAGTGTTTGCTCATAAATTTGGGAACTGTAATGTTAGATGCATATCTTACTGGTGAATTGACCCTTTTATCATATAATGTCCTACTCTGTCTCTTGTGACAGTTTTTATCTTAAACTCTATGTTGTCTGATGTAAGTACGGCCACTCTCTTCAGATTCCAGTTTTCTGGAATATCTTTTTCCATCCTTTTATTTGTAGCCTTTGTGCATCTTTGGATCTGAAGCAGATGTCTTGTAAACAACCTGTAGTTGGATCTTATTTTTTTATTCCATTGGCCAATCTATGTCTTTTATTTGGGCACTTAATCTTTTTTTTTTTTTTTGAGACACAATCTCCCTCTGTTGTCCAGGCTGAAGTACAGTGGCACAATCTTGGCTCACTGCAACCTCTGCCTCAGGTTCAAGTGATTCTTCTGCCTCAGCCTCCCGAGTAGCTGGGATTACAGGTGGCTGCCACCATGCCTGGCTAATTTTTGTATTTTTAGTAGAGATGGCGTTTTACCATATTGGCCATGCTGGTCTCTTAACTCCTGACCTCAAGTGATCTGCCCACCTTGGTCTCCCAAAGTGCTGGAATTACAGATGTGAGCCACCGCTCCTGGCCCAATTTATATTTAAAGTAATTATTGACATGGACTCACTATTGCCATTTTGATTATTTTTTTATATGTCTTATAGCTTTTTTGTCCATCTTTCTTCCCTTGCTGCCTTCTTTTGTGTTTCATTGATTTTTTTTTTTTTTAGTGACATGTTTTGATTTTCTTCTAATTTCTCTTTGTGTATATTCTACAGATATTTTCCTTGACTTTACCTTGCCATTACATAACATATCTTCAGGTGATAAAAATAAATTTTAAATTAGTAACTTCAATGCCATATGAAAACTCTTCCTTTTTTCACCTCTGCCCTCCCCTGCTTTGTTTTTGATGATACTTTACCTCTTTTTATATTGTGTATATTTTAACACAGATTTAGAATTATTTTTTATGCTTTAAAAAATTCTATACTATATTTAAGTGATCTGTATTACTGTATTACAATACTAGAAGATGCCATATTTGTCTGTATACAAATAGTCTTCAAAAAGTTCATGGAAAATGTGTATTATGAGAAAACTATGCATGGATTTCAAAATTTTTTGGTATCAAAATAAACTTGTACTAACTTGTTATAACGTGTCTGAACAAAATCTAGTTTGCGGTACTAAGAAGGATAAGACATCATTTGGAAAAGAGCCCCTGTCAGAGCAATATGAATTATGCTAAAATTGAAGCAAGAACAAACATCAAGTTTATGAAGAAGCTTAGGTGAAAGAATGGTGAAATCATTGATTTACAATATGTTTACAGGGCCAATGCCTCAAATAAATGAGCAGTTTACAAATGGATAACTTCTTTTAAGAAGAGATGAGATGATGTTAAAGATGAAGCCTGCAGCAGCAGACCATTACATCAATTTGTCAGGAAAAGATTAATCATGTTCATGCCCTTATTTAAGAGGACCAATGATTAATAGCAGAAACAATAGCTAACACCATAGATGTCTCAGTCGGTTCAGCTTCCACAATTCTATATGAAAAATTAAAGATTCACAGACTTTCCATTCAATGAGTGCCAAAACCATTGTGCCTAGATCAGCTGCAGACAAGAGCAAAGCTTTTAATGGAAATTTTAAACAAATGGGATCAAGATACTGACACATTTCTTCAAATAATTGTAGCAGGAAATGAAACAGGGCTTTACCAGCATAATCCTGAAGACAAAGCACAATCAAAGCAATGGCTACTAAGAGGTGGAAGTGGTCCAATCAAAGCGAAAGCAGACAGGTCAAGAGCAAAGGTCTTGGCAACAGTTTTTTAGGATGCTCAAGGCATTTTGCTTGTTGACTTTATGAAGGGCCAAAGAACGATAACATCTGCTTATTATAAGAGTGTTTTGAGAAAGTTAGGTAAAGTTTTAGCAGAAAAATCCCCAGGAAAGCTTCACCAGAGTCTTTCTCCATCATGACAGTACTCCTGCTCATTCCTTTCATCAAACAAGAGCAATTTTATGAGAGTTTTGATGATAAATAATTAGGCATCCATCTTATAATCCTGATTTTGCTCCTTCTGACTTTTTTTGTTTACTAATCTTAAATCTTTAAAAGGCACCTAATTTTTTCAGTTGATAATGTAAAAAGACTGCATTGGCATGGTTAAATTCCCAAGACCCTTGGTTCTTCAGAGTTGAGCTAAATGGCTGATATCATCACTTATAAAAGTGTCTTGACCTTTATGGAGCTTTTGTTGAGAAATAAAATTTATATTTTTTATTTTTATCTTTTGATTCCATTTTTCCAAGAACTTTTTGGAGTCTCCTTGGACTTTACCAGGGAGTTATGTATTTTTGTGTTACTGTGTTGCTATTTTTTATCCTTTTGCTTTAAGGGACTCCCTTTATCATTTCTTGTTGGGCAAACCTAGTGGTGATGAACTGTCCCAGTGTTTGTTTATCTAAGAAAGTATTAATTTCTACTTCATTTTTGAAGGGCACTTTTGCTGGATACAATGTTCTTGGTTGGCAGTGTTTTTTTTTTTTTTCTTTCAGTACTTCAGATATATTCTTCCAATCCCTTCTATCTTGCAAGGTTTCTGCTGAGAAATTGGCTAGTAATCTAACAGAAGCTCCTTTGTAATTGATGATTCACTTTTCTGTTGCTGCTTTTAAGATTCTCTCTTTGTCTATGACTTTTGACAGTATAATTATGATGTGTCTTGGTGTAGTTTTCTTTAGATTTATCCTTGGAGTTCTTTGAGCTTCTTTAATTTGTATATGCATTTATGTCCTCAGATTTGGAAAGTTTTCAGCTATTATTTCTTCAAATAGGCTCTTTCTCCATTTCTCCCTTTCTTCTCCTTTGAGGCTTACATAATGTATATGTTGTTCTGATAGATAGTGGCCCATAAGTTCTTTAAGCTCTTTTTATGTTTATTCATTCCTTTGCCTTTTTGCTCCTTTCCCTTGGCAATTTTGAAAGTCCTGTCTTCAAATTTGCTGATTTAAAAAAATTCTGCCTGCTCAAGTCTACTGTTACATCCCTCTAGTGTATTTTCAATTCATTTACTGTATGCTTCAGTTCCAGAAATAATGTTTGCTACTTCATCATAGTTTTTATCTTTGTTGATTTTTTCCTTTTGTTTATGCATTGTTACACCGAGTTTTTGTTTGTTCATCTGTACTCATTTATTTCATTAAGCATCCTTATGGCAGTTAATTTGAATTCTTTGTATGACAATATATTTCCATTTCTTTAGGCTCAATTTGTGGTGATTTATTTATTATTTTTTTGAGACAGGCTCTTGCTCTGTCACCCAGGCTGGAGTACAGTTGTGTGCAGATGGCTCACTGCAGCCTCGACCTTCTGGGCTCAGGCAATCCTCCCGTCTCAGCCTCCCAAGTAGCTGGGACTACAAGTGTGCACTACCACACCTGGCTAATTTTTTTTTGTTTTGTTTTGCTAGAGATAAGATTTGGCCATGTTGCACAGACTGGTTTTGAGCTCTGGGCTCAAGGGATCTGCCTGCCTCAGCCTCCCAAAGTGCTGGGATTACAGGTGTGAGCCACTGCGCCTGGCTGCAATTTAGTTTTTTACATTGAATCGGCTGTATTTCCCTGTTTCTTTGTATTGTTATTTTCTGTTAGGGCTTTGGCATTTGAAGGCTTAGCTAACTCTCTGGTCTTTGCGGTCTGGTTTCATACTGGGAAGACTTTCTTCATCCAGTTAGTCTAGCTAGAGAATCCTGAGACCTCACAAATCTTTTATGGGGATGCATCCTCTTTGGGTTTGTAATTTCTTAATTGAAGAGGTTTGCCTCTGTCCATCTGTCTGCTCCCTCTGGTGTGTCTTTGTCTGCTTTACTTGTGGCGTCTCGTGCTGTAGTAAACTACAGTACTGGAGCTCCACCTTGTGTCTGTTTCTGATACTGCAGGGTCTGATGCTAAACCAAAGCACTTTGCTTTTGTTTTCAATGGCCCTCAACCTGGCACCCTGTTCAATGTCAGTACTTAGATTCAGTCAAGAAGTTTCTAGGGTAGCACTGCCCTCAGCTGTTCCATTGGAGGTATATTCCTTTTCTGCTCCTCCCCAGGGAGAAGGTGGAAGTTGTTGTTGTCTTGTTTGTTTTTCTCAATCTTGCCTTGCTGGGGCAGATAGGAGGGAGGACATGAGCTTTGATGCTATTTTATGCTCACCTGGGGTGCTGGAACTTATCACAAAGGCAGTTGGATTGTTTGTTATTGTTGAATCCTTGTCTTCATGGGGAAAGAAAGGCCTGGGGTTTCTTGTTTTGCCATCTGGCTGACCACACTCAAATGTTACCTGTTTTTTTTAGACATTATCTTAGCAAGAATGGTAAGTCTTTGAACTTGATAGGAATTTGGTGGGTTCAAGCTTTCAAACTTTTTTTTGTAATATATCCATTTGGGAAGAGGTGCAGGGAGGAAGAGGTGGTGATTATAAGTAAGGAAGTGTGGAAAAAGTTGTAAATTCTTGAAGAAAGCATGAGGTAAGGTTTTACTCCTGTTTTTTTTTTTTTATCCCTGTGTGCCCTTTAGTTCAGTTTAGTTCATACAAATTAGATAGACATGAGCCTCTGGTTGAGTCTAATCTTGAAAATATTTTCTTTGTGATGGGGTTGGTTTTAGAAGAGTAGCCTGGAATACGAAAGCTTTTATTTGTATGGTTATCATGTGTCTTCAACCTTTATGTCAATAATTGCAGACTTAGAATAGCAGTTCTAAGTTAATGGTAAAATGTTACCTACTTTCGATTCCATAGCATCTATCTTCTTTGAGTACTTTCTTAGAGTGTGATTTTAATGATTATGATCTTTGTTCTAACTATTTTGAGGCTTCATTAAAAAATAAATTATGATTTTATTGTTAGAATCGTTTCTATAAATTAACGTCACTGCGCCTGGCCCTTAAATGTAAATTTGTTTTTATCAATCAACTATTTCTTCATAAAAAGCAAAGAATACGATTAGAAATTTGAAGACTATCTGGTATTTTAAAAATAAAGTTCATCTTTCTGGCCGGCTAGTTCATCGTCTAACTTTTGCAGAAGTGGAATGTGAATGTGAAAACTTTGTGAAACAGAATTATTTTCTTTTATCCAAAGCTACTTTTAATTGTCTTTGAGCAGTGTTAATGGAAAAACTTATAAATGTAGGAATGTATAAGAATATAGTTTAAAATCTAGTAAAATGAGTTATTTTTAATACTTTTATTTTGAAATATTATTAAATCTTTAATTGTATATAAAACTTACTGCATTGTGAAATTATAATTAACGTTTGAGTTTCCTGAGGATATATTAAATTCTTATCTTCGTTTAGACTTTTCAGAGGTCATGTATTTTGATTTTTAAACATACTTAATGATACAGTTTTTAAAAATAAAAACTTTAAAGCGGAATTGAAATTGCATACTGCTTGTTTAAATGCACAAAATCTCTGTATCTCCTATTATCTGTATTCTGTTTCTTTAATTTCTACTAAAATTTGAAGGCCTCTGAAGATATTTTAATTCTCATTGTGTCTTTTGAGTTATTTTTTGATTCTGAAAAGATAGGCCATCACAATATCTTTTTAGTGGGATGTCATATTTGTCAGCATTAAGGAATCCCAGAAGGAGAGAAGTATATTCTCTGCTGCTCTTAAGAAGACAAGGAAATTTGTAGACCTTGGAAATTTGATTTGACATCCTCATCTGCTGTAGGAATGTTTAGAATTAAGATCACCAACCTGTGCCTCCTTGAAACTGGTAGAGAAACTGGGATCAGTATTGGGACACCCAGAGCTGATATGTGAGGAATTATTGGCATGATCTACAAATGTGTGAAATTTGAGGATTTTATAAGCCATTTCAGTCATATCAGTGTTTATTAACTACATAGGTTAATATTTTGTGTAGGTCATTTTTGTTTATACTGTAGTCTTCAGTAGCTTAATGGTGGGAAGCTTACATCTGGAAGCTTTTGGGGCTCCTGCACCTAGCCAGGTTCAGTCATTGTGATTCTGTAACTTCACCAGAACTCAAATTTCTTGGGAGGTTTTGAGGACCACAAAAATTAACTTGAGTCCAGGTGTGGTGGCTCACACCTGTAATGCTAGCACTTTGGGAGGCCAAGGCAGGCTGATCACCTGAGGTCAGAAGTTCGAGACCAGCCTGGCCAACATGGTGAAACCTTGTCTCTACTAAAAATACAAAAAAAAAAAAAAAATTACCTGGGCATAGTGGTGCGCACCTGTAGTCCCAGCTACTCAGGAGGCTGAGGCAGGAGAATCACTTGAAACTGGGAGGTGGAGGCTGCAGTGAGCCAAGATCACACCATTGCACTCTAGCCTGGGTGACAGAGCAAGACTCTGTCTCAAAAACAAAACAAACAAACAAACTTGATATCTTACAGAATTGGGAAATGTTTGTATTTTTGGATTGCTGGAGACTGCTCTAGTGATTCTGGTGACTATACCCACGTTTTGGGCTCAGTCAAAACTACAGGTTCATGTTGTATAATAAGAGCCAGACGGTCAGTAAATAGACCTGTGTTTTCTTTAGATTTAAAAAATCAGTCTGAAAGATAATTTTGCCATTAAAAAAGAAAACCCATGTCGTGTGTCCATACTCATTGTCTACCCCTTGGTAGGTTATTTAAATTTGATTTTTTGGTTAATTTTAGACTCTTTTTGATCAGAACAATGCTGCAAAAAAAGAAGAGTCAGAAACTGCCAACAAAAATGATTCTTCAAAGAAGTTGTCTGTTGAGAGAGTGTATCAGAAGAAGACACAACTTGAACACATTCTTCTTCGTCCTGATACATATATTGGGTCAGTGGAGCCATTGACGCAGGTAATTATTGCTAAAATTGATTGAAATTAGGAGATGTGCATCTATATTTACTTTTTAATATGTTGATAAAATTATTGTAATTACTTGCTTTGGAAATTTGTAATTTCATCTGTCATAGTCAAAGTAGGGTGAAAGATCTAGAAGTAGAAATGTATTTACTTCTTTTTGGGGATTAAAAACCGTCAGAAGAGGCTGAGCGCAGTGGCTCACACCTGTAATCCCAGCACTTTGGGAGGCCGAGGCGGGTGGATCACAAGGTCAGGAGATCGAAACCATCCTGGCTAACATGGTGAAACTCTGTCTCTAATAAAAATACAAAAAAATACAAAAAAAAAAATTTTCTGGGTGTGGTGGCGGGCGCCTGTAGTCCCAGCTACTCAGGAGCCTGAGACAGGAGAATGACAGTGAACCTGGGAGGCGGAGCTTGCAGTGAGCCGAGATCACGCCACTGCACTCCAGCCTGGGCGACAGGGCGAGACTCCATCTCAAAACAAAAAACAAAAATCAGAAAAATGAAGTATAGAGTAAAATGGTGCCATACGAACTTTTTATGTAAGTCTTCCCCACCCGCCATCTCCCATCACCCCCTGATGCCCCCCCACCCCGTGTCTCGCTCTGTCGCCCAGGCTGGAGTGTAGTAGTGTGATCTTGGCTCGGTGCAACCTCTGCCTCCTGGGTTCAAACGATTCTCCTGCCTCAGCCTTCCAAGTAGCTGGGATTACAGGCATGCGCCACCACGCCTGGCTAATTTTTGTGTTGTTAGTAGAGACAGTGTTTTGCCATGTTGGCCAGGCTGGTCTTGAACTCCTGACCTCAGGTGATCCATCCACCTTGGCCCCCCAGAGTGCTAGGATTACAGGCGTGAGCCACTGCGCCCAGGCTTGTAAGTCTTTAAGTTCATATTGTCATTAATGTTAATGGTAGTACCTTGCAGAATTTGTACATATACACTGACTATTGTTTACTGCTTACTAGGAACTTGGCTTACATATATTATCTCATTTGATCCTAACCATTTTGGGAAGTAGGTACTGTTATCTCTATAGATGAAGAAAGGGAAGCTTACATAAATTTAAGTAACTTGTTCATATCTCTCAACTAGTAAGAACTGGGATTCAAAGTAGATCTCTCTGACTCCAAAGTCTTGCTTTGTTCGTATTATTTTACTCTGCTCCCTGTATTATAAAAAAAAAAAAAAGCATTAATTTTCCATTATTTATGAAAAGTAATGTTTTTATTTTTTCAACTATTTAATACTGTTTCTAATAATTATTGATGTCTTACATTAAAACTGACTTTATAATAATACAAACTTGATACAAAATGAACAATTTCTCAATTTTGAGGTTAATTTAATATGAATAGTGAAGTTGACTATTACTGAAGTTGTATATGTTTTTCTACTTTGCAGATCTAAGTATTCATATAGTGTAAATGACAGGATGTGGATTATACTATGAAAAATTGATATTAAGGATTTATTGAGTAAAATTTTTTTTGAATTTTTCAATGCAGTTCATGTGGGTGTATGATGAAGATGTAGGAATGAATTGCAGGGAGGTTACCTTTGTGCCAGGTTTATACAAGATCTTTGATGAAATTTTGGGTGAGTACTTGCTTAGGATTTAATGCATGTTTCTATTAATATCATCATAGTGTCCTTTTATATATAAAGCCAGACTTAACCAGTATAAATTTGAAAGGTGTATCTCTGGCTTTTATCCTTCTGAATATAAATGATCTTCAGAAAATTTATACCATGATCTGTAATGTTTTCATATCTCTGTTTCATCTTTGTTTCATTTTCTTCATCTATGAAATCAATGTGTTATATTTGTAATCCCATAGTTGGTCTGTACTCCTCTATGTGTAGTCATCTGGGATATGCTAGCATCACAGTTACCTGGAGTCATCTTGAATATGGAGATGACAGGGACTGATTTTGCAGATTCGTTGAGTTGGTGGGATATGTAAATATGTTTTTCACCAACAAATCAGATATTTCTGTTGGGCAGCCAAGTGTAATAACCATTGCTGTAAATGATCTCTGTCCTCTCCAAATCACATGATTAATTAAATTATGTGAATGCCTAGTTGACTGCTAGGGAATGCTTGTACTTTGGAAATATTTTAACCAAGGACACTCTAGAAATTCTCTTGCTCTCCCACCTCATCAGTGCAACTTGAGGTTTCTTAGTGCAGTTGTATGGGTCTCAGAACTTCTTCTGTTGGTATTTGGTGAAGAGATAAGAGATTAAAACTGTGTTGCATTTTATACCTTTACTCTTGCCTCCATATTATAATTTTACTGTTTTAAGTTTATTGCAAGTGTTTGTCAGGAGCATATTTCTTCTATGATTGTGTTCAAATTTCCTTGAAGCAGTGGTTAATGAATGCAAAAATATTTATATTGTCAGCTATAGTGCCTAGGATACAGAATTTTGATTTCTAAGGGTGTTAAAGACTTTTTCTTTGTTTGTAACTGAAAATGAACTGGTTTCTATTCAATATGCCTATAAAGTCACTAGTTTATTGAAAGTGATCAATAGAATGCAATTGCTTGTTACCAAGAGAAAATATAATTAAACAAAAGTTTTTACTTTTAGACCTGGATTTGGGTGTTGTAAAATGCAGGTGTTTGTTCTTACTTAATATGTTTTGATTAATATGTATCACTAAAACATTTCCTCCTCTTTTTTTGTGGTGGAAAACATAACAGTAATTTGGTGTGATAATACAATTTAGGAATATTATTTGGAAAATAAGATTTTATATGAGAAGTTAATAGTAATTATTTTCATTAACTATTACCATATGTAGATGTTTATATTAAGCAGTGATGCACATACAGTTGTGTCCATGTATTTATTTATATAATTTTGTATATTACTCATTGAGGTGTTTAATTTTGTAGTTAATGCTGCTGACAATAAACAGAGGGATAAGAACATGACTTGTATTAAAGTTTCTATTGATCCGTAAGTATATTTAAAGTTTAATTTTTTATGCTAAGTTTTATTCAGATAGTCCCCAATTTATGAGTACTCCTCAAATAATGTATATGGGTAGTACTCTTTTAAAGTTTCCCTGTTGTTTGAGACTTTGTTATTTTTGCCTCTTTTCTGTGTCATTTATTGTCTTTTCTTCCAAAGAACTTCCCTATCGGGGCTCTTGGAGACCATTTTTCTTTGATGCTGTGTATGCTATTTCAGCTGCTAGGGTAATCACCCTATCTTTTCTTACCCTTACTTTTGGGACTCAAGGCTAAGGGCTATTGTTAGTGTGATTCCAGTTATATTATACTTTAAGTTTACTTTTCATGACTGGTGTTTGGAGTTTTCCATTATTTATGACATAATTTAATAGATTAGGTACTGTTGTTGTAACCAGTTGTTTAGCTAATTATATTACTGTGGTGATTTTTATTATTTTTTTGCATAGAATGAAGATGTATAAAAAATAGTAGCATTAAATCAGAAACATAGCTGTTAAATTTATCCTGTTTTTACCAGCATGCCTTTTGTAAAATATTACATTCATCCTTTGTAATTTCATTAGTAATTTAGCATGATTTTAAGATTTTTCTCTAGTAAACATAAAAATCTAATAATTCAGGTATAGTCTTACTAGTAATAATCTAATTTCAGTTAAGATTAGTAGTATAATAAAACTATAATTTGTATTTGGTTATACCATGAAGTTAACTATATTTTATATGAAAATGTTACCATATAACTGTGCTGTCGAGATTATTTATTTTTTTCTCCATTTTTTTTTAAATTTGGATTATTTCTATAATGAATGCATTCTTGAGAAGTTATATAAGGCATACAAGACATAAGTTACAACTTATACAGAAGTTTAAGATGGTTTCAAGGACATTTTGGCTGTTAAGATTCCTTTTCCTTATTTAGGCAATTGTCAGTTAAAAACCATATCTCCCTTCATTTATTATGTTTTAGGAGAGTAAGGAGTAATAGACACTGAATGTTTGATATCTTTGAATTTTTTTCAAAATTGAACAACTCTAATTAAAACTAAGAAAGAAAGGACCTTCCTTAAATACACTCTTGATGAACATAGTTGCAATTGTTTAGTTCTTTTATGTGGTTCTGGCCATATTAGTCCAAAGATTTTAGCCACATTAATGCAATAAGATTGAATTTAAGAAATAGTGTATAGCATGCCATCATAACAAAGTGATAAAGAAGTGAGCTAAGCCAGGTGCGGCAGCTCACGCCTGTATTCCTGGCACTTTGGGAGGCTGAGTCAGGCAGATCCCTTGAGCCCAGGAGCTCGAGACCAGTCTGGGCAACATGGTGAAAACCTGTCTCTACAAAAAACAAACAAACAAACAAACAAAAACACCAAAATTATCTGGGCATGGTGGCGGCATGTGCTTGTAGTCCCAGCTACTCAGGAGGCTGAGGCGGGAGGATTGCTTGAGCCTGGGAGGTCAGGCTGCAGTGAGCCATGATTGTGCCACTGTACTCTAGCCTGGGCGACAGAGCGAGACCCCATCTCAAAAAAAAAAAAAAAAAAAAAAAGACAACGAAGAAGTGAGCTATAAGACAACTCTGTAGACTGGATAAGGGCTCTTGGTTTATTTTACTTATCAGTTCATTACAGATTTTGTAGAAAGAGTAATTCAACATAATTCTAGTAATTCTAGTGCCTTTATCACTTCATTTTATACTCTGTTTTTAATCAGCAAACATTTTTGTGTAGGCAGAAGAGGGAGGGAAAATTATAACTAAGTTTATTTGCTTCTTAATGTCAATGAGGTATCAATTTTTTTTTCATATCCCCCACCTCATTTTAACTGCTTCTGCTAGAAAATTATTTTATTTCAATATAAACAAAAATCCTTAGCTATTCCAAGAAGAAAAGGTGATGGTAGTATATTTTTTCACCCCTCCTTTCTTGTTTCTTTTGTTGTTTACAAATCATTGATGAAAAAATTGAGTCTTGATCTTGCCTTTAATTGAATTTCATATACTCCTAAAATTGGCAGTAGGCAAGCATTTTGTGAGAAGTTGCTGATTTGTATATTGTATTTCTGAGTTTTAACTATAACATTTTGTCTCTTGTGAATTTTGTCCCATAGTCATTTTTTACCACATATACTATAGAATTAGTATTATTTTGATTAAAATAAATGTTATTTCAGAGGTGCAATTTTTGCTTCAGTAAGATTTCTAATTTAAGAAGTCATTTTAAAGCTAAATTTAAATGAGAAAAAGAGCTGTTGCACTGTTGATCCAGTTGATCCAGTTTTCTCTGCTGTCCATTTTTGTATCCTTTGAGTTGCATTCTTTTTAACATTTTTGTATAGCAGATTTTTATTTTTGTACATTTGTGCACATAAACTTCTTGTGTGGAGGAGAGGTTAAATTTTAATAGCTAATGGACAAAGTATATAGGATATATAGTACAACCTAGCTCTTATTCTTTCTTTTCCTCCATAGTATTCTGTGATGTAGGGATAAAATTTAAGGAAAAGGTCATGGTTGTAAAGCCTTGAGAACAGATTAAATACAAGGGATGCCATGCAGAATTTGGACAGTTCTTCCAGAAGTTAGAGAACTTAGAGCAACTTCTTACAAGGGAGCTTAACACTTATTAAATAATACAACATAACAGTATTGAAACAATTTATTTGTGGATGTCTATCTGATTAAAAACAAATGTGGAGGCTGGGCGCGGTGGCTCACGCCTGTAATCCCAGCACTTTGGGAGGCCAAGGCGGGTGGATTATGAGGTCAGGAGTTCGAGACCAGCCTGGCCAACATGGTGAAACCCCGTGTCTCCTAAAAATACAAAAATTAGCCAGTCGTGGTGGCGTGCTTCTGTAATCCCAGCTACTTGGGAGGCTGAGGCAGGAGAATTGCTGGAACCCAGGAGGCAGAGGTTGAGTGAGCTGAGATCGTGTCATTGCACTCCAGCCTGGATGACAGAGCGAGACTCTATCTCAAACAAAAACAAAAACAAACGTGGAAAGCATATTAACCAGAGTTGAAAATATTCCTCTAGCTTAAGTGTTCTTTATTTAGAGTTGAAATTTTAAAACTGTAGCTTTCAAAAAATATTGCATACTCATGCTAAATTATATATGTAGACATTTCTTTTTTTAACAAACGGAATCATAGTATATATACTATTTTATGTCTTTCCCTTTATTCAACATATTATAGACAGCCTTCCTTATTAACTTACATAGATCCACTTAATTTTTTAAAACTACTCGCAAGTATTTTATTATGTTGATGTGTCACAATTTATTTAACCTCTTGCCAACTGATAAGCATTGGATATTTAGATTTTCAATTTTTTTCAGCCTAATTATTTTTGAAACTTTATTTGTAAACTATTAAATGCAGTATTCTTATTCCTAATTTTTATTGAAGATTATCAGTGGAGCAAAGTTATAAAATTCTGAATAATTGTTTAGAGATTACAGAAATAAATACCAGATCTGAGAAATGATACAGATTGAAATTTTATAAGAGAGGTGAGTTTGATAGCCAGTTCCAATTTCATACTCATATGGACTTAGAGAATGTTAAGGATGCCAAACGTTGATTTTTTTTTTTGAAATTGTGATGAAGATAATTAACTTACAGAATGCCTATTTTAATTACAGTACCATGTGCTAAACATGATGAAACCTTTTTTAAAGGTTTTCTCATGAGTATGTTGCCTTTTTTGTCATCCTGAGATGTTTAAGATCTGTAATTTTCCATTCCTTGCCTTCATTTCCTTCATAATCCTTCTCTATTAGTTACGACTCAGGGAAAGAAATGTTTGTCCTCAGCGAGTATTTTCTTGAGAGATGAATCAGTGCCTTCCAATTGATAATGACTAGTATCTTATAACCATTAAGGTTTATTCTAGATTACTTTTTAATGAATTAATTTATCTTTACTATTTTAAGCTCTAAATTCTGCTTTTTTTTTTTTTTTTTTTTTTTTTTTTTTTTTTTTTTACAGTGAATCTAACATTATAAGCATTTGGAATAATGGGAAAGGCATTCCAGTAGTAGAACACAAGGTAGAGAAAGTTTATGTTCCTGCTTTAATTTTTGGACAGCTTTTAACATCCAGTAACTATGATGATGATGAGAAAAAAGTTACAGGTAAAGTCTGAATGGAATTTTGGTTGAAAAATACTGTTTTCTTAATATAAAATGTATAACTTACTAAGGAAATTGTGCAGTTTTGGTGTGAGAAAATCATTGTCAGAATTAATATTTATAAACTATCATGTATAAATATTGTCTTGGTAATAGTTTAACAGTGACATTTAAAAACCTTAAGACTGATAGTACATTGACTTTATGTTAGAACTGCTGGAAGTTTAACTTGGCTGACAGTTTGAGTTTTGATTTAGATAGGACTGGTATGATGTCTATGTATATAAATTTGTTATTACATAGCACTGTGTCTTTTGGTATTAAGTTACTTTTAAACTGTTTTCCTTGAGAAGGTCAGGATTGAAAATCTAGACTCTGTAAATAGAGTTGAAAGTGCTTTGACCAAAACCATATATTTTCATACTTATTTATGTTGCCCAAATAGGTTGATAGGTTTTTTGTTTTGTTTTGTTTTGCTTTTTAAACCAACGCTCCGGGAAATGATATAGATTAAAATTTTGTAATAGAGAAGCAAGTTTGAGAGAAAGTTCAGATTTCATACTCACAGAGATTTGCTGGGTCGTGAAAGATACAAAGCTTAATGCTTTTGAAATTGTAAAGACTGTGGTAAATGTACAAAATACCCATTTTAATTACACTACTATATATACTAAATCTTAATTGTATTTTTCTTTAAATGGAAGAAAATCTAAATATACTCTGGAATCTTCAATTGGTGATTGGTAATGCAGTTAGTGGAACAGTTTTGCAACAGCCTTGCCGTATGGTGGTAAATTAACGAAGTTCCTTTAAAATCATTTTTACTAAACCTTTTACATTTAATTTTTCTTACAGGTGGTCGTAATGGTTATGGTGCAAAACTTTGTAATATTTTCAGTACAAAGTTTACAGTAGAAACAGCTTGCAAAGAATACAAACACAGTTTTAAGCAGGTATGCTAGAAACACATCTATTTCTTTTTTTAAAATAACGTTTTATTATCTTGCCGAGATAGTAGAACCTTGGGTAAATTGCAGTGATGCCTGTATAACTTCATTTTTTTTTTCCAAAGCATTATCCAAGTCAAATCATCAGAGTAAAGAGACATCAGAATGCCTGGGAGATTTAATATAAGCCTATTCCTCTATCATTCCTTTCAAACAAAGTGCTTTATTTAACAGACTTTATTTAACTTAGTTAAGTATTAGTGAAAATGTCCTGAACCTCGCAGACTCATGTACATGCAACCACTTAGTGTGTTTGAAAAATTCCTCAATGAATCATCAAATTTATATTTCAAAATTTTATTTTATTCTTGAAGGTCTATGAAAATGATTTGAAATTTTATATAAGCTAAAATAATTTTTATTTTAAATTTTCTTTATTGCTCTCCAGCAACCCCGTTGTTGAAGTAAGCTAAAATAATTTTCTCAGGAAAAGCATCATGCATGTTTATTTTTGTAAAAGTCTATATAGTCACGTTGAAGAATTTGAGAGATTTTGTTGGCAGTTTATAAAGTTGTACAGTTTAGTTTATTTTTAACATGAGATTATTATCACAGTAATACAGTTGCCTCAGGAGGATTGGTTCTGGGATGCCCTTTCTATACCAAAAATCAGAGGAGGATCAAGTCCCTTATATAAAATGGGGTAGTATTTGCATATAACCTATACACATCCTCCCATGTACTTTAAATCAACTCTAGATTACTTATAATATGTAATACAGTATAAATGCCATGTGAACAGTTATGCTGTATTTTAAAAATTTGTATTTTTTCCCAAATATTTTTAAGCTGCAGTTGGTCGAATCTGCAAATGTAGAACCTGTGGCTACCCAAGGGCTGACTGTATTTACTATTTTTTTTTGTCTGTAATATTATCAAGGATTTGTTTGGTTTGTTGTGAAGTTGTAAAATTGATATAGTTTGATAAATGAATGAATTTAATGAGTGTAGTCTTTATATATTATGAGATATGGAAGCATTATAGAAATATTTGAATTTTTTTCTTTTAAAGACATGGATGAATAATATGATGAAGACTTCTGAAGCCAAAATTAAACATTTTGATGGTGAAGATTACACATGCATAACATTCCAACCAGATCTGTCCAAATTTAAGATGGAAAAACTTGACAAGGATATTGTGGCCCTCATGACTAGAAGGGCATATGATTTGGCTGGTTCGTGTAGAGGGGTCAAGGTCATGTTTAATGGAAAGAAATTGCCTGTAAGTGTCCTGTAAAATAGTTTTAATACTATGTTATTTTATAGAGAGAATATTGTTGGGTCTTCCTTTTTTAAAGCTCATCTGGTAGTCTCTTTTACTGGTGTGTTCAGATGATTCACATTTAAAGTGATTATTGATACATTTGGCCATTATTTCTTCAAATAATGCTTCTGTCTTGTTCTTTCCTTTCCTTCTTGGTTATATATATGTTACATTATTTGATACTGTCTGCAGTTCTTGCATGCTTTGTCTATTTTATTCACTCTACTTCCACTTTTTGTATTGGTTTAATTTCTATCCCCTCTCTTCAAGTTTAGTCATTTGCAGTCTCTGCATCAAGTTTCCTGAAGAGCCTGTCAAAGACATTCCTCATGCCTTCTATGTTTTTTGTTTTTAACATTTCCATTTGATTATTTCTTATAGTTTACATGTCTTTGCTGAAGTTGCATATTGTCTACATTTTCCATTAGATACTTTAACATACTAATTAATTGTAGTTATTTAAAATACTTT
This sequence comes from Homo sapiens, assembly GCF_000001405.40. Taxonomy (NCBI): domain Eukaryota; kingdom Metazoa; phylum Chordata; class Mammalia; order Primates; family Hominidae; genus Homo; species Homo sapiens. Next base: position 25,635,422 of record NC_000003.12, on the reverse strand, counting down.
ATCTGATACATGTTACAAAATCTGTGAGATACTTACTCTGTTTCTGATAATCGCTTTATCTTTTCAGATTGTTTTTTTCTTGTCTTTTGGCATGCCCTGTAAGTTGTGGAAAACCAGATTTGTTTTGTAGATATCGAGGTAAATAAGCATTAGTGTGGGACTTAGGTTATATTTACCCAGGAGATGGGCTGTGTTTGAAGTTTGTTTTTGCTGTAGTTATTAGTGTTGAGGTTTGTTGTTGCCGTGAATACCAGAGACTTCCAGATTCTTTCTTGTTTTTGTCTTTCCCCTTGGCTTAGGCCCTTCTTTTTGAGCTGCCCCTCAGAGGTGATCTGTCTCTTGCAGCTCTTCCAGCTGAAACCCACTGTTGTTAATGGAAGCTTGGTAGCATGATGGTAGATTTTGGGGGAGATGTTCTCTAATGTCTCATTACATCCCAGTCTTTGGAGTGCATGGTGAACCTGTATCTCAGGGGTTTGACCTTTATAAGTTTATGCCTCTCCTCCATAGGTAAAGACTTTTTTTCTGCCCTCTATTCTCTTTCCCCAGCTGCAGCAGGTTTCCACCAGTGTTCTCAGCCTGTGTCCTTGAGGTTTCCTGCCCTGCAGAATAAGCCTTTTTTTGGTTTTTTTTTTTTTTTTTTTGGTAAGGGAGATAGATCTGGGTTGATTTCCCAGTGACTACTGTTTCTGTCTCCCAGCTAGCACCATGGGAGTGCAGAGGGGAAACCTCTAGATTCTCACTGGTCTTCCCTGTGAGAATTTGGTGGGTTTTCTGAAAGAAAAACCTGCAAGAGTATGAATGAATGAACTTATGACTATAGTCCCTAGAAGCTTTATGCATTCAAACTAGTATACACTCTTCCAGTAGCAATTAGTCAAAATTTCTAGTTTAAAGTTCCTACTAGCTTATTAAATATCTGCCCCAGGTAAGCAAAAGCTTAGGTTTTGTGGTCTCCTACAGACACTTATGTCTCTCCAGACTTCAGGATGGCCAGCTCTCCTGTGATCTCAGTTCTTCAGTGGGTTCATGAAAAACCCATTAATTTGTTGTCTGATCACCCGTTTTCTTACAAGGATGGAAGCTTTTTTTCCTGCTAGTTCATTATCTGTCTGAACTGAAACTGGAAGTCTACCTTATCATTTTAAAAATAGAAATTTCTGAAATATTTTATAACAATTTACCTGTCCCTTCACATCCTCTTTTTGTCAAGTACACATAGAAATGAATTTCTTTTTTAAAGGTCAAGGGTTAAGGAATAGATCTGGGAAATGCCACTAAGGTTTGGATCGGTGCACTTAGAACTGTTGTAAGTGAGAGGAAATGAAAGTATACGTACTGAAGGTGATTCACCTATTTGAGCTGCCAGTGTAAGATTTTTAATTGTTTTTGTTTTTTAAATTAATAGGTAAATGGATTTCGCAGTTATGTAGATCTTTATGTGAAAGACAAATTGGATGAAACTGGGGTGGCCCTGAAAGTTATTCATGAGCTTGCAAATGAAAGATGGGATGTTTGTCTCACATTGAGTGAAAAAGGATTCCAGCAAATCAGCTTTGTAAATAGTATTGCAACTACAAAAGTAAGTAAGCAAATTATTTGTTTCCAAGTCAGTGGTAGAACAGTACTTCAATAAAAACTACAAAACAAATAACAATATCCACAACCCCCAAAAAACCCAAATCTGTTTTTGTTAAATAAGAATTGACTTATGAAAACAAAAACCTATTTTCTATGAAATTGCTGTATTAAAATTTATTTAAACAATTATTGAGAAATAAATTTATATGACTAGTGTTTGTAGTTGAACATATTTATATTTTATGAAATTTAGAATAACAAATTCCTTTTTCTGTAACTTTTAGCCCCACCTTCCCCAACCTCTGGGGAGAGGAGAGGGGGCTGGTGACTGAGTTAAAAATCAATTATGGCTATGTGATAAAGCTCTGTAAAAACTCCTGAACAATGGAGTTCACAGAACTCCTAGGTTGGTGAATACATTTGAGGTGCCAAGAGGGTGGCATGTCTGGGTAAGGCATGGAGCTTTGTGTACCCTTTCCCCTGTACTATGCCCTATGCATCTCTTCCATTTGGCTATTATTGCTGGATCCTATATAAAAAACTTGTAAATGAAGTAAAGTGTGTTCTTGAGTTCTGTGACCTGTTCCAGCAAATTATCATTCCTGAGGAGTGGGTCATAGGTTCGTTAGAAGTACAGGAGGCCTAGGACTTGTAACTGGCATCTGAAGTGTGGGGAGTCCTGTGGGATTGAGCCCTTAACCAACCCTAAATACTTGTGCTAACTCCAGGTAGTTAGTATCAAAATTGAATTACATTGTTGAACATCCATTTGGTGTCTGGAGAATCAGAGAATTGGTTGCTGGTGTTGAAAGCACCTGAGAATTGGTGTTAGAATTGAAGTGAGGAAAGCAAACAAACAAACAAACAAAAAAAACACAGCGGTTGGTTTATTGGCTCTGTAGCCAAAATGTCTTATTTTTTTAAAATCTCAACTCTCGTTCTGAGACTCTATTACTCTTTTAGAAAATAGGGTTTATAATACAGATAAAGTATTTTGCTACTTTAACAATACAGGATTTCAGATTTCATATATTTTTTTTTCTTTAGGGTGGACGGCACGTGGATTATGTGGTAGATCAAGTTGTTGGTAAACTGATTGAAGTAGTTAAGAAAAAGAACAAAGCTGGTGTATCAGTGAAACCATTTCAAGTAAGGGATGTGTTATATATTGTACATGATGCATACATATGCATTATATATATACTGAATTACTAAATATCAGCTCTGATATTGACTTTTTTGGGTATGTTTTCAACAGGTAAAAAACCATATATGGGTTTTTATTAATTGCCTTATTGAAAATCCAACTTTTGATTCTCAGACTAAGGAAAACATGACTCTGCAGCCCAAAAGTTTTGGGTCTAAATGCCAGCTGTCAGAAAAATTTTTTAAAGCAGTGAGTAAAACTTGTATTTTTTTTATTGTTGTTATTAAGAGTTGATTAGGTAGTTTTCTTGATTTACTTTATTTGTGATTAGTTTCTTTCATCGTATTAACTGTGGGTATAAGCATGCTTGCACTACAAACTAATATGCTTAATTTGATAACTTTAAAGGGTAGACTTTAATGTTTCCTAAAACAATTGTTTTGCCAAGAACTAAAGTAGGGAATTATGTAACTAATTGCATTTTTAGCTTTGTATTGACCATTGTAAAGGTCAGATTTCCCCTAACAGATGTCCAGATCCTTATGCAACTCTTTCATCTTTTCTACTCTCATTTCAACTTGATCTACTGATTCTTATCTTTATACATGTTTAAAAATTGTGGTAACATGTATAACAAAATGTACTATTTTCTACATGTTCTTAAATTGCTTTGCTTTGCACATAATTTTTTTAGGCTACCTTAACTTCTCTAAAATAAGGTGAGAGCACAAATAAATAATGGAGATGAATCAATCACAGCCTCTCCTCTTTGGAATTTTGGTGGGGAAATGCTCTATAACTGCCCTAGAACTAATGTATTTCTCAAATTCCAAAAAGTAGATTATCAGAAACAAAAACAAAAGTTGTTTTTTAGGTTCTAACTTAAGGCCTGTAGAAATAGTACTTTTGGATCTAATCTTAATGAATTCTGAGTACAAATTATGCTATATTAATGCTTTCCCAAATTTCTGTCCTCATAACAATTGTTTCCTTGATGAAGTGATTTGATTTTAAATTTTATACTTTTTCATTTTAGGTGCACTAAGTTTAAATTTGACAACACAGTTCACCTCTTTTGTTTATGTCTTAAACATTCCAGAAAACTGTTTTATACACCTAACATCAAATCACCGAGGATGATAAAAAAACTTTTAGGACTTAGAGTTGGAGATGCTTAACTTTCTTTTCCTTTTTCTGTCTGGGTTAACATCTTGCCACAGATTGATTCACTGCAGAGTACAAACAATATGTAATGTTGAAATCTTTATTACCAAGCTATTTAAAGAATAAAAGTCTATTCATAAGTTACCAAGGTTATCCTAATGTTCCTTTTAGGTTAATACTTTTTGTCATAGTGAATTAAAGACTCACGTTTTGTATTGAAGGATATCAGAAATGTCAACGTCTGGAATTTGCCGGCTAGTAGGTTCATGTGTGGATCTGTTTTCACTGTGTTAATTTTAATAAAATTAATTTGTAACAAGAGCAATGCATATTCCTCATGGAGTTTATTATAATAGAATGTTTCTCATATGTAAAAGTTATCCTTTTTCATGTATTTATATTTTAGCTTTAATTTTACAGTAGTTGAGTAAAAGCTGATTAGCATGTATCATGATGCTTATCACCATTATTGTTTTGCCCTAAAATACCTTAAAATTGCACAGATTCCAGGTCTTGCATTAGGCCCTATACATTTTAGCTAAATGTATGAATTTTCAGCTTGTTTGTATACCATTATTCTTTTATTTTTAGGCCTCTAATTGTGGCATTGTAGAAAGTATCCTGAACTGGGTGAAATTTAAGGCTCAGACTCAGCTGAATAAGAAGTGTTCATCAGTAAAATACAGTAAAATCAAAGGTATTCCCAAACTGGATGATGCTAATGATGCTGGTAAGATTGATATTTTTAAATAAGATTTTGATTTAAGTTTCACTTTTATTTAGTTACAGAATTTTTTTATTTTCTACATATAGTTAGACTATGATTTTCCATTCAGAGTATGATTTTACTTCATTGAAATTATCACATACACAACATATTACTAATTTTCAGGGGATAGGAATTTAATAAAATATACTTAATATTTATACTGAGCAATAATGTAAAATAACTTTTATAGTCTTTCACTGTCAGCATTCTAATGTTAATTTTCTGACTTCATTTTTCTCATCAGTGAAAGTATGAGAAATTTTTACTATGTATAATTTTAAATTTCTCTCAGGTGGTAAACATTCCCTGGAGTGTACACTGATATTAACAGAGGGAGACTCTGCCAAATCACTGGCTGTGTCTGGATTAGGTGTGATTGGACGAGACAGATACGGAGTTTTTCCACTCAGGGGCAAAATTCTTAATGTACGGGAAGCTTCTCATAAACAGGTATGTATGTGTGTGTATATATATGTGTATACACACATGCACACATACATATGACATTTCTAATACTTTACTAAACTTCTCGAATTTTTAAATGTAATTTCTGACTCGTATATTTCAACACTTCAAACTACTCTCAGTGCTTTTCCTTTTTGAACAGATCATGGAAAATGCTGAAATAAATAATATTATTAAAATAGTTGGTCTACAATATAAGAAAAGTTACGATGATGCAGAATCTCTGAAAACCTTACGCTATGGAAAGATTATGATTATGACCGATCAGGTTGGTTTTAAAGTTACCACATATTTCAAATTCATGTCTTCTTCAGATTCTCCCTTTAATATTTGTTTTATGAGACTTGCCCGAAGATGGTATAACTGAAAGTGATTATACATCAGGAGGAAAAAATGAAAAAACCACGTCATTTAGTGGAAACATTTTTATGAAGCACATTTTACATTGTCTGATTTTTGGGGTAACTAAGGAGAATATAATACAGTGTGGTACTATAGCAGCCTACCTACAAGTAGGAACAAAATTATGGAATTAACAAGTAAGAAAGATTAATGATAAGGGTTAATATTTATACATGATGGCATGATTTGGAATGCACAAATACCAGGACTTAAATAGTAAAATGATGGTAATCGAGAAAGAACTAGAAAATTGAAAAGGAAGAATTTCAGATGCATTCAACTGTTTTCTCTTATGCACTCTAAAGTATTTGTAGAGAAAATCTGCAACTGAAAAAACTGCTATTAATATATAGTTTTAAGCAGAAATTTTCCAATTTTTTATCTAGGGAAGACTTGTGAATATCTGTATTACCTGGGTTTCCCTACCATTGCCCATTAAGGTGGCATTATAACCATGTTTTATTTTATGTATTTTCTATCCTTAAATCATTCTTTTAGTGAAATCTGGGGAAACTATAAAACAGATAAAATGATAATATATTTTTATAATGACAGATTCAGTCTATTACTACTATATTCTTTATTTGTGTATTAAAAAATTTAGTATGATCATCTTAATAGCTTTTGTAAAATGCATTTCTAAAATTCAGAATTTTGGTTTTTTGCATTCACGTTTTAAAATTTGTTTATATAAGTAATCATTTTATAAAAGTATTACAACATTTTTTACTTTACTAACATTTATTTAGGATCAAGATGGTTCTCACATAAAAGGCCTGCTTATTAATTTCATCCATCACAATTGGCCATCACTTTTGAAGCATGGTTTTCTTGAAGAGTTCATTACTCCTATTGTAAAGGTACTCTTTGCATTAATATATTTTTATATTGTTGTCTTAAAGGGTAGCAGAAAAACTAATTTTGTTTTTTAATTAATTTAAGGCAAGCAAAAATAAGCAGGAACTTTCCTTCTACAGTATTCCTGAATTTGACGAATGGAAAAAACATATAGAAAACCAGAAAGCCTGGAAAATAAAGTACTATAAAGGTTTGTATTTTAAAATACTTAGATTTTAAATACTGATATAAATGTATTCTTATGAAAGCAATCTAAAAGATGACTTGAAAGTTTGACTATTTTAGACTTCGAAAATAGCTATCACTGATTTTAAAGTATTGTTATAGAAAAATGTATGCAAGTAGAATAGTGTAATAGATTTCATTGAATGGGATCACCATTTCAATGGCTAGTCTTGTTTCCTGTAAACCTCCTTTATTGCCACTCCATTAGTTTGAAAAAACTTCCAGACATTATAGTCTAGTATTTCACCTATAACTACTTCAGTATGTATTTCTGAAAGAATTTTTTTAAGTAACCCATAATACCATTATCATAACCTTCTTTAATATCCTATTGTTGAGACAGGGTCTTGCTTTGTCACCCAGGCTGGAGTGCAGTAGCATGAACACAGCTCACTGCCGCCTTGACTTTCCGGGCTCAAATGATCCTCTTGCCTCAGCCCCCGCAAGTAGCTGGGACTACAGGTGTGTGCCACCACACCCAGCTAATTTTTGTATTTTTGTAGAGATGGGGTTTTGGTTTGTTGCCCAGGCTGGTCTTGGACTCCTGAGTTCAAGCCATCCACCCACCTTGGCCTCCCAAAGTATTGGGATTACAGGTGTGAGCCACCATGCCTGGCTCCCTTTTTTTTTTTTTTTTTTTAAATAATGTTAAATACCCAGCCAGTGTTAAAATTCCCCTGGACTGTATTAAAATTGTTTATTTTTAGAGTTTTTTATTTTTATTTTTATTTCGTTTTTTTTTAATTGTTTTTATTTTTTTGAGATAGAGTCTTGCTCTGTTGCCCAGGCTGGAGTGCAGTGGTGGGATCTCGGCTCTCTTCCTCATGTGTTCAAGTGATTCTCATGCTTCAGCCACCCAAGTAGCTGAGATTACAGGCATGTGCCACTATGCCTGGCTATTTGTAGTATGGGTGGGGTTTTGCTGTGTTGGCCAGGGTGGTCTAGAAGTCCCGGCCTTAAGTGATCCGCCCACCTCAGCCTCCCAAAGTGCTGGGATTACAGGCATGAGCCACCATGCTTGGCCTGAGTTTGTTTGTTTTTTTCCAAAGTCAGGATCCAAGTAAGGTCCACACATTGCATTTGGTTGATAAGTTTATTAATATAGCATTTCTCTTTTTATATTTTTTCCTTGTAATTTATTTGTTAAAGAAGTTGGGTTGTTTGTTCTGTGTAATATTCCACATTCTGGATTTTGTTAATTATATTCCTCTAGTTACATTTAATATATAGTATTTTCCTTTGCCCTTATTTTCTGTTAACTGATGGTTAAATCAGAGGCGTGATCAGATTTGGGTTACATTTGTTTGGCAAAAACATTTCATAGGTAGCGTTGTGTGCTTTCATCAGGAAGCATCTAATGTCTACTTTGTCTTTAGTTGCTTATTAAGATTGATCACTTAGTATAGGTGTTGCCAGCTTGATCCATCTATTACAACTTTTCCACCAGCTTTTTACTTGATGGTTTTAAACAGACATTGATATTCATGACTCACTTTTATTTTTAAAATTGTGCAGGATTGGGTACTAGTACAGCTAAAGAAGCAAAGGAATATTTTGCTGATATGGAAAGGCATCGCATCTTGTTTAGATATGCTGGTCCTGAAGATGATGCTGCCATTACCTTGGTAATTAAGTTAATTTTTTAAAAGCTTTTGTTAGCCATCCCCCTACCTTCTATTCCTTTCCTCCCAGTCCTGGTTCCCTATGATAAGTCTCTTTTGAATGCTCAAGCTAGTTAATTTTAATTTTTCCCCCAGATGATGCTGTGCTTGTATAAACTTCTTTAATTGAAAGACCTTAGTTTAAATGTGTTTTTGATTAAAATATTGTAAAATAACCTAATTTTCCAGAAATTAAGAATTAGTTATTGGCCACTTATACATTTTAATTTTGTAATAAAATTTATTTTATTTTTAATGTGCAAAATCGTTACCTGGAATCTTTCAGGCATTTAGTAAGAAGAAGATTGATGACAGAAAAGAATGGTTAACAAATTTTATGGAAGACCGGAGACAGCGTAGGCTACATGGCTTACCAGAGGTTAGTCTTAAAGAGTGGTGACCTGGGGAAAGAAGGAGAGAGAGACTAGAATTCATGCAGTAATAATGATAATATTGCTATATAACTTTTCTCTTAGCAATTTTTATATGGTACTGCAACAAAGCATTTGACTTATAATGATTTCATCAACAAGGAATTGATTCTCTTCTCAAACTCAGACAATGAAAGATCTATACCATCTCTTGTTGATGGTGAGTAATATTTAAAAACCTCATTTTTTAATGTTATTTACTATAGTTTAATTTCATGTACTTTAAGCCATCCTTATGATACATATTAAAATTCTTACTTTAAATCTTGTATATGAAGAGCTTATTCAGAGGAATTTAAGGCCTTTTTGATTTTGCTTTTGTTTTATGTTTTCATAGTGCTGAAATCTTTAATATTCCTTAATTTGAAACTTTTAAACCTTTTCCGAGTTTTTCAGGAAAATTAACTTTAAAAGTCTTAAAGCTTTTGCCCAAGTTGTCTGCAGATTTTCTAAAAAAGTAAAATGGAACTTTGATAATTTCTAAAATATTTATCAGAGATTAAATTTTAAAAAGCTTTTATTCTGTATTACCCAAAGCCTAATGCTTTAACTTAACTTGAAAAAAATTTAGGAACTATTTCTAATTTGAAAAAAATTTAGAAACTATTTCTCGTTAGTTGAAGCAGATTTTGATCTTCTATCTAGAACTTTTTTTTTTCTCATAACCTTTATGAAGTTTGTTGATCTTTGTATTGCTTGGCTTTTCTGGTAATAGCAGATGTTTCTACCTATCCCTCAAGTTCTAGCCACAAATCGCCTTTCTTCTATGAAGCCTTCCTAGCAATTCTACTCTAAATTGGTCTTAGATACCTAAACTTCTATACCAATTATTATGTACCTCTTATTTTACCTTTGTTCATTTTGCCTCTAGAATTAGATTACAAAATTCTTAAAGAAGTTGCCATATTTTATCATCCTCATGTTTTTACCATACTCTGGGTCCAGTATGATTACAGTGATAGCATATACTGAAAAGATTGTTACTGTGCTTATTGGCCTAGAGCCAGGGTGTCTAACCTTTTGGCTTCCCTGGGCCACATTGGAAGAGGAAGAATTGTCTTGGGCCACATGTAAAAATACACTAACACTAACGATAGCTGATGAGCTTAAAACAAAAACAAACAAAAAACAAAAATAATTGCAAAAAAACCAAAAAACAAAAATAATCGCAAAAACAAACAAACAAAAAACCTCATGATGTTTTAAGAAAACTGACAAATTTGTGTTGGGCCACATGCAGCCCACGGGCCACGGGTTGGACAAGCTTGGCCTAGAGCAAGAAGAATGGTAAGGGAGCAGAGTGATTTGCTCACATTGTTTCATGCAATCCTTATGAAAACTATATTAAGAAAGTAATTATTTCTATTACTTGGATGAGGACATAGACTTACTAGTTATTTGCTTAGTCACATGGTAAATGGCCAAGTTGAGAAGAATATACAGATTAGTGAGATTCTAAAGCCTTTATTCTTCACTACCACAATAAATCGCTTTTTATAAGGGTTTTCCTGATGTGGGATACTTAGAATAGATTTCAGGCTCCTTGATGGCATGCTGGCAATTTAGTTAGCTACAAATGGCGTTTTGGTTGTTTGAGTGTTTGGAAACTACTGTTAAAGGAGTTTGGTACCACTAGGTGATTCTTTAAGGCCAGAATGTTGTCTTTCAATTGGCAGTTCACTTTTGGAGTAGATGGAGATGGCATAAAAACATCTTAGTATATACCTGCAGATGGCTTTCTAGGAAAAAACAAACAAACAAAACAAACGTGTTAGTATGTACTCACTTTGTTACAGAATCTCAAGTAACAATTTTACTGGTGTTCTTGAAAAGCAAATTGTATCTTTGCTTTATTCCCCTGAATTGTTACAACTATATCTTGAAGTAACATTTTAAAAGAGCTCTTTTAAAAATAGGCTTTAAACCTGGCCAGCGGAAAGTTTTATTTACCTGTTTCAAGAGGAATGATAAACGTGAAGTAAAAGTTGCCCAGTTGGCTGGCTCTGTTGCTGAGATGTCGGCTTATCATCATGGAGAAGTAAGCATTAAGATTGGAATCAATTGAGAACTGTAATTATTGTCTTGAAGAATGATAATTACACATAGTATTTTTCCTTTAGTAAAGTCTTTGGAAATGTAAAAGAATTAAGAGAATATACAGATTAGTGAGATTCTAAAGCCTTTATTCTTCACTTGGATTTTAATTCAAGTTGGGGAGTAATTATAGAAAATTTAGAATATTAATGTTATGTTCTGCCTTCTTCTGTTGTATAGCAAGCATTGATGATGACTATTGTGAATTTGGCTCAGAACTTTGTGGGAAGTAACAACATTAACTTGCTTCAGCCTATTGGTCAGTTTGGAACTCGGCTTCATGGTGGCAAAGATGCTGCAAGCCCTCGTTATATTTTCACAATGTTAAGGTAAATATTTGCTGATATAATGGTATAAAGTTTGATTTGATTTGGAACCAACTAACTAAATGTTCGATGGAATTATAGCTGTGGAGAGATGTGATTATCTGGTTATTCTACTTAGAAGGTGAATGTTCCAAATTATTTGACCACAAATAGAATGAAGTCTGTTGACCTTAATTTTTATGAATTGTTGGTGAAATCAGTCCTAGTGAATTAAGGATGTTTTTCTCACCAACTTTACTCTTTAGGCTGAAGATGGGTTATGTACTTTATTTAGAGTAATAGGAAATTCTTTAAAAGTTATCAATATTAAATCAGGTAGGTAAGTACATAAGTAAAATAGGACTATTTTATTCTGGGCTTGTAACTGAGAGAAAGATGCATTTGAATAATACAGTTAGGCAAATTTTATTATTAAGCGGATGTAATCAAAATTATTAAAAATGCATTCTCTTCAAAAGATTTGTTTTTGCAGTGTGAAGTTTTTAATTATGTATAAAGTTTTCTTTCCCAAAGCCATGACATTTTTTCATTTGCTTCTTTTTGTTTTCATTAGCACTTTAGCAAGGCTACTTTTTCCTGCTGTGGATGACAACCTCCTTAAGTTCCTTTATGATGATAATCAACGTGTAGAGCCTGAGTGGTATATTCCTATAATTCCCATGGTTTTAATAAATGGTGCTGAGGGCATTGGTACTGGATGGGCTTGTAAACTACCCAACTATGATGCTAGGGAAATTGTGAACAATGTCAGACGAATGCTAGATGGCCTGGATCCTCATCCCATGGTAATTATTTGGAACTTATTATTTATTTAACAAATGATAATGTGTAAACTACAAATTCCCGTCATTTTAGAAAAGTAATGGAACATTTTTATTTTAGAACATATTGTAGACCGTAAAGACCTAATTAGGGTATAATTTGATATGTGCCTACAGTAAAAAGTATAAACTTTGGAATGAGTTTTGGAGGTAAGTTTCATGGGGAGAAACTGTTTATTTAAATTTAGAAACACCTCATATTCCAGGTTTTCAAACCTCTAAACCCTATATTATTAGAAAACAATCCTTTTCTGATAAAATTATGTGTAACCTTGTTTCTGTTCTCAAACTACCGCTTAATAGTTTGTAAGGATGCTTAAAAACACATTGTATTCATTAGTGTACCATTTGTAAAAAGACAGAAAACAAACTACCTTGTATATATTTTAATATATCCCCAAGGCTGGGCGTGGTGGCTCACACCTGTAATTCCAGCACTTTGGGAGGCCAAGGCATATGGATCACCTGAGGTCAGGAGTTCGAGACCAGACTGACCAACATGGGGAAACTCCATCTCTACTAAATATACAAAAAAAATTAGGTGTTGCTCAGGCTCACGCCTGTAATCCCAGCACTTTGGAGGCCGAGGTGGGTGGATCACCTGAGGTCAGGAGTTCTAGGCCAGCCTGACCAAACCAGGTAGAACCCTGTCTCTACTAAAAATACAAAAATTAGCCGGGTGTGCTGGAGGGCACCTGTAATCCCAGCTACTTGGGAGGCAGAGGCAGGAGAATCGCTTGAACCCAGGAGGTGGAGGTTGCGGTGAGCCGAGATTGCGCCACTGTACTCCAGCTTGGGGAACAGAATGAGACTCCGTCTCCCAAAAAAAAAAAAAAAAATCCCCATTTTTTTTTTATGTTTGTTGTTTTCTTGTATCATTCACTCTGCTCAGACCTCCTCCAAGAAAAATGTCCTTCCTTCCTCCCCATGATTTAAAATTACCTGGAGAAAAGTGTATTTTTATTACCAAAATGATAATGTTTATTGTAGAAAATATAGGTAAGCAAAGAGTAAAAAAATCCATAAACCCACAATATAGAGACAATATTTTGATGTATTTTTCCAAGTTTTATTTCATTTTTGTATTTTAAAGTGAAAGTTATTCTTTAGCAATAAGACATATATTCTGCTTTTTCTCTTAAATACTTCAAAGTACTTCAAAATATTTCTAACATAAGCATCAAATTTTTAATGATAGTGTTTTACTGAAATGGTTTTGGATTTTTAAATGGATTTTAGATTGTTAAGATAGTGTATTTGATCAATACATGGTTCTTATGTGCCTACTATGTGTATGAAACTGTGCTAAGTGGTGAGATAAAGAGCTATGGTTTTTATCTTTGAAAAGTTAAACAGTTGTCAAGACAAGACATCAAAGCATCAAGGCTTGAAGTTTAACAGTGACAAACGATATTGATAGTTGCTTGGTATGCCAGAAGAAATGTCCTATGCTATATGCTCAATTTCTTTCTTTCTTTTTTTTTTTTTCTGAGACAGAGTCTCACTCTGTCACCCAGGCTGGAGTACAGTGGTGTGATCTTGGGTCACTGCAACCTCTGTCTCCCAGGTTCAAGTGATTCTGCTGTCTCAGCCTCCTGAGTAGATGGGGCCACAGGTGTGCGCCACCATGCCTGTCTAATTTTTGTATTTTTAGTAGAGACGGGGTTTCACTGTGTTGGCCAGGCTGGTCTCGAACTCCTGGCCTCAAGTGATCCGCCTGCTTTGGCCTCCCAAAGTGCTGGGATTACAGGCATGAGCCACTGTGCCCGGCCTATATACTCGATTTCTTAATGATAATAACGAATAAGAATTTTAGAGTAGGCCAGGTGCAGTGACTCATGTCTATAATCCCAGCACTTTGGGAGGCTGAGCTGGGCAGATCACTAGCTCAGGAGTTGAAGACCAGCCTGGGCAACATGGCAAAACCCTGTCTCTACAAAAATACAAAAATTAGCTGGACATGGTGGCACGCATCTGTAACCCCAGCTACTTGGGAGGCTGAGGTGGGAGGATCCTTTGAGCCCAGGTGGTTGAGGCTGCAGTGAGCTGATATCGTGCCACGGCACTCCAGCCTGGGTGACAAAGTGGAGACCCTGTCTCAAAACAAATAAAAACTTAGAAGAGGGAGAGAGGACTTGTAATTCAGTTGGGAAGGATGAGTAAGATTTATGTAGATGAATGATGAATGGAATGGGGTTGGGCCTGAATATGTGTCAGGACTTGTGGATAGAGTGAAAGTGAGAATATTCAAAATAGTCAAACAAAATATGGGAGAAGAGTAGTGGTTTTGTAAGACAAATCATTAGAGAAAAAATTGAAAGCCAGATTGGGTCCAGACTATGAAATGCTTTCAATGTAAGGCCCAAGGAGTTTGAATTTAAAGGATATTGATCTAGGAGAGAAGTAGGTGTAGGGGAAGTAGGCTGAAAGAAAGTACTGTTCTAGGAAGACTAGGAAAGATGATACTAACATTTTGAGATTGGAGGATGTTCAGGTTGTATGAACAGAAGCTATGAATTCAAGCTTAATTGATCAGTTGGAAAGGGACAATTGAGGATGAGAAATTCTGTTTCAGTTGTGTTAATCTGTCAATGTTAGACCATAGACTCATGGTACTGGTACTCAAGAGAGAAGTCAATGCTATTTACCTTTTTCTCTACAGCTTCCAAACTACAAAAACTTTAAAGGCACGATTCAAGAACTTGGTCAAAACCAGTATGCAGTCAGTGGTGAAATATTTGTAGTGGACAGAAACACAGTAGAAATTACAGAGCTTCCAGTTAGAACTTGGACACAGGTCAGTGTAAATATGTGATCTGCCTGAGGGAAGGGCAGTGTATTAAGCAATTTTTTCTGGTAAGGATGATTCCACCGTTGTTGGTCCTAAGCGTGCGTAGTGTTAAAAAATTCCTGTACCTTCTTTTACCCTTCAGTTGAATTTGTGCTTTGAATATTTAAATAGTATTTATATCTAAGTAGCGTAGTATGACTTATGTTAGGTAAGGCTTTTATAGACTATTATCTTTGTATTTATTTAAAATAAAAGGAGTAGAATATGACAGTGTTTTTAATTCTTGTAAATATGGTCAGTAAATTCATGTCAGCATCAGCTTTACAAATCTAAAAGTATGCATGTCACCTCTTGACAGTTCCAGTTGATGTCATCCTTTTCATACTCAGCCTTTATCTTGCCCTTTAGAGTATGAGTGGGTCAGCACCATTACTTCTTATGTCTTTTCCCACCACCGAGATCCCTGTGTATTGCCTTCTATACTGATTGGATAGGAGATGATAGAGATTGAGGTTTCCTTTTTAATTCCCCATGAGAGTTGAGAATTTTCAAGACTGTATGACTTGTAGTATGAGAACATGAGAGTGTGTCATGAAAAGAATCACTAATTTTTAAATCTTTATAGGTATATAAAGAACAGGTTTTAGAACCTATGCTAAATGGAACAGATAAAACACCAGCATTAATTTCTGATTATAAAGAATATCATACTGACACAACTGTGAAATTTGTGGTGAAAATGACTGAAGAGAAACTAGCACAAGCAGAAGCTGCTGGACTGCATAAAGTTTTTAAACTTCAAACTACTCTTACTTGTAATTCCATGGTAATTTATTAGATTTACTGTTAATTTAATCTTTCTTGCATGGTATAAGTCGGATTATTATAATTGGTTTCATGATGGGAGTGGCTATAGTAAGCCTGAAGGCATTTTTTTTTTTTTTTTTTTCCCATCCTGCAGATTTGCTGAAGATTCTAGGGGCACATTTCTTTCTTCTAGTATTGTCCACTACCCTTATTCTCAACTCTGTGTTTATGCATCTGGGCTTGAAAACACAGGATACACACATCTTCACACACATTGACTAAAAGTTATGAGAGTGGTTATTGCAGGGCCTTTGTGTACTTTATGGCCATCTCTATTAGCATTTTAACTGTAGAGTACTCATAACTCTAATCTGCTTTATTAAACTTGCACATTTATCTTTATTTATACAACTGGGGAGGAAGGTAGAAACTTTAAGTGTGTGATTCAAGTTCCATTCCAAATTAGCTTTTAGATCTAAAAAAGTAAAAAAAGTTCAGCAGTAGTACAGTGGCTGAGAAAAAGTGCCATAATCCGCTGAGAAAGGCTGATGGAAGAAAGAAAAAGGATAGAGAGGAGTTTGGGTGACTGGATTATAGCACAAGTAAATGTGAAAGCGAGAGAAAGGGGACAAATGCGTATACACAGAATATATGGGGGAGGAAAAACTTGAACATTTTTAAACTTAGCAATAGAATATGTATGTTTTCAGTTTGGGGAAAAATCATTTTTGTAGGTGGTTTTATGGTTACTTTAAGAGCCCTTTTTTTAAGGCCTATTTTTGTCTTTCAATATTATTCCTAAATACTTTTGTTGTGAGAATTGAATTTATTGGCTTGCAGTCACCAAAGAAATATTTACAGAAATGTGCTTAATAGTCTTAGTTCTGTTTAATGGTTTTTAGGGGTAGTCTGTGTTCACACACATGCATTATGGTTATATATTATGGTTATTTTAAGTATTGTAGATGTTATATAAGTTAAAATACCAGTACAGATCTATATGATCTGCAAAGTATATGTGTTTTGCTTAGGTACTTTTTGATCATATGGGATGTCTGAAGAAATATGAAACTGTGCAAGACATTCTGAAAGAATTCTTTGATTTACGATTAAGTTATTACGGTTTACGTAAGGAGTGGCTTGTGGGAATGTTGGGAGCAGAATCTACAAAGCTTAACAA
Source organism: Homo sapiens (assembly GCF_000001405.40). Taxonomy (NCBI): domain Eukaryota; kingdom Metazoa; phylum Chordata; class Mammalia; order Primates; family Hominidae; genus Homo; species Homo sapiens. The sequence goes on along the minus strand of NC_000003.12, from coordinate 25,618,700 downwards.
TCAAGCCCGTTTCATTTTAGAGAAGATACAAGGGAAAATTACTATAGGTAAGATACAACCTTTAAAAATTTGAACATTAGTTAAAATGGAAAAAAAACTTTATTAATAGAAGACATTTTTATCAGTAGAATATAAGCAAATACAAATTGAATCTCTTATCTTGATCCTAACTTTATTTTTCCCTCACATAGAGAATAGGTCAAAGAAAGATTTGATTCAAATGTTAGTCCAGAGAGGTTATGAATCTGACCCAGTGAAAGCCTGGAAAGAAGCACAAGAAAAGGTAATCATTTGCAGAAAAAGACATTCAGAGAAGCTTTTAAAAGCAACTTCCAAAACAAACAAAAATTCAACCCCTAAATTTTAAATTTAGTACTACTAAAGGTGCTGAGTTGTCTATTTAGAGACTAAAGTCTTCTGTTTATCCACAGAACAGATAAAGTACAGGAATTTATAGTACACACCCACCACAAAGCACTTGGCCAGTGTGACTCAACCAGAGCCTGGAGAAATGACTCCAGGTGTGAGAAGGTAGCTCAGTCTCCTTGACCTTTTTTCCTGAGTCTGCCATTAAAAGGTGTTGTGGTGGTGGTTTTTGTGAGGTACATGTATATTACCTGGGAATCAGACTGGTTGCACCCAGAATCAGCCTATGTTCACAGTATGGCATCCAGTCACCACTCACTTGATCTGGTTTTGGTTAATACTGGGAAGACAAGAGACAAAATGTTAATTATTATAGACAGTATTTATCAAACACCAAGCTCTGCCTCATGCTTAGATTTTTAGCCAGAGATTTAAACCCTGGAACTTCAGATTAAAAGTCTGATGTTTTATTAAGTAAGTTGCCCATTGCAGATCACAAAATAGTAATAATAGTTAAATGAATGGGATATTGAAGCTTTGAGAGTCCCCTCAATTAGCTTTTTGATGTTTTGTATAACTAAAAGAAAAATTTAAGCAACAGTACAACATTGTGATTGAGAACAGAAATTTATTACAGAAGAGGAAGAAAAGTTGAATGATTAATTTTTTGGGTATTAGATTATTTTGTGCATATATGATTCCATAACATTAACATCTTTAAAACATAGTTATAATTGTGTGACATAACTTGAACCTTTAAACTTCCCTGTACTTGAGTTCTCAATCATAATGTTTTTGTATTTTTTATCAAACTACATTGAAATATTGCTTTTGCTTACATTTTTCAGTTTGAAGTCAATAAAAGTCATATATTAAAGTGAGTAAAATTAGACTAAGTTATATAGAATAGCAATTACATATTAAGATAATAGGCTTATTCATTATTTGAAGAAAATTCGGTAGGACAAGATGGGCGCATTCAGAGTTAAGATGATTGAAGCCCTTTGTTTTCCTCTTAATGTGTTTTATTGAACCCCAAATTATGGTTTCTACAACACTTGCCTTTTGCCTTTCTGTATCACCGTTGGTTTAAACTATATGTTTTTTTTTAAAAAAAGTAACTAGTAAGCTGATGAATTTTTAATGCTTAGTCTTAAAAGATAAAGATTTCTACAGTGTCAGAATGTCCTTCTGGTGGAAGTAGAATTTATGGGTAAAGCCTAGCTTGATTTCAGTTATTGCATTACCACCATCAGAATTTTTTCAGCATCTTGGCCATGTGTACATTTTGGGGAGTTCAGGTAACAAAAGGAACTGCTCTTACAAGAGTGTCCTATTATACAGAGTTGGAGAAAAGAGAATTATAAAGTAGCTAATTAGAAGATTAAAGTTTTTTGTAAAGCATAATGGAATTTTGTCATTAGAACTTGCAAAGTTTATTTTTTTTTTTAATTTCTGGAAGTGTTCTTAGTCATATTTATGTTAACGGTGATAGATACACATATTCATAGAACACTTCTTAACAATACTTTGGGTGTAGTCAAAACCTAGATCTAATAGACTAGACCCACTAAATGTGGGTCTAAACAGGATTTTGTTGTATCCTAGTGATATTTTTATAGTTGTCTAACAACCTGAATACTCCATAGAAACAAGCTGTTTCATGAAGAATTTTTCAAAAGTGTAGAATTATTTATTGTAAGTTATCTAGGTACTTATTAATCATCTATCAACTCAACAATAGCATTCCGTATTTGGCTAATGTGGCTTAATCAAATTTATAGTTTTTGTTTATATAATGAAGCATCTTGCTTTGCAGTTTTAATTTTTATCTTACTTCTGAAGTACACGTAAACTGTACTTTGTGTATATACATTGTTTTGCTTACAAATTTTAATTATAAAGCTTTTTTTTTTTTTTTCCTCTTTTGGTTACCAAAAGTAAACTTTTTGCTTTATGGAGTGTCATGGTTAACTCAGTCATTTTAAATTAAACAACTTAGATAAAATTTTATTTAATGGCTATTGTTATTTTAAAAAATTTAAAGGTGATATCACCTAAAATAACTTTTATTAAATTCATTGTATTTTGAAATTTAATATTAGCACAAAATAATTTTTTTGTTGCAGCTGTTTCTATAGACAAGGGCCTGATGAATAAAATTTCAGCAAAACCCTGACGAAATTCTTACTCTAACTCACCAACTCTTAAATTCTTAAGTGGACTTTCTCTGAGTCCTGACATGAATATTCTGGCTTTAGAGAAGTTTTTATTAAGAATTCACCCTCAGCGAGTGAATGTACCTTAACATATTTATTATAACTGTAAAATAATTTTCATAACTGGTATTTATTTTGTATTTCAGATTGTTCATTCACTCACCAGTATAAAAATCTGACAAGATGCAGTGATAAAACATTAATTCTACTCTCTTAACTTTAAAATGTGGTATCCTCTCATTTTGTTACTGAGTACCTGAGGAAATCAGTTAATTTTTCATCAGATTCCTGGATAAATAGGGATAGTGTATACCATTCCTTCTGAAGATCTTATTGTGCGTCTTTAGAAAATTTTAAACTTTTTATAAGGAAATATATTTTTATAGGTAATCCAAAATAACCCCACCATCCTGAAGATGTAGCATTTATAGTGTAGCACTTGTAGAATTTTAAACTAATTATTCAATAAAATTCAACATTAATTTGATACTATACAAGACTTTAATATACAGTTTGTTATTTTTTACAGGCAGCAGAAGAGGATGAAACACAAAACCAGCATGATGATAGTTCCTCCGATTCAGGAACTCCTTCAGGCCCAGATTTTAATTATATTTTAAATATGTCTCTGTGGTCTCTTACTAAAGAAAAAGTTGAAGAACTGATTAAACAGAGAGATGCAAAAGTATGAACTTTTGTGGGTTAAATAGTTTGAAACTATTTCAGTGTTATCTGTATCTTTTTCTTTTTCCAAAAATAAGTATTTTGATTTATCCTTCATATGTTTTAAAACTATTGAATGTTTAAACTGTACTTTTTTATTATAGGGGCGAGAGGTCAATGATCTTAAAAGAAAATCTCCTTCAGATCTTTGGAAAGAGGATTTAGCGGCATTTGTTGAAGAACTGGATGTAGGTTAAGTCTCTATTAAAATTTATTTGGAAAAGTCATGTTTATGAACAAGAATGAAATTCTTTTAAGTGATCTTAAAGTTTTCTTTAACTCTGTGAAGGTTAATATGTTTATAAGTTGAGTTAGGCTTAAGCTTCTAGTTATGTGAAGTTATAAAGAACTTCTTGTATGGAGGAATTTAAATGCTATGAAATTGAAATTTAGAATAAATTAAATCTGCTTTCAATTAGTTAAAAATTTTTAACTGAGTTTTAGATTAAATAATTGATTCAGTTTAATGTTTTCCTGGAAAGAGGTAAGGCTAATATGTGTGTATAATTGAATGTAAGTACTTTGATTTTAGGAGTAGAATGATAGTCTCTACATTTATAACAGACATTTCAATATTTGATTGTTATAACATAGTTTTTTCCAAGTAGAATTCTAATTTAAAAAATAAAAAAAATGTAGAGATATAAAAAGCACACCTTTTCTAAAATTGCCCAATTAAAATATTGGAATTAATGGTAGCATTATGAATACCTGATTTTTGAGTAGCAAAATGTAAAATACCATTTATTACTCATACTACTTTTTTTTTTTAAAGTTGCTTTGTTGATTTATTGTCTACATGCTCTACTTTTACTTCAGTGGTCTAAGTCAGAATTAGAACTCTTAAGAACAAGTGTGGTAAATTAGCTGCCTAAAAGAATTTAGAATTTTTTAGTGCTATTTTTCTAGGCTCCCTCAACGATCTTTCAAGTGCTGCAATGTGAGTCTTCCTTTTTTTGTGCTTTCCGTATATTGTTCATTAATTAGTTTTTTTGCACATTGTTTCCTGCTGAGTTATAATTTATTTAAAAATTATTCATTAAAAATGAAGCCATCATATATTAAAAGAAAAATTATTCCTAATATTATTGATATCCTGATATTGCTTTAAATTTGGTCACTAATATAGTGAAACACAGGAAACTTTTGTGGTTATGCCTGTACATTTCCTCACTATTGAAAAGTCGTCATTCAAAACAACCCTAGCAAAAAATACTCTTTCACTTTTAATTTATCATCTTATTTTATTATTTGACAATTAATGAAATAGGTCCAAACAACTTATTTAAATTCTGGATGTATTTATTTTTAACATTTAAAAAGATTTAGACTTAAATTTCATGTCTCTCTGTATCATTTAAAGTCTAATGATAACATTAATTGAATATCTATTGTACACTGGCACAGCCTTCTATGTAATGCTTAGAGTGACCCTCACCACAACTTCAAATGAATGAGGTTATCATTAACCTGTATTATACAGATAAGGATCCTGAAGCTTGGAGAGGTTAAGTCACTTTCTTAGGAATTATATCATTATAGAATTACTCATCTTCTCAGACACCCACTTTCCTCATCTATAAAATGGGGATCACAGGATTTTTTAAATGCCTAGCACATGGTGGATGCTCTATAAATTATCTGGCTTTTTTGTTTTTTTTTTTTGAGACATGGTCTTGCTCTGTCACCCAGGCTGGAGTGCAGTGGTACAATCATGGCTCATTGCAGCCTCAACCACTTGGGCTCAAGCAGTCCTCCTACCTTAGTCTCCTGAGTAGCTGGGACATGTGTGCCACCACATCTGGCTAATTTTTGCATTTTTGTGTAGAGATGAGGTTTTGTTATGTTGCCTAGGCTGGTGTCAAACTCCTGGGCTCAAGTGATCCACCTACCTCAGCCTCACAAAGTGCTGGGATTACAGGTGTGAGCCACTGCAACTGGCCTCTGTTATTTCCTGAGGATACATAACTAGTAAGTGGAAGTGCAGTTGAAATCCAGAACTATCTGATTTCAAAGCTTGGGTAATTTCTATTAAACTGTTGTGCTACAAAGATCTTTTAAAAAAATCTCTAAAGAAATGTCATTTTTTCCTTGTGCCTTTCAAAGCTTATTTTAAGGAATAATTCTGGTAAATGCAAAATCTAGGATATTAATCATGATTATATCCTAATTTATCATTACATAGACCTGCCTGAGTTCAATCTAATTATATTGGCACTTTTAACTTCTCATACTTTCTGACTTTAATTTACATTTAGGAGGTTTTTTTTCATATTTTCTATTACGACTAAAGCAATAGAAAAAAATAACTTCATACTTATTAGCAGAACTGCCTTTGTATATGATTTGCTAGGATTTTGATGATACTAGGTTATCAGAGGTCTTGATTCCATAATATATCACGGGATCCAAGAATTGGCAGAGACTTCTCAGGTCATTTAGTCACTATTGCCCCCTCGTATTACAAATGGGAAACTAGTTAGATGAATTGGGATTACAATCCAGGTCTTCTGATTTAGAATTCTTTATTTTTTTTCCATTATTTAATCTTGAATTAGATAAGTTAAAAGGAAAGCTTTATTCTTTACTGAGTGAATAACATTTGTTTCAGTATTTTATGAAGTAGTGATTATCTTTTCTAAGAAGTTGTTTATGTTCCTTCTGCCTTATGATTATACTTTAGAAAGTGGAATCTCAAGAACGAGAAGATGTTCTGGCTGGAATGTCTGGAAAAGCAATTAAAGGTAAAGTTGGCAAACCTAAGGTGAAGAAACTCCAGTTGGAAGAGACAATGCCCTCACCTTATGGCAGAAGAATAATTCCTGAAATTACAGCTATGAAGGCAGATGCCAGCAAAAAGTTGCTGAAGAAGAAGAAGGTATGACATACCTCTTGTCATTGATAGACTCATTTCTATAATGAAATATATGTATAATTTAAAAAATTTTAATGCGTGTTTAAATCATGCTTTGTTTTATTCAAAATATATTTCAATGGTAATAGGAAATCCTTCTATGACAGCAGTTGATCTATAGAAGGAAAACATATTGGTAAAGGATCACATATTGTAAAGAGCTACTTAATTCAGCTTTTAAAATGAGAAATAGAAACACTCCACTCAGCTGCCTTCTAAGTTAAAATCTTGGAAGCCGGCCGGGCACGGTGGCTCACGCCTGTAATCCCAGCACTTTGGGAGGCTGAGGCGGGCGGATCATGAGGTCAGGAGGTCAAGACCATCCTGGCAAACATGGTGAAACCCCGTCTCTACTAAAAAATACAAAAAATTAGCTGGGCGTGGTGGTGGGCGCCTGTATCACAGCTACTTGGGAGGCTGAGGCAGGAGAATGGTGCGAACCCGGGAGGCGGAGCTTGCAGTGAGCCGAGATTGTGCCACTGCACTCCAGCCTGGTTGACAAGAGTGAGACTCCATCTCAAAAAAAAATAAATAAATAAAAATAAAAATCTTGGAAGCCAAAACAAAACAAAACAAAAACCTCCAAAAACCCAACCATAAGTATATCAACTTTAAAGTATAAACTTTAGTGCTACATCATAATCCATTAGAGAAGACTTAGAGTGGGAAAGGGTCTGTTTGGCTTACAAAGTACTCTGTCATCTTTTACTATTTACTTGTGTTTGTCCTTAAACTACCAAGCACATCCTGTGTCATTGGCACTGATAGGTGCTATTGAGGATTAAAAAAAAAAATGGCGTTGACCTAACCTCAAGCAGGATTGACCAGAGTTAGCCGGAAGAAGGAAACATCAGAAAAAATGTTCAGAGCTGAGGAAACAGGGTGCATGTTGGTCTTAGAGAGGCTAATGTTTTTGGACAGGTTGATTTTTACAATCCAGAAAGTATACGTTTAGATGTGTCCAACAAGTAGGTGGGAATATAGCCTCATTCTTACTAGAGCTTGGAAAATGAGCCTAAAGAGCTAGAGTTAGAGATTGGAGAGTTCTCTGTGCAGAGCTAATATTTGAAGCGTAGGTGCATTTTGACACCAGAGTAGCCTTTCTCTTCTGTTCTGATAAACTCAGGTCTCTACTACTTTCCTCTTACTTGGCTCCCCACGGCACACAGGTTCATTTACCCAGATACTCTTGCCTGTCTCCCTCGGAAGATGGTTTCTTTTCAGTTGGCGTTTGTCAGATTCATTTCTCAGCATTCTTTTCTCTACCTTATATGGTCCCCTCAAGTAACCTTATCTATGCCCAGAGCTTATTCCATTCATACTGATGGCCCCTAAATCTGTGTTCCTAAGCTATAATGCTTTCAGGAGTGCCAAGCTCATAGCCACTTGAATGCTTGAAGCCCATCAAACTCAGCATGTCTGAAACTGGATTCATTATCCTGATTTCAAAATCTGTTCTTTGCCTTATCCCAGTTAATGACACTATCAGCCATCAATGATATAAGCCAAAAACCTGGGAGTTTTGTCATTTAATCAGTAACTAAGTCCTATTGACTGCCTACTAAGTAATTCCAAAATCCACCCCCTTATCTTGGTCCCCATTTGACATTGCCTTAGAATTTTGTGTTTTCTCTGAGATACTTTAAAGTGGTCCTCTTAACTCTCTGTTTCTAGTCATTTAATCATGATTTCTCCCCTTTTCTACTTCATTCCTTTAAGTTCTATATTTTACTACTAGAATGAAAATTCTAAAAAGTCAGTCTGATTGTTAGGCTTAAAAATCTTCAGTGACTCCCCACTGACTATGCACAAATTCTTGGTATACAGTGTTAGCACCTGTATGCCTCTGTGTGTTTCTTCTCCTGGCTACTTTGTTCTCACTTTTCCTTGAGTTCTAGCAGACTATTACATTTAAAAACCTAATTCTTTAAACATTTAATTCCTGTTAGATGGCTTTGTGCCTTCTGCCTGGGATGCCCTTCCCTCCTTAATTCCCACCTGGCAAACCTATGTGTTTCCTTTAGAACTCAGTCAGAAAAGGTACTTCTCCATGGAGACTTTTTTGACCCTGCCTTGAGCAGAGTTTCTCACTTCTCCCCTTGGGCCATGGCTGTACCAGCCTCTATATTTGTTATTTGTATTGTAATGACTCATCCTTGTTGTGTGCCTCTGTGTTTTTTGTTTTTGTTTTTTTACCCCATGGTCTTAGGGTTGGGGTCTACCTTACAGTGCCTAGCAGTGCAAGACACATGTTACTTATTTTCCTTCAATAATTTGAAGATTTTTTTTTTTTTTGAGACAGAGTTTCGCTTTTGTTTCCCAGGCCAGAGGCTCACCGCAATCTCCGCCTCTCAGATTCAAGCAATTCTCCTGCCTCAGCCTCCTGAGTAGCTGGGGTTACAGGATTTTTTAATGGTATATAAAGGCCTGCCTGAGCTATAGAAACTTATTTTGCAGGTACCTTTTAGCTAGTGGTCTGGAAATCCCTCTGATAATCAAAAGCTGCCTTCTTATTTTTTATGGTTGCTTCTAAGTAGCTGTCATTTCACTGAATGTACTGGAAAATTAAGAGTTACATGCAATATTATTTACTATAGATAAGTGAAGTAAAACATGGTCTGATCAAAGTCAGCTGTTAGGACCTCATCAGAATCACTGTTTTTAAATTTACCTGATTTGAAGGCGCTATCTGTTGATTGAAACTATCTCTAAAATATGTGATGTTTTTATTTTTACTCGTGGCTTGATTTTCTTTTTATTATGTAGGGTGATCTTGATACTGCAGCAGTAAAAGTGGAATTTGATGAAGAATTCAGTGGAGCACCAGTAGAAGGTGCAGGAGAAGAGGCATTGACTCCATCAGTTCCTATAAATAAAGGTCCCAAACCTAAGAGGGAGAAGAAGGAGCCTGGTGAGAAATGATTATAGTTTTGCATGTGTGTGAGAGAAAAAATATTTGTATAGAGTATTACTAGATTCTTTTGATTGTGCTCTTTTTCTGGTAGTTGAAATAATGCCTTCAATTTTCATAAACGTTTATTTTGTAATGAACTTTTCATTATAACAATTTTATTTTTACTAATGACATTTCTATAAATATGGATACATACCTTATTGCTATTCTTTTGCTTTAGGTACCAGAGTGAGAAAAACACCTACATCATCTGGTAAACCTAGTGCAAAGAAAGTGAAGAAACGGAATCCTTGGTCAGATGATGAATCCAAGTCAGAAAGTGATTTGGAAGAAACAGAACCTGTGGTTATTCCAAGAGATTCTTTGCTTAGGAGAGCAGCAGGTATTGTAACACATTTAATATTACTGTATATTATAGTTTAACCTATACGTTGGTATTGTTAGTATTATCAGTGTTGTTTAAGTACTAAGCCATTAGTATTTCAGAAGTTAAAGTTAGGAAGAAGGAAAAAATTGCCTTATAGAACAGTCTTTCTAGCAAAGTTGGACATAAATTTCTCTAAAGTGAATCATGTTTCTTTCCTGATTTTTATTATAAAGTTTGGTTTATATTCCTTCCACAGTTTTAAGATGTTTGGGAAAAAATGTACCTTGCCACAATACCAGCAATGATAGATCTATTAATATTAGAAGTGCTTTGTGGTTTTGTTTTTGTTTGGTTTTCTACCCCTTATATCATGAAAAATTTCCTCCCGCTTTAAAAGTCTGAGTACATAGCTCTCTTTTAGATAATGATAGTTGTGCGGGTGAACTGCAGAATCCCATTTTGCTGTTATAATAATATAGTACTTATAAGAATATAATTTGATCCTTTCTGAATTTTCATTAAGGAGAAGTGTTGAAGTTATTAACATCTAGTGAGTTTTCTATTTTGTACATTCTTCTGAAATTTTGTTATTTGAAAATTTGTCCTAATTTATTAAAATGAATGATACAACATTGTGGGTGTTTACCTCTGGGAAGTACATTTTTAATTATATATCAGACCTTAAATTCTTTGGTTCTGCAATCACCAAGTGATTGAATTTCTTTCCCTAGTGTACATAGGTAGCATAATATAGGTGAATCTTTAATATGAGTAAGTTATATGAAAATGGTTTATTACATTAAATGCTTTAAAATTGTATTTACATACATCAAAAGTGAAGTGCAAAATTAACATCCAAGTAATTTAAAAATTTTATTCCATAATACATGCTAGAAATTATAATAAAACATACTTGCTTTATGGCAATATGCCTTTCACGATAATTGGTATCTTTTTATGCATTGTATTATTGTTTTGTGAATATATTGAGGTCTTTATGTCTCCTGTCTTTTTTCATTCATCTAAAAAATTACTGTCTTTGTTATTTCATAGTAAAACTAACTCTGAAGAGAAGATAGAAGTTTTTATCCAAAAAGTTAAGAGAAAGTTTAGGTGTCGGTACAGTGGCTCACGCCTGTAATCTCAGCACTTTGGGAGGCTGAGGAGGGAGGATCACTTGAGGTCAGGAGTTCAAGACCAGCCTGGGTAACATGGCAAGACCCTGTGTCTAAAACAATTTTTTAAAAAAAATCAGCCAGGAATGGTGGCACACCTGTAGTCCCAGCTACTCAGCAGGCTGAGGGGTGAGGATTGCTTGAGCCCAGGAGTTTGAGGCTGCAGTGAGCTATGATCATACCACTGCATTTCCTGCCCAGGCAGCAGAACAAGACTCTGTGTCAAAAAAACAAGAAAGTTTAGCACTTTTAAAATAACTGTAAAATTTGTTGTTTGTGATTGCAAATATGGGAAACATTGTATTTGTTGTCATTTGTATAATGGCTGTATGAGACAAGGCCATATTGACTACTTTCCTCAGTGTTTTTGATTAATTATTAAGTATATCAATAAGTACATTAGTTTATGCTCTCCTAACATGCACAGTATTATGTGGTAGCCTCCTGGAAAGTGTAAGACAGACATTAACACTACCAGATAACTAAGGCCAAAGTTGTTGGCTTTTATTCTGTAAATGCTTGCTTTTATTTCTTATGGTATTTTTAGAGATGGTTGGAATATACTTCAAATGCTTTATCAGTAATAATAATTCATGTATACAAAGCTAGGATTTGAGTTTAACATTCATTTTTATTTTTCCTCCTAGCCGAAAGACCTAAATACACATTTGATTTCTCAGAAGAAGAGGATGATGATGCTGATGATGATGATGATGACAATAATGATTTAGAGGAATTGAAAGTTAAAGCATCTCCCATAACAAATGATGGGGAAGATGAATTTGTTCCTTCAGATGGGTTAGATAAAGATGAATATACATTTTCACCAGGCAAATCAAAAGCCACTCCAGAGTAAGTAATGCTATTTAGTGATGTGGTATAGTTAATTGTTGTAAACATTTGCCAAAGATATTATAGTGAGCTCTTCTAAGAAATTGTTATCATTCTAGGCAAGTTCTTCTTCATGAAGGAATCAATCTTGTTAATATTGCAGCTGTTCCCATCACAGTTGCTGTAGTTTAAAGGAAGGATTGGCAAACTTTTTCCATAAAGGGCTCAATAGTAAATGTTTTAGGCTTCGTGGGCCATATTGTTTCTATCACAACTACTTAATGCTGCCATTCTAGTAAAAAAGCAGCCACAAATGATATGTAAATAAATCAGTGTAGCCATGTTCCAGTAAAATATTGTTTACAAAAATAGGCAGCAGGTCCATGGGATATAGTTGGACAACCCCTGGTTTTGAGAAAAGTTACTAAGTCCTTAGAATTGGGAGGTTTGTTTCTTCCCTAAATTTGGCCTTGATAGATTTTTCTTGCTTTTGGTGAGCGTGAATACATCTGGGATTTGAGGTTTGTGAACTATTTTAGATGTTTTTTTAAAAGTATTTTCTCACCTATTACAATTGGCCTTCACCAGATCCTGAAATAATTGCCCACCTGTAGTCTTGAATTAGAAATAGGATTGTTGCCTGGTGTGATGGGAATTCTGTCTTTTTCCTTGGGTTTTTGTCCATAGTTTGCTGATCTTAAATTCTGGAATGGTTATTTCTATCAACTGTAGAATTTGGTTTAAGAATTTGGTTAAGTATTCAAAGTATTTTGAATAACTTTAAACCATTGCTTAGTTTCCATTCTTTTTTATATTAAATAATTGATTTGTATGGTGTCTGTGTGCATACGTGGTATGTGCACATGGATCATGGGTATGTGTGCACACTTTTACACATAAGAGAGAAAGAGTTTTATTACCCTGTCTTTAACAGAGAAAGAGAAAGAAATGAAAACTAAAGTTTTGTTCTGTGATTATAATCCTGCAGTAAATATTATATATAATTTATCAGGATTGAAATCAGATATTTAAATTGTATCCTCTGTGGTGTTTATTTTCTTTCTAATAGAAAATCTTTGCATGACAAAAAAAGTCAGGATTTTGGAAATCTCTTCTCATTTCCTTCATATTCTCAGAAGTCAGAAGATGGTATGTTCATTTAGTCTTTTCATTGGTTATTGTATTATTGCTTTTAGTGGTGGAGAGAAAACAGTAAATAAATCGTTAGGTCATGATTTAACTTCAGAATTTTTAATGAGTAGAAAACTTCCTTTTTATATTTTGCTCAAGATAATAAGGCTTCTTTACTTTTTCTGAGGTGATTCCTAACTAATTGGTCAAAATAGGCATTATGGAAGCATTTAGGTGGACAGGCAAATGCTTATCTGTGTTTATGGGTGTGAGTGTATGTGTAGTGTTTTAATGAGAGAAAAGAAATAATGAAATTTTGAAAGCTTGAAATTTGATTTTCATGGCAATGTGAATGTATATACGACAGTTTTCTAAATCTGTAAGGGCACCAGTGTGATTGCAGATTGGTTGTTACCTGAGAGATTAAAACCGTCATAAGAACAAATTTAATCAGTGTGTATACTTCTTGTTTCGTATTTTTTTTGTGTATGGAATTTTTAAGGTCACTTAATTGATTCACTATCATTTTTTAATACACACATCTATACATTTAGACATATTTGGTACATATTCTATATGTATACGTACTCATTTTTGACAGTGTGTCAAAAGAGTTGTGTAAACATATTTATTTACATCCAAGTAGCTATTTTAAAAGTTTGTGCTATGGTGTTAGGGAAGAACGCATTACACTAATTTGAGTGCAAGAGTAAACTGAAGGTAAGCCTGTCTGCCTTTTAAATTAGTCTTCAAAAATTTATTTAAAAATAGGAATACTTACTATTCTTTTAGATTTAAACATTATTACTGATATTCCTGAAATGGTTAATAGTATTATTTGTGTAGGTACTAAAATAATACAGTGGGACATTTTCATATCTCATTTTAAAATAAATTGGCAGCATGTATTTTTGAATTGGTCAGTTATGTTTTAAATATTTAGCATTTGGGACTTTTAATTTTTACTACTTTATGCACTTCTGTGTTATTTCACCACATAGTTAACATTTTTGGTGTATAACTGATACATTTTATTTTTAGCTGTTTGTATATTGTGGATTATTTGGTCACAAAATAGTAACATAAGATCAATTGTCTAGCTAAAGGGAAGTCATCAGTTAAAAGAGTCAAAGTTTACTGAGAGATCTTTATAACATCTCTTTACTAAAAGAAGGCTTTGCAATTTTTAGATTCAGCTAAATTTGACAGTAATGAAGAAGATTCTGCTTCTGTTTTTTCACCATCATTTGGTCTGAAACAGACAGATAAAGTTCCAAGTAAAACGGTAGCTGCTAAAAAGGGTATGTACTTATATTTGATTGAGTTAAGCATTGGATAGAGATAGTTAATGTAAAAGGAAATGTAATTTAATTTGAAACTATTTGCATTTTTTTATCATAAAACAATTAAGAAGTATAAGTGCTTATAAGGAGAACCTCTCGTTTTCTAGCCATCTGAGGGCGTTAATAAAATTTCTGTAAGACTTAATTTTAAAGCTGTTGTAATTATAAAATAATCCCGTGCATTACTATCTAAAGATAGCTTTCTACAAAAGCTCCCTTGTGGTTAGGTTGTAATGGAGATTAAAATTTTGTCTTGCTAGTAGCTTGCTTCTGTTATCTATGTTGATCATGACTCAACTCCTTATGTGGAGGGATTGGTCAGCTCAGTTGAGGTCCTCTTTTTCTATGTGAGTCATGCAGCTTCTCTCTTTTTCACAGCCTTAGATTGGCCACAAAACACTTTGAGTTGATTAATGAATCTCTTACTAGTACCAAGATATATGTACCGTGGTCTTTTTGAAAGAGGTCAGTATTTGTGCTTTGTGTTTGAAGGATGACACTTAAAAAAAACCCCACAAATCTAATTGAGATGTGTGCTATTTAAGACAGCAAGTAAATAATATGGATTGTTCCCTCAAGGATTTTAAAAATTCACAACAGACAACATCATTACAGACACATGTATTGAATGTAGCAGAACAACAATTTTGAAAAGTCCTGCTTATTCTGAATGCAGTAGAACCATATTGAGAAACTGGTTATTTACAAGAGTCTCTGTAGCCAACACACTGGGTGACCTACCCATGTCCCTTACCACTTAGTGCATATTGGGCAATATCTGCCTTTCGTTGCCTGAGGACTTCCTCTTTGCCACTGTGCTGGAATATTAACACCCCCCTGCTCCCAGCTGCCTTTAACTAGCAGATTGAGGAAAGTTGGTCTATAAATATCTCAGTGTCCTTGCCTCTCATGTGAGCCAACTGTGGGATGTGTGTTTCACACTGGGACTCAAAAATTTCTTATGGAATTAAGCTCCTAGAGTGATGATTGGCTTGGTAACTTACCTATTACTGGCTGCCTTCTCTTCATTGTCTCATTTTTGTCTCCCCCTCCTTTATCTCTCAAATAAATACTTATACTTGAATCCATACTCTAGGATTAGGCAGATTGGCCCAAATCTGGGGAACCCACATTGAGATGGACCCTATAATTTCTCTTTTTTAAAAAAACAATCAGGCTGGGCGCAGTGGCTCACACCTGTAATCCCAGAACTCTGGGAGGTCGAGGCAGGCAGATTGCTTGAGGTCAAGAGTTTAAGACCAGCCTGGCCAACATGGCAAAACCCCATCTCTACTAAAAATACAAAAATTAGCCTGGTGTGGTGGCGTATGCATGCCTGTAGTCCCAGCTACTCAGGAAGCTGAGGCACAAGAATCGCTTGAACTTGGGAGGCAGAGGTTGCAGTGAGCTGAGATGGCACCACTGCACTCCAGCCTGGACGGTAGAGTGAGACTCCATCTCAAATAACAACAACAGAACAATCAAAAAGCACCTTTAAAAAATAATCTTCATATGAGCATCTTATAAACACCCTGAAAACTTGGGAGCCGTATTACTTCCTGAAACATACCCCGTTTCCTTCATCAAACTGTTCACCCATATTTAACCTAATGAGTTTAGCATGACCAAAAAGCTAGATTATCATGGTACCTATCCTACTTGCTTCCTTCTTCAGTAGCTGAACTGGCCTTGTCTAAGTTGAATAGGTAGACTGCCTGTGTGGTGTGATTTCAGGGACCCCAGCAAGTCCTCAGCTTTCCTTTAGCCTCCCTTACGAAATATAATTCCAATAAAATATCATTTCAAGAAGAGGATGCATCATATCCCTCTGTGGGATTGTCTATGTTAACTCCAAATTGCGTATGTTACACAAGTTAAATTCTGTAGTTCCAATAGTTTACAGCAGAAAGGCAGCTATAGTACTCAGATATCTGACCTGTTTGCCTGGTAGAATTGAAAGTGCCATGTAACTCCAAGCCAAGGAAAAAAAGTGGTTCCTAGAACACCTGGCTAAGTTTATACTCCCTGCTAGGAGCTGCCCTGTGGTTCTTGTGGTAGATATAGTCATGAAGACTCAGGTGGGAAAAGCCACACAATCTGGGTGCCACTTTCCTAGGGCTCCTCCTGCTCTTGGCTAACGAGGGGCCTTATTTGTAGTGTCTCAAATTGCGACTGGAATACATTTTCCATAGAATCAGTGTAGGTTTTTTTTTTTTTTTAAACAAAGTCTACAGTTAATATATTTTCTTCCAAATTAGGTTTTCTTAATTACAAAAAGTGATTTATCAGTTTTTTTTTTTTCTTTTTCTTTTTTTTTTTTTGAGACAGAGTCTTGCTCTGTCACCAAGGCTAGAGTGGAGTAGCGTGATCTTGGCTCACGGCAACCTCCCTTGCCTGGGTTCAAGCGATTCCTCTGCCTCATCCTCCCAAGTAGCTGCGACTACAGGCACACGCCACCTCACTGGGCTAATTTTTTGTATTTTTAGTAGAGATGGGGTTTCACCATGTTGGGCAGGCTGGTCTCGAACTCCTGACCTCCAGTGATCCGCCTGCCTTGGCCTCCCAAAGTTCTGGGATTACAGGTGTAAGCCACTGCAACTGGCCTTATTTATCAGTTTTCACATAGAACTGCAGATAAAGCTGTAAAACAAGGTCTATTTTTCAAAATTCCAGAAAGCAAAGGCCTGGTATCAATTGTCTACTTATCTAGGATTTTATATTTCTTTCCACATAAAAATGCCAAGTCTGGATTTCAGCTTTTGAATGGAAGTGAGTTGGTTTCTATTCATTGTATTCGAGGATCCCATACATTTTTTTCTCTAAAACATTCTAAAAGTTAGGACTTAATCTGTGGTTATATCTGGGTTATAATTAATTTATCAAATATGCTACTCTTTTGTCATGACTATTCTGTATTTAAAAGTTACTGCTTAATTTATTTTAATGGCTCTTCCTTAAAATGTCTTAATTGTATTACCTAAGGGCAAATTATACATAATTAAATAAAAAGCATTTTGTCATCTATGAGAAATTGTTTGCCTTTACATTGCCGCCAAGCAGAGAGAAACCATTTCATTATTTAAGGCGACTCAATTTTTTTTTTTGAAGATAGAGTTTTGCTCTTGTTGCTCAACTGGAGTGCAGTGGCGCAATCTCAGCTCACTGCGACCTCCCGGGTTCAAGCGATTGTCCTGCCTCAGCCTCCCAAGTAGCTGGGATTACAGGCATCTGCCACCACACCTGGCTAATTTTTTTATTTTTAGTAGAGATGGGGTTTTACCGTATTGGCCAGGCTGGTCTTGAACTGCTGACCTCAGGTGATCCACCCCGCCTTGGCCTCCCAGAGTGCTGGCATTACAGGTGTGAGCCACCACGCCCAGCCAGGCAACTCAGTTTCTAATCAGCTATAAGAAATTCCATTTATATAGGACTCTCTTCAGTTTGGTTTGTTGGTAAGTATATTGACCTGTGAAATGGAAATTTGCTTACTAGGAAAACCGTCTTCAGATACAGTCCCTAAGCCCAAGAGAGCCCCAAAACAGAAGAAAGTAGTAGAGGCTGTAAACTCTGACTCGGATTCAGAATTTGGCATTCCAAAGAAGACTACAACACCAAAAGGTGAGGATTATCTTCTTATAACCCTTTAAACATATGCTGTGTGGAAAAGATTGAATTTTTTCTACCTCATTGAATTTAGAGAGGCTAGGTATCTATTTTGTTTTAAATTGCTTTACTCCTCAGTAAGCAGTGTGTCTAGGAATCAGTGCTGAATATAGTCCAAAGGAGGCATAGCAATTTAGTTCAGTCACTTTGTTTTACAAATTAAAAAATTGAGGCTCAAAGAGGTTAAATAAGAATCCCTAAGAATGGTCCAAATTCTCCCCTGCAGCCAACTCACTGAAAGTTGTTATTAAAAAGTCAGATCAGTACTCCACACTAACTGTGACACTTATAGTAATGGGCTAGATCCAGGACTCTTAGGCTAGAACTTTTTTTCTCACCTAAGAAATAACTGTATTCAGGGCCACACAAGGAACAGCACCAGTTCTCCATGGCATCCCCTCTTTAACTCCAGAATCTGGAAAGCCCTTGAAGATGTTTTGTAAAATATGTTTGTAAGACATGATATGAGGGTAGCTCATGCTGTGAGGGTAGCTGCTCTACCTTTTATTCAACTGAAGGATATCTTCCTCAGTGTGTTTCTTATATTTCTTTAAGGAGTGGTTGGGATAAGGAGCTGTAGACCTACAGGGAAATGGGGATAATAGGGTGGAAAAGAATCACAGTGACTGGGAAAGTAGTACTCAAGATATGCAGGATTGAAAGCCTTTATAAATTCAAAAATGCTATTTCCCTGATTCATTTGATCAAATATGACATCCCAAGATTATTTAAGTCTATCTTCGTACTTGTCCAGTCTAGCTGTCAAGGGATTTTAAAGATATAAAATTGCTATTTAGTTGTTTTATTTCATTGGCATCATTGTGGGATGGAGAACATCTGGCCCCTACTTAAATATTACCTTTTCTCCTTCCACCTCCAATGATGAGAATAAGAGGTTAGGTAGGTGAAAAAAAATGCTGCATGTGCTGAGTCTAGGTCTGAGAAGGAATATGTATTTGACATTTTATAGTTAATACTGGTGGTTCTCATATGGTGCCACTTAATGTGGGATATGCAATTGGTTGTTACTAGTCTTTGATAAGTAAAACGGAGTAAACATTTAGACCTTTATAATAATGTGTTACTAAAACAGCATGTGATTACATTTTTTAGTAATTTGTGTTCTATGGTATTTTTAAAAGTATTGGCCCATGACAAATTAGAAATGAAAAAAAATATTTAAATCCCATGTAATTTAAGAAGTACTCTTCCAAGATATTTCCTTTTCAGGCTCAAGGACCAAATAGCAAATACAAATGTTTTATGTATGAAGGGATTCATCATTAAAATTTGTCTTTGGGACTTTCCCACTAGTTTAAATGTATTTGTCAAAAAGTCTTTGGTCATGTCAACCCCAGAATTGAAATGCTACTGCCAAATTGTTTATAATCACTCATAGTAAGAGATCAGGACTGCAATGCTCCACTGATTGGGCATGCCAAAGAAATAAACTACAATGTTGTGGCATTTATCTTTTTATATTGCACTTAACCACGGAAGAAAAAACCTTTTGTATCATTTTAAGGTAAAGGCCGAGGGGCAAAGAAAAGGAAAGCATCTGGCTCTGAAAATGAAGGCGATTATAACCCTGGCAGGAAAACATCCAAAACAACAAGCAAGGTAACCGGGAACATCATTGCATATTAGTGCATGGCTTTTTAAAAAAAGATCTGTAAGTGACTTAGTTTGCTTATGACTATAGTCCTGGAACAGCTTTCCACCTAGCATCTCGTATCAATATGGGGCTTGTATTTGGTTAAGAAATTATTCAAGTATAAATTTATATAATCAGGACTATTTCCTAAATAACTGTGCTATAAATTAACCTACTTAGAACCTTCCATTTCATCCACTGAACTGTAGTAGTGTTATGCTACCTAAATATTAGACTCTTTCAGACTAAAATATTATTTTTCAGACTAAAGACTGTTTCCTTTTAACTTGGATTTATTTGACCAGGGCTAATTTGATTTTTTTTTTAATTGAATTCATTTGACTGTGGCTGATTTTTCCAATTAGTCTGACCCTTTTCCAGAAGTACACTATTTCTTTTAGGTAAATGAATGACATCAGCTCCCCCGCATCCCTTTTTATGTTGATTTCCACATTGACCTCTTCCATTCAGTCATCTTCTATGTCTCAGGTCCACCTCGGTGATGCTTTGCATTTTTTTAAACACTTACAGTGCACACATACTACACACGGTGCAGGAGTCTTGTTTCCTCCCATGAATTCTTGATATGTACTTACCAGTAGGACAGCTTGAATTTTTACTAATCTGGGCATTGTGCATACTTTTTGGGTAATATATAATTTCAGAAATAAAGGTGTTACATTTTTCAGGCTAGAACTTGGTAAATATGAAACCACCAAGGTGGTGAATTACTGTATGTAATCTTTTTCCTCCAAAAAATAAGATAACTGGTCTTACACTTAGGTTAGCATTATGATTCTAATTTTAAAAGCACCATTATTTGTAATACTTCCTAAACATAAGCGAAGTTTAAGGAGTGATAGTTCTTAATACTAGTCTTTACTTCCTTTCATAACTTTTAAATCTATTGAAAAAAAATCTAGAAACCGAAGAAGACATCTTTTGATCAGGATTCAGATGTGGACATCTTCCCCTCAGACTTCCCTACTGAGCCACCTTCTCTGCCACGAACCGGTCGGGCTAGGAAAGAAGTAAAATATTTTGCAGAGTCTGATGAAGAAGAAGATGATGTTGATTTTGCAATGTTTAATTAAGTGCCCAAAGAGCACAAACATTTTTCAACAAATATCTTGTGTTGTCCTTTTGTCTTCTCTGTCTCAGACTTTTGTACATCTGGCTTATTTTAATGTGATGATGTAATTGACGGTTTTTTATTATTGTGGTAGGCCTTTTAACATTTTGTTCTTACACATACAGTTTTATGCTCTTTTTTACTCATTGAAATGTCACGTACTGTCTGATTGGCTTGTAGAATTGTTATAGACTGCCGTGCATTAGCACAGATTTTAATTGTCATGGTTACAAACTACAGACCTGCTTTTTGAAATGAAATTTAAACATTAAAAATGGAACTGTGTTCTCTGTCTCTTTACTGAAGATAAAGGTGTAGTAAAAGCTCCCACACACCTTTAAAATAAATATATTTTATTCTTTGCCAGGAGACTCCATGGAAAAAGGTAAACAGTATATGAACATAGAAAGCATTGTTAAACAAACAATCTCAATGTACAAACAGAGCCAGTGAAAGTACATCACAGACTTGCTAATATATCAAAAAAAAAAAATTCCACTAGTGCTTAAATGAGAACTAAGAAACTGACACTTGTATCTGTTAACCACTCTACCACAGCTTTCACTCTGCTTCATAGTGATTGAACAAGGTCAAAGGAGGCAGATTCTATGCCTGTTTCTTTGGGAGTTGTTAATATTAATTAGCCCCTTGGCATCAAGAAGGCTGGAAAAAAAAATCCCAATATCAGGCATGAATCAGGAAGGACACTAGAGTTACATGGTCCAGGTGGTAGACCAGCCTGCTAATTATCCCATGAAATTTCCCTAATGGCTTGTGAACAAGTAAACAAAAACTTAACACTGAAAAGTGTTTCTGCCTTGGAGGCTATCATTACTGTAAAAAAATTTTTTTTAACTAACTGTGTAGTTATGTCATTAAACAAGTAATAAACCACTTTTAATTTAAAGTGACATTAACAATTGAACAAATGACATTTGATTAACTGAACTGGCAGTTACACTGATACAGAATTCTCTTCTGCTAGTGCAGGGAATTTGTATACTTTTACTGGGCAACATGAAATAAAAGATGCAGTTTGAGAGCATCAGAAAGAGCAAAGACAAGCTTCCATACTAACTAAAGTAGAATATCTTCAGCCTTATCTTGTCATACTGTACAATAGTCCTGTCAATAGTCCTGTTTCCTTACCTTGATGTCTTGACTATTCCATGAAAGCAAGACAGTTATCTTTTTGAACCTAGGTAGACGTGTACAGTAGTCTATTTCATAACCTTGGTGTCATGGTTATTTTGAGTATGCAAGACAAAAGGAAAGCACCAAACATACAGTATAGAAAGAACAGAGCCATACTTCTGTATGTACAAAGTCTTCAGAAACTTAACCAGGGGTAAATCATTTTGACTGGGTCTTTGCCATGCAATCTTGAGTGTTCAAAGAGGAAAATAGAAGCTTTTAACTAGTTTCTGGTTGCATGAAATGGCTGATTTTTTAAAATTGGAAAAGTTTGTATTTCTAGGTAAGTTACACAGTGAGGAGTATATATATTGATACATATGAAAACTTCTTGGTCCTTCTTGAGTTTTAATATCTTTTCAGTCCAAAAACTAAGCAGCAGTAAAAATGTTTTTTCTTGCATTTTAAATCCTGGAACTGAAGGTACTGGGGAATGTTTGAAGTAGCTAGAAAATGTCTTATTGCACGAGTGGTGACTGACTGACCCCACTGTTTTCCACTGAGCTGGGTGAGATGCTAGGACTGTGCTCTGCTGTGTTCCCACTTGAACTTGGGGTCAAGGGTTCATGTCCTTCAGAATTCTCCAGCATTTCTTGAATGAGAGGTGGCATTGATCCAGGAATTTCCATTTTCAAGGTAATTACACGCTCTGCACCTTTTCAAAAGAGATAATGGAAATATGGTTAAGATAAGGAGTTAAGCTATGACAGATAACCAGGGACCAATTTTCATATATTTTAACAGAGGTGTTTCCTAAGATTCTTGCTTAGGAATTATGAAATGTAGATATCAGGTGGCTTTTTGTTGAAAAAGATCTATCGATTACTATCACACTCATAAATACAAAGAAAGATAAATGTATTTGGAATGGGAACTGCATCCACCAAAAATCATGTGTTAGTTTATTGCAAAGTTAGTTAGATTGGGTTCTCAACCAGCTCAGACTCATAGTATGTTGATAGAGAGGGTCTTTTTATGATCTGCTAGAACTTCATTCGTCTTTTATGCAAGCAATAACTGATACAATTGCTCCTTTTGATAACAGAAAATTATGCAAACAATGCCTCCCAGAGGCTATCCTTATTTTACACCATTAAAACATTTTTACTTTGTGGAAAAGCAGCTGAGATATGGTGACGTTTAAATATGATGTCTTAGTTTCAGGAAATAACAATTTACAAAGAGAAGTTCCTGATGAAAGAAGTGTATCTTGAAAAAGACAGGTTGATGGCAGTTACCCACAAACAGAGGAGTTCACGATGTGCAGTGACTATTGACAACTAGATTTAGCAGCACTCTGTCCAGTACAATACCCACTAGGTAGCTAAATTTAAATTTGTTAAATAAAATGAGAAAAACAGTGCCTCAGTTGCATAAGCCACACTTCAAGTGCTCGAGAACCTCTTGTGTCTGGTGGCTACTGAACTGGACAGTACAGATTATTTCTGTAATTGCAGTAAATTCTATTAGATATCACTAGTCTAGTCATCTATACAGAATGATAGTATTATGTTAAACAGCCTCATTTTTAAAAATCAAAGATACCGTATTCACAACCACACTGGTATCTGCTGTTTACTTCTACTCTTAATTCCATGCAAGGATGAATTCAGAATGCTCATCTAGGAGACCTCTTAGAAGGAGCTCGAGTTAAGACTGCTTGTCAAACAAGTTCCCTGTGCTTTTAAGCACTTTCTGAAATACAGAGTTTATTCCTTGGCTAGCAAACATCTTCAGAGACAGAGTAAGTAGTCTGATGGGGAAAGGAGAATGACAATAGCCCATTTGGTACCAGGGATAGCTGCTGAGTTGTCTCTCTACATAGAAAAACCTTACTGTTAAACACTCAACTGTGATATGGATCTAGGCACCTCTATTAATTGCTTGAGTTGCTACATAAACAGAAAATCACTAGGCAAAGAATATACCTCTTAGGCAAGAATTCCTTTGCTTAGAAGTGTGCAGAAGAAAATCTGCCTATATACAAAAGAGCAATGGCTAAAGTGATTGAGAGAAACTTAACAAAGGTTTAGATATTCAAGAAAAACTGGAGTCAAGGTAACATAAACCAGAGATGTGTAGAAAGCTGGAATTAAATGTATGAACCTAGAGAATTAGCCTGTTTTAGTACATTCTCTTGAAAACAATGTTTTTCTAATCAGTCATGAATTTTAAAGCTCTCAATCGTTAAGATAATTGAATAGGGTAAGATTTGAGGTGTTTTTTTTTTTTTTTTAGAGGGGGGAGGGATAGTATTTCCTTTTGATTTCAATGAGAAATGAGTTCCAAGACTTTAAAAGCAGCCATTAAACATCCTGAATTGAATAAAGCAACACAACCTGGTAAGGCCCTCAAGTCCACTGTGTGACTACAGTACTGAGAGCACGAAGACATACCTTTAGCACTGATGCTACGGAGATCTGTGATTTTCATTAAGATCTTTGGAAACATGTGAGGCTTGCTGGGTCGTCTTTTTCTGATATAAATTTTTAGTGCTTCCAGCAATGGTTCTTGTAGCTTATCTACTTTTGTCGGTTCCTCAAGGTCCTGGCGGTCTGGATACCAGGAATAAAGTATTAAACAAAATCAGGATTTATGCCCTTTTCCCCTCTTCCTTGTTTCCTTATTCCTACTGTTATGAGTTCATTAATTTGGTAATTCAATTACATACACAAATTTGCAGACTTATGCAGTTGCTTTAAGCAGTGATACTTGAAAAACAAAAAAAAACTGCCCCCCCTTGGTAGTATAAACATTTTGATGCCTGGTTGCTTTTGTCCCAGGGAAAGAATTACCTCCTTTGACCAGAAGGTGTCACTACCAAACTGAATTAAAACAAATCTTGAGCAGGATGGTTATTTTAGCATAAAATAAATCTGCTCCTTAATTAAAACCATTACTTTTTAACCACTTACGATTCAGCCTCCTATAGGCCAGTAGGGGTCACTACAAAGAAGAAAGCTAAATTTTATCCCAGTCCTGCAAGGGTTGGTGGGAGGGCCCAGCCAAATACTTGTATGCCTACCCACTAGATAACAAACAGCACATACAAGTCCCTTGTCATCATTCAAATGTCCCCAGACAATTCATTTTATAATAGTGTGATCCTGCCTTTAAGAAAAAAAATCTGTGGCAATTGGAGTAATAGCTTTTTGGGATTTCTTTCTGAGCAGAAGGATCCCAAATACCATTAGTTAATTTGTAACAACATGGAAAAATACAATGAAACCAGGCATGTATGCCTGGCTTTATTCACATGTTTTCCCATGTAAAACAACTCCAAAAGGGAAATGAGGAATTTTTCACAAATTACAAGTATAAACTGTTCTTCATGGAATTTCATGAGGCTTTTCTACATAGTTGGTACCTCCACAGATTAAGCAGATGGCACTGAGAAGGCCTGTTTCTGTGTCATCCATTTCCAAAGGCAGGAGCTGGTTGGCAAAGGTGAACACAAGGTCAGTCAGAGGACCAAATCCAGCATTGTGCATCTGAGTTCGATTTAGGGTAAGGCCGTCTGAGAAAGTCATGGTGTCTTGTTCTGGGGTATACCTGGTGCAAATTCTAAGAATCTGGAAGGAAAAAAAAATTGATGGATGTTCTAAGCCATCCTGTCCTGAAATCATCAATCAGATGTAAGCAGGAAATAACATGAAGATTTCCAAGGAGCTCTTGGGGCAGTCTGTCCCCCTTTCACATGTTGAATGTCTTCTTTAGCTCTTTCATTAAGAGACTACAGAAGTCAAAACCCAGGGGCTAAAGTTTTTTAGGAAACACTAAACAGGACATAAGAAATTTTGAGAAATATCTTTTTAAAAGTAATTCATTACTTGACTCAAATAAACATTTACTGAGTGCCTAATTATGTCCCAGGCACTGTGCCAGGTGCTGGAGATAAAAAAAAAAAAAGATGAATAAGATTCTATTTTTTAAGAGCTTACAGTCTGCAATAAATGACAATTTATTAAATGCATAGTATATATCAAGTTTTGTACATACCCTACATTCAATCTTTCAAACAGCTTGGTAAAGTGAATATTATTCTTATTTTACAAATGAAGGACTTAAGGCTCAGAAAGGTTAGGTGATGTGCCCAATGTCACATAGTTAACATGTAACTGAATCTGACTCAAACCCAAGTTAGGCTCTCTCTCCCATGATGCCTCTGATCACACGGTTACACAGGCAGCTGTAATACAAGGGACATGAGTGAAACCAGCAAGGTACTAGGGAGTTCAGAAAAAGGAAAGCTCAGAAATAGCCAGGAGGAAATCAAGGGCAGATCCATAAAGAGGTAGCATTTCAACCGAACCCTAAAGTGTAGGCAGGATTTCTACAGGCAAAAAGCCTGAGTCACTCTGCCAGAGTCTCCCAGTCCCACCCAGTGTATGCTTGACACATAACCCTGTTGGCCCCCTGGGGCGCTAGCTACTAAGGAGACTCTTGCTCACTGCCCTGTGCCTCTAGGCCTCACTCAGAGCAAAACAAACTAAAAATGCCTTGCTTCTGTAGATACTCAATCCTGGTTCATGTTTCCACTGCCCTATTAAGCCTAAATGCTGGTAAGGAGCTCCGTGCATTGCAGAGCACTTCCCCACCCAGAACCACATTTCTGCACCGACAATAAAGGGTCTCTGCTGACCAGGTTTCCATACTTGACTTTTCTCTCTGAAAAAGTTTCAGAGCTGCTTGAAGCACAGAGAGAAGTAAATCCCACCTGGACAAAAGTGAATAACTCAGGAGGTTGAAGAAGTTGAAAGTTTTTCCCAGATAATGGCATTCAATTTGACTGGGTATAGTCCTGTGAATGTCCACCTCAGTGTCAACCTACAGGAGGGCAGATGTGATCAGAAAGGCCTGCATTATTCCTGTTACACAGCCATGTGCAGAGAGGAGTGGCCTCTGAGGAAGACACAGGACCTCTACCTAGGAGGAGTAGTAAAGCCCTCTCCATCCTGCCCATATTCCCATCAGGTCTCCTAAAAGAAAAACTTCTGTCAAATCTCTCATCTTGTCAGGGAAACACTGGGGGTTTGGGACCAGGACACTTCCCATGGGGAAGACAGTCCTATCTGACTGGTGGTGGATCCACAAGAGCCTCAAACCCACTGGACCACATGAACCATGATGGGACAGTTGTACTGCAATGGTCACATGCTTTTGGGTTCTCTAAATCTCCAAGAAGGCAGTGACCTAGGAGCCAGCCTTCTCCCTACACAAAGGACTCCAGCGTGGATAAGGAGGAAGGCACCAGGACATCCTATAGAGTGAGGGTGCAGCAGCGCCTCTGTTGTATATATTTTTAAAAGTCTGACTTCAGTGTCTTATTGGTTAAAACTCCGAGAGGAAAACTGAATGAGTAAGCCCTCTTCATCCCTAACATACAGTAATAGCTAATGTTTTATTGATCACCTACCAGGTACCATACTAAACACTAGTATATTATTTCTCCTATCAACCCATGAATTGTTACTATTAGCTGGGGAAACAAATCTGAATAGCTTATGCTAGGTCACATAAGCTAGTAGAATGATTTGATTTCAGCTTTTTCTAGAACCCATGGTTTTAACCATTGCTCCACAGCTGCCTCATTTTCTCTCCACGCCAATAGTCAAACCTAGACACCTCTCTAAGGTTAGATAATCTTTAGCCCAGTACTGATTTCGATATCGGCCTTACTGGGCACTTTTGTGCAGCACATAACTGCATAACTATTCACGTTGGCCTGCCTGCTGTAGAGGGGTGCAGAGCTTGTGGCCTGGAAACAGAAACTTCGTTTTATATTGGGAGGGGTGGTAGAGAGATATCTAAATCAGGACATGTCCTCAAACTTCTTAATGTTCCTACTATATGATCAAGTGGCATAGTGAATTAGCAATTGATCATTAATGTGAGTAGTTCTCAAAACACTACCATGATCTCTCTTCATTTGATGGGTCGTTATTTTCACCTCCCAGATACTTGCCCAGGGGCCTTTCTGAGCTAGCCCAGCCATTTCCACTGGTTTCCCAACTGGTTGACCTGTTTCACTTCATCTTGGTAACTGATGGGGTATGAAGCCATTCCCAATGTCACAGCAGTAAGAAAACCCAGAGGTCATTGGGCATAAAGCCTCACATTTCCCCTGAAAGTGGGAAGTAAAGTGTGGTGCCCAAGGTCACACAAGCAATGGTGCTAGAGCCTAGAATACAGGCCTTCCAATCCCCAGCCTGATGTTCCTTCAACTACCTGGAGAAACATTAGGAAATACTGTCTGTGCAGGGAGTTATCAAGTGACAGTCAAAGTTAGCACTTTGGGAGGGCAAGGCGGATAGATCATCTGCAGTCAGGAACTCGAGACCAGCCTGGCCCACACGGTGAAATCTGTCCCTACCAAAAAGTACAAAAATTAGCCAGGCCTGGTGAAGCGCACCTGTAGTCCCATCTGCTGGGCAGGCTGAGGTTGGAGAATCTCTTGAACTGGGAGGGGGAGGTTGCAGTGAGCTGGGATCACGCCACTGCACTTCAGCCTGGGTGACAGAGTGAGACCCTGTCTCAACAACCACCACCACAACAACAAAGTTAGTATGCTCAATATTTATGGGCCCCAAATCCTGGGATACGTTTCTAGTCTGGAATCAAATGGGTACTAAATAAATCTTTGCAGCTTTAACATGCCGCCAAGAAATGAATGCATGAGATCTGTCCCCTGCAAAAAATGAAAGAATCCAGAGATTTGTCGGAAAGGAACAAAAGACCAGGATTTAGGACATTGCAAATTGCCAATAACTCACTTAGAAATCCATATCCAAACTGCAGCCCTCAAATGTTTCTAACTATTCTATTCGAAAAGGTTTTCTTCCTCAAAAGTTAGAATGTATTTGGATTCTGATGAGTCATTTAAACTATGTTCTGTTGCCTCTCTTCCTAGAAAGTTCAAAGCCGAAACCAAGTACAACTGGTACATCCAGAGAGGGAACGCACATGGCCTGAGAAGGAAGACTGCTCAATGTCTTCTTTTATCTGAGGAGCCTCCCTTCCCTGCCCCGGCCCCAGCCTGAAACAGGATGGCCCCCATGTGAAACAGGCATCCTTCTCACTGCTTCCGGCTGGTTCTGTCTCTGGAGAGAACCCAAGTCGTTTCATTTTGTCACACTAAAATCAAATGCCAGTGGCAACCACCAAGTACTTCTCCAGGATTAAAACACTCTTTGTTTGAAAGGAAGGCATCTTATCTGGAAAGACCGGCATGCAGGCCCCACGAGATGGGTAAAAATAGCCTAGGCCAGGCTGTCTCACCAACCAAAGCAGGGCCCTGTTGGACAACACAAAGCTCCAGTTGATGGTCAAAGTTGATCCTCCTCAGGGCAAAAAGAGCCTTCTCTTCTTGCCATCAGCAAAGACAACTGTGCATCTCTCTATTGCTTTTGATGGGAGTGTGTGTTCAGTGTGTGTCCTGGGGGAGGCCCACTTGTTAATGGAACCCTGGAAGAATCTGATGATGTGGGACCCCAGAGGCAGAGCCAGGGACTTGTCCACCAAGCTGCCATCACCTCTCTTACGGTGAGGGCCTCTGAAGTGATCCTTCATTTCTATTCCTGCTCGAGTACTATGCGGTCAATCCACAGCAGCCAGAGCATGTTGTCCAAAATGTTCATCAGAGGAGAAAACTCCTCAAATGGCTTCTAGTCACCTTCAGAATAAAATCCAAACTTCTTTCTGTGGCCTCAGTGGCCTCTCCCTACCTTGCCAACTTTAACTACTCCTCCTTTCCTTTGCTCATGAACTTCTGGCCATCTTGGTCTTCTTTGTGAAGCTTCGATGACTCACTGCTGAGGCAAAGTGTTTGCACTTGCTTTTCCCTCTGGCTTCAGTGCTTTTCCCTGATCTTCACATGGCTCTTTTCTCAGAGTTCAGCTTAAATGTCACCTCCTCTAAAGCCTCAGTGAAAATGCTTCCTAAAACCCATTATTTTCTATCCCACCACCCTTTTGGTTTTTGGAATAAGAAATAACATTGTTTTAAAACTGAGGTATAACGTGTGGTGGTTTAAAAATATGTGTGCAAATTCTTTGATCCTACTCCCTTTAAGGGGTGGAGCTTAATTCCTCTCCCCTTGAGTGTGGCCTGGACTTAATGATTTGCTTTTAACAAATAGAATATGGTGAAAGTGATGGTGTGTGACTTCTGAAACTAGGTCACAAAAAGCATTGTCACTTCCTTCTTGCTTGCTGTCTCTTGAATCTCTTGCTCTGGGGAAGCTAGCTGACATTTCAAGAGGACAGTTAACCAGCCCCACGGACAGGTCCACAGAGGAAGAAACTGAGTCCTCCCATCAATAACCAGCACTAAATTCCTAGACAAATGTGATGAGCGATTGTGGAGGCGGAGAGCTTCCAGCCTCTGGAATTCTTTAGATGACTGCAGCTCTGGCCGGGGTCTTGATTGCTATTTCATGACAGATACCGAGCCAGAACCACCCAATGAAGTCAGTACCAGATTCCTGACCCACTGTGACTACGGGAGATAATAATGCTTATGTTTTAAGCTGCTAAGTTTTGTGGTATTTTGTTACACTGCAATAGATAATGAATATAGCACACATGCCTGGAGCTGCACACAAATCTCGAGTACAGCTTAAGGCATTCTCCCTAACCATGTATCTGTGCAACTACTACCTAGATCAAGATATGAATATTTCCAGCACCTACCGGCTCCTTTGACTTCTCCTAATCAAACCTCTTCCTCAGAAGTAACCATTATTTGACCTATATTCCTACAAGTTAGTTTTGCAAGTTCTTGAACTTCAGATCAATGGAATCATACAGAATATTCTCTTTTGTGTCCGCTTTTATTCACTCAATATTCTCTGTGTGATTCACCCATATGAGTGTACACAGCAATAGTTCATTCTTTTTCACTGCTGTGTAGTATTTCACAATGCAAACCACCACCCTGTTTTCTTTTCTTCATAGCAGTTGTCACCATCTGAGTTTCCTGGCCTATCTCCCTTCTAGAATATGAGCTCTGAGAATGAGACCGCTCTTTACCTGTCTTGCTCTCTGTTGTGTCTTTAATATCTAGAACAATGTCCTCCATACAGCAGGTGGTTAATGAATATTTATTGAATGAATAAACTGAATTCCTTCATCAGACTCTCTTCTATCTTGTAAACCTCAGAGGGAGGCATCAAGGGGTTGCCCAGTTTTCAGGCAAAGGAGAAAGCTCAGGTTGCTCAACCATCTTGGTCACTCTACACTGATTGTGTTTGGCAACATGTGGGCAGATCCTGATCTGATTCGACAATTTATCCCCATATGCCTGTGGGAATGTTTAGGTAGTGATACTAGTAACAATGTTTAAGTGGTGATACTAATAACAAAGACACACGCAGCGCATATAGTGCCTGTTGTGATGAGCTCATGGGAACAAAATGTTTTCCCCAATGGGACCTGTAGCCAGCCTGCCTTAACCGAGGAGAAAATACAGATGTTAGAAGCAGCAGGAGTTCCTTGTTACCGTTACTGTCTCTGTTTTGCAGACCAGTACTCTAGCAGCCATTGTTTTGCAATGTTAAGAGAAATAGATGGAATTATTTTAATAATCTATTTTAACTTAAGATATCCAAATTATTTTTGTTTCAACATGTAATCAATACAAAAAAATCATTAAGGAGATATTATACATGTTTAAATACTAAGTCTTTAAAAGACTGTTTATTTTGCAATACACACTTCACACCAGGCACATTTCAAGGTGCTCATGAGCCACAGCTGCCTCGCAGCTGCTGAACTAGACAGCACAGCCCCAGGTGCTATTGCCTAGCAGCTCAGACACCACACTTCATAAAGGCAGCCTAGGCTTACTCAAGACTGATGATTACAGCTTATTTAAAGGAACACTTACTATGTGCCAGGAACTAATTAACTCAATTCTTTATTCCAGCAACCTGAATGGGGAGGAGCTACTATTCTACTTATTCAATTGGTGAGGAAACTGAGGCTTAGAGAGGTCAGTTAGCTTCCCTAAGTTCACTCAGCTCCTAAATGGCAGAGCTGGGATTTGAATCCAGGGAGTTGGACTGCAAAGCCCACCCTCTTAACCGCTACACTGGCTACCCCACAGCAATTCCTGGTGCCTCATGGGGTAATCGTGCCACATCTACAGGTGGGTAAGCTGAGGCTAGGAGAGACCCAGGGCCTCCTCGTGATGGCACAGACGCCCAGGCGCAACGCTGAAGCCTGAGCTCAGGCTGTGGGTCTTTAAGCCCAGAGCTCGCTCCCCACCAGCCTGGGCTCTTGTCTCTACTGAGTCCCCAGGAAGGGGAGAGGGAGGGACAGGTTCACATGGGAACGGCCCTCCATGGCTATACAGCTGCACAGTCTCCAGGGCGTCAAGGAGCCACAAATCACATTTTGAAGTCACACAGGCCGTCACTTTTGCGTCACCAGAAGGAGGGTGCTGCTGTGACTGGCATGGGAATATTTTCCTTGGGGGCAGTAAGGGCAGTGGGTGGCAGGACTCAGGAAGCCGTGTGTCTTGTAGGGAAAGACATTAAATCTTGAAGCCTTAACAGGCGTGATATTCCAAAAGCAGCATATATGCTGGGATTTGAATTTTGACTTTTAATTCATTTGCTCATTCATCCATTCACAAATATTCACTAAATCCCCCTTTCGAGCCTGGAACCCTGCCACGGCGACCAACCCTAAGATGGTTCCTACTCTCACTGAGACAACAGACTGGGGGAGAAGCTTTTGGGAAATGCACCTGTCATTACGCTATGCCTTAAGAGCTTGGGACAGACCTGCAGTGTGAGGGAGGAATCGGGTGGCTGGTCGGAGAAGGCTTTTCTGAAGAGATGGCATTTCAGCTGAGATGAGGAATAGGCCAGGAAGAACATGAGGAGAAGAGGG
This sequence comes from Homo sapiens, assembly GCF_000001405.40. NCBI lineage: Eukaryota > Metazoa > Chordata > Mammalia > Primates > Hominidae > Homo > Homo sapiens. The sequence goes on along the minus strand of NC_000003.12, from coordinate 25,586,179 downwards.
TGGGTAACCTAGACAGACGGAATGGGATGTAAAAAGGCTCTGAGTCAGGAAAGAGCTTGACTGAGGCTCGAGGCAGTGCCACGAGGTGATATAGCAGAGAGAGGCGCCCTTGTGAGTTGGGCCAGATGGGCGGCTAGAATTTCCAGTCAAGCTCTTCAACCCCGCCTGGCCTGCCCCCAGTTTTACAACAGTATTTACCTCCTTCACCCATCCTGCCCACCCAGTCCTGGCTCCACACTGACCCTGCTCCCCTTCAGCTTGCCCAACCTGTTGAATGTGGGCTCTGAAGGCAGCTTGCCTGGGTTCAACATCTGGCTCCACTGTTTACTAGCTGCGCGACCTGGGGAAAGTCACTTCCCCTCTCTGAGCTTCCTCCTGTGTTGACAAATACAATCAGTCCCGCTTCTGAAGTTCCAGCTTTGAGAAACATAGGCAGTGGCTCTTTTACAAGGGCAACCCCGGCAGAGGCAAGATGGCATGAGCCCCTGTCCAGGAAGGAAGGACCCTCTCGCTGCTTCTGCTGAGTGGCCTGGTTGCACCACCCACGCATCACTGTGGCATACCAGCTTTCCCCATCATTTGCCCACGGGGCTGATATGAAAACCCTGTCTTCAGAATCACAAGTGAATCATTATCCCTTGCTGTGTTCCCACATGGTTTAATTTCATTGTAAAAAATACAGCACTTAATGAATTCTCCACCACAGTCTTTAAACAAACCCTGGCAAAGCAAGTCATTTTCTCATCCGAAAATTTGTTCAAGGTTTTCTATTTTGCAAAAGCAATTTTGCCCTCCTTTATCCAGAGGCTGGAAACTCTTCCAGGGAGCTCTATGGGTCTTTGCCTTCCCCTTGGGCCTCAGCTGCCTCACCTGCAAAATGTGGACAATAACAGGACCCCTGAGGGCATAGTGCGACTTAACAATAATACCGAACATAACTGAGGCCTGTAGGGTGCCACACACTGTTCCAAGCTCTACGTGCTACTTCATTTCATGCTTTCTAGAGCCTGAAAGGAAGCTTCTATTGCCATCTTCATTGTAAATACGAGGCAACTGAGGCTCAGAGAGGGAAGTAACTTTCCCAAGGTCACACAGCTAGTAAGCAGCAGAGCCAGATTTTGAACCCAGGCAAGCTAGTTTCAGAGCCCACATTCAACAGCTGGGGCAAGCTGAAGGAAAGCAGGATCTATGTGGAGCCAGGATTGCGTGCAGTGGGGTGGGGGCGGAGGGTGAGGGGAGGAGATAAATACTGTGGCAAAAGTAGGGGCAGGCCAGGCGGGGTTGGAGTTGACTGTAGAGTCCAACAGGGCAGGGACCCTCCACTCTGCCATCTCACATCCACGAGGTAAGTGCTCAGTAAATACATGTGAGAATCATGACTTCAACCAATATTGACGCAGTGCTACATGACAAGACAGAGCAAACGTTTAAACCAAAAGTCAGACCGTGGTACACCTCTGCTCAAAACCCAGTGACTCTATAGGATACCAAGAAGGAGAATCTGTGCACGATCACAGGCCCCACTCCAGGATCTAAGGTCTCGCCCCCGCTGGCTCACTCCCTTCCAGGCACACTCACTTCCTCCAACCTGCCGGGGCTTCCTCTGCCCCAGGGCCTTTGAACTCCACTCTCTCTAGGCTCCCCACGACTCACACACCCCTCCCATCAGTGTCTTTTCTTGGGCCTGGCTCTTTCTGGGAAACACTGGGAAATTGTTTCTTCATTCAGGTTTCTTCAAATGCCACCTGTGTCTGAGCTACAGAAACAAGCCCCAGCCCTCCTTTGTTGTGCTCCATCCCTGATTCTGCTTCTGTTCTCCTCTGTTGCATGTAAGACGCTGTCTAATCCACGTATCTGCTTGCTTACTGTCTGTGTCCCCCCACCAGGAGAAGGTCGGCTCCATGAGGGCTGGGGTTTTAGCTTGGTTCCCTCTGCTGCCTCCTCAGAGCCTAGAATAGTGCGCGGCACACAGTAGGTCATCAACAGATATTTGCGGAAGGAAGAAGAGAAGGATGGGAGGGAGGGAAGAGGGGTGGAGGGAGAGAAGAGGCAGAGAAACCGAAGTCTGACCACCTCAAGGTTTGTTTTTACGATTTTTATTTTAAGTTGAGAGAGACTTGATCCTAATTACGTGCAGAGGAGAAGAGGCAGGTGAGAGAGAGTGGAAGAAAAGGCATAAAGGAGATTGAACGAGAAGGAAACATGGGGGCAGAGCCAGGTGAAGGGGTCACTCCTGCTCCGGGGCTCCCTCACTTGCCTGAACACAGCCCTAGGATGCTACCAACTCTTGAGTGAAGAAAGAAACATAAAAAACCCATCTGCAGTGGTTATGAAGAGGCTGCCTGTCTTAATAGAGACATTTTTGGCTACTTGGCTCCTGTGGGAAAACATGAAACTCAAAGTGTGGCCTCAGAATCTTCTGGACCCAACCTCGTGAAGGAAGCCCGGCTGTGGGCTGCCCACTAAATGGTCCCCACCGAGCAAAGGCTAGGATGGGAAATTCCCCTGGAAGGTGAGCAAGGGCAGGACAGGTGAGGCCTTCCATCCCCATCTGCCTGTATTATGAGGGCTCTCACCTCATGATTCTGAATCAACCCTTCCTGGAGAGCCTCGGCTGCGTGTCCCGCAGCTGACCGCATCTTCCTGTGAAAGTGCCAGCCCTGGCAGGCGTGCAGTTGGAAGCATTACCTTGTCTTGTTGAGAGACCACACACAACACGAGACACGTGGCTCTGAACAGGCGGTACTCAATCAGGGCTGGTGACCCTTGAGACAGCCTGGGTTTCCTTTCTAGGGTCTGAGAATAACCTCAGCCTGGGTCTGTCTGTCTGTCCATCCGCCTGGTTACTCTGTCCCACTCTATCCATATATCAATGACTTAGATAAGAAGATTCTTCTAAACAGCTCTGCCAGTTAATATTCTCATTCAAAATATGCTCTTTGAACTTGCGTACTTTCAGGATCTTGTGATTAATTGCCTTTGCTACAAATTCTTGGAAACAAGCTCTTGCCTAGGGCCAAATGGGTATTCCTTCGAACTTTGTCTGGTATGATTGGAGGTCTTTGCCCTTTAACTATCGGGACATTTTCCTCCCTGGCCTATTGCACCCCAACCCAGACTCCTCACCCCCATGGCCCAGGAAGGAGTGGTTGAAAGTTTCCTGATTCCCACCACAGGGCTGAAATTGCCCACGTTAACCCAGCTTTGGCCTTGTCATCAACATCATTGGCTAAGTACCTACTACGTGCTAGGTATTACAGCTGTTAATGTATTTAATCCCATTTAAGTAATTACCTTATTTAATGCCTTGTTGATTTGCATTTCTATTTTGTACATAGGTAAACAGAGGCTTAGAGAAGTTAAATAACTTCACCAAGGTCACAAAAATTGGTTTCTGTTCTACTGACTCTACCAAGGGGCTAATGGCTAATGCTTGGATCCATGGGGCTGGAAGAGTGCTGCAGGATTCAGTGTAAGCTGAGATGTGGGAAGAGAGGTGCTGGAGGCAGGAAGGGGATTTCTAAATTGAGGAAGGGGATTTAAATCTTGTGGAGACTGCACCCTGATCACTAAGTGTGTGGCTGTGCAGAAATAAGACACTTTCCCGGAGGATCTCAAAGCATACCTCTCACTCCATATGTTGGGGCTGAGTATCACAAACTGTCATCATCTGGCAACTAGACAAAAGAAGGATTAAGAAACAAGCAGAAGGTCAAGGTCAGAGCCTGAGGCCTGGGAAGGCTCCAGGCCCTGCTGGGTGGCTGCGTGATGCAGGGCTGTCAGAATGACACAGCATTGCTTGCTGTGGACTTGATTTGCTGTGAGTCACCTCACAGACCACTCAGACACTGTGGTGGTAACTCCAGTCTCTGCTAATATCTTGGAAGTGTTATGAGGTTTAGGGGAAATTCTACTGAGTGTTACATTTTAAGTTCTTGTCAGGAAAGCATTAAAAGGCCCAGTAATTTTCATTCATTATTCTAATAGCTCATTGTTAACATCATTATTGATTCGCCCACATTGTCTCTGTTACTCTCTGGTGGTCTAGCTCACTGTGGCCCACAACTCTCTCATCTCTGCTATCCCTAAGGGCTCCTGTTTATGCTTCATATCCTCTTTTACATCCTGTTAGGCCTGGAGGTAGCCCAGTACCACTCTGGCCGTATACCCCACTCCACCCCGATCTTGCACCACCCCCATCTGTGACCTTGGGAAGATCCCTGCCCTCCTGTCTTAGTTCAGGCTACTGTAACAGAGACCTGGCCCCTTAAACAACAACATTTGCTTCTCCTAGGTCTAGAGGCTGGAAGTCTGAGGTCAGGGAGCTGGCATGGCTGGGTTCTTGGTGAGGGCTCTCATCTTAGGTCACAGCTGCCTTCCTGCTATATCCTCACAAGAAAGAGAAAGGGAGCTCTGGTGGCTTCATCTCCTCATAAGGGCACTGATTCCATCTTGGGGCTCCACCCTGTAACCTCACCTAAACCTAATCGCCCCCGCCCAAAGACCCCACCTCCTAATACCATCACATTGGGAATTAAGGCTTCAACATATACATTTTGGGAGGATGCAAATATTCAGTCATAGCACGTCTGTGGGCCTCAGTTTCCTCACCTGTAAAAAGGGGATCCCTGATGCCCCTTCGCTCCCTGCCCTGCTCACGCTACTGCTTCTAGAGCCTTAAAGAGGGTAAGGGGGTCAGCACACTTTGTCTTCCACAGGCTGGAAGTCCACCCTCTCTTTCCCTGGTGGGGGCTTCAGGCTGGGACTGTTTCCTTGGATGGGAGCAGCTCCCATTAGACGTATGTACGCAGGGAGGCCCATGGAGAAAGTGGGATGGGGGACTGGCCTCCAGGGATGCATCAGAACATAGGGAAAGTAAAATCAGCTTTTGAAGTGCTATAAAAACATTGCTTTTTTATTAGGTCTCTCATAGCTTTGGGTATAAACCATTCTGCAAAGCAAATACAGTTACTATAATTAAGCACACGAACGCACTCCCACTTAGGAGGAGAGAGGTCCCCGTGTGTGGTGGTCGCACAGGAAGCTTGAATGTTTATGTGTCCTGTTTGCTAAACAGACCTGAGGAAGAGTGGCAATGATTACTCAGTAACTTACAGGTGCCAGGGGTCCTGAGAGCATATGTGATGATTTTGTTTCTTGTAAAATCAGGGGGTCTGGGGTAAACTTAGAAACAGACCAGCATTCACCTGTAGAGTTTGCCAACCTCAGCCCATTTGAGCCTCGCAGACCTCAGTGAGCCTGAGGGATGGGAATTCAGCCCATTTCACAGATAAGGAGCCAGAGGCTAGGTGAGTCCACCTACTAAGTCAGGTGAGTGCTAGAGTCGAAACTCAAAACCTCCTCTGGAGATCTTCAATGTCTCTTGGTCCCCTCCCTCCCCTCCACGGTGCCCTCTCTCCCTCCCCAGACCCATTGAGAGCTCAAAAAGGCACATACCAGGATGTCCAGGCAGGCGGCCTTCAGCAGGGTAATTTGGTCTGCGATGGTCAAGCCAGTGAAACCAGGCAGACGTTTAGCAAACTCCACGATCTTAATAATGCACTTGGTGGCCAGTTCACTGAATTTGTCCCAGAGGCCCAGGTCCAGTCGGACTCGATGGTCAGCACTGGAATTCTAGGAGAGAGAGAAAATGTCATCAGATACAGTTTCCGGGAAGCTCTATAGGAGGGGAGAAATTCAATGTGTTTCCAATTAGAGGGGGTGACATGTCAGCCTTGAGCAGGCAGGTTGTTGGTGGGACAGCTACATTTTTTTTAGCCTGGATTCATCCTTTTTTTGTGTGTGTGAGACGGAGTCTCGCTCTGTCACCCAGGCTGGAGTGCAGTAGCACGATCTCAGCTCACTGCAACCTCCACCTCCCGGGTTCAAACGATTCTCCTGCCTCAGCTTCCCAAGTAGCTGGGATTACAGGCGTGTGCCACCATGCCCAGCTAACCTTTTGTATTTTTAGCAGAGCCAGGGTTTCACCGTGTTAGCCAGGATGGTCTCGATCTCCTGACCTCATGATTCACCCGCCTCGGCCTCCCAAAGTGCTGGGATTACAGGCGTGAGCCACTGTGTCCGGTCGGATTCATCCTTTTAAAACACTTAAAATCTTATGCCTGTACCACTGGATAATCAAGTAACAGAGGAGAGGAAGTATCTCTGTATGCAGTTATCCAGCTAACAAACAAGAAAGGAATGAGGAGTCACCATTTTCTAACTCTGATGAATGAATGGCTCTAAGCATTGACCATCAGTACTTGTTAATCTCTTAAAAACACGCCACCTGTCATGCTGATGTCCTGATGGAAAAACACACCACCACCCATGAAATATTCTGGCCAGAAATCAAACTTGAATCTGACTGAGACTCTAGATAACCTCAGGAAATCCAGGGACACGGTAAACTACACAAAGTGGGTACAGCTATCAACATCCAGAATGCCAGAAAATCCACAAAACCAATGAACTGGTTTCTTCAATAAGAACATTGCAAGAGAGAAAAACAAGTGGAGAGAGAAATCTATAGATTGAAAGCAACTCAACCCAAATGCTCATTAACTGATGGGTGGATAAATAAATTGTGATTACAACTTTGCAATGAAAATGCTAGGTAGCGTTAATAAGGAAGGAAACTGTAATACATGCTACAACATGGATAAACCTTGGAAGCATGCTAAACCAAAGAAGGCAGACATAAAACGCCCATACTCAAAACGATTCCATTTATATGACGTTCTGGAAAAGGCAAAACTATAGTGATTGAGAACAGTTCAGTGGTTTTCCAGGAGCGGGAAGGCAGGTGGGGACTGACCACAGGTGCACAAGGAAACTCTCTGGAGCAATGGAAATATTCTACATCTTGACTGGAGTCAGGTTATGTGACTGTATACTTTTATCACACTCATCAAACTATACCTTTAAAAAAGATAAAAATTACATTATGTAAAATATACTGCAATAAACCTGACTTAAGATACTGAGAAAACTGACAACCAATTGCATGGTGTAAACCTTATCTAAATTTTAATTCAAAAAATAAACTGTAAAGAGGTGGTGATATATATGAGAAAACCAGAAATATGAGCTATTAGGTGTTAGAGATCATTTTATTTTAGGATGGTAATAATGGCACTGATGCTTTACTTTCGTTTGCAGGAGCTTCTTTCATTTAGAATACATATTAAGATATTTACAGATAAAATGATGAGATATTTGTAATTTACTATCCAACAAAAGGCTGACGTTTGGTTCTCTGACAAATGTAAACAGCTCAGGAGAGGTACTGTGTTTCTCAAACTGATATCTTTAGTTCCCCACCTCAGTTAAAATCAGTCTACAGGAAGTGAATAAAACTAGCTCTTGCTTTGAACGTCTGCATGGAAAGCCAGAAAGAAGAGTTTGCACGAGGTGCCACAGACACTGTAAAAACGAAGGTGGTCAACTTTGCCTTCCACGACGTTCCTTGTGGAGAGTAGACATGCATCCTCCAGATTTATTTTATTCCTTCCTCAAGGACCTTGGTGGTATACAGTACACTTGAGGGAACATGAGATCAAGATGTGTGGCCATTTGGGCCGTAATTAAATTTAATAGGCAGTTTATCCGGTTCGTAGGAAGATGACACGGAAGAGAGGGACGGAGAGTCAAGCTTATGGAGGGAAATCATTTTACAATAGAGTATCCATCTGGAAAAAAAGACATTGCCCCGACCCAGCAAGTGTGAACGAAACCTTCATCAACATTGCATGAGGTAACTTTATCACGCGCCAGGGCTGAGAGAGAGGAGCCTGTCGTACCTTCTATTAAAAATAATGCACAGCCGTCTTAACGGCATGTAAATCTAACTCACTATTATGCAAACTGAAGGGAAGAGGCAGTTAATAAAACACAAAATAACCTGGTGTTTTATTATACTGGCTGCTGGATTCATAGGCATGAGGCTTCAAATGGCTTATATATTATCTTCCAGCTGCGGCAAATGGAGAGCCCTGGCCTGCTTGGGTTGGTAATGAAGGCGGCTGTGGGGAGCACCAGCGAAGCGTGGATTTTCAGCAGCATTTCTGAGTGTGCAGGGAGGAAAACCAACAGAGAAGGAGAAGCAGAAAGTGGGGTGGTGAGGAGTGACCCTTGCTGTGAGTATGAGGCAGGCTGATGAGGAAAACAGCCAAGCCAGAAGGGCAAGGGGCTCTCCTCCATCTGCTGCCGACTGAGAGTCTGGCCAGGGCTTCCAGAGGAGGTCCCCTCTTCGGCAGGGGCTACAGGAGCTGCAGCGCCTCCCCAGGATGCCGCGTGGTGGCCCATATATGGAGGGTCGCGCCCATGGCCCCCCAGGGCCATCTTAAGCAGCAGAAAAGCCCAACCCTACTATGAAATCCAATTAAATGGCAAGTTTTGCCACGCAAATGGATCCCTTTCTTCTGCTGGTTTGGTTCTCTGCTGCAACGGGCTGCCTTCCTGGACTGGCAGGACTTTCAGAACAAGACCCATAAAGGAAAGTGGAATCACCAGCATCTTTAAATCCCACTGGAGGCAGCTCCTGGGTATTACAGTGGTTTGTTCAAGCGTTCTGGCTTTTTTTTCAAAGTTAAGAAGGAAATGTAAATTTTCATTAAAGAAATAAAGAATTAAAATTCTGTGGCAATGTTGGGTATATCCATGGAAGTGCCTCCTTCTTCCTTAGGCCTGAAATCCTTCCACCATCCTGGAGACTGATGTCCTTTCAAGTTCAATTTGCAGACCATCCCTGTCACCCACATTCAATTCCTGCATTTTGTATGTTTTTGCATGTAACCACCCCTTTTTCTAGGGCTTGCCTCGTGCCAGGCACTGTTCTACATGCTTAACGATCACCGACTCTCTTTACTTTTCACAGCGCCCCCATGCGGTAGGCACCATTATGGTCCCCATTTGGCTGATGAGGAAGCGAAGGCCCACAGAAGTGCAATCATTTGTGCAAGATCCCGCGGGCGAACCGGAGGGTGTGGGATTCACCCACACAGTTGGGTTGGGGTGTTTAGGCTTCCCACCAGTGCACCACGTCACCCCCTCCCTACTGGTTCCTCACATATTTCTACTTTCTGGTTAGAACTTCCTGACTCCTAAAGCCTGTGGTTGCATCTGTGATCTCCCTCCTTATTGGAATCTCTGGATGCTTCCATCAGGTGGCTACAAGAGCTCCAGCACAGCTATGAAGAGAATGTTATGTGCCGGCCAACATCTCTTTGTGGTCAATACACACATTATCTAGGCACTATGAGAGCATGGCTTCGGGAACGTCTGCCCCCAACAGAAGAGAAGAGAGGAGAAGGCCCCCAACACGCCTGCAGCATTTTCCTTAGGACCAGATGCCTCCAACAGGTGGGGAGAAGGCAGCTTGGCAGCCACCCTGTAGCTCTGGGTAGACAGGAGGGCGTGATCTTAAAGGCATGGTGCAGCCTGTGGCTAGAGAGGGCTTCGAGCAAAGGGCAATGGGAGAGGGCAGGTAGGGAGGGTCTCTAGAATCTTTCGAGTATTTCCTAGCAGCCTGGCTAAAAAGCAAGAGTGATGCCGCAGGATTCCCCTGGAGGTCACGTTTCAGGCGTGCTCCTGGACCACCATCGTCTAAGATTCCTGAGCTGGGACATGACCTTGGAAAGGACCATCTATCCATCTGCAGCCCCTTCACTCCTGGGGTTCAGAGATCTGGGGCCTTGGTCGAGTGCAGGGGTGGGGTGGTGGGTATAGTCCAAGGCCCTAGAGGATGTCCAAGAAATGCTAGAATTCTGGAGTGGTCCCAGCTGCTGGAAGGGGCCACGAATGCCTTCTGGAGCTGCAGGGCATATCTGAGAAAGATCAAAAGCCCTGCCCTGTGTCCCTGCCGAAGCCTTCCAGCCAGACACAGCAGCTAGGCACCACCTTCTTCGAACTGCTTTTTCTCATGACTAGAAACTTCCCTTGGCTCCCTAGGGCTAATGTTCACACACCTTATCCCAGCACCCAAAGCCCCTAGGAAGCTAGCCCTGACCTACCTCCTCAAACTTAGCTCTGCCTCCCTCCCACCCAGCCCCATCCCTGTGAAACCCTGTGCCGTGTTCATGCTATTGCTTTTGCTGGGAACGTCTTTCCCTTATTCCATCACTGAGGAAGAATGTGGGTACTTAGCACAGTGCCTACAGAACATTTTTCTTCAAAAGATCAGGACTTATGTGTGCTGCCAGAGGTTTCTAAATACTCACAACACTTGTGACAAAATTTGATCTCCAGCTAGACTTTGCAGAGAGCGGCAAGCATGGAAAGGTAACATCCATGCACTCCAGTTCTGCACTCACTAGGTGTTACTGTTTGTTACGGGTTAAACTGTGTTCCTCAAAAAGATGTGTTGAAATCCTAGCCCGAGTATGTCAGAATGTGACGCTATTTGAAAATAGTGTCTTTATAGGGGTAATCAAGTTAAAATGAGGTAATTAGGGTGGGCCCTAATCCAGTATGACTTGGTGCCCTTATAAAAAAAAATGTGGAAATCTGGACAGAGGTTGACATGCATAGAGAGAAGACGATGTGAAGAAACACAGGGAGAAGATGACCATGAGAAGACGGAGGATTGGTGTCATGCAACTACAAGCACTGCCTTCCACGCCAGAAGCTACAAGAGGCAAGAAAGGGCTCTCTCCCAGAGCTGTCAGAGACAGCGTGGCCATGCACACACCTTGATTTTGGACTTCTAGCTTCCAGAAATGCGATCAAATAATGTTGTCTCAAGCCACCCAGTTTGTATTATTTTGTTCCAGCAGCCCTAGGAAACTAACACAGTAGGTATGCAGTCATTGTTTGTTGCAACATGAAAGAATGGTCTAGGTCAGGGGTCCCCAAGCCCTGGGTCGTGGATGGGTACTGGTCGGTGTCCTGCTAGGAACTGGGCCGCACGGCAGGAGGTGAGTGGCCAGGAGCGAGCGTTATCGCCAGAACTCCACCTCCTTCAGATCAGCGGCGGCATTACATTCTCATAGGAACATGAACCCTACTGCAAAGTGCGCATGCGAGGGATCTAAGTTGTCCTTCATGAGTTTCATCCTGAAACTATCCCCAAGCCCAGCATCTATGGAAAAATTCTCTTCCATGAAACTGGTCCCTGGTGCCAAGAAGGTTGGGGACCGCTGCTGGGTGATACTGGCAGCACAGGTGTGTTTACTAGCAAGAAACTGAGGCTCACTAAGTTAACAACTGGCTCAAAGTCAGACAGCTGTGAGGTGACAGTGGGGACTGGAACTCGGGTTTCGTGGCCCCCACTGACCTTCTATCCCTCCTGATGCATCTCTCCTGGCAGCCCGAGCTCCCCGAGTTCCAGGTTCTGCTCCTCTGGTTGATGGCAAATGTTAGTTTCCAAAAAGCGCACCGAGTCCACCCATGACAAGTGCTCAAAACAGCCTTCCTTTTCTATGGTATGTCTCCTGGAAAGTCTTTCGTGGTTAATAATTCTGTTTGTGGTCATTTTTCTGAGCAGGTTAAGGGCTTCTTAAATCTTCATAGTTCATATTCACAAGCCCCTCGGAGGACAGCTTACCTCCCGCCAGGCCCCACCTGGTGATGAGCGGCCCGCACACGGCAGAGCAGTGGGAGGCCGGGAGCAGAGGCGGCCCGGAGCAGACAGCACGAGCTGGGGGTGGGGGCTACACCACCTGGAAATCTGTCCCACTGTCACACCCACGCTAGTTTACAGAACCTGGGCATGTGGCTCGAAAAAATGACAAGACATTTATGATGGGGTGGAGAGGAGGAGAGCTGCACATTCGGCACGACTCCTCTGTGCCGGAAACTGTGCAAGGCGCTCCATATATTTTTCTCATGGAACCCTCCAGGCAGGAGGTGGATGTTTTTAAAACTCCCATTATACAGATGAAGGAGCTGAGGTGCAAATGATGATGTAACTTTCCAAAGTCACATGACTCCTAAGTAGCAGGGATAAGAGTTGAGCTTGAATTTATGAGGCCCTAAAGCCCAAATGATACTCACTAGGGTTCACCCTAAGGAAGCGGAGAACACGTCCTCAGAGCGAGGATGTTACCTCTGGTTCAGTCCTGATTCTATTTTGGAAAGCTCATCTATAAATAGCTTCTCTCCTGCTTTCCACCTTTCCACAGGGAATCCACCCTCTCTCCTTTTATGGCGGCGGAGGGTCATTGGGTAGAAACCTTCCCAGGGATACTAGCTCTGAAGATTGTGGGTGAGTGCCCTGCCCTGGCCTGAGGTGGGGGTGGTGGGGATATGTTTCTGCCTCTTCCAGCCATTCCTGCGGTCTCCGGGGACCCAACCATTTGTCCCAAATCCACCCTAATTAGGGAAGAAAAAGGAACTACTCTTTCAAAGATCTGTAGATGCGCAGTTGGCTGCCTTTCTTATTCCTCTCTGCCCACTAATTCCAAAGGCATCTGACAGGGATGCCACTCTGGTGAAGATGACAGGAAGTTTCCTGCCGTGGAAGCAACTGCCTGTCTAAAAAAAGCTCTTTTTAAAAATGCTCAACTCCGAACTAAGAGCTTGCAGAGAATGTGTTATGGCTGCTGTTATTTATTTATACCACCGACTTCCAGAAAGGATTTTAAGTGGCTCACAATAAAAACACAGCTAGATCTGGGGAGAGATAGTACAAATGAAGAGCACGGTCAGCTGCGAGACTGGCTCAGAGCGCCCTCCACCCCGCGGTGGGCAGCAGGCCTCCGGAAGGATGCCCAGTAGTGAAGGGCCACGCTCTAGAGATAAAATCGTGTTTCTGTTTTTCTGCCTGACTGGGAGGTACAAGAAGTCTCCACAATGTGTTTAGGAGGGTGGGCCCCAGTTGAGGACTGGGGGTGACTCACCCCCATATTGGGGTGGATAGGAAAGGGCCCTGGAGGCCTGCAGGGAAGCCTCTCTCTCTTAGGCCAGAAGCCGAGGCTGAGACTAGAATTGGAATGCACGATAGTTTATGTGGGAGGAGATCCCAGGAAGCACTGGAAGAACAGAGTGGGCAGGGAAGGAAGGCGGCCAGCGGAGATCATCACTGTGGGCAGTCAGAGCTCGATCTAGTTGGGAAACTCTGGGACGTGGTTTAGAGGATACCTAAGAGTATCCTGCCCAACGAATAAGGAAGCTGGGGGGGTTTATCTCTCCACGTTCTGCTCATCAGTGGTGAGGGACCGCTCGCAGGAGTGGCAATGCCTCACATGTGAGCCATCCTGTAGGAATCCCGGTCACACCAGGGCGCATGTTCCAGGAGCGGCAAATGCTGTACGTTGTGTTTGTCCTGCCCTCCTCCAGGTTAGAGTGGGAGCTGTTTCACCTGATTACTAGGTGAGTCAGGGTCTGGGGATTGACTTGGCTATGCTAAGATACCACCTGGAGGAGGCGGAGGGGGACCCTGATGTAGCAGTTACTGGCCCTAGGTATTGCCATATAAAGTCGCTCACCTCATGACCTGGATCAAAAGTCTCCTCTTTCAGGAAGACCTCCCCACTCTCATCTCTTTTCCTCTGACTTTCTTGGAGCTACAAGATTGATTTATTCCTGGGTCACAGCTCTCTCCTCCTAGCTAGATGCCGCCAATGGCCCCAGCTTCCATTCTCCCTTTTTGGCAACCCTCTCAAGGGATTCTGTGTATAGTATACTGGTTAAAAGAGCTGCCCTGGAGTCAGACTGTTTAGGTTCAAGTCTCACCTCTGACCACTTGTTGACTAAGAGACAAGGGGAAAGTTATCGAGCCTTTCTGTACCTGGCTTTTGCATCTGTAATATGAGGGCAACGAAACCCAAATCACAGAGTCCTCATAAGGAATAAAAGAATTAGTATACTTATAGTACTTAGCATGGTCCCTAGTACATAGTAAATGCTCAATAAATATGAGATGTAATAATGATTACAATGATAATAATAAAGATTTTTGACCACAACCATCAATTACTGTTCATTATTTACAGACTCCTCAAGTGGCACTCAAGACTCCGCCAGGCTTTTCCCATTCTCACTTCCCACTTGCTCTCAACTCAACACAGTCCACCATTGCACAGCACCTGTTTTCTCTCATCTTCTCTTTTCGCCCCTTCCCACTGTGCCAGCCTGAGTTCCCTCATTTCTTAGGTCAAGACGCCCTCACCTTGATACACAGCTCAATACAGGGCCTGAAATGCCACTGAATGGTTGGCAATTAGTAAGTATTTCTAAAAGAAATAAATGGCATACTTTCAGGTATTGGTTATTCATCATGTTACTTTTCTGTATTGTCAGATGCACCCAGCATGGGGGCCAGGTCTCTGGAGGGTCAGTTAGTATCCAGTAGAAGGTACGTGTCTGGATGATGTTTCTGCCACTCCACTGCTGGGTAGATATTTTTGGGTTCCATCACAGCAGCTTTTCATAAATTGTCTCATTTCATCCTCCCAACTATTTCACATTATTCCCATTTAGAGATGGGAAAACTGAGGCTGAGAGACGTTAGGTAATTTGTTCACCGTCATGGGGCTGATGGTGGCTGAGTAGGACTTGAAGTACATTCGTGTGGTTCCAGGCCTCTGTTCTGGATACATGGGGTCACATTCCACTTTCTCTCCCAGGTGAAAATGAAAGCTCCCTTACAGTGTCCAGTCTTGTCCTGGCCTGTGTCCCTGCTCTGGGATGGGACAGTGTTCCCCAAACTCAGTGAAGACTGGTTGAGGTTAAGCCGAGACTCTCCCTCGGCCTGGCAGACATGCCAGTGTTTCTCCTGGCTGACACCAATGGGCGAGGTGGACCCCAGAGTGCCACCCTGGGTGTTGCTTCTCAAAGCCCGGCTCATTTGCTCTTCAGAGTCTGGTCTGCAGACCAGCAGCATAAGCAGCCTGGCAGCTTGTTAGAAATGCCCCTAGGCCATGCCTGCTGCACCAGAACCTGCACTGTAACGAGTTCACCAGGTGCTTCAGATGCACGCTGAGTTTTGAAAAGTACTGCTCAAGGTTCTACCTCTGCTTCCAGGTGAGCCAAAGTCTCTGAGCTCAGCCAGGAGACTTGTCTGTTTAAGGTGGGTGCCAGCCCTTCAGAAGCTGGTGCCACCCAACTGTGTAGTCTCATTTTCATCTGAGAAGCCACCTAGGTTTGTGCTGGCCCCAGATTCCATGGGCGCCCCTCTGGGCCTGCTCCTGGTCACCATTATTGTGTTACAGATACCACCAACATCCTAGCGCACTACACCCCATGCTCACCAAGAACTGCTCCAAAGCCCCGCCGCTCACTGTTTTTTTTTTTTCTTTCTGGTATCACTATTTTGTCTTTTGATCTTCAGGACCTCCCATGCTATCATTTTTCTAGAACACCATTCACCAAGCCAGCAAGTGCTACAATATTTGGATTTTGTTTTTAAAGTATGTTTACCATAGCATTGTAGGTGAGCAACCTAAGCTTTTTAAAGAGGCCAGAACAACATTCTAGTTGTATTAATTCATCAAATATCTACTGAGTGTCTATTACATGCCACAAGTTAGAAATATACATCAGTGAACATAATACATGCAAAAACCACTTGGAAAAATTAAAGCACCTCATGACCCCTCCACTGGCACAACCTAGACCAGCCAACATACACCTCCTACCTTTTTATCTCACTTCTCTTTTTCCTGCCTCTCTTTATTTCCAATCTCAGTGAAAGGCCATTCCTAGTGGAACGCTGGGAAGCAGAGGGGGAACATTCACTCAACTGGGCATGGGGCATGCCTACCCCAAACTTTTCTAGGCCCTGGCTTGGGGGTTTTGTACATGTCCTCTCACAGAAGGCAAACCTTGGCCCAGGGGATGGCCTCTTTATCTTGGTTGGATTTCACAGATGGATTGGGGTTTTTAAAAGATCAGGCCCCGTCCCCCTGGGTCCCTCCGTACAGAGGTCCGTCATGACCCATGTAACGCTTCACTGGCTTTACTTGTTTCCTTCACCAGATCAAAGTCTCTGAGAGCAGCACTGAATAGTTCATGTTGCCAGGGCTTAGAACACAGCCTGTCGTATAGCAAATACTCAGTTAATGCATCTAGAGTGAATGCATGTGTGCATGACTGCAGTGAGGCGGCACTCAGCCTACTCACTGATTGCCCACGCCCAAAGGCTACCTCACAGAAAGAAGTGGCTACTACATAGCCCCAGCTGGCTAGCATGCAAGCCCCTGCCAGGCCCAGTGCAAAGTGTGTGTGTGTGTGTGTGTGTGTGTGTGTGTGTGTGTGTCTGCACACATGCACGTACAAGGTTTCCACACTCCCAGCAGCCTGGGGCAGGAGTATCTCTTACCGTGGTGTATTTACCCAGCTGGCAGAGTGAAGGGAAAGTTTCCTGGTGAGCTTTTCGGATCTTCTCTGTGAGATCGTCCAACTCAGCTGTCATTTCATAGCTCTCTGTGCATTCTTGCTTCGAAGTCTCCTTCTTTTTCTTGTTCCTGTCATTCCTGACAGCTGGAAACGAGAGAGAAGGCACATCAGGGGTCGCTGAAGGCTGGGCCTGTGCTCCTGAGCTGGGAGGTTCCACCTCCCAAGGCTGCCTTAAGCTCATTTGATATTTGGGACAGAAACAGTGGGAAGAGGTGGTAATAACACACCTCCCTGGAAAAGGGATTTGGCAGCCGCGGGACCCCGGCAGAGAGCTAGGTTTGTCTTTCTGTATATGCATGTGCCCGTCAGTTGTTTGGAGAGCTTGGGCTCACCCAGGAGGCTCAGAGTCTTGGCTTGTTGTGAGAGAACTTTTTCTGTGGACTGGATCTCTTGAAGAGAGAAGGATTTTTCCAAGAGCTTTACCCTCAAATGGGATGCCCTGAGTGACATTGTAAGGGAAGGGTCAGGTCTCTGAACAAAGCCCCGTTACTTCATAATTAGTATTTCCTAGCTACACATTTTGGTGTCTTTGCTTTTTAGTTTTCTGAATTAAGTGACAGGCACTTTTGAAGAAACTCATCTGAGAGGAGATAAGGATGATGGTTTTTGTCCCTTCGTGTTTTTCTGCTTTCTAAACTTTCTGTATGAACCATATTATCTGTTTTGGAATATAAAATTACTTAAAAATAATAATTGATACAGTATGAAATCTTCAGCCTGGAAAACCATTCATTCCCTTATTCGCTGGTAGCCACTTGACTCCACGTTGTGTCTGGAACACTGGACCCACAGCAGGTGTGTGTCCTTTCCCTCTGCATGCTCCGAGCCAAGCACGGTGCCAGGCACAAAGTCAGGGCCCAGGACACAGTGCTATGGAAGCCCGTGCTTCCTCCTGCAGCACAGACCTCTGGGATGACTTCAAATCCGAGTGTAACTCAAAGCTCTAGCCCCTGGCTAGGATCTCGCGAGGAAAGAAACTGAAACCCAGGGAGGCAGACAGGCGAAACAGACCATGCCACCCCCTCCAGGGAGTCCATGTTCTCTGGGGCCCAGCGGGTGCCAGGCTGGATGCTGCCTGGCTGTGCATGCCACCACTGTGACCTGGGAATCTGCACTGCAAAATGACCCAGGGCATAATCTGATCTGCCCTAAGAGGATCTGGCCTGAGTTGCCTCCCTAAGAGCACACGGGTGATTTGAGAACTGGCAGTTCCCTGGGTCCACACCATGAGAATACCCATATTTGGGGTAGGAGCTGAGGGCAGAGTAAGACAATAGCAGGAGGAGAGAGGAAGTGGTGAAAGGAAAGAGCAAGGGGTGAGAAGGGGGAAGAAAGGAAAAAAGGGAGGTGAGTCCTACTACAAAGTCAGTGTCTGTACGAGCCACTCCTACCTAACCAGGAGGGAGGGCAGCTGGGGAGACCAGGAACATTTTTTTGAGTCCCTTGAACATGGTATCACGGTATCTCACTTGATCCTTTTATCAGGTAGGCAAGTTTAAACCCATTTTACAGATGAAGAAACTGAGTCTTGGAGAAGCTAAGAAATATGCTCAAGTTCACGTGGTTGAGAAGTTCCTTCCTCACTTGGACTCACTTACTTATTCCTAAGGAAACCAACAGGTCTGAAGAGAACACCCTTCTAGACAGTTTCCTTCCCCCAGGACTCTGAAATGACACTGCTCATTGGCTCAGAAAATTTCTAGATCACTGGTGAAATGAGTGGGAAGTGCAGCCTCAGCTGTATTCTTTCCCAGTGCAGACTGGCCCCTCGAGACCTCTGTGACCCGATCCCTCCCAGCCGGCGCAGGACGCTGGGTGAGAGTGGGTATCATGGTTCAAAGCAGAGAGAATGCAAAGAAGCCGGCGGGCAAAGGAGACACAATGAGGGGGAAAGGGGTCATGCAGGGTGGCAGAGGCGGCATGGTGGCTCTCCGTGAGGATGGAGTCTGGGCTGCTGAGGGGAGGGAATGCCTGAAGGCTTGTGTGTGAGTGCGCAGGATCTCAGGTGATCAGACCCCCCTCTTTTCCTCGGCCTCTGCCAATGGCCTTCCTTAGCTAGTGAAAAAGTCAAATCTAAGCAGGGAGGGTCCTTCTGAAACAGAGCCCCGAGGAAGAGTACTCGGCAGTTTTTCTCAAAGTTATACGCAGAGGTACCATGTGACGCAGCAATTCCTCTCCTAGGTGTACACCCAAGAGAACTGAAAATATGTGTCTATGCAAAACTTGTCCATGAATGTTCATGACAGTGTGACTCACGGCAGTTGAAAAGTGGAAAGAACCCAAATGTTCATCACCCGATGACGGGGAAGTGGAATCTAGGACGTCCTTATGGTGGAATATTATTTGTCATAGAAAGGAATGAATTATGGATGCATACTACAACACAGATGAAGCTTTCACACATACGCCTTAAAGAAGCCAGTCGCAAAAGGCCACACATTGTGTGATTCTAAATTATATGGATGTCCAGAACAGGCCAATCCAAAGACAAAAAGTAGACTCGTGGCTGTCAGGTACGGGGGCAAGTTGGTGGGGAGGGAGGATCGGGAGTGCTAACGGGTTCAGGGTTTTGTTTTTTAGGAGATGAAAATGTTCTGGACTTACTGGTGAAGGCTGCACAACTTAGTGGATCCACTACGCACCGCTGAATGGTACAGTTTAAAATGATGAATGTTATGCTACGTGAATTATATCACAAAACAACACCAACAAAAAACCCAGAGCCCTGTGGGAGGTGACACATCGCTAAATACCAGGAACTGTTTGAGTCGATTCTGAAGCTGAGATGACACCTACAGCTACATTAAAACACAGCAGCAGCCTCACTACCCTTTAGTGATTGTGTGGCAAGGGCCACTGGGCATCAGCAGGTGAAGAATCCTAGCTCGCGAAATCCCCACAGTAAGCCAGGTGAGGTGGGCCTTATGACCCCATTTCTACACTCAAGGAACTTGAGGCCCAACAATACCATGTTTGAAAATAGTCAACCCAATGTGCAGAAAGAGAAACCACAAAACAAACTAACAACCCACAGAAGGAGTCCCCATAATCCCATCCACAGGGAAGTCTGCAGGACCTGTGTCTGCTCCTAAGCATTCTGCTTCACTGTCCCCATCCACCACCAGGGGCCTGGAAAACTCAGACGAGCAAACCCAGCTCTAGAGGGTTACCAGGAGAGAGGAGACACTGTGAGCTGTCACCATGAAGTAACTGAACCAAGCAAGAAAGGGAGGGGTGAGGTCCTGTGGGAAGGGGCCCTGGGTGAGCTGCAGCTGGGCACCAAGTTGGGCATCTCTGTTGGGTTGTGCAGTGATCACACACGCCGTTTGCAAAATCACAACTGTGAAGCCAGAGCACCATTTTCTGTGCTTTGGGCCCAATTTGGAGCAGCCTTTGCAGCTCACTCGAAGGGGAGCAGTGTGTAACCTCAGGCTACTTTCCACACTCCTTTTGTCCCCTACGTGAAGTCCCACCACCACTGTCTATGTGAATAAAGGACTCCTGGGATTATCACAAATTCTTCCACACCCACAAAATGCAGGGACAACCCCTCTGGTGATGATGCCCCAATTACATACAGCTTCATAAGTTGACGGACAAATTTTCTAAACACGTGGCTTCAGCAGCTGCTTCCCTCAATGGTTTTAAACTCTAGAAGAACGCAGACGCAGTGTTTGAGAAGGGCTGCCAAGAACCACCAGAATCATGGAGGTGACACAGTGCACAAGAAGCCACGGGGGCCTAGGGATGGTAGCTTTGTCCAAGTTCTTGGGACTATTGGTCCCTTTGAGGCCTCGTGGTCAGTGGCTCCTGGGGCAGTGCAGGGACTCGTTCCCCTGGAGGCCAGCAGTGGGAGGCAAGGGCGATACAAGTACTGCAGGGGAAGTCAGGAGATCTGGAACTAGTGCTAGCTCCACCACTTACCACCTGGGGTCAACTCCAGAGGAGACAGCTCCTTTCAGAGCCTCCCCCGAGATGGCAGTAGCACCTGCATGGAGACACACAGATGGTGGGCTTGGTGGGAAGGAGGTAGACTACTGTAAAGGCCTATGTGGGTTAGTTATGCAGGAAGAATGTAAGGCCCTTCCGTGGGGGAAATGGATGACCTAAACACCAAGGACTTGTGGGGATTACTGTGGGGCCTGTGGCTGTCAGTGGCAGAGGAGACTGATATGAAAAATGGTGCTTGGAGAAGCCATCGCAGTGGCACCAAATGAGTGGGTGGATTCATTTGTTCCTTCATTGTTTTGTTCATTCATTCATTCAATGAATATTTATTGAGTATCTACTATGTGCCATCGCAAAACAGGATGGTTGTTGCTACCATGGAGCAAAAACTTATGGTAGCAGACAGACATTCATCATACAATAAAACAGTGACAGTAATAATAATAATAATAGAATATTGGCATCACTATTATTACATGTACTGCAATTAATATACGAGAGTATTATTTACCACAATACTGAAAGTGTTCATTACAACTATCATAAAGCCTTCTATTCATGGTAGGCCATTCAATCCTTACAACAACCTAATAGAGTAGATATCACTATTATACCCATTTTGCAGATGAGAAAGTGGAGGCACAGGAAGGTGAGTACCCTGCCTGAGGCCATGCATCCTGTGAGTGATACAGTCAGGATCAGAACTTAGGAAACCCACTGTGCTCCGCTGCGTCTGAGTCTACCCCATGTACACACAGTCCACAGCGTAGTGAGTACAATGAAGGATGCTACAGGGAGCTGTGCCTGTGTATTACTGGGTGTGGCAGGGGGATCCTACTGGTCCTAGATTAGGAAGCTAACGCTGGGGAATTGGGAGGGTAAATTGAGGGATGCTATGGGATGGTGGGTGGGGAGATGACTCTCTTCTCTGGGAGCGTGGGGTGTGCATCTGATGCTCAGCTCCAAGGCTGCCTGGGATGTTTGATGGTGGACCTCTTCTTTCACTCTGATTGCGACTGACTGGTATATGCACTCATATACCTATGCCAGACCTGGGAGTTTGACAAGCTGCTTTCAGGTACGGTGCACCTCTGGGAGGGAATGGAGAGGCAAAGAGAGGAGCAAACACTGTCAAGCCTGCATCAAAGCCCTCCCCTCCAAGTCTGTGAATATCTGAAAGGCAAGGGCCACATGTTACTTGTCTCTATGTCCCCAGGGCTTAATACAAGATCCGACCCACAGATGGGGGCCTCAAAACTGTTTTGCAAATGATAAGGTAGACATATAACTAAATGTGGTGTTCTGTCCACTGTCAGGGCCTATATGTGGCAATACAGAGTTCACCTGAGCCTCTTTCTTCCAGAACTTAAAGGTCTCACTATCATGTTGGGGTCTGCGGGGGAATCACTAACTGCTCTCCACCCCTACAGTAGTAGCCAGAAGGTTGATGAAGCAGGTGGGGCATTCAGGGGGTCACAGATGTGATTTATACACCTGATAGAACCCGGCCTGATGTTTGCAAAGCGCTTCTTGGATGAAAGGTGCTCCATAAAATATCAAGTATTCTCCTTGTGAGGGGCTAAGTGCTACAAATCAGATTTGGTGGCATAAAAGTAACATATTTATGATCCACTATCATATTGCAAATGAAATGAATGTAATAAAAGTGTCACTTATACAAATACCTCTGATGTACGGATCTCGACCTATGAATATGAAAACAGACACCCAAGCACTTTTATTTGAATGTCTAATCATGGAAATAAATGAAGTCATGTTCATTTTAATGTGTGCACTTGTGCATGTATCTGGAATATTGATTTTCAGGCACACAATAAAAATTTAATGCAGGAAACATGCAAAAGATGTAGATTCACTTGGATTCAGGAAGAGATGAAAACAATGCTTCACTAAAAATCCTTTCACATCAAAAAAAAAAAAAAAAAGGAAAATACAATTGATGGTATTTTTGTCCATAAAGTTCTCTATATTCAGCTTAGCAAAGGAAGCATGATGGTCTATTTATTCTTGCTTGAAAATTAAAGTCTGGAATTTGTTCATCTTGACTCTTCAGCTCCTTGCTAACTGCAAGAATAATGAGTTACAGTTGGTGATTAGAACTATGGGGTTGTCATGAGTTGGGGATGACCTGTAACTAACACACTGATATATTTAAAAGAAAAACATTAAAACATGCTTTAATTTTAGTTAAAAAATCATTTTCTAATCTCATCATGTAAACGAGCTACCATGGATCTGAAGGCAGGTGGATCTATTACTAATTGTTAGAGACTTACTTTTCCCACAACCTAAGGATTTAATTCAAGCATTTAACATAGCACGTCCCACTGTAAACTGGGGAGAGTTGGGGTGAGTAAACATTTCTTCTACATCAGAATCTGCCTGAAGGTGGGGACTGTGTCTTTTTCCTAATAAAGTGCCTGCCATGTGAATTCCAGTTGAAATTGGAACAAATATACAGAGAAAAAAGGTCAGTGAATGAGGCTGCAGCTAAGTTTTCTTGCCACTCATGAGACATGTGCCTTTTGGACCAGGCTGAGGGTAGGGTGCCGAAGAGTATGTGTTGAATGAATCAAGTTATTCCATTTCCAGGGACTTTGATTTCAGGGTTTGTAAAATGGAGGTCAAAATGGAATCCTAAGAGGACTGCTCTGAGTCTGCAACATGTAGCATATGTGCAAGTACTTCAAAAGGTGACAGGAGGCCCCTACAACCTCGAAGTCTAAGAGATGACCTGGTGTCCATTGTGCCAGCAATTGAGCAAGGAGCATGCTTAGAATTTTTACAGAATATTGAAGTCTTGGGGGAAATTAGTCTGGACACAGCATTCTGAGAGTTTAATATGATCTTCCAGCTTAGCTCAGCTTCTTAAAATTATTCAAAGAAGTTATAGAAAATCTCTGAAATATCAGAATATACAGACGTCAAATACTTCTTTGTGGTTAAAGTGGTATGTTATGCTAATGAAACTTTCAAAACAAATTTAATCATATTTCCCTCACTGGTTACTTTTTGATATGCAGATTTTACCTCTTCTTGTGTGGACAGTCTTTCAAATACTTTTTCCCTCCTCTGTCTGGGCTGGTAAGGGCAGCCCTACTGTGGTCGCATTCATTTTCAGACAAGCACGGTGTGGTGCGCGTCCTTGCAAGGCAAGAGATTTAGTTTTAGATGAAAAATCCTTTTCTTTGGACATATGAGCTATAAGAAATATCCTAAGTTCAATTCCAGAAATGAGAAAAAAGAAAATGTTCTGGCTTAATGTATAAAAGTAGGAACTCAACAGTGAGTAGTTGAGGGATGACATGAACCCCTGAGATGCTTTCCTTCATACCCGGCGGTGCTTCTTTGTACATTTCCTCTGGCAGCAATGGGCTATTCTCAATGATTACTTTGCCTAAATCCTGTCCAAAGAGGCACACGTGTCTGTGGCTTCGTGTTTGTGACAGAGCTACCCAATATGAATAAGAGCTGAGATGAAGCCTTTTATTTATGGCATAAAACTGAATGTTAAAAAAAGGAAATTAAAGACACTGTGGCTGGCCCTCTGCTTTTTAACCAGGAATAAACTCACACACTTACTGTATGATCAATTCACCTTGTTTTTAAAAAACCTCTGATCTAGAAAAAAAAAAAAGGCTTAGTATCTCTTCCATAATCAATTTTCATAGGCAGGAAATTCTTCGCTGTGCCAAACTCAAGTTCACTTCTGCTGAAGCCCAAGCTGCCCTCGTGTATCTGAAACACTGTGAGTGGGTCTTTTAACTTTTTTGAAAAAAGGCTGACAGTCTAAGGTTCAGGAATC
Organism: Homo sapiens; assembly: GCF_000001405.40. Classification (NCBI taxonomy): domain Eukaryota; kingdom Metazoa; phylum Chordata; class Mammalia; order Primates; family Hominidae; genus Homo; species Homo sapiens. The sequence continues at coordinate 25,562,067 of NC_000003.12, read as the reverse complement.
AATAGTCTTCAAATAGGGGTCCCATATATCTAGGGTAAAAAAGTTGAGCAGGGTAAAAAAGTTGAGCAGGGATACAAGCACACTCCTTTATATTTCTTTCATGGAATAGGCATAGACTGCCTTTCAAAAACAGAATCTGATGAAGGGCAGGAGGGCAAAAAAGAAATTTCCCAGCAACAGACTGTTCCAGATAAGCTTGTATCTTGCTCTGTGTCATGTATATTCTTTATAACAAGTTATGGGCTTTCAAATATTAAATAACAGTCTCTATCATGATAAAATATAATGGCCGGATCTTTCATTTCTACTGTCTTTTAAAAGCCAATACATTTTTAGCAAATGAACTGAAGTTCTGCTTGACATTTTCATCATACATTTCCTCTTAAAATGTTATGTAAAATAGAAATGAAGTTTTTCTCAGCTTAGGAAAAGAGAAGCAGAAGTCCCAAGAGACCATAAAGAGGACAGCCCAGTTGTTCCAGCCAAGACCACACTAGATCAATCTGGAGCCAGCTTGAACCTCGGAAAGAGCACAGGTAAGATCAGCAGAGTTGCCTACCCAGTAGAGAGCCCAGTGAACCCAGAAGTACAACCCGACTGATCCATGGTGCTGTGAACAGTAACAAAAGCTTATAGTTTTAAGCCACTGAGCTTGGGGGTAGTTTGTTACACAGCAATAATCTGTGTAATACAGTCTGTGTAAAGAGTGTTTTTATGCAACAGTAACACGTGCCCAAATGCCTTTTATGCTACAGGATATTTGAATACATGGTTCCCTCTATTCAGCATTTGAGGCAAGAAAGAAAACAATTGGTCATTCCTACCACTCAAAGATCCCACCCACATCTGTTACAACACACAGAAATTATGGCACTGTTCCCCATAGGTCTTAAATAATATGAAAGAAACAATGGACAAATGGAAGGACCCTGGGATAAAATTTCAAAGGCCTGCATTTTAGCTCGTCATTTATTGTACTAACTATGTAAGCTCAGGATAGTCTCTTAATGTCTCTGAGCCTCAGTTTCCTTATCTGAAAAATGAGGACATCAGTTTTTGTTCATTGCACACAGGATCTCATATATATTTAGATATATACATGATTGCAACACAATGTAACATGAACAAAAATAGTGGGAGCCCTATACCAATTTGTTTATTCACCAAACATTTATTGAGTCCTGTAGCCACTAAAGAAACAGAGTCAAATAAAGCATGAGGGGTTCTCCCTTCAATAAATGAAATGCACATGATATATAATATAGAATATAAGGATTTAATATACACAAAAGCTTTGAGATGTGAAATGCTAAGGCAGCAGTGGAGGAAGGAAGGTAGAAAGAAACCAAGGAAGGAAAAAATGAGGGAGGGAGGAAAGAATTTTTATCCAAGATGAGACCAGCATTCCAGCCTGGTGCTCTATAACTAGAGATTAAAGGGAAGACAGAGTATGGAAACTGTCAGTTATTAAGCTTCCAGTGGGTTCACCTCTAATGTTAGGACTGTCTGTCTGAACTTGGCTTAGTGAACATTTATGGCCACGCTCATGTCCTTGGGATTCAACGTTTTCTGAGATTGCTTAATATACGTGATGGATTTCTGCCTGAGCCATCCACATGTCAATAAGACATCTGAGAGAGATAGACAAATGGCTTATAATTTTGCCAGATGTTTGCCAAATACCGTTAAGATATTAATGTAGAGAAGCTCTTTCATGTTGTCAATTTTAGAAATCCAAATCATTAGAGAAATGGTCTACATGTAGATATAGGTGTTTATATCACATAGTTAGTTTAAATGAAAAACCTCACTTTACAGCATTTCAAATGGTTTACGCCAGTCTATATACCCCTAAGTGATTCTTAATGAGGTCCTGGAAATGCTAAAGTTTCTAAGGATCTTCAGAATCACCACATATAAATCTTGTTCAGTATAGCTTTTGTTCTAAATGCATTCTATTAATTTTTAGAAAATTGGCAGTCTATGTATGAGATATATGCTAGCCCACTGTTGGATATGATTAGTCAATTAACTATAACCTTCTTTCCTAATCATTATAGATCTGAACAGTGTCTTATAACTGGGAGTGTTTTTCATCCATCCATCCATCTGTCTATCCATCCAAATAGACATCCAAGAAAGAATTGCCTGTTTATCCAGTCCTTCTGTCTACTCATTCATCCATGCATCCATCTGTCCATCCTTCCAACTATCCAATGCAGCTGCCCATTCATCTGTCCCATTTTCCATCCATTGATCCACCTATCCATCCATTTGTCCATCTGTCCATCCTTTCATCTATTCATCTGTCCATCTACTTGTCTGTCTGTCTATCTATCTCTGTCCATTCATCAATCCATCTATCTTCCTATCCATCCATCGATCCAACCAATTAACCATCCACCCATCCAACCATATATCCATCTATTTATTTCTTCTTCTGCTCAAATAGTTATTGAGCACTTACACTTTGTTTGCCATTATGCATGTTAAAGACACAAGAGTAAGAAGGTATCATTTCAAGAGATTCACATTCTAGTAAAAGACACAGTCATCTAAAGAAATAACTATCATGCACTGAGCTAGATGTCAGAAGGGAGATATTCATTCTTAGACTCAAGCAATATGAATTCAAAACCTAAGGGACAGGTTGTAAGATGGTACTGAGACTCACAGATGAGGAAGCTGATAGTTTAGCCTGTGGGGCCATAGGGAAAAAACATCTCAGAAGAGAGGAATCTTGAGCTGAATACCCTTATAAGAATATGCTAGGTCTTATTCACTCAGAAATCCTCAGTGCACAGTCCAGTATCTTCTCCATAAGGAATGTTCAACATATATTTCTTAAATGAATGGGGCTTAGAGAGGCTAGGAGACATTCTGGATGAAGGGACCAATGTGCGCAAAGGCCTGAGGGTTGGAAAAACGTGGCTACATGATGGAATTTAGGTTTGCGGTGGCCTTTAAAGGATGGGGTCTCATTCAGGAGGCCAAAAGGGGAGGAAAAAACATTCTGGATGGGGGAGATATGAGAAAATACTTCCAAGAATGACTACATCATGTTTGAAGGGGAGTGGAGTGGCTGGTGTCACTGAAGAAAAATGTGGAGACAGGGATTGATGGGGAGAAATAATGAGGACAAAGAGAAGTGGGGAGATATAGTGAATCACCGCAAGGAAAAATATGCTAGACTTGGCAACAGAATGAAAATGGGGATGAAGAAGACGACTTAGAGGTAACAATAAGGTTTTAACCCCGTATTGGGCTACTGATGGTATCAAAACAGAGAAGAAATGTAGGGTAGCTGGTGGGGAGTAGGGAAGCCAGTTTCTGGCAGGAATATGATGAATTTGGTTTGAGGGGGCATGAATTAGGAATCCAGAGGCTGTCAGAGCAATGGCATTGTGGATTTGGCAAGAGAGCACCTCCAAAGTTAGATTATTTAGGAGTCAAACCTTAGAGATGACTGTTGAAGTCGTAAGCGAGGATGAACAATCTAAGGTGAGAGAGAGGAAAGATAAAAAAAAAAAAAAAAAAAGGGCCAGGAACTAATCCTTGGGAATTGCTAGTAGTTGATGGGAAAGGGAAAAGGATACGGGGATGAAAGCAGATGAACTGTGGGAGAAATTGGAATAAAAAACCGCAGAAACCAATGGAGAAAAGAATTTGAAGCAGCAGCAGCCTGGCCAAGTGTTCAAGTAGCCGCCAGTCAGAAAGAATGAAGAAGGAGCAAAGTTCATTGGTTTTGGCAATGGAGAAAGTTGTGACTTTCGAGAGAACATTTGTAGCAGAGCAATAAGGATGGAAGCCAGACTTGGGGGTGGGGAAGGTTAAGAGGAGGCCAGATAAAGTCCTTCAAAAATCAGCCTAGAAAATAAACTTGAGGCCAAGCGCTTGAAAACATGTTTTTTGTGTAATCCAACCTGTAGGAGAAGTCAGTGAAACTACCCATGTTTACAAACACAAAAAGGCTGTTTGAACTTCCCGGAGAATCCAAAATTGCTCATTTGCAGAGAGAGGCTCACTGGAGGGTCAATATGGAATGAGATCTTGAAATATGCATTCACTTAAATTCTATGTAAATATCCAAAGCAGGAGACTTGAGCTAACCAAAGGCTGGGAGAACCGAGTGCTTTCCAGGCAGAAAAGAGAGCCAGTTTGCAGACCTAGAGAGAAGCAACAGGGCAGCTTTGGAGCTCTGCAGGGAATAGGGTGAGGCTTGCAGTTCTGGGCTGTGGCTGGACCACAGCTCATGTGATTGTGTGAACTTGGCCAAGGAGACTTGGCTTTTAAGTTTATTAGGGGTTGCTGTTTAGACGAGTCACTGTTCATGGTGAAGAAATGATTAGGGGTATAGGGACCACTGAAGTAGTTGCTAGAAGTTCCGAGTGAGAGAAGAGGGATGTCTAAACCAGGGAGGGACTGTAGGGAAGTGCCAGGATAGCAGATGCAAGGTGCCAGGCAGCAGGAAGGGTCAAGGGTTTCCAGCTTGCACAATGATGGTGAGGGAACAAAGGAGGAGGAAAAAGGGCCTCCTCCTTCTCCACTTAGAATTCCAAGTGCCCATGTGCCACCCAAGTGGAGTTATCCAGTGTGTGCTTTATGTAATTGGCTATCTGGGTTTCAGGCTCCAGAGAAGTGATAGGCTGCGGAGAGAGCCTTGGGAAAAGCCCATTTATGATTGGAATGGTATCCATGGAAAATGAAGAGGAATTCCTTAGTCCCTCCGGGTTTTGTTTCTTCTAGCTCTTGACTTCTAGAAATTGACTTAATGTGAAATAGACTCAGTTATTCATTCCACTAATAGTTATTGAGCTACTACTGTGCAACAGATGCTGATGTAGACATAACCTATAGAGGAACTCAAAGCAGAAGTCTCTACTTTCATGGCAATTGTGTGTGTGTGTGTGTGTGTGTGTGTGTGTGTGTGAATGCAATGCCATGTGGAAGCAAAACACAAAGAAGGAGAACTTCTTTCAAGTTTACTCTAAAGACACCCAAACAGCACGTCATTGTGAGAAACTGCCTTATGCAAGAATGGTTCCATGTAATTTGTTGACCTACCTTGCACATCAGGAATTGTTTACAAGAATTACTATGAGAAAATAATAACTATTCCTTGCCCTTGGCTTTGAAATGCAAAGATGAGAGAAATTCCAATCCATTATGGAAATTCAAACTCATAATTGCCAACTGTCACAGACCAGTTTCTCAAATTAGGGCTGTGGTGTGTGACCCAGACTTCTCTTGCATCTCCCTCAGCTGTAAGGACAGTTTGCCATGAACAGGCAACATCACTGCTGTCATCAACCCCAGCCCTTCGGGGTGCTGGCTGTGCTAAGTGCATGACATACATTCTCATTTAATTCTTACAGCAGCCCCATGTGGTCAATGGCATGATTTACTTCCCAAGTTGCACATGAGGAAACTTTGGCCAAGAGACTTTAAAGGTCACATTTAAGCCAGTAATTTATAGGACCAGAATTTGAACCCATTTCTATCTAATTCCAAAGCTATATATGGCTCATACAATAATTCTTAAAACTTTTTGCTTTTTCAAAAGATTAGTGTTGGTAACAAGAATGTAATGAGGACTATAACTAGAAAATTTTTCTACTTGGCCTTGGTTGTCCTGAATGCCATTGAGGGGTCACTCTCAGTCCACATGTGTTACTAAAAGAAAATCTTAAAAAATGAAACAGCAGAAATAAGCCAAAGCTCCCAGGTCAGTCTCAGCATATGAAGTGTTGGCTAGAATTGTAGCCAACTTAGCCTTCCCCTGAGTGAACTTATCAGTTTCTCAATATAAATAGATCATCCCAAATTGCACTGTCTGTAAAGGATTGCTGAATCCTATTTAGTTCACAAAAATCTTCTTTGTGGCCTACAGAACTTTAATTCTCAGGTATTTATTTCTCTGGAGAGTCATTTGGAAAAGAAAGAAAGCCATCTCCACCATTCTCTGCATAGCTTACAGCCACAGTCTTGGATGTCTAATATGAACAGAAAATCCAGTTTCTATTCCTGGGAATGCTTCTGCTAAGGGGTCAAAAAAAAAAATACAAGATGTCCAAGAAACAACATACAAAACGTTCCTGCCAGAGCTTCACAATCCACTTCCCTTTGCCCTTCCTTTTCCCTTCCTTTAACACCCACACCCATGCCCAGAATGGGCTTTCTTTCCCTTTTAATAAAAAAGACATCTGCTAATGCCTTCTAAGGTAGAGGCAGCCTCCAGCCCTTGGTGGAGAGAGGAAAGGCAATGGTAGATCAGCAAGCAGTAGAGAACTCCAACATCCCCGGGGCCATCTATTTCTTACCAACCCATACCTTGTGGGTGTAAGATCAGTACCAGTAAGACAGTGTTTGGGATCTAGGGGGAAGGCAGTTAACATCCAAGAAATAACTAGAGTACATACAAAGAAATCCTAGGCTGCGTGCAGTCAATTCTTAATGTGATCATTCATTTTCAAATATTTGCTGACTAAATGATACACACATGACTAAAACTTAATCCTGACAGAGCTAGAAAAAAAAATTAACTGGGGATCCACTATGTTCCAGGTACTGTTCTAGGCACTGAGGATGTGGCGGTGATAAAAGATGTTTCCAGCTTCTTGGTGTTTATTTTCTTCTTGGGGGAGGCAGATGATAAACAAATGCATATCCAATATAATGACAGGTAATAAGTGTTATGAAGAAAAACAACGCAGGGAAGAGAGAAAGATCGACAGGGGACATTGTACTGTGAAGTGTGGCAGGGAAAGCCTCTCTGATGAGGGGCCATCTGAGAAGAGAGCTGAAAGAGGTGAAGGAGCAAGTGTTTTAGATATCAGGGAGCAGAAACTATTGCATGTATTGAGGGAAAAGTTTTCCCATAAATTAAATAAACAAGCTAGAGTAGCTATTTGTCAATTTACTCATTCATTCATTCATTCACTAATTTTATTCAAATATTTACAGGGAACCTGCTATGGTTTGAATATTTTTCCCCTCTAAAACTCATGTTGAAACTTAATCCGCAATGTGGCAGTTTTGAGATGAGAAGCCTTTAAGAAGTGATTGGACCGAGAGTGCTCTGCCATCAGGAGTAGATTAACTTATTTATGAATTAATGGGTTAATGGATTAATGGGTCATGAGAGGAACTGATGGCTTTATAAGAAGTGGAAGAGAGACGTGGGCTGGCATGTTAACACACCCAATCCTCTTGCCATATGAGGCCCTGTGCCATCTTGGGACACCACAGAGATTCCCTATCAGCAAAAAGACTAGATGCAGTGCCTTGACTTTGGACTTCTCAGCCCTCAAAGTAAGAAAGAAATTCCTTTTCTTTATGAATTATCCAGTTTCAAGTATTCTGGTATAACCAACAGAAAACAGACTAAGGCCGAACCTATGCAACTCTGTGCCCGGCACTGTGAGGGTTACTGGAGGTGTTGATGGTGAAGAGGCAGACGTGGTTCCTCACTGAGTCACAGTCTAGCCCAGGAGTGGCAAATTTTTCTCCTAATAGGCCAGATAGAAATGTTGTAGGCTTTTGGGCCTTCCCAGTTTTTGTCACACTACTCAACTCTGCCCTTGTAGCGCAAAAAGAGCCAGGACTACACGTCAACAAACGCACAGGGCTGTGTCCCAGTAAAACTTTCTTTACCAAAATAAGCAGTGGGCCGGGTTTAACCTATGGACTGCAGAGTTGGCTGACCTGTACACTAAAAAACGTCCTTGATTGTTAAGAAGTTGCTTGTGCAATAAATCAAACTTAGGGAAGAAAATAAATTTAACAAAAAATAAAACAATTAATACTCACCCCCTCATGTTTTTTTGTTTTATTTCAGCTATCAGGCAACATACTAGATGTCAGTTGTTATTTTCTGCACAGCAGTGAGTTCCCCTGCCCTACACCTCCACGCACAGATACTTTCTCTCGGGAAATCCCCTCCCCCACCCTAACCATGGCCTGCAGTATTTGTAGACCCCTGCTCCAGAGGTAGACACACACATTCCTCACCTAACCAAACACAGATTAACATGACATTACACCCTGAAAACACATGGGGAAACAGTGTGGCAAACACAGGTGACATGGGCTTCTTTCTAGTTGGGGAGGGGGAGTGGGAAGTCAGCCAGAGAAAATCTGCACAGAACATTCTGCATCAGAATGTCTGGGCCGAGTACTGTTTAACTAGGTGAAGAATATTCTAGGCTGAGGGGAAAGCATGAGTAAAGATCTTGGGAACATAAAGAGAGTCGGGGACCTCTGGTATTTGAGAGGTGCCTGAGAGATGTTGGATGTTTCGATTCTCATGAGGCCTGGGAACGAAGGATGGCGTCCAATCCTGCCAGGTTGCAGCGAAGACCCAGTGACAATCCATACAAATGTGTTCAACAGATGCACGCCAAATGCCTTTGGAGGGCAGATGTTATCAAGGCCAAGGGAGTGTCGACATGTAAGATACTCCAAGGGGGTTTATTGATTGCTCCACATTCTTAGGAAGCAACACTTCAGATGACTGGTTTTTTTGGTGATGTGAAAGAGAGTTCTTCCACAATTCTTCCTTTATAAGCATCCAAAGACTTTCCAAGGCCATTGCATTACCTGTTGCTCCTTTGGAAAATAACGTGGTCAGAAAGGGATCCTCACAAATAGCTGGGTCTAAATCACACAGAGATGAAGAGGATGGGCTTAAAGATTCCTAGAGTTCTCTAAAGAAAAGTTCTCTGCTCCCCTGTCAATCATTCCTTGAGGGGTGGTGAAGAGTATGCCTGGGCGCCAGTGGCAGAGGCCACCCTCCCTCAAGGAGGCTCCCATCCAGTGAAAGGGCAACGAGAGACTAGGTAGCCAGAAAAGTCTGTAGGTAGCAATCAATATAGTTGTGTTTTATTTACTCAAATCTTTCAAAAAAAAAAAAAAGCAAAAGATGGCAGGAAAAAAATCATCTCTATAGAACTAAAATTTTGAATATGTAAGTACTTTAACTCCTCATGCATTTCATAGTATTCACCAAGTGAATTATAGTTTGCCCGTCTTCCTTCGTAGGATATCTGTTTTTCATTTTCAAGCTTTAAAACACAAAATCATACCTTAAAAGGTATGTCATTAATTCCTCCAGTCCTGACAACTGGAATACGTATTTATATTTAAACAGATCTGCTACATAAAATCTAGACATACTTAAAGTAGAGACCATGATGTAACAGCCCCCATTCACTCAACACTCTGCTTCAATGGTCAACTCATGGCCAAACTTATTTTCTTCCTACTCCCACACCTCCCAAGATTATTTTGTAGTAAACCCTAGACATTGAATATTTACACCCATTTCAAAATTCTTTCTTTCATTACCTTTATCATACCCTTGGTTCATTTTAGACGGGTGCAGTATTATCTCCTCCAGGTAGATTTTAGTAGGCAGAAAGGTGAAGAGTGAGAACTGACCTTCTAAGAACTTGAGAGAGGAAACCAGACTAAGAGATTTGGGGTGCCCACTTGATCTAGATATATGCAAAGCAGGGCCAGCTATCTTGGAAATATCTGGAATGCAGGCAGAGAGGTCAAGTTGCCCTAACAAGCCACTGGCACGAGAATGTTCCCCCCGCCCCTTACCAAGTCCCTTCCAATTAACAACCAAAGCACAGTCAGCAAGAATTGGCCGCCCTCCCCCAACCCCAGCCATTTTCATTATCCTGAGAACATATGGTTTAACTGTGCATGCATTTAAGGTTGTCTAGATCTTAAGCTGGAAAGGAACACTGGACTCTAAAATAATATTTTTCTCATTAATTTCACCAGGCTGACTTTCCCTTGCCCAGCCTGTTTGCCCACTTACCCTATAATCTTTTGACCAAATTCAGGAAATTGCACAATGGTTGGTCAGCTCCAGGAACTGCCATTTTTAATCACACAGTCTGTTTTTGCTACCATGTACCTTGACTACAGAGGGGCCCGTGGTCAACTATGATTATTGGCTTTGCTGTCTCATCCCAGGGCTCTTGTTCATAACCAGGTTTATTTAAAAAAAGGGCCAGCTCAGTGGGCTATGGGAACTTTTTAGGATGCCTCTTGACTTTAAAAAGTAGCAAGAACTATGAAACATGGTTATAAAAAAAATGCCTTGAGCTAACTAACTTCAAAAAGAGGAATGCAGGTAGGCATGGACTGGGATTCCCCTCTCTCAGAACTATTGCTAACTTCCAGATTTATGGAAAACAGATTGAAGGCTTGATTGAGAAAGCTAAGAAACACTCAACTTGAGACATCTGCATCCTGGGATCCCCACAAGACCTATCTGGCAGCCCATCTAAAGAATTCTGTATCTCTGGGAGTGTCCCTAGCCCTCTTCTTATTCTATGTGTAATGAGATCCATGCCCAAGCCCTCCACTATTAAGGACATATATCCAGGAGACTCGAATCTCAATCTCTAGCCCAGACCTTTCTCCTAAGCGTCAGATGTGACCATCCCATTGCCCATTAGATATCACTGGCACCTCACATTGATCTTCTCCCTAAAATGGACTCTTTAGCTGCTCCACATAACTCTTTCTCCTTCCATGTTGCCACCTCAGTGACTGGCACCATAATCCATCTGAGGGCCCATGAGTCAAATGGAAGAGGCAGACCTATCCTCCTCTCTTCCTTATCCAGTATATCTACCAGGGTCTGATGAGTCTATCTACTGTTTCTCAAACTCACTCCCTCTTTGAATGATGCTTTGCAGACAATAGCTCATCTTCCAAAGGTGGGAAAATACCATATATGACAATGAACAGTAAAAAGTAAAAACAGTACTGTTAGAGCTCAAATGGGCTGCCGGGTTCCACAGATGACTCCTTACTCATTCCCTCTTGCTGGGCCCCCTATAATACCTTGTGAACTGCTCAGGTAACCATAGGTCCCCACTATGAGGACAGCATTTAAAACCTCTCCTTCCCATCCTAACTACTCTGCTAAGACCCTGCCCTTCAAGCCTTCAAAGATGATTTTTGTCATTAATTTTGTAGGTCATCTCCTTCTTAACCCCTTAAAACAGTCAGTTCTATAGACTAAATGTTTGTGTCCTCTCCAAATTCGCAAGTTAAAACTTAATCCCCTAAAGAAAACTTGGTACATATATACCCTGGAATACTATGCAGTCGTAAAAAGGAACGAGATCATGTCCTTTGCAGGGACATGGATAGAGCTGAAAGCCATTATCTTCAGCAAACTAATGCAGGTTCAGAAAACCAAACACCACATGTCCTCACTTATAAGTGGGAGCTGAACAATGAGAACACATGGACACAGAAGGGGGAACATCACACACTGGGGCCTGTCAGGTGGCGGTGGGGAGGGAGAACATCGGGATAAATAGCTAATGCATATGAGGCTTAATACCTAAGTGATGGGTTGCTAGGTGTAACAAACCTGCACATCCTGCAGATGTATCCCAGAACTTAAAATGAAATTAAATTTTAAATAAAGTGAAACCTAATCCCCGATGTGATGGTATTCAAAGGCGAGGCCTTTGGGAGGTGACGTAGTCATGAGGGTGGAGCCCTCATGGATGGGATTAGTATCTTAAATGAGTCCTGAGGGAGCTTGCTTCCCCCTTCTGCCATGTGAGGTTACAGCAAGAAGACACCTATCTATGAACCAGAAAGTAGGACCTCACTAGGCATCTCCTGGTGCCTTGATCTTGGACTTCCCAGCCTTCAGAACTGGGAGAAATAAATTTCTGTTATTTATAAGCCACCTAGTCTATGGTATTTTTGTTACAGCAGCCCAAACAGACTAAGGCAGGCCGATGCAGACACACATACTCCTTTTCCTCAAGGCTTTAGGAAACTGCATAATGTCTCAAGAACTAATATTTTCAAAAATGTAGACAGATTTTACTGCCAAGTATCTTAACTGCAAAGGGGTCCTCATTTTCTCAACCTCAATTTACTTAAGCAGCAAGTGTTCCCAGGTTAATCTCATCTTATTTTGAGTACCATAAGACAGTATTCTCTCTTTATGCTTGGAATGTTTCCAAGTATCAGGCAATGATATTTGAACTCATATCCTGAATAGAGACCATCAGAATTCTACAGCTGGAAGGGACCTTGGAGATCATCTAGAATCATCAGTCTATAGAAAATCTCAGATATGGTGAGATCACAAAAGCTGAGAGAGAGAGAGACAGCTGGGCTTACATCTTGACTGTGTAGCTTTAGTAGTTGTGTAAATTTTGGCAAATTATCTGGCCAATCTCGGTGTCAGTTGCCATGACCATGAAAGAATGGTAATGTCTCATAAAGGTGTTGAAAAGGCCCAGCACTCAATAAATGGCAGCAAACTATGACTTTCCTTTTTCTCATCTCATAGCACACAGCTTTATGATCTCATGCCATCTTGGTCAACATTCTTTGGATAATGTCCAGTTCTAGGTAACTTCCCTCTTAAAATGAGGTGCTCAGAATAAAAAGCACTAATGTTTCAAGGTGTGCTCTGATCAGCCCCCAGTACAGAGGGTTATGGTCTTTCATGATCTGATTAACCAAACACCTTAAAAGGGAGGACATGTGACTACCCCGAGTTGGTTCATGGCAAGCTTCTGGTCATCAGATCCTCAGCTTGATCCTTCCCAACCTGTATTTCCTCTACCAATTTGGCCGAGTCTGAATCAGAACGTAATGTTCACCTCTGTTAAATGGCATCTTGTTAGTACTGGCCCATCAATTACTTCTGCTTAGATCTTCTGGAGCCTTCAGAGCTTCTGAATTTCTCACTCTGCCAGGTTCATCTAGGATTGATCTTAGAAGTGGGCCTTCTGCTTTGGCCCCCTTCTTTTCAGTCTCTAAATGCTTATCAGGCCTGCTACCTCTTCAGCCTTCATTGTTCTATCTGCTGCCCCTAAATGCCCCTCACCAAGAACATGGGACAAAACAATAAACCTTTTAAGTGCTATTGCTTGTTAGGCCACCAGGTTTTGATACCATTTCATACGCATACCAGATCAAATGGAGCTGTAAGCCATAACAAAGGAATTCATAATTACTAACCTAGATTTGGACATGACTGGAATTGGCTAGAAGCCACAAATAGAAAAAGTACAAGTTACTTCCTAACGTGAGTCAGGTCTCTTGAAAAAACCAAACATAATCAGGTATTGGGCTCAAAATATAGAGCCAAGCTTCCTCCAAACTAGATACCTTGTGGCTCACCCTAAAACATCTATAATGTCAGCTGCTGCTATAATGGATATTGGAAAAAATTTTTAGAACTAAAATATAGTATTTCTCCTGGGAATGTATATAAAAAATGGGAAGAAAGCAGCAATTACTAGAGAAACTCAATAAATAACTTAGCAACCTGTCACTTTTCTTCAGGTGCACTGATAACACATATTAAAAAAGGATTCAAAACTTGCTGCCTCTCAAAAGGTTTTTTTTTTTTTTTTTTTTGTCGGGGGAGGTCAAGTTTTCTGGCAAAGTTCCATTCAGATCATCAGCAGGAAAAAAACATCCTCTATAATGCAGGCAAAGACTTGGAATGTGCATCACATTTAAAGAAATGGGTTTGTCTAAGACCTTCCCTTGGCACTGCCTTAAAATCAAGGGAATCTGAATGCTGGTCCTCCTGTATTATTCATTACATAATTGCTGTGTTTTATTAGAAATATGATCTATTATAACCTTGAATAGAGTACATTAAATGACATTGAAAATTAGATTATTCTGATTATTAGAGAAGTGAGAAATGTGCTAAACATTTGTAAGACTGATAATCAATCAGGGTATCCATTTGAGTGTAATAAAAATCAATCTGGAGCCAGTGTGTTTAAATCTAATTTTTTAAGCATGACATTTTCCTCAGAGTTTCTTTCTAAAATGTCACCATCTTCTACCACAGTGATTGATTCTGTCTCTAGGGAGAAGCACTCACTCCAATTACTTCATCCACTGCACACAAACCACAGTCCACTTCAAAAAAAAAAAAAAAAAAGCCAAATGAATCACAGAAATGACAATATATTTTACAGGGGGAGGGCACAGATTTATGTCACTCAAGCTAGAAAATCACCCATCTTCCTTTCTGGGGCTCAAACAGATAAAATATGCTACTAAGATCACAATGTGTCTCTTTACTTACTTCCAACAGAAATGAGGGGTTTTTATATTGGGTTTGTATTTCACCTGAGAAAAAAGACTACAATGACTTATGTAAAATCATTATTTCCCCCATATCTCTTCAGAGAAAAAAAAGGATACAATGACTTTGTCTTAATTTACCCTTTTTTCCATCCACCCACCGTCTATCCTCCTTTCTTCCCTCTCTGCCTTCTCTATGTCCATTCGTCCATCCATCTACTCATCCATACATCCATCCATAAACAATTATTAAACTCCAACACAGGTTACCAAGACACTGCCAACTTGGGGGTTCATTGATCTTTTTCCTTTTGAGTATATTCAGCTTACACAGGGTGAGAAGGATGACTTATGACATCAAAGGGTAACCCACTGAACTCATCCTGCTTTCTGCAGGGGGTTCACTAGGTTGGCAGAAAAGCAATGACCGCCCAATAATTCAGCTTGGCCCATTAAATTGGCACATGGGACTATTCATTTTATGAAATTTTGGTATGTTCCTGGGAACAGTAGTGGAAGGGGGAAGATGGCAATTATTGAGCATTTACCAGGGCCAAGTACTTGACATCCATTAGTCTGCTGAAATTCCAATGGTGGGAGGAGACCTCTGTTTTTCTGGCCTTGGGTTTTCATGTACAGACAGGCCTTTCACCAGGGTGACACTCCTGGCCTCTTTCTCTACCTCTCTTTCTCATTTTCCCAGGGAGGAAGAGAGGCTTATATTGGTGAGTCTTAGTAAAGGCTCTTAGAATTCTGGGTTCAAACTCTCCCAGGCCTTCTCCATGTGTGTCTGCCTGCAGGAAACAGAACATGGGCCTGTTCTCCATGACACGGAAGCTCCCAGGAGCAGGCTCTGCCCTTGGAGGAGGCCTTCGGGTATCAACTCTGCTGTTACCAGGTAGCTAAGCTTATCTGATTTGGGGGTGAAATTTTAGGAAGCCCATCAAGGCTGCACCTGTAAGCCCCATCCTCCACTAAGCAAATTGCTATATAAGTTAACTCACACTAGTAGGAAGGAACATTATGTTGCCATTAAAACAATCTTTTCAAAGACTATTTGATGACACAGAGGAAATATTCGCAATGTTAAACTAAAACATGAGGTAAGGAAAATTTAAATATGTGTGTGTATGCCGAGAAAAAACTCAGAATAAAATAAATAAAAATATTAGTAAGACATTTCTACAACATAGAATTATGATTTATATCCCTCGCTGTCTCCCTCACCTCCTTCGAGTCTTCTTCTTTGCAAATTTCCGTACTTTCCAAATTGTCTGCAGTGACCCTATGTTGCTTTGATTATTGTTAAAAGGGTACTCTTTTTTTTTCCATTCAAAAGAAAATAGCTTTTCTCTGGCACTAATAAGTTTCTCAGACTAGACAGTGATTATCAGAAACGAGTTGCTGACATTCTGATCCCCATTCAATTTCCACAGCTACCTTGCAACTGGGCCTGAATGTGTGAGGGGTGGAGAGGCCTGTGAATACTGGACTCCTCCCCACCACTCATCGCTCCCTGCTCTCCAGGGCCCCAGCACCTCTCATCGGGTTAGCTTCTGTAGCCTCCTCACACTCTCTCTGCCTCTGCCCTGCCCTCCCCTCCAGTCTGTGCTCGACGGAGCAGACACCTGGATGCTATTCACCCCAGTGTGGCACTCTTCTGCGCAAAACAGCTGATGCCATTGAAGTAAGAGAGAAAAGCTGGAATTCGCACACAGCCTTACAAAGCCCATGTGAACAGGATCTCTTCCTGTGGCCTCTGATTCCTTCTCCTGCTGTGGGCCCCATCATGTATTCCCCTGTAGACACAATGGCCTTCTCGATGGTCCCTACACATGCCAGGGCATACTCTAGCTAAGCGCTTCTGCACTGGCTGTTCCCTCTGCCTGGGTGCCCTCTCTCCCCTTCTCCCCTCCCAGATGTCTGCTGTCTCCCTCACCTCCTTTGAGTCTTTACTGATGTGATGTGTCACCTTCTCATAAGGCCTTCCTTAACTAATTCATCAAAAATTACAACCTGATTCCCCTTCCTGGTTTTATTTCACTTCTTGTTTTGTCTTCTTTATTATTTTCTCCCCAAACCCACCCAAAAGATATAAGCCCCAGGAGGGCAGGATTTTCAAGAATTCTTCACATGTTATCACCAGCACCCGGAAGAGTGCCTGGTACATCCTCAGCCTTTCATAAATTGTTGTCGATGAAGGATCTGGAAGGGAGGCTGTGTGCTGGGCAGGGAGGAGAGAGGGGTGCAGCCCTTGGTCTGTGGGCTTGTAGCTACCCAGGGAGGAGCTGCAGGACAGGAACAATGCAGAGAGGTGTTCTGTCTGACCTTTACAGCCCTGGCCCCAAGGCTTTACCCGCTACTCAGAGCAATGCCAACCGCACACACAGGGGCACGGAGGGAATGAGAGTGGAGAGCGGGTGAACGTTGGATGGCCAGCTGGGTCTGAGGAGAACTGTTCACTGCAAGTAACACACCTGGACTCAAAGTCTAGGTTCTCCTGCAGCTTCTGGCTTGGGAGGGCAGGACACAAGTGAATGACAGTAGGCTAGGAGGACTGACCCAGGCAGATATCTAAGCCACACTGAGCACCTTTGAGAGGCAAGGAGACAAAGCAGAGAGCTTCCTTGTGGTTCAGTAGAGCCCATCACTGCCATCTTTCTTAAGGGAAAAGTACAAAGGTATGCCAGATAGAAAATGCCTAGCCACCAGGCCAGGAATGGTGGCTCATGCCTGTAATCCCACAGCTTTGTGGGGCTGAGGAGGGTGGATCACTTGAGGTCAGAAGTTCGAGACCAGCCTGGCCAAAATGGTAAAACCCCATCTCTACTAAAAAAATACAAACATTAGCTGGGTGTGGTGGCTACTTTGGAGGCTGAGGCAGGCGGATCACCTGAACCTGGACGGCAGAGGTTGCTGTGAGCTGAGATCATGCCACTGCCCTCCAGCCTGGGCGACAGAACGAGACTCCGTCTCAAGAAAAACAACAACAACAACAACAACAACAAAATGTACAGACAACAGAATAAAATCCCTGATTTCTTACATCCTATTTCTTGAAACCAATAGCTCAAGTGAACTTAGTGCAACTACGACAACTGTAGATTCTGTCATAGCAACTGCTTGAAAAACTGACTTCAGTTTAGGACAAAAATCTACACACTCCAGAAAGAGGGAAGGCAAAAAGAAAGTCCGTTGAAAGTGCTCAGGGAAGGTAGCAGCCCCTTGGAGATATTGCCTGTAATGTGTAGATTACTGAAGTGGCATTTTGAGGAGGGGGCGGGGGAATGACCATGTCAAATGAGCCAGACAAGTCTGCCTGTTTCCCAAATTCCAGATGAGCAGTTCTACAATCTACCAGGAGAAGGAAGAGGAGGAG
The DNA here is from genome assembly GCF_000001405.40 of Homo sapiens. Taxonomy (NCBI): domain Eukaryota; kingdom Metazoa; phylum Chordata; class Mammalia; order Primates; family Hominidae; genus Homo; species Homo sapiens. Next base: position 25,544,576 of record NC_000003.12, on the reverse strand, counting down.
GATTTTTTGGTGTGTTCAGCTAAACATCAGTGTCTGACAAGCAACACAGGGCATGAGATGAACTAACTGAAGTAACCTTCCAGGTAGTAATTGGTTTTTGGTGAAGATAGCTGCTAAACTAGGTCTTGGGTAACTAATTTCCCATAGTCTCCATATAGCATGAGAACCTTATTAGTACCAGGGAAAAGCTTCTTTGTTTTGAAATTTTACAAAAGTATCATTTAAAAAACAACATGGGCTCACTGTAGACAATTTAGAAATTGCTGAAACTTGCTAAGAAGAATACATAAATCTTAATTATCTATGTCCTCAAAATAAGCCCTATTAACATTTTGATTCATTTTATTGTTTTTCTATGCATTTATGTATTTTTTTCAACAAAAATAATATATCCAATTTTTCTGATCTTGTTTTTCATTTAAACTTAACTTTGTAAATATTTCTTCATGTTATTAAATGGCCTTTGGAAGAAAATTACTTTCAATGCCAGTATAGTGTTCCCTTCTATGAGTGTGAATTAATTTTGTATAGCCATTCTTTTCCCGTCAGTCCTTTATTACCCACTCTATGCTAGCATAAATAATGCTGCAATGAACATCTTTATACATCATGATTACACACATTTTTCATTACTCTTTAAAATAGCTTCAAGAAAGGGATTATAAAGGATTTTTCAATACATGGCCAAGCCATATGCAGTTTCTAATGTTAAGCTTGCGTCTGTCACAGGCTTGGTTCTTGCTCTTCATTGAAGATCATGGGGGTGCATCTATGGAAGGTTACTTTTGCATTTCCAATCTTGCTCCTCCCTGTGGGGAGCTGACTGCTCTTCTCGTCAAAGTTGCCCATCTGCTAGCCCCCACTGGCAGGCTATTACACCATCCCTCTGGTCAATCTATCACTCCAAGGAACATTGCCATCGTCCATCTCACTTAGGTCAGCGCTGCTTGCTTAATAGTTCCCCAAATGGCCACAGATGGCCAATGGGCAGATATAGCAACATAATCTGATTATAGGACAACTGTGACCCCCTTGGCCAACCACCCAGAATGAGTGGATTTGCCACATTGCCCCTCCAAGCTGCAGAGTTATTGAGGCACTCATGGAAGGGCCATCTTGAAGTACACGGTTTAATTATTTTCACTGCCTGAACAGACTGAATTTTCTGTCTTATTTGGAGGATGTATGTCAAGGAGAGTAGGAACTGGTTGGGGGGAGCGAGGTGCCTTTAGGAAAAAATTCTTTCTGGCAACTCCTAGTTAATTAAGAAAATATTAGCAGCCAGCTCCTACTCACAGTGAGCTTTGTCTTTTAAAAGCCAAGTCTTTTATCTGTTCAGACCCCAAAGCTCTATGGATACTTTAGGTGGTCCCAAACCACGTGTACATGTGTATGTACACATGAGTGTCTTGGCATGACTGACATTTTCGGCCAAATATTCTTTGTCACAAGGCCCTTGGCAGGAGGTTTAGTGGCATTCCTGGCTCTACTAGTATCTCTTCCAGGTGTTATAAATGTCAACAGACATTACCAGTGTTTCCTAAGTGGCAAAATCACCTGCAGTTGTGTCCATGGGTATACACAAATGTTATAATCTTGAATTTGTGAGTGCTTAAGAGCACAGGCTTGGGAATCAGATTACCACCACCACCACTAACTATGTGAACACACCACTTGATTCTGATTCCCTATCTGCAAACAGAAACAATACTAAACACTTCACAGAGTTATTGTAAGGATTATGTAAGAAAATGGATGTAAGGACTTGGGAGGGCCCTTAGTAAGTGCTCCATAAATTTACTAATTACCTGCTCCATGGCAGTTACTAATGCTGTTAGGCAAGTTCACAGCCACATGGAAATGCTTATTGCACAAGGGAACAGAGGAGGGCAAAGGGATGATGACTTTTTCAGAAATATCTGCACACACAGCTGCAAAGCTTCGTTACATAAAATTTTGTATTTTGGCTAAATTCCAGCTGTCTTAGTCCATTCTTAGATGAGTTAAGACAAATGAACAGCTTTTATTAATACTACAGTAGGAATCCTAGACTCTTGATTGCTCCCTGTGGTGGACCCTAGACAGTTTGGTTGATTGGGAGGAGCAGTACTTAGCATCTATTTCTCTACCTTACCACCACCCTAATTTCCTTTGGAAAAATTACCTCTACCCCATTGGGTTTAATTGTGATAGGATGAAAAATCCAGTCACTTATTACAGGGGATGAGGAGGTCCCCAAAGGCAGGCACCTAGTATTCTACTCACATAATCATTTTTTAAAAGATTTTTTGTATACTTTATTGGCCTGCAAGTAGAATGGAAAAACATGGCCTGTAAGCCACAGCTCTCCTTCTTTCAACACCCATAGCAGACATACTAATTGATCATAGCTCTTGTCACAAATATAGCCTCAGAATCCGATGATACAATTGATCAGCATTAGCTGATAGCATTAGCTGATCACTACTAATTGGTCAGCATTAGCACACAAAGTGAAACCTCTTCTTTGCCAGCCCTAATCTTAATAAAAGGCTTAAGCTATGCCTAGCTTTCCTTTCTTCTTCTTTCCTTTTCTCTCTTACATCCTTTCTTCCTTCTTCAGTTGACAATTTATTTAACAAACATGATTGAGGTCAGCTATGCAAAGATGGTGGAAATACAGCTACCTCCCACGAAACGAATAGCAGAGTTCTCAGCTAGTACCATGGTGGTGACCACAGAGGGGCTCAGGAGTCTGTGGAGGAAGGGGCCGGAGGGTTGTTCTGTAAAGCAGTTGGAGACTAGACCAAATTCGAAGGTAAAGAGGAGGATATTTACACTGTCTGCTTACATCATGCACATATTCACAGTATGTCACAATAAGGAGTGAGGTGTTGGGGCCAATGGACTAGAAAGAAGTTCCCTAAAATATCCAGGCTTTCGGCTGTGTAAGGGGAAATGTTCATGATTCTAAGCTAAACTCTCCCTTTTTGACTGTCAGGGGCATCCACTTTTTCACTTGTAAAGTTTGAACTGGTCTTTTCTGCAAGATGATGCAAAAGAATCCTGATTCAACTCTCCTCCATACAGAGCTAGACTCATTCATCCATTCAACAAACGTACATGCCAGGGACTGTTGCAAGCACTGGAGAGGTAGATAGGAACACAAAAGACAAAAATCTGTGTCCTCATGCATGATTACAGGAGAGTAAAGGTCAGAACGAAAGACAGAAAAAAGACTGAGAGAGAGAAGGAGAGAAAAATAAAATTCAGTCACAGTGGGTGAGGGAAAGTATTTTCAAGAATTGGTGGAGAGAGCCAAAGGCAGCTGAGAGGCTGAAGAGGATGAGGAGGGATTCAGGGCCACTAGAGTGGCTAAATCAATGGATTTATCAATAGAGAGCAAGGGTCAGCAAAATGATCTCTGCGGGTCATACCATCTCTGTCACAACTACTCAATTTTGTGGTTGTCCTGGGAAAGCAGCTTTAGACAATGAGTATAAATGAATAGGCATGGTTGTGTTCCAAAAAAACTTTATTTACAAAAGCAGGTGACCAGCTAGATTTGGCCCACAGGCCACAGTTTACTGACCCCTGATTTAGGTCATTAGAGAACTTAAAAAAGGCATTTTTTTTTTCCTCTGCAGAGTGGTTGGGGTAGAAGCCAGAATGCAAGGAGTTAAGAAATGAGTGGGTCATGACAGCCATTAAGGAGGAAGCCCCCACCATGACCTGAATGAGCCCTAGCCAACAAGCTAGTAGGAGTGATTTCTTCCTTCTCTTTAATCTTTTCTATTATTACTTTTCTTAATTACAAAAATCATACATGCTCATTATAACATGTGAAATAATGTTATGATCTCTCTCTCACTCCTCCTCCATCCACAGCACCCTGGGGCAACCCATATAAAATGTCTGGTAACTATTTCTTGGTGCCTATGTCTCACCTTAGTGGTTATAGGACGCTGTGACCATGTCATCAGAAGCTGGGATGCTGGGTACAATCAGATATGCAATCTGGTTACCAGGGAAACAGAGGTCACAAAACTCACAGTAGAGAGACCTCCTTAATTAGTGATTCTAAAAGGGGAGGAGGATGAGGGCGGAAGTTAAAAATAACAAAGTGTCTATCCAGGGAGCTCACTGATAAACCAGATTCTAGAGAGTTTAGCTAGTTGGGAATTAGTTAATTGGGTAACCATACCCCGAGGTGTGGACCAAAGAGTTGGGGCCTGCCCAGACACTGAGGCTCCAGATCAAATTAACTAGGAAGATTAAAAAGCCTAAACCGCTTTCCTTCCACTAAGCATGATTTCTTCTCGAAATATCTTACAGGATTAAAATCACGAAGCAGATATTACAGAATTCCATGGTCTCGCTGGCTGGATGCTTCACTGGATGGTGAGTGAAGGAAGGAATTGATCAATTACTAAATCACTGGGTCAATAAATAAAATAACCAATCAACTAAGGAAATACATATGAAAAGGACTTAGCATTATTATCCTTTTACAGTTGTCACTCGGTATATGCAGGGGATTTCAGGACCCCTGTGTAGAACCAAAGCTGGGCATACTAAAGTCCAGCAGTCGGCCCTGCAGAACCTGTGTGTACGAGAAGTTGGCCCTTTGTATATGTGGGGTTTGCATCCCATAAATACCGTATTTTTGATCCACACTTGGTTGAAAAAAATTCATATATAAAGGGACCCACACAGTTCACTCTAATTTATATATAAATGGACCCACAGTTCAAACTAATATTGTTTAAGAGTCAATTGTATAAGACATCAATGTGATGGGGATACAAAATAAGTAATGCAGTCTTAGATTGCACTATAAGAAATCCAGTGTATGGATCGAGGAAGATGATCATTTTCCTGTACTCTGGACAGACCACCTCTGGAATACCAGGATCCATTAATGGGACTCTCTTATTTTAGGATGGACATTGACTAAAGAGAATGTAGAGAGTGTGGGGGGGAAAAAAGAAATACAAAACAAGAGAAAAAAAAAAAGAAATAAAGGGGAAAAAATAGGCCAAAAAAAAGAAAAAAAAAAAAAAAAGAGAGAGAGAGAGTGTGGCCAGGTGGTGAGTCTGTGGGTGAGGGGCATTCCTGAAGCATACCACAAAAGCGACCACTGAAACAGTTAGAGATGTTTGGTTTGAAGTAGAGGAAGACGTTTCAGAAGGGACACAATGCCTATGACCAAATATTGAGAATTATTCTCAGTACCTTGAGAAGGTAGATATAGGGCCAACAGGTAGGAGTTAAATAGGTAGAGGTGGGGACTTTCTAATTGTCCCTGCTTCGCTCAAATAGAATGCTGTCAACCATGAGACATTCTTCCCATGGTAACTGATGTGTCTGCCAGAGGATCATTGCCAGGTAGCTGTGCGGTTTCCCTTAGGTCTCTTTCAAACCTTAAAGTTCTATGCAGTTACCATCTTTCAACTGTTTTGGAAAGCACAGGCAACTGGCCAGCTTGTTGGTATCTAAATGGTTGTACGAATTGAGAGAACTCAAATGTCATTAACGGTTGTCTGTTCATAGATCATTCAAGGTTAATTATACACAAAGAAACCTTTTAAAAAGCTTAGGCAAGACTATTTGTAATTAAGCTTGCTTCAACTTGTCTGTGATTAGCAGAGTAGTATCTTGGAAAATGCTGGCTGTGGGTAAGAGGAACTAAAATGTGACATCAACTGCTTTTACCTCTTTGAACCCAAGTATATTTACCTGAAAAATAAGGCTTAAAATGCAATCCCTATCTCCTTCACAAAACCTGTTGTACAGCATCTCATTCGGTGTTGCACCAAATGAAATGATGTATATTATACAATAGATTTCCTCAAACTATTGTGATGAAGGACCATGATTCTAGTGTTTTCCCTCCATTTCTAATTTATCATGGACAAATACTTTTATAAAATACAGTAAAGATGAACTACTAGAAAAATGAAATGCTGCTTGAATGTTGCAGCAGTATCAAGTTGCTGAAGTTTCTAAATGCCTACTCTCCACGTCAGGCCCTAACTTGTGGGGCCTAGTAACAAATAGCACACCAAACATCTCTGGTCCATGGACCATACTTTGAATAGCACTACTCTAAACTGTTGAAGAATATTATTATGAACGTAATTCTATATCTTAATACATTTTAAAAATCACAATTATAAGACATCTAAAACCCGGATGTAAAGATAGAATTCAAAATGATGCTTAGCAAAAAAAAGGAGCCCGCATTACCAAGTCAATCCCTTTCCTTTTGATAACCAGATGGGTTTAATGATATAACTGAGTCGAATTATGGGAATAACAAGAAAGTTCTATATAATTATGAAATGGGTGTAAACCTCCCATCCTGGCAGGTGGATTCCAATCTTTCTGGACACTGACGTAGTAGCATTGGGCATTTTAAAGTCCTTTCACAATTAAAAAGGTTGAATTGACTTAGTGTCTGATAAAACAATGAAAAAGACACTTGTTACTGGGAAACACCATTGCTTAAAAAAAAAAGTTTCATTGTTGATTTTAAATCTAACTGATTACTTGGAAGCCCCTGAAAACTTCCAGAGATAATATCCTGCACACAAGGGATTTTGTTTCTATAAAGTAAAGAGGCAGCAGTTTTCACAGAGTTAACTCAGTAAAGTAGCACTTTCTACTTGGATAAACTGACCTAGATATCCTGACTTCCATGCAACAACAAAATAGGCAGGCTAAGATTTTGGGGTCTGTCTGTGAGGAGAGAAAAGAGGTAGGAGATACAGGTTGGGAGAAGGCCCTGGGTAAAGAAGAGCAAGAGTCTTCATTTTGATTATAGTTAAAACTTCTGTCCTCAGCTTTATGAACTGAGGGATTCTGCTCCAGGCATTCAAGAAGAGAGTCGTAAATCAAACGGCATCATGATTCAGAGTTGGGCCCATAGAAGAGAGCCTCCTTATAAAAGGGAGCTGCAGAAATACACACTAAAACCCACAGTCCCCTCATTCCACAGGCATTTTCATGATACGGCAATGTGGGGTTAGGAATCAAGGGCACCACAGTAAAACAGCCCCACAAGAGCCTCAGTGACTACATCTGCAATATGGGAATTTTGTGAAAACTGAATGAGTCAGTGCATAGTATTGCGAATGTAGACTATATCAATAAGTGACGTTTGTGTGTGCACGCAAACAGAGTGCAGCACATTCGGGGCCTATTCAAACACACAACCAATTTTGAAAAGCAGAGTAAGACAGTCTCAGGGGAAGAACTATATACAGTTGAAGTAATTTACAAGAACATAAGCTCACATTACTCAATTAGCTTGGCATGAGCTTAAAGCATCAAATGGCCCTTTCCAGATGCTTCTTGTTGTCAGCCGCTTTCCTGTCAGCAGGCCTCTCTTGACCAACCTCCCTTCCCTTCCACTAAGCCAAACCCCTCTTTCAACTTCCTCTGTCCCTGTGGGTTTGGGGTCTTTTCTTGACTCAGTTCCAAACCACCCCTTCCAGCCTCCTACTGCAGCAGGCCCCTCCTCAGCAACCTGTATAGAGAGGCCCCGGAGTCAGCTTTTTGATCCGGGTGCTCCCCAGGGGAAGTCTTTGACTAGTTTTTCTCATGATTCTGGGAATTTCGTCTGTTACTCAATTTCTCTGAACTGGATCCACCATCTTGTTTAGCACAATGTGGGTTTCTTTTCTTTCTCAATCCAAATTTCACTGGAAAACTCCCCAACTTTCTTTTCCTAGGGCTTCTAAAAATCCTATGTCACAGTGACTTTCATAAAACTCCCATGAAGAACCCTCTGCCACTTACCCCACAAACTTTTCACCATTTCTGCTCCCAGTGATAAGTTTCTGAGAGAACATTTCTTCCAGAAACGCCCAGCTGCATTTGCTCAACACAGCAACACATCTGCATTTTATTTTTCCCTGCAGTTTAACTTTAGCTGTAACAAACGAATCCCCCCATATCCACCAGAGCCCAGAGATAAAAATTGTTGATTGTTTGTTTGTTTTTTGAAACCACAAATCTTATCTAGGTTTGTACTCTACTTTCTAACGAATGGTTTGATTTAAAACATTTTACCCTCCTTCAAGTGTCTCAATTCCATTTTGTCGTTTTTCCCCCATGGTGGGTTTTTACTGTAAGCTAGCTTATGAGGTTGTAATGAATTGGCATAATCTAACTTCCATTTCAGCCTTCAAGGAACAGACCCTGCTAAGTCTTCTGAGGCATGCACACTTTAATATTCTTTATTCCAGTGTCGTGTCTTTAGCATGACAAATATTATTAGCATTAGACTGGAATTCTGCAGACTATGGTATCTAGGCCTGGCTTTGTCTCTAACTAGCTGTGTGACTTTAGAAAAGTCACTTAACCTACTCTTGGCTTTATCTCTTGTTCTTAAAATGAGATTTAGTTATTTTTTTGTTTCCCTATCAACTCTAAGAGTTGGGTTCTACTGAATATGTTTTGAATGGTGAGATATTAATAGCAGGTAAGAGGAAAAACATTGTTTAGTATAGTGGGTAGGTGAGAGTGGATGGGGAAACTTGGTATCACTGTTGTCATCTTTATGTCCTCCTCACCTTCGCTAATAGCTTTCTCTGTATCTGGAACTCTTGTAAGCCACTTCTTTTTCCTTGACCTACGATGGAAGGTGGGGCTACATCTCAATAAGCCCATTGCAAGTTGAGAATATTCTAAGTTGAAATGCATTTAAGACCCTGATAACACTGTAAAATAAAAAAAATTCCAAGTCCAACCTCCTAAGTCAGGAACCATCTGTATTCATTCCATTTGCCCAGCAACTTAATGAAGCAGGGATTCATATTATTTCCCATTTAAGAGACAAGGATGGTTTCCAGCTTCAACCATGTCCCTGCTAAGGACATGAACTCATAAACCATCATTCTCAGCAAACTAACACAGGAACAGAAAGCCAAACACCGCATGTTCTCACTCATAAGTGGGAGTTGAACAATGAGAACACATGGACACAGGGAAGGGAACATCACACACCAGGGCCTGTCGGGGGCTGGGGGGCTAGAGGATGGATAGCATTAGGAGAAATACCTAATGAAGATGAGGGGCTGATGGGTGCAGCAAACCACCATGGCACGTGTATACCTATGTAACAAACCTGCACATTCTGCACATGTATTCCAGAACCTAAAGCATAAAAAAAAAAAAAAAGAGATAAGGACACAGAGACATGAAGAGGTTATTTGCCCGATGTCCCATGGCCAGCAGGTGGTAGAGCCAAGATATAAAGCTAGGTTGTGTCCCTAAACACCAGACAATACTGCCCTGACATCACTCCAAGCAAGTGACCACTGACCCCAACCAAAAGATTTCCATTTCAGAATTCATCAACATTCATTAATTAAGAAAAAGAAAAGAGGAACAAGTTTTAGAATGACTGATCCAAAGCCCTCGTAAATTAAGTAACCAACAGAACACTCAGCTTGCCTGGCTAATAGTGGAGTGAAAACCAAGCCCCTGTCCTTGCTGCTTTTCCTTCACTGGGCAACTCAAACCTGACTACTTTCTCCTCCTTCCATTGCATATCATTAATGCAATACATCCAGTTTGCTCCATTTTGCTTCTCCTACAGCCACATGGCTATTTTGATCATTTTCATTCACTTTACTGGCAAGCATACAGAATATGGTCTGGGCTTCAGAATGACACATCTGGGTGCACCTGAAGGAAGGGTCTCTGGAGGAGTGATGGCCTCCACCTCCTCAGCAGAAGCTGGAACTTCTTCCAGTGTTCAGGGCACTAGCAGCCCAGCATTAGCCTGTCCCATCTTTTAGTTAAAGATGATGGCTTAGGTGCTAGTCCCAAAGCCAACAGGTAAGGACTCTTTGGATAAAACAAAATACAAACCTGAAATGTGATTAGATGTGTTTCACAAAGTTTCTTCTGAAAAAAAAAGAAAAAGAAATAAACAAAAACTATGACCTGTGTCACAAAAGTGTATCCAAACAGGTATGTTCAGCAAACACTGTGCCGGGGGGCCCAGGAAAGCCACTGATAAGGGAACCTGTTACACCCAGATACTTGACGGAAGAAGGAAAAGCAGGAAGAGCGGGAGAAGCACACATGACATTCCCACAGGGCTTGTGAGCAGTGACCTTTCTCTACTTATGCTATTAAGGAAAAAAAGTATAAAAACCCTGAGTACTTCTCAGACTCAGTAAGGTAACTGAGGACCCATTAATAATAGTAATAATAATTAATATTTATTGAATGTAGTACTTACTATATACCAGGTACAAAGTACCCAAGCACGGTACATAGGTACCCATCCAAACTTCTCTACTGTTAAGGTAGGTACTATGATTACTCACATTTTACAAATGCTCTTGGTTATTTGCTCAAAGTCTTAGGTCAACAAATGGTGAAGCTGGGTTTTCAGCTAACATGGACTGATTCCAAAGTCTATACTGTTAATAATCTCATTTTCTGATGATTGATTATAAAAGAATAAACTGAACCTTTAATTCTCTAGGAAGTTGGAGCTGCATTGAGCCAAATAAAGTCAGGCATTTCTTCAACTGGCACATAGTAAAAGCATTTCTTAAATTGCTAGACATGAGCAAGGACTTATTGCTGCTTCTGAGGAAGAACTCTGAGAAGCCCCCTAAGAGCACTGAAAGTTTCAACAGGAATGAGTCTCACCATCACAAGTGAGAAAACCAGGATTTAAAGATTTATTCAAAGCATTGAAGTGTTAGGAAGTAAGGCATTTACTCTTGCCCAAGAGTTTACATTACTTTAAATCATGCTTTCAATTACATAATTTAAAACTTATTTATACAGATAGTCCCTGCTTTAAACTTAAACTTTGTTAATTGGTTTTCTTTTTCATTTAGCATTGTCTAATAGAATCATGTGGGTTCTTTTTGCTCCCTCTATGGGATCGTTTTATGATTTCTGCCAATGACTGGGCAGAATGAAAGCAACAAAGTAGAAACCTAGATATATCGTTTGCAAAGTAAGTACTTACTCTACTGGCTGGCACATAAGATACAATCTCCTCCCTCACTTCTCACTAATCAAACATATCCAAACTTTATCTTGCATTCCATGTGCTATACTACCCATGGAGAACTAAAAGCCCAAGATGCAAAATAATAAACAATGCTATCCTTTTGTGAAATAATACACCACTATCCAGGCAACTAATGACACATTAAGTTTGGCTCATTAGTGTTTTCGATTGACTTTGGTGCTATTACAGTCCTCTCACATTCCAGTATTTCCTGATACCAATATATTTATCTATGGGATTTCATATTTTTTCAGGGCTAGCAAAACATAACCACATTTACAGAACTTATTATACCTTATTGAATAGTGGTATAAAGTATAATATTATTGTTATATAAACAAAGTAATGTGTCCCCTTCCCATAAAACTGCATATTTTCACTTTATTTATAAAAATAGAGCTTTTTGTTAGTGTGCATTAACATGGCCTTTACAATGAATGCATTAGATTTAAAAGTGGAGGCAGCCTCTAGAGTATTTTTGGCAAATATTATTCTTTCACAAAGAATTCTCTTTGAGTTTTTAATATAATACCTTCTGGCTCATTAGCTATACAAGTTTGGCATGACCTCAGTTTTGCCTGCCACCTAGTGTCAGCATGCTGAATTGCAAGCATAGGACTCAAGTTGGTTCAAGAGTACTGAGGCCAGCCTCTGAAGTGAACTTTAAATGTCCTGAAAAGCAATGCCTTTCTTTCCAAAATGCCCAGTTGTATTCCCTGGGAGGAATTCTCTCATCTTGTGGCTCGGTGTCTGAGCCACTCTCAACAAAGAATGAAGTTAAATTCTCACATTAGAAGCAGTTATAGGAAGCCTCTTTAGGGCTCCAGACATTTGGACCATGTTCATAATAATTTGAGAGTTAAATATTTAGCTCCTCTTCCTGGATGTTAGCCAGAGGCCATTTGCTAACCAAATCAGTTGGTCAAGCATTTCCACATTATATATGGCAGATTTCAAACACTCTTGGGAGGCAAAGTGCTACAAAGATAAAATAAATTATCACTAGAGAAACTACCACGACACTCTAAAATACTCTTCCGTCTTTTGCTTTGGGGAAACAGTATCATAAATAGGAGACATATCTTTTAAAATGAAAAGTGCTATTTGTTTTTTAACAGCTTCACTCTCCTTTCGTCTCCTGCCCCTCTGCTGTTAATAACATCTGATCTTACATTTAAGCAGGAAGAAAATGTAGCCACATGATTTAAAAAGCATGTGTTTATGACTTGCCATGTTTAAGCACTGCTGAATAAATGTATATTGAAAACATATTTCAAGTGAGAAGCCATAATAAGGGGTTTAGGGATATTCAATATTACTCTACTAATTCATAGCACACCATAATTATGGAATGTGTAGACTTTCTAGATGTAAATTATAATCCATGACTCAGTGAGAGCCCTTTGCAGCCCTCCCTCAGTGGAATGCCACAACATTACACATTTTAGGCAAATTGACACAAAATAAAATAAATCATGTCAAGAGCTGTATAGAACCATTATTTCAGCCTTAAACATTTCATTAAAACTGCACAGCTCAAAATCTCCCCTCCCCACCCCCACCTATCAGACTGTATTGAAATGAATAGGTCCAAATATCCTGAACAATGTAGCTTTTTACATTTTCTGGTGGAAAGATTATTTTTACTAACAAAACTGAATCCAGATTTCTGTTCTTCTCCCTTCAGCAAAGACCCTGAGGGAAATTAAATCGAGCTCTTCTTTGCCCCTCTCAAATTCCTACCTGGCAGAAAAGAATTCTGACACAAAATTTTTATAATTTGCAGGCCATGAAAGTGGTATCTGCTTTTTTTTTTTTTTTTTTAAAGTGTCTATATCTTTTTCTTGTTCTACAACAAAATTTATCAAAATAAAAAATACAGAAAACTGTAGCACTTCTGGATGTTAGCCAGAGAGCGTTTGCTAACCAAATCAGTTGGTCAAGCATTTTCACATTATTTATGGCAGATTTCAAACATACATTGCTCTTGGGAGGCAAAGTGCTACAAAGATTAAATACATTATCACCAGAGAAACTACCAGAAGACTTTAATAATTTGAGATATACACACGCACGCACACACACAAACACACATATATAAATCTATCTGTATCTATCTATCTTCTATCTATCTATCTATCTATCTATCTATCTATCTACCTATCTATCTATCTACCTATCTATCTGTATATCGATCTCCCCCTTGGCCTTGACTTTCTCAGAGTGTCCTGCCCTGACTTCCAACTACCCACACTTGTATCTCTTTGCTTGTGGGCTTTCTTTGGCCCTGGAACCCATGTGGTTCACAGGTCTTCGGAATGAAGTTCTCCTAAGAGCAGCCCTCAGCCCTTAACTGGTGCTTATTGGGATTGAGATAACTCTGAGGCTTGTATTTTTCATTGCTTCTCATAGTTCCCCAGGTTAAGTTCTACTTGCACACAGAATAACTAACTTAAAACACACTCTTCATTGGCTATCTTTACTTCCTTATCTCTTTCTATTTCTCCACCTGTGTTTCCGGCAATTATGTAAAACAAACACACAAACTAAACAAAAACTATATGCATTCAAATCCTTGTCTTAGGGTTTGCTCCTAGGGTATAAAAGTTAAAACGTAAGTCCATATGATCCTGAAACCAGGAAGTGGCATTTGCTACATGCTGTCACTCTCTTAAATTTCAATGGATAATTTTTTTAGTTCTTCACCGTAGGCAGTAGGCAGAGTAATGCCTCCCCCATCCCACTCAAAGATGTCCACATCATAATCTCCAGAAGCTGTGAATATGTTATGTGGCAAGGGGAAATTTAAGTTGCAGATGGAATTGAGATTACTAATCAGCTGATCCTAAAATAAGATTATCCTGGAAAATCCAGGTGGGCCTGCTGTAATTACAAGACTCCTTTAAAGTGGAAGAGGAAGCCTGAAGAGTTACAATCAGAGCAATGTAATGTGAGAAAGACTCTGGCCATGGCTGGCTTTGAAGATGGAAGTGGCCACAAGTCAAAGAATGCAGGCAGCTTCTAGGAGCTGGAAATGACAAGAAAGTGGTTTCTCCCCTAGAGCCTCCAAAAAGGAATGCAGCGCTGCCAAATTCTTGATCTTAGTTCAGTGAGACCCATTGTGGACGTCAGACCTCCAGAACTACAAGATAGTAAACTTGTGTTAGTTCAAGCCGCTAAATGTGCGGTAATTTGTTACCACAGTAATAGGATATCAAACCCTTGGCCTGTAGAACTGGCCAAGTCTGAAGTAATTATCACCATGTAGACTCTCCACCTCTTACCCATTTCTTCCCATTGTTTTTCCCCCTACGGAATCAAAGGGGATTCCTGCATATCTCAACAAAACTTCACAAGTCCTTCTGAACTCCTATGATGTGCCAGACCCAGGGGATATAAGGGGTAGATAACACTCAGGCAGCCTTCAGTCTAGTGGGACATAGAGAAGTCCACAGACAGCTGCAATCCAGCAAGGTCAGCGCTGAGACAGTAATCATAGTATGAAGGGGAGAGGCAGCCACGGGTCCGTGGGTTGCTCAGGGAGGGGAGGCGAGCAGGGGCCAGGACATGAAGGGCAACACAGGCCACATAAACAATCTGACCCTAACCCGAGAAAATAGCGAGCCACTGAGGGGTTTTAAAAATCACTTTTTTGAGTACCTTGCGTAGCTGTAAAAGAATATAAGTTATACATAAGGTATATAAAAATATATAATAAATATTATCTGTGTGTCCGCCATATACTTTTCTTTAACATGGGTATTTTCAACTGAGCTATACTTTACCTCCTACAAAATTCACCCTTTTTGGCATACAGTTCTATGAGTTTTAACAAATGTATACAGTCATGGGAAAACCACTATGATCAAGATATGGAATAGTTCCAACACCCCCGAAGTTCCCTCACATACTTTTAAGACAAAGCATATCATGTTTTCCTTTGAAGTTTCCTTTCCCATTTCCTCCTCCTTCAGAAGTAACTCCATCGTCCATTTCATCATTTCCTCAGTTTCCTTCTGAATTTTATCACATTTCTATCCATTAAGGAAAAGGTTGTTTTGCATGTTTTGAGATTTATATAAAACATATGTGTTTTTAGTTGTCAGAGACAGATGCTTCTGTTGCTGACCCTATGTTAGGATGAATCCTAAGCCTCATCCATGTTTTTCTACTATACAATTTCATTGTTGTATAGTATTTCATTGTTTGAATTTATGCATTCTATTGCTGATTTGAATAGTGTTGCTAGGAACATTCTTGTACACATTTTTCTAGGATGTATATGTATATACTAGATGTGTATATATACACACATCACATGTACACATACACATACCTAGGCAATAGCTATATTTTTTTCTGGGTCACTAGGTATATGCCTCTTTCACTTTACTAACTAATGCTAAATTGTTTTTCAAAACTGTTGTATCCACTTATCCTCCAACCAGCTGTAATATTCTAATTACTCCTCATCTCATTGTCACGTTTGAGCTCTCTCCTGCTCAAAATTGAACAATTGAACAATTTTGAGCAGGAGAGAGCCACACATTGATTATTATTTATTGATTTAGCTTCAGAAAGACCACTCTGACCAAGAGATAACCTAAGAGAGTAGCATGGCTGAAGGAGGTGAGGCCCAATCAATGCTAACTTGCAAAGATGAGAACGGATCCAGAGAAGGGTTCCTAGGGAGGCGAGTCTTCATGTTTGGCTGCGTTTTAAAAGTTGCTGCTTCTGAAAGTGGACACATCAGACTACTCTGTGTGGAGTAGTCCTCTGGACAGATGCAAATAGAGGAGAAATAAGAATCTTTTTTCTCCTAAGGCAGCCATCTCTACCCTCCCTACCATGGGGAACATGGAAGCCCCTTGAGAGGAATGGGCCCTTCCATCCCTCAGGAGGAGGTAAGGGGAAGGAGACTGCTTTGAGATCCCACCTGATTGGATCCTATCCACTGGACTGGCCAGTGCTGAATCACATGGCAGGAGGGGAGTCCTCCCTTCCTTCTACTCCTCCTCCAGAGGACACTAAGCCTGAAAGAGGGAAACATCTGGGTGAGTTACCTCAGTTCAACAATCAGAGGATGGCTGGTTCCAAACACAGCATGGGGCCCATGCTGGAATTTCCCCTGTCCCAGCACCCTTTTTTGGTGCCACTAAAATGTTATAACAGGGTTTCACAGGACAATTTTACACCAAGCTGTCTGGACTCAGGAGGGCACATCTGAGACTTTGCTCATCTTCCTGTCTCAGTCTCTTGCTGTCCTGAACAGCTAAATCAAATGCTGGCCATCTGGGCACACTGTCCTTCAGGGGTTTAACCGACCATTTCAAAACAGTTTGACAAGCTTCCTTGAACTCCATGGTGGGCAGGCTCTTTCTCCAAACACTCGAGGCTTGGCTTCAAGTCTGTCTGTCTTCCTTCCTCAACATCCACCAGCCTCTTTACTTTCTTTTCTCCTGGTGCCAACTCCGCAGACATTACCAATTAGTCAAACATCAGTGTTTGGCAAGCATTTTCCTAAGGCTTCTGGCTCAGCTTGCAGAGCACCTCATCCACAGGCCTCCCGCCTGGCTTTGTGCAGGGCCTTGTTGCTGGAGCAAAAACAGCACTCATTATGCTTTGAGTAGGAGACACTGAGGTAAAGAAACAAACAGCAAGAAAATCTGTGGGGGGCGAAGGGGAGGGCTTTTCTTTGGAGGTTTACAGAGTGAGTTGTTTTGTTTTCTCTTAAATCCATAGAAGCAAAGATAATCACAGTTAGTTTTACAGTTTTAGTCACTCAGGAGAAATAATCACATTTAGGTTTGTTAGAGGAATGCCAAGAGCATCTATCTACCCTCGAAAACCTCAAAAAACCCTTTTTACCTTAAAACATAAGGGTATACTAGTTGTCCTTTGTTTCATTTACCCTGTGCTTGGATGGTTTGGGACTAAATGCTTCATGTACAAGCATGTATGAACATAACACACTACCAAGGTCAGCTCAGCCCCATTTTGTACTTAAGGAAACTCCAGTTCACAGACAATTTGGAGATGGAATTGAACCCACAGCTGACTAATTTCAAAGCACAGCTTTTTTGACCTCTATCCTAAAGGAAATTGGTTTAGTTGAAAAATACAATGCTCTTTCACTACCATTTTTGGTGTTTCTCAGTTGCAGGCCTCGCCAGCTAGGTCTCCCTAAGGAGGAAATCGAGTCACAGACAAAGGCCCACTGCTGGGTTTACATGAGAAGGCAGCTCACAGGGCATTTCTGGAGCTGTTGCCTGCAGAGCTGCAAATATTTGCCATCTAGCCACTTGCTGATCACTGCTCTAAGCCCGTGCTGCTCAAAGAAGGACCTGAGGACCAGAAGGATCAGCACGATGTAGGAGACTGTTGGAATCCAGAATGTCAGGTCCCCTTCCAGACCTGCCAATTCAGAATGTGCATTTTATCAAGATCCCCAGATGACTGGTGTACATAGTCCATTTGAGAAGCACTGCTCTAAGTAACTCAATCTTTCCCACTGCTGACACTGAATAAAGTAGTAATTACACACAAACACATAAACATACACCTGCCCCTCATCCCCACCTCCCACACACACCCTGCTTCCAGTTGCATGCTTAATTATCAGTAAGGTTTTCTGGCAAGAACATTCATTGGCAAATAATATGATACCTTCACCAGCAGAACTCCATTATTAAAATCATGAGTAAGGAATCATGGGAAACTAAAGATCTACCTGAAGAAGGGGAACACCGCTAAGTACCAGCTTAGATATCACCCTGTTCTCTTTAAAGTTTGAGAGTGGCCTGCCAGAATTGCATTGGAAGCCAGAGAACTAGTAACCAGCCATTCATTCACCCACTCATCCATCCATCCAGCCATCCATCCGTCCATCCAGTCCATCTAACATTCTCCATGTACCTTTTATGTGCTATTTAATGTTGGTTCTATCTCTAATTTATTTATCAAAATCCATTCACTTCTCTTTATTTTTAAATTTAACTTAATTTTTCATTTCTCTTTTAACTCCATTAGTCCAAGCCATCATTATGCTTTGCCTGGACAACTTAACTAACCACCCCACTTCCATTCCCAGCCCCTTGCCCAATCTATTCTCCACACAGTAGAATACACAATCAGTATATTCAAACTGCAAATGTGATCATGTCACTCAATGTTTATCACTTATCAATGGGCTACACTGCACTGAGAATAAAAATCAAACTCCTTCAGGTGGGCTACAAGAACACCACCCTTTGGCTTCCTCTTCAATGACATATTGGACCACTTCCTTCCTCACTTACTATATTCCAGCCCCAGCAGTCTTCTTTCATTTGGGTTCCCAGAAGACTTATTCCAGCCCAGGAAACTTCTCCCCTTTGCTCTCCTACCTGGAATGCCCTCTTCTCTCCATACTTGTGCTCAGGCTTCACACCTCCTCCATGAGGCTTCCCTCATCAGCCAGTCCTAAGTCCCTTCCCCTACTTATTCTCTATCACAGCTTGATTGTTAATTATGCATTTCTTTGTTGCCTAGATTAATGTCTACCTTCCATATAAATGAAAACGCCAAGAGGATGAACCATGACTGTGTCTGTTTTGTTTACCACTCACCCCCTAGCCTACAGCTCAGAGCTTTGCAACTGCTGTTCTCTGCCTGGAACACTTTTCCTTTGATATCTGCCTGCTCACTTGCTCACTTCCTTTAGGTCCCTGCCCAAATGTTACCTTGCCAGACAGACCATCCGTGACCACTTTTCATAAAATAGACCCCTTTACCTCCATGATGCTCAGCTTCATATTTATATTTACATGGCTACCACATTATACAGCACAGTTCTAAGCAGTGATGACCACCTTCTATTTATGTAAAATTGCTTATTATCTGCCTGTGTCTACCCTCTCCCAACCCTGAACATAAACTTCAGGACATCAGGAACCCTTTAGTCTATGCTGACTTTCATCCAAAACAGCACACAATAAATACTGGTTGTTGAAAGTCTACATAGTAAGTGCTCAGAAAATATGTGAATAAATGAATGAGTCAATTCATGAAGGCATGAGCCCGAAGCTATGTTTGCTGAGGGGGGTCTATGAAGACAATGAAGGTGAAATTTCTGACCTCAAGGAGCTTGTTTTTGAGTATGGGAGGCAGGGGTGATTTGGTGTCACATAAATACCTCCTACCTTCATCCTATCTCCACTCTTTCCACACCGGCTCTCTCTGCCCCTTCTGTCCTCTGCCTCTCCCCTCAAAATGACACCACACTTTCATTCTGCCTGTCTTGTGTTGCCTCCAAAATGAACAGGATAACCTAGCATTCTGAGAATTTTCTTTCTGAGCTAGATCTTTGAGTGTTCTATTTTCCCCTCATCTATTTAACACCATGAACATATGGACTTTTGAAGAGCTTTGTCAGAACACTTTATAATGTTATGAGGTACACTGAAATTTTCCACATAAAGTATAATTTCTGATTTTATTTCCAAGAGCTAGAAAAGAAGACCTTTTAAAAATATACAAAGGGCTGGACGTGGTGGCTCAAGCCTATAATCCCAGCACTTTGGGAGGCTGAGGGGGGTGGATCACCTGAGGTCAGGAGTTTGAGACCAGTCGGGCCAACATGATGAAACCCTGTCTCTATAAATATACAAAAATTAGCTGGGTGTGATGGTGAGCACCTGTAATCTCAGCTACTCAGGAGGCTGAGGCAGGAGACTCACTTGAACCCAGGAGGCAGAGGTTGCAGTGAACCAAGATTGTGCCTCTGCACTCCAGCCTGGGTGACAAAGCGAGACTGTATCTCATGAAAAAAAATAATGATAAAAAAGAAAAATAAAAACATGGGAGGAAAAAGGGACAGAAAGAAGAGGATAGGAAGAGGAAGAAAGAAGGAAGGAAGGAGGGAGGGAGGAAGGAGGGAGGCAGGGAGGGAGGAAGGGAGGGGGGAAGAGAAGGGTAAAGGGAAAACTTTTGAAGGAGCTTGTCAGTCTGGTTTCAGTCCTTAACTTTTATGAGATAAAAAAGATTTGTACTCAATTACTTAGGAGCTTCATCTTTATTCTACCAAGATGGAGAAGATGGTGGTTCCAGTGGGGCTGCTGGTACTTTGCAAATCTAACCCTAATGTCTGTTGGAGAAAGGTTCTGATTAAATTATCCTTTACATCTTATTTTTCTGGCCTACACCTTGACCTTGACTGTAAAAGTACTTTCTGAACAGTTTGATTTTCCAAGCAGTTTAAAATGATCATTTATGCTGGGTGCCGTGGTAACAAAAGTAGGTCATTATTATTTGGTTGTACGTCTTCTGGAGTCCATTAGAACTGTCGGTTAACTACCTAAGCTCAAATTCCTCAGAAAGTGCATGTTTGTTATCAGCCACACATTGTGTGGAGGGAAAGGTAGCAGTTCTGATTTCAAATGCTTCTTGGATACTTCAAGAATTTCTTGCGCTTTTTAAACAAATTCCTTCCTAGCTGCAGTGAACAACCTATAGTATATCGAGGTCACAGCAGTGAAACCCCACAGAAAATTCATTGTGCTTCAGCCTTAGGCATTGCCCATAGGATGTAATGCTACAACTTTTTAAAGAGGCAGTTTTTAAATTGTACTTTATATAGGAATGGGAATGAGAGATTTCTCCCTTCTACTATCGCTAAAAATGGTCCATTTAAAAAAATAATGCAATGTTACTAATAGGTCCTGTGAACAAGAGAAAAAGTTTGTAAAAATTGCTGCAGAAGTTTTATGGTTATTTTTTCCCCCTTTAGCTCCGAAAGTGTGAGTGAGGGCTGATTCTTTATTCAAATAGGAAAATAAGAAGAAAGCTATTTGCTTACCATTTTCAAAAAACATTCGTTAAGCCTTTTTTGAGGGAACCACATAAAGTATGTGGGGTAAACATTGTCCCTCACTTTCAGACAATCCTAATTTGTAGTTTATTCAGTTCAGCTGGTGAAAAACCCCTCTCCAAAGAATAGCATGCTATGGTAATAAGGGCACTCCCCTTAGAAACAGTACAGCCAGGTTCTATTTCCAGCACAACCCCTAATTAGCCATTGATGTTGCCAAATCATTTTACTTCTATAAATCTTGAATTCGTGAGTCTTTAAAAAGGAATTTCCGTATCTCCCTTGTTTTCCTCGTATGACAGCTGCCAAAATCAAACTACCTGGAGGTGATAATTCATATCATTCGCTTTGCCAAAAAACTTACCCACACTTCCTTGAGACAATGATCACACCCTGTGTTTGAAAAAGTCTTTCTATTTATAAGAATGTGATTCTTACCCCCATTAGATGAGAAATCAAGTACAAACAAGGGCAGAGAACCATTCCCCTGGGAGGACATCCCTCAATTCCATATATGCAAAGAAATAATGCTTCTGACAACATTGGGGAAACTTACTGGAAACCAGTGATATTCTCAATACATTTGGGCACATATTGGCTGTGATTCCACTGTGTGTTGAAAAACCGAATCCAGTTTTCAACGCATAGTGGGATTACAATAAACACATAGTTGTCACCAAATCAAACATTTCTTTGTGTCAAATACGAGCCCTTGTGACCAACAGAACTTTCTAGACAGCACCATCAAACTGGAGAACATTTAAATTATATTCTAATCAGGTGTCCATTTGTCCCTCACCCAGTGTCTACTGGAGACCAACCAGCCTGGGTCTCCTTCTCTGCGGACAGAACCTTAAGCCAAGCACCTAGGGCCATAACATACAGTTTCAAAATATACCTCAGGTGTGGTTGAAGAGGGCAAGACAGGAATGGAGATGCCCGACGGCTCTAAGAGGACCCGCAGACCTCCCCCTTACCCGGGGCTGTGCTTCCAGAATGAAATTCTGTGCCTTAATTGAGTCTGGGCCAAGCCTTTCCAGTGTTCTCTGTCTTTGCTCCTCCTGCAAACTGCCCTCATGTCTTCCTTCTCTTTACCTCCCACCTCCAAATTTGCTCTCAAACAAGCAGGCAACACTTTACTTCCTCTCAGGCACCATGAAGTGATGTAACCTGCCACCTTTCCCTGGGCAACTTCTATTTTCAGGGGATAATAAAGAAACCTTACTGCTAAATAAAGAAAACTTCAATGTTGAGGGTGAAAAGCCAGAGACAAGCGGTCTGTGTTTGGTATACAGAGGAGGGTGATGGGTGTATATTGCCACCTACTCGTAAAACGTGCCCCGCCCCCTGCGCCTACCGAAAGGTTGTTTAGACCATTCTCTTAGTTTCTCTCTTCCCAACCGCAGTTTACTGGCAAGGGACATAGAAAGTACAATTTTGATGGATTTTTAAGTCTACATGTCCATGGTAGATCCCTTAGAAAATGTAAAGTGGATAATTACAACTTCAATTATCTTCCATATCACAAATACCGGTCTTTTTCTCCACCACTTCTGCTTGAAGTATTTTGTTTTCATATATTTTCTTGAGTGAGGTAATTAACCTCTTTGTGTCTCAGGTATTTCATCTCTAAAATGATGATACTCTTTTATAGCACGCCATGACAAAAATGTTCAGAGATCCCCATATAAAAAGGTGACATATGAGAAAAAAGCAGCAAGAGAAGTCAATCTTGGCACATTATGTTCAAAAACCACTTAACAGCTCTCTCTCTACTGTATTTGGAGCAGAGCACAGTACGAATTAGGTTTCACTGTAATTATGTCCTGGAAGCAAATATGATTTTCAATGAAGAGGTTTTACTGACTCTAATTAAAGGGATGTTACAATCTATTGTCTCAGATTGTGTGATGTCTGGAAGGGATCTTACCAATTATTGCCTCAATGCCCTTGTTTTATAGACGTGCACTACCCAGAGAGGTTAAGTGACTTGCCCATGGCCACCCAGCTAGTTGGGCATGGCTGGCCCCTAGGTGTCACATTCTGGGTTCTCAGCCTAGTGCTTTTTAATAGACAGCTTCTACATTAGACTAAGGTGGATACTGTATATTCATTCCTTCCTACTGCACAGCTCTCTTCCACATTTATTAATGAATTACAGGCCAGCAGAACCAAAGCTCCAGTGGATTCTCATATCTTATTTTTTCCCCCAGAATATCCTAGAAGCTGTCAGAGGCACCAGGAATAACTCAGAAGCAGCTGTCAGCTCTCTGCAGCAGCAAAGTTCACATGTTGATTCACCCTTGAAACAGGAACGTGTGTGATGAGTTTGGATGGGAGGTGATGCTTGCGGCACCCCCGGTTTTGTATAATTAGATCTAGGAAGGAACTCTAAGAAAGATGGTTGTATCTTTTAGATGCGCAAAGTTTGAAAGCTAAGTAGGCCGGGGAAGTTCTACCGTGACAAGAGCATGTATAGCAAAGATCTCTTCACTGGAGACACGCTCTGTAGATAGGAAGTCTTGGGTGATGTGGACTTCAGGAGAAAGGTAACGCCCTTTCCTTGCCTGATGGGGGAGACCCAGACATAGGTTGCTCTGAAGGCTCTGAGTTAATAAAATTAACCACATTTATATCCTCTGTTTCTAAAGCATTTTGATTTCTCAAAGCACTTTGACAGCTTTTTGATACTCTTGATATTTTATTGTCACAAACTCCCTTAGGTGTATAAAGGGTAGGAATGAGGACTTTTGTGCTACAGCTGACAAAACAGAGGCAGTTACTGTTCTTGCTTGAAGTCCATCTTTAAAATGGGCCAGTGCATCATGCTGGCTTAAGGGAATTTGCTTTACATACCTTTTTGGTAGTTTATTAAAGGCTTCAGTGAAGGGTAATAAGTTTGTCATGAGCTGGACTTAAGTGTTAGAGCATTTCACTATATATCATGTGTGGCTATAAATGAGTGAGGTTTTATATGATACATGACTGTTCAAAGAAAAGTCATCCTGAGTTTACCTGTTCCAACGCTAGTGTCACCACTTACATTTTTCTCTCTCCTCTTCTGGAACTGCCTTCTGAGGCAATTTCTAGATAAGAAAAGCAAGCTCATTTATTCACAGTCGCTACTTATTTTATCTAAAAAAAGAGTTATCAGTTGGATGTTTAAATTCTCATCTATATGTGCTTTTAAAAGGATATAACTTCATAGTTAGTTGCATTTGTATTAGGAACCAACTCTTTTTATGTTCCCTGTACCTAAAATGACCAGATTTTGGAGACTGGGAGAGGAATAGTTTAAGAATTTTCAGTCCAGAGCTGAAATCAGAAGGTCCCTACTGAACTGTTGAGATAGGATGGTAAGGCATGTAACTACTGAGTAGCTTCTATGAACTGGATAGAAATGAAGGCTGCAGTTACAAATTGCACATATATTTGGCGTGGAACTAAACTCTTATAACCAGTGTTTGAATTAGAATAGAAAATTTTAAGAGTGAATATGGCAAGGGTTGGCAAAACTTTTTCCTTAAAGGGCCAGATAGTAGATATTTTAGGTTTTGTGGGCAGTATGGCCTCTGTGACAACTACTCAACTCTGTTGTTTAGCAAGGAGGCAGCAGCAGACAATACATAAGTGAATGCATGTGGCTGTTCCAGTAAAATTTTATTGATAAAAACAGGCAGCAGGCCAGATTTGGCTCATAGGCTGACCCCTGATTATGGTCTTTTACACTGAGGTGAATATGGATGTTATCTTCAGATATCAAGATTTCTAAATGTTTAGGAATGGATTTGATCCTCTTGGGGGAAACAAAGAAGTAAATGCAAAAACAGTATTGGCCTCAATTTTTCTCAACCATTTCTATCTAAAGCATTGTCAATGCCCAACATTACTTAGTGTTAGAAAATCAGGAAAACTGAAGTTTTATCTCAGAATAATCTGAGTTAATTCGCTTTTTAAAAGTAGCTTTTCTTTTTTTTAATCACACAAACAAATGTGCACTAAAATGATAAGTGATAAAAATACAGGTAAGCTTAAAAAACGTGGCAATAACTTTTGACATTTTGGGTTTTATCTTTCAAATCTTATGTGTTGTTACAAATATGAGATCAAACTGTGCATAATTTTGTTTTATACTTTCTAACTTAATAAATTTTTTATTAAATTAAAAAGAAATGGAACATCATTAGTCATCAGGAAAATGCACATTAAAACCACAATGAGCTACCACTTCAGACCCAGGAGGATCTCTGAAATTAAAAGACTGAAATATCAAGGTATGGCAAGGATGTGGAACAAGTGGAATTCCCATACACTGCTGATGGAGGGTAAAATGGCAGGTAGAATAACCACTTGGAAAACGAACTGCTTTTAATAAAATTAAACACGTGTCCCTGTGACTGAGTAATTTCACTCTTAGGTCTATACCCGGGAGAAATAAGTGGCCATGCCTCCCACAAAGCATGTACAGGATATTCAAGGCAATGTTATTCATAATAGCTTCTAACCAGAAACAACCCAAATGTCCATCAACATGAGAAAAGCCTATCTATAAAATAGAATGCTACTCAGTAACAGAAGGAGCAAACAACCAATATATGCAGCAACATGGGAAAATCCTACAGAGGTAATGATGAATGAAAGAAGCTAGACACAAAAGAGCATACACTGTGACTCTGTGTAGGTGAAGTTCAACAAGCAAAGCTAACCTATGGTGACAGATATTGGAAGAGTTTACCTTAATTATAACCACCACCCAAATCAAGATACAAAATGTTCCAACCCCAGAAAGCTCCCCCATGCTTCCTTCTAAGATCTTAGGAGGTAGTTTGAAGGATGCATATATTTATCAAAACTTACTAAACAGTACACTTAAAAGTCTGTGCCATTAAGATATGTAAGTTATACCTTAATAAAGAGAAAAATGTTCTAAAATAAAAAGTTGATTTCTACTTTAAAAGGGCAAATCAAACAGAAATAGACAATACCCATAAATGCATTATTTGAAGGAGAACTATTTTAAAGTATAGAATTTGAAATGGAATGAAGAGGAGAGTCAACTCTTGTTTTGAGGAAGCCATCTTTATTGTACTCTCTCAATTTCATGCCCATCGTTATTTCTTTTGGGTCTAAGGTCATAAGGATTGCCTTGCTTTTGCATGCCTTTTTATTTCAATTTGGAAAACAGATGAGATTGAATAACTAACTACCTGGAGGGATGTCCTGAGGAAGAGCAACGAAAAATGTCAAGGACATCCTAAATGACGTCTCCCAGTACTCACTTTATAAAGACCTGTGGGAAACATTCATCTCAAACATCAGTATCTAGAAAATCTGTGATTCTTCTGAACAACAAGGCTATTTTCCTCTTGTGGACACCGAGAGTCTTGTCACTGAACTTGTCCCCTTTTAGCTCTGACTACCAGAAACAATTTTTACCAAATAAGAGCCCTCATCTAGCACATACACAACTTAGTATACGAATCTGACTCCAAGGTTTACTTTTATATTTTCCCTTACATCAATTAACCTAACATTTTAAAATCATCGGTTTTTTAAAATTAAGATACAATTCAAATGCTATAAATTTGCCCTTTTAAAATGTGTTATTCAGTGGTTTTTAATATATTCACAAATTTCACAAATTGTGAAACAGTCACCACCATCTAAGTCCAGAATATTTCCATTAGCAGCCCTCCCCATTCACCACTGCTTGACAACTTCTAGCAACTCTGAAGTTACTTTGTGTTTCTATGGATTTGCCCTTTCTGGACATTTTGTATGGATGATCTCATAGAATATGGGGCCTTTTGTGTCTGGCTTCTTTCACTTAGCGTAATATTTTCAAAGGTCATCCATGTCGTACCATATATCAATATTTCATTCCTTTTTATGGATGAAAAATATTCTGTTGTAAGGATATATCATATTTTACTTGTCTATTCATCAATTAATGCATATTTGGGTGTTTCAGCTTTTTGCTATTATGAATAATGCTTCTATGAGCATTTCTGTCAACTTTCTGTGTAGATACATGTTTTTATTTCTCTTGAGTATATACTTAGGAGTAAAATGAATGGGTCCCATAATAACTCTCTGTTTAAGTTCTTGAGGAACTGCCAAACTGTTTCCCATAGTGGCAATGTACCATTTATGATCCCACTAGCAGTGTGCGAGTGTCCAAATTTCTGTACATCTTCCTAACATTTGTTATTGCTCGTCTTTCTTATTACAGCCCTCTTAATGGGTGTGAAGCAGCATCTCATCATGGTTTTGACCTGCATTTCCATGATGACTAAAGATGTTGAACATCTTTTCATGTATTTATTAGTTATTTGTATATTTTCTTTGGTGGAATGTCTACTCAAATCCATTGCCCATTTTAAAATTGAGCTATTTATCTTTTTACTGTTGAGTTGTCATTTTTTTCACATTACTTTTGTAAGCCTCATTGTATTCATTGAAGACAGCAACAAGAGATAAATATATTTCTATAAAGAGGGTGAGGGTTTCCTAATATTTGCTCTTGCAGAGATAACCAACCCCATTAGTTTTGATATTTTAGAAGTGACATTACATATTTTCAATCAACTTGTTAAAATACCATCTCATGAAACCACAAGTTGTATGTCTTTATGTCTAAATTTCGAATGCTGGATTAATTGCTCGTACTCTGCAAACTGGCATTAGGGAAGAATTTGTCATTTTTACTGCTTTCTTTTCTGCCGTCAGTATATATTAAACACTTTTAAAAAATAAAAATAAAAGGGACAAGGAAGCTGGACACAGTGGCTCACACCTGTAATCTCAACACTTTGGGAGGGCGAGGTGTGTGGATCACTTGAGGCCAGGTGTTTGAGATCAGCCTGGCCAACATGGCAAAACCCTATTTCTGCTAAAAATACAAAAATTAGTTGGGTGTGGAGGTGTATGCTTATAATCCCAGCTACTTGGGTGGGTGAGGCACGAGAATCACTTGAACCCAGGAGGCAGAGATTGCAGTGAGCCAAGATTGCATCACTGCACTCCAGCCTGGACGACAGAGTGTGACCCTGTCTCAAAAAAAAAAAAAGACAAGGAAATAAAGATGAACCTTTGATAAATCTAGAACTCACAAATAAATTACTCTGATGGCTTTTTTTAACTAGGTTGCCTATTGTACCAGCCAAAACTTTTTGTTAACTTCCCTAAGCCAGTCTCAATTTGATTATTCATTTGAAGTCCCAGTTCCCTTTAATGAATGAATCAAAATATAAAGCACCTTGCTTTTTTTAATTATGGAAAAAAGAATAATTAGCTAATTATTAAACTGGAATCCACATAAGTTCATAAATCACATCTTGAACACTATATTTCTAAAAGGAACATACTGCCACTACTGATAATTTAACACTTAGCAATAACAATTCTTACATTATCTTTTTTTAGCTGTTTATTATCTGATGGGTAAAATAATTTTTCAAATATAACAAGTTGTAAAGAAATCCCTGGCCTGTTAATTTGGAGTGCATAGCCCTAAAAGAAAAAGCTAGTTAGGTGGGTTGATGCAATTTGGGGTATTAGATAACCATAGTCAGGGAACTAGGAGTAGATCATGGCCCATAGTGCATTTCTGGTGCTCCTTACACATTCAAAGCTGAAGTGAAAAGGGTCTCAAACCAGAGGAAAAGGCAAAATGCCAAGATGTTAAAACACTGCCTGAAGAAATGTTAAGGTATTAACAGGAAGGAAGATTCTTCTAATGAGAGGTATTACTCTTCTTGATGATAACACAATTTCTCTATGCACAGGAAGAAATGGCCGTTCCACTACTCCATATTTTAATCTTTTTCCTTTTCACCGAGGTATAAAATACACACATAGTTTTGCATGTACATATCAGATTAAAGTTTAGAATGTCCAGCACCCCACAGGGATTCCATGTGGCTCTTTTGAGTCAATACCTCCTTTCTGAGGGTAACCACCATTCTTCTCATTATCATATAGACAAGTTTTGCTCATTTTAAATCTTTAAACAAATGGAATAATATAGACTGTTTCTTGTCTCTTGTTCTAAGTTCTTTCACTCAATGTCATTTGAGTTCATCCATGCTGTTAGTTCTTTATTACTAAGCATATTCCATGATTTGAATATGTCACAATTTATTTACACATTCTACTGTTGACAGACATATGGGTTTGTTCCCCCTCCCCCCCAGGATTGGACTATTATCAATAAATCTGCTGTGAACATTCTTGTATGTGTCTTTGGGTGGGTCCATATTCTCATTTCTATTGAGTATGTTCCCAGGAATATAACCACTCAGTCATATTGGTATGTTTAGCTTTAGGAGATACTGCCAAAGA
Source organism: Homo sapiens (assembly GCF_000001405.40). Lineage (NCBI taxonomy): Eukaryota > Metazoa > Chordata > Mammalia > Primates > Hominidae > Homo > Homo sapiens. The sequence goes on along the minus strand of NC_000003.12, from coordinate 25,515,357 downwards.
GTTTTCCAAACTTTGGCTTGATTTATACTTCCACAAGCCACACATGAGAGTTCCAGTTGCTTCACATTTCACAAACATTTGCTATTGTCAGTCCTTTTAGTGTCAGCCATTCTGGTGGAGTAAAGCACCACACTTCAATCTGATGGATGCAATTCTATTTTTAAGGAATACAATGCCACACAGAAGGCACTATTTGTAAAAACAAAATGGGGCTTTGCACTCCATAGACCTGGACACCGTTATTATCCTTAAGAATGTGGGGAAGGCCATCTCCAAGAGTTTCCTCAGCCCCAAGAGACAGGAGGAAGCCCTGATGCCTTTCTTCCTGAAATAACTCACTCACTGCATCCATTAGAGTAGGGTGGGAGTACATTCTGAGACTGCATATTTGCAGATTTCTGAGAGCTGAAAGTCCAAGGACACAATATCCAAGTTTCCATTCAGTTTAAAACTACTCAAACATTGTGTCTGGACACTTTCAGGACATAAAGTGGGACTCCTTCACTTATTACCTTTCACTTGATTCTCTTCCTGTCCTCCTTAAATCTCTTGAGTCCACAGAGTTTACTAGAAGCAACTTTTATCTTTCCCTTTGGAAGGGCCATATCATGACTGGCTCCTAAATGGGTCCATTTTCAAACACTAGTTAAGTTCCTCAGTTTTATTTTAAGATTTAAACAATGTTGCTAAACCAAAATATTGTTTAGAAGTCAGACCAACTGACGTTATAATCCCCTTCCCCCAAAAAAACAAGCAAAGAAAAATGGAGGAGTTGCATTTTCCAATATCAATAAAATATTTGTGTCCTAAAATCATTTTGAAAATGAAAGGAGCAGATTTTTTTTTTTTAATCATGGAGGTATTTTACGCTTGGTAAAATGAAGTGTCGGAACAATCAAGTGTGTATTTTGGACAAAAACTTTCCTTCTCCTGAGAAAACAGGGTGTTTGCTTTGCTTGGTCCCAGTACTAAAAGATGCCTGTCTTCATTAATCTAATTCATCAGATAATTGCTCAACTCTTTGTTTTCCAGCTGTAAAGGGAGAAGGATGAAAGAAATAACCTAACCATGACAGTTAATATTTTGTGATAGCAGAGGGAGAAGAGATAGAGTTTAAGTCCTTGATACCACTCCAGGAGGAGCAAATTCCAGACTGTACTCTATGCAAGGATTTACTGAGCGATTTAGGTAGCCACTCTCCTGAGAATTGCTGTCACTGGGAGAAGGTACTTAAAGGGCCATGTTCATTGCTCCAGAACACAGGGACTGCAGGAGAATTTCAGGTTGCTATTTTTAGGGAGACATTTGTTTCCAAACAAAGGGCTCTCTGCCAGCTATTTTAGAAGCACTTGCATATTTATTCAGCCAACTCTCTTTGCTGGGGATTGTCTTTGGGCACTAAGGTTTTATCAATGTCTATTTAAAGCAGAATAAAAAATAGCTCAAGATGAAAACATACAATATTTCCAGTTTAGAATGTAAGGCACTTCCTTTTTTCTTACAGGGTTGAAACCAGATATCTGGTTTCTCCCTCTCTCCCTTCCTCTCCCCCTTTCTGAAATTGCCACCTGTCTTACAATCTGAGTGTGTCTTGGTTTAATAGGCACCGTTTTCCCTTTTAGTGGTATACAAAATAATAGTGCACCTTAAGAAATGATCGATTTGATGAAATGTGTGTGTGTGTGTGTGTGTGTGTAGTTTTGAGAGAAAGTAAATCTCTGTTAGGACCTATTTACAAGCTTAATCTGTTTACATCCACCATGGAAAAAACAGCATTGGGATGTCATGTCATGAAAGGGGTAACATGCTATCACTCATATGGTGCAAAGTGGGAGAGGAGGCAGAATGGGAAAGGTAAAAATGGGCTCATGATATCAATAAGACCTAATGTTTTCTTGGGCTTGTATTTCACTTTAAGTTCACGTGTTCAAATCTCTTAACTCTTGGAAGATCAGACAGAAGTTCCTGATTCAGAATCCCCAGTCCTTAGGTACCCTTTTCTTTCTTTTCTTCATTTCTTTCCTTTCTTTCCTTCTTTCTCTCTCCCTCTCTGTCTCTTTCTTTCTTCTTTGAGATGGAGTCTCCGTCTGTTGTCCAGGCTGGAGTGCGGTGGCGCGATCTCAGCTCACTGCAACCTCCGCCTCCCAGGTCCAAGCGATTCTCCTGCCTTAGCCTCCTGAGTAGCTGGGATTACAGGTGCATGCCACCACATCTGGCTACTTTTTTTTTTTTTTTTTTTTTTAGTAAAGACAGGGTTTTACCGTGTTAGCTGGGATGGTCTCAATCTCCTGACCTCGTGATCCACCTCCCAAAGTGCTGGGATTACAGGCATGAGCCATCGCACCCAGCCGTACCCTTTGCTTTCAATTCATTCCAGAAATATCTATTAAGTACAAGGCACTAGGCTCACAATTAAAGATATAAATAAAAACCAAACTCCATACTTGTTCTTGAAGCACCCCCAGCCAGTGAGGGACCTTCTGTGCGATGAGTTTTCCCTCTCTCAACACCTATACACACACACAGACACCAAAAGCTCCTGGACCACCCAAAAAACAGTTTGACTCTGAAAGTCATCTCAATAGAGGTGCCACTAACACTTCATAGCATGGAGAGGCAAGAGTGACCCACACACACTCCTTGCTGTTAGAAAAGTGTGTCGCGTGTATGTGCGCATGCCTGCTCATTTAGGAAGAAGGTGGCTTCAAGGAGGAGTAGGGAGGGAAAGGCATTGCAGGCAGAGAGAACAGCAGGCACCGCCTAAGGATGCTGTGTCACATGAGAGGACACCGAGTGGTCAGTGATGGCTAGTGTGTGGCACATTTGGGGGCACATGACAAGAGATCAGTGTTGGACAGGCTGGGGCAGCTGTGCAGGGCTCTCTGCCCATGCTAACACATTTGGACATTTGGAGTTGATTGTGTAAGCGATGAAGTGCCATGAATTCCAACATCAGATCACCTGGCTCAGAGCTGAAACTGCTTCTGGCCCCATCTACCCATCACCTTGCTTTGTGGGGGTAGATTTGAGTCCCAAGGACATGTACTTCTTGTTTTGAGTAAAGGGACCACTGGGTCGGAAGGAGCATTAGCTGTCCTGTACAATCACTAAGGACCGCTGATGAATGAATACACCAATCTTTAGAGACCAGGATGGCTCAGTATCATAACAGATACCGGAACAGTAACAGGAGCTAACGCTTAGCTAAGTACTGTTTTTAGCCCCTGCCATGTATTAATTCATTTCCTTCTCACAATAGCCACATGAAGTAGGTACTATTACTCTCTTCATGTTACAGACAAGCAACTTGGTGTACACAGATGTTAAGTGACCTGCCCAAGATCACACAGAGCTAAGTAAGTGGTGGGCTGGGGTATGAATCTGACTCCCCCTTAAGTCCAGGCTTTAAGCAGCATACTGCATCCCTCCATCAGTTCCCCCGGATGCTTAAAATCCACTGTGACAGATCCACCCATTCATTGACCCCTTGTTTTATCAGGAAAGGTCTAAACCTTGAGGATGCAAAAAAGCAAGACCCTCCTTCCCATCCTCAAGTTGTGCACAGAGTTCAGCATGTGAGGAAGGGTTAGCGGCAGGCAGTAAGGCAGGGGCATGTCAGTGGGATCTGACCAGCAACTGAGGCACTACAGAGACTCTGAGAGGGCTCAGGCCACAGCTGCAGACTCTGCTTCTATTCCTAAGATACAAGAACATATAAAACCAGTGTTTCTCAAACTTCAGTCCTTTGAAGTACTGCCTTCACAATTTTGCACATATTCACAGGCTGCTACACACTTAACGATTTCTGTCTCAATTGATTTTTTTTCTTAAATAAAATTTAGAGGAAATGTTTGTATTACTACTATAAAGGGGAAAGGGGTGTCATTTGCCATAAATAGAAAGGTAGGGTAAAAAATAAACAGGGTTGGCTGGGCACTGTGGCTCACACTTGTAATCCCAGCACTTTGGGAGGCTGAGGTGGGCAGATCACGAGGTCAGGAGATTGAGACCATCCTGGCTAACACGGTGAAACCTGTCCCTACTAAAAATACAAAAAATTAGCCGAGCGTGGTGGCGGGCGCCTGTAGTCCCAGCTACTTGGGAGGCTGAGGCAGGAGAATGGCGTGAACCCAGGAGGCGGAGCTTGCAGTGAGCCGAGATCGTGCCACTGCACTCCAGCCTGGGCAACAGAGCAAGACGCCATCTCAAAAAAAAACAAACCAAAACAAAAAACAAAAAATAAACAGGGTTTTCAGGTCAAGTGACTGTGTTTGTAAAGTTTTATTGGAACAAAGCCATGCTCAATTGTGAAGCTCTGAAGCTGCAATAGTAGAGTTGAGTAGTTGCAAAAAAACACCAAATGGACTGCAGATGCTAAAATATTTACTGCCTGGCCTTTTAAGAAAATTTGCAGACATCTGAAATAAATACATTTCAGTCCTACCTAGGGATTGTTGCCATCTGTTAAAAAGACAGATTAGCAGAGATTCAAGAAATATTAATTAAGGCTGTATTGGCATCAAACTGAGATTTTTCTCATTGGTAATAAAAAGACAATAAATATTGGAAAGGAAAATCTTTATCATTAAATGAGTTCATACTGTCTTATGCCAAGTTCAATATTCCCTAAAATTATATTTCATATCACAGTGTGCAGTTTACACTTAGGGAAATACTGCATTAAACTAGTATACACGTTAAATCAAACCACATAATTATAGATTTTTTTTTTGAGACAGGGTCTTGCTGTGTTGCCCAGGCTGGAGTGCAGTGGCTCGATCTTGGCCCAATGCAGCCTCTGCCTCCTGGGTTCATGTAATTCTTGTGCCTCAGCCTCCAGAGTAGCTGGGATTACAGAGGCTCACCACCATGCCCGGCTAATTTTTTTGTATTTTTAGTAGAGACAGGGTTTCACTGTGTTGCCCAGGCTGGTCTCAAACTCCTGACCTCAAGTGATCTACCCACCTCAGCCTCCCAAAGTGCTGGGATTACAGGTGTGGGCCACTGTGCCCGGCCTGTAATTATAGAATATTTGATGTGGGAGCGAATACAGGTGAAGATACTGAAAACCGTGTAGCTTTAAATATGTGCAAGAACTTCATTGTTTAGAGAAGCAAAGGGTAGTTGAAAGGATGCTGGGAATTAGAATTAAGACCCATGGGTGTATACCAGCTGTGTGACCTCAGGCAGGTCTCTTACCCTCTCTCAATCTCAGGAAACTGAATCAGAATATGATTCCTGTCCTATCTGCTGCATGGGATAACCTGAAGTCTTGGGGCTGTTGCCATTAGTAAAGCCCCTCATGACCATGAACTACCACAGCACCACTGATATCCTCCCCAGCTTTCCTCTCAGGTGGCTAACAGCAAAAGCAGTCTTGCTGAGGAGGCCACAGGGTGGACAGGAGTTGGTTGGGAGAAGGGACATGACGGATCTGGAGGAAGGCAGGCCACAGAGTCCCAAATAAGGCAGAGGAGAGATGGAAGGTGCCAGATGAGCAAAGAAAGGCAGCTGCTGGGAGGACGGGGAAGGGGAAGGGCAACTTTGTCTCTGTGGCGATTTAGCTTGGGCTCAGCACTGCTGGAAGACCCTGATGGCCTCACCTTGAGCTGACTGAGGAAGGAAGGGGGCCAGGCGTCCTTTCTAACACCCCAGTTCAGTTTTCTCCATGGAGTTGGGTTCCAGGATACCAGGATACTCTCCCATTCTCTGATTACACATGTCTCGGCATCTCTGGGCAAATGAGCCACCTGGCTCCCGGTTTAAGTAGCCAAGAAAGGTGGATATTTATTTTAGAAACCATGCTTGCAAACTTTATTTTTAAGGCTGTGACATAATATTTGGAGCTGCACTTCTAAGCTGTGGTGTTCTAAACAATTCAAAATGAATAGAGTCTCTACTTTTAACTTTTCTCCTGAAGTATAATCAAGGCTGTAGCTATAATAAAACACAGCTGTGGCAGCAGCAACAGCGGCAACCAAACTGTGTCACCAAAAGAAGCAGTAGCAGACAACCACTCTCATTCGGCACTTACTATGTGCCAAGCACGGTGCTAAATGCATTACCCCATGAGTCCAATCCACAAAACAATCCTGCAACATTTCTGTGATAATCTCCACGCAATGGGTTAGTTCATTTCACGTGAAGCAAAATTTTGCCATGTGCCCAAGTTGAGATAGCTAGAGGCGAGGGCTGCATTTGACCTCAGCTCAGGCTAACTTCAAAGCCCTTTGTTCTTTGCCCTGTGCTGTTCTATTGTGTAATGGAAATTTCTCATTTTTCTAAGGTGAGAATGTACTGAGTGTCCCCTCTCCAGGAGACAGGCAGTGGGGAGAAATATATTAGTAAAGCTGAAGGAATTTTAATACTTCCTTTTCAGTCTGAGTGTTAATGGGCTTTGAGTCCCACAGTGGCACTGACATCACCGGGCTGCTGGTACCCAAACATAATTTTTTTTTTTTTTAAATCTCCTAAACAGATGCAGGCAAATATTCATATTTGGCAAGTAGAAAGGGGCAGCAGATTTTTATTTTCCAGCTTCTAGGACATTTTTAGGTATAAAAGTAGGAAGTTTCCAGCCTTTCACTTACTTTTGGGGGGCTCTTCAGGGATTTGTGTGCCACAGAGCAAGAAGAGAAGGTGGGGGTTAATGGTAGTTTCTGGTGAACAGAACAAAATGATCACAGTGAACCCTGGAAGCAAAGTAACAGGCTGGGATCTAACACGGGAACAAATGAAGAAATAAACTAAAATTAGAAAGACATTAAGTGCCCTGATGATGATTTTTATGTAATTTCCCAACTACACAGTGCAACCTACAATATGAATTTCCCTGTTATTAAGCCAGTAAAATCCAGCAGTAGAACCAATGAGCACATCAATATAATTTGTGCACAAGCAAAGGTGATTCTAACTGAGGTTAAGTGCCTTTAGTCCAAAAGGTTTGTTTTAATCTAAGTTTAACAGTAAAGGGGAAATGAGAGAAACACAGAGCAACAAAATCCTCCCACAGAAGTATCTAAGTGTCCATACAAAGCACATTCATTCCATCCAATCGACCCATGGGGACGTTCATGTCTAAAGTATAAATTGGAATTTAGAGACTTTATGAAAAGCTGTTTTTAAGCTCAATATGCCCCAAATGAGAAGGTGTCAATGAGTGCTTAGGGACTTTTAAATTCAGAGATTATTCAATTGCTCTATTCTACAAATACACTTATGAAACTGTCATAGGAAAAAAATGCTGTGAAATAAACATTAAAAAGCATTCTCAAACAAAATCAAAGACATGTTTTGCCCATCACTCAAGGGCATGGGCACATAAACATAACCTCAAAGAGCAATACAAAGAGGCTCCCTGTGTGAATTCACGGCCAGTGGTTTTCAGAAAGAAAGGAGCTGGAATGAGGGGGTGGCAGCAACAGTACCTTCCATGGTGTTTCTGTTACAGACACAGGGTAGGGGCACCCAGTCTTGGAGGAGGCCAATGACCCATGGGAACCTAGCCTAACCTCAGGGGCATCCAGGGTATACTACTCTCCCTTCCTCACAGCACCCGAGTCATAATTCTGGCCTACTTCTTGTCTTCCATTTTCCTTCTGACCTCCTGACCCCAGTGTCTCCCCTATCCCTGGACCCCCTTCTTTGATAGCTAAGGTTTGGCAAAAGTAAGGTCCAAACCCCAATACATGTCCATCTTTGCTTCTCCCTCTTAACTGGGCTTCTGTCATGCACAACTCCCCAAGACACCTGCTCAGCTCAGCCTTTTTCACTGGCAAAAGCCCTAGAAGATCTAATGTCTTCTGGGGGAGGGAACTGGGAAGAGGAAGCAGCTTATGGAAACACTGCTGTCTAAACAGGATTAAAAGCATCAATTCTCATGTCACGCCTGGGCTGTTAGTCAATACCAATGTTTCTCTCATCCAGGTAGAAAACACAGCCTCCAAGAAGTTGAGTAACTTGTTCTGGGCCCCTAGCAGATAAACGAATGACTGCGATTTGAATACACACCTAGAATTGTTTTGCCTCTGACAACTTTTCAGAAAGTAAAGCCAGGGAGAAGATGGGTTTGCCTTTAAAACTGGTCACATTTAACCCCTTGATCAATCTAACTTCACCGAGCAAAGCTTCATGCTATATTCAGGGGCTACAAGGTGAGAAAGACATGATGCATGCCTTTTAAGAGTTTATAATCCAGCCAGGGAGACTCACTGGTGTGTGAAGAATCATACTATCTGTATAATATAATAAGTTTGCGGTTCATGGAGCTTTGTGCGAAGCACTGTGAGAAAACAGGGTTGGGGAGGGAAGAATGAATAATTCTGCCTAGAGTGTGGAATGAGGCTTAGGGGAGGCTTCAAAGAGGAAATGACATTTCATCAGGCTCCTGGGGTTCAACTGATGGAGAAGGAGGTAAATCCTCAGAAAAATGGAGACATACGGCTCATAAGTCAGCATGGTGTAGTGTGGCTGGAAGCTGGGTGTGTCTACTGGTAGGGGAGAAGCATGGGATGGGATCACAGAGCAGCCCTAAGTGGCATCCTTGGCCACCGGATGAGCCACTTAAAGCAGACATTGGCAAACCATGGCCTGTGGGCCAAACCTAGCCCTTCATCTGCTTTTGTAAATAAAGATTTACTGGAATATAACCACACTTGTTTGTTTATATTTTCCATGGCTACTTTTGCGCTATAATGGCAGAGTTAAGTAATGAAGACAGGGACAAATATTTTCTTTTTTTGTGAGACAGGGTCTTGCTCTGTTGCCCAGGCTGGAGTGAAGTGGCATGAAAATGGCTCATTGCAGCCTCAACCTCCCAGGCTCAAGTGATCCTCCTTCCTCAGCCTCCCGATTAGCTGAGTAGCTGGGACCACAGGTCCACACCATCACTCTCAGCTAATTTTTAAAAAAATTTTGTAGAGTTGGGGTCTTGCCACGTTGCCCAGGCTGGTCTCAAACTACTGGGCTCAAGAGATCCTCCCATCTCCTTCTCACAAATTGCTGGGATTGCAAGTGTGAGCTACTGCACAGGGCCTCAAAAATATTTTCTAAAATTTCTAACATCTTTTAAAAAAGAGCTGGTTTTTTTTTTTTTTTTTTTTTTTTGAGATGGAGTCTCACCCTGTCGCCCAGGCTGGAGTGCAATGGTGCGATCTCGGCTTATTGCAACCTCCGCCTCCCAAGTTCAAGCGATTCTCCTGCCTTGGCCTCCTGAGTAGCTGGGATTATAGGAGCGCGCTACCATGCCTGAAGAGCTGGTTCTTTTAAAAAATGGTTTGCTGACCTTTGGCTTAAAGATCTGAACTATTCATTTGAATTTCTGTAACTGACTTAAATGCATATGATCAGGCTTTCTAGGGCTTTACTCCCATGGTTTCTAAACAGTATCATCTTAAATCTTCTTTCCCATCATGGACCATTAGCTATTATCTATACCGTAAGCTTGTCTGGACATTTCTTTCATAATCCAAATGTTATGCCTTCATTTATTGTTTCTCTTTTTCATTAATTGTTTTTATTTCAGGGCTTTGCCACATGCTTTCCTCTTCTGACATCATTACAAACCTCCCACGCCACCAGCAGAAGTTCATCATTCGAGTCAGTTTGCTTCCTTTGCCTCCTTCTCCAATTCTTCATAAACTATTGTACCACCTCTTTAGAATGCTGCTAAAAATCGAGTTTTTTTTTCACTTGCCATTATTCTATGCTTTGACAGACAGCTGTTTCTCTGCAAAAAGGCTTCCCTAGTCCTATAAGCCCTTGGAAAATACAAGGTATACCCAGCAGCATTTACAAAACAGAAAAAAAAAAAAATGAAGAAATAAGCATACTGTTCTGATAGGCCACGTTAAAGGATTTCTTTTACTTGTAAATCCCCTTACACATGTAAAATCAAATTTGATCTATAAAAATTAAATTTGCACATGATTTTCTAGGGGATACATCTCTAATATAGAGCAAGGAGCATGGTTATTGTTTTATTAACCACTGGCAATAAAATAGAGTGGAAAAAGGAACTCGGAGTTTTAAACGCTGCTTCCTATGGCACGCAGTATATATTTCAGTTTGAATATAGACTTTCTCATCAAACTGCCTGGTTCCAAATCTCAGCACTGCCCCTTACTAACTGTGTTACCTTGAGTAAATTAATGTCTCTGTGTCTCAGCTTCCACATCTGCCAAAAAAATGGTGGGACCTGGGAAGGAGGAATTGTAACTAATCTATCTCATAGGGTTGTTATGAAGATCAATGGGATAAAGCATTAAAAGTGGTTAATGCAGGCCAGGCGCGGTGGCTCACGCCTGTAATCCCAGCACTCTGGGAGGCTGAAGTGGGTGGGTCACCTGAGGTCAGGAGTTCAAGACCAGCCTGGCCAACATGATGAATAGCCTGGCCAACTTGATGAAACGCCATCTCTACTAAAGATACAAAAATTAGCCGGGCGTGGTGGCAGGCGCCTATAATGCCAGCTACTTGGGAGGCTTAGGCAGGAGTATCGCTTGAACCCAGGAGGTGGAGGTTGCAGGGAGCTGAGATCACGCCACTGCACTCCAGCCTGGGTGACACAAAAAAAAAAAAAAAAAAAAAGTGGTTAATGTAATACTTGGCACATAGAAAATACCCTGTCCAGTTAGCTATTACTATAATGATTCTTAAATTTTCTCAGTTTTATCCTTCTTTTTTTCTCCCACAGCATAAAGAAGAGTGCCTTGGGAACAGCACTGTGGGACCTGACAAATCATGGTGGACATGAGGTCATTTTTGCCTCCTGTCTTTCTGATTCCCCTCTGAGGAACATTTTCTTCCACACTCCCCACCCACATGGTTTGGGTGAAGTCAACCTCAATCCTGGGCTGTAGATATTGACACATGATCCAGACCTGGCTAATCACAATATTCTATCCCCTGCCCAAAGCAATGCCCTGCTCAAAGCAATGCGTTCACAGAAGGGCACATGACCCAAGTTAGGCCAATGAGAATCTGTCCCTAGGCTTTGATGGAACAATCGGGATCTAATAGTCTCTCTTTTTGCTGGGTCAATAGATTAACAGTCTGGAGCTGTTGGTGCCCTTCTTTGTTAGACATGGGGAAAATCTTCCTGGGAATGAAGCCAGCACAGCAAAAATCAGCTGTGAGAGACAAAGAGAAACAATGCCCCAAAAACAAACATGTGCCTTTGGATCCAGCATATTACTCTGGACTGTTCAGTGACATGCGTAGAGTTGTGTAGCTTAAGCCAGTTTGAGCTGGGTTTTCTGTCACTCTCATCTAAAGGATTCTGACACATACAGATGAACTGACATGTCCTATGGCTAGAATGGAATGTGAATCTTGCTAATCTCGCTACTTCAGAGAAGGCATGGGGAGGAGAGGTGGCCGATTTCACTGTAGTCTTGGTTATGTCTTCAGCCAGTTGGGACTGCTGGGAGAACCGTGTCATCTTTCTGAGTCCTAGTGTACTTGTACGTCAAATGAGAGAGGTGAGTGAAAATCAATCTCTAAGATCCCTTTTCACTTCTAACATTCTATGAGTATCTATTATTCTTGGTTTCATTTCAGTTGCGTATACTGTGGTATAATTGGTTACTGATTCTCATATTTGCCTGCTTCCTTCTGTTTCAACTTTAAAAATATCCAATTAGACTCTCAATCTCTACATTCCAAGTGTTTATTTCTTTCCCTTCAATTTCCTTCTAACAAAAATACATTTATTTTTGTGTACTTGGACATAATGATCCCATTTTCTTCCCATTTCTATATTTTTAAATCTAATTAAGGTGATAAGCTCCTTGAGGGCTGATGCTGGAGTTTTCCTGTGGGTGTAAACATTATTTTTTTTAATTGCCAACCAAGCTGCCAGTTTTTACAGAGCAGCAGGATATGGGTTTTAAGTAATGTAAGCAGGAAATGGGTCTCCAGCCCACACAAAATAATGCAAAAGTACTGATTTTCCCTGAGTCCACATCTGGCTTACTCATTTATAATTTCAGCCTGAACTGAAATTCTCCCACAGAAATGCTGTGTGCCATCCATGTCTACAGAACATCAGACCAAAACTAGAGCAGAAGGTGATCATCCCGTGAATCTCACACATAGGAATAATCTGGCTATTTCAGGTTATCCTGCTTTTCTCTTCAGTGGAAGGATTTAGAGCCTGAGCCAATTGAATGTTAGCTTCCTATCTTCAAATGTATGGATTTTGAGTAACTCAATGGCTCTAAAATTTGGAGAGAGGGAAAGGAACTGGATGAAAAGTGACCCATGATCTGCAGATGGAATTGTCCAGAGGAAAAAGAGCTTCCCAGAAGGAATGGCACATGCAGGATGCTTTCCTGTCTGATGACCCAGTCCATTCTCATTCATGAGGACTCTAAATATTAACAAGACACTCATTCCAAAAGCTGTAATGGGTTCTTCTTGGCAGATATAACAAAACGACCTGGAGGCAGTGGTTTCATAGGGTTGGCTGGTTCAGTAATTCAATGGTGCTATTAAGGGCTTGATTTCTGTCTTTCCACTTTTCCATCTACAGTGCATGCTTTGTCCTACAGCTGACTTCCCTGGGGATTGGAGGATGGCCACCAGGGGTACTTGTGGCTACCTGTTTCCTTGTTCACATGGATGGAGGGAAGGGTACTCCTGTCCTGATATTCTACGCACGAGTCTTGAATTCCCTCTCATTGAACCAGCCTAGGTTACATGTTCACGCATGCGGCTGGAACATAAAATACACTGATTGGCTTTAATTGACTGAGTGGATCCCAGCTGTGAAGCTTTCTCTGAAACATTGAAACCTAAGGGGTATAAAAGAAAACTAAAATCTGAGTACAGTTAGGAAAGGTGAAGGGGCAGGAGTACAGTTAGGAAAGATATCTGGGTGGGCTACCAACAAACATCTGCTACAATCCCTGAGCAATAGCTCCCAGCAGAGGGCAAGATTCCCAGCTGAGCACCCTCAGAGTAATGCCTCTGGTTGGCTACAGGGGCTTTACCTCTTCAATCAGTTTTCACCCAAGGGTCACGTTTCCCAGTTCCAACATCTAAGAGCCCTTGATTCATAATGTAATTCCTCCAACTCCATTAGAGGATCATGATTGGGGTGCCTGGCTCTTTATCCTATGCTCCTGGAGGGCAGCAGCCATGTCTCAGGTATCTCTAGGGTCCCCACGCAGCACCCAGCCCACTGCTCACATGTGCACAGCACGCCATCACCAAAATCCCCCCATGATGGAGTGACAGAAAGAGCAGCAGCCCCACAAGAGCATCACTGGGCACATAGCCCCATGACCTCCCTATGCCTGCTTGAGCCAAGCCATCCACCTAATACTTTCTTATTCCCTACATTTGTACACATCAAATAGAGAAAGAGCGAAATTTGTTGCAGTGTACACATACTCTTTTTATACTAAAGCCGGTATATTTCAAATCCCCATCATCAGATATTTATGGACCAGTAGCCAATTTTTAATGTATTTTTAAAATATCTTTTGCACTAATAAAGTGCATTATTGTTTGGAAAAGATGGCTTGGAGAAGAAAAACGAAATCAAGTTTGGAAAAATGCCAGTGTCCCAGATTTTGAAATGTTTCTTCCACAAGTTATACAATCCTTCCCTCCTAAAAAAGGGCAAATTATGACTACTGTTAACATTCATGCCTATCATTTTATCTTATCCTCACCGATACAGGCGAAGATCCTTATACCCATTGTCAAGATAGGGGAAATGGAGTCACCGTGTGACTGTGTAATATGCTTGAGTTACTGCTAATGGCTCTGGGATCCACAGTGAGTTAGCCACTGCTTTGGAATACAAATCTGACATCCACGACGCCTAACTCCTGCCTTTCCACCAACTGTCACTCAAGTTTCATCTCAAAATCTCCATATCAATCCCCATTTTCATGTCATCTCTATTCACACCTACCCTTGGCAAGATTTCGTTAGTGTCGTGTGTGAATTCCACATGACTGTGGAAGGTGAGCAAATCACAGAGATAAGGAAAACAGGGAAAAAGTTTTTTGAGACTCCACTTACATTCTTTGGACATTCCCACTTCAAAGCACTTCTGGAGTCGACAGTATTGGCATCGATTCCTGGTGACTTTATTAATAACACAGTTCTTATCTCGGTGACAAGTGTAAATCATATTCTTCTGAATACTTCTGCGGAAAAAGCCCTGCAAGCAAGCAAGAAGATGAAAAAACTCAGTAAAGCAAATGAGCTTCATCAGAAATCAAAGCCAACCTTATCAATGCATTAATTGCTCTTTTTGAGTAACGAAGTGATGGCAGCAGAAAAGTTAACTTACATAAACCTTAAAATCCTCGTGAGATATCAATAGTTTCTTCCTTTGTTGCAAACCCAAAAGCCCCTTTTAATCAAAACTAGACATGACCATTATTATCTTGCTAAAGGAAAGTTAATTCCAAGCTGATTTACTTGGAAAACACCAGAGTTGGGTTCCCTCCAAACAGGCTTAGCTTCATAACTGGCTCCCTTGCTGACGAGAACAATTTCAGATGAGCGCACTACCAAGAAAACCAATATATGAGGATTTTTACCCAATAAAAGAAATTACTGGCTGGGTGCAGTGGCTCACTCCTGTAATCCCAGCACTTTGGGAGGCTGAGGCAGGAGGATCATTTGAGGTAAGGAGTTTGAGACCAGCCTGGCTAACATGGTGAAACCCTGTCTCTACTAAAAAATACAAAAATTAGCAGGCACAGTTGTGCGTGCCTGTAATCCCAGCCCTTGGGAGGCTGAGGCAGGAGAATTGCGTGAACCTGGGAGGCAGAGGTTGCAGTGAGCTGAGATTGTGCCACCGCACTCCAGTCTGGGTGACAGAGTGAGACTCTGTCTCAACAACAACAACAACCAAAAAAAAAAAAAAAAAAAAAAAAAAACAAGAAAAGAAAGAAAAAGAAATTATTTGCCTAATGCAAGAGTTAGTTTTTTCAAAGGAGTCTTCTCTGAGTTCTTTTACATAGCTCCTCTCACAACATTTAAAATACAATTTAAAAAAATTATCCAAAATTGGAAACAAGAAATAAAAATGAGTGTCTGCCCATTTAATGGCATGTTAGAGCTATGTCGTCCAACATGGTAGCTATTAGTCACATGAGGCTACTTAAATCAAAATTAATGAAAAGTAAATAAAATTAAGAATTCAGTTCTTTAGTTACATTAGCTACATTTCAAATGCTGAAGAGCCACATCTGGCCCATAGCTACCATATTAAACACCACATATACAAAATATTTTCATCATTGCAGAAAGCGTTACCGGGTAGTAATGTACTACAGCACTGACTGACAAGCCCATCGAAGTGTCATCTAACACTCACAGGAAATATAACTTTGTTTGACTTACTTTTTACTATTGATTGGACCCAGATTCTATACAGACTGTAGAAAATTGGTAAATTACACATAATTTTTGTCTAGTGTAGGTGCAAAACATTTCTGACCAGATGAACAATAACCCCAAATATTATTGTTTTATTGCCCTGTAGGAAATGAACCATTTTGTATCTAGCTTTGCAATCTTATTCCGGTATTCTCTTTTCCTTCCCTCCTTTCTCTCTCGTTTTCTATCTACCTGAATATCTTTCTCATATCCTCCTTTAAACCAGCTTTGTCATCCTACTATTCCCTTCATCAATGAGTTAAATAAATTTTTGGCATGTGTTTACTAAACAAACACTTGAAAGAGTTTTTTGCTTTTTAACTTTTTGAAAATCACATTTTGACAAAAGAAGCAATTTATCCTGATTTTCTGGGAAACACCGATGAAATAAAGCAGACTTCAGGCTCCAGAAGAAAGGGTCCCCAACTTCCTCTTTGTCTTCCCCGTTTCTACATACAGCTTTGCAGACAATGGATGATCAAGTGATGCTTGCCGAATACACAGATGAAGGGTATACCTGCTGCCTTTTCTCTCTTCTGAATGCCCAAGAAAAACTTCCACATTGCTATGAGTATTAAGAGTGAGGAAGTCTACTTTACCAGTTGTGATGTGACTTATACCTACACGAGAAACTACTCTCTTGAATGTAAGAAACACATCATCAAATGTGTTGAACAGAAACTAAGCCCCACCATCTGAGTTCAACTTTCCCTGCAGTACATTAACACTGCAGGAGCCAGAGCTAAGAACGTTCAAAGCTAAAGCACATTAGCAAAGAATGCTCATGTAACACACATTGCTTAGGATACTTACGTGGGCACCCTAGGATTTTAATGTCTAAATAAGCATATTTTTACTGGCATGGTTCAACTATAAGTGCCTGGAAATCTTGTTTAAGGTTGCAAGTCCTGTCACATATCCCAGACACACACATTTTCCAAGAAAACACAGTTTATTTTTGTGCCACTGGAACTACAAATGTGCTTAGAATCTAAAATAACAGGTTACAAATACTGTGAAATCCTCCCAGAATCTGTGCAGAGTGGTCATCTAAAAACATATCTTTCCCTACAAAAAATATAACTGTGGGCCACTTTCTGCTGCCAGATGTAGAAACTCAGTTTACAGAAACCTCCATCGCTCTTCTGCCGAGAAACATTAACACAATGGAAAACATGGTCTTTTATATACGTGGGAAGAAAATGAGGTATGGACAAAGGTGACCCCCTCCATTTATTTTATTAAAAACCAAATTTTTAGTTCAGCAAACACTTAGTCAGTGACCAGAAAGGAGAGAAGAACAATCTCACGATGCTCAAATGAAAGAAGACCAGAGAATTAAAGAACTTTATGTCACTAATTGCCCAGTCAGTGTGATTCAGTAACAATGATGGCAGAAACTAAATAGGACTTCTTGGTTTTCCAAATCAGATTTTTGGCTGGATTTCAGGAGAAGGTCTAAGTTTCAGTAAATCATTTCCACCATGCTAGAATACTTGCTGGCTAAAATATATGCTATGAGGTATTTTTATACGTGGGTTGAGTAAACAGACGTGCCCTCCAAGCCGAATAGAGGTTTGCATCATAAAAATTCTCCTCCTCCTTCATTGATATTATGAGTTTATACAAACCTCACTCCCTTGTAGACCACTGCTTTGAGGACCCAGAGTGTGTGGCGGGTAGGGGGTGGGGGCAGTTATCCTCATACACCTAAAGTTTACTTAGCTAATATTTCAATTTAGGTTGACTCCTCCTTCTATTTTTGACACTATTTAAAGTGGAAACCATTTATCTCTGGCTTACTTGGAAAACCAGACCAACTGTCAATATTAGAAGGTACTCATGAAATAAGAGAAATGCAAATAATACAATAATCAGATGTCATTTCACTCATACTGGACACTGTGTCTGCTGCAGGCCAGGAGCCCCAGCCCTCCTCACTTCTTGCTGAAAAGGGAGCTTGGCCAGCATGAGACACACATCAGCACTGACTCAAGATTTTCTGTTTGAGGAATTCAGAGAAAAAAAATAAGCTTCTTACTATGTGACTGATTTAAAGCCATGGATCTTTCCCACCTAAAATTAGAACCCCCAAACTTCAGGACAAAGTTTGGGACAGTTATTGAAGCCAAGGGATGGTTAGACACATCTGGAGAAGAGGAGGTTCAAAAGTTGAGCGTGTACAGAGGATGAATTCAGTCCCATTTGGAGGAGCAACCTGAGAGGAGAGAGTGGAGGTAGCATAGGTCGAGCCCTGGATTAGGAGTTGAACGCCTGGGCTGCAAGCTCCTCATGGTCACTGAGAGGACTTGAGCAAGTCACAACCATCTGGGACTAAGCTCTCTCTTCCCCTGAATGAGGGATTGGGCAGTTTACTTGGAAGGTCCTCTCCAGCCACAAATTTCTGGGATTCCAAGTGTGTCATCACACCAGGAAGTGATGAGTTGGGTACCTAGAGAGTGAGACTTGGGGAGTTTCTGCGGGCAAAGAAATTGGCGAAAGAAGAGGTGGTATTTTGGCGAAAGAAGAGGTGGTATTTGCAGACTAAGGAAAGAGAGACTGTCTATCTGCATGGGCAAGAATAGCAACTTCTGGAAACCAGCCTGTGGCTTAAAGGACACCATCATGAGGGCTTTTATATTCATCTTAGAACTGAGTCATCGTAACACCTCTGAGGGCCTCAGGCAGGTATCTGTGCTGCACTGAAGTTGGAATGTTTCAATACTATCCCAAGAGATTGTGGCTAGAAGTCTTAAGACCTGGTTTTCGGCCAGGCGCGGTGGCTCACCCCTGTAATCCCAGCACTTTGGGAGGCCAAGGTGGGCGGATCACCTGAGGGTCGGGAGTTCGAGACCAGCCTGACCAACGTGGAGAAAGCCCGTCTCTACTAAAAATACAAAATTAGCCAGGCATGGTGGCGCATGCCTGTAATTCCAGCTACTCGGGAGGCTGAGGCAGGAGAATCGCTTGAACCCGGGAGGCAGAGGTTGCAGTGAGCTGAGATTGTGCCACTGCACTCCAGCTTGGGTAACAAGAGTGAAACTCCGTCTCAAAAAGCAAACAAACAAACAAAAAAACAACACCTGGTTTTCTGCTACCAACTCTGGAACTGCTGACACCGTAATGGTACTCTTTCATTTTCTGGGAACTTCCTTTTCTCAGTAAACCCAGGAAAATTCTATGAGGTCACTTGGCCAGGAAGCCTTCTCTGACTGATCTAAGCATACATGGATGCTTCCTCTCCTAGGCAATCATGGTATTTTGCTTTTCCTTCCATGTTATACCTATTCAAGGATGATACTTAAAGTCTAAAACAATACCACTGTCTGCTTTAGAGGTTACATAGGTGACATGGGGGAATGCCAACCTGTGGCTGGTGGCCCCAGCCTCAGGGAGCCCAATAGGCACTGTGCATTTATCCATTAAGGTGTCTCAGTGCCATCAAGTGTGCCACCTTCCTTGCCGATACTCATGCCTCCCTGACAGGGGAGTAGGATAGGTATAAAGGCTGGTTCCTAGGAACCTGAGCTGACAAGTTGGTGGACTCAAGGTGGCCTCCAGGCAGTGCCAAATATGACACCCCTGGAACTAAGACAGTACAGTTGGATGGAGGAAGGGAAGACCCAAGGCAACGGTCAGGCAAAAACTGGCAGGAAAATGTTTCAATTTTTCAACACCTAATAAATTGTACTGGGACACACCAGCTGAATAGCTCAGGGCTGGGACAGAACCCAACACACAGAAGATATTCAAATAATAATTGTTGACTAACAACTGTTAGTCAATTGTAATTGTAATTGTTGATGAAGTCCTAGCTATAACCAGAGCCATAGTAACCGTCTTGGATTATACCTTAGTTTCTTAAATGTATTCCTTGAGGGTGATATCATTTGTATTTACGCAATTAAACAATCAGATTTCTCAGCTGTTAGTAGCAGACACACTGATCTGAGTTGGAATCAGCTCAGTCAGGGCCTCTGTTGGCTGTGACTTGTGCACGTTGACTATGTCTTTTGTTATACATCATAGCTTCTGCTGGCTAATCACGAATTCTGTTGGTCAAACTTGAGTTTTGTTGCTTAATAATGAATTCTGTTGCTTAATCCTAATTCTTGTTGGTTAATTATGACTTTTCTTGATTAACCATGGCTTGATTAGTCATGACTTCTGTTGTTTATGATAGTTAAGCCGGTAACACAATGAACACCAATTACTGAGATCAGAAAGACAGATCTGTGTTACACACTGAGTCAAGCATTTTCTAACCGTGGATTTTTCAATCTTCCTACCTCATGCTCTTTGACTGCTGTTACCAAAGAACTGAGGTACAACCAAAAAGGAAAAAGAAAAACTCACATGGTGGAGAAGGCTATATATGCATTAGAGCCATTTGGTTCATGTATTAGCAGTAATTATGGAATGCCCACATCTGACTCAGATTACTTCTGTCTCCCTGAGGGTATGAAGTACCACTGTTTCCAATCATTCCTATTATCTACAGTGCAGAAAGAAGCAAAAATCAAAAGGCAAGATAACTGTCTTTTTTACACCTAAATATCCTTCTCTACCCAAATACATAAAATTTATAATTTTCTTGATGGACATATCTTAAATCACAAATCAAGAAAGGACATGGAAAAAAGTGGTTCATCTCCCTCCCTCCTGCATATTTTGATATGGAATTGGGTTAGGCCATCTTCCCTCCTCTGATACCCTCAAACTATTGCTTTAGATTTTTTTTCTTCACACATGAACCCCGTTTCACCTTCTAATTTTCAGATGTTATCACACACAATAATCTCCACTATCTTCCACAGGGGGTGATTTCTGTTGGTTTAGATACTGGCCTGGTGAATTGTCTAGTTCAGGCACATGTGGATTTGAACTGTGACTCGGCCACTTACTATCTGTATGACCTTAAGTGAGTTATACTAAGACCTCAATTTCCTCACCTGTAAAAAAATGATGACAAAGTACCTCCTGAGAGAACTTTGTGTATCCAAAGAGGGAATGCATGCAAAGTGTTAGCACAGTCTGGCCACATAGCAGGCGTCCAGTGAATAGCAGCTACTGTTATTGACAAAACTTCTTTCCTCAGTTTTTTCTGAACAATTTCCCATACACATTCTATGTTTAAAATAAAGATCCCCAAATAGTATAGGACAGTGTCCAACCTCTAAACAATATAGGCTCTTGGGGATGGACAACTTCATGATACCAAAGGCCATCTCTATATTTAATTGCTCACTTTTTGATACATTCACTCGATGCCAATTAGAGTAGATGTGGTAAGCTTTCTTGGAGCATACAAAGGTGGTTCCTGTCCTTTCTCAGTACAGAAGAAACAGTAAGTCAAGTGAACACTATGTAAGATGCCACCAAGCAGTGCGATAAGAACTTTTATGGAAGCAGACAGTGAAAAAGTATCCACTGTAGTGCCTGATCCACATATTGCAGACACATAAAATATTTACTGAGCAAATAAAGGCCTTAGGAATTCAAAGGAGTTAGAAGGGAGGAAAACTGGCACTTGATCTCAGCTCTAGTGGAAAAAGTAGAATTGGAAAGGCAGGCTTTCCCCCAAGAATATTATGGGTAAGCAACAGAGATCAGGAGTAAGAAAGTGCAGGGAACAGCCAGTGGTCCAGGCTGGCAGAGATGTAAATGATGGCATGTGTGTGTGTGTGTGTGTGTGTGTGCGTAAGATACAGCTGGAAAAGGGGGCTAATGTTTAAACTGGGGAAGATCTTAAAGCCATGCAAAGTGTTTACTAGAGAGACACTGTACTCTTCTGTGCAGTAGAGGGCTAGAGTCAGAATTATATTCTGCCAAGATTGTCCAGGAAGCTGTGATTCATTGACTTCGTCATGCATCTATCTGAAGTAGATATTGAGCTCTGGGTATCAATACAAATACCTAATCCCCTGAGCCTGCCCTTGGGTCTAGGCAGGAATGTAGCCCAAGAATCCTTGCTTTCTAAAGTAACAGTGCAATCTGCTGACTCATATTTAATCATACATTTGCTTGTGAGAATTCATACTGTGGTGTTTTGAATGGAAGTTATTTTTTAGCCTTAGAGCCATTGATATCAGGTTTAACATGTGTGGAATGTGTCATGATTGTTTGAAGAAAGGAATTAAGGCTTTTTAAAAAATTTTTAAAGGCAATTTGGCACTATATTTAGTTGTAAAAAGCATTGGATCAGGGGAATCCACCCAAAAAGTGGTGTGGAAAGTACATCTATGTGAACTGGGCTGTTGCAGAGTTAATTTCTATCCCATGCAAAGTTCAAAAGGATAATTTCTCCTTCTAGAGCAAAAGAAGGAAAAGCATTACTTAGTCATATTTTCCTCACTCACTAAAAGACTCTAACCTCATCTGAATAAAAAAGTAACCAAATGACCAGCCCAGGTAGTCATTCAGCCATGCAGCAAGGCTGGAGCTCTGTGCAGTGTGACCCCAGGCCAGCAGAGAGCTGCCAATAATGCTCATTTCCAGCCAGTAGTAAATGCTGCCAGTAGGAGGTGAGTGTGGAATAATCCCATCACAGCTACTCTGGGAAACATGGTTTTTAAACCAGGAAACACGTTGCCTTAAACAAACAAAAAACACCCTCTGGAGAGAGTGGAAGTCTATGCGTGACAACGTCTGAGAAGTTATTCATAGCAAAATTTGGGGGGAGAAAGAGAAAAGTGAAGACCTTTTCACCCCACTGAAAGACAATGGGTGAGAGGGAGGGAGAAAGTAGAAAAACACCCTATTATTTTGATGACAGTGAGTTTCCTTCTAGGCAGGGAGGGTGGGCATAAATGTAATGAAAAGAACATTGAACAAGTCAAGTTAGATGGGGCCAAACTCCAGGACACAAAAAAGAAAAAGACCACAAATCCATACTCCAAACAAGAAAGCTGAGTTGTCTCAAGGGCAAAAGCTGAGAGTTGTTTATTTTTGTTTAAAAAAAAAAAAAAAAGGTAATAAATCCCCATCAGGACATGGTCCCAGTGCTGGGGACTTAGTAAAGGTGTAGCCATGGCTTCTATAAGATCTGTTAGTCTATAGCACCTCTTGCCTGCTAACTTGGAGGGTATCTTCTGGTCTTTCACTGAGAATCTGACCATGTGTTTTAGGCCTAAAAGTCTCCTTTCAATTCCCTTGGTCTAGAAGCTTCCTCGGCACACTTACTATTAGAAAAGAAAGCCTGAATTTTGAAAATATGCGTAGAAAAATGGTTCTAAAGAAGGCAGAGATTACAGGTTTAGCAAAACATCATCACTGTAAAGCTAATCTTTCGAGAAGAATATGATTACAGCATTTTCCTGGATTTTGTCAGGTGAATCCTTGAGAGCTGAACCTCTGTTAGACCCAGAGACCACAGCTCTCAATCCTTTTAATCCCCAATTAATTAAAACTCCCTGAGAATACCAACAAAAAGGTGGCCCATGTTCTTAACTCAGAACCTGAACTCACATCATCAGACATCAAGGTCTAAACTTCCAAAGTCTATGATGTCCCAGGAAGGGCGTGAAGCCAATGTATTCAGTTCACAATGTTCTTTATTTTAGAGGAACATGAGCCAGGGAAGAAATGTTACTAGGTAACGTAAACTGGAAACCAATAGTAAGGAGAGATTACTCAGTTGGATAAAATGTCCTTTAATTTAGGTGAAAATATATCTTTTTCTATTTCCAAAACATGACCTTGGATACCATACTTCTTAAATGACCAGGTATCATATAGGTCTGATTATCAAAACCCCACTTTAATTGGTAGGCAACAAGTCCACCAGGTTTTGTGACCAATTATCTCAAAACAAAATTTTCAGGGAGCAAGTTTCATAAGGCAAGTAAACACTGCTAAACTGTCTTCAAAAAGTGAAGAGCTGTGTTCTGGGCAGGGCATGTGACTGTGCAGTCCCACAGGGCCTTGCATCTAGAAGGGCCCAGAGCTTAGTTTACTGCTCTGCTGTCACTGTCTTAAAATTCAAAATAATTTTATAATTTTTTTTTTTTTTTGAGACAGAGTCTCACTTTGTTGCCCAGGCTGGAGTACAGCGGTGCATTCTTGGCTCACTACAACCTCCGCTTCTTGGGTTCCAGCGATTCTTGTGCCTCAGCCTTCCGAGTAGCTAGGATCACAGGCACCTGCCACCACACCTGGCTAATTTTTGTAATTTTAGTAGACACAGGGTTTCACCATGTTGGCCAGGATGGACTTGAACTCCTGGCCTCGAACGATTTGCCTGCCTCGGTCTCCCACAGTGTTGGGATTACAGGCATGAGGTACCACGCACGCCCAGCCCTAAATAATTTTTGAATAAGAGACAAGCATTTTCATTTTGTATAAAGTCCTGCAAATTATGTAGTCAGTCCAGGCTACAGAATACCATCTACAGCAAAAGTGTTCAATCTCTTTTTCCTTTATGAGGACGTGGCAGTCTTGGATAGTCTCGGATAGTCTCTCTTCTCTTCTGGTTGACCTTATGTTTAAAGACTGTAGATCAGACAGAATTAAGTAGTTCACTGTAATCACACTCATTCTCCCACAGGATCCCCTTGGGATGCCTCTGAGAAATTCCACGACCTGAGTAAAAGCTAGAAAGAAAAACCTTACAGGAGGGGTTTTATGTTTTACTACTGGGCTTTATTTTTGTAGTGTAAAAGGGACTTGGGGGTGGGGGTGCAGGGGGAGTGGGAGAAGCCAAAAGAACACAAAGAACTTCTTTGAAACTAGATAAAATTTCCTTCGAAACAGCACACATATCTACGCACGGTTTCAAGAGGATATCTTAAAGTTCATTATAAATCCCCTAGGTGTCTCTGACCACTACTTGGAAGCCACTGAAATAAAGGTGACTTAAAAAGAAGGTGAAGAGTATGAGGTTGAGTAGTTACCCAAAGAATTTCTGTGCAGTAGGCTAAATATCATAAATATGATATCTTGCGGACTACTTTGTCTCTTCTCAAGAGTTTGAATTAAGATGTGGTAGGAAGAAAAACTGTATGACAAGGGGAAACGAAGCCTCTAAAATGCAAGATTTCGCTCTTCTCCACATGCTTTCTTTAAATCTGGTTCTGAGAATTTGAACCAACTAAAGACATCTGTTTTCTAAATTACTTAGGTCAGTTATTTTGTGCCCTTCCTTGGTGAAATCCATAGTTACCGATCTATTATCAGGATTACTCTAAGTATAACACGGCAAGAAGCCAATGAATTTTAAGTTTTTAAATTTTCAATTATTTTATTGAAAAAAAAATGCAACAAAATAGCTGCTCAGCTACAGCCCAGGAGTTAGCGGACCCCAGCTGCTTTGTACATTAATTACTAAATCTCATCTGGACCCAAATTAAATTTTCTCATCTGTACTGAGAAGCGGGGGAGAAAAAGGTAAGCAGAAGGAGAGAGAGCCAAAACATGCTCATATATACTGAAACCCTTTACCAAAGAGCATGAATTTTAAAATCTCTTTTAGAAGTTTGGTATGCAACATTTGGCCATTAACAAAACCAGAACATGGCTCTACCATAACATGCTGGTTGACGGCAAGGCACATCACCATGGCGATGCTGCATATTGCATAATTCAAAGGCCTCTCACAGACCCAAATAATTATGATGTACTTGTATTGCTTTATAATGTTAAGGACCTAAATTAGTACAGAAAAATAAATGCTTGTCTAGAGCTTGGTGCATTTTTTCCAAGTCTATTTAATTTTCAGGGCCATGTTGGAATCTTCTCACTGGAATTTTTCTCGCTTATACATGGTTCCATCCCGAACCTGGAGTAAAAAGGAAAAACTCATAGAGTCTATGAGAATGGGAGAAGGAAAGCTAGTCAGGCATTTACATTTAAGTCAAGTCTGACAACTGAAAAATAACAGGGATTTATTGGATGTAGCCTTCTGCTTCTCTTCACCACAGACACTGCTCTGACAGTGCAAAAATCTCACTAAGTTTATTGAGAAAATATTACTTAAGCTCCAGCTCTCAAAATGGATTCTGTCCTTGTATGGAAAAGCTGTGGTGAGTCCAGGCTGACGCCTGATAATGCTAAGAGTATCGACCTCTACACACTGAGATCAGCAATGAAATGGTTTAAAGCCCACCTGCCCCTCAAAGTTGCTCATGCCTTTGTCCAGTCATACTTACCCAGGCCCCCCAAACCTAGAGTGTTTTCTCTCTGCTCAGTGCCTTTCCACAGGCCCTAGGACTTGAAAGTCCTTTCCCTGCCTTGTTCTTTGGTTCAGGACTGCTCATGCTCCAAAATACAGCCCCCAAGAGGGGTCAGGCTCCCGCCAAGCCCCCACTACCAGCATATGCTGTTGGAACATTCTCTCTACAACAGTGCAACAATTGATCTTTGTGTCTCTTTCTTCTTTGAAACCGGAGTCCTTTGCAGGCAGGGATGTAACAATCTTTTTTTGTGATGGAGTATATGCAACTTTTATAATTAAAGAATAATATCATATGGATATTCCATGTAGAAGGAAAAGGAAGAAAAGGAAGATCAGCAAAGAAATGTAAATTTAAACCAAAATACTTTATATGCAAGGAAAGGAAGAAGGAAGTTATATTTTCATTGGTAAAACTCTAATATCATAAATTCAGGCAGCAATGTTAACTTACTGATTTATTCCAAATTAGCAAAAAATAGGCTCAAATTTCACCCACAGGCTCCTCTTTCTTGATCCTTAAAATTAAAGTAGCTATATTATGTCAGCACAGTGCCAAGATTTGAAATTAAATAGGTCCCCAATGCAAAAGAAAAAGTTCTTTTAAACAACATGAACTTGTCTGCAATTAGCACATTATAGCTTCCACCTAAGCACCATGCTATATGAAAATACACTCCTGGAGCTGCTGCTGTTTCAAAGACCTTAAGCTGTGCACTTTCTGAAGTTGTTTTGTAGGAGAACATTTAACAGAACACACACAATTAATTTTTTAAGTGTTACCTCTCTGCTTTTCCATTTCATACCTGACTTTAGTTGATAAAAAGAGGAGCAGCCTTTTGATTACACTGGAGAGAAGGGGAAAAACAGTCTCCGTAATAAAAGAGGTACCTGCCAATTAGTTAGATTGTTCTCCAGTTTTCAATTAAAGGCAGCCTAATGGATGTAGGGGGACCTGTTTTATTTTCCCTGACAGAGCCCTTATTTTTAAACTCTTAGCTTCATTTTCCAAAATTGCTGGCTTTAGACAGAAGAAACATATATCTTGAGTGAAAAGCTGTACTGTTCTTCTTCTATTTCCTGTATCAAAATTACATTTTTCTCCTCAGTGGCTACTTCCCATCTGGCCCACAAAGCTTTCTGCTGCCCAGGATGGGCTTGTTAACGGATGGTGGTCCCTGATGCTATAACCCACTCCAAAAGATGGGGTGTCAGACCCTGCCCCCAGGCCAGGAAGCCTCATCTAGGAGCTTTGGGGGTGTTTCAGCCTAATTTTGCTTTCCTCAGGTGATCATTCCATGGAACGTCATTTACCCTTCTCATTTTCTCCAGAAGGACAAAAGAGATAACTTAGGAGGGAGTGTTTATTTTGAACTCATCCAAAAGCACTTCAGTCTCTCCTAAGCATCAGCCTGTGGATGAAATTTGGGAATTATTTTCCTTAGATGAAACAGGACTGAACATTTCCTTGGACATGGCTGGCCTTCTTCCTCGGAACACACACATATTCAAGATTGATATTTTTATTCAGAGTTTTCTCAAATGAATAATTAGGAGATGTTCACAGGCAGGTGTAGGAAAAAGAGCCGGGCCCCCGTAAATCATGATTAAACTACATTTAACCACCAAAGATCTGAACCACCTCTTGTTAACAGCTTAGCAGTTTTGTTTCTGTGGGATAGCACAGTCCCTAGACTTTGGGGAATTGTGGGGCCAATTCCCCATACTGTCAACAGTAGTTATAGCAGCTGAATAAATCCCTCCAGATTGGACCAACCACTCCCTCCAGGCTGGAAAATAAGCCATGAATCACATTATCCTGGTAACTTGAGATTTAACATATCTATAGAGGGAAGATATAAAGCTTCATGTATTAATTCCTATTTGTTTTCAACATCACCTGAAGTTTAGTTGGTTCAAACCAAAGATGGCTACAAGAGGCACATTAGAACAGAGCATGACGCCTTAGTGAGCATTAGAATAGACCCCGTGAAAGCACCAGGCAGTGACACAAAAGTAATGCTTTCATCCTGCCAAGAAAACAGAAAGGTGTTTTAGGAGCCCCTCAGAAGGAGATTCTGAATTAATGTGTAATTTCAGGTTTCCAAATGGCTTTTATGAGCTTGCTTACCCAAAGTATTTCAGAACATCATCTCTTTTAATTTTTAATTTTTATCCGCTCAAAGCTCCAAAAATATACTGATCTGAATCATTGCCTCTCATCTTGTTATCTTAATGGGGGAAGGATAGAGTATCATGCCGACCATTCCGCATTAGGTGTCCTCATTTACAGATTGAAAAAAAAAAAAAAAGTGCCGGACATAAATTATTTAAAATCTATTGTATCAGTGTGTGTTCTGTAAGCATTCACTACCGGCAAAGCAGACAGATTATTTTTCACTTTTAATTGTGTTGATACCTTATCTGCTTTGTTGAAAGCAGAGAGTGGTAGGTGAAACCACATCGCACGCTGAGGAACAGAGAAGCAATGGGGTCTATTATTTAAAGCCAAAGTAACCCATTTAGTGGACATAACTTTAACACACTTCCATGGAAGCGAAAACCTGGAGTTGCTATTTACGTCTGTAATGTGTGTCTATTACTGTGTCAAACGCGACTGAGGGTAGCACAGGGCCAGGCTTCTTAAGGAAGCTGTTAGCTGACTGCATCAGGGACACCAGACACCTCACATCACCATCCCAGCACAAAAGGAGAGAAAGTGTGTGACTGAGCAGGGGAACTAGTCCAGCATCCCTCCTCTCTCTCCTCTCCAAGTCTCAGGTGTGTTGTAAAGCAATGTAAATCAGAGGTCATCATAGGTATACTTGACCTAATCCAAACCTTGTCCTAATCTAAGAAAAATATTTAGAGTAAGAAGAATATACTTAGATAATAAAATTAATAATCTGTGACTGGAACCTGATTGAAATAAAATTATACAGAGGGATACAAGGATTCATTATTAGAAATTCAAAATTAGCCCTTCTCCCATTGTCCGTGAAGACCATCATCAGGAAATGCATATATGTGCTGGATATATCAGAATGTAGCCAAAAAAGTACCTCACCATTATCCGAATTTAAAAGACCCTTCCAAACTCAGCAACTTAGCAATTCATTTGGGTGAAGTGGCAGATGATGGTAGGGTATATACAGATAATGACTATAGAATTGTTCTGATGTAGTTTATTAAGTTGAAGACCTGTCATAACTCTAGCTTTTTGTATCCTCAGCACCAAATCCAGCACCTTGCCTGGCATTCAGTAAGTATTTGCTCACATGGATGGGTGGAAGGTTGCATGGGAGAGTGACTTCGTTGGCCAAATATCCTCTGCCAGGGCTGTAGGGTGGCTTAAGTGACTTCTACCTCTACCCAAGTAGAAGTCCAAAGGGCTCTAAGCTAGTCTACTTTCTTCCTTTAACTGGCTTTGTACTCTAAGCAAACAGTTGAACCATTTCTGTAGTTCCATTTCACAAGTCTGAAATGATCTCTACATGCCTTCTAGCACTGATATTTGAGATTTCCACGTGTCTTATTAAAGGAACACACACTCAGCATGTCTCCAACATAAGCCTTAGCTCTATACCTTTTGTGACACATGGCTGGTTTGGTAAGATCCAACGAGCTAAAGAAAGCCCAGTCTCCCAAATATGGGCCCTTTTTGCATTGACTCAAAATCCAGCAAAAAGACAACTCCCAGCAAAATACTCAAGTCAATAACCAGACACAAAATGGAACTGCATCATATCTGATATTTGTGAGTTTCATTTCCACACTGTCAAATATAATTCGTGGCAACCCACTTCAGTGAAAGCCCAATGTAAGCCACTGCACTGTTCTTACCCTCCAAACTCCACAACCCCAACCAGTGTGAGCTTCAAATTGAACTCCTGACCTTTCCAGCAATTATCCCCAGAATCTAGACAGCCCCATCATCACCTCAAGCCAACGTGTGAGAGGAGCAGCAGCCAGGAATGCTCTGCCTCTGTTCCCGAAGGGAACCAGAGTGAGAGAGGATCCTGCTTTCCTTTCCATCTGCTTTCTCCAATAAAAGGGAAAAAATAAATGGAAATGAAAAGTATACAATTAAAAAAAATTACATTTAACTTCCTTTTGCTAATGTCTGTAAGATGATTTTTGGCCTGGCAGGAGACTCCAGATGGGCCGTGTAATGAATATAATTTAATACAAAGAACCGGAGTTCACAGAAACACATTTTTCCAAGTCTGAAGGTAGTGGGTTGTCTCACACTGTTTAATGCAAAACACCAGGACAAGTTATTGCATTTATTTGCTGTTGCACATTGGCCTTTAAACCTAATATGAGTGGGGCTAGACCTGAAGCCATGAAACCAGAAGCTGTCACTCTCTGAGATGAGGCTGGCACCAGTGCACACTCACCCAAAAGGCCAGAGACCACTAACCACTCAATGTGTTTTTCCTCTGGGGTCTGAGGATTTATATCACCAATTAAGGCCATAATGAGTGCCCCAAGTTGACCTCCTAGGAGCAAGAATTAATTAAGCACAGTATTTCTTAGTAAAGAATGACATTTTTCCAAACGAGTTATATAAGGTGGCCACATTTTCTGATATTACTGTGCTTCTATGTACAATTCCTAATTGTTAACACAAATAGAATATTCCAGGAACACAGCTTAGTTTATGTTTTTAATTTGACAGTAAAAGAAAATAATTTTTACTTTTATCCTTATTTTGGAGGCAAAGAGAGTGTTTTGAGTGTATCGTGTGTGTGTGAAACACAAAATTATTTACATTAGTAATATAATATCACTTCTTTCAATTATTAATATGACTATAAATGAAGGAAGCTAAGACTCATATTTATAACCTTCCCAGCTTTCAAAAATGAAAAGTCATGTTTTAAACCCAGTTGTACTCCAGCATTCGTGTGTTTCCATAAATATGACAATGGAGGTTAAAAAAAAAATAGGTTAAAGCTTCCATTTTGTAAACTACACCTTAAATATCCTCATCCAGGGGTTGGCAGATTTCTATAAAGGGCCAAATAGAAACTCTTTAAGCTGTGGGCCAGAGACTTAGCTGCAAATACTCAACTCTACCATCACAGAATGAAAGCAATCATAGACAATACAGAAATGAATGGATTGGCTGTGTACCAAGAAAACTTTATAAACACTGAAATTGAATTTCATATAATTTTCATATGTTATATTAATTTTTTTTTCAAGCATTTAAAATGTAAAAAAAAATTCTTAGCTCTTGGCCATACAAAAACAGGCAGCAGACCCGGTTTAGCCTATGGGCCATAATTTGACAACCCCTGGCTAAAACATATGTATATTTTGTAGTAATCAGCGAGGTTGGAGAAAACACGGTCTCTTTCTCACTCTCTCACACATGCACACACGTACACATACACCCTAATTATCAACATCACGGTCTCAGAAACTATTGATGTACTACAGAAAAAATGTGGCTTCAAGCATGTCTCTTTTGCTATGAACCAGGACATGAAGAAAACCTCAGCCTTGAAGAAATGTTACAAGGGTGGTAGGAAAAAGACACCTCTTTCCTCCTCGCCCTTTCTCATAAAGAAAATTCCCACTCTAAATTAGAAATCATGTCTTTCCCTCCTTTAAGGAGTTAACATAGCCAGCACAGATCTGGAAATCCCTACAGCCTACTTGCCAATTAATGTATTTAACTCTAAAGAGCAGGAGTTTTTAATTTAGCTCATCCTTCACTAACGGAACATTTTGGTAGAAAATATTAGGATTTCCAAATAACTTTATAGCTCTGTAAATTGCCAACATACCATCTGCAATTGAATTAACATTTATAACCAAACTGAAATAATAAATAAAGCAAATTACGCTGCAAATATTTGTGAGTGCCCAATATGCACTTGAGAACGATAATTAGCATTTTATAATCACGCTTCATTTTCTTTATCCGACTCCCTGTCACATTAATGATAAAATATTTTAAACTGTGCTCTATCAGCAAATGGCAGTACAATCTCTAGATTAGCCATTAACTAACATGGAGAATGAACACAGTTTGTGCTGCTGACATTATGCACCCAGAAGTTTTACTCATAATCACATCCTCCAGTCTCCCTTGCTCTTATCTCTGGGTTTTGTTTTGTTTTCCTATGCTACCAAAACAAGGCTGAGAAAGCCAGTGCTTCATTTGCACCATCTGAACCAGAAGCTCTATGGGAACTAAAGCCACACACTCTCTTTTTTTGAGTGAAAAAAAAAAAAAAAAAAAAGAAGAAATATGATTTTAAAATTTATGACTTTCTGATCTAGAAAACCAGGGTCTAGAGGTCAAGAAGCTTAAGTCACTCAAATGGAATCACTCTTGTCCTCAAATAATTCCAAAGTTCTCTCTCATTATCATCTGACATCCTCTACCACAGTATGTGTGATTCTTTTTCTAGGTTCAAATAAATGTTAATTCAACTAAATAAACTAGTGAAGACTATATATGTACACATATTTTTTCAACTAAAATTTCTACCAATTAGCAAAATTTCCCCAAGTTTTCCCATTATCTTCCTTGAAAGTCAATTCCCTTAAAACAATTGTGTCCCGATGCTTTCTTGAATCATTTCTGCCTCTCGCTCCATGTCTGTTTGCACTTGACATTTTGGGGTTCTCTGCCTGTGTCGCTTGGCTGTAATTCTCACATCTCTTTGATCCAGGGCTGTTCTGTCCACTACAGTAGCCACTAGCCACATGTAGCTATTGAGCACTTGAAATGTGGCTCATTCAAACTGAGATGTGTTGGAAGTGTGAAAGTTAACATCAAATTTTGAAGACTAACTATGAAATTACTATGTAAAAATATTTCAATAGTTTTATATTAATTGTTGAAATAATTTTTGATATTGCAGTACATAATGTATATTAGTAAAATTAACTTCATTTGTTTCTTTTTAAAAATGTGGCAGCTAGAGGGCTAGGCGGGTGGCTCACGCCTGTAATCCCAGCACTTTGGGAGGCCGAGCTGGGCGGATCATGAGGTCAGGAGATCGAGACCATCCTGGCTAACATGGTGAAACCCCGTCTCTACTAAAAATACAAAAAAATAGCCGGGCATGGTGGCACGCGCCTGTAGTCCCAGCTACTCGGGAGGCTGAGGTAGAAGAATCACCTGAACCTGGGAGGCAGAGGTTGCAGTGAGCCGAGATCACGCCACTGCACTCCGGCCTGGGAGACAGAGAGAGACTCCGTCTCAAAAAAAAAAAAAAAAAAAAAAAAAAAAAAAAAAAATTTGGCTGCTAGAAAATTTAAAGTTACATGTGTAACTTGCATTTGTTGTTAGCATATTTCTGTTGAACAGTGCTGGTCTACTGGGTTCTAAATGCAGTGATGCCTGAAACTTTTTGTTGAGTACATGCTCTGCTATTGACCAAAATGATTATTTTTCAAAGGCCAAATCAAGTAAAGCTTTTGATCAACTAAATCCTACATGAGTGTCATCAGGCAACTCCAGAAATTTCAAAGAGCAGTAATCTTTGTCTCAGCCTGCATACAGTCATATTTTTATTGCGACAAATGTTTGATAAGCCAGACATACCACTTGAATATAGAAGGAAAGTGGAAATGACTGTTTCCATAGCATTATGTGCTGCTATGTGCTAAGCATCCCCACATGTCCAGCCAGGTTCTGTAGGAAAAAAAAGGGAGCTGAAAGCAGAGGCTTCTTATTGCAGAGGTAGTCTAGTGGTTGGGGGCTTGGGTCCTGCTGCCAGATACCCTAGGTTCAAGTTCGGCCTCTGCCTGTTATTAGCTGTGTGATCTCAGACAAGTTACATAACCTCTCTGTGCCTTACCTTGTCTTTTAAATGGGGATAGTACTATTTTCTACCTTGTGGGATTGTTATGAATATTAAATTTGTTAATAGCCTAAAACAGTACCTGGCAGAGCATAAGCAGTCAAAAAATATTTGCTGTTATTATGATTACTAGTCTTTACTGCCTTTAAAGACAGACAGAAGTGTTCACAAAGCAAATGGAAGTGGTAAAAGGTGCAAAGAAAGCTAAAAACAAAGAGTAAGGTGAGACCAGGAAAGAAGGTAAGTTGGATGTAGGTGAAGAGGAAAAATATCTGCAATGTACCACAGGGACAATATGTACAATATGCACAGAAGCACTGTCCTGCTAGGATCATTCACACAAACCATGCCTGCCACCAGCTGATAGGCTGATTCAGTGACCATAACAGACAGGCTCTGCATGCTTAACCGAGGGAACAATCTGTTAATTCTAACAGTTTATGGATCTGCCTTTTAGGTTATAAAAGGAAAGCACATTTCTGGACTAGCTTCTGGGCTAGCTTTAAAAATATTTGGCCAGTGTTTTTCAAAAATTTTTAAATGCAGAAAAATTCAAAAAACATAATTCTTTTATTTTCATCCATTATTTCTTCCTGGCATTTAAGGCAGAGGTTGCAAACTGCTAATTTCCAAACTGAATTGAGCTAACAGACATGTTTATTTTGGCTCAGTGGTGGCCGACACAGTCTTTTAAAAACTTTTAAATACATTGCCAATACTTAAAGAATAGATTTAAAATATGCAAGAGATTGACTTAATGTTCTTTCCTAATATTTCTTGCCTAATCATTGTATGATCTGAGTGGTTTTTAGTAGTGAAATGTCTGGAGAACCAAAAAATACCTTGAAAAAGCCATAATCCTCAAGTAATAGAGGAATTCTCTTGAAATATTGAAAAACCTGGCAGTGCTAGTTCCACATTCCTGTAGGGCAGTGGCTCTCAAAATGTGGTTCCTGGGCTAGCACTCAGCATTCCCTGGGAGCTTGTTAGAAATGCACATTTCTAGACCCCCTGAACCTGAAACTCTGGGAATAGGATCAATTAATCGATCCTTTGACAAGCCATCCAGGTGATTCTCATCATTATAAGCTTGTACTCCATTGAGGCATGCAGTAGCAAAGAATTAGAAGACAGCTACTATCTTTGCTACACTCCCCACCACCCTCTACTGTAACAAATCAGCCTGCATTATTTACTTACCTGCCCTGCCCTCCCAATAAAGCACCTGGTTTCTCAAATCCAATAATAAAAATTAACTCTAATAAGAAAAAATAAATAACAACTTCTCAATGGGCTGATTTCTGAAGAAAATGATCAGGTATCTTTTTATCTAAACACAACTAAAAGGATTGACTCTCACCTTTAGAATTATATGAAACATCACCAAAATGCATCCTTGCCATACTTTCAAGGACTAGTGAATCAGATAATGTTAAAGATGGGAGTTAGTTACCTTAGCTACCATTTGAACCTAACCTGGCCCATGACATAGGCAGAAAATCATGTTCCTAAAGGGAAAGGGAAAGAGAAGTAACCGGGAGGTTCACAGACTTGGCCCAGGTGCTACACCCTACCTGGAAAATGTTGCAGCAACAGCAACTACTTTATAGAGCTGTTATGAGGATTAAATGAGTTAAAAACATGGGTCTGGAATATAGCAAATTCTAGATACGTGCTCTTGGCACTAAAGAAGCACTGTGTATATACTACACTGTCTACTTCTCAAAATTATTCCAGTGCTCACATGTTATTACACAAAAGATGAAACTGGATTTCAGTGGTTTGTCCAAACGATGGAGCCAAGATTTGAACCCAGGCTATGTGATTCCCAATCCAATGGAAATTACTGGTTTAGGCTAAGGGGCTGCATACCAGTAATAGGAAAAGCAGAATCCACACACCTCTACAATATTCCGCCTCATCAAAATTGAGTCTGTTGTGAAATATGCAAATCTCTCACTTCCAAACAAATATAACCAAGTTTTTTATTTATTATTATTCAAGGGTAATGGGCATTTTGTGGGTCATTCAAGTTCTTTTCCAGCTTCCTCGTTATTGCACTGCTGGTAATGTATGCATGGGAGCAAGAGGAGGGAGGAAGTCTTATCAGTCTGTTTCACTTCCATGTGGCTGTTATTCAAAAACATCCAGTAGAAGAGGGGTTGAAAGATGCAGTAGAATTAACATGACCTGTTGTTTCTGTGATCAGTGATAATCCACTTCCTTTATGAGAGATAATAAAGCCTTGGTAGGTGGTAATGAAATGTTTGAACCAAGTATGAGATTTGAAGACTTCCAAGTCTTCAACTCTGACTAACAAAGTAACAATTCAGAGCTGTCAAAAACACTTCCATCATTCTTTAGATCTCCTTAAAATCCATGAAATTCAATTCTTTCAAAAGTCATCACATGTACTTATAAGGATTCGAACAAAATTCAGCACATTCCATTTCATTTTGTGTTTAAATTTTAAATAGGAACAAATTAATAAATAGCTTTTGGGGTTTTAATCTAATTTGAAATGTAAAAAAGAAAAATAAAATTCATGGTCAGAGACAGGCATGGACTGCATAATACCATGCACAACAAGGCTGAGATTTTACAAAGCAGCCATTTAACATAGAGTAAGACACCTTTCATTTCATAATATGGTATTACCATACTGAAACCAATGAACACACCATGACAGATTCACTGAGTAGTTTTTAAGTAAATACCCCTGCATATTTTCTCATTGCCCTTCCCTTGACACACTGTACTTCACGAAAATTCACATCCAAGTTCAAAGGCAAAAAAAAAAGAAGACAGACAGACAGACAACATTTTTAAAACAGCCCAGCCTTAGAAATATGTACAGAATTCATGCCTGTTTCAAGTGCTCTTTCTCCCTTCCCAGAGGGTACAATTAAAGGCCCATAGACGACTTCCAAATGGAGGCCAAAGAGAATTTTGGTCAGAGTCAACAGGAGTTCACCACCCTGACCATGCACAGGAATAGCTCTCCCCAAAAGGAATAAATAACTATTTTGGCAGGCAGCACCCTGAAAACGCAAGGACTGGAGCAGCTTACATTAGAGCCCACATTTGGTAAAAATAAAAAATTCACCCAGTGGCCTAGAATCAATATGAGAATAGTGATATGATCTGATGCAAGCCAGGAGAAAGCAGGGGGCCTGAACTTGAGACCACTCCCTGAGAGATCAGCTTGCGGTCTGTTTCCATAAAGCTGGCAGAGCCAGGTGTCACATGGGCCTTCTGATTTCTTCTTTTTCTCCCTGTGTCCATAGACGTCATGTCGATACTAAGGGTACTGCATTTTTCTCAGTCACCAGGAAAGCCAGAACGCACTCACAGCAGCTTAAAGGTGGGTGGTAGCCACATGTCCATCCGCCATTTAACTGAGTGAGTGTGTCCCCTGAAGTAGGGCAAGATGGGTGGTGGGAACCCACAGCTCCCTCAGTCTGTCTCAGTTCCCATCTGCTTTTCAGAATGAGCCACTAGTCTTCCGAGGGCACAGAGATGCATATTTTTCCTACAACAGGCTCTCAAGAACAAGCCACCTGCTTCATCTGGCATCTAACTGAAGAAAGAGCCTGTGATTCAAAACTAAACTCAGTCTGCAGCAGCTTGGATTTTCCAAAGATGGCCACAATAATAGCTCCTTCCCAGATGCTCTTTTAAAGTGACTATGGCACTATCCCAATGAAAGGAGGGTTTATGTCCCCTCCTCTTGTACCTGGATGGATCTGTGGCTGCTTTAACCAATAGAATTTGACAGGAGGAACACTATGGGACTTGCAAGGCTAGGGAATAAAAGGCCATGTGGCTCCTACCTTGTCCTCTGCAACCTTCGTTTTTGGACCTCTGAGCCCCCATGTAATAGGTCTGACAACTCTGAGACCACCATTTTGTAAGGAGGCCCAAGCCACATCAAGAAGCTGCTTGTATTGATGCTCCAGTTAGCAGTTCTAGCTGAGGACTTAGCAGGCAACACCAACTACGAGACCTATAACTGAAGACAACTCCAATACCTACCAGACACTGAGTTACTCCAGATGTTGACTGTCATCAGCTGGGCCCCAGATAGCAGGAAGCAAAGACAAATCATCCCCACTATGCTTACATAAATTCATGACCCACAATCTGTGAGCCAAATAAAAAAGTTTTATGCTATTAAGATTTGCGATGGTTTGTTATACAGCAATGGTAACTGGGACACGTCTTGGGTGATTTAAGGGTCATTTTAACCATATACAATATTTACCTCATATGCTTATTCTAGAAGTTAAACCCTAAGGGAGAAGGGATTCCACTCTCTGTCTTACTTACATAATAGAGCTGTTATAAAAAGGAGATGTTGCATATGTACATCCTCAATAAACTGCAGTATGCAAGTACTTGTAGTAATTATAGGATTTATCACTTCAAAATGAACAGAAGGCATCTGTTATTTCACTGTTGTATATGACAAACAGGGAAAGACCAATATTTGAAACCCAAAACCAGTTCAACTTGGGGCTAAGAAGTAACCTGAATAATTGATAAGTTCAACCATTGTGTAAAGGAAACAGTCACCCTTGGCAGACACCAAAAAGCCATCTCATCAGGTGGCATACTGAGCCCCAATGTTGTTCTTGAGTCACCTACCCCATGCCCAAGAGCAGCATGGCAATAGGCAGCTAGGAAGATACAGCAAGACAGATGGGGCAGGCACCTCTGCATACCTCTGAATCTCAGATGAGCATTTACTTTCCTAGAACTAAAAATGAAATGAATAAAGGATGCCTATTGACATTTTCATTCTTCCTTTCTGATCTGTTAGGACATACTTGGCCAACAGTATCCTAAACATCTCCTCCATTTGCCCCATAGCTATTGTCCTGTGATAACTTGGATCTAGTACAAATGTGCTCTAATTCTGTGTTTTCTCCCACCTCTTCTACATACTATTTATTATTGAGTCATTCAACAAACGTTTATTGAGTGCCTACATCATGCCAAGATTTGCTGTGGGTGCTGAGAATACAGAAGTGAACAAGACTTACAAAGTTCCTATTCTCATAGCACTTACACACTAGTGGGAGAGAAAAACAGTGACTAAGTAAACTATTCATGAAAGAGTTTCAAATAGTAATCAGTACCACAATGAAAGTTCCACTACAGGAAACTTGCAACCTCAGGATGGCTGCCAGCACTTCTACTCCAGGGAAGACTCAACAAGCCATTGTGGAAAAAATGGTGTTTACACAGAATGGGACAGTTGTAGGCCCACGACTGGGTCTCTCACATAAAGACAAGGATAGCAGGTGCCCTTTAACTGCTTGGGGAGGTCCCAGAAAGGCAGGGGAGACTGTAGAAAGATAAAATGAAAGATACGTTATGATCATATTCAGTTTGGAGGGAGGCAATTTGGGGTGCCACACAATTTTTTTTCCTAAATCTACCCTATAAACTATTCTTAAGAAACTTGTAAAAAGTGTCTGCAGAGAATGGAGTGTAAAAATAGAAGGCACAGCCAAATAAGAGTATCTCTACTCAAAAGGTTTTACATAAACCTCTTATTAAGGGCCCCAAAGAGTTTGATATTGCTGGGGAGGGGACCCTTTATCCAGTGCATATAAATGCAGCTGTGCAAGACAAGTACACTGAGAACCACATGGTTATGGGAAAACAAAAAATCATTGTAATTCTTAGAGCAGAAGAAAGGAGTAAACATTGGCAACTGCCCATTCTCCTTCTTCTAGACACATGGTATGTTTGCATTTTCATCTACTCCATTTGGATTAGGTGAGGCCAAGAGGACTGCTTTAGTCAATGAGTTGTGAGTGGAAATGATGTGTTTGAGATTCAGTAGAAAGATACCAGTGCAAGTGGGCAATTCTCCATTGTTCTTCCCCTTAATTCAAGGGCCAGTGATTTTCTAAATGGAGGTGACTCCATCAGTCTTGGTCCTTGAGTGAAGGTAACATGGAGTAGAACTATCTATCCAAAATGGACACATGGTGTGAGTGACAAATACACAACTACTATTTGAAGCCATTGTAATTTTGAGTTTGTTCCTGCAGCATAACCTGGCCTTACCATAACTAAAATGGGAAGAGTTAGGGCCTCAACTGTGAATGGAAGAAAGGATGTTACTGTGAGAGTAACAAATGCCAGATGCATTTCCTGCAGGAGTAATAGCACTGCAGAGCCAAGGAGACTGATCTTGAAGCCTACTTTAGAATGTTATTGGTCAGCGTGGATATGGCAGAGGACTTCCATGAGAGGAGAGGTGACTTGGGTTCCAGCAAGGATTCAGAAACAAACATTTACCCACATCCATTGACTGTGCTCCCCAGATGGCTTGAAGAAAAAGAAGTAAGTGTCACAAAATATCAAGCCCCAAAATTTTTCTGTTATTTTTTCTTTCCTATATAAATTCTGTTTTATATATTCTTATAGGAATGTCAGCTTTATTATTTAAAATAAGTTACTAAAATACTAATTACTTAATAGTAATATACTTCAACATAACTTATCTATAGTGATTTTTTGCAGGGGATCCCCCCCCCTTTGTTATTTGGATAATAGCTTATCCACCCCGATATAATACAGGTAAACATTTAGTTCCTTGGAGGTCACTCTTACCATCCCTCATCCAATGCTCATATTTCTGATAGTGTACGTAGTGGAGAACAGAAATATTCTTTCTGAGGCCCAGAGCTCATAAGAAATAAGACAGATAAAAATAATCAAATAACAAAGGAATACCTGATGTAGACTCAATAATTCAAAAATACTCTTTTAGGTATCTTAAACCACCAAAGTCTGGGATATCAATCCTGTGAACTCTCTAACAGCAAACATCATACACGTGAGCATAGCAAAAGAAGTGCCTGCATTATGAATTTGGGTTTAAAAACCAAATATATTCAGTGAGGACAGTAAGACCCATTTACGATTTGTAATGTAATTCATAATTTTGCACAGATCTTACCTGTCACAAATACTTAGAGAAAAAAATGATATCTGTATGTATACTGTACACAACATGAGACTCAAATTTTTGGTCAACAGGCAAGAATTAGCACCAAACATGCATTTAAGTAGGGCATACTTTCCACCTAATTCTTAAAGCAGAAAATGATAATTTAAGAGCAAAATACAACTGAATTAGAAATTATACATTTAATTTCATTTTAGTGAAATAACAAGAATTAGCAGAATCACTTAATTTCTGATACCCTCTTTCTACGTTTTGGTATTGGAATGAAAACTTTCATACTTTTTATCACAGCTCAACACAACAAACATACTAAAAGATATTCAAGCATTTCAGCATAACGTTTTTGATGAAATCATGAGATTGACAAACTGTAGAGCCAAACAGAATAAATGTCATCAAACAATATCTTAGCAAGTGTTGGGACTGTAAACTGGCTTAGGGTCCCAGCCAGCTGAAGGAACACCTAACAGAGCAGGATGACTCTGGAAACTGAAAAATAAAAAAAAATACCACCACCTCATGCTATTATTCTGAATTTATTTATGTTAATGAGGAATGACACATATAAATTAGAGCAGCAGCTTTCAGAAGTATTTCTTATTGAAAACATGACCATAATCGCAAAGTCCCCAGATGTGGCATAGCTCATGTACAATTTGAGTACAATACAGAGAAGTAAGATCCAAACAAAAATTCTCATTTCCCTGAGGAATAGTCAGATGATCCCTACTGGGTTTGACTAATAA
The DNA here is from genome assembly GCF_000001405.40 of Homo sapiens. NCBI lineage: Eukaryota > Metazoa > Chordata > Mammalia > Primates > Hominidae > Homo > Homo sapiens. Next base: position 25,474,221 of record NC_000003.12, on the reverse strand, counting down.
GGATAATTTTCCTGATGTGGGGGACTTTCCAGGGCTGTATGAATGGTGGTGTTGTGTACTTAGAATTGCTGCTATTTTCAGATTCAAAAGCCCAGTGGAGAATTAACATTGCTTGGTCATTCTAGTTTCTCCAAATTTGTTTAACCATGAAAATCCTTTATAAAACTATGGTATTCTCCCCATCGCTGACCTACCTCAGAGTTTTCTACTGCTCATTATTTTAAGGCTCACAGAACCTGAGAAGTACATTTTACACGCTCCAGTTCAGAGTTGCAGCCAAGATAAAGGTTTTTTTTTTTTCCTGCCAGACATAGAAAATACCTCCATAGAAGCAGAACCGAGAGGGTCACCGAAGATCTTGCTTTTTTCTTATTGAAATATTTACTTTGCAAATCCACCAATCTCTGTTATAAATGAAACATTACATGAAGCCCTGAGAGGGAGGAGAAGCCCATGTGAAAACACAAGGGCTGCCTCAGAAACACTTGAGAACAAGTTAAGAAGTGAAATTCACTATATATATGCCTTCTCATACATCTTGACACCAGTGAAAAGGAAGCAGACACCCTGGCAGACGGGCCACCTTGACTGTACTGACAAGTTTGGTGACAAGCTTTATAAAAACAGTTCTACCTTGAACATTTATAAAGCCTGCATTTTGCTGCTTTTGAAATAAAACAAAACCAACCCCAACAAAAATGCCCCAGGAATAGTGCTAGCCACAGAACTGCTGCCAGAAATCCAGGCAGGACGCTGCTAGCAAAGGAATGTCATCTTTTCAATATGGAACAAGAAACAAGGCTCTAATGGGGCCGGCCTGCCAGAACCCCAGCTTTTCCCCTTCACCCCAGACAATGCTAGCTTTGTACAGGCAGAGATGCACACAGAGTTTTATTTCCCTCTATTTTTTTTTTTTCAGGGATGAGTTCTAGGGTCCATAGAACAAAATTTTCCCTTCTGGTGTTGCTTATCCATATGACACATTTAATCTTCCTTTCTGAAGTGGAAAAATACTCAATAACAACAACAACAACAAAAAGACATAGTTCCTAAAAGGCACAAGAGAAATTCTAATCCCAAAGAAACTATTATGGTAGGAGATAGTGACAAGAAGACAATGAGAGGGATGCGTGGTTTTCAGGACATAAGCATTGCGTTGTGCTGGTATGACTGTTGTGCTTAAGGACACATATTTGATACAACAAGAGAACAGAAAACAACTGTTTCATCTGGTGTTCCATGGAGTGATCTGTTTCCAGAGCTATGGCAAGAACTGGCTTTGTAGGTCCTAATGAGAGACATATGTCAGTCTCCAGCAGTGTGCTTTTCAAAGGGATTTTCTGGGGTAATTTTGTCTACGTGTAATCTTTGCCTTGTGTGATGACACTGGAATCTAACCCCTGATAAAGGTCTACCTCTATTGGGTAAGGCTTTCCCAGTTTCTCAAAATGTCAAAGCTGAATGAACTAGGAATATGGGGATGTTTAGAATCAGAGGCCTTGAAAAGATAGTTTGATAAATTTCAGGGAACCTTACAGAAATGTATTTAAGGAGGTTCTCACAGTAACCATTTCAGTAACAGAATCACATTATAAATCAAAACCACAGATGGTAGAATCTGCTCTCATAAATTCTTAGTTTCCTCATCTGTGAAATGGAGGGGGAAACAATCGATTCCACCTACTTCTCTAAATATGATGAGGATCAAATAAAAAAAACCTATGGTAGAAACTTAGCTCTTCACCAAATCCATAATTTCTTTCCCTAAAAGTAGGTCTGTACCTGAGCACATGGCTAGACTACATCTCTGAGTCGACTTTGCAGTTGGTTTTGGTCACGTGTCCCATTCTAGCCAATGAGGTATGCCATTCTTGGCCGGGGCTTTTAAGAAGCAGGTGTACTGCCTCCCCCACGCTCTCTTTTCATTCCAGTAGCTAGAATAAGATGATGCTAAGAACCTAAGAGGATGACAAGCTGCAGCACTGGCAGGAGTCCTAATCACTGTGTGGAGAAGAGAAGGCTGCCAGTCAAGAGCTGATGTGAGAAAAAAGTCCTGTAGCAAACATTGTACCTTGTGGGGGTTTACTTTTACTTCAGCTAAGCCTGGCTTAATTTAATTTCATACATGAAAATGCATTAGAAACACTAAGGCTATAGGAATGTAAGATATAAGACAGTTTTATTATTTCCATGGTTTTACATAGGTACGCGGGTGGGGAGAGAGGCAACTGTAGAGAGTGGGAAGACCAAGGGCTCTGAGCCCTGCCCTGACAATGAGAAGGTAGAGGGGGGCTGATGAAGAAGGAAAGCCTTTCCAGACAATTTCATTTCATATCACCTCTTTACAGGCATCCACCCAGGAGAAGGAAATATGGAAAGCTCTCTTAACTTTTCTAGTAAAAGGTGGAGAAACAAAGAGGATAATTGCAATAATAGCAGACCTTTAGTTTGTTATAACAAAAACAGCAAATGAAAGTGTTCTAGATATTTTCAAACAACAAGCAAAGTAAGCATCTACACAAGCATTCCTGAACGTTTAACCATTAAAAAATTTATAAGCCTCTTAAAACCACCAAATTAAATAAACTATTTTTACCACGCCAACTCAAGGAAAAAAAAAAAACACGCAGAGTTGCGGGCTAATTCAGAATTCACTCCCCCCGCCCCCAACTTCCTGTTTATCCATACACCAGAAGGAAAAAAAAAAAAAGACAGATTTTTCTGCTTTTTCAATCCAAAATCAGTTCTCAATTTGTTAGAAGAAGAAAAGTGTTTTCTCCTTCCGTAGGAATTATTACTAGGAAAAGGTAGATTGTCATTTCAGCTGTCTTGAGGTTCCTCGATATGGAGGTAGATTCTCTAAGCTGAGATTTTTCTTAAAGCACTAACAGCCCTCAGTACTCTTCCACGTCAGTATATCATTCCAGGCACTAGTTCTTAAGAGTTTGCCTAAAGATAGTATCAGAGAGGACATACGTTTTGCAATGAAGGTTAACTGAGGTAGAAGGCAGAAATTACTAAGAAATGAGCTAGACTTTGGTCACCAAAGACCTTGTCCTGTTTATATATAATTCCATGAATGTTTACATGAATGTATCATCCCAAGCCCTATGTAATTAGATGCAATTCATTATATAATTAGATAAAATGTATGAAAGTAATATACTATTTGCATTATTATACAATTATATCTTATTATGCGTTATTTATAACTACACTAATTACTGTATAATTAGATATAACTTATGATAAAAGCATATATACATTAACGTCCTACTATGTGCCGCCTCCCTAGCACTATGCAAAGCCCTAGTAATAAGGCTGTGACAAGAGAGACCTGCCCAGCCCTCCTGGAGTTTATAGCTGACATTAAACTAATGACTTGGTAATAATGACTTGGTAATAATGACTTAATTTCAATTGTGTTAAGTGCTACAAAGGCGAACAACAGCAAATGTAAAAGAGGGGGACCTAACCTGGGGGTTCCAAAGGAAGGCTTCTCTGAGGAAATGGTATTTATTGAGTCCTTTTGAGTGTCTTTAATATCCTATGGATCCCTAGTTGTTTATATAGGGTTATGCAAAATAAATGTTAACAGAATGGATAGATTTCCATTTTTCCATGTAACTCTATATAGGCAATTTTATTCTGAGTCCTCTTGCCTTCCAGCCCCATCTTCAACTTTTGCCTGGAACACTCCTCTCCCCTTCCTCATCTGGAAAATGCTTACACATCTATAAAATCACATCTTCTATAAAAGCCTTCCATGAATGTGTCAGAGGGATCCGAGACTCCTTCTCTGTGCCCATCAAACCCTTAGCTACAATTGTCACAGCACATGCCACACTGTTTCCTTGCTCATTCATTCATCCATCCAATGAATATTTACCATTTACCTGTAATCGAGGAGCTTAGCTTTAAAATTGCATTTTAAAACTTTTTTTTTCTTTTCTTGCTCTCAGCATTAAAACGTACTTAAAAACTTTTTGTTTTCCTCCCTTCCTACCAGACACTCTCTTGAACTACTAGCTTATCTAATTAGGCACTTACTTAGAAGTTCCAGGAGCTAATTTTTAAACAAACCAGGTATGGAGACCCAGCTGTGAAATTGCAGAGATTACCTCAAAAGGGTTAGTCTACAACCCGGGCATTGCTGAAATGATGGCACGCTGTGCTTCAGGTGGACCGTGACTCAACACGGCCTCCGGAACTGAACACGCAGACCTTGCACCCAGCACCACTCCCACATGCTCCCACCCCTCCTCCACGTTCCCCTTTTTAAGCCCCTCTCCACAGCCTAAAGTTTGGAATGGTCTTTCAAAGACTTGAGCCTGGTCATTCCCCAAAAGCCAGAATTTAAATCCTTTTACCACACCTAGCTTCTCATGTTTTCTGCCTCCAAGCAGCCAGCAGCTGGGCTTGAGCCAGTTACATCCCTATTATTGGACAGGCCTGGTTCTCTGTATTTTTTAGGCAATGGGATTCAGCATTGGAAAAAATATACACAAAACTTTCATTTCTATATCCTGGAGCTGTCTCATGGAAGGCACTTAATAAATGTCTGATGAATGAATGAGGAAACATGTAAATCCTCCATGGTTGGCAGATTATAGCAACAGGGAACAGAGGGACGCTTTTTGGGTCTATGAGGGAAACTACTCTGTGTGATCCAATATAGTAATGAAGTTTATGGCAGGTTTCATAATTCATTCAGCTATCACAGAGTGGTACACAGAGTGTCCTGTTTTTGTTATTGTTTTGGATATGTTATTTTGTTCTTTGGGATCAATACTGCAGCAAACCCCTAAAACAGAAGCAACTATCAGAGTGAGGAAAGCTAAAAATATTCTCCAAAGACAGCATCATGTTCATGTTTATCCACTCCAATTAAAAACAACAATGTGGTTTTAAATGGCCTTGGTCAAATAAAATCATTAAGCTCATTTAAAGTATTTAATAGAAGTTCTAAAATTAAGTGCAGACATCCATCTTCCTGATTGCAAAACTTTTTGTGACTGAACATTCTGCTTGCTGTCTGCCAGGAAAACCCAGCCCAGCAGCCGAACGCTGTCATGGAGATGAGGGCCTCCCTCTCTTCAGAGGCTAGCAAAACAAAGGCAGATGAGAAAAATGGACAAAATTAGCCCTGAGGGACTGAGGGGGCTAGTGGAGTTTAAACTCTTAAAAGACTGCTTTAAATAGAAGGCTACCAATGTGACCTTCAGCAAGCATTTCCTCTGCGCCCTTGTGGAGAAGACACGCCATCACGGCTGTGCCAGGCCTCGCCCTGGGGCCTTCTGCAGGACAGGCTGGATTGTGGCCCCCAAAGGTTGGCTTAGGGATAGGAAGTTTCCACCCATCAAAGGCAAAATGTAGAGAGCAAGGACAAAGCTGCATCTGGGAACATGCCCATGTGTGGGTTCTGCCTGCTAACTGTCCCTTCTTGGGAAAGACTGACTGCCTTGTAAGCGCTTCCTTTTTTAATTTTTTGTCGCAGAGATGTCATTTCTTTTATGAAATGATCAAGACAATATGTTTTTTAAAAATATGCCCCTATCTGTTAGTTTTAAATTTGGTGGCCTATGAAACCCCCACTCTAGACCATAACACACCACTGCTTCAGACCTTCTGTCTAAGTGTGGCTGAAGCAGTGGGGTGTTTTTTTTAACAGGAAAAGGATTTGAATCCCAGCTCTAGCAAAGGCTAGCTGTGTGTCCTTGGCCACGTTCCTTAACTACTCGGACCCTCTGTTACCTCATCTATAAAATGTGGGTCACGGAGCCTACCTTGCAGAGCTGTTGTGAGAAATAAAAGCGCTATGGGTTAAAAAAAAAAAAAAAAAAAAAAAAGCCCAAATGCCTAGTGTACAGAAGGCACCCAACAAGGGTAGTTTTCTTCTTCCCTCTACTCCACACTTGGACGTACAAACACTGGAGACCTCTTACTCCACGTAAGCCAGCCCTAACAAGAAATCAGTGCCATTATTAGGTTCACTGCTTTTATGTCTGTATTTGACATGGTACTGGGTTCAAACTTGTGGATTTGCTTTCATTTTACAGATAGGCTAAGGCCCAGAGAAGTCAATGGACATAGCCAGAAGAAGTAGAAATGCTCCGAGAATCCAAGTGTTTGGTTTCTGACCTAAAATGCTTTCTCTCTATGACTCACACCGCTGGTTCCTCCTCAGCCATGAGATCCCACCTGACCCCCATCACATCAGGCCCCCTTGACCCCTGTGAAATAGAATACCCCTAAATTATTCTTTATTAGACCATTCTGTTTATTGTTTTCCAAATTTAAATTATCATCTGTCCCTTGTGTGAGACACTAAATTCCATGAGGAACTTTGTCATGTTCACTGTTGTATCTCTAGCACCCGGCATAGGGCCTGAAACTTAGTAGGTGTTCAACAAACATATGCTTAAGGATGAATGATTGGTGAATAAGGTTGTCAGAAGAGACTTGCCCATCAAACTAGGGAATAATAGAAGACGGTATGTAACCAAATGCAAGTTCTGGTAGGCTCTCCCTTTTGCAAGGTGACTTTGTCACTTCTCCCCTTAGGAGGTGAAGTTTATTTCTTCATCCATAGAATCCAAGCTTAGTCACGCAATTTGTTTGGCCAAGGGGATATTAGCAAATGTGATACAAGCAGAGGGTGAGAAGTGTTTGTTTGAGCTGGTTCACTGGATAAGTGGCGTTGGCTTGCTATGATTGTATGGTGATTGTCTTCTCTTACTGATGGGAACCCATCCACCACGTGAAGAAGCCTAGGCTAGGCTAATGGTGAGCAACAACAGGGGGAGAGGATCTGGTCATCCTGCCAAGGCCCCAGACATGTGAGTGAGACCGTCCTAGACCACCTGGCCCAAGCCAAGTCAGCCAAGACAAGAAGACCTATCCAGAATTATAATGAATAATAAATGTCTATTGTTTTAAGACATTAAGCATTTGAGTTATTTGTTAAGCAGAAGAAGCTAACTGATACAACAGCATAGACTATGTTCCAGAAACCTCTCCAAGGTGTGACGTCAGGTATTTCTGGACGTAGCTCAATTACCTGGATACTTCTAATTTCTCTGATTTTGGATGATGGGAAAGTGGGATTTGAGTGTGATTGGAAGGGTGGAGGAATGACCAGACATGGCTTAAAGCTTCTAAGCCACAGAGCCCTGGGCAGGTGGACATGAACTTCTTTTAGCAGTGTGGAAGTGGAGCAGCAGACCCAGGCCCATAGCCCAGCAAAACCAGCGGGCTTGCCACTTTTGGCATGAGAGCTTTGGGGCACCAGCTTCTGAGTTTTAGAAGTTGTAAGAAGAATAACATCATCAAGGGCCAAATCTGGTCCACTGCTTTTGTAAACAAAGTTTTATTGAAACATAGCCATTCCCATTTTTGTACATATTATCTACAGCACCTTTCATGCTACAGTGACAGAGTTGAATAATGGCAGCAAAGACCACATAGCCCTCAAAGCCTAAAATATTTACTATGTGGCTCTTTGCAGAAGCAATTTGGCAACCTCTGTACTAGGGTAATCCAGGGAGGCTCCATGGAGTAGTAGGGTCTTAATGTGAGCCTTGAAGGAAAGAGGCAGTGTTATTTTGATAGAAAAGAATGGAGAACTGCAGAAAGAACACTACAAGAACAGTACTAAGATTATAATTGATGTTACATCACTGTGTGCAAAAGTCATTATAATAACTTAATGATAAAACAAACGATAGGCTGGGAGCGGTGGCTCACGCCTGTAATCCCAGCATTTTGGGAGGCCTAGGTGGGTGAATCACCTGAGGTTGGAAGTTTGAGACCAGCCTGACCAACATGGAGTAACCCCGTCTCTACTAAAAATACAAAATTAGCTGGGTGTGGTGGCACATGCTTGTAAAGCCTGTAATCCCAGCTACTCGGGAGGCTGAGGCAGGAGAATTGCTTGAACCCGGGAGGCAGAGGTTGCAGTGAGCCTAGATCGCGCCACTGCACTCCAGCCTGGGCAACAAGAGTGAAACTCCGTCTCAACAAAAACAAAACAAAACAAAACAATAACTAAGCATGTATGTGCCACTTAGTACTTATCACTTACTATGTGCTAGGTACTATTCTATATGCTTTATACATAGTAAAAACATTTTATCCTCACAACAATACCATGAGGTAGGTAATATCACCCCCATTTTTCCAGATGAGAAAAGAGAGAGTTGCACCAAGCTTATAAGTAGTCTAGCTAGAATTCACATCCCAGCATTCTCACTCTAGACTTCACATTCCTCAAAAGCTACAAAAGTTGAAATGTAAAATATGATTAAGGCCAAAATTTTGCATTAAATTTTAGCTATGAGCAATAAGACTGTTTTCCAAAGACATTATTTTATTTTGTCCTATTATTTTTTTAATATTGCTTTATTATTTTATACTGTTAAACATTCTTGGCTAACCACACTGCACATTCCTTTTGTGTACTCTTTGTCCCCTACACAAAAACTGCCATCGCTCACCTGGAAACCCCCTAAACAGGGCATCCCTACAGTGTGTCTAGTGGTTATACTGCCATGGTAATGCTGTGTCAATACAGCAGCCGCTGACCATTCATTCCCAGAGATGGACCACACCCATTTGTTAAATTCTGACCACCATCGTATGGCTGCAGCAGAGGCTGAGACTGTCACCCAGTCCCTAGGAGGATGGAAAGTTCTCTTCCCCAAATAATAGTCAATTAGGTCATCCTGGTTATGACAGGCAGAAGCCACCGTAGGCATTACTTCTTGAAGATATACCAGGCTCTGTTTGGGAGTCCTACTTTAGAGCAGAGGTTCTCAGCTTACAGTAGTAAACTTTGATTTCCAGCCAATGGTTGGGCCAGTTTCTACCGGTCAACAAGGGGCCTATGGTGCATCTGCTGGTATCCTAAAATGATACCACACACAGGGCCCATAGTAAATATCAAATTAAATACAGGCAGAATTCAAGAAGAAAAGTTGCTTCTGGATTCATTACCTTATTATATCACAAGGGAGATAATAGATACTTTCCGAAAGGATTTACTTTTTACAGACTACTAGACAATAATCTTTTCTACGGGGTATTCTGGCAATCTGATTCGAAAGCCTTAAAAATATACAAAGCCAGTGATCTAAAAATTCCACTTATACTGATTTATCCTAAGGAAAATTTTATCCTAAGGAAATTTTCAGAGATATACTTAAAGGCCATAATTTAAAGTGTTATTTATAATCGAAAAAAACTGTAAGCACCTTAATCAGTTAAATAAATTATGACATAACCGTAAACTACTATATTAATTGTATAACCATAAAAGCTATGCAGTTGCTTAAATTTGGGTCATAAAATATTATTAAAGATTAAGTTAAAACCAGTATACAACACAAAATTCCATTTTTCTGAAACAATAACAATATGCATATACTTACAGAAAAGCTGAGTTTTACAGGGGTTCCCTCCCAGGGTAGAATAATGGTTGTTTTAATTTTCTATTTTTATACAATAAATTCTATACTGTATTGATAATTTTTTTAAATGACAATAAAATTATATTTAATTTTTTTAAAGTTATATTTCTTTTTCTTTGGCTGTTGTATTTTACCATTACCTCCTCATGTTTCTCAGTTCTGTGAATTTTGTCACTGTATTTTCCCAGCAAGCTTAAATGTAGACCAAGTCTTTCCCAATGACCAGGGAGAAGAGCAATCCACCCACAATATAAAAATATTATCAAATTCAACTGGCTGCCGAACTCACCTGACCTTATTGGGTTTATAGCTCTGTTAAAAAGATACACCATAATATGACTCTGTATCACTTAACTGAGCTTATCAAAGTTGTTTGTGCCGGTATGGGTTTTGTTTTTATTGGGGTTTTTCCTAAAAAGGAGTCAGAATCCCAAACTAAGCTCAGAGAACTCACTGACTATGAGCTGATTAAAGCAGTTTGTGCTATACAGATCATGAAACAGCTTCATATGCAGCTCCTAGTATGTGCCACAGAGACACGTTGGATAATGATGAGAGCAGGTACGCTGAGTTACAGCATACCTCACTCAGATTTCTGGACATGAGATGACTTAACATTTTTCAGAAATAAAGAAGTATCTTTTCATTTACTTTTCAAATAAACATTAGAAAATCATTTATTTATATATTGCACAACAAGTGGACAAAATGAACTAGCTATTCCACTGAAACCTTTCCAAATCTCAGGATAAATTTAAGTAGGTTCAGCTAGGGGTTACTAATAATAAAGCAATAATTGAATGAACAAATGTCTTCCTTTTTAGTCAGCTGCCAACTGGTTGCCCATATAACTTTCCTGACTACCATGTCAGAATCTACTGGAGAAAAGAGAATTGCCATAAAATAGCACAATTCCAGAGGCAGAGAGATGTTCCTAAGCCTTTAATGAATTTCCCAAAACTGGCCTTATTATATTCATAAACCATAATACATATGTTTATTTAAATGGTTTGAAAAGAAGGGAAAAACTCACAAAATTACTTTGAGGGGCTGAGTGACATTTACGCATTTGTACAATCTTTTTTTTTTTTTTGAGATGGAGTCTCACTCTGTCGTCAGGCTGGAGTCCAGTGGCGCGATCTCGGCTTACTGCAACCTCTGCCTCCCGGGTTCAAGCAATTCTCCTGCCTCAGCCTCCCAAGTAGCTGGGACTACAGGCAAGCGCCACCACACCCAGCTAATTTTTGTACTTTTAGTAGAGATGGGGTTTCACCATTTTGGCCAGAATGGTCTCGATCTCTTGACTTCGTGATCTGCCTGCCTTGACCTCCCAAAGTGCTGGGATTACAGGTGTGAGCCACTGCACCTGGCCAAATTTGTTCAATCTTTAAGCACCCACTATATGCCAGACTATGTATGACATGCTGGGCAGTGGAGCTAGGGTCCCCAACCACTTTGTGTTCATAGGCAATCAGACATGCAGTACAGTGGTCTAATTACAAAAATGACACCCATTCCCCCGGCCCCTCCATATCTATATCACTTATTACTTTGAAGCTCTGCCCATTAAGAAATTGAGTGGGGCTGGGCGTGGTGGCTCACACCTGTATTCCCAGCACTTTGGGAGGCCAAGGTGGGAGGATCACTTGAGCCCAGGAATTCGAGGTCAGCCTGGGCAACATACGTGAGACCCCCATCTCTACAAAAAAGCTTTTTCAAGTTGACAGATTCGTTTTATTTTATTTAAAAGAAGAACAAAAGTTGAGTTGATGTTCCTACCTACTGAGTCTAGGCTGACCTTATAACTTGCTTTGGCCAATAGTGTGGCAGAAGTAGTAATGAGATGCTTCTTAGCCTAAGCCTCTGGAGACCTTATGTGCTTTTGTTCTGTCTTCTGGAACCCTGCCTCTGCGAACAAGCCAGGGCCAGCCTGATGGGAATGAGGGATCACATGGAGGAGAGCTGAGTCTCCCCAGCCCACAGTCAGCACCCCTAGAAGCAGAGCCAACTAGCTAACCTACAACTGCCCAGAGATACATGGTGGAGCCTAGCCAAGTCCAGGTGAACCATGCAGATGAGTTTGGCTGAAACTGCTGACCCACAGAATTGCAGGCTAAATAAAGAATTGTTGTCTTAAGCCATTTAGTTTTAGGATGGTTTGTTATACAACAGTGCCTGACCAATATATACAGTTAAGTGCTAACTCTGCTAAGCCAAATATAAAATGCCATGGAGTACCTGTAACATTATTCCAACATGTTAACAATTACAAATGAATCATGCAATTTAGATGTATAAACAACAGATGTAAACAACCATCCAGAGAGGACTTAAAGAAGTTATATATCTAGGGAAGGGCTAGTTCAAAACAGCCATAGTTCCTTTGAGAAATTTTTTATGGATGAGTTAGTTGTATTTGCCTTTGAAGTCATGTTTCTTTTCTTTCCTGAAAAAAAAGAAGAAGCTCTTTCACTCAATTAAGACTGTTGGACTTGAAAACAATTGTCTTGCTTGATTCAAAGCAGCCATATACTACTCTCTGACACATGTTCAGCCTCCAGTATTCCGTAGGCAGGAATTTTAAATCCAGCTCCCCTGAATTTATGACACACATACAGTAGCAAGTCCCTACAGGCTGAAAATCAAACTGTAATTCAAAGGCCACAGAGCTGAGGAAAACAGCCAGCAGACAAATCCCAGTTTCAACCTTGAATTCCCTGCAAGTTGATTCAGTGGACTGTCAGTCATATTCAAAAATAAGATAAAACTACAGACACCAGACGGCATGTTCTAAAGAGAAAAAGAACGATGCTTTTCAAGATTCTTCCAACCAGTTCTTTGTTTTTTGTTTGTTTGGTTTTTGAGACAAAGTCTCGCTGTTGTCCAGGTTGGAGTGCAGTGGTGTGATCTTGGCTGGCTGCAACCGCTGCTTCCCAGTTTCAAGTGATTCTCGTGTCTCAGCCTCCTGAGTAGCTGGGACTAGATGTACCAGCCACTCACGCCTGGCTAATTTTTGTATTTTTAGTAGAGATGAGGTTTTGCCATGTTGGTCAGGCGGGCCTCAAACTCCTAACCTCAAGTGATTGCGCACCTTGGCCTCCCAAAGTGCTGGGATTACAGGCGTGAGCCATCACACCTGGCCTAGCCAGTTCTTATTATCTAAAAGGAATTATTATGTGGGGGTAATTTAAGGGCCTTAGAACCTTTGACCCTCATCAGTCATTTGCAGAAGTTTCTGAATTTTAAACCAAAGATATATAAGGAAGTAATAAAAACCACTGAATATAACTGAATTCACCACACTTATGGGAGGTGATGTTACACATCCAGCCCATTTTTGGAACTGGGTAGGTCACCTCCATAAAGTACATGGAGAATGAGAGTTCATCAGGCACAGAAGTGTGAATACTCACCTTACATCCCTCACAGGCGCTGACCCCATAGTGGTACCCTGATGATTTGTCCTGGCAGACGAAGCAGGGTTTGTACACTCGAGGGGGAGGAAGTGGAGATGGGGGGCTTGGGACGAGTTCCTCAGAGCTGGTGCTCTGTGTTTCAATTGCTATAATAGAGATGGGGTAGAGGGAGAAAAAAGAGAAAATGTATTTTAGTTCATTACTTTTTTCAACAGTGAATTCATATGCTTCTGCCCCAAATTCAGCAATAACACTAGCAAGAATGGGCTCATAAAAACAGCTGTCATTGTAGGCCCAGCAGTGGTGACACTGACATTGATGTGGTACTCTACGGTTTACAAAGCAGTCTCATACATCTCTCACTTGCAGTCCACAGCTCACACAGAACTGTGAGGGCCATGGTTTTTATCACAATTTTAGCCACAACAGAAACAGAAACTCAAAGGAAGGAAGTGACTTGTCTAACTAAGACCAGCAGAGCAGTGGTAGAGCCAAGACACAAATTCAGATAGTCATACTACAAACCCCAGTAGCTTCTGATTCATGTAGAATCTCAAACGACTTGACCTTGTTGCTCACTTAACCAAAAGTAAATTTTCTTTGTAGCTCACACCTGTAATCCTAGCACTTTGGGAGGCTGAGGCAGGGGGATCACCTGAGGTCAGGAGTTTGAGACCAGCCTGGCCAGCATGGTGAAACCCCATCTCTACTAAAAATACAAAAATTAGCAAGGTGTGGTGGTGTGCGCCTGTAATCCCAGCTACTCAGGAGGCTGAGGCAGGAGAATCGCTTGAACCCAGGAGGCAGAGGTTGCAGTGAGCTGAAATCGTACGACTGAACTCCAGCCTGGGCAACAGAGCAAGACTCCGTCTCAAAAATAAATAAATAAATAAATAAATAAATAAATAAAAATTTTAAAATTTTCCTTTGGACAAATGAAGAAAATGCCCAAATTATTCATTCAACAAGTGTACTGGGAGGGTCTTTAGCATGATGCAGCCATAACTGATCTTCATTAATAACAATATGGGTAAGATCCTTGCTACTCAAAGAAGGCTCCTTGGGCCAACATGCATCGGCATCACTTAAGATCTTATTAGAAAAATAGTATCAGGTCCCAGCTCAGGCCTGTGGAATCTGAATCTGCATTTTGATGAAATCCCCAGATGACTAAATGTACAATTAACATTTGAGAAGCAGTAGGTTAAAACTAATGATGACACAGAGTGGTGCGATTCACTTTTAAGTCATGTTACTCTTTATTCTAGATTAAAAAAATAATAATCCTCCATCCTGTTATCTAACCACCCAAATTCCATGGGAAATGGGAGTTCACAAAATATAAGAACGGGGTGTTCTCCTACCCCTAATTCTCCAGGATTGTACTCAGAATCAAAGCAAGAACTGGCTGTACTTCTATCACAGGTAAATATGCTCATAAAATAAGATGGAAATCGGGAAGGAGAATTAAAAGTGGTTAAATAATGTTCCAGAATCTTCTAGTCTCCAAATTGCTTTTTAATACACAGTGTATTTCCCAGAATATAAAGTTTCCAGTTGCCCTACTGCTTATAATCTCCCAGAGTAGATATTCTCCTGACTGGATTATCCTGCAGGCAAGCTTTTAGCAAGTCAGGTCAACTCTACCCACTAAACTTATTGTTAATCCATCCCCACATCACTATCCTGCTACCACACCATGCTAATAATCCACCATCGCCTCTCACAACTGCTGCAATAGCTTCTTCATTGGTCACTTCATGCCCCTTCTTCCTACCTAGTGTCTATTCTTCAAACAAGCAGTCAAGATAGTTGTTCAAATGTTAAAATCCATCTGTTTCACTCGCCTATCTAAAGCCCTCCAATAGTCACCAATTAGATCAAAGTCAAACTCCTTAGTATGTTCTACAAGACTTTTCATCACACGGCATTTTAGCAGCATCATTTCCTTCAGTGAGTCCCCTAATTTATTGAGTTCTATATAATTGGCATCTATTCTGTCTTCTGAATAGGCCAAGCTCTCATACCAACTGAGGCTATTGTGATAACTATTTGTCCTTTCTAGATATTCTCAGACCTTCAAATATCTGGTTGTTTTTCGTTTCTTAGATCACAAAGCAAATGCTACCTTCCCAGAGATGATTTCTCTCATTAAAATGCCCCTCTCCATTCCTGGTCACTCTGTCTCACTATTTTATTTCCATAAAACCCTAACCAGTGTTCAAATTTTAGATGTTTGTATATAATTTTATATTCTACATCTGCCATCCCCTATACTCTAAATATTGAGTTTCATAAGGGAAAGAAACTCACCTGCATTGTATACATCTGTGTTCCAGGACTAGTAGAGGTCCTGGCACATGGCAGATAATCAATAAATATTTGTTGAATTAGCACATGAACTTTTTCCTTTTCCTTTTTCTTCCTCATTTTGAGCACTAAGAGTCCCTCTAAGTTGTTAAATGATAAAATTAGAAACCAAATAGCTCTTATACTCCTTTGCTTCCTTAAAAAAGTAATTAATTAGCCCTTTGGAACAGAATCAACTATAATTATAGTATTTTCATAATTCAGAAGAATCTTGGAATGAATTCATTTGAGTAGTACAGGTCCTAGTAGATAAATCTATTATAGTCTTTACTGGTTAGAACCAAGGTATCTGGGATGAAGATATCAATCTTGAGTACATTATTTCTGGCAGATAGGAAGCCCTTGCTTTGAATAAGTTGGCACAGTGGCAGCAACTGTTTTATAGAAGGGCTGGTATCTGAGATGTCACTAAAGCTTATCAGCTATCAAGCAGTAGATGCAAAAGCATTCTTCACACGGAACTAATCAGCTTCACTGAAAGCGAATTAACAAGAAAACACTGCTTGTTAAAATTAGAAAACAATGTATCACTGTCTATTAAAAATCTAAGGAAAAATACACACAGAATCACTCACCCACAATCTTTTCACTCAGAGAAATTCACTGTGTACGACCTTCCAGAATTTTTTTCTATGCACATAAATGTTTTGGGTTTGTCTACTAAGGTGGAATTATACTGACACTGCTGAGGACTTTGTTTAACCTATGATGTCATCAATTTATTTCCTTGTCGATAAATATTTTTCACAGAAAACATTCCATTGTGATGAACAACTTTGTAGCTAATCTCACCACATCTTTATTTCCTTCAAATACATTACTGAAGTGTAATTATCAGTTCAAAGGTTGTTATTTTAAAAATATTTTGTTTTTAATGCATGTTGATAAACTGACTTCTAGAAAGGTTGTGTAGATTTACACTCCCTGATATCAACGTAAGTGACCCCTTCCCCAGATGCCTCTCAAACCTTTTGGAGTGGTTTGATTTGTGTGCTTCTACTTCCATCCATGTGCTTCAACAACTGACAGAGTCATGTCATCACCACTATGATCAATCTCGCATTGAGTTCTTCACAGAAGGAAGGTGGGGAGCGGTGTGTTTTAAGGTCCTACTCGTTCGTGTAGAACAGCTAATCTGGCCTGTCTAGGAAAGTTGTAAATAGAATTCTGGTAGGGCTGGAATCAGCTGTCAGAGCTATGCCCTGAATTTCAAAAGTGGGTAGTAATTTCCATAAATATGCCACTTCAAACACATGCACTGAAGGGAGTCCAGCATTTCACCTTCCCAAAGAAAGGAAACAAAATTGTGCATAATTTAATACCCAAGAAACTTGGGGCAAAGCACACAAAAAACGGGAAGTCTACTGGACATTAAAGATCCCAAAGCATTTTACAAAGATTGGATCTTTTCCTATGGATAAGAGTCATTTATAACAAATGAATGAATCCAGAAGGCTTTTCCTGAACAGTTGCCATGAACGAAAATGTTCTATTGTAAGTAATCAATAGTGAGAGCCCTGGCCTTTTATTTAGGTGGTGGTGATTTCACCAATAATTCTAGGAACTTTCTCATGTGAGTACAATAGATTCTCAGACTGTTCATGTGTTCAATCATTTGTTTGGCTGAGTGACATAACATGCCAGGCATTGTGTTATACGCTATGGGCAATGATAGTACATAATCCCTTATCCTTGACAAATTTGGCCTAATAGAGAATAAACCAACAATGATAATACAGTGGGTTCCAAACTTGGCTGCACACTAGAACCAGCTGGGGAGCTTTTTAACGTCCTAATGACCAAGTTGTATCCCAGATCTATTATGCCAGAATGTCTGAGAATGGAGCTAGGAATTGCCATTTTAAAAAAAATTCCCTTTTGGCTGACTGTAAGATTTAAAACAGAAAAACAAAACAAAAAATAAAAATAATAAAAAGTATTCCCAGGCGAATCCAAACTGAAGTAGTTTGGGAACCACTAATATAATGTCAGAGTGAACTATAGGCCTTATTTATCCCAGGAGAAATCAAGGGAGCCTTCCAAGAGGAAGTGACTGGGCTATGTTTTTAAATGATAAATTGGTTCTTTCTACTGTTTTTATAATTTGAATCCTGCAAATGCCATAAATGAACATAATTTGAATGCTACAAATGCCACAAAAACAGAAAGGGAAAAACGTTATGTACGATCCCCAAAAAAAATCATCTTTGGAAAAATTTTCCCACTGGTAGTAAAAAATTAAGTATTTGACTCTCTCTCTCTCTCTCTCTCTCTCTCTCTCTCTCTATATATATATATATATATATATTCAAATATCACCCTCAGAATTGATGGTCAGTGGTCTTTTATTTCCTCTATGTGGCCTATAACACTGAGAACAATGCAAGGCAAAAAAAAAAAAAAAAAAAAAAAAATCAGTGGTATAGTCTGTCAGATCACCAAAGCTAGCCTCAGGCGAACATGCCAAGACAAATTCTAGAATTACAACCAGGAAACCAGGATATGGCATCAATATAAAAGATTTGTACTTTAATGCAATCTCTTGCCTTTTTGGTAAGGTAGCAAAAACATACTTTGGCAAAGTTTATCAGAGGTCCTTTTCTTTTTTTGCCTTCCTCCACCCCCCAAGAAAGTCAGTGGGAAATAAGCAGGGGGACAGCCCATGGCTTTCCTTTTACCAGTCATTTTTGGTATTTAAGGCAGATACAGAGTGCTCAGCCATTGATCTGTTCACTGTCATCCTGCTTAAATCAATAATCTATTAGTCCCTTTAAATTAGAGTTAGATTCATCAAATGCCCTTGAGAGGCCTCAAACATTTTGTTCCTTATTGCAGGCAAGCACAATCAGTCTATGGAATGATAAAATTTTTGCTTGAAAACTCTGCCGGCTCAGCAGACAATGTGTTCTGTATTAGCTCATTCAGCGATCTCAGGCAGGCCAAAAAAGCAGTTTTTAGACTTCCCAGGGGGAAAAGAGGCTTGTGTCATTCAATAAAACAACTACACTGCAGCCATCCTGATGTGATTTCAGTTTGGAGAAGCAGTCTTAGAGGAATAATTCGGATCTGCTTTTTGTCTCCTGCTTTTATTTATTTCCTTGCCTACTTATGGACTTACTCAGTTCTGTTTGCTGCTTGAATGCCCAACAAGCAGCAGCCTCCAATGTGGCATCCAAACTGCTAACCAGATGGGCTTCCCTGCTTCGTCAGGGAATGGGCAAGTCAGAGGAACTTCTGCTACTCGGGTGAGATGGATGCTTGGCTCTGTGGGTCCCCGCCCAGAGCACAGTCAGCACCAGTGATGCTGAGAGGGCTGCTCTGAACTGCGCACATGAGTGGAGACAGTGAGCCTCAGGGAAGATGAGAATGAACCAAATCTGCAGCATTGTCCTCGGAAGCTGCTAGCCCCTATTTTAGACATCTCCACCCCCACAACATACAGATAACTATCACTAAGGAAAACAAAGCTAGAATCCCCTTCCTTGTACAATAAATTAGTCATGGGACTCATTGCTTTTAAATCAATGTTCCTCAAAGTGTGGCCTGCAGCAGGGGAATTCTTGAGGTTAGGGAGAAGGACATTTGCTTTAAATTCGTGCTTTTCAGACTATCAATGGTGAAGCACCATTTCTTAGTCTTTCCCCCAATCCCTCATGGATTGATCAAATTCAATACAAATGAATCTCCAGGAAATAGGAGTTAAGGAAAAACAACGACGTCCAAAGCACAAGCTCCAACTCTTTAAAAAAAATTAGATTTAATGGACATAAAATTACCCTGTCAAATTGCTCCAAAAGTTTTGAAACACTTGCTCTCAATGTCTGAACTTCTCTCCTTGCGGACGGGCACAGGTCTCCGGATTGCATTTTGAGAAACAGTCCTCTAAAAGGACTTCAAACTCAGAGGTTGTTTGCAGACAAAACAAAAACAAAGCTAAACAAAATCTCCACCGACTGGGATGGTACAAAAGCAGAATTCCCGAGTTCCCACTGACGAAGCTTTCTTAAACACTGCCACAGCTCTTGGGTTGATTCATTCCCAAAAGAAAAGAAATTAACATTGCTGCCTGTTAAGAGGACTTGGCACTTACGAATTTAACTCACCTGAGAAAACACAGTATAAATGTCCTTGTTGTTACAACACACCTGAGTGTCATTTAAACACACAGAAAGTCTTCGACAATAGCTCCCTTCACAATTCCTTACATGCTTGGCATTTTTCTAAAGGTTAGATTAAGTAGCAGATAACATTTTTAAGAGAGCTCAGTATACTTTTTTTTTTTTCTTTGTGAGAGCTAATTTACGGCTGGCTAAAACGATGTTGACAGATTTCAGGATTTTAGGTTGGGCCTGATTACAGGCAGGCAGGCATCATGCATTAGGAAAGCCTAGCCTTTTTACTAGAACCTTCTGTGATTAAGACAGTATTTTAATGCACTCTCTGGGCAGCTGAGCTTTAAAAGAAAAAGGAGTTATAAAGCAAAAGACATTTCCTGCATGGCCCCAGGGGAATTTTGAGCCCAGAGCTCCGAATCCCAGTGGAAGGGAGTAATTTCAGCTAATTAAGGAAGAAGAGCAAAGTTGCGTTTGGTCAAAATGTTCGTTTGGACTTCATTTGTGTTGGCACCAAAGAGAGCCTATCTGGATTTTTTTCTCCCTTTTTCTGTGGATTCACTGCAGGACTGCAAAGCCTACAGCTCACATACATTAGGGAGAGATTCAAAGG
Organism: Homo sapiens; assembly: GCF_000001405.40. NCBI lineage: Eukaryota > Metazoa > Chordata > Mammalia > Primates > Hominidae > Homo > Homo sapiens. The sequence continues at coordinate 25,454,243 of NC_000003.12, read as the reverse complement.
AAACGCCAAAGTTCAACTAAAGTACAAGTAATTAGAACCAGATTCTCCGCTATTTGCGTGTGCGCATGCGTGTATGAACTCGTGTGTAGACATTTTAGTAAAATGTAATTTATATGCATCCAAACATTTGGGGCACGGGAAGACTCCATACTGTCACTCACTTAATTTTTATGTCGCCTTTTCAGGAGAGGATCTGCTTTTAATCATCTTTCAGGAGAAACGGTTTCCACACACATGGGTTTTGCAAATCTGTGAATCGCATCCTGAATTAGGTAATTGCCAAACAAGAAAAACTCTGCTTTGAAATCTTGCCTTACTCTGCTGCTGGCTTTGTTATTATTAAGCAGCTCCAAGATTAGTCCCGGGTTTGGGGTGGCTAGAGAGGGAGGACGATGGGGAGTGAAGGAAAATATCATTGTTGGGCTTTGGCAGTCTTGACTCAGTAACCTGCCCGTGACCCTAAAGAAGTGTGTGTTTGCCGGGGTCACCAGGGATCCTGGCCGAGGGCTGGAGCTGGGTTGTGAGAAACTCTGCTATTCTGACCACATATGAAACAGGTGCTGAACATAGGCAGGAGACAAAAGGAAGGGCTGGGGGAAAGAATTTGGTTTTGAGTCTTTAATAAAGCCTTGCTCAGCAAAGTGTGGTCCTGGACAAGCAGCATCAGCATCACCTGGAAACTTGTTAAAATGCAGAATCTTGGCCGGGCACAGTGGCTCATGCCTGTAATCCCAGCACTTAATCCAAGGTGGGAAGATCACCTGAGGTCGGGAGTTCAAGACCAGCCTGACCAACATGGAGAAACCCCATCTCTACTAAAAATACAAAATTAGCTAGGCGTGATGATGCATGCCTGTAATCCCAGCTACTCGGGAGGCTGAGGCAGGAGAATCGCTTGAACCCGGGAGGCGGAGGTTGCAGTGAGCCGAGATCGTGCCATTGCACCCCAGCCTGCACAGCAAGAGCGAAACTGTCTCAAAAAAAAAAAAAAAAAAAAAAAGCAGAATCTTGGCCCCACCCCAGAAATGCAGAATCAGAATAGGCATCCTAACAAGACCCCTTGATCATTTTTACGCACATTGATGTCTGAGACACCCTAACATAAAAAATGTCTTGTTATTGTCCTAACCTTCCTGTAATCCCATTTTGCTGAGTTAATTTAGCATCAGAACTCTGTCAACTTGCCCTTTGCACAGGTCCTTACTAAATACTCCACCTTGTTAAGTACTTAATGCATTAAGATCTTCAGGCTGTGTGTGTTTATGCTTACCATAAACCAGAAGTCTTCGTTCACTCTCACAGAACTTTGGCAGTGGCTTTTAGTTGGCAGTGTGTTCAAAGTTGTACCAGAAGAGCCTGAACTAATAGTAATTACTATTTACTGAGCGCCTACTGTGTTAGGGACCATGCAAAGTGCTTAATAGACATTAGTTCATTTACTCCTTCCCCCATACCATGAGGAGAGGGAGAACTGAGCACCTTAGAATTAGGAAATTTAAAACACAACAATCCTTTCAGACTTTATAAATGAGATGTAAATGACTTAATATGTTTACTATTATCTCACCAAACCCCCCCCGCTTTTTAAATTCTCATTTTCCATCTCCCTGATTTGTTTCCTAGTCTGGGAAGGTCACAGGGTTTGCTCTGGTCAGGCCTACTTACTCAAATTTGAGAAGTGCAGAACTTTGTAATTCTCTTGCTTTTAACTCACGGTTATAACTTTCCAAACACTGATTCCATTCAAGATATGGTTAAATTTGACAAGATAGTTTGGGCCTTAGAAAGAGAGTAAGACTCAGGACCCACTAATCACTCTGTGTTGTAGCTACACCTGTCTGGGCTTACGGCCAGCAATAGAAGTTATTCCTGGGACTGGCTTTTACCACGGGAAGTGCTGTCATATTTTCATAAGGTACCATGACACGTTCAACACCAACATTTCATTTTGATAATATGTGTTCTCACCACAAGGAATATATTCAAAAATATCTCATAGGTTGTTTTGCATGACATTTTAAACACGTTTTCTATCACTATTTTCTAGGACATACTAAGATAGCTTATGCCAGTGTTCAAATAAATCCTCTCTTACAGTCACTTAACAGGCCGACACATCTAACTGCTTATTAATGATCTGAACGTGGAGGCATCAGAAATGAAACTGCATTAAGTGAACAAATGCTAGAACAGGTCTCGGGAGTCATGTGTAGACGAAGCTAATTGCTTTGCAATATTGAGGTCCCCTGAAGAGTTTTTCTCAACATCAACTCACTCAGTTCCATATTTCACTTCTATCTTCTATCGGGATTCCCATAATATTTACAAAAGGAACTATCACACTAATAAATGACATTATTTTATCTGATCGAATTTCCTGCACACAGAGTAGATTAAAACAGGAGCATTAACATGTATATCATTTCAGATACACACATTCACATTCATTTCAGATATCCACACACACATTCGTTGCTTATGTACTATATATCTATTTGAAAACCACATTAGTACCAGTCTGACAGAAAACCAAAAGGGAAATACTTGGAAGACAACAATGAAATTATGCTTTGTCACATACCTTGCCACTCGTCTAAGATCTAAGGAAGTTCAAGTATGATTGATTACACTAGAATTTAGCCAAAACCCTCTTTTTCTCAATAAAATAATGCTTGGCTTACTCAGAATTTTGCTGCAAAGAAATTTTTCTGTTTTGTTTCTTACAGGTATGCACCATATGAACAGCCTCAAAATAACTTTGAAACCGATTTAATCCTCACTGTGTGGGTTTTCTTGGTTCCTAAAAAGAAAGAAAATGCCATGAGCCTGCATAAAATTGTGTGGAGGAGGTGACGGGAAAGTGGTAAGCTTTGCTGCCAGGTGGACCTGAATTTGAATCTCTCTTCTGCCACTTACAAATGGCCATAGAGTTTTATTTCTCTGAGCCCTAGTCCTTCTTTGCTGAAAATGCAGATAATCCTGATTTCTGTTGGTAAACCAGAGACAACGTTTGCAATTTGCCTGACACACAGTAAGTGCTCAATAAATGATAGCCAACCTTCACCTCCACTTTTCCCCTCCTCCCACAAACACATTTCCCTTCCACCTTCCTTAATCTAGGGCAGGGTTTTTTTTGTTTTTTTTCTGAGATGGAGTTTTGCTCTTGTTGCCCAACCTGGCATGGGCAGCCATGCCATGGCACGATCTCAGCTCACTGCAACCTCCGCCTCCCGGGATCAAGAGATTCTCCTGCCTCAGCCTCCCAAGTAGTTGGAATTAATAAATGTGCGCCACCACGCCCGGCTATTTTTTTGTATTTTTAGTGGAAACCGGGTTTCACCATGTTAGCCAGGCTCGTCTCGAACTCCTGACCTCAGGTGATCCTCCTCCTTGGCCTCCCAAAGTGCTGAGATTACAGGCGTGAGCCACCGCACCCGGCCGGGTAGGGGTTTTTAGCCAGCACCATTTTGTCTCTCACGGGACATTCTGCAACATCAGGAGACATTTCTGGCTGTCACAATTGGGGGCTGCTCCTGGCATCTAGTAGGTAGAGGCCAGGGATGCTACAAAACATCTCACAATGCCCAGGACAGGCCCCTCCTACACAACAAAGAATTATCTGGCCCCAATTATAGATAGTGCTGAGGTTGAAAAACACTGATCTAGGCTGAGGATACTACTGGTGGGGAGACTCTGGGACCAAAGAGTGGGGACAACAAAGAAAATACTACAGCTCTGGAGAAATGGAAACTGCAGAGTCCTACAATGCAGATGGTATGAGCTCAGTTCCTAATTCTGCCTCTTACTAGCAGTCACTTATCCTTCCTGATCCTCAGAAAAATTGAGATGACAACCACGCTTACTACATTGCAGGATTTACACTTTGTAAACTATAAAAAGTATAAAAACATGTAAAAATAATAGCTAATGCTTTATTATTAGAAATTTATTAATTATTATTTATTATCTGGGGAAAAGTGGATTAAGTCCGTATCAATAATGCGACTAATATGGTCACCACAGAAAACAACAGAACCATCTCCAGAGTCTAGTCAAACATTTCAACAATAGTAATCACTAACACTCATGGAGCATATACTGTAGGCTAGTCATGCTCCTTCACTCTACTCTAAGCATTTTTCATCTATTAGTACATCTGATCCCCAGAGTGACCCAATAAGAGAGCTAGTCTTGGCCAGGCGCAGTGGCTTAAGCCTGTAATCCCAGCACTTGGGAGGTTGTGGCGGGTGGATCACTTGAGGACAGAAGTTTGAGACCAGCCTGGCCAACGTAGTGAAACCCCATCTCTACTAAAAATACACACAAAAAAAATTTGTGGTGGCGTGCGCCTGTAATCTCAGTTACTCGGGAGGCTGGGGCAGGAGAATTGCTTGAACCCAGGAGGTGGAGGTTGCAGTGAGCCGAGATCGCACCATTGCACTCTAGCCTGGGCAACACAGCAGGACTCCGTCTAAAAAAAAAAAAAAGAGAGAGAGAAAGAGATTGCTAGTCTAGTTTTACTATTTCTTTTTGACAGGCAAGAAGAAACCAGAGGTATAATGTGGTTAGGTAACTTGTTCAAGGCCATACAGCTGCTAAATAAAAAGCATGGATTTGAACTTAAATGGTCTTAAGTTCAAGGGAATGGGTCTGACCCCCATGTTGAGAGAAGACTATGACATCCCCTCTTAGGACTGTGCAGAACTCCTGTCACAAGCAGCTGTCCCTGGCAGGAAGTTTTAGAGTATGCAGGGTACGTCTAAGTCAGACAGACAGACACACAGTTAACCCAGCATAAAGAACAAAAGTAAAACTGGAAAATTCAAAAGAAAGAAGTTAAGGAGACAGAAATAATGCCCTGTTTTCTTTCCAGTCAGAGCAATAAAATAGGAAAGTCCCCCAGAAGCAAACACAGGAATTAGAAGGCACACACAAACACACTCACTAACCCCTTCTGCATGTTCCCTGCTGAGAACCCAGCCCTCAGCAGGGAGAATGGCAGCAGCTAAGACCAAGATTCCAAAGGCCTCTGGCGGCAGTCCAACGGCGTGTGGCTGAACACTGTCAGGAGCAGTCACTCAGGCCAAATGGAGTCTGCACAACCACCAGCTCCAGGGCTCTTCGGGGAGGCAGAGGAGGAGAGGACTCTGAGCCCCCAGCCCCTACGCAGGTTCTCCTTCCCTCACCTGAAGGCCACATATACTCCCTTAACCAAAATTTATTTGGCACAAGAATGAACCCAATATCCAGAATTGGTTGTGCAATAGCTTTTCTGTCACTGTCTACAGAACTAGCACGCCCCAAATGAGGGGCTGAATGACTCTTTTCCCAAGATGTCTGGGGATTGCGGGGGTGGAGGGGGGTGAGAGGAGTAACTTGAAGTAGACACTGAACATCCTTACTGTGCCCTCTACTTGGCTAATACATAATGCATCAGTTCAAAGGATGCACTTGATATTTCATTTGAAAAGATTCTCGGCCGGGCACGGTGGCTCACGCCTATAATCTCAGCAGTTTGGGAGGCCAAGACAGGCGGATCACCTGAGACTGGGAGTTTGAGACCAGCCTGACCAACATGAAGAAACCCTATCTCTACTAACAATACAAAATTAGCTGGGTGTGGTGGTGCATGCCTGCAATCCCAGCTACTCGGGAGGCTGAGGCAGGAGAATTGCTTGAACCTGGGAGGCAGAGATTGTGGTGAGCCGAGATCATACCACTGCACTCCAGCCTGGGCAACAAGAGTGAAACTCTGTCTCAAAAAACAAAAAGAAAGAAAAGATTCTCAAGTTTCTATATAGAACTGTTCAAACTACAGGAATGCTACATTGTTGGTTATTTTTTTTCCTTCAGAGCAGTGATTCCTAGGTATGAGAAAGCTAAGAGTTTCAAAGTGCTTTAGCATTATTTCTTTTTTAAAAATGTTAAGAAAATCTTGAAAAAATAATTCAAAGACATTTTCACCAACCTTCCAATTGAGAGCAGTCCCCCAAGGTTCAGGTCTTTTTTTGATATTCCCGAAACTTGTCCACCTTTATAGGCAAGTTGTCTGAGGCATATGGTTGGAAGTATGAACTCGGGAGTCGGCCTTCCTGGATTCAAATCCTCACTCTCCTACTTACTGGCTGTGTGACTTTTGGAAAGTTACTTAACCTCTCTGAGCCTCAATTTCTGCTTGTATAAAATGATAGTATATTCTTCATTGCATCATTGTGAGCATTAAATAACATCATTTTAAAGTACTTTGCACAATGCCTGCCACATAATAGTGTTACACAAGCAATTATTATCATTATTGTATCATGCTTATGCTGATGAATCTCAATGCTATTCACCTTCCCTTCTTTCCCCATCTTGATTTGGTGACCTTCACTTCCATTTTCCCTCTCAAAATAATTTTCCCTTCTGATGTACCTAAGAGATTCTCTAAAAACTAATGTGAGGAAAGCAAGTCATGTCAGTTTTCCCTCTCTCAGCTGTCCTTTCCTTCCCAGGCCCACAGGCATTAATCAGAAGTGCTCTCATTCCTCGTAGGATTTCCTGGCCAATCCCCAATCCAGGCTGCCTAGCCCCCTCAGAAATGGCTTCTTTAAACCCCTCTTTACCACAGCGATCTCTCATTGGAGAGCCTTCAATTGCTGTTCAAAACCCAAAGTCCCAAATCATTGCAAGGACCAAGGTGGTTTGGGGAGCAGAAGGCAGTGATTATCAGTCAGCAACATCAACTGCTGACAAACATTTATTGAGCACCTGCCAGGGACCAGACCCCTTGATACATGCTGGTTTATAAAGAAGTTAGAATACACTATCTCCTGCCCACGCAAACAGACAACTGAAAAATGCCACAAGGCAAACATGGCCCCAGCTAGAAAAAGGATCTGATGGGGGTCAGAGGCTGTCATGAGTGGGTGTGTTACTAGCATACACAAAGATTTTGGCGGCCTTGACTTTAAATACTCAGGGCTAAAAGAGTGTCCAGTACATATCAAAAGTTCAATCAGTGTTGGTTAAAAAAAAAAAGAATTAAAAAAATGAAATCTGCATACAAATCCTTACATGTGATGTGAAATAAATACTTTCAGCCAGTTCAGCAGAATCTGCCAACAGCACACTTTATATGGCGGGGGACAACTTGAGGGGTGTTTTCACACACATTACCCCATTTGCTGCCTCCTAACAAAAGTGTGAAGAGCAAGGATTATTAACACGATCAGTTTTTTTTTTTCTTTTTTTAAATCTCTGTTATTCACCTGAGGAAACTGAAGCTTAGAGAAGTTAAATGACTTGGCCAAGGTCACACAGTTAGGAAATGAACTGAAAGTGAGTTCATCCCCTGAATCCACACGCAAGATTAGTATAAATGAGAAACCAAGTACACATTTATATTCCTAACAGTCCTATTCATTTTTTAATTTTTTTTTTTTTTTTTTTTTTTTTTTTTGAGACGGAGTCTGGCTCTGTCACCCAGGCTGGAGTGGAGTGGTGCAATCTCGGCTCACTGCCAGCTCCGCCTCCCGGGTTCACGCTATTCTCCTGCCTCAGCCTCCCAAGTAGCTGGGACTACAGGCGCCTGCCACCACGCCCGGCTAATTTTTTGTATTTTTAGTAGAGATGGGGTTTCACCGTGTTCGCCAGGATGGTCTCAATCTCCTGACCTCTTGATCTGCCCGCCTCGGCCTCCCAAAGTGCTGGGATTACAGGCGTGAGCCACTGCGCCCGGCCCATTTTTTAATGTTTTAAGGCAGGGTCTGCAAATTTTGTAAATGGTCAGATAGGAAATACTTTAGGCTTTGTGGGCTGTCTGGTCTCTGTCACAGTCATTCAACTCTGCCCCCCATGGGGGAAGGCAGTCACAGACAAAATGTAAATGTATAGGTGTGACACATTCCAAGAAAGCTTTATTTACAAAATCCAGATTTGGTGTAGTTTTCAGCCCAGCTTTAAGATAAAGGAAATAAAAACTATTCCTCCTAACAGTGACTGTACATGTTACTATAAAATTCATGCATTTCCTCACTTCCAGGGTAAAGACAGAGGATGACAGCCATATGTCACAGAGACGTGGGTAATATTTTAAAGATACTAACACTACAGTGTGTTGTAAGGGCTACACATTTTCTTCAAAACCTCATGTATACATTTTTATTAGTTAGGGAGGTCAATATGTCCGCCATAAATACATTTTAAAATTCCTTCCCACATATTCTGTCTATTGGGATTATTTATCATGCTTTGTTCCCTGGCGTAGAGCCAGGGAGAATATGGGAGTTTTAATACCTTTAATCCATTACATGGATTTTTTTAGAGCTCCATAAGACAAAATGAAATGCACTCTCATGGTCATATATGCAATAAACCTGGTATGTCACTTAATATTTCATGTCCCATTTAATATTTCAGTTGTAACTGTTCCCAGCTTTCAACGTCCAAAATGACACAATTCCAGCCATCTTTTCGCTCCAATTGCTTTTTTGTTCTTGTTTAGAGAACTCCTGACAATTTATAAATAATAACTCTCACTGTGGACTTTGAGAGGCAATTATTATTGCTCTCTGATATTCCTTATTATTTTTTTTTGAGAAGGAGTCTCACCCTGTCACCCAGGCTGGAGTGCAGTGGCGCGACCTCGGCTCACTGCAACCCCTGCCTCCTGGGCTCAAGCAATTCTCCTGCTTCAGCCTCTCGAGTAGCTGGGACTACAGGCGTGCCCCCACCATGCCAGGTTAATTTTTTGTATTTTCAGTATAGACAGGGTTTCACCATGTTGGCCAGGCTGGTCTTGAACTCCTGACCTCAAGTGATCCACCTGTCTCGGCCTTCCTAAGTGCTGGGATTACAGGCGTGAGCTATGCGTCCGGACTGCTCTTTGATATTCTGAAGAAGTATGAAATAACTGTCTACTGACATATGCCACCCAGTTTACGGCAACGTGGTGAACTGGTCATGCTTATTTTAATTAGGCCATGTTAACCTTGTTTTGAAAAGGAGGTGTTTGGCTGGGCGGGGTGGCACATGCCTGTAATCCTAGCACTTTGGGAGGCTGAGGCGGGCAGATTGCCTGAGCTCAGGAGTTCAAGAGCAGCCTGGGCAACACAGTGAAATTCCGTCTCTACTAAAATACAAAAAATTAGCCAGGTGTGGTCATGTGTGCTTGTAATCCCAGCTACTCAGGAGGCTGAGACAGGAGAATCACTTGAACCCGGGAGGCGGAGGTTGCACTGACCTGAGATCGTACCACCACACTCCAGCCTGGGCGACAGAGCAAGATTCTGTCTCCAAAAAAAAAGAAAAAAGAAAAGAGGTGTTCATTCATTTCTCCAGCTAACTGATATGGTAACACTGGTCTCTAAAGATGGTCTGCTCAATACACCTCACCTCCTGTAATGCAATGGGTCTCTTTTTCTCAAATTGCTTGTAAAACTGACTCACACATCTACCGGAGCCCAAATGTGAATACCACCTGCCTATCACTTGCACATACCCTCTTTTATTTTGAGATGCAGATGTTTGCTTATAGTGCTGTTGTATTTTTACTTGTTCCTACAGGAGATACATTGAATCTTCCTGCCCGTACTGGACACTGCAGTTCAAAATAATAGCAAAAGACCTGCAGGTAATAGGCCATAATACTCACTTGATACCCACTAAAGGAGGGTTTAGATCACTTGTTCTCTGTTACCTTTCATGAAACATCTGTTTCATATGAGCCACTTGGAAGTGTATACATCTGTAAATAATAAGCCTGATGTGTACATAATTTAATGAATTAGGACATAAAAAGGAATTGAACAGTAGGGGCACAGCAATTAGAAGAACTGCCCATTTTGTTAAAAACGTATTATTTCCAGCTTTCACTTGTTAACCCTTTTATTATTCTGTGGGTTCTGAGGCTTCTAATCTTCCCCATCCCTCTTCCCTGCAAACAAAATAGAAATTTATATCGTTGGCAAAGAAAAGGAACCCTACATTATACAAAGCTGAGTTGGGAACTTTGGACTCACTTTCTCCTACTCGGGAGATTCAAGGTAGGTATTTGAACCTCTCAGTGCCTAGGAATCTGCGTCTGCAAAGTGGGGATAACAGGGCCTTTCTCTTCAGGCTGCTCTGAGGACTAGATGACATGGTTCATTTTAAGCACCTGACACATAATAAGCACTTAATAAATATTAATTATGATAGTGATTGTTTTACTTTAATAAAAATCAATCGCAACTTTAAATCATGGGGGTGGGGAAGCAAACCGTGGTTCAAAAGTTTCTCTTGAGAGTTGTTTTAGCGATTTATTTATTTTATTATTATTATTATTACTTTTTGAGACAGAGTCTAGCTCTGTTGTCTAGGCTGGAGTGCAGTGGTGCTATCTCGGCTCACTGTAACCTCTGCCTCCCGGGTTCAAGTGATTCTCCTGTCTCAGCCTCCCGAGTAGCTGGGATTACAGGCACCCATCACCACGCCCAGCTAATTTTTGTATTTTAGTAGAAATAGGGTTTCACCATGTTGGCCAGGCTGGTCTTGAACTCCTGAGCTCAGGTGATCTGCCCACCTTAGACTCCCAAAGTGCTGGGATTACAGGCATGAGCCACCGCAACCGGTCCTTTAGCTTTATCATTTTTTTTTTTTTATATATATTTTAGATGGACTGTCTGTCTGTCGCCCAGGCTAGAGAACGATGGTGCAATCTTGGCTCACTGCAACCTCCGCCTCCCGGGTTTTAAGCGATTCTCCTGCCTCAGCCTCCTGAGTAGCTGAGATTACCGGCGCGCTTTAGCTTTATTTTTATTTACTTTCTTCACACCATTTCTAGGGATAGGCCAAAAAAAAAGGGGTGGTGGGGGGGACAAGGGGGAGCAATAATGTCCTGGCTAACAGGAAGTACCATCAGAAAATCTATTTCTGTGACCTCAAAGTAAGTGCCAGTAGCCCAGGGAAATATTCCACTCTCATGTTTTCAGGCCAGTTTGCCAGCAAATGCACTTATAAGGGCTTACTTACTTTGCCATCCCAGCCAAACTGAACCTCCCAAGTTTTTGACAGCCCCCATCAAGTTTACTAGAGGTGTTTTGAATAACCAAAAAATATTAGCTCACTTGAGATGTTCTCAATTTCGTTTTCACTGAACTACACTCAGCATATTTCTGAGCACCTACTGTGTGCCGCACTCTGGGTTATGAGCAGAGGACACACGTAAGCAGGAGGAGGCACCCGGGGGAGAGCTCATGGTATTTCCCAGAAGGCAAACTGAGGCTTCCATAGAATATGGCCAGTTCCTCTCTGCCTCCCTGAAGTTTGTTGAAATGTTCAAGCTGAGTTGAAAGCTTGAAAATGTTGGGAGATACTCTGCCCATCTCAAAACCAAGCAGGTGTGGAGCACGGGAATAGACATCGTATGTCTCCATGATTTGATTGCTACAGGGAATGTAATTCCCGCCCACTGAGATTCTGCAAAAATCTTGGTTTAGCTGTGCAAACTAAATGTTAGCAAAACAAGTGCTAAATACTTGCCAGGCCCCAGGAAAAATAGTTCCACCCAGAAGGAAAAGGAGTTAAACAATGACTGAAATCACCACCCTACAGCATTCTGTTTACATTTTCCTGCAGTCTGTTTACCTGCTACATAAAGGGATAATTAGAGCTTGTTAATAGCCATAGGAGAGAAGAGTAAAGGCTGAAGGGAAAAAGGAAATAAAGAAAATGAACAAATACTGAAAGAATAATAATAGCTGAAGTATGTAGAAGTGAATTGTTTAATACAGTAGCCACTAGCCATGTGTGGCTATTGAAAGTTAAATTAATTAAAATAAAATAAAATTGGCCAGGTGTGGTGGCTCACGCCTGTAATCCCAGCACTATGGAAGATCGAGGCGGGTGGATCATGAGGTCAGGAGTTCGAGACCAGCCTGACCAATATGATGAAACCCCGTCTCTACTAAAAACACAAAAATTAGCTGGGCGTGGTAGCGCGCTCCTGTAATCCCAGCTACTCAGGAGGCTGAAGCAGGAGAATGGCTTGAACACGGGAGGCGGAGGTTGCAGTGAGCCGAGATAGCACCACTGCACTCCAGCCTAGGCAACAGAGTGAGACTCCGTCTCAAAAATAAATAAATAAATAAATAAATAAATAAATAAAAATAAAATAAAATTAAAAAGTCACTTCCTCAGCTGTATTAACCGCATTTCAAATTCCAACAGCCATAAATGGCTAGCGACTATGATATTAGACAATGTAGAATTATAGATCCTTTCCATCATTGGAAACTTCATTGTAGGAAGTTCTATTGAAGGGCACTGATATCGAGTATATTAAAGGGTTGTTTATTAGAACATACATGTGGGTTCAACCATAGTTTACTGAGGATCATAGACCAAGTACTATATTAGCACTGGGAAAACAGAGGTAAAAAGCACAATACCTGAACTCAAAGACTCTCAGTTTAGTGAGAAGACCCAGTCAACAAAACAAAACAAACATATGCAAAAGGAGAAAAGGGTGAGAACACAGAAAAGAAACCTGGTAATTTTAATGGTAGCTATGGCAGTAGGTATCCAGGTGTTTGCAGTAAAGCTGTTGTAACTTTTCTGCATTAAAAAAAATTCATAAAATATCGGGGAATTGGATTTGCAGTTGGGGCTCTCTGACGCCAGCGCCACCTCTAGTTCGCCGAGCTCTGGGCGAAGGAGAAGGGGGAAAGTAAGGAGGTGTCCATACCACGGTTCCTACAAAGCACACTACTCGAAAATCCAACCCGTGGAAAAGCATCCGGGAAGAAACTGGCCACAAAAGCCATTCACGAGAGTGCGCCCTCTACTGGCGGGGTGGAGAAACCTCATTGTTACAGGCCTGGGACTGGGGTACTCCGTGAAATTAGGCTTTATACGAAGTCCAGTGAACTGATTCGCAAACTTCCCTTCCAATATGTGGTGCAAGAAATTGCTCAGGACTTTAAAACAGATCTGAGCTTCCAGAGCGCAGCTACTGGTGCTTTGCAGGAGCCAAGTGAGGCCTATCTGGTTGGCCTTTTTGAGGGCACTAACCTGTGTGTTATCCATATCAAACGTTTAACAATTATGCCAGAAGACATCAGCACACTGCATACGTAGAGAACGTGCTTAGGAGTCCACTATGATGGGAAACATTTCATTCCCACCCACCCCCCCGAAAAAAAATTTCTTCTTCCTGTTATTGGTAGTTCTGAATATTAGGTATTTTTTTCTAATGCAGTCAAAAGGTACCTAGGTATATGATTGCAAGTGGAAAAATAGAGGACAGAAATTAGGTATTGGCAGTTTTTCCATCTTCATTTGCGTGTGAATTTTTAATATAAATGTGGGGATGTAAAGCATTAATGCAAATCAAAATGTTTCAGTGAACAAGGTTCAGTAGTTCAACTTTATAATAATTATAAATAAATCTGTTAAATTTTTCTGGACAATGCTAGCATTTGGATTTTTTTTTAATTTTTTATTTTTGGGGGGGACGGTGTCTTACTCTGTCATCCAGACTGGAGTGCAGTGGCGCGATCTCGGCTCACTGCAACCTCCGCCTCCCCGGTTCAAGCGATTCTCCTGCCTCAGCCTCCTGAGCAGCTGGGACTACAGGCGCGGGCACCACCACGCCCAGCTAATTGTTGTATTTTTAGTAGAGACGGGGTTTCACCACATTGACCAGTCTGGTCTCGAATTCCTGACCTTGTGATCCACCTGCCTCGGCCTCCCAAAGTGCTGGGATTACAGGTGTGAGCCACCATGCCTGGCCTGGATTTTTTTTTTAAATAAATTTCTTTTTTTTTTTTTATTTTTTAGACAGGATCTCCCTCTGTTGCCTAGGCTGGAATGCAGTGGTGCAATCCCGGCTCACTGCAGCCTCAACATTCCCAGGCTCCGATTATCCTCCCACCCTAGCCTCCCGAGTAGCTAGGACTACAGGTGCGTGCCACCACGGCCACATAATTCTTTTTGTAGAGACAGGGTTCTGCCGTGTTGCCTAGGCTGGTCTCAAGTGCCTAGGCTCAAGTGATCTGCCTGCCTCGGGCCTCCTGAAGTGCTAGAATTTCCGGTATGAGTCGCCATGCAAGCCTAAAACAAGTTTCTTATTGACAACTATGTATATATGTAAAAACAATCTATTTACTGAGCATCATGTGTCAAATACATTGTCTTATTTAAGGCTTTAAGACTGATCTTAGGCTTTCAAGGGAGGTGTTATGGATTCATTTTAAAGATTAGAAAAAAACCAAAACAAAACCTGGAGCTCAAGCTTCCACAGCAGGTACAGTGCACGAAGAATGTCTACCCAACCTCACTGTATCACACTGCAGGGTACCATGCTGTATTTCACTGCATCACATGTTAGCGTCTTACAGATTTAGATCTGCTTCCACTTAGAACCCACTACACGACTTCTAGCAAGTCACTTCAATTTGTCCACCTGTCTCTTTTTCCTCAAAATATATAATTCAGCAACAATTAGATTTCAAACAAAAGAAACAGGTAGAATACGGTATATGAAAATTCAAAATACAGAATACATTCCATTTAAGACATATTTGAGCGGGACACAGTGGCTCACACCTGTAATTCCAGCACTTTGACACGCCAAGGCAAGCAGATTGCTTGAGCCCAGGAGTTTAAGACCAGCCTGGGCAACATGGTAAAACCCTCTCTCTCCAAAAACCTAGCCAGGTGTGATGACACACACCTGTAGTCTCAGCTACATGGGAGGCTGAGGCGGGAGGATTGCTTCAGCCCAGCAGGTTGAGGCTGCAGTGAGCTGAGATCATACCACTGCACTCCAGCCTGGGCAACAGAGCGAGACCCTGTCTCAAAAAAATAAAAAATAAGACATGTTTGAAGTCACTGAAATGAGAGCATTATCTGAGAGGCCAATTAGATGCACTATGATTCATGTAAGTTTCACTAAATGGTAATGGTTAACTTAGGTTTGGGATCCTCTGCACACAATAGATACTTAAAATACCTAGCAAATAAACATTAATTCGACTTTACTATCAGAAAGTTTTCTTTCTTCCTCTTTGTCTTTTACTTTTTTGCTTTTGGTAGTGGAAGACAAAATAGCTCCACTTAATGAAGAGACACTCTCTAGCACAAACACTTAGCACCCATCTTTAGATAAGGGTTACCAGTAAACTAGAGTAACATGAAAAGCCCAGTTTCCCATCTCTCATCTTCTTGTGACTCTTCAGTAAATACCAGACTAATCCTGGTCTGAACCCCCTGAGCTACAGCAGTGACTAGGCCAGCGTAGACTTCAACAGCAAACAGGATGTAAAAACAAAAGGGCAAAAGAGTAAAATAGCCTCATAGTTTGGGCAGAGTTTCCTCCACAATGTAAAAGACTGGTTTATAGTAGAGAAAATAATGTAATCAGAGGAAGCTATGCGAGTTACAGTTCTTTACCTCTCTTTTTCCTACCTTTCCCCTTAACCAAAACACTCGATGGTGTTTTATTCTTGGGATTATTAGGGCATGAAACATTTTTCAGGAATTCTTCACTCAGCTGACAGGATGACAACTCCTGAAGCTGAGGACCCCCAAGTGAGTAACAGCACATGGAGCCTAGAGAAAAGCCTTTCATGGGACTTGAAACCACACTCTGCCCCTTACAATCCGTGTTATTCACCTTCCCTGAGCCTCCATTTCCTCATCTGTAAAATGAAGATGACATCTCACTTATAGGGTTGTGAGGATTAACTGAAAATGATGTATGTTGTCATTAGAGTAGCATTTCATTAAACATGGAACCAACCAAAAAACTAAAAGCCCCACAACTGTTCTTTAATTTAATCATTTTCAGAAGACAATACTTTCTTTCTTGTTATAGTGCATATACGCTACGATTGTTATGGTGGACATTCTTTGCCTTTCTCTCCCAAACTGAAAGGTAGTTATTGAATCTGGGCTGGCCCTGTGTCTGCTTCACCAGCAGAATATAGTGAAAGCGACTGTATACCACTCTCTGGGTCTAGGTTTTAAGAGGACTGGGAGCCTCTGCTGCCTCCTTCCTGGAAGGTTCACTCTCGAAACACTCTCTCTCGGAATACTGCTGCCATGCTGTGACATGCACAAGTCACATGCAGATCCCCTAGAGCTCTCACCGACAACCAACATCCACCACCAGCCATGAGAGTGAGACTTTTTGGATTGCCAGCCCAATTTAGCCATGGATGATTCAGCCCCAGCTGACAGCATGCGGAGCAGAGGGTCTGCCCAGCGGAGCCCAGCCCATCCACAGAATAATGTCATAATAAATTGTTAGACCAGGAAGTTTTGGGATGGTTTGTTACACAGGAATAAGTCACAGAAATCATAGAGAAATAAGTGATTTTTAAAAATCCAATAGAATCAAACCCATCCCCAAGGAACATGATTACTTAACACGCTCCAGAAACATCCACATGAAAGTCTTCAAGAAGCTAGTTTGGAAGGTGTGCACTTATTCCACTGTGTAAGATAGGTTTAGAACTCCTTTGTGAACTACTTTTAGAGATGATCTATGAGGCCTGCACACAGAAAAACTTCACGCCCGCTCCACTGTGACAAAAATGTATAATCCACTTGATCACCCACCATATAAACCAGCTGTGGTTCTTGGCAGTTCTTAGTTCTTTCCATTATCAATCTTAGGTTCAAAGACATGGGGAGATTTTTGGGTTTGTTATAAGGGGGTTATGTGACAACGACTTGTGTCACAAGTTCTTCCCATTATATCATGAGTTCAGAGGGAGAAGGGACAGTGTCTGATTCATCTTGGTGTCCCCCACAGATCATATCAAGGAGCCTGGCACATGGCAGACACCCAAGAGCCATTTGCTGAATGGCACGTTGCAAAAACTAATCCATCAATGAGCAATAAAAATGTACTGTGCCACGACAGCATCTTTGGGCTAAGTGTATTGTGACAACTTTGAAGGTGACAATGCTCACTTGTAAAAGTCAATCATTTGCAAGAAATCTGGGGATCTGGTAAATGGATGCCCCTGAATCAGGGCACAGTGCTACCTGACAAACAGAAAGGACTGCCACCTAGGTTATGAGCTATAGACCGAGGGATCATTTCACCAAAGAAAAGAGATACCTAATTTAGATATGACCAAAAAAAAAAAAAAAAAGTTTGCTTTTAGCAAAGGCACGTAAGCCACAGGTGTCATGCCAAAATCAGGGCAGAAGGCCTACCTGGTGACTTCCATATGTTTTCAAGACAAGAATAGAATCTTAATTTACATGATCTCTAATCCTTCTACAGATCCTGCAATGTAGACACTATTATTCCCATTTCATAGCTGTAGAAACCGATCCTGTGTCAAGGCAGGCTACTTGCATTATCTTGGACCATCAGGCCATGATGGGGAAGCAGAGGTGGAGAGATGCATGGAAGGGTAATTCTGAGAGGACCAGGGAGAAGCAGCAGTAAAACTCTTGGAAAGGGAGAACTTTTCACAGCTTCTGCTGAGTGCAAGAAAATTATTATACCCCCTTCTCTAGAAAGCCTTTGAGGTACAGGTGATAGGATAAGCTCTGGAAGAGTATTCACAACTTCTGCCTGAACTATAAGCCCAACATGGGTTTCTGGAAACTCTTGCCCGAGAAGCAGAGAGATGCCTTGTTCATCTGCATCCCCCAACTTTCCCTGCAAATCCAAACCTGTTCATCCTACCTCTAGTTTGTATTGTTTCCCCTGATAAGGAGGGCCCCAGTGAACAATTAAAGCTTTCAATAAATAATCTCTAAGCACATTCATTTGATTGACTGTTATTTGATACAGCAGTTAGTTTCAATGGGGCAGTTAATATTGATCACATAAAGTACTCCAGACAAACATGAAACAGTTCCAGAACTCCATGGATTATTACCCTTTATCTGCCAGTCATCTGGGTTACTTGTAATGGTCACGGAATTTAAAATCAATAATAACAATTAGTGTTCTGTACACCAAAACGGATGAATCATGTGAAATGGGTTTTCATATAAAATCAAAGGTAAAGCAAGCCGATAGCATGGAAAAAAAGCTCTCTGAATTTCCAGTGCACATTTGGCAAGGCACTTTCACATGCAAATCCTCAAAACAGGCAGCAAGAGCGAAAGAAAGGTGCTCAGGAGAAGATGTGGCCATAAAAAAGCATATGAAACCCCTGACGATCTTAATCCAAAAAGATGAAGCGTAAAAGATAAAAGTGATCAAAATGAGTTCTAACAAATGTAGTAAAATTAATGGAACCGGTAATTTACTTCCTTGGAGATGTGTCTAGCTACATTTTTCAGCTTTCAATTTCTAGGCATTAATCGTGATTTTTTTTGTAATAAAATGGCAACAACGGTATTTTAGTAGCTCCATGGCACGACTACTGTAATATAATGTATATATAATTAAAATGCAAAGCAACAGAGAAATGTTTCATCATTAAACTGTAACCAGTGCACTATGTGAAATCATCCATTCCAAAGACTTGTTTTTCATCAATTATTTGTTGTTTATCTGATGTAAATATAAAAAGGACTAATTAAAATATATGCCTTTTTATACAGCTTCTTGTCATTAAAGCCAATGAAAGCATTCTGAGGACCATAATGAAATAATTATGTTTGCCTTTAAGAATTCTCTTCAATAACACATGGCAGTACTGAGCTAAATTAAAACATCAGGAACTGAATTTCGCTGCCTCCATTTCCATTTTAGTTAATTAAACCCCCAAGCTTTCCAATAGACCAGCCCCTAAAAAAATCTTTTGAAGCTGAAATGGCCTTCAGATCATCGGCCTTTTTATAATTATGGACTTTGATGACATGACAAAGGTACTGTAGCCGTTGAAAGCTTTAATATTTTTGAGAAGACAAATTTATTACATGAGGTCTTCATTTGCTCTGGAAATGGGAAAAAAATTGGGATGTGATCCAGATCTTCTCTCCCTAGTTAACCGATGCACTCATCTTATTTGTTCTTTTACCTGCACATTATTTTGAATTTAGCTATTTTTTTGACTTGACAAAATTTTATTCTGTGATGAATAGTAATTTATCAACAACAACATAGCAAACATTCCACTAAATATGGGTCAAATTAGGACAGTGATTCTTTGTCAAACACTGAAACTTAAAAAATAAGAAGCTATCTTTAAGACAGCAGTGGACTGAGGAGAATCTGTGAATTTTAAGAAATAAAATCCTTCTGTTTGACTTTTCTCCTCCTCCAAATCTCAAATCAGATACTTTGGAAGGCAAAGAATAAAATAAAATGAAAATAAATCTGGGTTTAAGAGAAAGGGAAGAAGGAAAAAGGGGAGGAAAACTGCTAAGTGGTTTCAGGGCTGGTAGCAAATGAAATGGCTTTAGCAATGTTGTCATCTGATGCAGATGGGGATGGGAACTTTGTACTTTCAAAAGTAAATACAAGGCCGGGCTCGGTGGCTCACGCCTGTAATCTCAGCACTTTGGGAGGCCGAGGTGGGCAGATCACGAGGTCAGGAGATCGAGACCATCCTGGCCAACATAGTGAAACCCCATCTCTACTAAAAATACAAAAATTAGCCAGGTGTGGTGGCACACGCCTGTAGTCCCAGCTACTCAGGAGGCTGAGGCAGGAGAATCACTTGAATCTGGGAGGTGGAGGTTGCAGTGAGCTGAGATCACACCACTGCACTCCAGCCTGGGCAACAGGGCGAGACTCCATCTCAAAAAAAAAAAAAGAAAAAAAAAAAAAAAAGGAGTACCAAGGATTAACTCTGACAACGTGAAATCCCTCACGTTTTGTTCTATATGGAGAGTTGGCGAGGTTTGTGAGTGGATGATATTTGGTGATCGCTGGATAGACTGTCTAATGAGACATCAGCAGTGAATTGTTAACAGCTGGAACACAAATATCTATTCTATGACAATGTAAAATGACAATTATAATCTCAGAATCCACTTTTATTAAACGACTTTCTTCCTCCCAGTTTTTCTTTGTTCTCTTCAAAGAAATCTGCTTTTGGAAATCAGGGACATCATCACCCACTATCACCCCTGTAAAAATCAGCTTTCTTCTTTCTCCCTCCCCTGAGCTGGTTCAGTTCTTCAGCTGCTGGGGGAAGCCTAGAGACTCCTGGAATCCCTGAGCCCTGACTAGAGGAAATGCTTGGCCAGGTTGAGTCGCCTTGCTGACGTCAGTTCCTGTTATCCTCGCCTTATCGCGCAGGGGGCAGAGAGTCTTATCTTACTAAATGGTCCCCTTGTAGCTCCCCCACCCTACAGGGCCAGAGAAAGAGCAAGTCAGCAGTTCCATTGCCTGTTTGACTTCCCATCTAAGAAGCTCTGAAAGCTCAAGACAAAATGCCAGTAGACTTAGGCTCTCCTGCTTCCTAGGTAGAGAGAACTTTTGCAACTTTATTTTTCATTCATTTAAAGGGGTTTGGGGAGTGGGATGGGACAGAGATCATGCTTTTTAATGATGGGGTAAGGAAGCTGGGAATGAAAAGAGGAGAATTCAGAGCAACATATTGACTGATGAGGTTGTGTTATTAGATCTTACAGATGGGGCAGGTTATCTCATCTCCTATTTAACAAGAGGTACTTAGACCAAGCCACTTACAAGCAGGATACTGATAAATCTGAAACCTGAGTTAACTCTACTCTTCTCCCTCCATCACCCCAGCTCCAACTTTTTAAGAGGAAGCTGGCAAGGGCTGATACAGATTTGTTCATAACAATTTAATTTAATTCTACTCCCTCCTCCCCACCCTGTCCACGCACACACAGGTGCTAGAGTGAGAATCACAGCCCAGTCCATTTTGCAAGGAATGCCTTCTATTCACAGATCTATAGTTTGCTACGAAAGGAATTCATGTTCATAAGAATGACCCAGAAACACAAGGCGATCTTCAGACATAATGAAAAAATTAAGCTGTGAGAGCTCTACTTATATTGACTATAGAATCCAAACAAAGACTTTCTGTGCCACTCCTAGGAGATGTTGTAATATTAAATATCTGGCATATTTCAATGATTTATGTGGGAACTGTGCAGGATATTTGAAAGTGGGTTATTCTAGAAAATCAGAGATACATGATTGTCATAACTACCCTGTAATTTGAAAGGCAAGATTCTATCTACATTAATATCTTTGGAAAGGTTTTCAGCCAAGATTTTTCTGATTAACCTTCATCAAAAACTCCCATTTCTGAAATAATCTATTTAATTGATAGTTAACTGAATTTATATTAGAACATTTAAAGTATAAAAATGTCATTTAAGGATAAATGTATGGCACTTACACATAACTCAAACTGTATAGAAGATTCTAAGATGTTCTAAAATGAACATTGCATTTATTGTTAAAATCCTGTGTGACTTGAACAGAGTTTTGTATTTTGCATCTTGGTTTTTACATCTCCATCTTCTGCCCAAAGAGTAACTTAAAATTCTCAGCTTTTTCTAAATTACTGATTTAAAAAATTATAAATTCCTTGAGAGTAGAATTTATAATCTTTGTTATTTATCATGTATTTCCCTTCTCAGATAGAGTTTAATGATATCTGTGGAATGTGTAAAGGAGAAAACAGGTTTTCTTTCTTTTTCAGCCACCTCAGAGCTTAACATATGTCGAAGGTAAATTATAAACATCTGATATCCAGAAGAACTTTTTTTTATTCTTACGCTTTAGAGAAAAGTGCATAACAATACCCTCGGTTGTATATATCAGCGCCAGGCTTCTAGAAATGAGAAGGAAACTTCTGATTCAGGTCAGCTAGCCTATCAGAAATAGCCATTCTGGTCATTTATCTATTAAGGAAAAAAGACCTGCTTCAATGCAAGGGCTTTACATTATTGGCTGGCAAATCAAATTCTAACTAAAGCTTCCAAGTCAATTCCATAGCTTAAGTTTAGGCAAACAGATGTCTACCTTTCTACTGTTTAGTTTTTTGAATCCATCCTTTTCTGGCAATAAAATTTAAACACATGCTTTTTCTTTTCTAAGTTGCACATCAATACTCACTCCCTTGTCAAATGTACCAATTTATCCAATATTCACAATATGATTTCTTTTTTTCTACAAGGAAGGAAAACTTTGTGAATCTTTCACTTGTTTTCGAACAACCCACAACCCTGCCTGTACTCTCTTTGCGATTTAAGGAAAAGTCCCTCTTTTTCTCTTCTTTCTGATGGTATTAGTTACCACCGTCATGTGCCCGAGAAGCAGAAAATTATGTCCTACTTTAGAAAAACAATTGGGCCTTTTCACTGAAATATTTATTCAAAACCCCATTCAATTCATACGGTGGCTGTCAGTCTTTATTTAGTCTTTCTTTCAGAGGGTATCTTTGATTTTGCCACTTTGACCCCAATTTATATCTCACTAGGAGAGGATTTAGATACTGTTTAATACTTAAAATTTGGGTCCCAGGGCTTTGAAAAGAGGCCTTTTCTCATTCCCTAATCAAACATCACTACTGGTTGTTTTAAAAATAATTTCTTCTCATTAATGGGCAAAGTCCTATTTCAAAAAGAAAATATTTTTTTCTTTTTCCTTTTGATGTGTTGAGTAGGGAGAAAAGACAGGGAAAAAGGCCAAGAAGTTGTCACACTCGTTATTTCACCAAAGCAACTATATTTAGACCACAAAATATTAAGATTTATCCTATACCCACTGAGCAATTAATGTTGAAAACATCTGGAGCCGCCTAAAACCAAGATAATCCTGGAGACATCTGAACAGAAATTTAGTGACTCCTATACCTTCCAGGGGCAGTCGTCAATCGTAATATTTAGACCACATTCCCTTAGTAGTCCCCTAATCCTGACTTTGAATGCTTATAAGAAGCAATTCACAGACACTACTACAAATGGCAGCTGGCTGGCATATCATTTTTCTGCCTTTAAAATTAAAAAGAAAATAAAGGGAATATTTTAACACCTTTCAAAGTGAGCTTGTGATGGTGTGCTCCATGTTCAAAGGTCTTACTTTATTTACTATGCATACACACACACACCATAAAAAAAACTCAAAGCAGAAAATAGTTTTGGTTGGAATTTAGTACTTTTTCTTCTTTGCCCACTGTTTCCTCTGTGTTAAAAGCAAAAACAGATCTGCTTCTCGTCAAAATAGCCATTAAGTAAAATGGAAAAGGTTGTGGTTATGTTCTTACTTACACAAATGTAGCCCTAATATACTTTTATTTCAATAGCCCTAACTAGCTGTACCACCCTGAACCAAACACTGCATGGCACAAGACATTTGTTAGAATCTCTAAAAAAAAAAAAAAAAAAAAGTTTTAGTTTTATTTATGCTAAAAAAAAAAAAAAATCGTTGGAACAACTGACCATCATAAAGTGGTTTATGAGGGTAAAGCAACTCTGCAAGGGCACAAGCAATATTTACATTTTATTCATTTAACCTAAAGTTGGGGTGTGGGATTCAAACTCTTGTGAAACTGACCACAATAAGAACTAATTGCCCTGCTTACAAAAATAAGACACTGGAATTTCTGAAATCCCTTTGTCAAATGCCTTTATTTACTTTGTCTAATGCAAGTTTCTTTGATTAGCTAAACTTTGCTGTTATCAACACTTCTTGCTTATCGGGTAGTTTTAGGCGAATGACACATTCACCGCTCGCTCTCCCTAGATAAAGCAAATCCCTTGTTTAACTTGTCCAAGAACAAACAAAGCTTTTCCCCCTACTCTTACAACTTAATAGGCATCTTTGGAAGGTTAATTACAAAAGGAAGAATGTCTACATGTAAAAACTCTATTAGGTCTAATAACTTTTGGCGAGGATCCTGAGCATATTTTTTCCTTCTGTTAAAAAACATGTTTCATTACCACTTTCTCTAACAAGAAAAAGTTTCAGAGAGCCCCAGTTCCCTGGGATTCCAACAGAAATTGTTCATACTGTTTTAATTGCTACAAAGAGGACAGGTCTGAAAAGTCTCTTCTTGGATTAGAAAATTATTTTGTAACACTCCAGTTTCTTTGAGTTCTCCAGAAATAAAATGGGCACCAAAAAAGAAAAGGCATTTGGGGAGCAGCTGAAGATTAAGGCGCCTTCTGAAAACGATATTCTTTTTGCCCTGCTTATGGCTCTACAAAATGTTAAGTCAGACAGCCAGGCTGTTGGCATCAAATGGTTATTGATTTTTCAGCTACAAACCTGTTGATTTCCCGGCCCAAGAAGCAAGTCTTTATTCTTAAGAAAAAGTTTCAGAGAGGGCAATTTAAATCCTGTCATTGTCCCCTCTCCCCTTTTTCTTCTCTCTTTAGATAAGCCACCATGTTATTAGGAAAACTCAATTTCTTCCAGTTAAACTTTGACCTCTTTGAAAACAAAGATTTAAAATGTCATTTTCAGGCTAATGCTCCAATGAATTGTCAAATAAAGTACTAAAAACATTTTGATAGATAGCTGAGCCATTTATCTAAATCACTGTCAGGGCGGCGAAGCATCCTGCAGGCTCCCACTACAGCCACCCGAAGGTGGGATTTTCTGGGACTCCTGATCATTTCTCAAGCCTGCAGCCAGGCTACTGTTGACCAGGTGCGTACCTCGGCACTGTGTCAGCATCAGATAACAAAATAGTCAATATTTTTTTTTTAAATTGGGCTACCCCACTTATATTTCCTTTCCTTTAACTGATGTCCACGTTCCGGGCTGAACTGCAAGATATGGAAATAATGGATGGCTCAGTCCAAGGGGTGTTCATTGCCAGTAGTTTTCTAGCAAAACAGCAACTTCTTAGACCAACAAAGTGACTTGGAAAGGTGGCAGCAGGGTCAATGCTAAGAAATATTGCCTTTCCTTAGCAAGGAAAACATTGGAAGCGGCAGCTTGAACTGGTGGTTTATGAACTTCGGGAGCAGCAGCCACCTTAATTAAACTAAATTCCTTTCAAGGAAAATGTCATATTTTAATTACTTTGGACTGTTGGAATACACAAGGGGTGGGGGGACCTATACAACTAGTAGCTAATCCAAAGAACAGCAAAGTTAAATTCCACTCTGCATACATTTTAGTAAAAACTGCAAAATGTGTCAAATTGCCCTACTTGAAGAATGTTTTAAAGTCTTGTGGTCACCCTCTACTCCCCACCCCCCACATTTTTATGCATATTTTAAAAACTGTTTTCAAGAGACTATAAGGTTGGTAAGGAGAGGAGCATGGGGGCGGGAGGGGTTATTTGGGAAGAAAACATCTAACAGGAAATTTTCAGCAAAGGGAATCAATATGCATGCCAGCATATCACACCCCTTCAGCATTAAATCATTAAATCCTTTGTCTTGCTACCAATGCAGTTTATTTCCAACGTCTTTATTGCATGCAAGAGAGACAATTTTTTTTTTCTTGGTAGAAGAAGGGAAAAAAATAAACCTACATTGAGCAGTGTGCCGATGCTGCCATTCGGTTTGGGTCAATCCACTGAAGCATGCTTTGAGAGCTTTCTCCTGGAGCATGCAGGAAGACGGACTCGCAGTGTAGAAATCCAGGATTTGCCCAGGACTCACTGACAGAACATCCATACAGTCAAACATGATCTCCCTTGCACTGAATGTCTGCAAAAGTGCTTATCCTCTAGGTGTGGAGGCAAATGGCATAGAAAAGTCCACCCAACTCCATCAAACTCTGCCCCTTTTTTGGCACGTAGGCTGTTGGTCTTTTTCCCAGCCCCGAATCATGAATTATGACAGACAAGCCAGCTAAAAGCCTGTAATTGATCCAAATGATCATTTACCATTTTCCAGGCTTGCTCGGCCAATCCAGCCGGGGCGGGGGGTTCCCAGAAAGATCCCAAGTTCTCCTTCCAAGTAAATGCTTGCAAAAAGCCTTCCGAATGCGTTCCGGATCCTACCCCGACGGTGCCCAGACAAACCCTGCTCGGATCGCTCGCGTTCTCGGCATCCCAGTCCTCAAACAGCTCGCATGGGGGAATTCTGGTCCCCCCTTTGGCAAAGAATAGACCCTCCTGCCTCTGAACAGCTCACTTCCTACTACTTCTGTCACACAGAATGAAAGATTGAATTGCCTAATATATGCGAGTGAACTTTCGGTGAACCCTACCCGGGCTGCTAACCTTCAAATGACCCAACTAGTCTGACATCACCAACTCCCAGGATTCTCACAGAGCTTAAAAACTCCCAGCAGCCCTGCAAAAGCAGACAGCCAGAGAGGCAGGCAGCGAGCGCACAAGCCGGCGTTTTCTTTCCTATTTCTCACCTTAAAAACAATACAAGAAGTGCTTTTAAAATGAGCAGGGGAGGAGCCGGGACGCTGCTCCTGGCTCACGTTGAGCACCAACTTCTCTCCCTTTACGCCTTTTTATTTGCGGCGGCTTAGCTTGGAAAACGGTGTTCCGCCTGCGCCCGCTCGCCTCCCGCCCACCGCCTCGCCCCCCAGCCCACACTTTAAATTCCTCTGTGCGCCTTTCTGTCTGTTAAATTCCTTATAACTTATGTATTTTTCCACTCCAGAAAAAGCACATGCAAGCCCTAAACTGTAGAACAGAGAATGGCTACCCCTTGGGAAAGGCTTGGGTTGGGAAACTTTCCATTCCACAGTCTTTTTCTCTTTCTCCCTCTTGCAAGCCCCTGGCTGAATTGACTGCACTCGTTTGCTCTGCAATCCAGCTTTCGAGATTCATTTACTTTGAAAAATCCTCTCCAGGTTCTATGCAGCATATAGAGTAGTCAGGAATTGGTTACCCCTGTCCCAAACACACAGCCACACAGAAAATGAGATTTCAGATCTGGACTTGAAAAAACAGTATAGTGGTCAAGAGCATGGGTTGGGGAATCAAACTGAACTAGATTCCAATTCCAGGTCTGCCACTTACCAGCTGTGTGTTCTGGGATAAGTATTTAACTTCTTCAGGCTTCAGTTTCCTCATCTGTAAAATGGGCATATAATACTACCCACGTCAGTGTTAACTGGGAGGACAGAAATAACACTTGTATGGTGCTGGGTAAATATCATGGAACAAATGTTAGCTGTGACTCATCCTCATACTGTTCAACTGGTGAAACAAAACCCCGGGGAGATGAGACCTACCCAAGGTCACACAGCTCAGAGCTGTGACTAGAACCCAGCTCCCTAGGATGAAAGTCCAATGTGAAAATTACTTGCCTGTTCCCACATCCTTGCACCCCAAATAGCCATGTTGGTTGCCTCTCTCATCATACACCTACACACATCCCACCACATAATTAAACGCATATTTTGTAAACTGGTTTAAGTATGACAGTTTTACATTTTGAAGGACCAGTTTTCTCTCATTCCAGCCCCTGCCCAATCCTTTTATTAAAATACAGTAATTTTAAGGGAAAATGATTTTTTAGATCTCTCACACTGACCCAACCTACAGGAAGAAGAGTCTTTCCAGCCAGTCCTAAAACACTAAGAAGGATAGATGCAGTATTTACAAATAAACCCAGCCGGATGGAGAGCTTTAAAAGGGAGAGCCAATCTACCCTGCAGCCATTTTGCACAACTTGTTTAAAGGATGCAACATACATCAAATAAAGGAAACTCTGGAGAGGAATTAAAACACCCTTTTTTCTCCACTGCCTCTGTAGCATTTACTTGTAATTCTCCCACAAAACAGGGCAGGCAAGTGGTTAGGCAGGGAGGGAGAGTCTCCTTGCCCAATGCAGGGAAGAGCACTGCTCCAGTCTCCTTTTTGTGGATAGTGTTGGAATGTGCATTGGCATCCGGGCCTTTTAAAAGCCTGTCAGGGGGCACCCCACCCCATGCTGAAACACTGCCCTGTCTAGTGGAGTTGCTAAGTGGCACTTGTGGTGTAACATGAAAAGTATGCATCGCACACACTTACCAAGTCAAAGATCCTTTTATGAAGGTACATTAAAACAATTTTCAGCCCAGCAAGCTCAGTTCTTGCTATTGAAAAGTTCAGGGCAATAAAGGGGTGAGATTTTTGCTGAATCTGTGTTTGTTATTTTTGCGCCTCTCTTCTCTCTTTTATATGGCCATCATTTTGTAACAGAGACTTATTGTAAGAAACCCTTTAACTACAAAGAAAACACACATTTTAAGCAAGAGAACACAGAGGAATTTACAAAACATTTAACACACTGTCATTAAGGTAGTTGTAAAGATACACAAAGCACTACATTATGTGCCAATTTCTACTTGGTCCATGAGGCTTATGGCTCCAAATGCTTATTTAAGGTCCTTAGAGTTCCTTGGAAACTGAGTTCATTTTTACCGGACAGTGGAGGTGGATGAAAAGTTGTTAGACAAGAGAAGAGGAAACAGCTATATTGGAAGTAGAGCAGGAGAAACTTAAGTTAGAGATGAGAAACATGGCATCACTGACAGGTATGTGTGTACAGGGATCTGTTATCCAGGGGAGGCTGCTGCACATTCTTGCTTAACATCTCTCCAAAGAGTAGAGATGCACTGGTCCCAGGGAAGTGAAGATGGGGATGGGTGTCCTCAAAATTCTGTTCATTCTCATTTCTTAAGCTATGGAATCAGCCTCATTGAGCGAGACCACTGCTTCCGAATTTCTTACCTCTATACTGTATCATTGCACAAAAATAACAACATTAGTGTGTCTCTCTCTGTGTGTGGTAAAGGTTGGGCGACTCGATGTTTTCTTTCTTTGTGCAAGAAAATGTAAAATATATAATTACCTTGAAGTTCTCAACTGAGAAATGAACTTGGGCCTTGAAATGAATAATCAGTATTTAAATCCCCATGAAAGGAATAGTATGGGTTTCTTATAATATGACAATATTCGCTAGTCAATTAATCATTCCTCATCATGAATTAATTATGCTGATAGCAATAATTAGAGCTATTACTTAATCCAAGTATTAATTTATAAAACAGACCCATGATTTAGCCACATGCTAATTATTTCTTCATCAGTAAATGCTTACACTTCTTGAAAACTTGATTCTGTCTCCAAATTCTTCATTTTAAGTAAAATGAAGGAAAGATACATAAATAAGCCATAATTCTTTAAATACAGATCCGTGCACTATAAAGATTAATGAGTAGGGTAGAAAGTGAAAAATAGACCGATTTGTCCGTAATGAAATGTAAACTACTGACACCCATTTTAAACATTAGCCACAGGGTTGGAAGAAACTTTCCCAAATATCTTCTTGTTATGGCATAAAATAACATTCTGATATGTGTCATCTCTATTTTCTTTGTGTTTGATCAATGATCTAATAAATGTATTTCCAACCAACAAGCAAACAAAAAGTGAAAAACAAAAAGCAAAACTTTGAGAGTAAAATCCATTTTGTTTCAGAGTAACTGTATATTTGTCAGTGTGACACAGCACATTTGAAACCCATAATCATAAAACAAAAATTTATAGCCAGGGTTCAGGGTCTACATCTGTTTCTCTGGTTTTCGTACAGCAATTACCCACTGGACAATCCAGAAAGAAACACCATGAATCATGCTCTGCAAACATGTTTGAACTGGAGAGTTTTCTGAAGAAAGAGCAGTCGTGTCTGTGCACCGTACTGCAGCCGGCTGTGTTCAAAATTGGGCTAATACCTTGTGATGTCTAAATAAGAAGATTTTCAGAGGCGCAGACATATCCCCCCCCACCACAGGGGCAGACATGCAAAGTGCAGGCAGACACAGGCACAGGGCTGGGGGAGGTGGACACTGATTGTTTTAAAGACATGCCCAGCTCTTTCATGTTGTTTTGGCTTTTTGTTTGTTTTTTAATTTTTTTTCCCTGTTAATCCCCTCTTGCCACAGTTCTGCCAGAAGAATAAATGGCTAGTACTGAGTGACTTGTGTGTTCCAGCAGGGAAGCCAAGGCAGAGATGTTGGCAGCACGAGGCAAGTATGAGGCTCTTCCCAGGGCTTCCATACTAGCAGGCAGAGCTGCTTTTGTGTTGGAAGGGAGCGGGGGAAGTTCTAACAGTAATAACACATGGAAACTTTGCTTGTGGCCCTTCAGTATGAACACCTGCTCACATAACAGGACTGTTGATGTTCGTGGATCTTATACCAAAAGACACCAATGCACTTTCCAAATGAACTTGCAAGGTGGCTCTGGGCATGAGTATAGCGACTTCTTAGAAACCCTAGAAACACATCTTCTTCAAAAATGTCTTTTTACTTTGAGTGTTGGCCACCGTGTCCTTCATTTGGCTCTTTTCTCTTCAGCTCTCTGCTTTTTCAGACTTTCCTCCACAAAGTCTTCCTACTTGGTTACACACAAATATTGTTCTCCCAAGACAAGGGCATACTTTTCTCTTTCCACATTTCTGAATTATTTTCTTTAGTGCTTCTGTGCTTTCTGCCGTCGATGACTCATAAAGACAGCTCTTCAAGCCCAACAGTTTCGGTTGGTTCCAACTTGAAAGTTAAATACAACCCCTGCTGAATGCCTCAGTACTGAGCAGTGAGCTGCGAACCATCTCTTAGCTGACTGTCACTGCTGGTGGCATTGTCTCAACATTAGTTTTGGGGAGACCTATCTTTGGCTATTTCATCTTGTTTACATTTCCTTTTTTAAATCTAGATCTTTACTCTTTCTTTTCCTTTTTAAAATTTTATTTTCACATTTTCCATCACTCCCTATAAATCTAGATTTAAGTAATACATGCTCATAAAAATTCAAAGTCTTGTCCAAAAGATATAAAGTGAAAAGTAAAAGTCCTCTACATGTATTCATTAAATGTTGAATACCTACCATGTGCCAGGCATCTTAACTGGTGCTTGGCATAGATCTGTATATTTTTTTGGGATTGTGTGGGGGGGTGCTGTTTGTTGCTATTATACCAGTATGGTCTTATGATACATATTGCTCTGCAACACTTTTAAATTTAGCAATATTTCTTGAACATCCCTTCAAAATAAATAATACATATAGAACTACCTCATTTAAAAAATAAGTTAGAATCTCTGTACATCAATGCACTGCATTTCATTTAACCAATGGCCAGCTGTTAAGACATTTAGGTTGTTTCTACTTTTTTAGTACTATTAGGTTAGTGCAAAGAAGCCCTGTGGGCATGTGCACCAATACGTCTGCTGGATAAAATTCTAGTAGCGGTGTTACCAGAACAAGGATTATGAGCATCTTAAAATTTGATGGACGCACAAAATTGTACTCCAAAGCAGTTATGTGAATATATGTTACCTTTTTGTTCTAAAACCGGGGTCAGCAAACATTTTCTGTACGGGGCCACTGGAAATATTTTAGGCTTTGCAGGCTATACAGTCTCTGTTGCAACTGCTCAACTATGCCACTGTAGTATAAAGGAGCCACAGACTATATAATAAATTAATGGGCATGGATGTACTTAATAAAACTTAATTTACAAAAACTGATAGTGGACTAGGTTTTGCTCATGGGCTGTAGTTTGTCCACCTCTGTTCTAAACCAACATTTAACAATTTCACAGAATTCTACATTGCCTTGTCTGTATCCTTATAAAACCTAGCTATATACATTTGGGTTTTGTTAACACTTTACTTTTCCTTCCCTTTTAAAAGCTTAATTCAGTTTCAACTTGTGTATCTCATGAAGAATAATAGGGCTTTTTATTATATTATTCATCTAGAATGCATTATATTACTTCATCCAGAATCATCTTTCTTTCTCTCTTGGCTGGTAATTTCTCACTTTTCTACCTTATTGTCTTCATTTCCTTCCATAAGAAGGAGTTTTGGGTAACATCTCTGCCTTCAAAATGTGTGCAGATACCCCTGTTCTTCCACTATTAAACCCTGCTTTAAAGTGCATTATTTCCACGAACACCCCACCTCAGTCCCATATATGATGGCAACATTTGAGAGATGGAAAATGTAATGGTGACTCCTGAGAATAAATGCCAATGGCACTACCATGCTGCAGCTTGCCTGTGACTTCCCTATGCTATTCCACGTGAATTTTGTCTCATCTCAATACATCTTCCAATAAGCTAAGATTAGATGTGCCACTTAGTTGACAGAGTGCTTAGAAGAACAGCTAGACTCTTTTCAAGGATGGAAGGAAGCACAAAGGATTCTAAGAGTGCTTTGCAATTATTTCGTGTTAATATTATTAATAAAGGATAATGTCTACAACTGAGATGCCTGCCTTAATTCCTAGTTCAGCACTTCATTTTTTGAGATCATATGTATGAACAGAAACTGTTAGTCGGCTTTTAAACTCTGCTGTTTAAACTAATTAAAATTAAACAATTAAAAATGAGTTCTCAGTCACATTAACCATATTTCAAGGGTGCAACAGCCTCATATGACTGGTGGCTTTCACATTAATAGGACAGTGCAGACATAGAATGTTTCCATCATTGCAGAAAGCTCTATTGCAGCATAGTGCTCTCAAAGGTCAGCTTAATGATTAGAGAGGCAGTGTAACATGGTAGGTGGGGCCACAGAGTTTAGACACTACCTGTGTTTAAACCCCAGCTTTGCTTCTTACTAGCTGTCTGGCTAGGCAAAGTTACTTAACTTCTATATTCTCTCACCTGCAAAATGTAAATATTAATGGTACCTACGTCAAAGAGTTGTGGTAAAGATTAAATGAGGTAATACAAGTACTTAGGAAATGTCAGTGCAAGGCCGTGCACAGTGGCTCACGCCTGTAATCCCAGTACTCTGGGAGGCCGAGGCAGGAGGATCACCAGGTCAGGAGATTGAGACCATCACAGTGAAACCCAGTCTCTACTAAAAATACAAAAAAAATTAGCCGGGCATGGTGGCACGCACCTGTAATCCCAGCTACGCGGGAGGCTAAGGCAGAAGAATTGCTTGAACCTGGGAGGTGGAAGTTGCAGTGAGCCGAGATTGCACCACTGCACTCCAGCCTAGACAACACAGCAAGACTGTCTCAAAAAAAAAAAAAAAAAAAAAAAAAAAAGAAAAGAAGAAAAAATGTTAGTGCAATGTCTGCAAGGACAAAATGAAGTCCGATACATATTGCTCAATACCACTCAAATACTACCTGTACCAGAGAATCTTCTGTCAGAGTAGTCATTTTCAACCAGAATGCACATTTCAGGCTGCAGGTGGAGGGGGTAGGGGCTGCAAATATGTAATTAGGGCAAGTTCTCTAAGAGAATTTGCTGCATATACCTAGTTAAGTACTACCACACTGAAGCATTTTTATATTTATATATACTATAAAGGAAGATGGTTTCTTTCATTTCACAAAGCACACACTGAGTCAGAATGACCATGAAATAATTGGCAAGCCCCACCCTGCTGCCCCTGTGGAAGACAGGAAATAGATCATAATAGATCATATGACTCTGTTTTTTTTTTTTTTTTTTGGCATAAGTGGTGTTGAGCCTCAGCACCTTAGGGCTGATTATAAATTAATTAAATGGCAAAGGTATTGCATAAGATGGAAGACTTGCATTATTAATCTATCTTGTGTTATCATCTGTTATCTTTCCATCCATCCATCCATCCATTCACCTACCCGTTCTTCTACCTGATATCCACCCATCCCTCCATTTACTCATCCATCCACCAATCCATCCACCCTTCTAGTTATCCACACATCCACTTGCTCATATACCCATCTACCTATCCACCCATCCATTCACTCTCTGATCCATCATCTACCCATGACCTAAACCCCCAAAGGTGATGAAGCAGAGTATGGCTTTTTGCAGACAATATATAAGGCAGTGAGAGGGACAAAAGTAAAACTTCTCAGATCATGCATGTATCTTTCTCTAGAATCCTTGAAAAGAATTTTCTGATGAAATGTGCTGGCAGAAATAAGGTCAAAGGCATTGGCCACTGGAGATTTCAGTTAAACAGGTTTGATAAATCAGGTTGTGGCTGGAGAGAGCCCCTTAGATCTAACTCTGATCTTTAAGAGCATCCCAGGATTTGAAATGCTAATGAAGCCAAGTTCTATTAGCAACACAAAAGTTTCTGACTCTGAGGGAAAGCTAAAAGCCCAAAGGAATTTCCTTCAGATTCTACAGGGAAAGGGAATGTAAAAAGTACAAACACATCAGAGGGGCAGTTGGAGAGGGAATGGAATTTAAATTCATCCTAGTGTCTGACAGAGAAAAAGGCAAATAAAAAGCTCAATGTGATTGAGTGGGAATTGTCAGGGTAACATAAAGCCAGATAGAAATCCCTGTGAAATTTCTGTTGGAGAAACAAAGATATGCATAAAAGCACATTATACACACACACGCGCGCACACACACACAGGTAATGTGAATACAATGTTAAGTATTTTTGGTTAAAAAAATAGTTTTTCTCTCTTCTTTCAAACATCAGGGTATAAACCCACCTTCTCAACATCTAGTCAACCAAGAGCTTCGAAAGCTTCTCTTAGAGAAGATATCATGGTGGCTTCCAAAATTAGTTTTTTGCATTTTGTTATTGTTTACTTGATGAAGTTACAGTTGCTTCAAAAAAAGATAAGCAAAGATAATTCAGAAGGCAACAGTTTCAAAATGTAAGGTAACACATAAGCATGGGAGGTAAAGAAAGGGAAAGAATAGACAGAAATATCAAATACTTTCCCTCTGTTTAAGCAAAATGCAATGCTAAAATGTAGGATCTGCTGCAGTGATTCCCAAGGCATGGTGCTTCCAGGGCTTCACACCCAGAGCTACCTCACACAAATTTCTGGGGTTGGGGGTCTATTCAGGTGCATTTAAATCAAGGTCCTCGGGTTTTCATTCTGCACACTACACTGTCAGACTCTCTGTGCTGATGGGACATTCCACTTGGTGAACACAAAGGCACCAGAGAACCTTTAGAGAACTTGGTATGACAGATACTCTCTCCTTTGACCAAAGCTTTAGTCAGGCTCCTCTCATTCCTCTGCTTGAGGAGGCCCAAGTTTGGGCTTCCTGTCTAACTTTGCAGAATCCAGTGTGAGCCAGAATCCTGCTAAGGCAGCTTAGGGAAAATCCCTCACTCTTGGTAGTGATAGGAATCAGAACATGCTACCCCAAAATATGGCACTTTGGCATTTGAGTAAACAGTAGAACAGGGAGGTCACTCTGAGTTTCCCCTTGCCCTTCTCCCCTGAAGCAGGTCATCAGACCCTCATGTCAGAGATGCCCTCCCTGTATACATAAGAAAGGAACATCGTTGTCTCGGAAGACACAGGGACACAGAGCACCACCTAAATAGATAGGCCTTGCTAAATTCCCCCCAGCTTATTACTATTAGATTATGCTCCTTTGGCCAATCATACTTCTGCAGGACTGCTCACTCTTCATTAAACTTAGCAAAAAAAATACACAGGCTTACCTATTTCTTTGGGTCTTCATTTCTACGGGCTCTTGTGTCACATAAAACTTACATTAAATCAATTTTTATATGCCTTTTTTTTTTTTTGGTTAGTCTGTCTTTTGTTATTGTGGCCTCAGCCATGAACCTAGGGATGGGAAAGAAATATATTTCTCATTCCCTATAGTAACTGACCACCCCTGTTATCTTATCACCCTAACTTGCCTTCAGAAATAATCCTTTCTGAGTCAGTTTGGCCAGAAATTCCTTATGCTTGATGTTTTCTCTTAGGGATTTTCCATCCACTGACCCCATCCTTCTCTTCGGTTATGAATCCCTACTTGTCCTCAGTGGAGTGAGAGTTAGTCCAATCTCTCTTCTCCTATAGCTGTTGTCATGGTCCCCCCTTACCACCTTTAACAAGTGTCATTTTTTTTTTTCTTTCACACCTGTTGAGATGGACAAGTTACAGAGGCTAGAAATGGTAGACCTCTGAGACTGGAGTGAAGAAGCCCTGGATTCAAGTCTTGGCTCTATATTTATCTGCTGGGTCGGGTTAGGTAAATTCATAATCCTTCTGAGTCTCATTTATTCTTTTCATTTGCAATTGTAGGTAAGGTCTACTTCAAAATAACATCTACTTCAATGGAAGACAATGTTGGAGAATTAAATGCAATAATTTATGAGAAAGATTTTTATAAATTCTCTGGTACCATGTAATGTTTGGCATTAGTATTCACACATTCGATAGAAATAGACAAAAAAAATTATATTTTTACCTCTTTCTACTACTCTGTGGCAAACTTAATTCCAGGACCCTTCTCCCAAATCCATTCTCTCTATTTCCCCTACAATAGGTTTCTAGCTGAGCATATCGCCATCCAGATAGACACCATATTTCCCAGCCTCCTTCGCAGCTAGGTGTGGCCATGTTCTCATCAACACAATGTGATCACAAGTGTTGTGTGCAAATTCAATGTCACTTCCTTAATTTCCCACCTTCCACTTGCTATCTTGCCCCTTCCCTACCAAGTGGAATACTGCAGAACTCTACATAAACCAGAGAGGAGGACAGCAACCCAGAGGGAGGCAAGGCCACAAGATGGAAAGAACCTGGCTCCCTGAATGTCCATGTGGAGTACTGGCTGTCGTGCCAGCCTGGAGCATTTACCTCTAGACTATTATGTGAGAGAGATGTACACTTCTATCTTATTTATGCCGTCATTTTTTGGGTCTCTTTTAAAAGTCAAGTTTAGTCTATTTCAAATTAATCAACTCTCTAATTTGTTTAAAATTTAAAAGAAGAAGAAAGATAGTATTTCTCTTGTACTTTCCCAGGCTGTATTAGTCTATTTTCATGCTGCTGATAAAGACATACCTGAGACTGGGCAATTTACAAAAGAGAGAGATTTAACGGACTCACAGTTCCATGAGGCTGGGGAGGCCTCATAATCATGGTGGAAGGTGAAAGGCACATCTCACATGGTGGCAGACAAGAGAAGAGAGCTTGTGCAGGGAAACTCCCATTTTTAAAACCATTGGATTTTGTGAGACTTATTCACTATCAGGAGAACAGCACAGGAAAGATCTGCCCCCATGTCCCTTGGGGGGAGTCAGTTACCTCCCACCAGGTCCCTCCCGCCATGTGTGGGAATTCAAGATGAGATCTGGGTAGGGACACAGCCAAACCATATCACTGACCTACTTTTCTTCCTTAGTTGGGCCAGGTTATTCTCTCCTTTCTTGCTGGGAGGACTGGTCAGTGGCAGGGAACATTAGGAAATTAGGGAACAGCTAATTTCCATTCTCACACACTTCAGATTCAGAGACAGGCAGCAGTTTTTTTTTTTTTTTAATTGGTTTTTCGATGTGGCATTAACAGAATGTAGCAAAACTTTATAGAAACTTTTACCCCTAATTCTGAACATTACCAGCGGCTTCTAAGGAAAGGCTCAGTTCCAGGCTTAGGCTTGTTCTGGCTATGTGGGCTGTATTTGGAGAGGGGGCTGCCTCCAAAGCTCTGTCTTCAAATATATGAAGTTGATTACTGATGCATCTGGAGGGGTAAGGAAAGGCCAGTGTGGCAAAACTAAGTTGGTGAGCCAGAGCATAACTTTCTACCAACAGCTTGTGAGAACTTTCCTGGTCTTACTGCTATTACCACAACAGTAACAGAGGAGGCTATTGTGACCCACAGTGCCAAACACATTGCTGAGTGCCCCATAGAAGTCCATGACAAAACGAGTGACGTGCCCCTCTGAAAGAACTGAGTAAGGCTGCCCAACACCATACTCAAGTCCAGGGGTTGGCAGACTCCAAAGGCCAAATCCAGCCTACCACTTGTTGTAAAATAAAGTTTTATTGGAGCACAGCAATTGCACATTAATTTGTTTACATATTGTCTTTGCTGCTTTTGCACAACAGAGCTGCGTGATCGTAGTGGCAACTGTATGGCCCACAAAGCTGAAAATATTTACAATCTGTACCTTTAGAGAAAAAAACTTGCTGACTGTAAGCATTCAGTACCAATCCATTGAATTGGCTTTGAAGATGAAATCTAGCGGCAGTCCTGGAACTGGATAATATCAAACGTTTCTTCAAGGTCTAAAAGTCTCAATTCGAACTCCCCAAGAATCCTCTGCAGTTATATATTTGCTTGCTTATGAGACAAAGTCTCACTTTGTTATCCAGGCTGGAGTGCAGTGGTGCAATCTTGGCTCTCTACAGCCTCAATCTCACAGGCTCAAGCGATCCTCCCGCCTCAACCCCGTAAGTAGCTGGGACTACAGGCATGTGCCACCATGCCTGACTAATTGTTTTTATTTTCATTTTTAGTAGAGATGAGGTATCACTACATTGCCCAGGCTGGTCTTGAATTACTGGGCTCAAATGATATGCCTCCCAGAGTGCTGGGATTATGGGTGTGACCCACTACACCCAGCCTTTGCTTAGATATTGGCATGCCTTGTTGCATCTTTTTCTTCAGTTCTTTTTGAATATGTTGCCATAATTAAGACAATGATGACCCTAATTAAAATAGGACTCTAGGTCATGTCCATTGCTGTGTGTTCCTTGCCCCTGCATTTTTTATTTATAACCCTACCTGGCATGTATCTACTTTTTACTGTATGTCTATCATAAAAAAAGTAGTCTCTTCAATGGTAGCAACCCAATCCAGTTCACTGCTATGATCCCAGTAATTAGAACAATATACAACACATAACAATCCCTCAATAAGTATTTGCTGAATGAATGAATAGTACTTCCTGGAAGACACTGACTAGCAGAGCCATGTACAAGTTGGTAGAAATTTAAAGTTGGAAGAGACTATGATCTACTGTTGTAAGGCAATTAGAATGGCCTCACTGTAAGTAAAACAAAATTAGGACTAATTATTAGAAGACATCATTAAAACAATGAAACCTATGGCACAGACCTTGTGTTTTTAACTCATGAATGGGGAAGTCCAACCTACATTA
Organism: Homo sapiens; assembly: GCF_000001405.40. Taxonomy (NCBI): domain Eukaryota; kingdom Metazoa; phylum Chordata; class Mammalia; order Primates; family Hominidae; genus Homo; species Homo sapiens. Next base: position 25,415,573 of record NC_000003.12, on the reverse strand, counting down.
AGACCAGGAAAAAGGTAGTATTTTCCTAAAAATAGTGCTGGAACAATGGGGTATATATTGCATACAAATAAAACAACAAAAATAAAGGATTTATACCAGGAAAAATATAGTATTTTCCAAAAAATGGTGCTGGAATAATGAGGTATATACTGCATACAAATAAAACAAACAACAAAAATAAAAGATCCATAACCCACAGCATATGCAAAAATTCACTCAAAATGGATCCTGGACCTAAATGTAAAGCATAAAATCATAAACTTTTAGAAGAAAATAGGAGAAAATTTTGTGATCTTGCATCAGGCAATGATTTTTTAGATATGGCACCAAAGTATGACACATAAAAAAAACAAAATAATTAGAACTTCATTATAATTTACAACTTCTATTCTTTGGAAGACTCTGCTAAAAGAATAAAATGACAAATCATACAGTAGGATAAAAATAGTGCAAAGCGCAATCCCAGCACTTTGGGAGGCCGAGGCAGGTAGATCACCTGAGGTCGGGAGTTCGAGACAAGCCTGGCCAACATGGTGAAGCCCCGTCTCTACTAAAAATATAAAAATTAGCTGGACATGGTGGCAGGTGCCTGTAATCCCAGCTACTCGGGAGGCTGAGTCAGGAGAATTGCTTGAACCCAGGAGGTGGAGGTTGCAGTGAGCCAAGATAACACCATTACACTCCAGCCTGGGCAGCAAGAGCAAAATTCCATCTCAAAAAATTGTGCAAAGCATATATCAGATAATGGATTTGTAACTAGAATTTTAAAAATTCCAAAATTCAAAAGTAACAAAGCAAGCACCCTTCTTCCAACTCTTATTGGGTAAACAATTTGAACAGAAATGTCACTGAAGACATTATATATATGGCAAATAAACCTATGAAACAATGCTGAACATCATTAGTTATTAGGTAAATGCTAATTAGGTAAATGCCAATTAAAACCACAATAAGACACCACTACATACCTATTGGAATTGCTAAAATTAAAAAGCCTGCCATACCAAGTATTGCTGTGATTGTGGAGAAACTATAACTCTCATATACTGTTGCAAGAAATATAAAATCATAAACCAGTTTGAACATTTCTTAAAAAGGTGAACATATTCTTACCAAGTGATCCTGCCATTCCATGCCTAGGTGTTTACTCAGGAGACATTAAGGCATATTTCTATTCAATAACATGAACATTCATAGTAGCTTTATTTGTAGTAATAGCCCCAAACTGGAAGCAACCCAACTGTCCATCAATAGGTGAATTGGTAAAACAAATTGTGGTATATCCATACAATGGAAAGCTTCTTGGCAATAAAAAGGAATGAACTATTGATACATGCCACAGCATAAATGAATCTCATAATAATCATTCTGAGTGAAAGAAGATGGATACAATAGTAGCTAATGTATAATTTGATTTAAGTAAAGAAATTCTAGGAAATGCAATCTAATATATGTGGCAGCAAGGAAATCAGTGGTTGCCTAGAGACAGGGCTTAGGGAAAAGGGAGCGACAGGAGGGCAAGATTACAAAAGCACATGGAAAAACTTCTGGGTGGTGGTGGTGGTGGAAATGTTTATATCTTGATTATGGTAATGGTTTCACAGGTATACGTGCGCATCAAAACTTACACATTTTACACTTTAAGAATGTGCAGTTTATTGAATGTCAATTACAACTCAATAAATTGTCATGGAAAATAGTATTGAGCAAAATATTTAACAACCAGTGTGCTACAGACAATAATCCTTGAGAATAAATGCAGACCATGCCAGTGTGTTGCAGCTCAATGCCAACAAGCCTTGGTTGCAAAGATGATCAACTTCATTGGTTATCAGGGAATAAAATTTAAGACCACAATGCAATAGCACGACACATCTACCAAAATGTCTAAAATTAAAAAAACAAAAAACAAAAAACAAAAAACAAGATACCAAGGGTTGGTGAAGATGTGGAGAAATCTAAATTTTCATATACTGCCAGTGGGAATGGAAATTTGCACAACTATCTTGGAAAGTCATTTGTCAGTATCTACTGAAACCTAATATAGCTTCAAACTCTCATAGCTGATAATTCCATTTCTATGTATACACCCAATAAAAATGCATACATATGTTCATGTAAAAGGCATATACAAAAAACATAATCATAATTGTACTAATCATAATAGCCCCAAGGAGAAAACTACCCAAATATTTATCAAGAGAATGGATAAAAAATGTGATATATTCACACAATAGAAGACTCTCCAGCAATGAGAACAAACAAACTTGAACCATGTGCAATAGAGTGAATGAATGTTACAAAAATAATGTTGCATGAAAAAAGACAAAAATACACAAAAAGTACAACTCTGATTCTATTCATACGAAGTTCAAAAACATTAATGTTTCAGTTAATCTCATTAGAAGTTAGGATACTGGTTACCTTTTAATCTATGTTGTTAGAAGTGAGGATACTGGTTATGTTTTAGTCAGGATTTAAAAAAGGTACAAAGGAGCTTTTGGTGTTCGGGTCATATTTTTTCTTTCTTCTTCTTCTTTTTTTTTTTTCCCCCAAGATGGAATTTTGCTCTTGTTGCCCAGGCTGGAGTGCAATGGCAAGATCTCGGCTCACCACAACCTCCGCCTCCCGGGTTCAAGTGATTCTCCTGCCTCAGCCTCCTGAATAGGTGGGATTACAGGCATGCGCCACCATGCCTGGATAATTTTGTATTTTTAGTAGAGATGGGGTTGCTCCATGTTGGTCAGGCTGGTCTCAAACTCCCAACCTGAGGTGATCTGCCCGCCTCGGCCTCCCAAAATGCTGGGATTACAGGCATGAGCCACTGCCCCCGGCCCATGGTCATGTTCTTTTTCTCGATCTGAGTGCTGGTTAAATGTTTGTGTTCAGTTGTAAAAACTAAGCTGTATACATTTATGATTTATGTATTCCTTTCTATAAATGTTTTATTTCAATAAAAGTCTTTAGTTAAAAATAGAGTGGACAGATGACTCAGATTTAAAACAAACAAACAAGCAAACTCTCAATTGTTCCCATAACTGAGAAAGTTGGAGAACAACTACTCTGGTCAACAGTCTTGAGAATGGAAGGAGCTCTCAACATGAGCAGGTCAGATATTGGGGGCTGGGAAAAGAGAAGCTGTGAGTCACCATAGAACTAGCTTTATGTTTAACTCTAAAGGACAAAGAGCATTTGGATGAAACTGCATGCCAATATCTATATAACTAGGCCCCCTTGGTTAATAGCAACATTCAATTAAAAAAACACCAAAGCCTCAATATATTAAGATGTAATTTTTATCTTTTAAATAAAGATCTGAGTGATTAAGTGCAGGATAAGGACGAGAATTTAAAAAGGAAGACAAAAGAAAAATAAAACATCCATTGTCCTCTAGTTCATTGTCTGCTGTCCAGTCCCCAAAATGAAGCACTTTGACTACAAGTTTTATTAGAAGCCAAGAGCCATTAGATAATTTGCAGAGTCATTTCCAGGGAGTCTCCAGTTCTGTGATACCTCATAATGACTGCCCCTCATGCTATCTACAATTCCTGGAAGAAAGAGAATGTTTAAAATCAGAATGGGTGATTCCACTTGCAGTTTTCCATTTCCCCAACGTCAGCTGCTTCTGCCCTCTTCCTACCTAGCCTTGCAGTCCCTACATGGCCTGTTGCACTGCCCCTCTTTGTCCAGGTCCCCTGTTGTCTCTCCCAAAGTTGTCCCTGCATCTTTTGACTTGCTGGAAGTTGGGTAGTCTGGGACTTTCTCTCTGGACGTCCAAGGGTCACTGTCTTTCCAGCCAGGAAATTGTCCTTGTTTATACCAACTTACCAAGACAAAGGGGCACACAAGCCATGACCATCAAGGGCAGGTTCTTTGGCCTTGACTTAGATTACTAGTTTTCAACCAGAGCAGTAATATTCCTCGGGCGATTTGAGTGTCTGGGAGATATTCTTGGTTGCTTCTTGAGGTCACTACTGGCATTTAGTGCGTGAGGCCAGAGATGTCAGCTGTTCTGTGCAGTGAGGAACTCTCCACATCCCACATGACTTTAGAATGTAGGTGATTCGCGTAGGGAAATAATCTGAGCCTAGAGCCTAATTTCTTCTTACATACCCCCACATACTATTTTTTGTATGGTTTTAACATGCACTGGATCTCCCAAGATGGGATTACCTTGTGAGTTGAGGGAAAAGTGTGTTTTGTATTGTGTAGAATTTTACCAAGAGTTGTTTTTATCATTTCATAAAATCACTGATTCACCAAAACCTGGTCTCTGTAAGTCTGCATGGTAGCTGCTGCTTTCATGCCAGTTCTACAAAAAGGTGTGAATGTGTGACTTCTTCATCTTATCTTCCAGTGTAGTCATGTCTAAGCATTTACATGTTAAAACATAAACTATTATAAATTTCCTTTCATTTTTTCTATATATTATTAAGATGTTATGCTGATTTAAAAAAAGGTAGATTACATTATCTATGAACTCGATTTCAGAAAGGTATAGGATATGTTACAAAGTATTTACTGTATAAGGGACACTTTAGCTTCAAAGGGCAGGAATCCACTGATTTAAAGAAATAGCTCTAATTCCTCTGAAAATGTTTCAAATGCTTCTGTAAGGCTTTAACTTCCTAGACTTCTTATGTCAAATACAGGCTGACCTTTGCCCAGTAGTATGCTCCTAAACATTGAGCAAGTGGCTCTCTGCAGAGCAGGGGTTGGGGCAGCGAGCAGGAATTGGGAGGGAAGGAGGGGAGAGGCCCTGATATGCAGTGTTTGCTGATTTCTGTGGCGTAAATACTCTGACTGTGGCCCATTTCAAGAATCAAACAATATGGCGTCACTGGACAAAAAGCTGCATAGAGATACCAAAAATTAGTTCTTATAAACTTAAACAGGTGAGAGGACCTGAGGACTCAGTTTATGTTAAATTTCTGCTTAGACACCCCCGTGTTTTCTAGGTTACTGTAACAGGGCTTAGGGGACTATAAGGCAAATTAAGCAAAAAAGAAAATAAACAAGTCTGAAATGTATATGGGAAAGAAACACAGATGTCACTAGGCTCAGCGAGTTCACTACTCAAGATTCAAAGTGAATAAATACAAGAATGAAATAATTCTTCATAAAGTTAGCTGGTATCAGTTGTGATTCTAGGATAAAAAGAACTGCCTTGTTCAGATGAGAACTAAAGGACACGGCAATATGTTCCTAACATTTATTCTGCTGCCAGCTTAAAAGAAAGTAAGAGAGACAGATTTGTGATATGGTTTAAAGGCAGCACCTGAGAAGCCCCATTTAATTCACCAGGCACTGGAAATTTATGGGAGGCAGACTAGGCCTACTCATTTGTATCTTAGGTTATATGTATTTGCTAATCAAAGAAAGGGCCAGCTATTGTGACAGACTAACCCACACTCTGTTGTCCTGTTATCAGTCATTTTCAGAACTTAGGGAATCTGTTTGGCCAAAGTACAAAATCTCATCAAGAGGGAATGATGAACGGATTATAGGCTAAGACAATGAATGAAAACAAGAACTGGGCTGGTATAAGCAGTGCTAAGACATGAAAAAATTGTCAAGATCTAAAGCAATGAGAAACTGATGCACACACTCTTGTCTGATTTAGGATTTGTCTAGGACAAAACTTAGCAATATTTTGATTGTTTCTACAACTCCCTGATAAAGAACACTGAAGGATTAAACACTGAAGGATTCCTGGGAGGTAAAAGTAAGACACCATTGTACAAAAGGCATTAAAGTACGTTTGGAATCTATGGTGACATGTGCGGTAAAATTTTGGAAAGGAAATGTGGAGAGTTGCTCAGTTGGCTTGCACATGGACCTAAGGTTTACTGACTACTGTGAATTCTGCACATTATTAGAGAGGTCATCAACACAAAGTCCTTTGTAATAATTTTGCAGTTTGCACTCTGTATACCTCTTTGGTGCTTTTAAATTTTCAGAAAATTCAAACACAGTCCCACATTAAATGTATTATTGGCCTATATTAAAAGGTGTAAGATTCTGGGATTTCACGTTCTCTCTGAGCCCTAAATATTCAAGGTGACCGGAGAAGGTTCTTACACCCTATGGCACTACAGAGTTAACACAAATTTTGAATAAACTGAGTCTATGATGAATGTGTTCTGAACATGAAAAAGTTTGCAATGACTATCAACCAGGAAAATGTGCAACCCCAGCAGATGATGGCATATGGTGTGCGAGCTGATGAGGAGGAGAAGGTTTGCAGAGCCTTTGCTAACAGATGCTCAATGACAAAAGAAAAGTCAGTTGTATGGTCTCTTGGGAAAACAACAAGAAAACATAGGTGAAAATTTTTTTTCTTATGTCAGTGAAAGATATTAATGAACTACACATTTTTCTCTGGTATTAAGGAACAAGGAGTGGTGAGCTCATGGCAATGGGCTTAGGTCACTGAGGCCAGCGAGTCCCAGGTCATTGGTACTTGCTGCGTTGGCACTGTCATACTTGAGCATTTAATAGCATCACAGCTTTTGTTGTTGCTGTTGTTATTATTATTTTGAGACAGAGTCTCGCTGTGTCACACAGGCTGGAGTGCAGTGGCGCAATCTCGGCTCACTGCAACCTCCTCCTCCTGGGTTCAAGCGGTTCTCCTGCCTCAGCCCCCCAAGTAGCTGGGACTACAGATGCCTGTCACCACGCCCAGCTAATTTTTGTATTTTTAGTAGAGACTGCATTTCACTATGATGGCCAGGCTGGTCTTGAATTCCTTACCTCGTGATCTGCCCGCCTCAGCCTCCCAAAGTGCTAGGATTACAGGCATGAGCCACTGCACTTGGCCCTGTTGTTATTATTTTTTTAAGTGCCATGGTGGCATATACACTGTTGTTGCTTGACTTGCCTGCTTCCTGGAGCCAGGGAAGTCTTCCCTTAGCAATTCTTTAATGGAGAAAGAACTGGTAGTACTGGAAACCTTGCATAAATCATAACTCCAATTTTCTTGTGGTCACTGTGTGGAGTGGTGCCAGCTATTTGCAGTCTGATATGGTTTGGATTTGTGTCCCCACCCTAATTAGAGGAGGGGCCTGGTAGGAGGTAATTGGATTATAGGGGTGGATTTCCCCCTTACTGTTCTCATGATAGTAAGTTCTCATGAGATCTGAGAGTTCAAAAGTCTGTGGCACTTCTCCCTTCATTCTTTCTCTCTCCTGCTTGGCCATAGGAAGATGTGCCCTACTTCCCCTTTGTCTTTCACCATGATTGTAAGTTTCCTGAGGCTACTCCCGCCATGCAGAAATGTGAGTCAACTAAACCTCTTTTCTGTATAAATTACCCAGTCTCAGGTAGTTCTTTATAGCAGTGTGAGAATGGATTAATACATAGCCCATCATTAGATGTTACTGAGGAATCAAGAAATGAGACACAGAGCCTGTTCAGTGTAGTTAATGAAAGATGACATATGTTATATTTTTATTTTGGGTTTGGTCCCCCAGAAACAGACATTGAGACAAGGTTTTGAGTTTAAGTGGTTTATACGGAAGATCCAAGGAAGAAGTGATAGGTCAGTGGGGAAATGAGACAGTAAAGAGATGGGGGCAATAAAAGATGTGTTATTGAGACGTTACCGCTGTGGGCAACTGGAGTTCGATCCTGCTAGGGATCTTGGGAGACATGAAGTGTACACTTGGAACTTATCCTCCTAAAAGGGCAAGAGAGCTTGAGGATTTATCCACCAACTTCCCATCTTCTTGTTTAGGGATGTTTAATTTTCTAACACTTCCAGCTTATGCTGCATGAGGATCAAGGTTGTTCTCATGGCCAGGAAAAAAAAAAAAAGCCTTCATGCAGAGAACTGAAAGTATTCACAGTAAGCAGCCTTTGGCATGTAGAAGGGAGGGTAAAAGGATATGAATGGGACTCTGACAGTTATCTGCAATTCTGTGTGTGTGTGCGTGCATGCATGTGCACATGTGCAAATATATAAAACGAGGTAGATTTTCAAGAACAGAACTAAGATAGGCATAAAAAGGGGAGAGGTCACAACCAGCAGGTGGGATAGTGTGCTCAAAGGGACAGAAATACAATATCCAAAGTAGAATCAGGGATTATAATAATTATTGTGCCTTTAATTGAGAACCTACCATATTTAAGCAGGTCTCTTGTAAATGTGAAGTGTCCTCCCTAGCATCATTCAAGGTAAGGATTATTATTCTTAAATATGATGATGAAACTGAATTTTAGTTACATTGTCCCAAATCCCAGTGCATAATGGCCAAACCAGAATTTGCGGTCTTTTTCTAAAGACTGAAGTTTATTGACTACCATGCTGCCTAGTACCCCCGTCTGTTTGTTTGTAGTGACGTCTACAGAAGCTATCAGGAAGTTAGGTTCTGTTGAGGAACATATCAAATACTGGACTATAGGCAGTGGGGAACTGCCGAAGCCATTTTGAAGAGAGAAGCACATGATATGGCTGGCAGAAATATCCCGAAAAGATCGGGCTGAATGCAGCCAATTAGGTAACTGTAAAAATTTGTGGGTGGTAAAAATAGGAAAAATGACAGTTGTGAAAGACAGTATTTACTCCAGAAAATGTTACAGAATTTGGAAATCATTCCACATTAAAGGCAGAGAGAAGGAAGCAAAGATAACTTAGAGGCATCAAAACAAAGGGCTGGTGGGGATGATTAGCAGCCATCAAGATGCTTTGGTATGAATGATGAGCTCAATTTTTTTCACCCTGGGTTGAGGCAATGTAAAATACGTGAGCACAAGCTCCTGGTGTGATGGTAGTGGCTGTGGCCTCTGCCATCCTGCTCGATACTGTGCCTGATCTGGCTTTAAGGCACACGCCCTTTCTCCCTTCATTCCCATTATGGGCTTAATTGTGTTTCCTAAAATTTATATGCTGAAGTCCCAACCTCCAGTGTCTCAGAATATAATTGTATTTAGCAACAAGGTCTTTAAAGAAGTGATTGAATTAAAATGGGGTGTTAGGGTGGAGTCCTAATCCAATATGACCAGATTATCCAATATCCTTATAAGAAGAAGAGACACTGGGGGTGTGCAAGCACAGAGGTTCAATCATGTGAGGACAAGGCAGTGAGAAGGCAGCCAGCTGCAAGCCAAGGAGAAGGGTCTCAGGAGAGACCAACCCCACTGGCACCCTGATCTTGGACTTTTAGCCTCTAACACTGTGATACAATACATTTCTATTGTTTGAGCCGCCCAGTCTGTGGAATTTTGTTACGGCAGCCTGAGCAGACAAATACAATCCCTGATGGAGGTTGCGTGCTTCTTTGGAGTGAATGCCCTTCCTATATACAGGAGGACAACTCTTCTGACTCACAGCGATCCCTTCCTGGAACCTCTAAATAAAGTTTGGAGCATATCCAAAAGGTGGGTATGTATATCCATGACCTGAATGTGGCCAGCCCTGGATATGGACAGATGCCTGGTCATGTTGGTGAAGGTCAGAGTCACGGGAATGGAGAGATAGCAATCACAGGAAAAAGAAAGTAATAAGAAAAAAGATGGCCAGTTCTTATGGTTAGGAGATGGGAGTCCTCTAAGGCAGGAAGAGAAGGAATACTCTCGGGATAGTGACCACAGTATTATTGCTACTAATGACCAAACATGTGTCAACAGTGCCCTTGGCTCATGCCGTCCCTCTGGACAGTCTTCCCCCTTTCTCATTAGTGTCCTGCCCCTCCACCAAGAGCTGGCTCCTATGCCACATCTGCCATGAAACCCCTTGACCAAGATAACAGAAGTGCTTTCTTATTCCTTTGAACTTTCAGAGCAGCATTGTCCAATAAAACTTTCTGTGATGACGGAAATATCTGTGCCCTATAATAATGCATCATTAGCCACATGCAGCTACTGAACACAAGGAGTGAAGATACTATGACTGAACAACAGAATTTTTTATTTCATTTCATTTAAATTTAAATTGCCACATGTGGTTAGTGGTGAACATATTTTACAACACAGATCTAGAGTGTTTACTGTGGCATTCCTGGCCTCACTCCACATTGCCTTGAATGGTTTTATCTCTGTACATGACATTCTCTAGCCACATAACAAGCCAGGTGAGAGCAGAGGAGTTCTCTTAAGTAAGTTTGTATTTCCACATCACCAAACTCAAGGCCTGATGTTTAGCAATGCTTATAATACGTTTGCAAGTATATTCATGGCTGTCATTTTGTTTTATTGATATAGTAGTTGTTTGTTTGTTAAATAGAGACAGGGTCTCACTGTGTTGCCCAGGTTGGTCTCAAACTCCTGGCCTCAAGCAATCCTCCTTCCACAGCCTCCCAAAGTGCTGGGATTACAGCCATGAGCCATTGTGCCCAGCCAATATAGTAGATTATTTGTCAATCTTGTGGCTCAAAAGAAAAAGCTTTCAATGACTTTCATGCATTCCACTAAATGCTAGGCCTCTGCTCCGGTCTCTGGGGATTAAGAGACGGTTAAAAAATAGCTTTGGCCTCTCAGGGATCGCATCTCATGGAGCAAACAGAGACATGAAACCTGCAAATGCCATTTAACCAGATCTATAGTTAGCCTGGTGGGATTTAGAAATTATATTCCTGGCATTTCTCTTTCAGGTCCCCATATAATAAATTTTCTTTTCTGCAGATAGAAAAAAAGGATAGAATAAATGCTGATTGGGCATGAGACCTACTGGGTTACTGAAAAAAAAGTAGCGAGTAAATTTAATTATTTCAGAAGCAATCAACAACTGGGTTGGAGGTTCAGTAGGTATAAAGAGGAGTTTGGTATGATCTTTCAGAACAGAAACCACAAAAATCTTCACTTGTTTCATGTAGCTGCAATGTGAGTCTAACTACATCACAAGAAGCTTTTCTCTTTGTGGGCAACCCTTGAAATACGAGGCCATGCCTAATTTGTTGGCGTTTTCTTCCCCGCCATGCCCCTGCTTCCACTATCTGTCCCTAAGCCAAGAACCTTGCAAACAGCAGGTGCTCAAAAAATGTTTGAGCACCTACTCAAACTTTCCTTTTCATAATTCCTGGATAGTGAAAAATATTATGCTTACCTTCTCTACCCTGGGTCAATTATTTATTCCCTAGAATCACATCCTTCATAAAAATGGAGAATATTAAATTAGCCATCAGGTCTCCCTTTGGCCTAGTCAGAAGTAACTCTTGGGTAAAATGGTGGCTCCAGGGAATTAAATGCAAATAAGCATTAGCAAGTCAACTTTCTACCAAGGAGTGAGTTACTGTTGGCTACACAGCACTCCAGTCCAGTTAAGCTAACCCTGTCGGAATGTTAAACAGAGTGCAGCCAACACCTTGAAATGTGGAAGGAAACCGTCAGGGCTTTGCCAGGACTGCTCATCAGTGAGAAGGTCCCCTGGAAAGAATGAAGTAACAAAGAGCACTGAAAAAAGTGTAAAGCAACCTGAGAATCTACTGACACGTTGACAAATATCACTCCTCCCTGCTTTCCTCAAATCAGAATCGAGCAGTTGAAGCATGAGCAATTTCTAAATAAGATTTTCACTGTCCAAGATTAGGCTCTTCTTCCCTTATCAGCAACCTCTGAAAAGCTCCAGGTGGATCTTGTCCAGAAAAAAAAAATCCTGAAATATTCAGTAAAAAGTTATTAGGGAAGCTTTGGCCTATAACTATAAGCTTCTGGAAAAAAAAATACTCAATTTTTTTTTTTTTTTTTTTTTTAGAAAAAGAAATTCACAGCTTGTGACACTTGGCATCTTTTTTTTTTTTCTAATGAAGATGATGGCCAATTTCATAAAAGAAAAAAATGAAAGTAACAGTGCTAAATAATAGCGCTCAAATGTCAAAGAAGCCAGATTTTTCCAGGAAAATATCAGAACTCATCCAAAAAGCTGAAAAAGTTATTAAGATGGTAATACAGTTTGAGATACAGTCTCTTGTCACTTCAGAGTGTATTAAAAAATAATATCGCAGAGCTGAAATTTTTATTTTTATTCTGGTTCTAAAGTTAAGCCAGGGTAATTTTATCTTAGCCTGAACTGCCTAGGCTTACTCTGGTTTAAAGGCAAAGTTGAGGTCAGATTTAACACTAGTGCTTCATTCTCTAGCCTAAGTAACATAAATTCAAGTGGCTTCACATGGCCTTACTTTTTTGTTTGTTTTGGGTTTTATTGTTTATTTTTTAAATTTTCTTATTTGTAATTTTTGTGGGTACACAGTAAGTATATATATTTATGGGTACATGAGATGTTTTGATACAGGCATGCAATGTGAAATAACCACATAATGGAGAATGGGGTATCCATCCCCTCAAGCATTTATCATTAGTGTTACAAACAATCCAATTACACTCTTTATTTTAAAATGTACAATGGAGTTATTACTGACTACAGTCACCCTGTTGTGCTATCAAATACTAGGTCTCACTCATTTTTTTTTTTTTTTTTTGAGATGCAGTCTTTCTGTCACTCAGGCTGGAGTGCAGTGGCACGATCTCAGCTCACTGCAACCTCTGCCTCCCTGGTTCAAGCATTTCTTCTGCCTAGGCCTCCCAAGTAGCTGGGACTACAGGCGCCCACCACCATGCCCAGCTAATTTTTGTGTTTTTAGTAGAGATGGGGTTTCACTATGTTGGCCAGGCTGGTCTCGAACTCCTGACCTCATGATCGGCCTGTCTCAGCCTCCCAAAGTGCTGGGATTACAGGCGTGAGCCACCACGCTTGGCTTTATTCATTCTTTCTAGCTACATTTTTTGTACCCATTAACCATCCTCATGCCCCACCCCAACCCCCACTACCACTCTTAGCCCCTGGTGACCATCTTTCTACTTTCTATGGCCATGAGTTCAATTGTTTTGATTTTTAGATCCCACAAATAAGTGAGAACATGCGACATTTGTCTTTCTGCGCCTGGCTTATTTCACTTAACATAATGTCCTTCAGTTCCACCCAAGTTGTTGCAAATGTCAGGATGTCATTCTTTTTTATGGCTGAATAGTACTCCATTGTGTATATGTATCACATTTTCTTTATCCATTCATCTATTGATGGAAACTTAGGTTGCTTCCAAATCTTAGCTATTGTAAACAGCACTGGACAAACAGAGGAGTGCAGGTATCTCTTTGATATTCTGATTTCCTTTCTTTTGAGTATATACCTAGCAGTGGGATTGCTAGATCACATGGTAGCTCAATTTTTAGTTTTTTTGAGGAACCTCCAAACTGTTCTCCCTAGTAGTTGCACTAATTTACATTCCCATCAACAGTGTACAAGGGTTCCCTTTTCTCCACATCCTTGCCAGCATTCACTATTGCACATGGCTTCACTTCTAAACCATCAACAAATTCATAGTGTTGGATGAAACTGGCTTTGAGTAATTGGGTTTTATCCAGCTTGGAATTCAAATTGTATTCTTTAACCTGTAATGATATCTCCCACTAATTTTGGAAAATTTGTGGCTTTTTTCTTTTTAAAATTGCTTTTTTATCTCTTTACTCTTTCTACAAATCAAAATATATATGTTGAAAATTTTCAGGCTGGGTGCAGTGGCTCACTCCTGTAATGCCAGCACTTTGGGAAGCCGAGGTGGGTGCATCACTTGAGGTCAGGAGTTTGAGACAGCCTGGCCAAATGGTGAAACCCTGTCTCTACTAAAAATAACAAAAATTAGCCAAGCTTGGTGGCGCACACCTATAATCCCAACTACTCAGGAGGCTGAGGTAGTAGAATCACTTGAACCCGGGAGGCAGAGGTTGTAGTGAACCTAGATCATGCCACTGCACTCTAGCCTGGGCGACGGAGGGAGACTCCATCTCAAAAGAAAAAAAACAAAAGAAAATGTTCAATGTCTTTTTGCTGTTTTCTGCATTTTCCATCCTTTTATCTGTTTGTGCTTCCGTCTGAATACTTTCTCCTGACCTATCTTACAGTTCACTAATCCGTTCTTCTGTGGTGTCCAATCTGCTACTAAGCCTAAGATCTTCATTTTAGTTAATATACATTTCAGTTCTGAAATTTCTATTTGATTCTTTAATAAAGTCCAGTTTTCTGGTAAAATTCCCCATCTGATCATTTATTTCTTAAATATATTCAGCACATTGCTTTTAAAGATGATTATAATATCTGGATCACCTATGGTCTGTTTTATTATCTGTTTTTTCCTGGTCTTATTTCTTAGTATGTCTGGTAAGTTTTGGTAGAGCGAGGAACGTTGTATATGAAAAATTATAAAGGCTCTAGATGAAAAAAATTATAAGGGCTATCATTCTTCAGAGAGGCTTCACCCTTTCTGAAGGTAAATCTAGGTATCTAGAGTAGGGAGTGCATAATCTCGATTGAATCAAGGGCTCAGCTGACTGGAGAGAAAGTTTCGTCTTTCTCAGCCCAGGTCTACCTTGGGTCCACCTACCCTTATGGTGTTGTCCTCTAGGGATGCCAAGAGGAGCCTGAATGTTTTCCACAGCCTCTCCTCCTAAATTTCAAGTTTTGTCTTTCTGGCACCATGAGATTCTGAAAACTCCATTCTGCTTTTTGGCAACTTTTCTTTTGCTTGGCTTCTTAACCTCTTGCCTTATGAAACTAAGAATGAGAAAGTTCCTGAGGGGGCATGAGTTTTGCATTTCCTTTTTCAGAGGGGTTGACCCCTCAAAATCTTGGAGGCTTTGGCAGATCTCTGATACCTTAAAAACAGATTTACATTTTATATTTATATTTTAGTTTTATTTTATATTTATATTTTATTTTATATTGTCTGGCTTTTCTAGTTCTTCCTGGGAGCACTGGTCTGTTACAAGCTGTTCCATCCCAGCCAGAAGTAAAAGTGTTGAATAACTGTGGTTTTTGCGAAGGCAAAATCCTAGAGGCTGAAAACTATCCAAAAAACTCAACTAGGAAACTTTATTCTATATGCCAGGAACTGTATTTCTATTAGGGTTTTCAAATGAATAAAATAATATTCCTATCCTGAGGGCATTCACATCCTATCAGAACTCTTCTAAGGTACACTTGACTCTGTTCCATTCTTATTCTCTTCTTTGTTTATTTTAAATATTTAGTTCAAGACTCCCAATAAATCTTTGATGAAAGAGTTAGGTAAATATTGAGAATATTGAGACCTTCTTTCTTCGAAACCTCATACTATTATTATCAGCATTTCACAGAACAACACGTCACAATGCTTGAATTATGGAATAAACAGTTCCTTATTCCCCACTGCTTCCCCTTACCAGATCATGAGTTCCTTGAATAGAAGAACCAGGTTTGATACTTATGCTATAACCTCCAAATCTATACATATAATAATAATTATTCTTATTTCATCACGATCACTGGGCAAACTCCCAAACTCCTGGTAACTTTTGTGTGGGAAAGAATGGGGAGAAGGAAGTGTCCTTCTCTCCAGGATCCTGTCTATGGACAGAGGAGAATTGAATGGCTGGGACTGTGTCTCTGGGAGTTAGTTGTTCTTGGCTATGCACAATCAAGAATGATCTGCCTCTTCTTCCAGATGATAGTAATAATGGGTAGCATTATTAAATGCTTCCAGTATGCCTGGCATTATTCTAAGCATATTATATATATTACCTCATTAACTCTTTAGGAGAATCCTCAGAGGTAAGTCTTATTATTTCTTATCCCCGTTTTGCAAGTAAGGAAATAGAGACATAGAGTGACAAAGTTATAAAAACCTAACCATAAGGCTCACTTCTCTAGAAACATCAGCAGAGACCCTAACTCAAGGCATTCGTGGTGGGAGACCCAGAGGTGGATAGCTTATGGGAGACTTGCTAGTTATATGCAACAGTCTCTGCCTGTGAGACAAACCTCGGATTTACTTCTGGTTCCAGCTAACGTTTTTCTTCTTCCCACTTTTAGTTGGTTTTAATATACCAGCTAGGATTGAGTTCCATCACAGCAGCTATGGTAGCTTCACAAGCCAAGGGCCTATGTTTTTCCCAGAACAAGAGGTCTGAAGTTAGGAAGTTCAGGACTCACACGGAGGCTTTTTGCTACCTTCCTACTCTCTTAATTAAATATGTACCAGTTCCCTTCATGTTTGCAAACTGGCTGCTACCTCTTCAGCATTGTGTGTGTATTTCAGGCAGGAAGAAGAAAAAGGATGAAGTGGATAAGATAAAGAGTAAAGCCAACAATTCAGCTCCTGTTCAAACAGTTTTCCCAGAAGCCCCATCCAGTGACTGTCTTTACATCTAGGTGGTCCAGACTGTGTCACATGGCTACTCCTTGATGCAAGGGGATTTGGAAGATGGAGTACTTTAAATGTGCAAATTGCTACACTGAAGAAAATAAAGATACTTTTAGCAAGGACTAAGGAGAGACTAGCGACCCAAAATATCTGCCATAGTTATTAAACTTTTAACTGAAGTCAGGGGAAAGAACTGCAAAGCCAGCAAGCCCAGGGGGTTTATTTCTCAGTAAAGCATCATAGTGATACACGGAGCTAGAATAAGAAACCTGTGTCCTCCTGGATCAGGTCTATGTATCTTCCTATCTGTAAACAATCTCATGCTGCAAAGCCAGGATGGTAGAGTGAAAAGAGCCCTGAATTTGGAAGCAGAAGAAGAGGGCCACATATTGCTTTTGCCACATGTAATCTGGGGACTTTGGGCAAGATATTAACTTCACATTCCTTATCAGCAAAATGGGCAGTAAAATGACCTTTCCTTTGTGTAAGTCGATCTAAAATTACATAGGTATATGAATTTATAACATTTTAACATATTGCGTACAGACATAAAATATATATTAATGTAGATAATTTTATAACATTAGAACATTTATATACACATGCATGTATTTATACAGTTATTTGTTTAATACAATTTTATAATATCTTTGTAATGGAATATGGTAGAATGTACAATGTGCTTTAGGATATCACTTCTAAAATTAAGGACTTAAGCTTCTGGAACCCACCTGGTTGCCAATCTACTTCCCATATAGGGAGAAGAAACAGGGCTTGGTTTATCCCAGATGAGGGCAAAAAAGAGGGCTTGGAATTATCAGTGTATCTCAACATTAAAACTGTCATCTCTCCCATTGGAAATATGGCAACTGTGTTGTGTTTTCTAAGATATATGCCAGCAATATTTCAAAATATGATTAACAGTGCCAATACCTTGTAAAGTTGGGCACATCTTTTCTTGTTTTGTCTTAGTGATACCGTCTATCTTTGTGAAAGCTGATATATTAAATAGCTTTTTAAAAGCCTTATTGTGGCTTTTCTTTCCCCTTGGTATAGTAGTGTAACTTTTATCGATAATAATGGGAGTTATGTTGGAGCATCCAGGGTGTTTATGTGGGTCCTGTAGTTAATGGTGATGGACCAGCCTTGAAACCGTGGCCTAGAGTTCAGGAGCCTGTCTCATTTTTTTTATGTTCTCAGAGGGATGGGAAAGTGTCTGTTTACATCTCTTTTAGCTGGCCCCCAAACGTGGAGCTTCTCTGCCTTTCTATTTTGGTGGAAACTAGTGCCTGGATACATAAATTGAGATGGAATAAAAACAAATTTCATGTAAAAATATATCATATCCAAATCCCCAAATTAGGGGAAATTTCACCCAAAAAGATTTACCTTAGCTTCAGCCTAAATTTTAAAGACTATAGGAAAAATTATATCATTTTAAGGGTTATATAAGAATTATAACCAGTTAAGAATATATAGACCAGCCCTTGAAATGTATGTAAGAATTTTTTTTTTTTCTAATCAAAACAACTCATACATTTTCACAAATCACATATTTTTTGAGCTGGAAAAGGACTGTGAAGTGGCCTTATTTTATAAATGAAGAGATTAAGGCCCACTGAGGCTAAATGCATTACCTGAATTTGTACAAAGAATTTTCATTCCTGACCATGGACATGGAAAACATTATGATAATGAGGAACTTGATAAGTGAACAAATATATGTATGCTTGGAACAGAAGGGATACTCAATACTTTTTAAATAAATTCAATATTGGGGTTTTAAAAAGCAAAGTACAGAGATAAACTAATATAAAATTATTATCGAGAGGTTTCAAAAATGTTGGCTAGGAGGCAGGACTAACTTGCAGGTTCCACTTGGATGACAGAACAGTGTGTGGAGACTCACACTGTGAACTTTTGCTTCAGGAACTACTGCAGAAACATACCAGAAAAACTGAAGGAATTCACAGACCCTTTGAAGGAAGTGGCTTGCCACTGTAAACTCTGTGGGACAGCCGAAAAACTCTGAGTGCCCAAAGTGTGATGGGGGAAGTCCACTTCTGAACACACATCCTCACGGAGGAACCTGAAAATCCAGATCATGGGAGAAGGATTTAACCTTACCTAGAAGTCAAACAAATTTAGAGAGCCAAGTGAAACATAAAGGTAGAAGCAGCAGGAAGAGCCCTGTGGGCACACAGTCCCCAGGGAAGCCATTTCTGACTTTCTCTCACAGGGACCCTTGGGGAGGGCTGCCAGTAGAATTGGGGAAGGAACACATGGAGAAGAAAATTTCCAGCTGAAATTTGTAATAATTTCAACTTCCT
The DNA here is from genome assembly GCF_000001405.40 of Homo sapiens. Lineage (NCBI taxonomy): Eukaryota > Metazoa > Chordata > Mammalia > Primates > Hominidae > Homo > Homo sapiens. Next base: position 25,397,074 of record NC_000003.12, on the reverse strand, counting down.
GGGCAGAATCTGAGGTTGCGGGGGCAGTGAATGGGAAGTGCAGATATGCGCGCAAGAAACCATGGCAGTTGAGAGAGCAGTGGGGCCTGAAAGCCCAGGTTTCTTTCTTAGCAGGGAGGCTTGTAGCCTGGGGCAAGATCTCAGCCATACTCACTGGTTGCCTAGATATACACTGGGTGCTGTTGGTGGGGCACAGTTGGAGTGAAACTGGCCTTGCTGGCTGTATGGGAACTGGGTAAGGCCAGTCACTGCTGGTTTTCTTCTACTTCCCTGGTGACCTGTATGACACAGCAGAGGCAACCATAATCCCCCTGGGAACATAACTCCATGGGCCTGAGAACCACACCCCCATCTCCACAGCGCCACAGCAAACCCCACCCAAAGAGAGTCTGAGCTCAGACACACCTAACCCTGCCCTAACCTGATGGTTTTTCTCTACCTGCCCTGGTAGCTGAAGACGAAGGATATAATCTCTTGGGAGCTCTGTGGCCCTACCTACTAACTTGAATACTTATCCAGGTAACCTTAGGGCAAGCTTGTATCCCCACTATACTACCACAGCTGATGCTCTCTTCAAAAGTGCCACCAACTGGCTGGAGGCCAACCTACTCAAGCCATTCAGCAACTCACAAAAGAACAACCCCACTTGAAGAAAGAAAACAACAGTTGATTCCACTGCCTGTAACATCCTGGCTAACCTGAGTCTGTCCACATGACAACTCCACGGCTAGTACAACCAGCATTCAAGAAAACCAGCACACTAAACAGAACTACAACCAAGGACCCTCAAAGAGTTCAATTCACTGCCCTGCTACCTCCACCAGAGCACGTGCTGGTATCCATGGCTGAGAGGCCTGAAGATAGATCACATTTCAGGACTCTTTACAGACCCTCCCCATTATAAGCCTGGAGCCCAGTAGCTCTGCTGGGTGGCTAGACCCAGAAGAGAAATAACAGTCACTACAGTCTGGTTCTTAGGAAGCCACATCCCTAGGGGAAGGGGGAGAACACCCCATCAAGGGATCACCCTGTGGGACAAAATAATCTGAATAGCAGCCCTTGAGTCCCAGATCCTCCCTCTGACATAATCTACCCAAATGAGAGGGAACCAGAAAAAAGATGCTGGTGATATGACAAAACAAGGTTTTTTAACTCCCCACAAAGATCACACTAGTTCACCAGCAATGGATCTAAACCAAGAAGATATCTCTGAATTGCCAGAAAAAGAATTCAGAAGGTAGATTATTAAGCTACTCAAGGAGACACCAGAGAAAGGTGAAAGCTAACTTAAAGAAACTTAAAAATAATACAAGATATGGATGGAAAAAATCTCCAGAGAAATAGATAGCATAGAGAAATCCAAAATATACTGCAAAGTTTCAACAGTAGAGTTGAACAAGTAGAAGAAAGAACTTCAGAGCTTGATGACAGGGCTTTCAAATTAACCCATTCCAACAAAGACAAAAAAAAGAATTTAAAAAATGAATAAAGCCTCCAAGAAATGTAGGATTATGTTAAACAACCAAACCTATGAATAATTGGTGTTCCCAAGCAAGAAGAGAAATTTAAGAGTTTGGAAAACTTCTTTGAGGGAATAATTGAGGAAAATTTCCCTTACTTTGCTAGAGATCTAGACATCCAAATACAAGCAGCTCAAAGAACATCTGGGAAATTCATTGCAAAAAAAGATCATCACCTATGCACATAGTCATCAAGTTATCTAACTTCAAGATGAAGGAAAGAATCTCAAGAGCTGTGAGGCAAAAGCGTCAGGTAACTTGTGAAAGAAAACCTATCAGATTAACAGATTTATCAGCAGAAACCCTTCAAGCCACAAGGGATTGGGGTCCTATTTTTAGCGTCCTTAAACAAAACAATTATCAGCTAAGAATTTTGTATCCAGTGAAACTAAGCTTAATAAATGAACGAAAGACAAAGTTGTTTTCAAACAAATGCTGAGACAATTCACCACTGCCAAGACAACACTACAAGAGCTGCTAAAAGGAGCTCTGAATCTTGAAACAAAACCTCAAAATACACCAAAATAGAACCTCCTTGAAGCATAAATCCCACAGGGACTGTAAAACAATAACACAAGGAAAAAAATAATGAAAGTATTCAGGCAACAACTAGCACAATGAACAGAATAGTACCTCACGTTTTCATACTAATGTTGAGTGTAAATGGCCTAAATGTTCCACTTAAAAGATTCAGAATGGCAGAATGGATAAGAATTCAGCAACCAAGTATCTGCTGCCTTCTAGAGACTCACCTAACACATAAAGACTCACATAAACTTAAGGTAAAGGGGTGGAAAAAGATATTCCAGGCAAATGGACACCAAAACAAGAAGGACTAGCTTTTCTTATATCAGACAAAAGAGACTTCAAAGCAACAAGAGTTAAAAAACACAAAGAGAGGCATTACATAATTATAAAAAGATTACTTCCATAGGAAAATATCACAATCCTAAATATATATGCCTCTAACACTGGAGCTCCCAAGTTTATAAAACAATTAAGACTAGACCCAAGAAATGAGATAGATGGCAACACAATAATAGTTGGGGGACTTCAGTACTCCACTCACAGTGCTAGATAGGTCATCAACACAGAAAGTCAACAAAGAAACAGTGGACTGAAACTATACCTTAGAACAAATGAACTTAACAGATATTTACTGAACATTCTAACCAACAACTGCAGAATATACATTCTATTCATCAGCACATTGAACATTCTCCAAGATAGGCCATATATTAGGTCACAAAATTAGTCTCAGCAAATGTAAGGAAATTGAAATTATAACATGTACTCTCTCAGACCACAGTAGAATAAAATTGGAAATCAACTCTAAAAGGAACCCTCAAAACCATGCAAATACATGGAAATTAAATAATCTGCTCCCGAATGGTCACTGGGTCAACAATGGAATCAAGATGGGAATTTAAAAATTATTTGAACTGAATAATAGTGACAAAACCAAAACCTCTGTGATACAGCAAAAGTATTTCTAAGAGAAAAGGTCACAGCATTAAACACCTTCATCAAAAAGAACACAAATAGACAATCTAAGGTCACACCTCAAGGAACTAGAGAATCAAGAACAAACCAAAACCAAACTCAGCAGAAGAAAAGAAATAACAAAGATCAGAGCAAAACTAAATGAAATTGAAACAACAAAAAAATACAAAAGATAGAAAAAACAAAAAGCTAGTTCTTTGAAAAGATAAACAAAATTCATAGACCATTAGGGAGATTAACCAAGAAAAGAAGAGAGAAGATCCAAATAAGCTCAATTAGAAATGAAACAGAAGCTATTACAATGTATACCACAGAAATACAAAAGATCATTCAAGGCTACTATGAACACCTTCACGTGCACAAACTAGAACACCTTTATGTGCATTAACTAGAAAACCTAGAGGAGATGAACAAATTCCTGGAAATACACAATCCTCCTTGATTAAACCAGAAAGAAATGGAATCTCTTAACAGAACAATAACAAGCAGTGAGAATGAAATGGTAATTTAAAAAACTGCCAACAAAAAAAAGTTCAGGAACAGATGGATTCACAGCTGAATTCTATCAGAAATTCAAAGAATGGGTACCAATCCTATTGAAACTATTACAAAAGACAGAGAAAGAGGAAATCCTCCCTAAATCATTTTATGAAGCCAATATCACCCTAATATCCAAACCAGTAAAGGACATAACAAAAAACTACAGACCAATATCCCTGATGAACATAGACACAAAAATCCTCAAAGAAAAAAAAAATACTAGCTAACTGAATCCAACAGCCTATCAAAAGATAATCCGCAATGATCAAGTGGGTTTCATACTAAGGATGTAGGGATGGCTTAACATATAGAAGTCAATAAATGTGATACAACACATAAGCAGAATTAAAAACAACAATGACATGGTCATCTCAATAGACACAGAAAAAAGCATTTGACAAAATCCAGCATCGTTTTTTGATGAAAACATCAGCAAAATCGGCATAGAAGGGACATACCTTAAGGTAATAAAAGCCATCTATGACAAACCCACAGCCAACATTATACTGTATGGGGAAAATCTGAAGTCATTCCACTTGAGAACTGGAAGAAGACAAGGATGCACACATTCACCACTTGTATTCAACATAGTACTGGAAGTCCTAGCCAGAGCAATCAGACAAGAGAAAGAAATAAAGGGCATCTAAATCAATAAAAAGGGAGTAAAACTGTTGCTGTTTGCTAATGAGATGATTGTATACCTAGAAAACCCTAAAGACTCATCCAAAAAGCTCCTAAATCTGATAAATGAATTCTGTAAAGTTTTGGGATACAAAATCAATGTACACAAATCAGTAGCACTGCTATGCATCTACAGTGACCAAGCTGAGAATTAAATAAATACCTCGACCCCTTTTACAGCAACTGTGAAAAAAAATATACATAGGAATATAGCTAACCAAGGATGTGGAAGACCTCTACAAGGAAAACTATAAAACACTGCTGAAAGAAATCACAGACAACACAAACAAATGGAAACACATCCCAGGCTCATGGATGGATAGAATCAATATTGTAAAAATGGCCATACTGCCAAAAGCAATCTATAAATTCAATGTAAATCCCATCAAAATACCATCATCATTCTTCACACAACTAAAATATACAATCTTAAAATTCATATGGAACCAAAAAAAAAGCCCACATAGCCAAAGCCAGATGAAGCAAAAACAACAAATCTGGAGGCATCACATTACCTGATTTCAAACAATACTATAAGGCTATGGTCATCAAAACAGCATGGTACTGGTATAAAAGTAGGCACATAGACCAATGGAACAAAATGGAGAACTCAGAAATAAAGACAAATACTTACAGCCAATTGATCTTTGACAAAGCAAACAAAAGCAAAGTGGGGAAAGGACACCCTATTCATCAAATGGTGCTAAGAAAATTGGCAAGCCACATGCAGAAGAATGAAACTGGATCCTGATCTCTCACTTCATACAAAAATCAACTCAAGATGGATTAAGGACTTAAATCTAAGACCTGGAACGATAAAAATTCTAGAAGATAACATCAGAAAAACCATTCTAGACATTGGCTTAGGCAAAGACTTCATGTCCAAGAATTCAAAAGCAAATGCAATAAAAACAAAGATAAATAGATGAGACTTAATTAAACTAAAAAGCTTCTGCACAGCAAAAGAAATAACCAGCAGAATTAACAGAACACCCACCGAGTGGGAGAAAATCTTCATCATCTATCCATCCAACAAAGGACTAATGTCCAGAATCTACAAAGAACTCAAACAAATCAGCGAGAAAAAACAGACAATCCCATCAAAAAGTGGGCTAAGGACATAAATAGACAATTCTCAAAAGAAGATATACAAATGGCCAACAAACATATGAAAAAATGCCCCACATCACTAATTTTCAGGGCAATAGAAATCAAAACCTCAATGTGATACCATCTTACTTCTGCAAGAATCATAATTAAAACATAAAAATAGTAGATGCTGGTATGGATGTGGCAAAAAGGGAACACTTTTGCACTGCTATTGGGAATGTAAACTAGTACAACCACTATGAAAGACAGTGTGGAGATTCCTTAAAGAACTAAAAGTAGATCTATTATTTGATGCAGCAATCCCACTATTGAGTATTTACCTAGAGGAAAAGAAGTCATTATATGAAAAAGCCACTTGCACATGCATGTTTACAGCAACACAATTCACAACTGCAAAAATATGGAACCAGCCCAAATGCCCATAAGACAATGAGTAGATAAAGAAAATATGGTATATATACCATGGAATACTACTCAGCCATAAAAAAGGAATGAAATAATGGCATTTACAGAAACCTGGATGGAGTTTGAGACCATTACTCTAAGTGAAGTCACTCTGGAATGGAAAACCAAACATTGTATATTCTCACTTATAAGTAGGAGCTATGCTATGAGGACACCAAGGCATAAGAATGATACAATAAACTTTGGGGACCTGGGGGAAAGGTTGGGGCGTGTGAGGGATGAAAGATTTCACATTGCGAACAGTGTGCACTGCTTGGGTGACGGGTGCACCAAAATCTCGGAAATCACCACTAAGAACTTATTCATGTAACCAAACACCGCCTGTTCCCCCAAAACCTATTGAAATTAAAACAAAAATTATCAAAGTTATTATTGTTTTACTGTAAAGTACCAGGAAAAGTCAAACTACTTTAGACATACAGGGCTTAGGAGGGTTCTGGGCATCTAATAAGAGCTGAATAAATATTTGTTGATGGAAGCAAGCAGGTTGAAAGTTTATTAGGCATGTGATGAAATATCCCAAAAGAGTAATTTTTAACTGTTTCCTTTGATGACAGCTTTTATTACTGTGAAGCCCAAACTTGATAAATATGATAGGATATGCATTTGGTTATTCTATTTGAATAGATTTCCACTACATATTTAAAAACCTGTACTATTATTTTTTGAAGAGAAAAAAATGAACGGGTCTTCTAATATTCACACAGCTACCTTTGGTGTTTTTATATCCCACAGGCTGTCGTTCACCCAGTCTTAGTCCATTTGGGCTGCTATAACAAAATACGTTAGACTGGGTAATTTATGAGCAACAGAAATTTATTGCTCATAATTCTGGAGACTGGGAAGTCCCAGATCAAGGTGTTGGCAGATCCAGTGTCCGGTGAGGACTTCTTCCTCGTAAATAGAGTCTTCTCTGTGTCCTCACATGGTAGAAAAGGTCCACAAGCTTCCTGGTCAAATTCTCAAACTCCCAGGGTCAAGCAATCCTCCCTCCTCAGCTTCCTGAGTAGCTGGGGGCTACAGGCATGCACCACAGCACCTGGCTTTCAGGCCTCTTTTATAAGGGTGCGAATTCCATTCATAAGGGCCCTATCCTCACAATCTAAACACCTCCTAAAAGTCCCACCTCTTAATGTCATCATATCGGTGATTAAGTTTCAACATATGAATTTTGGGGTGATACAAACATTCAGACAACAGCACTCGATAAGATAAATAACCTCAGCCCCTTCAAATTTATCTTTCCGCCAGCCTTGTTTTACCTCTTGAGCCACGACCAATCCAAACTTATGTCTCCTTACCACCTGTCTTGGAACCTTTTGCTATCTACATCACTACTCTTCCCCATTTGGTTGACTTTTGTTCAAGACTCAAATATTATTACCCTTTCTTTTAGACATTTTCAGGCTAATGCTCTTTTCCCTTGTGCCCCAATGCACTTCAAAGATAACTAGTTATTTTAATTATTTCTATGCACACAGGTGCACTTTCTATTAGTGTGAATTTTGAGAGAGCAGATATTCATACATTCTATTGATTTTTAGGTCCATAGCAAATAAGCCCTGTACTGAAGACAGAAGGGATGCTCAGTAAATACTTGTAAAATTAATGAATGGAAAACCAAGGCTTCTCATTCCCCCAACACCCAGTTCTCTGCGCTGGCCCTCTACTCTTATAAGTACTATGATAACTTCCTATGTGCCAAGCAGAGCTGACCAGCATGTATTACTGTAGTTTAATGTCACAGCAACACCGCTGAGTTGGTCCTATTGCTGGCACCCTTTTACTGATGAGGAAATTGAGACTTGAGAGACATTTAGTTACTTCCTCAAAGTCACACAGCTAGTCAGTGACAGATATCCCTCAAATGATGGTGCTGTGGAAAAATGAGGGAAGAAACATGTGACAAAATGGACCTTGTTGGGTAAAAGCCACAATACCCACAGCAATGTACACTAATGCTATCACTAAAGAAGCAGCAGAATAATCCAAAATGATTACCATCTAAAAAAAGGAAGGTAAGGTTGTGGGTGACCTGATGTGTCACCCAATCAACTCTGGTACTTGGAATTCCATCAAGAAAACGGACAGATTGTTTCTGCCACCTCCCCAGAAACCTCTTCCACAGGCTCTGCATGTGGAAATATATCCTTTAGCCAACTTAAATGTGGCATGCTGCTCTCTGAGCTCCACATATATTATGAAGCTATTTTCATCATCTTCCTTTTCCTTCTTTCTTGCAACCGGCATTATGTTTCTGTCCTCTATTGTATTCAAAAGGATGTGTTTCTATTCAATGAAACAGATCAGTGGCATTTTCTACCACTAAATCATAAATCTCTCTCCTCTTACAACTTTGAAGAAAAACCTAGTAACATTCAAAACAGTTTCTAGATTTTTTTTTAATACCTAGAAATTCACTGAGAAACAAGATAGAAAAAAAGCCTTCCTACCTACCCCACACACTTGTGAACATTTACAACACCATCATTGTTTAGGTTGAGTTCGATTCACTTTTGTCAGCAGGCTTCCCTTGTACAGTTAAACTACTTTCTTATGCTAAGCTCTCTGTGAATTGTCACAATGGTAGACAAAAAATTCTGTATCAAATACTACTTAATTTTAAGCATTTCTTTCTGCTAATTTATTACTAAGCACAAATTTCATTTTGCCAGGGCAAAAAAACAATTTCTTTGTTTCATGTTGAAAACAGTTTTTCAAATAAATTCTGATGGTACACTTATCAAGTCCACTTATCTTTCATTAAACTAATGCTTTCAAGCATAATGAAGAATGAACTGGAAAACTAAGTATATTGTAATGCTCTGATATTAAAGAAGACATATCAAAATAAATTTACAATCATATCATCACATCAATCTCTACTATGACTATAATAGTCTTATAACCATAATTAATTAGCTATGGTACAAATTACTAATAAATCTTTAGAAATTAAATGCCTAATTTTTCAAAACCATATGTCTTTGTAAATTGATTATTTAGAATTTAGAGGCTTTTTAATTAAGAAGAAATTTATGCAATGCTGTATGTAATAATTAGGAATCAGCTTTTCTGCAATACTTTTGAACATCAGCAAAAAATTAAAGCTTTGGAAAATAGTCTGAGTTAATTATAGTATTTCACTGTCAAAAATCAACATATAGGTAAAATTTAGAGGTTAATGTGGCATTTCCATTTCTTTAACTTCCACCTAGCCTTATGTTCTTAGTGCTTGAATCACTAACCGAATCCAAAAATCAATGAGACGGGGGAAGTCTCCTTAGTGATTTATGCCTCTAAGAAAGTTTTCATTTTATCCAATAGTTTCAGCAAACCTCATCAATCCAGGTTAAACATTTAATGCTCTTTTTTTTTTTTCTATTCCCTAAGGATAAAGCTGGGATATTTCTGAGCCTTGCCATCATTTTTGGTAAGTGATTATTTTGACATAAAACACAAAAGCTGCTTTGTCAGGAGGGTGGGAACGCCATTTAGGGTCGAACAAAGACATTGCTGAAGTGAGACCTCATTATGTGTGTGGTCAAAAGACCCCAAGAGATGGGGAGAGGACCTGATGGTGAGCCACTTTACACTCACAGGGGCCTGCTGAGAGTGGATTTCAAAGCCAAGGCCCTCCTGTGTCCAGAAGACTCGTGGGGAGGGAGCCTGGGACATATCTTATTCTGCCTACACTAGAGAAAGTTGTGGAAGATACTACAAATAAGAGAAGAATACTATAAAAAACAGAAGGAATGATTGCGTACACAACATAGAAGCCAGTTTTTTCTCCTTTTTGCTTCAACTCCTCCCCACTTCGGTTCTCTGAATACAGCCTAGCCAATGTGTTTCCTACCCATAAGGTGCTGTAGGAAAGAGGGTGATCTGGGTAAAATTCACCTTTGTTCCTCTACACACTTCCCATTATGTCTTCTTTTTGAATTTATTTTCTTCAATAAAGACCCGGATCCTCATTCTCCCAAACAAAGCCAGTGTCCTCCTGTCCATCCAGGAAACAGAATTTTTCTTCCCTGATGGCTCCAAAAGGAATTAAGCCACTGTTTTCTCCTGCTGGGTTTCTGTTGTGCATCTTCAAGCCATTTCTTCATCTGAAGGTCTTCCGGCAAACTCACTAAACCTCTTGAGCACATGACTCAAGAGTGACAATTGCTAACAGATGCATTTCTACATTTGTATTCTGGCAGAACTGGTCTTAAATTATTGCTCACAGGAGAAAGGAAGAGCAACTGTAGCACCTCTGTTCACTGTTGCTGGCAGACAACAAACTTGAGATGAAGCCACATTTGCAGGGGAAAAATTGCCTACGCCCACAGAATGAAATTTCAGGCTTTGACAGTTGCTAGGTAAGTAAATGAGAATCATTTTATTCTGGGTGAACACAGCACCTAGCACATCTTGAACAATAAGAAGAGTTGGCAGCCCAAGGGCGGTGACACCCAAGATGGTACATGTTCAGAAGAGTCTCTTGGGAGGAAATATGTGGAACTAGTGGCCAAACAATCGCCCCCTTATCAAAGCATGGTTCCTCATAATCTTAAGTAGAAGGTACAACTCCTCTCAAAGGGAACCTCAGAAAATGACTTTAATTCTCCCATTTTAATTCAACAAATATTGCACCGACTCTGAAGAAGCCCTATATGAAGGCCCAAGGCCTCCGCCTGAATCCAGGATACTTTCATCTCATGCCTGAATGCTTTTAACAACCTCTCGAGTAGTTTTGTGACTTCAGTCTTTGCCCTGCAGCCAGAAAAGCAAAAACAAAAACAAACCTTTCTAAAAAGCTACTTTTTTCCTTCTTATAAAATCGTTCAATAACTCCACCTACCATCAGGAACAATCCCACTTCTTGACATAGACTTACAAGGCCCTCCCATGCTAGCTCCTGTTAACCTTTCCAACTTCATTTCTCAGCGTGACCCACCCCTCTCCACCCCAGCCTCTATGCCTTTGAGAGGTTGTTCCCTTTCCCCACCCTTCCCTTTCCACTTTTCTGGCCAACCTTTACGTTTCAGCTTTAACCTCTCCTTTCCCCAGGAAGCCTTCTCTGACTTCTCAAGTGGGTTAGATGCCCTCTTTCTGTGGTTCCACAGCTCTGTTTGTGTCCCTGGTGTATCTTTATCAGACTATATTGCCTGTTCGTGTTCTGTCTCTGGATCCTTCAAGGTTACAAGGGACAGAAACTCAGCTCAAATCAGCTTAAGCTAAAGAGGAAATGTGCTGGATCCTGGGTAAGCTCACGGACTGACGGAAATGCCAAACAAACAAGCTTGAGGAAAGCAGAAACTGGGGCCCCTCCCAGATCTCTGGATTCTGCATTAGGGCTTTAAGCACTGATCACGGTGTATCTGTGAGAGTTCTGATTGCTCCTTCTTAGGTCACGTGCTTGCCTAGACTAAGAACCGTGGCCCTGGTTTAGGAAAGATACAAGATAGAGAATCCCACTCAGAACACTTTTCAAGCCCTTGGGTAACAGAAAGGGAATGAAGGAGAACAGAAGGAGCGTAGGGCAGGCTGGTATGTAGATCACCTATTGCTGCAAAACTAACAATCAGAAAACCTCAGTGGCAAACAGCAATATATATATATATATTTTAAATGCAATTGCAGGAGGTCAACTAATACAGACTTGATGGCTTTGCTTTAATCTGAAGGTCTGGCTGAGCCAGGATCCTCGTGGTAGGGGAAACTGAGGCTTACTCCAGGGATGCTCATTTGGGGGCCTCCGACTGAAGGAGAAATGTCACCTTTTCATTGTCTGTGTCTTGTCCAGTAGCTGACATGTAGGACAGGTGCCTCATAAAAGTGAATTTAATAAATGAGTAATCACACCCAGTGTCCAATAAACTTCCTCTTTAGCTGAGCTGATGGGTGAGTTTCTGTCCCTTGAACCCTTGAAGGATCCAGAGACCAAACACGAACAGGCAATATAGTCTGATAAAGACATACCAGGGACACAAAGGGGGCTGTATTGTCCTTTCTGTGGATCTTTGGCAAATAGACAAGTCAGGAAAAAGTGCTTGAGACAAAGGGAATAGTCTGAATCTTGTGTAACAGAGAGAGGGCACATCTTAAAATGGCTATGTGACTAGAATATATGGAGTGCATTGCAAACTACAGGGCTAAGATGATAAAGAGAGGACAAGTGTGGAGGGAGGAGTGTACGCTTTATTCTGCCTTTAAGTATCTACTACGGCCATGGGGGTACAACTCAATGTATGACCTCATATAAGAGTTTATGATGCATTTATGACAAAACAGACTGTAGGTGCCATCCAGAGTGGAATAATTTGGAACCAGTACACCTATACAAATTTTTATTATTAGCTGGCTATGAAGGAAAGAAATGCACTTAATTGGGTAAACAGTTTATTTCTTATCTTCTTTTAAGCTTTCTGAACGAACAGAATTTGGCTAGCTGGTTTTCTACCCTTGAAAGCATAAAGAAGGTTGGACTGTCTGAAAATACTCTTTTCTGGGAGTATGTTCGTAGACAACTGAAATAAACTGCAACTCACTGGTGCCAAATATATCACACATCAGCCCACCTCCTGCCACGGTGAGCTTGTAGCAGAGAAAAGAATGTTCTCAGGTGAGGAGGATGTCAGCCTCATTCTAGAGAAAGAGAAGCCAGTCCTGCATGTGGGTGTGATTTCAAAGCTAGAGTTCTGATGCTACAAAGAAAAAAAGGGCTGAGGAACAGGTCCCTCCCCTCCTGTCCCCAGGGATGCAGGGCCATCACCATCTATACCTTTTCATTTTAAAGATAGGAGTTGAGAGTCCAGTTTATAATTCTAAACACAAGCCTTTTGCCCAATATAGAGGACAACTCTCATTGTTATTCTACATGCTGCTCATATTCCACCCTATCGGTTAATAGGAAATAACAACAATAAATAAAGCTTGCTCTTAGGAGAGAGGGAGGGAGGGATGAAGAGACAATGAAGGGAGAAAGAGAAGGAAGGAAGGAGACATTATACTGACTTTTCAGATAAAAGCCAGACAACTAGTTAACAACTGCCATGTAGTAATGGGGCGGGGCTCTACTGGGGTGCAGGGGCTCATGGACCCCCAGAGCATTCTAATCAGACATGCTAGATATTTGACAGAAAAGTGGATTCTGTTTGATGGTTTGTTTCAAGAAGTTAAGGGGACAGAAGTTAAATTATGTTTCTGTTTTTTTCTTCTTCCAAATGAAACTCACTCTAAACACCCAACTAAAAAATGATCTTACAGATCTGTGTAGTCTAATACCTATGTACATGTTGCTATTCAAATTTAAAATTAAAAACCTTTTTTTTTTTTTTGAGACAAAGTCTCACTCTTGTCCCCCAGGTTGGAGTGCAATGGCGTGAACTCAGCTCACTGCAACCTCCGCCTTCCAGGTTCAAGCAATTCTCCTGCCTCAGCCTCCCGAGTAGCTGGGATTACAGGTGCCTGCCACCACGCCTGGCTAAGTTTTGTATTTTTTAAATAGAGACGGGGTTTCACCATGTTGGCCAGACTGGTCGTGAACTCCTGACCTCAGATGATCCGCTCGCCTCGGCCTCCCAAAGTGCTGGGATTACAGGCGTGAGCCACCGTGCCCAGCCAATTAAAAACTTAATTTAAAAAATTAAATTAAAAAAATGTAGCTCTTTAGTGGTTACCATATGAGATAACATAAATATAGAACATTTGCATCATCATACAAAGTTATATTGGACAGCAGTGCAGATGCTGATGGTGACCATTCTCTAACATTGCTCAGCCTCCTAGTTCTACCAACTTGAAATCTGGGAAAATATTGGAGGATAGCAAAGGCTATCAATACAGGGGCTGCCAAATCTAATAAGCAAATCATCTTTTCATTTCTTAGGTTCAGAAAGGGGCTTCCCTGCTGAGGAGCCATGCTCTTTCCACGATGAAGAACTAGAGACCGTCTTGTGCAGTGGGCTGGCAGAGAGGAGCCACACAGTGAAGTGTAAATTGCTCAGGATCACAATTCAGAGGACATGGGTTCTCACCTTGGCTCTATGACTCATTTTGTGCCTTTCACCCCTACAATCTCTCCGAACCTCAGTCTCTGAATGAATGAAATGAGACTGACCAAACCAATCTGGCTAAATATAAAGGTATAACATCCTGATCAAACACAGGAATTTGTACTTGCATAGTAGATGCATCAATAGCATACCTTTGGGACATTATTGCTCTTAGGTGCTATTGTTAACAACGGGCCTCCTAATCTAGATGTTCTCACTCTAGTTCTTCCATGAGGATTTCTGGGAAGTTTGCCTATGAGGGAAAGTTATGACCCACGATCTACTGTTGCTTTGGGAAGTCTTCAGCAGCTGGTGCCAGCTGTGTTATCCTGATACTTTTTTTTGTTTATTTGTTTGAGATGGAGTCTTGGTCTGTCACCCAGGCTGGAGTGCCGTGGCATGATCTCAGCTCACTGCAACCTCTGCCTCCAGGGTTCAAACAATTCTCCTGCCTCAGCCTCCCGAGTAGCTGGGATTACAGGTGCACACCGCCACACCCGGCTAATTCTTTTGTATTTTTAGTAGAGATGGGGCTTCACCATGTTGGCCAGGCTGGTCTTGAACTCCTGACCTCAGGTGATCCGCCTGCCTTGGCCTCCCAAAGTGCTGGGATTACAGGCAGGAGCCACCGCACCCAGCCTCCTGAAACATTTCATAAGAGAGGTATACGTAATCCTCTGCCATATTTAGCAGAGAGTTTCACAGGTTCTGTGAATTACCTGGTGCTCTTCAGGACATAGGCAATGCCACAAATATCACACCCATGGATGAGGCTACCCAGTCCATGTCCCTGCAGGGGAAATTCTCCCACCATCCCAGAGCCTCCAAAGGAGCACACAGTGATTTGCCCTAAAGAGTATCAACTTTGAAAGTTTGTAAACATGCCTCAAAGGAGACAATTTGAAAATTCTAAACACAGGTCATTGAACATTTATTGCTAGTTGTCCTGATTATTTTGAGAGGTGAAAAGCACTCATGTTTAAATCTACATTTGGATCATCTAGTCTTGCCTACCTATTCCATGAGAATAAAGAACATCTCTTTGTTTTAATGTGTCTTCACCTATTATATGCTTTTGGACTCCTACTCTTTGAGCCCAAAGAAACAAGCAATTCCCTTCTGGGGCCAAAAAAAGACATGATATGATGCTAATGTTCCTCAGTTAGAATATTGCTATCTTGCACCCTACTCAAGCTACTTCGAAGATGACAACGTGGACTTTACAATGGCTCGGGGTGTTGCTGGTGGTAGTGGTGAGGGATTGAGATGGAGACGGCTACATTCTATATTCTGAATGCAGCTTGAGAGTAGAGAGGGGATATCCACACCACAGTGGTAGTTCTCAAGCATTAGCATCATCAGAATCACTTGAAGGGTTTGTTAAAACTCAAATTTCCTGGCCCACCCTCCAGGTTTCTCATTCAGTTGACCAGGGGTAGGGCAGAGATAGGGCCTGAGAATTTGCATTTCTAACAGATTCCCAGGTAATGCTGATGCTGCTGGTCCAAGGACTCAACCTTGAGAATTGTGGCTTTAGGACCTTTTCAAGCTTCATTCCATATGCACACATGCAAGGGGAAATGCATTTCTCAAAACATCTGTTTCCTTAAATGTGATGCCAACTTGAGTGACCAAAGCAAATGATAACAGCTAATACGTGCATAGCTCTTACTGTGTTCTAGGCACTGTTCTAAGTGCTTAAATATACTAACAGATTTAACCCTCGCAAAAATTGTATAAAGGTTATATTATATTATCTTTATTTGACAAATGTGATCCGGAGAAGTAACTTTCCTAAGGTTACACAGCTAAAGTGTGCACTAGGGTTGGTGCGGGAACACAGGAAGTCTGGCACCAGAGTCTACAGCCACTGTACTACATTGCCTCTCCCTTCAACCCCCTTTCTTTTCCCACATTATCCTCATCCCTGGGCTAATGACAACATTCCTTTCAGAGAGTCCTCCTTGGGAGCCTCCCTTAAATGGGATGTTAACAACCTCAAGGCTGTCTGACGTTAGCCTTGGTCAAGTTTATTTTTAATACCTAGTAACTATAACAGAGCACAGTTTCTCATTTGCCTATACCCTGTCATTTTGGGAGTATCCTTGATTCAATAATTATTATTTTACAAGGAATGCAGAAAGACTTGACAAATAGAAAAACGGAAGCCTGAGTGAAGGAAGAGAAACAATAAACAGGAAAGAGAAAATAATAAAGCAATAGGAAGAACGGTAAAAATAACCAGATGGAAAGGTCGAGGTAGATAAAATGCAGGAGATAAGGATGGGAGAGAAAAATATAAAAACTAAACATGCATGACAAAATAGCTAAAGTCCAAGTAGATGTCATACTGAGAAAATAGAAATATAAAACCTAAGCACAAAACCAGTCACGATGAGTGAATAGAGGACATGAGAAGAGGAGGAAATTAGCAGGGGGAGGGAGACGAAAGATGCTACTAATTGGGTTTTGAACTCCAGTTGCTATAATTGGGCATTTAAGCTATATCAACATTCTTCTTCATCTTTAGAATATTTCGCAATCTTTTAAAATACAGGAAACGCCATTTGATTTTGTCCAAACTCTGGCCACTCAAATCCTGGTTGCTTGTTTATTTTTTTTCTTGAGCAAGAAAAGTTTCACTAAGGGTTGGCATGCAGGATAAATCTTTTGGAGGAAAGAGGGGGAAATAATTCAATAGGAAGGAAAGATTCATTATGACAAGGGCTGGGTCAGGGAAATGGTCACATAACTGCATTCCTGAAAGCAAGTCCTGCTAAAAAACTAAACCTGAGTTAAGGCTGTTTGCTCTGCCCTGGGATCGAGTTGGGGTCACTCTGGAGGCCAGTCACAGAGCCTGAGACTCTGAACGTTCTGTTTTAGATTAAGAGCTGGGTTCACCCAACGGGTACGGAGTGGGAAAGAGGATGGACGATGTCAGCTCTAGTCTGAGGGCTGGCGTCCTGCATGCGAGGATCCTGTCACTCTGGGACCTCCTTAGGAGTTGGTTGTTCCATTAAACGGGGCACAGGAGGCCAGCCTTCACTGTTTATTCTTTCCCTTTCCCATTAGTTGTCAGATTTTTCTCTTTACATTTCTATTATGATATAATAGGAAATTCTTGGGTTTTAAAATGGTATGCTTGCAAAATGTATTATCTTTCCCTCAAAACGAGTTCTTATCCAGTCCAACATGAATTTTCCAGTCATGCAGCTTACACAGTCATTCTTTCTGCAGTCTTTCAGAATCTCTCCTCTGGGGATACACCTCCCTCTTCCCACAGTTCCCTTGACCCCCAAGGAAAGTTATCTGAGGGGCTATATTATTAAATTTCATGGAATCTAAGACACAACTGGGTATGAAAAAGAGGCACCATTAACTCATGCGCCACTAAGAAAGAAAAAGTCTTCATTCTAAGATATGCCATTAGCTATGAGATATACCTCAATTTGAGAGATGTTATAATGTAAAATAAACAATGTCTCAGATCTACAAAATGTGACATCTTCTCTATTTGACTGTAATCTCCCTGAGAGTAGCAACTGTGCCCTAGTTCTTTACCCCCTAACCTCTCCAAGGCAAATAGCTCTTTGTATTTTCCAAGTGTACTTGCTGACAACTCTGACTGCATTAAGTATGTGTATATATGTGTGTAGTGTTTGATCACACATTTGCATAGCACGTTATAACCATTTTATCCTTAAATCTTCCTAGGAAATTCAAGAAAGGGACAGGCACTGCTTTTCTTGTTTACAGATGATCAGCCTGAAGCTTAGAGACATAATCTGACATACCCATGGCACTAGGTCACCAGTAAGAGTTGAAATTAGGACCTTCAGTTAAGTGTGAGTCTAGTAATTTTTTTTTGTTTCCATGTTCAAGAAATAGTAGAAAGATGTGGACTCCTCACCTCCTACTCTAGCTCCTGAGAAAAACCCTGCATTTGATTAGAAAATAACAAATGTTTCCATGCCCTAGTATGCTCTGGCATGGGGTTCCTTATTTCATCTCTGTGGCAGCTACCTGTCAACGTGTGATGCTTGGAGCTGAGGGTGGGGAGTTTGTACACACCAAGGCTATCTAAACAGACCATTAAGTGGTAGTAAAGTAACACATGTGAATGACAGGTCAATAAATCCCCAACAACTTATGTTGCCTGCAAGAAGCTGGCTGTTGCCGAGTGTTGTTATGTTTACATAAAATCAATTTTACAAGCAATCTTAAATAATTAGGGAAGATGCCATCACACAGAGGATATTCTACATTCACTGTAATAGCTCTGGCATTCATCTCATTGATCCCTTTTGTCTGATATTATGTGCAGGTTTTTTTCCTCTCAAGCTGCTATCTTCCCTGATAGCTTCTTTATGAAATACTGAAATACTACCTCATAAGAAACCAAGACACACATTCTTATCAGTATTTTACAGACCAAAGACCTTGAAGTTACCTATTAGCTGAGTCTTCCTGAAGCTCAGCTTTATATGTGTTTTCCTTTAATTCTCTAATCTCAAGCCCTTAAAACATTTGGAGACGGATAAATTGGTGTAGTGGGTAGGTACCATAGATACTAAACATAAAAGTTTGAGAAAAAATTAAAACCGTGTTGGGTTTTATGATGATAGCAGAGAACATACAGAGGAATGTAGGTTTCTCTCTCAATCTTCTAGCCTTCTGGATGATGCCGATTTATCCTTTACAAAGTTTAAATAGAATAGATTTTTTTGTTGTTGTTGAAAGCAAATGTCCATTAATGATACATTGTAGGGGTATAGGATGAAGCCAATGGTCCCACTGGGGACAAAATTTCCTTTAGGGCCTCCTAGACCAGGGATTTACAAACCAGAGGCAGAGGCATCACGCCACTTCAGCTGTCCCATCAGGTAGAAGGGAGCCACTCTGCTGGTGACTGTAGAGCCATAAATCCTCATTTACCATGGAACACTGTGGCTTCCATCTGTTTCCTAAAGTGCCTATATAAACTAAGTCTTTGTAAACCATCTGCAAAATACCCTCGTGCATGCATGCCCGAGTCTTGTGCTAATGCAATGTGGTGATTTTGCAACTTCAAATAAGGTTCATTTTAATTGTCATTGTTAAGATCAAATGCTTTGCAGCTGTCTCTCTCCTACAGATGAAAAACATAACTTTGATGGCTAATATGATGAACTCTTATGTTCCATTTTCATCTAAATTGCTACACTTCAGTGCCTGTGTCTACTAAGTGCCTAACAAATATTTTTGAATTTAAAAAATTTTGACTAGAAAAAGGTAGTGGGCAGTAATATGGGAATAATATGAGACTCTCAGATTTAAGAAGTGGGCTTTGGCTATTTCTTAGTTACTAAGGAGCCATGTGAGGGCCTCATTTTCCCCATTTGGAAAATGAGTGTGTTGGGTTAAGTGACTCAAAGGTCCCTGCCTGCTCTAACATTTGGGTTCTAAATTTTAACCCAAATTCTCTCACGGGTAACTCAAACTTTGCTTGAATTTTCTGATCTAGGGAACAATGGAACATGACCCAATTTGGAAATTGTGTCTCCCCACTTTTTCTTTATTCTACAATCCCAACTAAATGCTTATATAAACCAGTTCAGAGATTTTCAGTTATCATTAATCATCTATTTTAAATTAAACTACTTAGTGTAAAAGATGACTTAATTTAACTCTGGTTGGTAATTTTTATCTGGTTAAGAAAAGCTATTTTCTACTACTGTACTTTAAGTAAAATAAAAAAGCAACATTTGTAAAGAAGTATCTGACCTACACAGTGCCATGCCCAGCATGTAAGAATGCTGCCATTGCATTAGGACTGTTTATTAGACCTGCACATGTGTCTATCTGCACGTTTCTTCCTCTGTCTGCCTTGTAAAGGACAAAAGCAATGCACAGTTCTGAACACTGTTTTCTCAAGTCCCCTTTTCAATATGGGTTGGTATTCAGCCTAACAAGAAAAGCAAAGAAAAAACAATTAGACAAAGTCCAGGAATACCTGTTCTTTGACTGCTGATAAGCCTAACAGCATGCGGCATGTCTGAGAGGAATCTGTTATTAACACAATTTACTATTTGTGCAAACATCTGTAGGTCACATTATTTCTCTACAAGCCAGTGATAGAAAAAGCAAAACCAAGATGGGTTATTAATCACTCAGTATTTCTCAAGAAACACTAAAAACAAACAAACAAACAAACAAACTAAACTAATACATTGAAAGAAGAAAAACAAAGCATTTGTCATTTATTATGAAATGAGCCACCCAGGTCCCACTAACACCATCTTTTACACATGGCACACTGGGTAGGCTCCAGGAGACATAGGGGGTTAGAAATGGGACCTGTGCCTAACAGAGGACACCCTGGTAGTTCTCATTTCCTTGCAAAGGAAGTGGAAATTCAGATTTGCACGTCTTTTCTATTTGTGCTGGAACTGCTTCCACCAGGGGTGTGGGAATCCACATGGATGCAATGAGCCAAACAATTCTTGGGATAGCCTGATACCATTAGAAACAGGTAGACCTGGGGAGAAAAGTTCAAGTGTCCATTAATGCCAACAGAAAAGAAACAGTGTGGTTTACTGACTATTCACAGCTGTCAAGGTGATAGGGAGTTGTGTAGGTAGGTGCACTTTTACACATCTGTCAGCAAAAACCAGTTTCCAAGTTTAAAAATCTACTACTCAGGAATGGCACGTGTATCGTAGAGTCTCCCAGGTGGTTTTACAGAGCAAGGAGTGGGTTATGAGGTAACGTCAAGACAAGGTTGTATCTGGGGCCATAAAGACTGGTAATTACTCAGGGAGACAAAAACTTCTTCTTTTGATGTATACTACGTTAACAAAAGATAGTATTTTGAGACAAATTGGACTTGTGTCCTAGTGGACTACATGCATCCCACAGACAATAATGGAGCCCCTCCTATGTGTTATGCACTAGGCACTTTTCTGGGGAGTTAATAAGGGCTTCCAGGTAGGTAAGAGCATGGTGGGTAAGGGAATGGTAAGATATCCAAAGTAGAGTGAGCAAAATGCCATTTTATGTGACTGATTCTACACCAGTTAGTAATAGCCCAACTTTGAGGTTTTCTTAATAAACACTGCAATACATCATTAGACCTGCAATAAAATAATACTGTAAGAGCTAACATTTACAGAGTACTCCCTATGGGCCAGGCATGGTTTTAAGAGCTCTACGTGTATTAGCTCATTTACTCCTCATTAATCCTGAAGAGTTAGATGTAACATTATCCCCATTTCTTAGATGAGGAAATTGAACCATGGGGAGGTTCAGTAACCCTCAAGGCCACATAGCTAGTAAATGGTAGGTGGAAACTTGAATCCTGGAAGTCTGGCTTCAGGGTCCAAGCTTCTAATCATTCCCTTTCAAAACAAAATTGGTATGGCTGATTGTGGCTGCCCACAAATAGCATCTCAATTTTGATCATGGTACATGCATCCCAGCATACATCTACATGTTTATACACAATCAGAGAATTTATAGGGAGAAGACTGTAGAGATTCTCTCAACTAATTTGTGGTGATCAGTTTTCAACTGATAGCTATGGAAACGTAGACCCCTCAAGAATCCAAGTTTGCTTCAGACAAATGTATTCACTGTTTGACCTATATATATTAGCCCCATACAGTCCCATTATCCATTAAAATGGTAAAAGAGTACTTCTTCAATCCCAACAAATAGTGATGGGAGCCAGGGGACCCAAAAGAAACTGATCACCTTGCCTGACTCCACAATCACCATATTATTGCAAAGCTCCTTAGTAAGGTGGTAACCACTGATATTAACACAACAGTAGCACCAATACAGGAAACCTTCAGAGTTAGGGATTGATGGCTGTGGTGTTTCCTACAACACCCACTGTCCTCAAGATATAAAACAGATCATCATTATGAGGTAATTCAGCCCTAGTGACAGGGTGGTAGAAATACATTGTTATCAGTGAGAAGATATTGGCTCACCTGCTATGCATAGGGTCCTGTATTTATTGCCTTGTTTGAAGCTAATGATTTTTGAAAGGTGGAATATGCTGATGGGTGATAATTTTCCAGGCTTTATTTTTTTCCCTGGCAGATCTCCTGTAACACAGTTTTGGTGGCTAGCACCGTGGAGTAATGATTTTTCATTGTTTGTTGACAACTGTGTTTATTTCTCTCGCTTTAAGTTTTCAGTAAAGGCTATTCTGAGCCTGGAAGATGATCAGTGCATCTTGCACTAAATAAAAGGTAATGGATTTCAGAAAAGGAACCCAAGAAAAAAAGGAAGGAAAAAAAATAATCTTAGAGTCTTCTCTGTGGTGTTTTCTAGATGTGCTCCTGCAGTTCATTCGTAGGCAAAGTCAAGGTTAAAACTGCTCAGTGTAGCTACATTTGTGTTAAAATCATTAGCCCTGAAGAAAGAAACCTTGTACATTCTGAAAAGAAGACACGTTTAGGTTGAATCCACTCATGTCAGAGGGAGCCAATGGAGGATGGCTTCCATTTGCCCTTCTAGATCTATGATCTACTCTCCATTCTTCTTCTTGTCCCAGGAGGCTAACATCTATTCTGGCTTCTGGTTGGAGACTGGTTGACAGGAAAAAGGAGATTGAGACTTGAGATGCTTCTCTCCCCAGCTCCCTCCCAGTTAGGAGCAGCAGGGAGCTGTGTTCTGTTACCAAAGGCCACTAACTTCTGTGGGGGTAGCTCACCCTTATACTCTCCATGATTTGGTAACTGTTCCCTTCACCCTTCAAGCTAGGCATGATAATAAAGCCTTACTATTGCTGGTATCAGGGCAGTTCATCATGCCTTGTTGGTCTTTCTTAACCCTACCTATATCTTTAGATTTTCCTCAATTCGACTACCTGTTTCCTGCTGGGAACTTACCCCATGTAAATTCTGGTTTGTGATAACTGGTCCTGAGACTTGTGTACCTGTTCCCAGTCCTCAGACCCTCTTTTCTGTTTTTTGCTCTTTCCTGGTACCTGGTTTGAGCATAGTGTGTGAATGTATTTGCGTGTGTTACTGTGCTCTCTAGGTGCTGACTGACCCCAGTCCCTGCCTTCCACATCCAGCTACGTCCACTCAGCCCTCCTACCCTCACCATTCACCCTGCTCATGACTCTTGGGCCTCTGGAGGTTAAGTAGGATTCCAATTTGAACATGACTTTATCTGTCAGTGGGTTGAAATATTGAAATATACCTAGGGATTTTATGTAATCATGAGCTGCCCTCATTTTATTTTGCTTTTTATAATACATGATGGTTCCCCAACCATGTACTCTATCTAGCCAGACACTGCTCTGGCTTCTCACGTGTGAGCTACCCTGATTTTTGGTTCATTCCTTTCCTGCCAGTTAGTCCCCCATTACCTGGATCTGGAAATCAGCCAAGACAAAGACAAATGGCCTCTCTAAAGTTCAAGTCACTGATGGGTATCCCATAAGAACATGGGCTCTTAAAGTTAGAAGGGAGTGTGAGAGGTTCTGTGGTCCATTCCCCGCCATGGTAGTAGAGGGGAGTTTACAGCCCCCTTTTAATTACCAGAGTAGAAGAATACACAACAGTACAGATCTTAAGACTATGAAGCAATTAATTATTTAAGTGCTGTAGAACATTGGGTGACTGACCTACAGACTGGCTTTTATAGCTAAAAATGATTAGAGGAGAAGAAACATTTAGAATCTCTCAACACTAATAAGATTGTTTATTCTGACTTCTGGGAACTTCTTATTCCTTGTCTTTCTAGCTCAACAAAAGCAGTGTCTCAGAAGTCTAAGGGTCTGCACGTGCATTCTCATGTTCCTCACTGCTTTTCTGGACCCTCCTCACTCACTGCATTCTCCTTCTTCATTTCCTGGGTTGGTTTCTCATCCAGCTTAGCTTGGCAAACTCCAAGCTAAGTCTCCTGGGATTCCTTCTTCTCTTCTCTATTAGTACTGTCTTTCTTTCTCTCTCAGAAATCTCATCTTCACTCATCTTGATGATGGCTTTAAATACCATCCACATGCCAAAGACTTCAACAATTTTATCTCTAGCTCCGAGCATCCTCCTCAACTCTAGACTTCTGTATCTAACAGCCTGCTTGACTGTTTTCTCCCTTGGATGTCTAATACATATTACAGACAAACGCTTCCAAATCAGAGCATGTGCCTTTCTTGTCCACTCTGCATTCCCACCCAGCCTTGCTCCTCAGTCATTCTCCTTGTCAGTAAAAACACTCCTAATCACCAAATTGCTCACATCACAAACCTTGACTCTTATCTTTCCCTTCACCCACATTGCCAATCCATCAGTAAATCCTGTGACTTTACCTACAATGCATATTGCAAATCTATCCATTTCACTCTTTAAAAAAAATTTTTTAAGTTTACGTTTTTCTTTTTTTCCTTTTTGGAGATAGAGTCTTCCTCTGTTGTTCAGGCTGGAGTGCAGTGGCATGATCACAGCTCACTGCAACCTCAGCCTCTCAGGTTGAAGTGATTCTCCCACCTTGGCCTCCCAAGTAGCTGGAACTACAGGCATGCGCCACCATGCCTGACTAATTTGTTTGTTTGTTTTTGTAAAGACAGGGTCTCATTATGTTTGCCTAGGCTGGTCTCAGACTCCTGGGCTAAAGCTATCCTCCTGCTTCAGCCTCCCAAAGTGCTGGGATTACAGTTGTGAGCCACCGCACCCAGCTCATTTCTCTTTCTGCAGTTAAAAACTACCATCTTCTCTTGCCTGGAACATATTACAGCTCTCTAACTGGTCTTTTGGCTTTCACTATTATGTCTCCTGCAAAAATTTCTCCTTGAAGTAGTTGCAGAGTGATTTATTAAAATCAGTGGTTTTCATGTGGGAGTGATTTTGTCCCACAGGGGCCATTTGGCAATATCTGGAAATATTTTTGGTTGACATGGGCGTGGCATCTAGTGGGTAGAATCCGGGGATGTTGCTAAATATCCTACAATACATAGGACAGGCCTCACAGCAAAGAATTATCCAGAATGAAATGCCAATAGTGCCAAGGCTGAAAGACAACCATTTAAATGGAAATCTGACCATGTCATGCTCCTGTTTAAAATCCTCCAGTGGTTTCTGTTTGCTTTTAAAATCCAAACTTTTTATCCTGGCCTACAAGGTTTCAAAGGATGTGGTCCCACATGCTTCTTGGGTCTCCTCTATGCCTCTCTTTTTCATTCTCACTTTCCCTCCAACAGGCCAAGTTTAGTCCTTAAGACTATCGGTGGCAGCTGTGAGCCTGAAATGCCCATCACCCCGATATTCCCACTGTTCAACGTCAAATCCATCTCCTCAGTGGGGCCTTCCCTGACCACTCAACCTCAACACTCCTCTACACTTTCTTTCACACCACATCAGAATTTATTTTCGCATTTATGACTCTATTTTCTGGTTTACCTATTATTTATATATTGTTAGCTCCTGCGAGCTGGGAACATTTTCAAACAGTAAATGCTCTCTAAATATTTTTTGAATGAATAAACTTCATGTTTGTACAGTAAAGGTTGATTGGCTTTGTGTGTTTTTAAGTGGCCTAATAAGGAACACCCACATGTGAGAATAATTTTTGCCCCAGGGCGAGCGTTTATTTAAAACACTTATTGATCCACTTCCACTGGAAAAGTGCCCTCCTCATCTCTAAATATTGGCAATATTTTTTCTACTGGCTTGAAAATTCATTTATTTCTTCATTAATTCAATAATCAGCAAATCAGAAACCATGAAAGATATTTTGCTCTTAATAATGACCAAGAAACATCTCCAGTCCTTAAGGAACCCTCAGGCTTGACCTGCCAGCACCATCTCCCAAGAAATTAAATCTGATTATACTATTTCTTGCTTATGATTTGCCCCATCAGCACTGTAGTAGGTTGAATGGTGCTACCCTCCCCCAAGCCTTGTCCACATCCCAACCTTCAGAACCTGTGAAGGTGACCTAGCTTGGAAAAAGGGCCTAAATAATGGTATTATTATTCCAAAATAATGGTATTAATCCATTCATGAGGGCACAGCTCTCATGAGCGAATTACCTCTTCAAAGTCCCGCTTCTCAACACTGTTGCATTAGGGGTTAAGTTTCCAACACATGAATGTTGGGAGATATATTCAAGGGTCCTTGCAGATGTAATTAAGTTAAAGACCTGCAGGAGAAATCGTCTTGGATAATCCAAGGGGGCCCTAAATCCAATGACAAGTGTTTTTATGAGAGACCCACAGAGGAGATACGTGAATGAAGATAAGAGGGCCATGTGAAGACAGAGATAGAGAGTGGAGTTATCAAGCCAGGGGCTAAGGTGCCCCGGCAGTCACCAAAAGCTCAAAGAGGAAAGGAAAGTTTCTCTCCTAGAGACTCTGGAGTGAGTGCAACTCTACTGGATTTAGGTTTTTTGGCTCCCAGATCTGTTAGAACATAAATTTCTGTTGTTTGACGCCAGCAAGCCTGGGATAATTCATTACAGCAGCCATAGGAAATTAACATAAGAACCTACATGATACACGCCTGGTCCTTCAGCTGTCACTCAAGGCTCCTGGCATTGGCCTCTGCCTCCTCTCCTACCCATCCCCAGGTTCTGCAACTACTTCCCACATGCCACACCATTCTCCAGGCCTGCCTCTACTACCTAAGCCATGCTGGAGTCAGAAGGGACTAGTTACGCTCTCCAAAAACTCAATCCTCTCTCATATTTAAGCGGGTATTTTCACCTGCCCTGTTCCTCCAACCTCTTCCCTCTCTAGTTAAGCCAGAAAACTCCCACTCCTTTTTCAAGGCCCAACTTAGATTTCCCAGGTTCCTCAACTCTTCCTTAAGGTACTTGTGTAAGCACCTTGCTACCCTTATGGTACCAGTTACTTCCTTATGGAATTTGCATAGCTTGGAATACATACACTTACTCTAACACTAATTTTTATGCTATTGTATTTTGACGATCAATTTTTACTAATTTTAATTTAGTATATTTCATGCATACATTCTTATTTAAAAAGAAAATTATAAAGGTAAAGTGCTCCTTTAACCATACCTCCATCCTGCTTTCCTTGTAAATCTTATATACAATAAATCCTATTATTTTATACCTGTTTTTAAATATAAGTCATACCTACATATCTATGTGTGTGTATATATGCATACACACATACATGACACACTCTCTCTGTAAATGTATACATAGGGTGTGTGTTTTGTTCTGTTTTCTGCTCTGTGCCTTTTCACTCAGTTCTCCTACTAGAAGATGAACACTTAGGCTATTTCCAATTTATCACTATTCCAAACTATGTGAAAGTGAACATCTTTTTTTTTTTCTGAGACAGTTTCACTCTTGTCCAGGCTGGAGTGCAATGGCACGATCTTGGCTCACTGCAAACTCTGCCTCCCGGGTTCAAGCGATTCTCCTGCCTCAGCCTCCCTAGTAGCTGGGATTACAGGCATGTGCCACCATGCCAGGCTAATGTTGTATTTTTAGTAGAGACTGGGTTTCTCCACGTTGGTCAGACTGGTCTCAAACTCCTGACCTCAGGTGATCCGCCTGCCTCGGTCTCTCAAAGTGCTGGGATTACAGGCGTGAGCCACCGCGCCTGGCCATGAAAGTGAACATCTTTGAATCTGCTTGCTTATGCCAATGTGACAGCATTACTTACAATAGATACAAAGGAGTGAAATCTCTGGAATAGGTATTCATTTTAAATTTTGGCAAATACTGCCAAATATTTCTTTGCCATGGGACTGGAATGAAGGTACCCACTTTTTAGTTTTTTCATTGACTTATCCACAGAATCTAGCTGCTCTGAGGATCAGCATCTTATTTCTTCTTTTCATTATTGTATTCTCAGGTCCCTTGAATAGTGCCTGGCACATGGTAGGCATTCAGTAAATGTCTGAGAATGGATGACCGTTTCTCTCTTTTGGTAGAATGTGAGCTTCCTCTGGGCAGAATTAATGGCTCACACTTTCTGTGTGCCCAATGCCTTACAGTGTCATATATAAAATAAGTGCTCAAAAATACTTATTTATTGAGTTAATGAAAACATTTTCAACACTATAACTGTATACTGTATTTTTGAGTTCTCTGTGATTACCACATAGATGTTTATTAAAATCAGGATAGGTGAAAGAAATTGCTATGTAATTTAAAAGTGGAAACTATGATCTTGACCTACTCCTCTCTCCCACCACTGACAACAATTATATAATTGGGGATTTCACATATCCTATACAGAAAATGCCACTAGTATTTGAAATATGTAATTTTTTTACATGTAAGTAGAGTTCATAAAGAGCATATAACAACGATGTGGCTCAGCTTCCTTACTTGTAATCCCATAACAGTGCAAACGGGCAGCCAATTTGACAGTAAGGAATGACTATCCAAACGGGTCTAAATCATCTGTTAGAATCTGTAGGTATGAAACACAGGCTAAAGTAAGAGGAGCAATGGGTCCTGCAGGCTGACTCCAGGCCAGCACTGGATAACATTAGGCAAATTTCATTTAGATGTAATGGACACACCTGGAAATCTACTTGCTTTTAGAAAGGAATAATGAACTCATCTATCAAGGCTAGAACTGTGTGTCAGCAGTTCAGGATGCAAAGCAGAACCAGGAGTGCCTTATCATGACCTAGGTTTTCAGTGAAAACATGTATAATTCCTTACAAGCACATTGCCACCTCTTTCATTGGTGCATAGATATATTAGCAGTCTTTAATGAAAGTATGTGTGTGCACAAATAATATATTACAGTAAACATCTTTGAACTTGCCTGCTTGTGTATAAATGCTGTATATGGAATATACATCTTAATGACATATATGAATGAGAAATACTAAGTTTTTCTCCAAGTAGGTGATACAGCTATTCATTACCAACTCCATCACCTATTGTACTATTTAAAGAATTCTTCCATTTTTCTAAAATTCAAGAGAAAAAATATCAATTGCCTAGTCTAGAAATTCCCAGACCTTCATATTTCTTGCAGTAATTAAAACAGCTAACCAATAAACAAATTTGGATTCTGCTATGACTTGCCAACTTTTCACTTTGCCAAGAAAGGACATTAAAAAGGAAAAACAACTATTATTTACTGCCATTATCATTTCATAAAAGGAAAGATTTTCAAGCCCCTACCCCCTAAAAAAGTCAGAAAGAATATTCTTAGAATAAAGGAAAGTCTTTTAGCTTGAAATTTTTGTTTGTAAAAAACTTAGGCTTAAAAAATATTTTCTTACATATTCTCATTTCACAGAGGAGCACCGAAAACTTAATTGCCTGTCCGCCCCAGTGCATGAAACAGTATTGTGGAATCATCTTTCCAGCCTGTCTACTTCGATACTCCCCCTTGATTCTTCTGAAATTCTCCTATGAAATTGAATAGCCATATTTCTTTTGTTTTGTTTTTGTTTTTTTTTTGCTTGTTTTTTTTTGTGACAGGGTCTCACTTTGTCACCCAGGCTGGAGTGCAGGGGTGCGATCTTCTGGGTTCAAGCAATCCTCCTGCCCCAGCCCTCCAGGTAGCTGAGACTGCAGATGCACACCCCCATATGCGGCTAATTTTGGTATTTTTTTTTTTTTTTTATAGAGATGGGTTTTTACCATGTTGCTTAGGCTGGTCTCGAACTCCTCAGCTTAAGCGATCTGCCAACCTCAGCCTCCCAAAGTAATGAGGTTAAAGGTATGAGCCACCATGCCTGGCTGAACAGCCACATTTCAGCTGAGATAGGGGACTGATACAATCCCACCAGCATTTATTGGGGCCCTGCTATATGCTTGGACCCTAAAGTAGATGCTTTGCCAAAGCATATAAAAGCAGACATACCATCTTTTAAGTTAAGGTATGTCCACTCCTGTGTTCCCCTTTTGCCATTTGACGGAAGGAGTTCCTGACAAGAACAAGAACATGGGAAGAAAATTCTCCTGTCAAAGTGTGACTGATGCCATTATGCTGGGTGCCAGAGGAGATTGCTCAAATGCTACCATAGCCTGGAATTGTCTGCCAAAATGATGCTCTGTACCAACATTGAAAACCCAATCTTTCAAGTAAACATTGATAAGCATGTCTGTCTTTTGCTTTTCCTGGTGTTATTCCAACCTGAGGAAATACTGGAGAGAATCTTTTTTAGATCTCTAGTTTCACATGTTTAGATTGACAAGAAAGAAAAGATGGAATATGAACTCTTGGCTGGCAATAAGGAGGGTATGAGACAGGCTGCCTGTTTAAGGGTCATCCTTTCCTCTCCTTTCTTCAATCCAAATTTCTTTACGACATTCTGCCTGTTGCTACAATCCTGAGGATTCTGTCACAAGAAAAAAAAATGGTTAAATTTGGGCCTAACAATATGTTCACCACTCTGCAAGTAATCTCTTTACCTCATGAGGTAAAATGAGGCCCATGAACAATTCCAAATGCAAGGATAATATTTAGGAAATGCTCTCACTGGAGACTATCCAAAGAATGCATTCACTCTGTGCCACAGAGAGTTCATGTGTGCTCACAGAGACCCAGAACATGTAGGCAATAACATAACTCAATATAGATTGATAAGAACAAGTCCCCCTCACAAATGTAGGCTTTTTGAAAACAGTGGTTGACCAGTATTTAGGAACCATGAGCTAAAAATATTTTGATTGTGCCCTGTATATTATTTCCTTTATGTTGAGTTTTCCAACTCTCATTTTCAAAGTTCTGGTTTCATCAGTTTTCTAGGAATCTTTGTGCTATCTACACACATATTCTAAAATCCTTTAAAACAGAGGTTACTTCTATTAACCTGATCATTTATTTCACATAATTGGCACTTAATTGCAATTGTTGTGCGGATGTTGTTTCCTGTGTTTTTCTACCTATTATTTTACTAACAAAATAGTAATCCTGAGGGGTAGAAGGCAAAGCATCATATTCTAGTAGGGGGAACATGGGACTGGGAAATAATCAGTTGTAGGTTCAAATCTTTTCTCTACTACTTGTTAGCCTTGAGAACACAGTAAATTTCTCGATCTCTTTGAGCAACACTTTCCCATTTGTAATATAGAAATAACAACACCCATATTACAAGGCTGTAACAGGTACTGAAGAAAATGGATGTGAAGCCTTAGCACAGTCCATAATGCATAAAGGCCTTGAACGAATGGCAAGTCTAGTTGTGTCTCATCCCTATAGGGAAAAAGTCAGTAGGAAGAAATGTGTCCTGCACTCTCCATAATGATGCTCATATTTGCACAAGTGTGGTGTTTTAAAAAAATGGTTACACTATTGACAGACTTCCTATAGAGAGCTGTGAGATCCCTGTTTCCTCTCCATGAATGGAGGCACAGTTGTGACTACTGTGGTATGGCAGAAATGTTGCCATGTGATTGCTGACATTAGGTCACAAAAAGCTAGGCTGTTTCTACCTTGTTCACTGAAATAGTTGTACTGGAGCTGCCCCCATAACAAGTTAGATTACCCTGAGGTCTCCATGGTTGTGAGGAAACCAAAACCACATTGAGAGTAAGGCTTTTAGTCCACAATCTCAACCTTTGAATTATCCTAGCCCAGATAACAGACACGAAAATGAATAATCCTTCATGTGATTTCAATATCTGGCCTTCAAGTCACTCTTGGACTTTGGACATTTTTTTGCTGAGACCCTAGGTATTGTGGAGCAGAGATAAGCCATTTCTGTTGTGCCCTGCTCAAATTCCTAACTCAGAGACTCTGTGAGCAGAATAAATGGTTGTTTTATGCCCCTCAGTTCTGGGTGGTTTGTTACACAACAATTGTAACTGGAACATAGAACCATATTTTTAATTTGGGAGGGAGAGTAGAAAGCATGGATGAGACAGGCATGGTGGCTCATGCCTATAATCCCAGTACTTTGAGAGGCCGAGGCAGGAGGATCACTTTAGCCCAGGAATTTGAGTCCAATCTGGGCAACATGGTGAAACCCCACCTTCACAAAAAATTAGCTGGGCATGGTGACATGCACCTGTATTCCTGGCTAGAATCCCTTGAGCCTCCAGCCAAAAAAAAAAAAAAAAAAAAAAAAAAAGAAAGAAAGAAAACATGGTTGGCTTATATACCTTTTGCATGGTACACAGGACATTCTGGATAGGAAGCTAGAAGCCCAGAATGGTCTCATTTTCTGTACTGCCACATTTGGGAGAATTTTTAGGGCCTTTGAGTGATGGGAAATTTCTAGATATCCCCCAAATATCAAAACAAAGCATCAATTGAAAACTTAGATGTCAATGAATCAAATGATACTAATAGTAATCAGATTCTAGGATAATGATACAACTGAGATATGTCAGAAGTGTAAGGGAAGTTAATAAACTAAGATGCATTTTAATTGTCAAAAATGAAGTACTTAACGATATCTTTCATAATAAGAGGCAGCTTGTACAAATCTTTCAGAAATTTTACCCGTTTCACATGTTTAAAAGGCAAAGGAAGACAGAAATAAATTGTGCAAAGTTATATATTGAATTGCTGGTAAATAAAAGACAAAATTACTGGATATGGTTCCTCATGTTTTCTATTGCCTTGCATGTCAAATAGAAACAACCTTCACTGTGGCATTCAAGGCCCTCTCCGATACAGCCCAAACAAGTCTTCCATTGCTCTCTTACTTCATCACACACTCAAGCCAAATAGTTCCTGCTGAATCTCTAACCCATACTGCACATTCCAGCCTCTGAATCTTTGTCTATATTGTTCTTTCTACCTAGGACATAGGTTCTTAATCTTGGGTCCTTGGATGATGAATCTTAGAATGTGAATGAGCCTCCTGAGTGTGAAGCCCACATTTTGTGTAAATTTGCAGATGTGCATTATTCTGGGAAGGAGGTACATAGGATTCAACAGACTTTCATAGGGGGCTGTGAGCCAGTGTTGTTTAAAAATTGCTTACCACCTCCATTTTTTTTGGAGTAACCCCAATTCCCTCATGAGTCCACTTGCTTACTTATTCACAAATATTCATTGAGTACTTGCTCTGTGCCAGATACTGTTCCAGGCACTTGGGATTTAGCAGTGGACCAAACAAGCAAGGATCCTGCCCTTTTGGAATTCAGATTCTAACAGAAGAATCTGGATAATAAATCACAAAATAAAACAAAAAAAGAATAGATAAATTATATAGTATGCTAAAAGATAAGAAGTGCTATATAAGAAAAAAGAAACTGTAAGGAGAATCAGAAATGCTAGGAGAGGGCATTGAAATTTGAAAGAGAATGGTCAGGATAGAACCTACTAAGAAGATGTTTGAGCAATGAGTGGAAGGAAGTTAAGGAAAGATCTATATGGATATCTGAGAGAACATTTGAGCCAGTGCCAGGGACCCGAGATGGGAGTCTACTGTCATGTAAGAGGAACAGCAAAGGCGGCCAATGTGGCTGGAGCCAAGTCAGAGAAAGAGATGTTAGTAGGGATGAAGCTGAGGGGTGCCACAGATCATGTAGGACTTTGAGAGGAATGAGGGGCCACAGGGAGACTGGGAAATACAAGTGATGTCAACTGATCTGTGTTGTGCTGTGAAAAAGTTATAAGGCATGGAAAGGGTGGAGGCAAGGAAACGGTCTAGTAGGCTACTTCAATAATCTAGTTGAGAAGCAATGGTGGCTTGGACCAGGATGATGGTAGTGGAGAAGTCATTAGATTGTAGACCCATACTGTGGTGGAGTCAATAGAATTTCCTCTTAGATCAGATGTAGTATAAGACAGAAAGAAAGGAGACAAGAATGATGTCAAGTGGCCTAAGCAACTGGAAAGATGAAGTTGCCATCAACCCAGATGGCGAAAGTTGTAGGAAAGAAGGTTTTCAGGAGCAAGGCTGGAATTGAGTTCTGGACATGCTACGTTAGATATCTAAGTGGAGATACCTAGCTGGCAGCTGGATGTATGAGTTGAGCTCCAGATAATGTTTACCTGGAGGTAAACATTTGGGAGCCATCAATTATAGATATCATGGAGAGCCATCAGACTAGCCCCACAGCCTACGTTCCTTCTCTAACCTCTTATAACACTTCGCTTATACCTCCCTAGTGAAAATTTTTACATTTTTCTTTGTACTATAGTTTTCTGTATACTTCTTTCATCAACTTTCCTGGACAATAATGTCCTTAAATTATGTCCTATCCAATTTTGCACTCTTCGTTTTGCCTACAAAACATATGGGTTAGGTTGAATCAAAGCTTTTTTTTTAAAGCTCCTATCCACTCAACTTTCATGTTTCAATTGCCAGGACCTGTAAATCGATTGAAAGTAATAACTTTTTTTCTTACTCATCAACATTTGCCATAAAATCTAAGCTCTGTTCCTGGGCAAGATGGCTGAATAGGAACAGCTCCAGTCTGCAGCTCCCAGAGAGGCCAACGCAGAAGGCTGGTGATCTCTGCATTTCCAACTGAGGTACCTGGTTCATCTCACTGGGACTGGTTAGACAGTGGGTGTAGCCCATGAAGGATGAGCCAAAGCAGGGTGGGGCACTGCTTCACCCAGGAAGCACAAGGAGTCAGGGAACTCCCTCCCCTAACCAAGGGAAGCCATGAGGGTCTGTGCCTTGAGTAATGGTGCACTCCTGCCCAGATACTATGCTTTTCTCATGGTCTTTGCAACCCACAGACCAGGAGGTTCCCTCAGGTGCCTACCCCACAAGTGCCCTGGGTTTCAAGCACAAAACTGGGCAGCTTTTGGGCAGTCACCGAGCTAGCTGCAGAAGTATTTTCCATACCCCTGTGGCGCCTGGAATGCCAGCGAGACAGAACCGTTCACTCCCCTGGAAAGGGGGCTGAAGCCAGGGAGCCAAGTGGTCTTGCTCATTGGAGCCCAGCAAGCTAAAATCCACTGGAATGAGAGTACTGCAGCCAGCACAGCAGTCTGAAGTTGACCTGGGACTTTTGAGTTTGGTCGGGGGAGGGGCGTCCACCATTACTGGGGCTTTAGTAGGCAGTTTTCCCTTCACAGTGTAAAGAAAGCTGCCAGGAAGTTCGACCTGGGCAGAGCCGACTGCAGCTTGGTAGAGCTGCTGTAGCCAGACTGCCTCTCTAGATTCCTCCACTCTGGGCAGGGCATTACTGAAAGAAAGGCAGCAGCCCCAGACAGGGGCTTATAGATAAAACTCCCATCTCTCTATCTCCCTGGGACACAGCACCTAGAGGAAGGGGCGGCTGTGGGTGCAGCTTCAGCAGACTTAAACATTCCTGCCTGCTGGCTCTAAAGAGAGCAGTGGATCTCCCAGCATAGCACTCAAGCTCTGTTAAGGGACAGACTGCCTCCTCAGTGGGTCCCTGAACCCTGTGCCTCCTGAAAGGGAGACACCTCCCAGCAGGGGTCGACAGATACCTCAAACAGGACACCTCCAGCTGGCATATGGCTGGTGCCCCTCTGGGACGAGGCTTCCAGAGGAAGGAGAAAGCAGCAATCTTTGCTGTTCTGCAGCCTCCACTGGTGATACTCACGCAAACAGGGTCTGGAATGGACCCCAGCAAACTCCAGCAGACCTGCAGAAGAGGGGACCGACTGGTAGAAAGAAAACTAACAAACAGAAAGCAATAGCACCAACATCAACAAAAAGGATGACCACGCAAAAACTCACTGAAGGTCACCAACAGCAAAGAACAAAGGTAGATAAATCCATGAAGATGAGGAAAACTGGCAAAAAAAGGCTGAAGATTTCAGAAACCAGAATGCCTCCTCTCCTCCAAAGGATCACAACTCCTTGGCAGCAAGGGAAAAAAAACTGGATGGAGAATGAGTTTGATAAATTGACAGAAGTAGGCTTCAGAAAGTGGGTAATAACAAACTCCTCCGAGTTACAGGAGCATGTTCTAATCCAATGCAAGGAAGCTAAGAACTTTGATAAAAGGTTAGAGGAATTGCTAACTAGAATAACCAGTTTAGAGAAAAACATAAATGACCTGATGGAGCTGAAAAACATAGCACAAGAACTTTGTGAAGCATACACAAGTATCAATAGCTGAATTGATAAATCAGAAGAAAGGATATCAGAGATTGAAGATCAACTTAATGAAATAAAGCGTAAAGACAAGATTAGAGAAAAAAGAATGAAACGGAAGGAACAAAGTGTCCAAGAAATATGGGACTATGTGAAAAGACCAAACCTACGTTTGATTGGTGTACCTGGAAGTGACAGGGAGAATGAAATCAAATTGGAAAACACACTTCAGGATATTATCCAGGAGAACTTCCCCAACCCAGCAAGGTAGGCCAACATTCAAATTCAGGAAATACAGAGAACACCACTAAGACACTCCTTGAGAAGAGCAACTCCAAGACACATCATCATCAGATTCAGCAAGGTTGAAATGAAGGAAAAAATGTTAAGGGCAGCCAGAGAGAAAGGTCAGGTTACCCACAAAGGGAAGCCCAACAGACTAACAGTGGATCTCTCTGCAGAAACCCTACAAGCCAGAAGAGAGTAGGGGCCAATATTCAACCTTCTTAAAAAAAGAATTTTCAACTGAGAGTTTCATATCCAGCCAAACTAAGCTTTATAAGTGAAGGAGAAGTGAAGGAGAAATTTACAGTCAAGCAAATGCTGAGGGATTTTGTCACCACCAGGCCTGCTTTACAAGAGCTCCTGAAGGAAGCACTAAATATGAAAAGGAAAAACCGGTACCAGCCAACTGCAAAAACAAACCAAAATGTAAAGACCATTGACACTCTTAAGAAACCGCATCAAGTAATGGGCAAAATAACCAGCTGGCATCATAATTACAGGATCAAATTCACACATAACAATATTAACCTTAAATGTAAATTGGCTAAATGCCCCAATTAAAAGACACAGACTGGCAAATTGGATCAAAAGTCAAGACCCATCAGTATGCTGTATTCAGGAGACCCATCTCACATGCAGAGACACACATAGGCTCAAAATAAAGGGATGGAAGAAGATTTACCAAGCAAATGGAAAGCAAAAAAAGCAAGTGTTGCAATCCTAGTCTCTGATAAAACAGACTTTAAACCAACAAAGATCAAAAGAGACAAAGAAGGCCATTACATAATGGTAAAGGGATCAACACAACAAGAAGAGCGAACTCTCCTAAATATATATGCACCCAATACAGGAGCACCCAGATTCATAAAACAAGTTCTTAGAGACCTACAAAGAGACTTAGACTCCCACACAATAATATTGGGAAACTTTAACACCCCACTGTCTATATTAGACAGATCAATGACACAGAATATTAACAAGGATATTCAGGACTTGAACTCAGCTCTGGAGCTAGCAAACCTAGTAGATGTCTATGGAATTCTCCACCTCAAATCAACAGAATATACATTCTTCTCAGCACTACATAGCACTTATTCTAAAATCAACCACATAATTGGAAGTAAAACATTCCTCAGCAAATGCAAAAGAACAGAAATCATAACAAACAGTCTCTCAGACCACAGTACAATCACATTAGAACTCAGGATTAAGAAACTCACTCAAAACCTCATAACAACATGGAAACTGAACAACCTGCTCCTGAATGACTACTGGGTAAATAACAAAATTGAGGCAGAAATAAATAAGTTATTTGAAACCAGTGAGAACAATGACACAACATACCAGAATCTCTGGTACAGAGCTAAAGTAGTGTTTAGAGGGAAATTTATAGCACTAAATGCCCACAGAAGAAAGCAGGAAAGATCTAAAATCAACACTCTAACATCACAATTAAAAGAACTAGAGAAGCAAGAGCAAACACATTCAAAAGCTAGCAGAAGACAAGAAATAACTAAAGTCAGAGCAGAACTGAAAGAGACAGAGAATTGAAAAACCCTTCGAAAAATCAATGAATCCAGGAGGTGGTATTTTTTTAAAAAATTAACAAAATAGATAGACCACTAACCAGACTAATAAAAAGAGAAGAATGAAATAGACACAATAAAAAATGATAAAGGGGAGATCACCACTGAACCCACAGAAATACAAACTACCATCAGTGAATACTATAAACACCTCTATGCAAATAAGCTAGAAAATCTACAAGAAATGGATAAATTCTTAGACACATACACCCTCCAAAGACTAAACCAGGAAGACGTCGAATCCCTGAATAGACCAAAAACAAGTTCTGAAATTGAGGCAGTAACTGATATCCTACCAACCAAAAAAAGCCCAGAACCAGATGGATTCACAGCTAAATTCTACCAGAGGTACAAAGAGGAAGTGGCACCATTCCTTATGAAACTATTCCCAACAATAGAAAAAGAGTGACTCCTCTCTAACTCATTTTATGAGACCAGCATCATCCTGATACCAAAACCTGGCAGAGATTAAAAAAAAAAAAGAAAATTTCAGGCCAATATCCCTGATGAACATCAATGCGAAAATCCTCAATAAAATACTGGCAAACTGAATCCAGCAGCACATTAAAAATCTTATTCACCATGATCAAGTCGGCTTCATCCCCGGGATGCAAGGCTGGTTCAACATATGCAAATCAATGAATGTAATCCATCACATAAACAGAACCAATGATGAAAACCACATAATTATCTCATTAGATGCAGGAAAAGCCTTCAATAAAATTCAACAACCCTTCATGCTAATAACATTCAATAAACTAGGTATTGATGGAACATATCTCAAAATAATAAGAGCTATTAATGAGAACGCACAGCCAATATCATACTGAATGGGCAAACCTGGAAGGATTCCCTTTGCAAACCAGCACAAGACAAGAATGTCCTCTCTCACCACTCCTATTCAACATAGTATTGGAAGTTCTGGCCAGGGCAATCAGGCAAGAGAAAGAAATAAAGGGTTTTGAAATAGGAAGAGAGGAAGTCAAGTTGTCTCTGTTTGCAGATGACAAGATTGTATATTTAGAAAACCCCGTTGTCCCAGCCCAAAATCTCCTTAAGCTGATAAGTAACTTCAGCAAAGCCTTAGGATACAAATTCAATGTGCAAAAATCACTAGTACTCCTATACACCAATAATAGAGAAACGGAGAGCCAAATCATGAGCAAAGTCCCATTCATAATTGCTACAAAGAGAATAAAATACCTAGAAATACAACTTACATGGGATGTGAAGGACCTCTTCAAGGAG
Source organism: Homo sapiens (assembly GCF_000001405.40). NCBI lineage: Eukaryota > Metazoa > Chordata > Mammalia > Primates > Hominidae > Homo > Homo sapiens. The sequence continues at coordinate 25,358,174 of NC_000003.12, read as the reverse complement.
AACTACAAACCACTGCTCAAGGAAATAAGAGAGGACACAAACAAATGGAAAAACACTCCATGCTCATGGATAGGAAGAATCAATATCGTGATAGATTCAATGTTATTCCCATCAAGCTACTATTGACTTTCTTCACATAATTAGAAAAAACTACTTTAAATTTCATTTGGAACCAAAAAGGAGCCTGTATAGCCAAGACAATCCTAAGCAAAAATAACAAAGCTGGATGAATCATGCTACCTGACTTCAAACTATACTACAAGGCTACAGTAACTGAAACAGCATGGTACTGGTACCAAAACTGATATATAGACCAATGGAAAAGAACAGGGGTCTCAGAAATAACACCACACATCTACAACCATCTGATCTTTGACCGGACAAAAACAAGAAATGGGGAAAGGATTCCCTATTTAATAAGCATTGTTGGGAAAACTGGCTAGCCATATGCAGAAAACTGAAACTGCACCCCTTCCTTACACCTTATACAAAGATTAACTAAAGATGGATTAAAGATTTAAATGTAAGACCTAAAACCATAAAAACCCTAGAAGAAAACCTAGGCAACACCATTCAGGACATAGGCATGGGCAAATACTTCATGACTAAAACACCAAAAGCAACGGCAACAAAAGCCAAAATTGACAAATGAGATCTAATTAAACTGAAGAGCTTCTGCACAGCAAAAGAAACTATCATCAGAGTGAACAGGCAACCTACAGAATGGGAGAAAAGTTTTGTAGTCTATCCATCTGACAAAGGGCTAATATCCAGAATCTACAAGGAACTTAAACAAATTTACAAGAAAAAAACAACCCCAACAAAAAGTGGGAGAAGGATATGAGCAGATACTTTTGAAAAGAAGACATTTATGCAGCCAACAAACATATGAAAGAAAGCTCATTATCACTGGTCATTAAAGAAATGCAAATCAAAACCACAATGAGATACCATCTCATGCTAGTTAGAATGGCGATCATTAAAAAGTCAGGAAACAACAGATGCTGGAGAGGATGTGAAGAAATAGGAATGCTTTTTCACTGTTGGTGGGAGTATAAATTAGTTCAACCATTGTGGGAAACAGTGTGGTGATTCCTCAAGGATCTAGAACTAGAAATACCATTTGACCCAGCAATCTCATTAGTAGGTATATACCCAAAGGATTATAAATCATTCTACTACAAAGACACATGCACACGTATGTTTATTGCAGCACTATTCACAATAGCAAAGACTTGGAACCAACCCAAATGCCCATCAATGTTAGACTGGGTAAAGAAAATGTGGCACATATACACCATGGAATACTATGCAGCCATAAAAAAGAATGAGTTCATGTTCTTTGCAGGGACATGGATGAAGCTGGAAACCATCATTCTCAGCAAACTAACACAGGAACAGAAAACCAAACACCGCATATTCTCACTCATAATTAGGAGTTGAACAATGAGAACATATGGGCCCAGGGAGGGAAACATCATACTTCAGGGCCTGTCAGGGAATGGGGGGCAAGGGGAGTGACAGCATCAGGAGAAATACCTAATGTAGATGATGGGTTGATGGGTGCAGCAAACCACCATGGCACATGTATACCTATGTAACAAACCTGCGCATTCTGCACGTGTATCCCAGAACTTAAAGTATAATAAAAAAAAAGAAAGAAAAAATCTAAGCTCTGTTTCTATTTTTTCTTTCATGTAAATTATTAAAGATTATCAAAGATCATGAAATTATCAAGCAGAATTTCCCTTTAGAAATAGACTATTATAAAAAATAGACTTTTATCAAAACACTAAGAATATTTAATGTAAATAAAACTTAGAAAATGTCAAAAGGCAACGTTTAAACCTTTTTTTCCCTCCTATAGTTAAAATTAGCTTTTGTACTCTGCTTTCACTTAGCTGAACACTTCAGCTTTGGTGGATCTCAAGTTTCTTATCCAGAAGAGGAAGAAACTAGGCTAGAAGATTCTAAAATTCCATAAATACTTCTCTTTGAAAAATTCAGAATGTCTCTGTCAAATCACTAACATCGCTATAGATACAGCACTTACTCTCCTTAAAGCTAAGTGTAATCAGAATACCAGCAAGAAATAGATCTTGTAATCAGCGATCTTTACTACATCTCCTTTCTATTAACTTGCAAATAGAGAATTTTTAAAAATAAAAGAATATTTCTAAAAATGATATGAGCATTTTCTTTGTAATAAAAAAGTTATTTTCCAAGTTCCTGCTTAACTTTTTTTTCTAATTAGTGACAGCTAAGTTCATTATAGACGCATCCCATAAAAAAATAAGAGACTTACTCACAAAGCAAATAAAATTATTTTCTATGTTCTGGCCCAAGTATGTATTATGAGACTTAGGATACAATTTGCATGCCTAAAATGGATCTTGTGATTCTTACATTAAAACTATTTTAGCTAATTATGAGGTTTGGAAAATGCTGTGGTCACAATGTCTTGCTTTCGTTTTGCTTTCAGTCTGATAACACATGATTATATTTAATCATGAACATCCTGATGACTTACAAGCAGCTCTTCTCAAAACTGATTTGCAAGTGCCATCTATAGAATAATGACAATTTTTTTTTAAAAGGTTAAATCAGGCTCAGTGGTTAGTAGTAGAGGTCAAACAAAGCTGGAGAAGTGACAAATAAACAAACAAACAAACAAACTCCAGCCAAATAAACTCCTGTCAAGAAGAGGCTAAGGGGCTATGACTGAAGTGCTTCACTGTGTGACAAAGGGGTTAAAATACAAGGATTCCATCAGATTATCTCAGATCTTAAAGTCCTTGGAGAGTGGGAGATCAGCCAAGGAAAACCCTGCCCTTAGAAGAGATGGATGGAAAAGATTTTTTAAATCCCCTCAAACAAAAAACACGCCCAAACCTAACCACAACAACCAGCCCGATGGTGGCAATCAGGCTTCTCATGCTTGATTCTGACAGGATGTCCCCACATGAATCTCCACTGTTACCCTCGGTACTCAGATTTATTTAAAAACACACATGTAGCACTTTGAACACACCAGGTAGTATTCTAAGCTGTTTACAAATATTATTTAATTTTCCTGTACATCCTATAAGGTAAGCAGTAATAGTATCTTTATTCTCTGGATGTTGACTGTAGACCCAGCAAGGTGCTATAACTTGCCCAAAGTTGCACAGCTTATGAAGTGGAAGAGCTGGGATTCAAACCCAGATAGCCTGAATGCAGAGTGTGTGCTCATGGTTTCATGGTTTCTGTGTTATGCTATGCTGGATGGAAAAGGAAAAGAAAAAAAAAAAAAGACTTTGCAAACAAATGTATGTGGTTCAAAATTCCTCCTTTTCCCAGTTCATGAAACTCAGTAACCCCAGGGAGGACCCCTTCAACAATTGAATAGCAGCAAAGCGCAGGCTGCTTTTTAGCTATGATTGCTCAGTGTATCTAACCCTGTCTCCAATACATCAAACCCAACAAAAGCAAGATGAAATACTGAGGCATTTTACTCAGAATAGTTAAGTGGGGTGCACAGCTTGGTTTATGTTGAGTGCCTAAAAGATGGGCATTGAGGGGAGCCGAGTAAGTTCAGCTTCCAGTTCTTCAATGTATGAGGAAGAATAACAACTCGGTTTGCTTGTACCATGGGAAGGTATTCCATGGCTTATGATAGTTCTTTTTCTCCTTTATCCAAAATAACGTAACATAAAATAAATGAGTAGCGTACACTTCTGGGTCCAAGAGGATGTTGATATAAGTTTTAGAAACGAGAAGAACAGACCACCCCCAAGAGGAAATTCCAGACAGGAAAAACATACCATCAGGGTACACACAATCATAACCTGATTTAGCATCCTATAAAACCACAGTCTCCTCAAGGATTTTCCTGATTACTGTCTTCAGAAGCATGAAAAAGTTACAGGGGATTTTTCTGATTATTGAATGCAAAAGCATGAGAAAGTTCCATGAGTCACATTATAGACTTGTCTAACTTGAAGTTTACCGCCAGGCAGTTTGGAGGGTTACATTTTTGTAACTGCTACATGACAATTCTGGGAAAGGAAACTATGTTAGTCTTAAGAAATCACATTCTCTAAGTGGACCAGAATCTTTCAATCAAGTATCCTTAACTATTTTTGGTGGGGGTGGGGGGTTTGGGGTGGAAAGGAATGGGGAGAGGGTCTTGAATCCCACAAAAACTATGAATGTGCTCCCCCAGAAAAATGCATGAACATATAGTCATAATATACTGCACTTTATATTATGAGATTTGCAAAACTCTTGTTCTCTCTCCTTAGAAAGCATTTCATATATTCAGGCCCTAAAAGAATTCCACAGACAGCTTAAGATGATAGTATAGAACCACTTGAAGTCTGGGTTTATTGTCACAACTGGGTCAAAGACCGCTGGGCCTATTTTTAGGACCTCTCTGGCCTCACCATAATTATCTGGCCAAAGAAGAAAATTTAGGGTTAAGAAGTATGGAAGTATCTGTCAATCATGGCCACCTACAACGTTAAGAGTTATCAGAATTTTGGTTTTAATTACTTTATTTCTTCACAACATTACTGAATCTACTTTGGGGTAAGACAAAAAAAAAAAAAATCTCAGCAGCAGTTTTCCCACAAAAGATATCAATCTTATGGTTAATTTTAACAAGTTAAGAGAAAAAATTACCAGTGAAAAATAACTGGACTCAGATAAGACAAGAAAAAAATAAAAACTTCATAGGAATCTGTATTGATACTGCCAAGCGCAGAAAACAAATCTAAAGGGTCCAGTGTAATGTTTGTCATTGATTCACTCATTCATGATTATGAATTAATTTAAGCAAGTTTCCACTGACACCCTACTACGTGGCAGACTCTATAGTATGGTGATATAAAATTAATTCAGCAGGTTCTGTCCACGAGTGCCACTACAGTACTGTGAGAATTCAGAGCTGGGTTTCTTGCCTCCTGCCATCAACTTAATCACCACTTACCATTGAAAGAGGTGATGAGACAACTAAAAGCCAAACTATAGGAACTCTGTTATCATGGGTCTAAACTTTAAAGTAAAGGCAGCTGTGTGTTGATGATGAAAACATCTCCAAAAGGCAGTTAGAAACTTCACTTGATTTCTGTATTCTAAGTGCCTCACGTATTACTTGGCACATAAGAGGTGCACAACTAGCGTTTGCTCAGAAGATGACTTCTCACTTGGCTTTTCAATGACTTCATAATAGGCAGGATAGTCATGATCATTTATGTTACACAGATGAGAAAAGCCGAGTCTTTGAGAAGTGAATGTCCAAGGACAGTCCAGTTCATACGCTGCAGAGTCACATCTGGAATTCAAGTCTTTTCAGCTCTCAGTTCAGTGTTCTTCCCACTATACACACAGCTCAAGAAGGAAGTGGAAAGTAATGAGTGATGTTACTTATTCCTGAAATGGATGCAGTAAATAATGGAAGAGAAGGTTTGCAAATTTGAGTTGAGCTCTGTTCAGAGCTTCCTAATAATTTTGTCCTGCTGACATGATATAGGTCCATTTTGAGAAAAATGAGCAATAAGCTAATTAGTTAACCAAATTGCAAACAGAAAGTGAGAAAGAAAAAGACAAGAAAAACATTAAGTTTCTTACAAATTGGGGCAGGTTAATACTACAAAAATCTAAGGAGTAATGCTAAAAACAGACTTGCTTGACAAAGAGAAGCCAAGAAAATAAATAACAAATGGTTTTAAACTTGCTTCTGGTAGACTCCCATTATCAGAGGCCTCAAGGCTGTTGCCAAACCCAAGAGAATCTGAGATTGGTGTATGGCCATACCACCATGAATGTGCCCCATCTCATCTGATCTTAGAAGCTAAGCAGGGTTGGCCCTGGTTAGTACTTGGACAGGAGAGAATCTGAGATTGTTTTCCTCTCCTAGTTTTGGAGAGCCAGGGGACAAGTTCATATCAGAAAAGATGGGGATTCAGGTGAAGAGAGAGAGAAAGGAGGCTGGGGTGATGAAAAAGGGAACTGTGTTCACAGTCTTTCATTTAGGTCCCAACATACCCATGGCCTCGCCTTGGTTCACTTTCAGAAGTTCAACTGGGCCACTTCAACGCAGAACTCCAAATTCACTAACTCACAGCTGGTTTTGGGACAGTGCCTTGGAGCAGTGTTTGCATTCAGGGTGCAAACTCACAGGACACTGTTGTTTCTTATTTCGACTTAAAACACATTTGATATTCTAGCATCTCTAGGCCTAGGATCTAAAATGGCTCAGAAAACTCCGACAGCTATAGCATCTTTGAAGAACTTGGTTAAGGTTAGCATAATCAGAAACACTCACATTAGAGCTCTTGGGGAACACTCTTAGCCAGATGGCCTCCTTGTGCAGCCAGACCGGGCTGAGGCTGCTGTGAGTAGAGTAGCCATACTTCAGTGACACAAGCATGAATATGGGTGAGGATGGGGATGGAACAAGGGAAAACAAAAAGACATGGAGGAAAATAACCAGAACACAATCCAACAGAAATATTTAAAATGCTTTTTCAAAGCAATTTTTTTAACCTCTTTTGAAAACGCCCAAGTGTCTTCCGGGCTGGTAAAATGGTTGGAAACCATAGCACTGAGGACCACTTTGCACAGAGCCAGAATAAATGGGTTTCAGATAAAGACTCCATAAATGATAAGAAATAGACTGGGCATTCAAAGGCGAGGTCCCACAAGTGACAGATCTAGGTGACCTGTAACCAAATGAGATGCAAGCACATAATATTCATTAAGAAAATCCGATTTTTCTGTGATCGATAAACAATCAAAGGAGTGCAGGGACAGGAGGATGAGCACAAATGAGGATTCTAACAAATTATACCGAATTTTCAAAGGGATGCTATAGAAAAAAAGAAAAAATATATGGATTAGTAGAAAGCAAACCAGAGAGAAAAAGAAAAGAAAGAAAGAAAAAGAAAGCAAGCCAGCAAGCCTGCCCGCCCCTCTCCATCAAGTGAAAGACAGAATATAATGAAAAACTACCTGGTTAAGCCTCTTTTTAGGCATGAATAGCTAATGCTCACTAACCAGTCTTAGCAAGGATAAGGATATCCAAGTTTTAATTGGAAATAATATAGCGCTGCACCAGATGCTTATTCCTTAAAACTAAGACGTTAGATAAAGCCAGGTTCATGTTTCTCCTACCTCTGTGTTCGGAAACGGGAGCACAAAGCCTAATTGGCCAAATAAAGGAACTGGAGGCTCTACAGAAAAAGCCTCTAACCCCATGATTGATGTCCATTGACACCTCCAAACAATGACACCATGGGAACTGGCAGAGGGTACACCCCATATGCAACAAGGGGACATGCAGCCCAGGCTCTACAGAGAGAGACAAACCTCAGCCATAGCCCCTGCATCATAGCAGCTTATTTTGAAGTTGTCATGTCTGCGTATTCTCATATGCAGATTCTCAGTTATGAAATTTATATAATCATTCATGCAATAAATATTTATGAGGAGCTTTCTATGTGCCAGGCACTCTCGATGCTGGGCACCCAGCGTAGAGCAAAAGAGACCGAGTGTCTTCCCCTGGGAGTTTTACATTTGACTGGAGGGAAACAGACAATAACCAAGTAAACAACTACTTAATAAAGCATTAGGCAGTGGTGAGTGCTATGAAGAAAAAAGGAGGCAGGATAAGGGGAGATAAAGTAGCTAGAAGAGTGTTTGGGCAGAAAGTTAATAGAGATGCCTATTCAGCAGACACATGTCCTTGCACTCCAACAATTCCCTCTCAACTAAAGTCAAAGCCACTATTCCCTCTTTGGGAAGCACTATTGTTCATCCTGAGATTAACAACCTGCCTCTGTTTATGCTGAGCTGGCCTGATTGTGGTATGGAATGCAAAGAGCTCCGAAACAGTAGGGAGTGGAAAATCCAGCATCATCATGACTTCAGTAGGCGGTTGCTTTGGTGGGCTCCAAAGACCCACACTTGCTGGTGTCCATGCCCCTGTGTCTACTGTCTCCTTGAGTTTGGGCTGGCTTTGTGACTCATTTTAACCAGCAGAATGTAATGGAAGCAATGATGGGCCAGTTCCAAGCTTAAGCCTACAGAAAGTCTGGTAGTTTCTGCTTTTACATGCTGGGTACAGCCAGGCACCTTGTAAGAAGCCCTACTACCCCGAGACCAACCTGCTGTGAGAAGCCCAATCCAGTCATGTGGTGAGACCACAGAGAGGAAAACCAAGGCCCCAGCCAACAGCTCCAGTACCAACTTGTCAATCAAAGTGAGTGAAGCCCATTTGGAAATAGACTGTTCTGGCTTAGCTGAGCCACCCTAGCTGACCCTACACAGAGCAGAGTCCTACCAAGAATGGTGCAAATTGTAGACTCATGAGCAAAGAAACAGAAGGGTTGTTTTAAGCCACTGAATGTTGGGGGTAGTTTTGTTACTCAGCAATAATTATTGAAAAAAAATGACTTTCAATTTCAAAATTAAAAGACACAAAACACATAGAACTTTTAAATGTACAACTTTGGTTTAAATTTTTTTTTGTTTGTTTAGAATTTTTTGTTGGCTGTCTGTGCTTTTGATTGTAAAATATCTCATTTGAGGACATGAATTGCTGGATCTCAAATACAGGAAAAATACGTTCTGATTTAAGGCTTAAAAGTAGAGATGCCTGGATTAGGAGGACAATATGTTTCTGCTGACCTATTCATCTTACATGGGCCAAACTTAACGTCCTGCCATAATTCTGTAAGTAGGAAGTTGAACTAGAATTGACCTCAGTTAGCATTTCCCAACGCAAGTGACAATACCCACCCTGGAATTTCTGACAACACTATCAACCTCATACAGCAGCCACATGCTGGCCATCCTCGAAAAGTGCTGGCAACAAAGTCTTGTTCAAACAGACGGACAAATCTGCCTAGTTTTATGCAAAGGAAAAGGAAAAGCAAAGCAATTAATTCACCCTGGGGAAACATGCTGAGGGCATGAATTTACCAGGTAGTGCAAGTCACTGTCAGCTGCATTCACAAAGAGGATGCACCATCCTTCCCCTGTCCTCTGAGCCCTTTCCGCCTTCATTGGGGGAAGGGTAACGGATAGTGTGGAGTGGATGGAAGGGAAATGTAGGACATGAATGGGTAATATAAACTGGAATGTAAAGGGAACATTACTTCTTGATGGCATTGATCCTAACGAGATTTGTATTATATATACCAAAGATCTGGGGGAGAATGCAACCTGGGGAGTCTTCAAGATGCTCTACTGCAGTGTTTCTGAAAGTGTGGTCCCTAAGTCCAGCAGCATAGGCTTCATATGGAAACTCATCAGAAATGCAAATCCTTGGGTCCTACCCCAGACCGACTTAATCAGAAACTTTGGGAGTTACAAACCCTCCAGTTGGCTTGGATGCGTACTCAAGTTTGGGAACCACTAAATGTGTTGAAATTCAGGGAGAAAAGATTAGAACTTCTGTTTTTAATTTTTAGAAAAAACGTTAAGATTTACTGACATTTAAATTTACTAACATTTAACATTAACTCTTGTGTTCTTATCTGCTCTGTAAGTTGTGGGTCATGTGTCATGTGCAATTTCCACAACCCAAAGGACTTGCAATTATTATCCCTACTTGTTCATTCACTTTCAGCTTGCAGTATTTTTTACTTAAACCCACTGGTGGATTTACAAATTATATTACCCACTTTTAATTTCACTAACCTGTCTCAAATGGCCAAGCGGCTTGATTCCTGCAAAGAAGCCAACAAGCCTAAGCAAATAAGAAAATGGGCAGAGCTGACACTTTTATAATCTCTTCCGAATCACACCACCACATTGCTCCCACTATAGTTATTATTGCAAATATTTTAGTGAGTACCAAAATAAATTTTTATTTAAGATAATAAAATTTAAAATATCTAAGCAATTATTTCATTTTATGTTTTAGTTTTATATATCTGTTTTTATATAGTTTAAAAGAAACCTGAGGCTTATGAGGAAACTGAGGTTCAGTGGGGTTACCTAAATTTGTCAAAAATGTAAGGCCAAGATTTAAACTCTGGAACTCTGCTGGATCTCACAGCCTGTTGCTATCAGCTGTGTGGTGTATTAGCCCATGAAGCCTATGAAGATCATTATGGAAGATATAGGTTGGCCACACAAGACTGGAACAGGTGAAAAATGTGCATTAATCAGTACGTTTGCAATGATTCTGGGAAGACAGGGCCAGTATTGCCCTCAAGGAATCTAGACTAATTGGAAGTAGTAAGGACAGATCAGATAAACTTTCCTGAGTAGAGTCTTCTGTGATATTACCAGGGCTGTACATACTCCTGCAACATCACCAGTGCTGGAAGTGCTCTGCGTTATCACCAGTGCTGGGATTTGCCATGTGTCTTGCAGGCAATGATGAACATGTGTGAATGATTGGAGTTTCATTGCATTCACTCTTCCGCCTGTCACATTGATTCCCTTCTTCATAAAATACAAATCCTGAAAACTGGTATGGATTTAAATAGCATGAGCTTTCGGGCCCTTTGCTAATTTTACAAAATGTCTAAACCTGAAGTTTCTGGTACCATGATACCTTTCCATGCCTTTTGGCTGCTAACTTGGGCTCCTTTGTCACTGCGTTTGGAAAAATAAGTTTGCACAAAGTGAACTTTATAAGAAAGTAATAATAAGATAGAGAAAACTTCATTTAAAAATCTAAGGGTGCCTAAAGGCAATTTTCTTTGTTATATATAATTGATAATTTTTGTAGAACACTATCATCAAATACAGCTTTTAGGTGAGTGGCAATGACTACCTTTTGATGGGATATACCATAGCTCAGGACTGCCAGCTCTACCTTGTCATAGGCTGGATAGCTGGTCAAGTCCGCCATGAAGGGTGGAAAGCCTCATCCATTTTTCACTTACGTTACTGAATTTGCATTCCACATTGCATCATTTCAGAACTCCCTTACACCTTAGTAATTTCATCAGATCCAACCAGCATGAAGCCAGTCAGCCAGCCAGCTCTAGATATACCTAATTGTTCAATTTCTTAGAGTCTGCATGTGGACAGCTAAACCTTGCTGGGGGAAAATCCATGGTGTCAGTTTTACCACCTGGTAATCTGGTATGTTTTCCCGGTCAACCTACTCCTTCATTCTCAACCACCACAGTTTTAAAGCTTCCCTCTTCTGAAACCTATATTCCCAATGCTTTCTCTTCACAACACTCGTTAGAGTTTGTATACCTACATGGAAGACTACTCATGAACAATCCTCTTACTAACTTGACTATAGCCTATGAGGGCAGACCTAATATCAATTTTGCTCACCAGAGCCTCCTTTTGGGGGCCTGGCACAGGGTAGATCCCCCAATAGGCCCTCAAAAATTGAGGGTTTGCTGTTTGATGCGAGATGAGTAGCTGCTTTCAAAACTTGACCAGTGGGCCATGTCCCCCTCCCAACTGCCAGCAAGTCTTGTAGGGGGCCTCAAACAGCCTTGTCCAAACAGCTATGTCAAAACATCCTGTGTTGACGGAGGCAGCAATCAGCCACTTCGAGCTTCCTGATTAATTGGTGAGAGACAATCAGGGCACATTCTGCAGTGGCTGCACAGTTTAAGTGATGTCCCACATCAGCCATGGGATGAAGTTTCTAAGGGCAAAATTGCCAGGGACTGGTGAGCTCATCTGAGACATACAGGAAACAGGGAGTAGAGATAAAAAGCAATAAATTCAATAAAAATGTTAATTTGTTTAGCCATCAATTTTTAATCATTTGACCACCTAATTAATTAATTAGTTTTGTTTGGACTGTAGTTCCTTCCTGAAAGCATTTGGGGCTGATGACTATAAAAGACACAAATACAATAACCCTAAAGGTTATTAAAAATAAGTCAGGAGAAATGTTGGCTTTCACTTTACTCCCTGTCTCAAGAAAATTCAGGCAACCAAGCTAGAGGATGTTGACCCTGGGGATGCTCTAATAAGATCCAGATTAAGGAAATGGCAAAAAAGAATTTAGAGACATGGAGAGATTAAAAATAAACGGAAAAGGTATGGAAGTTGTATCTGAATAAGGACAAGACTGAGAGACTACATGGAGAGAGGCCTCAGCTGTCCTTGCTTTGGCCATCCTAGACCAGAGTGTTCACAACTAACCCACCACAGATGCATGAGTGAACCCAGCGGCGATCAGTCAACCGCAGCCCGGGTCAGAAGAACTACTCATCGGAGCCAGCCCCAAACTGCAGACTTTGTAGAATCATGAACTAAACTAAATGGTGGTTTAAACATTTTTCTCTCTTTTTTTAAACTGACATGTGATAATTATACATATTTAGTGGTGGTTGTTTTAAGAAATGAATTTTGGAGGTGTCTCTTAGGTAGCAAAAATTAACTGATACAGTTCATTTCATGCACAATCACTCTGAGAAACTTATTTACTTCAATCTTCAGCTTTACAGGATTAACGATTAACAATATCTTTTTAGCTTTTCCTAAATTCCACTTAAATTTAGTCCTTTGATGAATTTTTTTTTTTTTTTTTTTTTTGAGACGGAGTCTCACTCTGTCACCCAGGCTGGAGTGCAGTGGCACGATCTCGGCTCACTGCAACCTCCACCTCTTGGGTTCAAGCAATTCTCCTGCCTCAGCCTCCCGAGTAGCTAGGACTACAGGCATGCACCACCACACCCGGCTAATTTTTGTATTTTTAGTAGAGACAGAGTTTCACCATATTGGCCAGGCTGGTCTCAAACTCCTGACCTTGTGATCCACCCACCTCAGCCTCCCAAAGTGCTGGGATTACAGGCGTGAGCCACCATGCCCAGCCAGATGAATTGCTTATAGTTTAACTCTATTTGCCAATATTATGATTATTGGGCACAACAGCCGAAAAGGAAAAATAAAGTGCTATGAATTTCTGCTCAGCAGCCTCAGTTGCTTCTTTTTCATGGAAAAAACAAACAAACAAACAAAAAACCCAAACCAAAAAACCTCCAGAGGTTACATTTGACTCTTACAGCACTGAACTCAGCTTTTGTGAGTTTGGGTTGAGAACACTTTTTCTCTTTAGGACCCTGAGTCTGGGCTTGACCTAGAAAATCAACACCCACAGATATTTTCTACAAGGCGGTAAGTCAAACAATCCAAACTTCAGCATGTCTGCTCTCTCATTTTAAGACAGTCTTTGTTTGTAAACCAAAAAAACAAGCATAAAGAGAAAAAAGAAAATGCTTAAGACCATAAATGTATACTTTAACTTACAAACATGCCAAATACTTTTCAGAGACCGTGCATGAGAATGACAATTTAAGCTTAAGCCCTAAAAACTTTCCACTCTCTCTAGCTCCCACATGTGTATAAAAGGTTTAAATGAACAAGAAAAACATGCTGGGATTAGGATTTGATTCCAAAAAGCTTTTATAGTTATATAGAATGACCAGGAGTTACACTAGCTTCAAAAGACACACCAAATAAAAACTGATTTTTATCAAATAGTGTTAATACTTTACAGACCAAAGTTGTTTTCACAAAGTATTCCCATAATGAGGAGCTTGCCAAGCTGTGTCAATGTTCATGGCTTTAGGGGTCCCATCTTGGAACTTTCAAATTCAGTCAAAAGGAAAAAACATGTGTTTGTCTTTTTGTGCTTTAAAATTTGTCAACAAATACCAAACTGAGCACTTCTGAAACATGAATTGTAGGCCCATTCCTGACTCAGTTTACCACTGACACAATGATCATTAGGCATACCGCAGTAGAGTGTGGCAGATGCATTTTGATAAGTTATTTTGTTAATTAGCTCAACCACTTACCAATCTCTCAGACATAAACACTACTTAGAAATTAATTGCTCTTAATTTGTTAGTATGAAAACTTGCCTAAGATTCTCAGGGACCTCAGACAAAAATTAATAAACATAACTTTTTAAAAAAACAAAGCACCAAATTTTTTCATACGTATGATGTGACTATCTTCTTGAAATAACTCAAAAGTTCTCCAGCAACTTAGCTTGTAACTCATTTCAAATAAGATTGCATGAAAGAAGAAATGAAGAGTTTAATATGCCCCATCACCCCTGAGGCAATTAGTTTGGAGAAGTGACACAAGTCATTTAAAGAAAGTTTCTGGAGTACATTGCCAGGCTCCTGATCCTTAGCCTAACACTTCTGCCGACATAAATTCTTTGGTCTCCATTTGCCAAATGGATATGCCACACATTTAGAGACCATGATGGCAGGCATCAAACTACACTTTCCTGTCATAATTTCTGGGTCTTTTTGTCTGCTTCAATTTCCCTTTTTCTGAGCTGCCATCCTCTTTCCTTTTAGTTCCTTCTTCACCAAGGCCCTTGTATTTTCCTCATGACAAGACTTACGATCGAAAACAGCAGCTCCCAAACTTTGCCACACCTGAACATGTATTAATAATTAGATAATCATTATTCCCTGATTTTTTTGTCCTGGAATCCTTTTGGGGTTACATAGTTAAATACGGACTTGAAGAGTAACAAACCATATACCTCTTAGAAAGATACAACATACATTAGTGTATCAAACACTGTAACTATTTAATCCAATATTGCTCAAATTAAAGAATGTATTTATTTTAAGGAACTGGGTTCTGTGGAACATAAATTTGGGAAAATTTCCTTTTCCAATTTTTTTTTCTGGAAAAAAGTTTTTCTTAAGCATTTTGGCTAACTCAGGGCTTCATGTTCTATTCAAAATATAGGAAATACTGCTTGTAAAAAAAAAAGCCAGAAATGAGGGAAAGAAATGAAATTAATCTCCTCCAGACTTCAATTACATCTCTTCTTTTTTACAACTATGCATTAAAGACAAAGGGGGAGAAAACTGTAAGTGTTTAATTGGGAAAATATTGACTGATAATATGCTATAGGCATGGCACTCTTCTGGGACCAGAGAAACTGAGAGCAACAAGACATGGTTCTTACCTCCAAGATTCTCATAGCCTAGAGTAGAAGAGCAGAGAGAAGAGCAGAAGATGGTAGAAGTGCTTTGAAACCTGTATCCACAAGAGTTTGTAGAGTAGCCACTTTGTGTTCAGGTCTTTCCCTCCATGCAGAACCTTTAAAACTGCACCTAAAACCCTCATATTCTAACTACTGCCTCAGCATTACACACACACACACACACACACACACACACACACACACACACACACACAAAGTACTTGCAAAATGTAAACAGGAAATCAGCCACACTGTGTTATGAATACTTTTCCCCTCCCCCCTCTTAAACCATGAGCTCTGGCATCTCTTTTTCTGATACTCACCACAAAGCAGCACTGGGCTCCATCACAAATCTTTCAAGGCTACAACCTCTACCACTTTAGATCCTTCTATTTTCTTTGTACTTCAGATGAGATTAAGCCCAGGCCAAGCTGTGCTACCTACCGTCTCTGTTTCTGCTTTTGCATCATTAAAAAGACCATGAAAAAAAGATTAGCTACCAAGGCAGAAAAATGTATCATAGGTAGGGCTGCGTTCAGCTGCAGGTAAGAGAAAACCTAATTACAGTGGCTTAAATAGAGGTGGGTTATACTTTTCTCATTTAATAATTAGTGCAGGCATAGGCAGTTTGCTGATATTGGGTCCAACCAGGAATAAAAAAAAGAAGGTTGGTACTTGTTTTGCCTCTCCTTTTTAACAGAAAAGCAAAAGCTTTCCCAGAAATCCTGTCTCAGCAGATCTGCTTTTTATCCTGTTGACCAAAATGGTGTCATACGGCTGTAAGAGAGAATGGGAAAGTGAGACTGAATGGCTGTCCTAGCAGCCGATGAAGATTCTTTGCCACAAGATCAATCCTGGTTCAACTCCCAGAGATTTTTTGAAAGGGTTGGCATCCAAGTTCCTTTAGTGATAAAGAACTAAAATGCTGAAATACTGCAATAAGTCTATAAATTAAAAATGTTATACATAGAGTTTATTAGTTCTACCTTCCCTTCATACTGTGACTAAACTCATCACTTTCTTGAACTGAAATGGAGAAATCCAAGATCACTGGTCAAACTTCACGTGATTCCTGAAACTGCAGTCTGCTTAACAACTTGAGTATCTCTTTTTCTTATTTTTCCATATTAGTTATTTCTTGATGGATTCATTCATTCAGTAAATATTTATTGAGGATCTACTATGTGTCAAGCATTGTAATAGGTGCTACAATACAATGGGGAACAAGATACATACATTTCTTCTTCTACGAAGTGTTGTTTTAGTGGAAGAGACAGATACAATGTATTTAATTATAATTGTGATACATGCTATGTAGGGAAAGAACAAAGTAAAATGAGGATATTACAGGAAATTAGCGTAGTTTGAGGTGTGTCAGGAAAAGCTTTCCCAAGGCTCAACGAAACCAGGGCCTCTCTGCCTCAGCACTTTTGACATTTTGGGTCAGACAATTCTTTGTTATGGGGGGCTGTTTTGCTCATAGTGGGAGGTTTAGTGGCATCCCTTGACCTCTACCCACTAGATACCGGTGGCTTTCCCCTTCCAGTTGTGACAACCAAAAGTAGTTCTAAACATAGTCAAATATCCCTGGGGGCAAAATTATCCCCAGTTGAGAACTACTGATTTAAATAAAGACTTGGAAGATGAATAGGAGAGTCAGTCACACCACAGAGAGAAGTCATCAATTCCTGTCCATCTTTCACCCCAACCCTTCCTTTGGTAAACTTTTAAGCCCTCTTGCTTTATTCAAAGAGCTTTAAAACCTCTTCTAGGAAGTCTTTGCTGAAGACAAAATAGGTGGCAAATTCTCTCTGGCTCTCACCCTGAATAAACCATGAGTTCCACAACCTTTTTCTACTCAGTATTTCACAATGTCTGGAAACATATATAATGCTATTTCACTTTTTCACAGATGGAAGATGTCCTTGGTGATCTTATGTATATTCACCTATGTTTCCAGACTTTATGGACAGCCTCTGTACTTCTTTCTTTTGAGCACTCCAGAGACAAGTATTAAAGGTCTGCTTCATGCCAGGCACGGTCTTAGATGCCACAGTTTAGATATGAGTAACAGAAGACTTTTGGTCTCCAAGAACTCATCGTATTGCTTTGCTCAGGTACAACACAGAAGAAGCTGTAGAGGCAAAGTTGAGTGTTCAGTTAATTATGTTCTGCTGGCTGCATGTCCTTTCCAATGAACACAGATTGAGAGGCAAAGACAACGCCTATTTAGCTCACAATTCAGCACCTAGGAGGTTATACAGAAAATATCTGCAGAAGATTTGATTGATAATCCTGATATAAAATGATTAATGAGAATGATTCTGTACTCACTCAGATAACCTCACCTGGAAAGGCAATTCTACTCAGCTTCATTCCTCATAATTATTTGCTGAATAAATTGAGACTTGATTTTCATTTGCTTCAAGCTCTGTCAATGGCTTCTCCAAAGCGAGATCCTCCCTAAAATTCCTTGCCAGGCTTTGACCTACTTCCTTCTTGTTCTCCAGACAGAGCTTCCCCCTAAAATCTCTCTTGTTTTTCACCTGTCTAGCCAAATCAACTGCCAAGAATAGGAATGCTGAAGTGAGGCAAAGTATTTATTTCCTGCTTTGTAGAGCCAGATACTTTAAATGGAGAAAAAAAGTCCTCACTTGCTTCTAAGTAATGTTTTGTTTTGGTCAGAGCCACACATTAATTCACATGTCCATGCTGCTTGTAAAATAAAACCAGAGGCATAAGAACTGATAAGAATACGCATTCCTATTTCCTCTCTCTACAAAAGAAAGCCTGATGGTGGTGGCTCATCACTTGTGAACAATGGACTCAAAATTTTAAAGAAAACAGGGCTTAGCATGAAGGGATGGTTATATCTAGTCCTCACATAAATGGGAAATTGAACTTACATTCCATGGAGGCAGAAGCAACTCACTAGGGAAGCTTCCTACAGAAACAAAAATTATTAAAACAACATGATGAGGTAAGTATAGAAGTACAATAAAGTCACCTGTTTTTTTTCCATTAGTCTTTCAGAGTCCTTTGTAGTCAGCCCAGTGCAGTGACTGATGAGCACCAAACTCCTCATTCTTCTTGAAAGGGAGAAACATGTCAGCAGGTCTCTGCATTTTACTATCAGTGATGTTCATCCCACGTGTTCTCCTTCGCTTTACATGCTCTGTACCAATAGCTAGTAGGCTGCAGTCTTCTTTTTCATATGTCCATGGCAGGGTCTTTAAACCAATTCAGGACCTTCTGCATGGCTCAAACTTGGGTCACCTCCACAGTAGGCCTCTTACTTATTTTTTAGAAATTGTTTAAATTGCAATATAAAAACTGCAGCCAGAGTTGTGCAAGTTTTATGCAGTTTTGTGGAAACTGTTGAGGATGATCTTTTCCCAGAAAATGAATAGGTTTCCAAGCATTGCAGTATATGTGATTAGTTGAGCCCAGTCTTCAGACCTTCTCTGGAGGTACAATGCTATGGCTCCTGGGAATGTAATACAGTTGACTCTTAACATCCAAACCACGGCTATAACACAGGATCCAAGAGAGCAAGATCCCTGTGCCTTTGTGGGTGTATGTGTTAAAACCAGAATGCCTTTTTTTGGGGGAAATGCTCTCAAATTAGGCAAACAGTGTGATTAAAAAAAAAAAAAAACTTCAGCTGAATTAAATTTAATGGAATTTAATTGAGAAACAAACGATTTGCGATTCCAGCAGCCTCCTGAGTCAGAGTAGACTCAGAGACTCCCGCGCAGCCACGTGGTGGAAGATTTATGGACAGAAAAAGGAAAGTGACGTTCCGAAAACAGAAGTGAGGTACAGAAAGCGTTGAATTGGTTACAGCTCAGTGTTTGCCCTACTTGAACATGGTTCAAACAGCTGGCTACATTTGACTGGCCAAACTCAGTGACTGGCACAAGTGAGGCTACAGAGTATTTACACTTCCAGTTGTTATACTTCACGATGTACAGAGAAACCTTCAGGCCAAACTTAAAATATGGAAGGAGGCAGCTTTAGGCTAAACTTCATTTAGCAAGTGAGGTTTGTTTCGGTAGGACAAGGCAATACAATTTGATCCTGGGAGACTTCTCCTTTAAGGGTGTTTCAAAACAATTTAATATTTTCAGATTATGTGACTTCCATTTCTGTTAAGCTAGTCTTGAATTTATTATGAAGTAAAGAACATAGACCTTTCAAGTGCAAGTTTTATTGCTATTACAGTCTCAGGTGAGGTGATAATCAAATATTTATTATATGGAAAGTAGTGAGCACTACTACTCAGAATGGATCTCAACTGTTCTCTCAGAGACCCGATTTTGAAGGCCCCCTGCTGTGCCAAGTGCTAACCTTTGAGTGGTGATTTTGGGAAGGTCTGGTGTGGTGACCCTGGTGAGGAAAGGCTCAGGGTAGTGGCCACTTACCAAGGACTACACAAATATTTCAGTATTTTAATAACCATTAGAGTTGTATTAGTGCAAACTGATGAATGTCAGCCTTTCCTGTATAAAATTAAATAGATAAGTGAATGAACAAATGACTTAAACTCTTATGAAGAAGCAACATGACCTGAGTCTTCCAGAAACCCACAGAAGCTTGTGCAGATGAGTTTGGTTTGCTGAATCTTTTCTTTTGAACTTCCCTATGGTTAAAAGGGAGGTTCCTAGCAGGCTGGCAGCTGCCTTTTGGCTAGATGTCAAAGTAACTAGAGAGTGTAAATGATTCCAGCCAAACCATCAATAATTGACAGTGGGTAATTCAGTACATAGACTCTCCAGCCGCCTATCTACAAAGGTGGCAAAGAGAATGTCTCTCTGTTTCTCTTCACCCATTCAATTTAGACAACAGCCCACCCTTCAATAATGCCACACATTCCAATCATGAAAAACAAATGGTGTGACAATAGCCAGAGGACTTTCAGAGCAGAGCATCCCTTTTGTAAATACAGCCTCTAGATACTATCTCTTGCTCTCCCATGGGATGCCTGCTGCAAAAGAGGCTGAAATGCAATGGATTAGGAAATTAGGGCTTTTATGGTCTAAGTGACCAAAATGTAGCTCATGAGTTTCAGAAAACTTTTATGTCTTGGTACTTTGCTTAATTCTGTGTGTGTGTGTGTGTGTGTGTGTGTGTGTGTGTGTGTTGGGGGTTTGGAGGGGGGTGACATACACATGCTTCAATGCTCAATAACGGTGATTTTATTGTGAAACCTGTGGTTCAGTGAAAGATATAGTGTTGAATGTTTGTAGAGATAAATTACAGTTTTTAGATCTAATTGACCTACGCTTTTGATTATTCTGTCTAGGTAAACTTAGTTCAACTAAATTCATTAATTTATTAATCCAACAAATATTTATTGAGTATCCACTCTAAATCACCTACTCTTCTAAGGCTCTGGGGATGTAGACAGGGAAGAGGGCAAACAAGAAACGTATACTCCTGGAATGTACATTCTAGGGCAAAAAAGGTATTTATAATTTCAGGTAATAGTGCTGCACACAAAAAAATAAAGCAGGGTAAAGGGTTAGAGGTGGCTGAGGGTATCTTAATGAGGGTGATCATGGAAAGCCTTTGTAAGGAGGTGGTGTCTGAAGAAGTAATTGAAAAATATGAGGGGAAGAGCCACGTAAAGATTTGGTGGAAGAACATTTCAGGCAGAGAGAACAATAAAAGCAAAAGCCTTGAGATGGGAATGATGTCGATGCATTTCAGACACATTAAGAAGTTGACTGTCCTGAGTAGAATGAATGAGGGTGCAAATGTAGAAAGTGAGGCTAAATGTA
Source organism: Homo sapiens (assembly GCF_000001405.40). Taxonomy (NCBI): domain Eukaryota; kingdom Metazoa; phylum Chordata; class Mammalia; order Primates; family Hominidae; genus Homo; species Homo sapiens. The sequence continues at coordinate 25,337,456 of NC_000003.12, read as the reverse complement.
GCTATTGGTAAAGCCCTGTAAGATGAGGTCTTCTGACACATTGAGGGAACTTTTCAAATAAATGCTGTAGATTCTCTCTGAATTACTAAGAGCTTCCTAAATTAACTATAATGGTTGTGATTAGGATTCTGAATTGGAGAATCATGTTTATACATACAATACTTTTTAAATTATTGTTGATCCATGGAATATTTTGCCTTGCTATTCTGTAGTGAATGTATTCTAACTTTTTTGTGGGGGTGGGGGTTGGTAAGAAAAAGGATGGTGGTAATAGTGGTTGACATATCCATAGATGAGCAAAATGTACATTTCTTGTTCCTGCCTCTTCTAATTTAGTACATGGCCTCAAATCTCTCACTTTTCAGGGGCATCCCATTCTGATGCTGAGATCTAATGGAGTTTAGCTCTACTAGAAAGTAATTTCTGTGAGGGCAGCGACTTGTTCATCACTGCATCCATGGCGATTTATAAATAATTATTGAACTCGTCCACACACTCTGCCCAGCTTCATTTACTTCCTTGTCCTTTATCTTTCCTCCCTTAAGCCTCAGAGTAGGACCCTGTTCTGAGAGGAGCACAGCAGGACACTCTGGGTCTCCCAAGTGAGCCGTTCTACAGCGTCAATCACTCTCTCATCCTGAACATAATGTGATACAGACCATTTCTTGGAAAAACCCCAATTCTCCCGGTATTGCTTGGCCACATTAACCTTTAGGTAATTGGCACTAAACCTAGGATTAGTTCAGTGGAATTCCAGCTAATGAGAGAGGTGGCCATAAATGTCCAAATGTCATTGTTGAGAATTTGTTTCAAGTACCATATGTTGTTGGGCAGAGAGGAAGGAACATCCCTCCTTATCCCGCTCCAAAGCTGAAATACTTATAAGCATTTAACCTCAAAGAAGAATTGGGCCAGGAAGTTGTGTTACAGAGAAGTCTAACGTTTGATTTTTGCCCACAAGAGGTTTAAAATCTACTAAGGAATAATGACAATAAGAAGCCATTAAACAAATACTAAATGAATAAAATACATTTTATTAACAAGTGCCTTGAACTCTAAAAGCACCTAAAATATTAGAAAATAGTAAGTACTGAAGTTATCTGTGGAATTTAATTGTGTTATTTATCTTGAGGCTATTATTACTTATTTTTAAAGCATGTATGTCATTCTCATAATAGACTATATCTCTAAAAGAAAAGGTGTAAGAAAGAAAAACTACTAAATCTCTGAACTCTAGGAGAGTGACTTCTCTTAGCATTTTGGTTTATATTCTTCCAGTTGTCTTTATTTTTCTCTTCTTACATAGATAAGATCATATGGAATACATAATTTTATTTCCTTTTTTCCTCTTAAGATCACAGCATGCTTTGAATGTTTTTTTTTTTTTCCCTCCCCAGTGGGGGTGTCTTCTGGTGAAAACTGAAAAAAACCTATTAGGAAAATTCTAAAAGAACTCTAACACTTGTTATATATGTTTTAAAAACCTGTGTTTTAGAGGATGGATAATACTCAAATAAATGAACATTTATTAATGAGACTTTGAAAGTTTATGTATGGCTATACTACTAAATTATTTCCCCATTTAAATGCTTTACATGTTCTCCTGTATTTTCCTGTGGACTGTTCCCTGGCCACATAGGTGACAAAATATCAGTACAAGAAGAGAATATAGCAGAGATCATAATAGATGAGGTTGTCAGAGGCAGAAACAGAGTCTCCCTGTCCACTCTTGCAGAAAGTAAATGTGAAATTCTGGCAATTTGGTTGGGTTATTTGGTCTCCAGCAAGGCCCCTCTCAGGAAGTGAACTCACAGTGGCCTTTCAGTTGACAGCCAGAAGATGGGGTGAATGCTGTTAGCAGTTACCCTAGGGCAGAAAATTTAAGAGGTGACTGCACAATGGAACTGGGGAAGCCAAGAGAAGGTAATGAGGTGCCAAACCTGGCCTGATATGCACAAGGCAGGAGACAGAAGCCAATAAAATACATGCCAACATGCCGGGCCACAGAGGTCTCTCACACAGTGGATTGCTTCTGCAAAGCTTTTCAGTTCATAATCAGTGCCCTGCAACTGACAATTATTTTTATCCAAGAATTAATTTTTAAAAATCCACTGGCTCTGCCTTCTAGGCACTTAGGATGGCCTTCTAGCATTGTGCTTAGAATTTCATGATGTGTGTGTCATCATGAGAGACATAAGAGAGTGATAACTGCTGCTTATTGAACATTTGGTATGTGCCACACACCAAAGCACTCACTGAACATCCATTCACTCACTTAAGCCTCCCACCAAACCTATACAGTATGCTTGTGCTATTACCATCCCCATATTATAGCTGAGGAAACAGAGGCAGAGAGAAGTTGCCCAGGGTCAGCCAGCCAGCATGGGTGGGGGCTGGAATTCACACCCCCACCTAACACCAGAGCCCATGCTCTTGACTCCTCTAACCTCTGTCTCTCCCCATCCCTAAGTAACCCCAACAGAAAGTCAAATTGTTTCTTATCTTCACATTCTCCACAACTCACACTGATCTGAAAAAAGAAGGTGACCAACACATAATGCTAGCTTGAATTGAATGAAGCCATGATGAATATTTCTTTTAAATTTCTTTGTGAAAGTAATATACATACATAATTAAAACGGTGCCAAAAGAAAGATAACAATTTAAGAAAATTCCCAACACACATGAACTCTCATTTTTTTCCTTCCCGCTCCACTTTTTAGAGGAAACCACTTATTTATTTATTTTTACATTAAGGATTTATTTTTTACTTTTTTTATTACACTTTAAGTTCTAGGGTACATGTGCACAACCTGCAGGTTTGTTACATATGTATACATGTGCCACGTTGGTGTGCTGCATCCAATAACTTGTCATTTACATTAGGTATATCTCCTAATGCTATCCTTCCCCGCTCCCTCCACCCCACAACAGGCCCCAGTGTGTGATGTTCCCCATTCTGTGTCCAAGTGTTCTCATTATTCAATTCCCACCTATGAGTGAGAACATGCGGTGTTTGCTTTTCTGTCCTTGCAATAGTTTGCTCAGAATGATGGTTTCCTACTTCATCCATGTCCCTAAAAAGGACATGAACTCATCCCTTTTTTATGGCTGCATAGTATTCCATGGTGTATATGTGCCACATTTTCTTAATCCGGTCTATCATTAATGGACATGTGGGTTGGTTCCAAGTCTTTGTTATTGTGAATAGTGCTGCAATAAACATACGTGTGCATGTGTCTTTATAGCAGCATGATTTATAATCCTTTGGGTATATACCCAGTAATAGGATGACTGGGTCAAATGGTATTTCTAGTTCTAGATCCCTGAGGAATCGCCACACTGTCTTCCACAATGGTTGAACTAGTTTACAGTCCCACCAACAGTGTAAAAGTGTTCCTGTTTCTCCACATCCTCTCCAGCACCTGTTGTTCCCTGACTTTTTAATGATTGCCATTCTAACTGGTGTGAGATGGTATCTCATTGTGGTTTTGATCTGCATTTCTCTGATGGCCAGTGATGATGAGCATTTTTTCATGTGTCTGTTGGCTGCATAAATGTCTTCTTTTGAGAAGTGTCTGTTCATGTCCTTTGCCCACTTTGTGATGGGGTTGTTTCATTTTTTCTTGTAAATCCGTTTAAGTTCTTTGTAGATTCTGGACATTAGCCCTTTGTCAGATGGGTAGAATGTAAAAATTTACTCCCATTCTGTAGGTTGCCTGTTCACTCTGATGGTAGTTTCTTTTGCTGTGCAGAAGCTCTTTAGTTTAATTAGATCCCATTTGTCAATTTTGGCTTTTGTTGCCATTGCTTTTGGTGTTTTAGACATAAAGTCCTTGCTCATGCCTATGTCCTGAATGGTATTGCCTAGGTTTTCTTCTAAGGTTTTTATGGTTTTAGGTCTAACATTTAAGTCTTTAATCCATCTTGAATTAATTTTTGTATAAGGTGTAAGGAAGGGATCCAGTTTCAGCTTTCTACATATGGCTAGCCAGTTTTCCCAGCACCATTTATTAAATAGGGAATCCTTTCCCCATTTCTTGTTTTTGTCAGGTTTGTCAAAGACTAGATGGTCGTAGATGTGTGGTATTATTTCTGAGGCCTCTGTTCTTTTCCATTGGTCTATATGTCTGTTTTGGTACCAGTACCATGCTGTTTTGGTTACTGTAGCCTTGTAGTATAGTTTGAAGTCAGGTAGCGTGATGCCTCCAGCTTTGTTCTTTTGGCTTAGGATTGACTTGGCAATGCGGGCTCTTTTTTGGTTCCATATGAACTTTAAAGTAGTTTTTTCCAATTCTGTGAAGAAAGTCATTGGTAGCTTGATGGGGATGGCATTGAATCTATAAATTACCTTGGGCACTATGGCCATTTTCATGATATTGATTCTTCCTATCCATGAGCATGGAGTGTTCTTCCATTTGTTTGTGTCCTCTTTTATTTTGTTGAGCAGTGGTTTGTAGTTCTCCTTGAATAGGTCCTTCACATCCCTTGTACGTTGGATTCCTAGGTATTTTATTCTCTTTGAAGCAATTGTGAATGAAGGTTCACTCATGATTTGGCTCTCTGTTTGTTTGTTATTGGTGTATAGGACTGCTTGTGATTTTTGCACGTTGATTTTGTATCCTGAGACTTTGCTGAAGTTGCTTAACAGCTTAAGGAGATTTTGGGCTGAGATGATGGGGTTTTCTAAATATACAATCATGTCATCTGCAAACAGGGACAATTTGACTTCCTCTTTTCCTAATTGAATACCCTTTATTTCTTTCTCCTGCCTGATTGCCCTGGCCAGAACTTCCAGCACTATGCTGAATAGGAGTGGTGAGAGAGGTCATCCCTGTCTTGTGCCAGTTTTCAAAGGGAATGCTTCCAGTTTTTGTCCATTCAGTATGATATTGGCTGTGGGTTCGTCATAAATGGCTCTTATTATTTTGAGATACATCCCATCAATACCTAGTTTATTGAGAGTTTTTAGCATGAAGGGCTGTTGAATTCTGTCAAAGGCCTTTTCTGCATCTATTGAGATAATCATGTGGTTTTTGTCATTGGTTCTGTTTATATGCTGGATTACGTTTATTGATTTGTGTTTGTTGAACCAGCCTTGCATCCCAGGGATGAAGCCAACTTGATCGTGGTGGATAACCTTTTTGATGTGCTGCTGGATTCAGTTTGCCAGTATTTTATTGAGGATTTCTGCATCGATGTTCATCAGGGATATTGGTCTACAATTCTCTTTTTTTGTTGTGTCTCTGCCATGCTTTGGTATCAGGATGATGCTGGCCTCATAAAATGAGTTAGGGAGGATTCCCTCTTTTTCTATTGATTGGAATAGTTTCAGAACGAATGGTACCAGCTCGTCTTTGTACCTCTGGTAGAATTTGGCTGTGAATCCGTCTGGTCCTGAACTTTTTTTGGTTGGTAAGCTATTAATTATTGCCTCAATTTCAGACCCTGTTATTGGTCTATTCAGGGACTCAAATTCTTCCTGGTTTAGTCTTGGGAGGGTGTATGTGTCCAGGTATTTATCCATTTCTTCTAGATTTTCTAGTTTATTTGCATAGAGGTGTTAATAGTATTCTCTGATGGTAGTTTGTATTTCTGTGGGATCGGTGGTGATATCCCCTTTATCATTTTTTATTGTGTCTATTTGATTCTTCTCTCTTTTCTTCTTTATTAGTCCTGCTAGTGGTCTATCAGTTTTGTTGATCTTTCCAAAAAACCAGCTCCTGGATTCATTGATTTTTTGAAGGGTTTTTTGTGTCTCTATCTCCTTCAGTTCTGCTCTGATCTTAGTTATTTCTTACCTTCTGCTAGCTTTTGAATGTGTCTGCTCTTGCTTCTCAGTTCTTTTAATTGTGATGTTAGGGTGTCAATTTTAGATCTTTCCTGCTTTCTCTTGTGGGCATTTAGTGCTATAAATTTCTCTCTACACACTGCTTTACATGTGTCCCAGAGATTCTGGTATGTTGTGTCTTTGTTCTCACTGGTTTCAAAGCACATCTTTATTTCTGCCTTCGTTTTGTTATGTATCCAGTAGTCATTCAGGAGCAGGTTGTTCAGTTTCCATGTAGTTGAGCTGTTCTGAGTGAGTTTCTTAATCCTGAGTTCTAGTTTGATTGCACTGTGGTCTGAGAGACAGTCTGTTATAATTTCTGTTCTTTTATATTTTCTGAGGAGTGCTTTCCTTCCAACTATGTGGTCAATTTTGGAATAAGTGCGATGTGGTGCTGAGATGAATGTATATTCTGTTGATTTGGGGTGGAGAATTCTGTAGATGTTTATTAGGTCTGCTTGGTGCAGAGCTGAATTCAATTCCTGGATATCCTTGTTAACTTTCTGTCTCGCTGATCTGTCTAATGTTGACAGTGGGGTGTTAAAGTCTCCCATTATTGTTGTGTGGGGGTCTAAGTCTCTTTGTAGGTCTCTAAGGACTTGCTTCATGAATCTGGGTGCTCCTGTATTGGGTGCATATATATTTAGCACAGTTAACTCTTCTTGTTGAATTGATCCCTTCACCATTATGTAATGGCCTTCTTTGTCTCTTTTGATCTTTGTTGGTTTAAAGTCTGTTTTATCAGAGACTAGGATTACAACCCCTGCTTTTTTTGTTTGTTTTTTTATTTTCCATTTGCTTGGTAGATCCTCCTCCATCCCTTTATTTTGAGCCTATGTGTGTCTCTGCACGTGAGATGGGTCTCCTGAATACAGCACACTGATGGGTCTTGACTCTTTATCCAATTTGCCAGTCTGTGTCTTTTAATTGGAGCATTTAACCCATTTACATTTAAGGTTAGTATTGTTATGTGTGAATCTGATCCTGTCATTATGATGTTAGCTGGTTGTTTTGCTCATTAGTTGATGCAGTTTCTTCCTAGAATTGATAGTCTTTACAATTTGGCATGTTTTTTAGTGGCTGGTACTGGTTGTTCCTTTCCATGTTTAGTGCTTCCTTCAGGAGCTCTTGTAGGGCAGGCCTGGTTGTGACAAAATCTCTCAGCATTTGCTTGTCTGTAAAGGATTTTATTTCTCCTTCACTTATGAAGCTTAGTTTGGCTGGATATGAAATTCTGGGTTGAAAATTCTTTTCTTTAAGAATGTTGAATATTGGCCCCCACTCTCTTCTGGCTTGCAGAGTGTCTGCCGAGAGATCCGCTGTTAGTCTGATGGGCTTCCCTTTGTGGGTAACCTGACCTTTCTCTCTGGCTGCCCTTAACACTTTTTCCTTCATTTCAACTTTGTGAATCTGACAATTATGTGTCTTGGGGTTGCTCTTCTCGGGGAGTATCTTTGTGGAGTTCTCTGTATTTCCTGAATTGGAATGTTGGCCTGTCTTGCTGGCTTGGGGAAGCTCTTCTCATTAATATCCTGCAGAGTGTTTTCCAACTTGGTTCCATTGTCCCCGTCACTTTCAGGTACACCAATCAGATGTAGATTTGGTCTTTTCACATAGTCCCATATTTCTTGGAGGATTTGTTCATTTCTTTTTATTAATTTTTCTCTAAACTTCTCTTCTCACTTCATTTCATTCATTTGATCTTCAATCACTGATACCCTTTCTTCCACTTGATTGAATCAGCTACTGAAGCTTGTGCATGCATCACGTAGTTCTCGTGCCATGGTTTTTAGCTCCATCAGGCCATTTAAGGACTTCTCTACACTGGTTATTCTAGTTAGCCATTTGTCTAATCTTTTTTCAAGGCTTTTAGCTTCTTTGCGATGGGTTTCAACATCCTCCTTTAGCTTGGAGGAGTTTGTTATTACTGATCGTCTGAAGTCTTCTTCTCTCAACTCATCAAAGTCATTCTCCATCCAGCTTTGTTCCATTGCTGTCGAGCAGCTGCATTCCTTTGGAGGAGTAGAGGCAGTCTGATTTTTAGAATTTTCAGCTTTTCTGCTCTGGTTTCTCCCCATCTTTGTGGTTTTACCTACCTTTGGTCTTTGATGATGGTGATATATAGGTGGGGTTTTGGTGTGGATGTCCTTTCTGTTTATTAGTTTTCCTTCTAAAAGTCAGGACCCTCAGCTGCAGGTCTGTTGGAGTTTGCTGGAGGTCCATTCCAGACCCTTTTTGCCTGGGTATCACCAGCAGAGGCTGCAGAACGGCAAATATTGCTGCCTTATCCTTCCTCTGGAAGCTTCGTCTCAGAGGGGCACCCGGCCGTATGAGGTGTCAGTCAGCCCCTACTGGGTGGTGCCTCCCCGTTAGGCTACTCGGGGGTCAGGGACCCACTTGAGGAGGCAGTCTGTCCATTCTCAGATCTCAAACTCCGTGCTGGGAGAACCACTACTCTCTTCAAAGCTGTCAGACAGGGACGTTTAAGTCTGCAGAAGTTTCTGCTGCCTTTTGTTCATCTATGCCCTGCCCTGAGAGGTGCAGTTTACAGAGGCAGGCAGGCCTCCTTGAGCTGCAGTGGGTTCCACCCTGTTCAAGCTTCCTGGCTGCTTTGTTTACCTACTCAAGCCTCAGCAATGGTGGACGCCCCTCCCCTAGCCTCGCTGCCACCTTGCAGTTCGATCTCAGACTGCTGTGCTAGCAGTGAGCGAGGCTCTGTGGGTGTGGGACCCTCCGAGCCAGGCACGGGACATAATCTCCTGGTGTGCCATTTGCTAAGACCATTGGAAAAGCACAGTATTAGGGTGGCAGTGTCCTAATTTTCCAGGTACCATCTGTCACAGCTTCCCTTGGCTAGGAAAGGGAGTTCCCTGACCCCTTGTGCTTCCCGGGTGCAGTGATGCCCCGCCCTGCTTTGGCTCATGTTCCATGGGCTGCACCCACTGTCTGACAAGCCCCAATGAGATGAACCTGGTGCCTCAGTTGGAAACGCAAAAATTGCCTGTCTTCTGTGTCGCTCATGCTGGGAGCTGTAGACTGGAGCTCTTCCTATTCGGCCATCTTGGAACCTCCCCCTTATTTCACTTATTTATTTTTACTTTTTCTTTTAGACAGAGACTTCCTCTGTTGCCCAAGCTGGAGTGCAGTGGCATGATCTCAGCTCACTGCAACCTCTGCTTCTTGGGTTCAAGCAATTCTTCTGCCTCAGCCTCTCTAGTAGCTGGGATTACAGGTGTGCACCACCATGCTCAGCTAATTTTTGTATTTTTAGTAAAGATGGGGTTTTGCCCTGTTGGGCAGGCTTGTTTTGAACTCCTCACCTGAGGTGATCCGCCCGTCTCAGTCTTTCAAAGTGTTGGGATTACAGGCGTAAGCCACTGCACCCGGCCTAGAGGCAACTACTTAAATCGCTCATCCGTTTATCCTGATCTCTAGGTTGCCAAATATCTTGTATTGCCATTCCTTAATACACCAATTTTATACTGCATATTGATATTCTTTATGGGACAAGAGGAATTAGCTCTCTTATACCATCCTCCTGCTTACTTCATTTGAAAATTTGTATTGCTAATAATTCTTTAGAAATATTTATAATTCTTGATAAGGTTTTTGTTAAATAGTGTTTATAAGTACTGTGTATTTTTTACTGCAAAGCCAACTAGTGTACTTTGTTTTATTTCTCACACAAATGCTTATTTTTCTGCAAGTCGATAGTTGCTTCTCTTTTTAAACTTGCTTATACACCTACTCTTAATTTTCTTTCATATACCTCATTATTAGTATTACTTGCCTATAGTCAAATAGACCAGATAATATACCAATTACATTGTTTGCATCCAATCTCAGCTTGTTTCTTTCTAGAGCCATCATAGAGCTGTCATGTGAGACTTTACCGTTTCTCATCATCTCATTATTGCTTTACATTTCTGATTTATGTTGGTCACTTAGTTTCATGAATCCTTTCTGTTTCAGAGTTAACTGCCTAATCTGGTCAAAGCCAAACCTCAAGATCAGATTAGTAAAGAGTACAGTGGAGAGAAACATTCTGAGACCTTACGTATCTAAAGACGTCTCTATTCCATGCTCAAACTTAAAAGTTTTGGCAGGTATAGAATTCTAGGTCGATAGTCATTTTCTCTCAGAATTATAAAAATATTGCCTTTTTGTTTTTCTCTCTTCTAATGTAGCTATTAAAAAGTCTGATGTCTTTCTGATTCCAATTGCTTTGATTATAATGTTCCCCCTCCTTTTTTGGATCTATTATTTTGAAATATTGTAGTAGTGCTGCTTGATGTGAATCTTTTTAAAAAATTTTTCAATAACTGTACCCAGACATCTTGCCCTTCTAGTCTGAAATTTTGTATTCTTCAGTTCTCAGGAAATTCCCTTTTTTTAAAAAAAAATAATTTCTTCCCATTCGTTTTCTCTTATTTCTCCCTGTAATTCTTAATAGCCAAATGTTAAACGTTCTGGGCTGATCTAAATCTCTCTTCCCTGCTCCCTCCTACTTTTATAATCCCTGTGTCTAAAAACGAAACAGCGCATGTTCTCACTTATAGGTGGGAATTGAACAATGAGAACACATGGACACAGGAAGGGGAACATCACACACCGGGGACTGTTGTGGGGTGGGAGGAGGGGGGAGGGATAGCATTAGGAGATATACCTAATGTTAAATGACGAGTTAATGGGTGCAGCACACCAACATGGCACATGTATACGTATGTAACAAACCTGCACTTTGTGCACATGTACCCTAAAAGTTAAAGTATAATAATAATAAAATTAAAAAAAAAAATCCCTGTGTCTTTTTATCCTACATTTTGTGAGTGTTTCTTGATATTGTCATCCAGCCTACCTATTAAATATTTTCATTTCTATAAAAGGATGTTCATTGGGAGTTTTCTCATTGTACCAATGTTTCAGGAGAGATTCCAGGGATTGACAACAAAAGGTGCCAACAGATCCACTAGGGAGATGCTAAAGAATGATGAAACCACCAAGGTAACTACTTTGCTGAAAAACAGTTGGACTTTTAAGGTGTAAATCATGAAAAGAAGTTATTTAATTTACTTTTTAATACCATAGCCTGTCAACCATATTATTTTTAACTTTTTCTCTACCCTTGAAAGGAACTTGGGCCATTTCCAAGTATTAAAAATAGTCTAAATTAGACAATTGTCTTAATAAACAACTGGGGACATCTTGTCTTTCCAGAGGTCCTTTTCAGGATGACTCAATTTCTGTTCCTTTCCACATGCAACCTTCAGGAAATATAAACCTTTGTCCAACTATCAGTGAGATGCAGCAAGCCCTCACTGCACCCCTTTCTCTTTGTTCTACTGTTAGAGGCAACTCTAGACAGCCTCCCTCCCACTTTTGACTTTAGCAGGTCCAGTTGGATACCAATCACACTGCCCCTCAGAATTTTAGGGAGATATACAGCAATATCTTTGAGTATTTCTCTAAAAGTCAACTCACTTCACTTCTGGGGTAGAGGGGACAATCCCCTTTCTTTCCAAGGGGGAGATAAGCAGGGAAGAACACACTGGTAACTCTCTTTAAGAAATTCTCATGACCAGCCTTCCTCAATAAATCTCCTTATCTTCTTTCATATATGCTTCAGGTAGGTGATGATAGGGGATGTACAGTCAGCTTCCGTTTCTCTTGCATGGTCTCAACAGGTGATTTGGAATCTGTTGGTCTTGGACTTAGCTAAAACTGAGTCCATAAGAAAACTGGCATTTAACAAGTTGTTTCACTTTGGTAATTTTATCTTTATTTCCAAAAGCTCTTTCTTCCCCCCGCCCCCCACTTTGTTTTTGGCTTCCCCCAACAACCCCCAAACTGAAGGTACCCTACTGGTCCTGCTTCCACAAGTGGCCATGACCAGGAAAAAAGGGAGAAGAACCAGTGGCATGGGGAGGGCTCATCACCACAACATTCCATTTATACACACAACTCAACAGACAAGCACGAGTAAGCACTGCAGTTAGAAGTTGGCAGCAGAGGAAGGATAAGGAATAGATGAGGAGTTGGGGTGTTATTAAAAAAAAAACCCCCACAAAATGAAGTGCCTGGGGGGTATTTGGTCTGCTTCTGTCAGAGCGTTTGAGCCAGATCGACTCCATCATAAAACAGGGCCTGGGTAAAATAAGGCTGAGAGCTACTGGGCTGCATTCCCAGGAGGTTAGCCGTTCTAAGTCACAGGATGAGATAGGAGCTCAGCAGAAGGTACAGGACACAAAGACCTTGCTGATAGAACAGGCTGTGGTAAAGAAGCCAGCCAAAACCCACCAAAACCAAGATGGCCATGAAAATGACCTCTGGTTGTCGTCACTGCTCATTACACGCAAATTATAATGTATTAGCATGCTGAGAGACACTCCCACCAGCACCCTGATAATTTACAAATGCCATGGCAACATCAGGAAGCTACACTATATGGTTTAAAAGGGGAAGGGATCCTCAGTTCTGGGAATTGCCTGCCTCTTTCCCAGAAAACTCATGAATAAGCCGCCCCTTGTTTAGCATATAATCAAGCAATAACTAAGTATCCTTAGTCTAGCAGCCCATGGCACTGCTCTGCCTATGGAGTAGCCATTCTTTTGTTTCTTCACTTCCTAATAAACTTGCTTTCACTTTATTCTGTGGACTTGCCCTAAATTCTTTCTTGCATGAGATCTAAGAACGCTCTCTTGAGGTCTGGATCAGGACTCCTTTCTGTTAACACTTCAACCCAAGAAGAATCAGAAGATCAAAGGTAATTTGGGAAGGCCGGAACTGTCAGGGATGGAGGGGAGAGGAAAAGGCAGGGCTTGGTGGGGAGCTGTTTGGCAGCTGGGGTGAAAGGATTGCTCTCCCACTGCTGAGATTCTCCAGCCCCTTCCTGTCTGTTAGGAATAGGGCAGCATGGAATCCCTGTGGGCAGGTCTGGGGCTTCCAGATGTTCCAGGAAGGGGGCTCACAAAGGGTTTCCCTCCAGGGAGATAATGGCACTGCCTCCCAGCTTCTCTGCAAAGGTGCGGTCGTTCTTGACTTCCGCGTAGCAGTTTGCTTGTAATTCATGCTTGATCCCCGTCAGCTTCTTCTTGATAGTGTCCTTGGAGTTGGCATAGATCATTTTGCTCTTCAGGGGTGCAGACTCAGGCCCAGAAGCTGAACACCAGGTCCTCCTCCTTGCTCTCCTTTGTCTCACAGTTTGCGTCACAGAGGGCGTTATGGCAGTCTTTGTCTGGCAGCATCTTGACAGAGGTGGTGGAGAGGCCACTGACAGTCTGGCTGACATCACCCACGAACATCTGCTTGCCCTCCTTGAGGATGAGTTCTTGTCCTCACTCAGGCAGAAGAGTACCACCTTCTTGAGCTTCTTCAACTCCTCTGGTGTCAACAACTTGTGTACCTTCATGTCATTGGATACCTTGATGATGCCATCAGAGACAGCCACACAGGAATCTACATTTCCAGAAGTCAAAAAGAGATGACAAAGAGAGCCAGAGAGGAGGAGATCTGACTGAACCTGCTCTTCAATAGTACACAGTATCTTCTAATTCATCCGAGACTAGAAATCAATGATTTTCTTGATTTTCTTCCACTTCCTTTATTATCTCTGCTTCCTTGAGTGTCACCTTTGTTTGTTTACTTTTGCTTTCTAGTTTAGCAGAGCTTTCTTCATGTGCTTGGTGATCCTTGATTGCCTATTGTCATTTAATATTGAGGTACTAGAATGTGAATGGTGTTTAAGAAGGGAGATAAACTTGTAGTTAAGCTGACCACACTTAACTGGAAGTCTTCTTGGGTTTTGAAGTCATAAATTTAGTTTAATTTCTAAATCTTATCCCTATGTTCATCCATTTTAGGGCTGTGGTTTATGTTTTTTCTCCAGCTCTTCATCTTCGTGTGGGCATAGAGGTCCACTATAAAAATGTGTGGCCCTTCATTATCTAGGACAGTGTGGGTTTTCTGAAGAGTTCTAAACTAGAGCTAAGTTATGGAAAATGTTTCATATCAAAATGGATGAAATATACAAGCCAAAGTTATGGCATCTACTTTCCCATTCCATGCATACTTTCATAGTTTTCATTTTGGAAGATTTTGAATATGTTATAAGAAAATCCTTGGGAATTTAAACTGAGTAGACTACTATTATAGTGTACAGTCACTCAGATTACTATGTTTTGTTGCGTATGAATGTTAGGGCACAAATGGAAAAATTCACCTGTTGCTAAAAGTGGCACATTTTCAGAGACCTCTATTGTGGTAGGCTGTTCTTTAATAATGACCACAGCAATTGCTCTTATCCCACATGTCCTTTTGTAATGTGGCTGTGCCATTCCTCCCACCTTGGGTCTATTTCCCCTCATTCTGAGCTGGTCCTGTGGTTTGCTTTGACCAGCAGAATGTGGTGACAGTGATGCTGTGTGTTGGCTGGGCCCAGAGCTTCAGAGATCACATGGCTTCTGTTTTTGCCTTGAGCCTCCATGTTTTTGCCTTGAGCCCCGGGTATTCTGTTGGAGAGAGGCCAATGGAGGAGCACTGAGGCATACCTGCCAACAGATAGGACCAGGGCCCCAAACATGTAGGTGAGGCCCTTTTGGATCCTCTGACCCCAGTAATGTGCAGACAACCCCACATGAAGCCTAGACAAACTGGACCAGCTGAGTGCTGCCTAAATTTTTGACCCACAGAATCATAGGCAATAGAATGGTTCTTGTTTTAAGCAAATAAGTTTGGGGTTGGTTTGTTATACAGCAATAGATCACTGACCAACTCTCTTTAGAACTATTTAGAGCAGGGATTTCCAACTCATGTTGCATTTTGGGTATCTGTGCTTATGTGCTCTTGTCAGAGGATCGGGGCCACAGCTTCTGATTCTTAAAGTAGTGTTTATCTTAAAAAAACTAAGAACCATTGAATTATGGGCCATTACAAGTTAAACACAATATCAACAGATTTTACTGTTTATGCAATACATGCTTATGCCATTATAAAAATATGATTATAAAATTAATTAAAAGATTGTCCCAAAGTCATAGTAAAAAATTTTGTTTGTATCCTTCCAGAGCACATAAGTATTAGGGATCTATTTGGAGAAATTAAAATGGTATATATGATTTATATATGTGTGCCAATGTGTATACTGATATATAAATGAATGTACTTGGCCAGTAAGAAAATCAGAACTTACTTTTGTTTTGTGGTCAAGTCAATATTTTACTTTCTAGCTCTTGCATTTCATGTCACTCCTAAAAAGGTCCTCTCTCCCTAAGTATAAAATAGACCCATATTTCTTTTAGAACTTTGCAATCTCAACTTTCTTTTTCTTCATCACAATCACTTATCCCTCTATGGCTTATCTGAGGTTTATTTTGGTGGAAGGAATGAGGTAGGAAGCTTGCTTCCCCCCCGCCCCCCAACATTTATTAAATAGTATATGTTTTCATCACTCATTTCAATGCCCACCTCATATACCAAATTTCCATACGTATTTGGGAATACCTCCAGACCCAATGCTGCGCTATTCATCTTGCTACTCCAGTAACTTACTGTTTTGATTGCTGTTGCTTATAATGCATTTTATTTCATGGAAAGGTGGTCTTTCCTTCTGTCTTTTTTTTTCTACAAACATTTTTCCTTCAACTATTATCTTTTAATTTTTTCAGATGAACTTCAGAATCATCACATCAATTAGCATCCATCCTTCTACTGCCTGCCTCCACAAATTCCCCAAATAATCTTTTTGTCTTTTTTTTTTTTTAAATTTTAGAGAACATCACATTGAAATTATAGCTTCTTCTGGGGAGAAGTTACAACTTCACAACACTGAGCTTTCTACCAAAGAGCAAGGTCTCTTTGCATTGATTCAAGACTCAAATGGCTGACAGCACAATTTTTTTTTAATTTATTTTTTGAGATGGAGTCTCACTCTGCCACCCAGGCTGGGATACAGTGGCATGATCTCGGCTCACTGCAACCTTTGCCTCCCAGATTCAAGTGATTCTCCTGCCTCAGCCTCCCGAGTAGCTGGGATTACAGGTACCTGCCACCATGCCCGGCTAATTTTTAATTTTTAGTAGAGAAGGGGTTTCGCCATGTCATCTGGGCTGGTCTCGAACACCTAACCTCAGGTGACTGGACTGCCTCGGCCTCCCAAAGTGCTGGGATTACAGATGTGAGCCACCGTGACCGACCTGATAGCATAATTTAAAAATGTTATTTTTATCTCTGTTAAATTTTCCTCTAGATATTTTAAATTTTTTGGTCAACAAAAAAGACAGTGTATTATACCAATATTCAGTTACCTTTGGCTTGGCGGAAGCAGTACCTTACTACTCCATCCAGGTAAATGATCATGGTTTTTCCCTGTACATTTCAAAGTCATTTTGGTCAAGTTCCCAAAGTCTGAATGCATCACACATAACTTGTAATGGGTCATTGTCCTGTTTAACTCAGGAATAATTGTACTGGAAAACCCTGATGGTTTCTAAGCTTATCCTAAACTTATTGTGCCTTGTACTGAAAAAGATCTGCTTGTTAAACACAGAGTTCCACACCGGGGTTATACCACTTGGAAAAAAAGTGCTCCGAAAGGGAAACCCAAAGTTCCTTTGATGGACTTATAGGCCTATAATTCAAAGAAGGATATAAAGAATGAGCATGCTTAAATATCAATGTTGGGTGGATACCTCAGAATTTTCCAGGTTCTATCCTCTGTTCCATAAATCAAAGTATTTGAAAGGGATTAAGTGATGAACATTGAGGCTTTGCCTGGGGTTTGACTATACGCTGCAAGACTGAAGGAAGCAGGAGCCGATGAGTTCACTGGGAAAGAACCCAAATCATATCTCTGGTCAAAAACAAACAAACAAAAGTAAACCCCAGGTTTCACAAAAAGCTCCTTTAGCACTTTTTTGAGAGGTATGTTAACATGAATAATTCTACCTATGAATTCACATATATAGAAGTTTGGATTCTAAATATCACTTTGGTACTAGAAATGAGATGTAGCATTTAGAAGCAATAATAAAGTAAATATTTGACATGAGGAACAAAGTAAAATGCAAGAAAATGGCAGAAGGGAAAAATGTTGGAAATCCTGGGTCAGGGACTGGTGAATTAGTAATGGAGTCAGGGCAGACAGGCCTCTCATTGGCCAAACTTTCGGTTGTATGTCCTGGCCCTGGAAAGCTCCTTTTCTGCAGTCAAATAGCATGGATCAGCTCTAAAGACGATCAGCCAGAGTTTCAATCTGAAGCTGGTGTGAAAGTACTACTACAGAGAAAATAATATCTTATGGGGTGGTGATAAGACATTATGAGCCATTTAAATTTACTATAATATTTTGAGGAAGATAATGAAGGTGTAAGGAAAAAAAGAAAATGCCCTAATATTCTTTCTGAAAACATCCTGGCAATGTTCAATGACTGCATAGAATTTGCTGTGGAGAGGAATCCTAAAGATGAGGAAGTGGGTATGGGGATGTTGTAGAGGTTGGGGTGACTTTTGGGGTCAGAGGTTCCTTAGCAGCGCTTGCCTTGGTCTAGACTGATGCATCAAAAGATCCAAAGGCAAAACATCCATTAGCAAAAAAAAAAAAAAGATGATCCTTATTTTTTTTAGTTCATTACAGAGAAAATGTCCCCACTGTTCCAGAAAGACTGATTTACGGCAAGCTTTTGACCACCCAAATTAAGCTGTGACATTGAGATAGTGCTAGTTACTTTTTCTCATGAATAGTTCTAGGCTAGATCACCTTTTCAAAAGAATAAAAAGAAGTGACTGAGAGTATATCCTGAATCAATAAATGTCTGTCTGCAACTCACACAGTACAGAATCCACTGTGAATATCTCTCCTTTCTGGATGGCAAAACTCCTTAACTCTACAAATGCAGGGTTCGTTTCATCATCAGATCACTTTCTCATCAAGATCTGTGTCTTTTCAGGAAGTGGTGAAGTCTGCTATTCAGGAGAAAAAAAATCAAAACTGCCATGCACGCATGCAATCATGTTGAACGGAATTCTTAGGCCTGTGAGGAAAAGACCCTCATTCGTGGGTTTTTATGGTACCTGACAGCTCTTTAATTTTGGTTGGTCAGATGAGATTGTCTGGGCTAAGAGATGGAGAATAGGCATAAACTAACAATGTGTTGAGAAGGAGAATTGATGACAGTCTTACCCATAATGCAGCTGTCAGATTCAAAATACTCAAAGCCCCCTCACCCTGTCTCAACATGGCCATTCCACAGAAGGGAAACTAGTTATCTTTCCAGGGAATGAAATGGATGCTATTAAGATACTCCCACAAGGATTTAGTTATTATGTGGGCATCGTCTATGCCATTAAACTGTATCCTGGGAGGACCTGAGGGTTTGATGGCAGGATCTCAGAATCACCAGGATAAGAGGGTGAGAAAACATGCATGTCACTTCCCTTATTCCTCATGTCCCCCAACTATTCGGAGGATAAAACTTCACCATTAATCTAAACACATCATTTGCCATATAAGAATTTTCTTTCATCTCCTCAGGTCTGAGAACACAAATAAATTGGTCCAATATATTATTGAAAATCATCTTTAATATTATAGTTAATAAGCATTAACAGCTAAATTACGTCTTCTTAAATCTAATTATTCAGTGATCAAACATAAACATGGAGTCCCGGGGAAAGACAGAGCATGAGTTACTATCTATGCTGGGCACTACAAGAGTTAAAATAAAAGGTTGGTAAATTGACACACAGAGAAAAGGACATTAAGGATATTGTCTGATGACAATGCTGAAAAAATCAAAACCTTTTTGAAATTCCCTTCTGTCTTGCAGGTCATGAGAGAGTTTCAGGGTGGTAATTTTTAAATGTGGAGGCCACTTACAATTCTGCTAAGCACTGTTATGGTGGCTGTGTGGTTGGGAGAAAATCATTCTTTCAAGAAGACCAAAGAATTCTACATTTGCTCCTAAAGATTTCCTTCTTTAATAAGGACTTGAGCAGATCCCTGTCATTGTTCTAGATAATGGATTACCTACACATACATTTCCAAGTGTAATGACACTCTTGCTTATTAAAGACCTCTCAGCTGAAGGGGCAGAATATTATGAACTGGCCGAGCCATTCATTTTCTTGAATATGTTATTCAGTATTTTATGCTAAACCAGCAATACACCATCCATTTTAGTACAATGATCCTTATGTTCAATAAAATTGAAGTGTCGCATCATAAATCATTATAGTCATTTATTTTACATTAGACACATTAGCCACTATATTCCATAATCTATTACAATAAGGTGGATTTAAATGTACCCCAAGGAACTGCAATAATAACTCGAGAACCAAATATAGCAATTTATGGATAAAATATGCTTAACCTAAAACTGCACTAGCTATCGTGATGGCTGTGAACTCTGAATGGAATTTAGTGCTGATGGTGACTGAACTCAGCTATACATAAAGAGGGAGGAAAGAGAAAAAGAAATGGCAGACCTTCCTCTAATTTTCTGTTCGTTAATTTAAAAAGTGTACTAGATTATTACACTATCAGTGAGACGGACAAATTTTGCTGGAGGAACTCATGCTCAGTTGAAACTTTTTCTAAGTAACACATATTCAAAATCTCTAGTTAACTATTCAATAGGATGCCTGTTGTTTCCAACAACAGCAGTGTCTGGGAAAGCTTCATCAATTCAGACTAATTCCACTAATTCCGCATTTGTGAAAATTCAGACAGGCTGGGTGGTGTGAAGAACAAGGTTTGCACATGTGATTCATAGTGTAAAAGAGGTACCCCAATAATGTTTTTATACCAGAAAAGCATTTCAAAATAGCCTTAAGTTTGTAGGAGACATTCTTTTACTAATAGTTGAGATGATAATTATAAATTCTTATCAATTAATGAAAATTATTTTCTCGAATGATCTCTTTTAGATAATATTAGCCTACTCCCATTTCCTATATGTATCTAAAAGCAAGAAAACTGTGTCCTGTAATTCAGATTCTTCACTAATTTGGTATCCTTCCACTTAGTCATGGATTGTGAGGTCTCTGTAATTTTAGGTAAATGGTTACTACCCATGTTATTGACACTCCTAGATAGCTCACTCGGCGATCTCAAGTCTTTGAGATTTGACCATGAAATGAGACTAGCTTTATTATAATGCTGGATATGAAGTCTTTGCTGTTCAAGATTAAAATACGTATTTGTTGCTGTGTCAATCTGAGATAGCATGACCCAGAACTGGCATAGTTAATTCTTCCTCAGGAAATTAGGGACCAGATTACATTTCCCATTTGTATGTCCTTATTAACCTACCTTCGCTTCCTTCCTCCCTTCCTTCCTCTCTCCCTCCCTTTCATCCAACCACCTAGTCATCAGCCAATGATCCATTTAGTGACTATCCTACTTATTTAATGCCTTCCCTGTGCCAGACACAAGGCGGGCACCAAGAACACAAAGAATAAGACAAGGCACCTAACACTTATAATAAGAT
Organism: Homo sapiens; assembly: GCF_000001405.40. NCBI lineage: Eukaryota > Metazoa > Chordata > Mammalia > Primates > Hominidae > Homo > Homo sapiens. The sequence goes on along the minus strand of NC_000003.12, from coordinate 25,317,140 downwards.
ACTTTCTATGATTACATTATTGCTTTTATCTATGCAAAAATGTTGTATTCTTTTACACGACTTATAATAATCAAATACTTAACAGTTAGTTATAAGATTTCCCTCAGTCAACATTTATAGAATTGTAAATTTATACATAAACCAAATTCTGAGGGGAAGCAGAGGACCTTGGTTGGCTAAATGACCTGGGGTGAATAATTTATTCTGTCTAACCCTCACTTCTTCATCGTACAATGAGACGGTTAACTGGATAGTTTCTTAGAGTTCCTTCTTGAATTTTAGGACTTAAATCATTTTCTCTGTCCTTTATAGTCATCGGTTCCATTTATTAAAATGTCTCCAATGCAGAAAAGGACAAAAATTTAAAGAAGTAGAAAATCTCGTCATTGTCATATTTGTCAGTCCCTTGCAATCCAGTCTATACTGCTACGTCTTTTCCTTTTACTGTCAACTGCTAATACCAAATGTGCTGTTCTCTCATCAGTTTGTGGTCTAATTTATGCCCATAAAATATTGTTACCATCTGATGACAATGAGAACACCAAATCTGTTGTCCCCACTCTTCTGAATCCTCTTTCAGCATCGGTATCGTCCTGGCTTTTCTCTTCTATAGATATATCTGAATTATACATTATTTCCCCCAGGCATGCTTTTCCAAATTAAATAAAATTTCATTTTCTGTTTCTTGCCTTAATCCTACTAGATGACTTGGCTTAAAATATTTACAGACTCCACTTTGTACCATTTTTAATAATTTGGCCTTATTGCATGTATTTATTTTATCTTGTGTTTTAGAGGGTTGTGGTTTGTGCTCACCCATAATTAAGGCTTTCCTCTAATACTATATGTCACCTTTGGCATGCTCTGTCAATTATGGAGAAAAATTACACTCCCTACCTCTAGATAGATGGAATAAAAATTACATAAATATGTAATAAAGATACATAGATACAATGGTCCTCAGATCAACCTGTGGGCTTAACAAGGTGCCTCATAAAAAAAGCTTATACAGACAATAGACATCTATCTGTACAAAATCTTTAGGCCAAATTTAGAAATATAAAAATATTTCTGAGCATATTCTTTGATCAAAAAACAAATATAAACCAGAGTCCAGTCTAGTGGATCTAGGTGACTGACAGAATGAATTTAATGTGGCAAGTAGTTACAAATATTTTAGACGATCTGAAAACTAAATGGTATGGTGACAGAGATTAATGTAGGTCAGGTGCGGTGGTTCATGCCTGTAATCCCAGAACTTTGGGAGGCTGAGGCGGGCAGAACCCTTGAGGTCAGGAGTTTGAGACCAGCCTGGGTAACATAGTGAAACCCCCTCTCTACTAAAAATAAAAAAAAAAAATTAGCTGAGTGTGGTGGTGCATGCCTGTAATTCCAGCTACTCTGGAGGCTGAGGCACGAGAATCGCTTTAACCCGGGAAGCAGAGGTTGCAGTGAGCTGAGACTGCGGCACTGTACTCCAGCCTGGGCGACAGAGCAAGACTCTGTCTCAAAAAAAGATTAACAGAGGCAGGAAGCACTATGCATCCTAGGCTGGAGAAGTAAATGGTCTTATCCAAAAACCCAGGAGCTCTTCCATCTCTTGCCAGTGCTTCCTTTTGGCCAAATTAGGTAAAAAGATAAGTGGATTGAGAGGGAAGTTAGGAAGTCTCAAGCTTCTGAGCCACTCACTGTGCAGACCCCTTCCAAGACCTGGGAGGGGTGCTAGCAAACTGTGTACATGGTCGTATGTCTACAATTCGAAAAAGTATAGTATTTTAATTTAAATAGTTACGAGTGCTTTCTTTTTGTACTTTGCTATCCCCTGCATTATACTTCTCAAGTAAGCCCCTATCTAGGGACTGGTTAGGGGGAGTTGAGCTGAGGACTCATTTAGTTTCTGTCTAGTGGGATGTGTGTATTTCATTCACAGTTTTTTTTGCATTGTGTGAAGACTGGGGATGCCAGAGAGCCTATAGACAGAGAGCTGCCCCGTACTCTTAAGAATTTTTCCACATTCAGCATGAATTTTAAATGTCCACCAAGTGGATAAAGAAAATGTGGTACCTACACACCACGGAATACTACACAGACATTAAAAAGAATAAAATAATGCCCTATGCATCAACATGGATGTAGCTGGAGGCCATTATTTGGTTTTCTGTTCCCATGTTAATTTGCTTAGGACAATGGCCTCCAGCTACATCCATGTTCTCATAAGTGGGAGCTGAACACTGAGTACTCAGCGACATAAAGATGGAAGCAACAGACACTGTGGACTACAAGAGAGGGGAGGAGGCAGGCAGGTAAGGACTGAAAAATTACTGGGTACTACGCTCACCACCTGGGTGATAGGATCAATTATACCCCAAACCTCAGTGTCACACAATATACCCATGTAACAAACCTGCACATGTACCCACCTGAGTCTAAAATAAAAGTTGAAAGTATTTTAAAAAATTAAAAAATGAAAGTATATATATAAAAAAATACTCCACCAGACATTTAGATAGGAGGAAAAAAAAGGTTTTTGTTGATGTCTTGGTGTTAGAATGGACTGTAGTAATCCACACACATCCATTGTGCCATTTTACCTGGCATTCACCTCAGATGTCTTAACCCCAAGAAACTGATGACAGACTCATTGGTTGCAACACAAGAAACTTAAACTATCTTAAAATCTTACAGCTCTCCTGTGAAAATAGCTTGATAGAGGTTTTCCCACAATTGACAATGATCCTAACAATTTATGTAACATTAATAACGTTATGAATGGGAATGTTTCTAAATTGTCAATAATAAAAAAGTAAATTCCAATTAGCATAGTGAGGAAAGACAATTATATTTCTGCTTTTCCTATAGAAAACTGTTATCAAAAGAAACAAAAATGATGAAGCTAAAAATTCTAGGAAAATATTATGAGATATATCTCAACAGTTAACTAATAAAATATGACCTTATTTTTCCAGCTTTTTCTTTTTTATTTGTTCTTGATTTTTAAAATTTGGAGTAAATTTTTAAGTTTTGTAATTTTTTGTGATTTTTAAAAATTAATTAATTTTTTTTTGTTGTTGAGACAGAGTCTGGCTCTGTCACCCAGGCTGGAGTGCAGTGGTGTGATCATAGCTCAGTGCAACCTCCAACTCTTGGGCTCCAGGGATCCTCTTGCCTCAGCCGCCCAAGTATCTGAGGCTACAGATGCATACCATCACACCTAGCTAATTTTTTTTCTTTTTTGTAGAGATGAGGTCTCACTACGTTGCCCAGGCTGGTCTTGAACTCCTGGGCTCAAGCGATCTTTCTGCCTGGACCTCCCAAAGTGCTAGAATTAGAGGTGTGAACCACCACGCCTGGACTGTTATTTTTTTCTCGTAGAAAATAAATACTTCCTTTTGTACATAATTTTGTATGTATAATTTTGTATTATGACTAAAGATGGCCCCCAAATTGCATAAACCTTAGATCCTCCAAACCTGCTGACACAGGAGCTTAGGAAATGAATTTTACAGTTACCTAAAGCAACACAGAGTACAATAGGAGAAAGGTGGAGAAGAGATCTGGGAGCCAATTAGCAAAAGACAAGCACTACAGTATATTAAAGAGCTTGCAAAATCTCTGGAAGGGCCAGGGAACCAGGCAAAGAAGTTTCACAACCAGAGATACTCGCTGACATCATACCAGGGAGTTGGGGAAGCCTAGTTACTTCCTACATTAGGCATAAGCATTACAGTTCAAGCCACCAATGTACTGATAATGAATTTTGAATGGTATCAACCACTGATGCATCTGCCAGGGCCGTCCCTAGAAACTTGATGTAGATCTTGCAACCTGAACCACATATGCATGTTTGTTTGGGTCACTAACTCTTAATTCTAAGTCTGGTTTATCTACATTTGATTGGAGTAGCCAGGGTCACTCACCCTAGAGAAAAAACAAGCGGGTCTTCCTATTCCCATAAGAGGGGAACTTCCAAGGAAAGGATTAATGCTGGGAAAACAAAAACAAAAACAACAAACAGATATCCACTACATTCCACCACCATCATCCCTATTTTACAGAATGGAAATAGAAATGGAAGCCTTAACATGGAAAGTAATCTGCCCACATTCAAATGGCTAGAAGTGGATAGAGCCAGGATGCTGCCTCCAGACTTGAAGACACAAATTCAAATGCCTCGAGAATCCAGGGTGTGATACAGATGGGTGGAGAAAAGCAGCAGTGTAGTGTGATGAAAAGTACAGATCATTGGTCACCAGGACTGGCGGCAACAGGGAATGGTGAGATTGAGGAGAACCAGAGAGCTCATGTCTATCCGCGAGGGACAGCTGCTCCCAAGTTCCTCCTGGCTGTGGCTGCGTGGGAATGTTCCCCAGTGGGGCCATCTATGCAGATTGTAAAACAGAGGTTAGAAATCTAGATTTTTATTGTGAAATGTCCCAATTTTTAAATGTTGTTAAAAATTGAAAAAAACTTTGTAACTATTGTTTGGGCCATAATTGTACAAGCTCATCTGCTGCTGCATTATTATCTCAGGCTTCTATTTGCAATGTCTGCTCCAGAGTGAGCTCTCACTCACTAAATTACATTACTATACCTCTTCTTTTCAATTAACCGCATTTTACAAACCCACTTTTAACTCCCAGGCTTTACTTTTCCTCTATACTTGACCAGAGGAGTTAGAAGGTCTGAAGTTTCAGTCCTGACGTGCTGCTTATTAGCTGTATAATCCTGAATGAGTCCTTTAACTTCTCAAAATCTTAGGTCTTTATCTGGAAAATGGAAAAAAAAAAATGTATTCTGCCTCCCTCCCGGGGTTGTTTTGAGAATCAAATCAAACAGTGAATATGAATGTGTTTTGAAAGCTATCAAAATCTACAGAAAAGTCAGTATATTACTTTTAATGATAACCTTAATTTTCAGAAAAGTAATTAGCCAAAATTCCTCCTTTCCATTTATAGAAAATAACACATTAATTTTTCTTCCGTCTCTGATTCTACCCCCATCATCCTTGGCATTTCAAAAATGATTGCCTTGTAGTCAATAAGTTCATTAACCACTTCCCTAAACACCGCAGGAAACAACTCATCTCCCCCAAAGAACCCATATTTTGAACATAAGCATTTATTTTTTCACATACTTTTTTTCCTTTTTTTTCTAACCAAGTACAACATTAATGAGTTGTGTTTTACTTGAACTTTTGTATTGGGATTTCAGGGTAACTGACTTGAGCAAGGAGGCAGGATTTCTTAGGAGGTCAACCAGGAGGCAGAGCTTGAGTGTGAGTATCCACATCCCCCACTGTCATTCCTTGTGTTTTTTGAGAGTTTGTGTCATGAGCCTGAACTGTCTATGTACCATATGTGCCCTGGGGAAAGCCATTCTTATTGAAAGGCAAAATAAAGCCATCACTTACATGAAGAATGGAACCCATTTGGCAATGATATTCCTTTCCATATTTCCCTTCTCTGAACATTTTGTTACAGAGCAAAGACAGGCATAAACCTCACCCTGCTTCCTTTGAGGAAGCCCTCAGCTGCCCCGCTGTGAATACTGACCTGGCACTATCTGCCACCAATAGGGAATGTTTGGGTGGAACATCTACATATTTAATGGTATAGCTATTGTTAATTAAATAAAAACTATAAACAGAGAATATGTGACAAAAGGAAAAGGTCCAGATTTGCAAAGTTCTTTTTTAGCTACAGGAGGCCTCTTTGAGGAGGATATGAAGATATCCTTTAGTACCGACCCAAACAGTATGGATGGCTAGTGCCGTATCTTTTAAAATTCCTATCAGCGGACTCTTTTAATAATTGTCCACACAGGGCGGTTCAGAATCTGGTCTTCACTCCCATTCTTTGTACTTGCCAGCTGGGACTCCATTCTGTTTTCACAAATACACCACGTGCATCCTCTCTTTCCCCTCCTTGAGGTGGTTGTCCTGTCTGATATGCCTCTCCTTTATGCCTGCCACCTACTTAGAATCTAAAGTCCTTCAAGGCTTGGCACAAACCCGACACCCTCTATGAAGCCTTCCTTGATTGCACTAATCTCCCCTAAACTTCTTTTCTTCTGACCTTGACCCACAATTCAGCATCAAATGTTGTGTTCTGGTACCTAAGTGGCAGTCTCATCTGTTCCATTGGACTTGAAGGTTCAGGGCCATTATGTATACATCTCCTTTAATTTCCAGAGTGTGCAGTTCAAGGCAGTGCTTGGCACGGAATATAAACCGAGTAACAAATTTATTTACATGCAAATTCTGGCTATATCTCATGGCTTCGAGAACCTAAGTGCTTCAGAGTAAAAACACTGACACGGGCACTGCCTGAGGAAGTGCTGTACATGCTGTTTCCAAAAACATTCAAGGAGCTGTTGAACAACCACTGGCACAGACAGTATAGAGTGGAATCATGTGTGAACAGAGAGGGGTAAAGAAAATGGTAGCCCAGACAAGGAGGGTTGTCAGCCCATAGTCACGCAGTAGATGAGTGGTCAAAGTAGCACTTAAACCCTGGCATTCCAGCTCCCAGCCTGGACTCCTTCTAAAGTGTTCATGGACAATCACATCTGAAGAATCACTCTGAACATACTGCATTTTGTCTGCTACATGGTATCTAGAGAGGTCCAGGTCTCATGTGGTTACTACATGAAATGTCCAAACCCCCTATTTCCACAAGGGTAGAGACTTTTGTTTTGTTCATTGTGATAACTCCGAGTACTTTTCACATACTAGGTACCAAAAAATATTGACCTAATGTTGAATGAATGAGTGCCTAGGAAATCTGACTGTCAGTCATACAGACTAGGCTGTGTTGCAAAAGCAATGCTCAAACCTCAACCACTTAAAAAATTCAGGACTATTTCTCACTCATGCTCCATATCCATTATGAGTTAGCAGGGAACTCTGCTCTATCTCACCTTACTATGAGACCCAGACTAGTAAAACAGCCACCATCATGAGTGCTGCTCGTCACCGTGCCAAAAAGAAAGAGCACTGGAGGGTTTCAAATTTGCAGACAAATGGTTGGCCTGGAAGCTACACACATCATTTTCACTCCAAATTCACAGGCCAGACTTCATCACATGGCCTGCTCAACCATAAGGAGCCAGCAAGGACAATACTACCATGCTGCTAACAGGGGAAGGGGCAAGAAATATGTGTAGAGCAGCCTTCGGGACTTTCAAGAAGAATCTTTGCTTTCAGTGCCTTTAGTTTTCTTTAAAGCCATCAAGTAGGTTGAAGAAGAATAAACAGTCTGGAAGAAGCCATCCTTCATGTGTAGGGGTAATGTAAAAGAGAATTTGAGACATCTGTTTCATTACTTCTCAGGTAAGAGCAATTATGAGGCTGGGCACGGTGGCTCATCCCTGAAATCCCAGCACTTTGGGAGGCCGAGGTTGGCGGATCACGAGGTCAGGAGTTTGAGGCCAGCCTGGCCAACATATGAAACCCTATCTCTACTAAAAATACAAAAATTAGCCAGGTGTGGTGGTGCGCACCTGTAATCCCAGCTACTCAGGAGGTTGAGGCAGGTGAATTGCTTGAACTCGGGAGGGGGAGGTTGCAGTGAGCTGAGATCACACCACTGCACTCCAGCCTGGGCGACAGGGCGAGACTCTATCTCAAAAAAAAAAAAAAAAAAAAAAAAAAAAAGCAACTATGAGATGTTAAGGAATCAGACTCCATTGTAAGAATAGAGGAGGCCGGGCATGGTGGCTCACGCCTGTTATCCCAGCACTTTGGGAAGCCAAGGCAGGTGGATCACGAGGTCAGGAGATCGAGACCAGCCTGGCTAACACGGTGAAACCCCGTCTCTGCTAAAAAAAAAAAACAAAAAATTAGCCAGGCATGATGGCGGGTGCCTGTAGTCTCAGTTGAGGCTGAGGCAGGAGAATGGCGTGAACCTGGGAGGTGGAGCTTGCCGTGAGCCAAGATTGCACCACACTGCACTCCAGCCTGGGTGACAGAGCAAGACTCCATCTCAAAAAAAAAAAAAAAAAAAAAAAAAAATGGAGGCACAGTCCACGCAGAAATGACAGGGGACAGGAAAAAAGAGAAAGGGAAATCAGCAAGGTACTTTTCTACAGATCAACAAAGTGGTTTTGGTTGATTTCATGCAGAGTCTGAATCAACAGTGATGTGGTTTCCCCAAAGGTGAATTAAATTTTAGTTTACATTAACAAGAAATATAACTTCTAGAATGATGGAGGTGATAATTCTGCCTAACTCCACATTGGTAGAACCACATCTGGGATATCATGTTAGTGCCCGGTGACAGATTAGTGCAAACAGAGGAACATGACTGGATTGCTAAAGAGCTCAACATTCTGCCACAAGAGGAACAAAAAAAGTAAATTGGAATATATAACTTGAATAAGAAAATACTCACGGAGGCTGGGTGCAATGGCTAATGCCTGTAATCCCAGCACTTTGGGAGGCTGAGGCAGGTGGATCATTTGAGGTCAGGAGTTTGAGACCAGCTTGGCCAACATGGTGAAACCCTGTCCTACTAAAAATACAAAAATTAGCCAGGCATGGCAATGCATGCCTGTAATCCCAGCTACTCTGGAGGCTGAGGCACGAGAATCGCTTGAACCTGGGAGGCAGGGGTTGCAGTAAGCCAAGACCACGCCACTGCACTCCAGCCTGGGCAAGAGAACAAGACTCTGTCTCAAAAAAAAAAAAAAAAAAGAAAGAAAGAAAACCAGTCAGGGAGAAAATGACAATAATTTTTAATATCTGAGTGATTACTGTGTTGAAGAGCATTTATCCTAGTCTGTATGGCTGCAAAGCATAGGAATATGACCAAGGGAAAGAACTTACAAGGAGATAGATTTGTACTTGCTACCAGGAAGAGTTCCTAACAGAACTATCAAAATACAGAATGGCATGTTTGGAGACTTAAAAAGTTCCCCAATAGCAAAAAGATTATTGTGATAATCAAACATCAGCCATGTGGAAATTAAGATGAGTTGATTTCTAAGACTCCATCTCACTCAAACACATAATTTTAAGTTCCATAGTATCTACTCTTGCACTCACTGCTGGACATCTGTACCTACTCATGGGCACCATAATTTAGGGGACAGTTTCAGAGGAACACAATCCTACAGGGCAGGGATTGGCAAACTTTTTCTGTAAAGGGCCAGATAGTAAGTACTTTAGGCTTTGCTGGCCATATGGTCTCTATTCCAACGACTCAACCCTGATGCTGTAGTATAAAACCAGCCACAGATAATATGTAAACAAATAAACATGATTGTGTTCCAATAAAACTTTATTTAGAAAAGCAGGTTTGGGGTAGCATTTAGTTTTTGGACCTTAGTTTGCAACCCCCTACTATAGACACTGAGAAAGATTCCAGCTGGAGAAGCTGCTTATCTAAGAAATCTACACCCTCTGTGTGCCTCGTCCTCATTCTAGTGACAGAGGCCAAAATGTTATAGGACCTACTCATCTCTGTCCAACGACAAAGAAACTAAATAATTCCTGACTTAGCAGGGGGTGCAGAAAGCTCTGATCAAAGTACAAATATTTGTGATAATACCTTGAAAATACAAAGGAGGAAATGAAGATGTTTTTGCATAACCTTCAAACCTGGCTCACTGTTGGAAAACAAAAACTGTGACCAGAGATGCCATTGAGGAATTTGTGTGTTGGCTAAGGGACTTCTGAGATTGGCAGTAACCATGCAATCACATCAAGACTATGCCAAGAACTTACATGGCCATATTACAATTTTTTTTTTTTTTTGAGACAGAGTTTCGTTCTGTCTCAAAGGCTGGAGTGTGGTAGTATGATCTCAGTTCACTGCAACCTCCGCCTCCTAGGTTCAAGCGATTCTTGTGCCTCAGCTTCCTGGGCAGCTGAGATTACAGGTGTGCACCACCACACCCGGCTAATTTTTTGTATTTTTAGTAGAGACGGGGTTTCACATATGTTCACTATGTTGTCCAGGCTGGTCTTGAACTCCGGTTCTCAATTGATCCGCCTGCCTCATCCTGAGGGATCACAGGCATGAGCCATCGCACCTGATCTATATTATAATTTTTAACTAATTTGGATAAATACCTAATAGGTATCATGAGTGTTTTCTAGACTACAGTAAGACCAGACATACTTAAGTCTCTGGCACTAGTAGAATGTGAAGGAATGTATCTCTCTTAGCGTGGGGAGCTTAATGCACCAACCCTAACAAGCCTGGGCAAGGAAAGAGTGCACACCCATGACTCCCACCAAGGATGGAGCCAAGCCAAGCAGACAATTCAAATAGACAAATGACTTCTGATTTGAAGTAAGAGAAATGTTCAACCCATCCCACTATCAGCATGTTTAGCTCATAATCAGGCATTATTATAATGGTATGCAAATTGTGGAAACGGCAGACATTCTTTCCAACTATGTTTTCATTAAAGATTCAGCTTTTTTTCCCCCAGAATAATAGTAAATGACATGCGAACTTCACATGAACTATAGGTCATGAAAGGATTTAGTATTGGCATTTTTAATCTAAAAAGTCTAGTGCCAGAAAATCAATATGTTTCAGTTGCAGCATTCCAATGCAATTTTCCTCACGTAACAGGGTTTCTTTCTTTCCTCCTTTCTTCTTCTTTTTCTTCTAAGTCTTTTTTTTTTTTAAAGAATGAATAATTCCTGGTTTTTCTATGAAACAAGCTGCCGTATTATAAGGTAATGACATCAATAACACATTACATGTAAACAGAAAATGAACAAAAAATCATTCAAGGCCCTTTTGAAACTGGAGTGCTTTTCATCAGCCCTATTACAGGTTCCATTCACATTATCGGATTGAACCATCCTGCATAACCGAGGTGCTGACAAGTCCTGATTACCCAATAACTCCTATATCCCTTTCAGGCAGGTTCACGGAGAGGACAGGAATACCAGGCCTTCCTGGGGGGCAGCTGGCCTGCCACGGAGACCCAATCAATGAAACTCAATGCCCTCTCACTTTCCTTCTCCAAAAATGGGGCACTGGACTTCCTGGTGCATAATTGGGTCTTTTTTCCCCCTGTGTTCTCAATTGTTTCAGATAACAGCTACTTATAATACAGCGGAGGACAGGCCAGGCTAACACTACCAAACTCTTTCCCCCAAATATTTACAGCTCCATTTAAGCTCTCTATATGGCAGATTAGATGGTGTCTTTCTTAAGTAGCAGAAACAACTGAAGAGCTTGGCACTTGGGACAAGATGGGTACCAGACAGGCTGCAAACATTCATCACCTGAATGTTTATATGTTTCAAATAACCAATCCCTTACATTTTACTCTTCAATCTTGAGTTATACCACTAATATAACACCCAAAGTCCCTTTTCCTTATTTTTTATACCACTGTGTGACATTTTGCCCTTTTTGAAGAAATTTTTGTTGAGGCCCAAGCTCTTTCTGCTCTTCAACAAATGGAATTTCTCCCCCACTAGGTAGGAGTGTCGTGGACACCATGGCTCAGGTGTGACAGATATGACAGCCAGCTGCCTGGCTGGCCTGCCTGATATCTGTGGGGCAGGGGTGATTCTACTAAAGGTTCAGAGCCTCTGGGCAAGACCACAATTCATTTTCTCAAGACAACTTTTCAACCCTTGCACAGAAACTACAGCCTGTTGCTTGTGGTACAGCTCTGAGAAACAGCCAAACCAATTTAAAATAAGCCTTTAAACAAGCAAACTGTGGTTTTTGCCTTTTGGGTGGTATATCACTATATATTTGACGTAATCTTCAGCTTGGGAGATATCATATTTTTAAAACAAATTTCTTGGCTTCCATCTTGGCTCTGGGGCATTGCTGTCTGAGGACATGGGTTTACCTAATTAATGCAGGCTCCAGCCTTTTTCTCTTTTTCCTTAAAACCTCTCCTCCTACAGTTAAACTCACACACTGATACATTTGCAAACAGAAGAAAACAAATAGAGTACTGGGCTCCTTACTGAAGTGTTTTAAATTAAAATGAAGGTCTAATTATGCAGGTTGCAGCACATCCTAGTGTATCCTACGTCCAGAGGCAGGAGGGGGCAGTGGTGTAGAGGATGGGCTCTCTCGTGGTTCAAATCCTAGTTCTGGTTGTGCACACTGTGAAAATCTCCTGGCCTCTTTGTATCTCAGTTTCTGAACTGTAATGGCACCTGTAGGGTACAGCAACCCTGAACATGTCAAAGGCTTAGAACAATGTCTCTTGTAGGGTAAACACTTGTTAAATGCTGTTATTATTATAAATAAAAATACCACTGGAGTAAGTTTGAATTGTTATTGTGTCTTGGCAGAACCTGGTGAGATTAGGTGCTCTTCTAAAGGAGATGGAGGCCATTAGAGAGCTTTGAATAGGGAGGGACATGACTTGACTTGCATTGTAAAAGGATCACTATAGCTACTGTGCAGAGGTCAGTCTATAAGGACAAGAGTGGGAGCAAGGAAACTAATTAACTATTATAATAACCCAGGTGAAATCAAATGGTACGTGGACTAGCGCGGTAGTGGTGGAAGTCGGAATCAGTGGTTAGATTCTGGATGACTTTAAAGATAAAGCCCACAGAGTTGTGGAAGGATTAGATCTCGGGCATGAAAGAAGAGTCAAAGATTATTCCAAATGTGGGATCACCAACTAGAATTGATCAAGGCCGATGAAAAAGTCTGAAAGAGTGAAGATAGAGACAAGTTGAATAGTGAAGAAACAGACCATCTAAGAGGGCAATACTAGGCATAGCAGTTACGGCAGACATGTCATAGAGGTGGGAAGATTTGGGATCATCAGCAAGTGGAGGGGATCTTACAGGGCATTCTAAGCAGAAGGAAAAGCTTGGGCAAAGATGTGGAAATGGAGCAAATGTTTAATGCCAAAGAAAGAGGAGATTAGCAGAACTGAATAAAGAAGCCTTCTTAGAAAGCACTGAAAATAAGGTTAGAGGAGCCCAGTACAGCTGGGATTCGGAAGGCCTTGACTATCTGCCAGACAGTTCTGTTTAGGGATGGAATGGGAGTGTGGATGCTTGGGTTTTGGGTTCAGCTATAATCTGTGCATATATGTTTTATTTTTAAGGTTAGCAAAGAAAAGGTGTACATGTACTCATACTACTGAAGTCAAGATGGGTCTAGGAGGATCTACCATGTTTTCCATTTTTTCTGGAGCTTTGGGGCCGTTCAGTGTTCTTTTTCATAGCAGGCATCACCAAGCCTCAGGAGTATATTGGATATGATCTGGCCATATTCACAAGCCTCATTAAACCTGTGGGCCACCCACAGTTGCATTTCATCTTTGAACCCTGGACTCTGCAATTTGCAATTAAGAAACAAACCCAGACCAAGCAAAATAAAATAAAAACATTCTGCCCGGCTGGCTGTGGCTCTACGGTGCTCAAAGCAGCTTTACTGAAATGCCTCCAGTGATTGTGGTAAGTTTTTATTGTCCCCCAGTTTCACAAAGAAGGAAACCTGAGCAACTAAATAACACATTTATTGAGGGAAGAGAGCTGATGAACAGCACCATGCAGAAAAGAATTCATTTTTACTCAATGAAGATTCAACCATGTGGCAAATGTCTGCTGGTATCTGCCCAGCAAAAGATCACAGGAGATTAGAGAGACATTCAGCTAACGTCAGAGGGGACACGGGTCTTCATTTTGGCACTCAGTCGGTCATGGCCTTTTGCTTCACTTACTCCTTGCACCAGCTCAAAAAAATTAATGGGAGCTCAGCTCTGCTATTGTTGTCAAATATTATGTTCTAGCTTAATTGCAGTCATTACTAAACAGAAAGTCCTGTGACAAATGCAGTCAACAGGAGTTCACTGTTAAAAGCACTTGAAGAATCAGATTAAAGGGGCTTGGCAAACTTGGGAGGATAAAATCAGCATCAATTTTCTTTGCTTCTTGGGTCACAATCTCTCTGACTTGGGTTTTCTCACCTGCGAATGGAGACAATAATACCTCCCAAAGTTCTTCAGAATATAATATAGGCTTTGGGGCTGGAACTGCTGAGCATGTCAAGAGGTTGTCTGTATAAAGGACCAAGGAGCCTACTGAGAAAGAACTCAAGGAAATAAGAGAATAAATACAGGCTCTGATGGCCATCAAGGGTCAGAACATTCTAAAGAGAGCATTGAGCTTGTCATTCAGATTATTGTCTAGTCTAGCCCCCTTAGAAATAAAGAAGCTCATATGTAAAGAAAAATACTAAAGAAGCAATTTATCTCCCTTTCTCTTACATACACACAAATTCTGTGACAAATGGGGAATAGCACTTTAACATCCAAACCACAAAAGTGTGGATAAGTGGAACCTTACTCACAGGGCCTTGTTTGATTTCCATGGGGGCACAGCCCAGCTTTGGTGGAGGCTTTTTAAAAAATGGCTTGAGATACAATTCACAATAACATAAAATTCACCCTTTCATAGTATACAACTTGGTGGTTTTAAGTCTATTCACAAAGGTGGGCAAATATCACCACTATCTAATCTTGAAACATTTTCATTATCTCCCAAAGAAACCCCATGCCCATTAACAGCCACTCCCCATTGTCGCTTGTCCCCAGCCCCTGGAAGCTGCTAATCTACTTTCTGTTACATTAGCCTATTCTGAATATTGCATCTAAATGGGATCATACAATATAGGGCCTTTGTGACTGGTTTCTTTTACTCAGCATAATGTATTCAGGGTTTATCCATGTTGTAACATGTATCGGCACTTCATTTTTTTTATGGCTGAATAATATTCCATTTTGTGGATATAACACATTTGTTTATCCATTCATCAGTTGAATATTTGGGTTATTTACAATCATGAATAATGCTGCAAGAACTTTCACATTCTAGGTTTTGTGTGAACATGTTTTCATTCCTTTGAGTATATCCTAGGAGTGGACTTGCTAGTTTATATGCTTAATCTTTGTTTAACCTTTTGAGAAATGCCAGACTGTTTTCCAAAGCTATTGCAGCATTTTATAATTTCACTAGCAATGTAGGAGGCTTCCAAATTCTCCTCATCCTTGCTAACACCTGTTACTGTCTGACTTTTTGGTTTTAGTCATGGTAGTGAGTATAAAGTAGTATCTCACTGTGATTATGACTCACTTTTATTTATTCTTCTTGGCATTAACGTGAACTTAGTGTGAGGACTTGCCATGGTTTTGCTGTTAGTTTCTCATCTGTATCAATTGATTTCACTCCTGTGGGCCACTGTCCTTTTCTCCTGCTAGGTCCCCTTTAGTAGTGGCAATTACTTGGGCCTCTGCTATTTGTGGGGCTACTGGTGTGTCTCTAGCACTATGACCCCAGTGCTGACACCAATGGTCTGGCATCTATGCCAAAGATACTTTCTCAGATGTGATATTAGTGCCACTTTCCACTGTGGCTGAAGCCATAAATAATGGAAACTGCCACCGCAAGAGCCTCAGATGTTAGGGACAGGAGCACAGGGTCTTTGTTCTTGTCAAGACTAGCACTTTAAGTCCTGCTTCTAGAATCCTCAGTGTTCTAAAGCTCTGCTAGATTTCCAGTTTAAGATGGTAGATGGAACACCTGCCAGAATCAACACCCAGGCCCACCTCCATACAAAATGCAGAAATAAGAGATATAATTAACAAGTACATATCCATGCTCTACAACACAATATGAATGCACTAAATAGAAATGGAGGAACATACAGGACCTTATGGTTATAACGAGAAGGTAGCCATGGTTATATCACCAGCACAGAGCTGTGAGTAACTCCATACCTCCTGTAAAAGCTTGAAGCCAACAGTGCCCTAGGGCTGCCTCAACATCAGTCTGTAACAGCCCAAGACATGCAAGGGAGGATCCTCCTACAGAAGATATGCACAAAATGGAGAGTCCCCAGGTAGCTGAGGGAGACTAACCCCATTGGTATTCACACTGTAGTACAGATGCACCTCCACTTATAATGAGGTTATGTCCTGATAAACCCATAGTGAGTAAAAACTACCATAAATAAAACAGAAGTGAAAACTGCATTTAATACCCTGATAACCCCATCATAAAGTAAAAAAAAATTAAGTCAAACTGCCATAAATCCGAATGTTTCTCAACTGACAATGAGGTTACATCCCAACAAACTCATTGTATAGTCGAAAAATCTAAGTTGAACCATTATAAATCAGAGATTTTTGTTTTGAGACAGAGTCTCGCTTTGTAGCTCAGGCTGGAGTGCAGTGGTGTGATCTTGGCTCACTGCAACCTCTGCTTCCCAGGTTCAAGCAATTCTCCTGCATCAGCCTCCTGAGTAGCTGGGATTACAGGCACCCGCCACCATGCCCAGCTAATTTTTTTTTTATTTTATTTTAGTAGAGATAGGGTTTCACCATGTTGCCCAGGCTGGTCGCAAACTCCTGAGCTCAGGCAATCCGCCCGCCTCGGCCTCCCAAAGTGCTGAGATTACAGGTGTGAGCCACCACTCCTGACCAGTGGTTTGTATTTTATTACAGCAGCAGCCAAAAGTGACTCAAACGGTGGGGATACATACAGTCCTAGCTTCCCTGAGTAACCATTATGGTTTCTCCTTTTAAAGGCTTTATGATCCTGTTACAGAAAGCTTTGGTTCCTTCTGTTCTTCTCAGAAAACTGCCCTCTGCCTGCAAAGGTCCCTGCAGAACTGTTTGTACTGTGAGACCCTGTCCCTGTGCCTCTTCAATGGATCAAAAAGGATATCAGAAGTAGACAGTCATATTCTTTCTTCTAGAATTTGGAGTTAATGATTCAGAGACTAGATTGTCTCTATTAATGGTTAGACCAAGAGTCTTGCACATTGTGAAAAACTATTGTTCAGCACATACTCTCCTTCCTCCACAAAGACATGATCTAGACAGTGTGCCACATTTTACAGCATCTTACTCATTTTTCCACATTGAGGAGTTATGCATCAGTGCTGAACAAATTATAATGCAAGGACATTTTGTAGAAAGCAGTGTCATGTTTTGTCATATAAGACAGTGTTTATCAGACACATGGCAGCAGCGATAACAGAAACACAGGTTAAATTTAGAGCAGTGGTTCTCAAATTATTTCATGTGATATCATCTACTCCTCAACCATATCTTACAAAGGTATAAACTACGAAGACTATGCTTAAATGAACAGAGCTTAGTGTTGAAATCGAATCAAATGAATTAAAAAAATCAATTTAACACATATTTAATGCTATGCACAGTTGTAATTATACTGCCTGGCAATTAGACATAGGAAGCAAACTGTTCAGGTAGATTCTTATGCAATTATTTGACTTTTCCACAGTCAGTTGCAAGGGGGCAAAAGCAAATTACTCTTGAACAGGAAAGATAAAGAAATTACTATTTTCTAGTCTTTAACTTCCTACAGCAGAATCTCTGAACTTATTTATTTATTTATTTATTTTTTTTGGTGCCACAGACCTTTTAGTAGGCTGCTGAGGGTTGTAAACTTCTTCTCAGAATAATGTTCCTAAAATAAAACATATTGGATTATAAAGAAAACCAATTGTATGGTCTTTTAAAAACTTTTAAAAATAACCGTCTTTTTAAAAAATTGAAATATTGCAACAATTAAATGTGATATGAAGAAAATCATACCAGGCACTGCTTGTAATACTGTGGTTACTTCCATTCATAATTTCAAATTTCATTTACGAGTGAGGTGGGCCAGGTGTGGTGGCTCATGTCTGTAATCCCAGCAATTTGGGAGGCCAAGGTGGGAGGATTGCTTGAGTGCAAGAGTTTGAGACCAGCCTGGGCAACATGGTGAGACTCTTTCTCTACAAAATAAATACAAAAATTAGCCACGCATGGTGGTGCATGCCTGTAGTCCCAGGTACTTGGGAGGCTGAGGTAGGAGGATCACCTGGGCCTGAAAATGTCGAGGCTGCAGTGAGAATGAAGATGGATCTTTCTTTTTTTGCTATTAAAGTTGAGGGATTCTCTGAATTGAGGTTAAGAAGTCTGTCCTGAGGGGAGAGGTCAACCACCATTCTCCAGTAAATACTCACTAAACGTTACTTATTTATTATAAAACCCCCAAACTAATAATAAACAGTTTTTACATTATGTAAACCTGGGCTAATACACTGACCTTGTAAGAACAAGTCACCTTAATGCCATTGCCAGAAAGCTGTTTAAATAACTATGCAAGTCTATGATATCTGTGATGTGAACAGTGACCCCTTAGATGTGGAATGCACGTTAGCATAATCATACAAGGGAGTCTTAATATGGGTATTTCAGGTATTCCAGGTCTCTCCAGGAATTTGGAATCACATCTGGCTCCCAACCCCACCTTCACTCTGAGGGAATCCTTGAGGGGTTCTTGGACAATTGGGCAGAGTTAAGCCTCCATGTCCATGAATCAGGTTGTAAACGTAAGTTATTAGAAATCCCTTTAGAATGCTCCAATTCTCATCCTCAACCCCCTCAGGGAAGCTGAGAAGTTTTTCTCCTCCTTGGAATCAGTAGGCCCCAAGCATCTGACCTCCTGAGACACCCAAGTACAAGACAGAGGAGGAAGATTGCTGGAATCCCCAAAGCTAGTGTCATACCCGGGACTAAAAATTAGAGGCCAGCTTAACTCACCACTATGCAAATCACCATCCTGGGGTTTGATTCTGAAACACAGACACACAAAGAATTGTTGAATTAAAGGAATGTCGGCACAGCCTGCTCTGGCTCTCTATCTCTGTATCTAAGCTGAGTTTTTAAGCATGTACTAGAGGCCAAGGCAGGTGGGTCACGAGGTCAGGAGTTGGAGACCAGCCTGACCAACACAGTGAAACCCCATCTCTACTAAAAATAAAAAATTAGCCAGGCGTGGTGGCACGTGGCTGTAACCCCAGCTACTTAGGAGGCTGAGGCAGGAGAATTGCATGAAACCGGGAGGCAAGGGTTGCAGTGAGCCAAGATCGCACCACTGCACTTCAGCCTGGGTGACAGAGCGAGATTCCGTCTCAAAAAAAAAAAAAAAAGATTTGGTAGCAACTCTTAATAAAATTACGTGAGTGTTTACATAGTCAAAGTAGTCCTTTTGTAAGCTGCACAAATAAATACTATTCCCCCTACCCTGAACCTCTGCTTTGAAGAAAGAACACATGCTTAGCTGTCTTTTGTCCTATATTACAAAAGAAAGTCCCTTTCTGTGGAATATCTGAATCATTCACTGGCAGTTTCTCAAGGTAAACAGAGTAAATTAAAAATTAATGTTTCTCATATGTATACACACACACATAAGTGAATGCAATTCTTCCTCACCCCACCAGGCATTAAAAGCAGTTGAGCCCATCTGTCATTTCAAAAAGCCTCTAAAAAAGTAGAAATCTAGGACAACATCAAAAAATTTCTGAAAACAACCTCCTGGATAAAGATAAATGTTCTTCCAATGATTTGTCTTGTCAAATTAGTCCCATGCATGAGACTAGACTGGGGAATGAGGGGAAAAAATGGGACCATCTCTTGCTTTTAACAGGGGAGAAAACAAAAAGAAAAAATAAGACTATAATTACGCTGATAAAGGAAAAAAATCCCCACGAAGATCTGCTTTTCCCTGTACATGATTAGCTTTTCTTTATGAATTAGGTTTTTGATAAAAGCTGTTTCAGATTACAAGAAAACAAACAAACCATGATTCTTATGAATTCATATAATGTTACATCTCTGTGGAGGAAGCAGGAATACCTTTGACCAGTCTAAATCCAAGACAAAATTAAAAGTAAGCTGTAAGTCAAAAAAAAAAAAAAAAAAAAAAAAAAAAGAATACCTTCTGAGTACTCAGTTTTTCAAGCAACATCAGGAATAGGGAGGGAAAGGTTGTAGGGCTAAGTGAACTGATTGTAAGCTCCTTTTGTCCTCTAATTCTATGTTTCAGTTATAGGTCTAATTATTCTGCTGGTAAAATATCTAGACCTTAATTCCCTTACTTTATCCTGAGTTATTTGTTAACCATTTGAGAATATGATGAAAGCAATTAATCCTCTCCTAAGATGTACACTTGTGTGGGAACATACCATTTTGCATACCATCACAGAGTTCATGGATTTCCTGAAGTTTATATACATGGAACTCTTATAAGTCTACACAGGCCAGATAAAAGACTTCGGTCTTTAGCCATTGTAGAATCCATTTAGCTCTTTCACAGACACTATCTAGGTAGGAAATGAGAGCCCTACACAAAACTCAAAGTCTCTAGGAATCTTCTCAGTCCACGAGCCTCACGGACTGCCCATGACACTGAAGGCATATCTTCTCACTCCTGCAAAATATCTTGTCCAGGGCAGTTTAGAAGTAAAGCACTGCTAGGATAGCATGCAAGTGAGATGTCTGGCTCACTTAAATATATTATGGATTCAGGCAGGTGAACAAAAGCAATGGGACTTCCAAATTCTAACTAGTAATACATGGACCGGTTCATGGGTCAGAGTTAGAGATCCATTCTGAGAACTGAATTAAACAGTAAACAATTTGGACAGGGAATAAGTTGACCCTCCCAGTTAGAGTGAGGGTTTTTTTCCCCCTCCAGTAATCCAGATAATTTCATTCTTTCTCTGCCAGACCTTTACCACTGAATAATTACAATAATTAAACTAAGAATTTTTGAATGTTTACTACCTGCTGGCTACCATGCTAAATATATTCATGTATGAACTCATTTCAACCTCATGTCGACTTCAAGAGGTAGGTACAATTAAAATCAACATGTTACAGATGATGAAACAGAAGCACAGAGATAATTTGCCCGAGTTCCCAGAAAGCTAGGAAATAGTGAAGTTACTTCCCACCTTTCATTTCCCATGGACATAGATAGCTTAATTTTCCTCTAAGTAGGAACTTCCAGCAAAACCCTAGTTACCAGCTTCTTTGGGGGAAAAAAAAGCCTTTTTGGCAGACTCCAGGCTGCCTTGCCCTTTGAATTTTCTACTGTGGGTTTGAGAGGATCTTTCCTTGTTTCTGGAATACTTCATGATGTATGTGTCTTCTTACCCTCTTCTAAGTTTCTTCTTTCAAGGCTCATCTCAAGTTTTGCCTCTTTTGGTGGATGTCCCTAGGGCTCATTCTATTATGTAAGATTAGGCATCCTTGAACATACTTTGCTTAGACAGTTGATTCAACTAGATCCTAAGTCTCTAATATAGAAAACCATGAAAATTTACTGAGCCAACAAGATGCACTTTTGAGAAACACATTTGGTGTGTGAGGCAAAGCTCCCTTTTCTCTAAATAAATCCTCCATCTCCATATATCCTTGTTCCCGTCCTGATACTTCAGAATTCTCCGTCTAGCTGCTGTGGTAAAGGGCCTAAGGGTCATGGAACTTGTTCTCAACATATTATTTTCTGCTGTTGGTGATCTGCCTTACATTTAGATTGGTATTCATTATCTAGCATGTGAGTGTCTTAGTCAAAACCAAAGGAGAAATAGTCCCATCTTGTCCACATATCACAGCAATAAAAGTGGGCCACTGACATATCGAATCTTAGGCCTGGGAGAATTTTCATTTAATACTTAAAAGAACACAGCCCTACATATTAGGCAAATAAAATAAAAGTGTCATGAGGCTGGGACTCTTTTTAATCCCATCATACAAACAAGAGACCAGAGAGGTTAATGTCTTAGTTTGTCCAGGTTGCTATAACAAAATACCTTAGACTGGGTAATACATAAACAATGGAAAATTATTGCTCACAGTCGTGGAGCCTGGGAAGTCCAAGATCAAGGTACCAGCAGATTTGATGTCTGGTAAAGTTCTGTTCTTCATAGATGGTATCTTCTCACTGCATCCTCACATAGTGGAAGGACAAAGGGGTCTCCCTCAAACCTCTTTTATAGGGGCACTAATGCCATTGATGAAGGCAGAACCTCATCACCTCCCCAAAGCTCCACCTCTTAATACCAACACATTGGGGACTGGATTTCAACATGTGGATTTCTGAGGCACACAAATATTCTGACCATAGCAGTTAAAATGCCCAACAGTCACAAAGCAAGCACAACCAGGATTTGAACACAAGTACTTAAGAGCTCTTGCTCTTAACTACTGTACCATGTTGCCCCTCTAGCATATGAGAGTTACACGGTAAGTGGTAACACATAGTCTATATAATTTGGGTAACATATTACTCTTTTGGGAAAATGGACAGATTGTCTTTCGAGAAAAAAGCAGAAATACTTTTTCCATGAGACACAGCAGGACTAATCACATAGTAAAGGGCTAACTGGGGCACTATTATCTGTGTATACACCTCGATACCCTGTGATAAAGACCAGAGCAGGGTAAAGGCAGGGAATGAATCTGAGAGCAAATCTGCAAAGCTGGTGATTTTTCCTCTTCCTTCCCCCCTCCACTCCCTCTTCCTCCTCTCTCTTCTTTTACAGAAACAGTAGGAGAAAAGACTGGGAGGCCACGAATACATTGCCAAATGACTTCTAGGAAGCTTCCGCCAACGGGCCGTTGGAAGGAGAGAAGCTATGGTCTCTCTCCTCTCTCCCTCTGCCTTAGGTGGCTTCTCCCACAGTGACTGAATTTCCTCTGTGGTTTTAGCTCCCACTGTCTGCCCCAGATCTTAACCTCCAACAGCACCATCTCTTCCTGTAGTCCCTTCAGCCTGGGTTGGGAGAGGGGTAGTGGCTTTCTGTTGTAGCTAATGTCTGGGTGGCCCCATTCTGCAGTTTCCTCTTTTAGCTCTTACATCAACTGTATGACCAACTCCCCATATTCAATTCCTTCTGCTAGAAATAGCTGGAATGGCATTTATTTTTCCTTATTGGATGCTGACTGGTAGAGAGAATGAATTCACTACCAGGACTTGCCTAAGGCCATGCGGTAAGTACTAAAGTTAAGTTCCTGTGGTTCAAATGTCTCTCTTCAAAACCTGGACTTTTCCTACTAGAATATGCTGCTTCTCAGTGAGTACCCAAGGTTTATAAACTTAATTCTTAACGAATGACAACATAATCAACATATGGTGTTTTTTGGTTTATCTCAGTCCTCTTTGGTTTTTTGATTATGCTGATCCTTTTGGCAAGTTCTGACTTGTTCATGGAATTCTTACAGATGTGGAGCTCTTTCCTGGGAAACAGGCTGCATTTTCCTCGGTGAATCCTTCGGTGAACATCCCCTCCTTACCTCCTCCGAAGTTATTGTCTCTGTGATACTTGGGCTGAAGCTAAGAAGGCTTATTCAAAGTAACAAAGCCCTTAGAACAAATGAGAAGGGTGCAGACAACCGATGAGCCATGAGTAGCCACTCCCAGTTACGACACATGTGAAATTGAGCTCCAGCATTCTTGGCTTGAATTTCAAAAATGCAACTAGGTTGTGACCCTGTGAGGCTGGCTAGGGTAGGTGAGCAGAACCAGTTCTTCATTTTGGTGGCAGAGAACAGGCAGAAGACAAACACATACCACCTTTTTAGCCAGAACTCCTAAACCTGAGACATTTCCATTTAATCAGACGAAAGCAAAGATAGAGATACTAGGTGATGAT
This sequence comes from Homo sapiens, assembly GCF_000001405.40. Lineage (NCBI taxonomy): Eukaryota > Metazoa > Chordata > Mammalia > Primates > Hominidae > Homo > Homo sapiens. The sequence goes on along the minus strand of NC_000003.12, from coordinate 25,293,675 downwards.
GGTTTTAGGAAAATGGGATTAGTTATTGTCATAGACAGCTGCTTCCTATCTCTGAACTTTTTTTTTTTTTTTTTTTTTAAATGGAGTAACTCTAGCCTCGGGAAATTCTTTTTCTCTTGTCCAGTGTTCTGCAAAATATCATCTGAAATTGGAAAATGCTGTGTTGTATGTTGGGTAATAGGCATTCTTCCCATCGTCAACAATACAATAGCATCAACTACAAAAAGAAGCATTAAAAATGTTAATAACAATGAACGTTTGAGGGCTTGTGATATGCCAGGCACTGGTCTAAGTGGTTCATTATAAAACATCAACTCTTAAGGACTTTATGAAGTAGGTATTATTATAGCCTCATCTTACAAATGACAAAACTGAGTACAGATAGGTGCTCACTGCCCAGACTGACACGGCCAGTAAGTGGCATAACTGGCATTTGAACACTGAAAATTCAGAGCCTTTGCCCACATTTTTAACTACAGTACTGTACTGCTTCTCCGTAACGTATCAGAATACAGATACAGGTATACGGCGAAAAATTCTACATAACGTGTCTGATCTGGTTGCGTGACTGCACAGCCAGGCTGTGAATAACTAGGAGAGCTAATCTTTTGTCTGCATTGGATTCTCAGCCACAGGAAAAAAATTAAAAATAACACACAAAAAACAAAACCAACCTCCTTTACTGAGTGTCTAGGATCTTTTTGGCTCTCGCGGAGAACACATCATGCTTAGTTTGCATTAAATTTTGGGAGCGTCTTCAGTTTCACAGACCCCAAAGGTATTTTCAGGCTGACACTAAGGCAAAAGCTATTTCTAAGTGACCAGCCTCGAATAGGGCAGGACCATGTTTTCTCATAACACAGGCCTGCAGCTAAAATCAAGGGCACGTTTAAACATGCCCATTTTGAAACCAACGCAGGGCTCTTTCTTCCCCACTTGCCAGTGGGGACAGCTGACCATATCAAAGGGAAAGGAGCTCCTGAGGAGTCTAGCTTCTGGAGACTTTGGTTTCTGAGGATTAAGAAAGCTAAAGAGGAAGGCATTAATATAAATCTTTCTTTGCCTAACTCTGTCAGGGATATGAAGCTACATAGAGCAACGCAAGCTCTCTCTTGTTTTAGAAGAACTTTTTCATCTTATAATCTACTTTAACAAAAACTACAAAGGTTTGTTTCTATAGGCTTTTCCCCATCTCTTCTTCCCACCTCAAAGGAAGACGGGGCATAGCATTTGGCTCCCCTCTTTGAGAGAAAGCTCACCATTCACTTAGTGACATGTCCCTGCCCACATGAAAGAAAATGCTGTGTGTGCCCCACTTTGCCTTTAGACTCTGTGACATCGGGGAGGACTTGCTCAATGTGGGACATTTCTTGGACACATTTCCAAATTACATTTTGGTGGGGTGAGGGTGGGAAGGGGCTATCTCACCATCCAATGGCCCTAAACTCGCTGCATCGCCAGCAGTGAAGAACAGTCTTTGTATTTTTGTTAATTTGTCAAATTCTCCTACTGGGGACAAGAGAGCCAACTCTGCTCATCAGCAACCCCTGAAGCAGGGTATTCTTCAAGAAAAGGATGGGGAGTTTGAGAAACAATTAATCTCTATCAAGGTTTGGCAAAAAAAAAAAGTGGGAGGAAGACTCACTACCCCCTTCTCACATGTTAGAAACAACGTTGTATTAAATTGGTAAAATTTTAGTGAGAGGAGTGGTTCTGTCAATCCCCATAAGAGAGGGAAAGTTAAAGTCCTGGGTTAAAGATTAATATTCCAAGTTCAGAACAAAAGGATGTTCTTTTGTGCCTCTGTGCTTATGCCTCTGAATGTAAACATTGTTCTGAGAGCCATTTTTTCTTTGCCAGATCTTTAAAGGGTAATAAATTAGCCCGTGGACAGCCATACAAGCTGCTACTAGATGTGAATGTGAATGTGTCTGAAGAAAAGGCTGACTTTCAATCAAAGTCTATTGAAAGAATGGTTGGATTTTCTAAAGAAGCATGTTGTGCCTATTAACCAACTTACAAAAGGGGCCATTTCCTTGATTTATGTTTGGTTGCTATAGAGATCCTGCAGCCCAGACTGGCAGGTGAAGCTCCCCTCTAACAATCTCAGAGGTTTTTCTTAGTTATCCTCTGAGGCTGAACTGCTGCAGTGGGTAAAAGGCAAACAAGCCGTGTGTGTTCAAAAAAAAAAAAAAAAAAGCAAACATCTGGCTCAAGCATTTTTACCCATATCTCTTAAATTATGACTTATTATATCTGAGACTTAGGGCAAGCATTTTTACAGCACTTGAAAACATGAGTACAAAGAAAAGTTTATTTTTCTATTTGGGACCATTAATGACTGGTTTCTGCAAGTGCAGTTTATTGCTTACATTATTTTACAGAATGCACAGCGTTCCATGCTTGAACTCGAACTGATCTTCAAGAATGAGCTATGCATTCATGACCTGAGGGAAGATATATATGTGTGTATCTATGAGTATATTTGTGTACATTTTTGTGAAGCAGATGGATTATAATCATTGCATGGTAATGCTGGAGGGATATTAAAGATAGTTTTGCCTCAACTCTATATTTTTCAGAAGGGGAAACTGAGGGATTTCAGAAAGATTTGCCCAAGTATGACATAAGTGATCTGTTGTAGGGCAAAATTTGTCTCTTTACCAAAGCTCTTGCCATCATTTCCCTATCATGTGAGCAAGCTCATAGAAAACTTCAGGGTCAGAGAGGTGAGGAGAGGGCTCGAACACTGGCGATGATATAATTTCACTTATAATTCACAAGGAAAACATTATGGCTGGGTCAAAGACTAATCAAAGTTTATGTTCTGGGGAAAGCAAGAGAAGAGGGGAGAGAGAGGGAAAAGCCAAGGACTGAGCAGAGCGCTAAGTGCATCCCTCACTGTCAATGGCCCTTATATATACAGAGAGAGGAAAGACAGCCCAGGACTCCAGTTATCAACCAATAGAGCAAAGTCACTGCAAGGAGGTGAATTGCATGAGCAGGATCACTTCTGACTCCTGAACCTTTTTTACCATGTACCCACTTTGAGTTTCCTAGTATCAGAGATACTCCTTGTAAAGCCTTTTGAACGTTTTAAAGGGACCATGAAGGAATCATCTTCCCCAGTCATGAAGGCGTGTTTCCTGTGTCCCTCCACACAGTGGATTAGTTTGCTAGGGCTGCCATAACAAAACACCATAGACTGGGTGGTTTAAACAACAGAAATCCATTTTCTCATGGTTCTGGAGGCTAGCAGTGTGAAATCAAGGTGCCAGGAGGGTTGCTTCTTCTGAGGCCTCTCTCGAGGGGGTGGTAGGGTCAGTTCTTTGAGTGTCTTTACATGGTCTTCCCCCAGTTCATGCCTGTGTCCTAATCTTGTCTTCTCATAAGGATGTTAGTCCTATTGGATTAATGATTTCATTTTAGCTAGATTGCTTCTTTAAAGACCATATTTCCAAACGTAGTTATGTTCATAAGTCCTGGGGGATAGGTCTTCAACATATAAATTTGGGGCAAGGGGGACATTACAGCCTGTAACACACAGTTAAATGAGATTTCTATGTAAATAGCTCAATGCTTCATTAGCCTAAAGAAAAGGGGAGCATTCTCTAGAAGGTTCTCTTAAATCCCCCAACCCAAGGACTGAGAGGGGGATTTCCACAGGCCCTACCAGTACCTTCCAGAGTCTTTTCCTGATTTCCAGTAAAGTCAGGATTTCTTCCCAGCTCAGAGTTGTGGTGACATCCTTTTAGCCACTAGGAATTCCTGGTAGCCTCATTCCCCACAAAGTCTTAGGGTCTCCGGTTAAGAACTGTTTACTGGTGGCTGGAAAATTAATCCTTTGGTTGATTTCCAAAAATTATCTATGACTTATTCCATTGCTATCCAGTACTTCCAAGAAACCAAAGGGAATAGCCCAGATAGAAAAAAAATCCTTCGCCTTCCTCCCACTCCTTTATTATGCTATAAACATTTGTTAATACAGCAATTATCTTTTGAGTTGTAAAGGCTAAGTAACTACGAGGAAGAAAGGGGTGAAGGAAAAGTGCAATCCTTCAAGCTTAATGAAGTCAAGTGAAATTATTTCAAGTGGATGTGAATTATGGAGAACAGAATCCTCTTTTGCCAAAGTTTAATAAATGATGGCATGCCATTTTGTTGAGCCAAACCTCCTTGCAGCTTGGTTTTGTCAGACAACATATACAAGAACACAATAAAGACATCTGTGGACAGACCTGGCCTTTTGGAAAAGGGAACTCTTTGTGATTGAGAGGTGACTGATGGTAACAGGGAAAAAGGATACTCTGTCTCTTGGATAGCCCCTTGTTAATAAAGCCAGCTTCACTGAGCATTTGCCAAGTGTCCACCATTGTGCTCAGTGCTTTACACACAGATCTCATTTCAACCTCACAGCATCCCCGTGAGGGAGGTCTTACTAACCATTTTGGTGAATGAAAAAACAGGGTGAGACACTCTAAGGAACCTGAATGGGATACCACAGCCTACAGTGGGTGAAGCTGATATTTGAAATTGAAGTTGGCTCTAAATCTGAGCTCTAATCCACTACGTGAAACAGCTGAAAAGGCTTCTCTGCTGGTCCAGGCAACTGCATGCCCTTTGACATTATGAAGCGTTGCCTCAGTGGCGGAACAGTATGAATGAGTTATCATCATTGGTTCATGGGAGTACTGTTCCAGAAATTAAGGTCTCCAAATATAGGTGAAGTATGAGGGCTGGGAAATAGTAGAGGTCTTCTGCCTTTTGGAAAATAGTTGTTGGTTGAAACTTGCATAAAAGGGAGGGCTAAGAAGAAGAGAACAAGTGGAATGAAGATCAATGTCTCAAATTTCTACAGGGACAATTCAAAGCAGAAATTTCAATCTGTAGGGGAGAAGAAAAAAAAAGAACAGAAGAGGAAAGTTCCAAAAGATAATTTCTCTTAGAAGGTGACAGCTCTGAGACAGTTCTGCTTGGCTCTCTTCTGTTATTGTTTCTGGTACAGGGAGTACAATGGATGATCAAGAATGGAAGCATCTCCAGTGGTGAAAGCCAGTCTGTGGCCAGGTAATCATTCACCAAATGGATACCACCTGGGGTAGAATCACTCACACATGCAAATTGGCCCAAATAGTGTCCTGGGCTCATGGGTTATTTAAATGAATGCAGCTGGGATTTGATTTCAAGTGGCAGCAAAAATACCAAGAACGTTCTGCACCAAAGAAAACAGCACATTGACTGTGTCCCCTTTGCTTCAATTAGCTGCAAAAATCTTACAGTAATTCTCACTACAGTCTAGCGTGACTAGGGAGAGAAGAAGCGATTAACTGCTTCATGGTCTGCTTTTGAACTCAGTTCCAAAGTTTCACTAGATGATTTCTTTTGCTGCTGTTTTTATTTTTAATATCCAGAATGTCTTAGCCATTTTCCTCCTTTCTCTCCAGACTAAGGCTACAGTGCAAACAAAATTTACTGCTAAATGTGGTATCACCTATAACCTACCCTGGACAATTCCCTGTAGCTTCTTTATAGTATTTGCAGCTTGAATTTCTTTGACAATATCTTGCTATATTTGGTACTTACTTTTAATACTAAGCTTGATACTTTAAATTGTATGAACATGCTAGATATTTAATTTCTATTAAATATGAACTTTATTTTTAAAAATCTACCAGCTTTGTGGAAAATCTAATAAGTGAAAAGTTTCTTCCACTCCTCCCCTTTATAATGCATATTGAATTAAGTTTGTGATCTTACATAGAGCGTCTGAATGTTTAAGATCACAGTCGATCTACTTTTATCAAGCTCTAAGTGAATATGGCTGACAACAAGCAGAAGAGAAATGTATCTATCACAAGCTGCAATCATTTCTCAAGATGTCTATTTGGATCCTTCCTGGATACAGTTTTATAAAAACTGAACAGTGGAAAATATGCAATACATAAGACATCATATTTGATTAGGCCACTTTCCCATTGACAAAGGGTTTTCCATGCATTGCATCAGTTGACAAAGGGGAAGATCCTTAAATTCTTTGAAACCCATACAAAGGAAGTCAGAATTTGTGAGGTGACTCTTGAAGCTGGAGAAGCCTGCTTGGCCCAATACTAAAGGAGGCCGAGAGTGTCTGTCTGTGTGTGGACCAGGATAGGATGGATGGAAGCAGTTTCTATGCTTCCCCCTCCTGCCCTCCTAATGACCTAAGCTCTGGCCTGAGGGACCAACATCCCTTAGAATGAGAGGTTATTTAGTTTTGATATGAGTACAGCCTTGAGACTCCCTGTAGAGAAATTGCTTATTCCAAAAATTTAGCTTCTTTCTCTCCCTTGTATATGGAAACATAGGAAGAAATGTGGTCTGGAATGCAGAGTGTAAGGGAAAAATAAAACCACGTCAGAAATGAATTTTGGATGAAAAAAGAAGGATAAGTGCAGTAGTGTCTGCTGGAAAGGGAGCGACACCAGAGTTCAAGACAAGCACCATAGGTTGTTAACTTTGTTCAAGATGTTATGCATTTCAACAATGCATTCATCCCCAAGTTATAAAACCTGTATCACTAGAATGTGAATTAGTTTATGTGGTGTATAAATGACAAAATTGAGTCACATAGAAACAAACTGCCTCTTCCATTGTTCGTAATAACAGGCAGGAGAAAGCCTTCATCTTTGTGTCTTTACTACTCTGATCTTCCCTTAACAAAGACAGAGCGCATCATGAGTGATCGGGAGTTTTTCATTTCTGGCCATGATACATAAATTTTCTTGTAAAATAGATATCTTGAAGTAAAAGTACAGGTTTATTTAAACAGTTGAGAGTGATAGTACTCTGCTGTGGACTTTTTCTCCTTGATAATGGATCTATTCATTCCTCTGTGAAATGTAAAAATAAAAATACCAACCTCGCAAGGTTGTTGTAAATATTACACATGACTTTGTCAACTCTCAAAGTACAATTAAAATGTTCAAATGGGAAGGTAAGAATGAATAAAGATTAAATCAATTGGGGGGAAGGATTATAAAGAAAAATAATTTTGGAGTTTCCTCCAAAGGGCCTGAATGGAGGAGTAAGGAGGTGAGACTTTAGGTAGTGAGAAGCAACTGACATTTTTGAACAGGGTGTATAATGATGAATGAAGTCAATTCAACAATGTTGTATAGGACACACTGAAGAAGAAAGTCTGGAGAGGAGGAGAAACATCAGAGGGCTTCTCAGTAGGCTAGAGGGATTATAGTAGAGAGGGAAGGAAAATAACATATTCAAGAGAGGTTGTAAGAGAAGGATCAAGTTGGGCTGGGCACAGTGTCTCACGCCTGTAATCCCAGCACTTTGGGAGGCCAAGGCGGGTGGATCACGAGGTCAGGAGATCGAGACCATCCTGGCTAACACGGTGAAACCCCGTCTCTGCTCAAAATACAAAAAATTAGCTGGGCATGGTGGCGGGCGCCTGTAGTCCCAGCTACTTGGGAGGCCGAGGCAGGAGAATGGCGTGAACCCGGGAGATGGAGCTTGCAGTGAGCTGAGATCATGCCACTGCACTCCAGCCTTGGTGACAGAGACTCCGTCTCAAAAAAAAAAAAAAAAAAAAAAAAAAAGAGAAAGATCAAGACTAGCAATTAATTGAATGGGGGTGGGTGGCTAGATAACAGCCTCCGACTGACACAAATGGTTTAAGGAAAATAAGAATAGGGAGGCAGAAAAAGTGATGGGGTTTAACAATTTTTTGAGTTTGTGTTTATGTGTACACCCTTGTTACTGAGCATGTGTAGATGTATTTGTATGTGTATATTGGTGGTTACACCAACCAGATGGAGACAGAGAAAGAGAAAGCCAAGTAGCATGCTCAATTGTCTAAAATGGAACATATTGTACATAATCTTCTTTCTTCCTTTGGCTTTGCCATCAACTCTGGACAAGTTGTCACCTTCTCTAAGAACCCTCTCATTGGTAAAATGGGCATAGTCACACTGCGTCCTCTGCATTCCCTCCAATTCGTTACCCAGTCTGTCTATTTCACCTGAAAAGTTTCTGAAATACTCCCCTCTCTCCAACCCTTGGTCATCACCTTAGTAGTATAAGGCACCCTCCCCTCTCACCTAGGTTATTCCAAGACCATCTTAATTGGTCTGTCAGGTTCAATTCAAGTTCAACTCCAACTGTTTCTCCACACTGCAGCCAAAGTTACCTTTCTGAAGTGATCATGTCACTACCAACAGCCCCCTTAAATGTCTTCCTATTGTCATGTGCCCTACAAACCCCTGCACAGCCTGCCCAAAATCCACATGTCCCATCTCTCTCTCTCCTCTCTTCCTAGAGCATCAAACAATGAGCCTTCCCAACAAAGGGCCTTTGAATACACTACTTTTGACTGGAAAGCCTTTCCTTTTCCAATTCACTTAATTTGTTCTTCAGAATTCATCATATCACTTTCTCAGTGGAGCTTTGTCTAACTCTACCTCAGTATGGGTCAAACTCCTTTGCTAGGACAATTTCTTTACTTCAGAAAACTCATCTCAGGTTTTAATTATATATTCACTGTTGTGATCATTGAGGTAATGATGCTCTCAGCTATTAAACTGGAAGCCCCATGAGGGCTCCCTCTATCTAACACAGTACCTGGAAATGCAAAAGTGAGTAAGAGAGGGAATAAATGAGTGAATAGATGAACAAACACAAGAATGAAACAATATCAGGGCACCTATCTCACAGAGCTGCTATAAGGACATTTGGTAACTGCAGAGTCATCCCTTGTTGCTTCCAGGACTCTCACATATACCAAAGTCTGTGCAGACTCAAGTCTGCAGCGAGCCCTGTGGAACCCACATATACAAAATGTTAGCCTTCTGTGTACCTAGCTTTGGCATCCCGTGAATACTGTGTTTTTGATTTGTGTTTGCTTGATAAAATCCATATATAAGCGGACTTGCGCAGTTCAAACTCATGTTGTTAAAAAGTCAACTGCAATTGTTATTTAAATGTGAGTCGAGGTTCTGACTTTTAATCCTGAGTGCACATCCAAATGGTTTTATCTTGAGAACTTTCCCTACCTTTCACCTTGCAGGGATTTATGGGTTGCTGACAACCTATATTTTAGAATGCTGCTTCCCTCACTATATTAGTTAGCTACTGCTAAATGCTGTTGTTTGAGGCCACTCAGCTTTGAGTAATAAAAATATTTGAGTAATATTTTCCTTGAGTAATACTACTCAAATAAAAATACACTTGAGTAATACTACTCAAATAAAAATATTGCTCAAATATTTTTATTGCTCAAATATTTTTATTACTCAAAGCTGAATGGCTTCAAACAACAGCATTTATTATTTCATAGTTTCTTCAGGTCAGGAATCTGGGCTTAGCTTAACTGGCCCTTACCTTCAGGGTCTCTTACAGGTTGTAGTCAGGTATTGATTAGGTTTAGTCATCTACAGGCCTGAGTGGGGAAGGTCCACTTTCAAGTCCAAGCTGTTTCTTTGCAGGATTCAGTTCCTCATGAGCTGTTAGATGGAGGGTCTTAGTTCCTCTACTGGTGTTGGCCAAAGGCCAAACTCATTTCCATGTGGGCTTCTCCAGCATGGCAGTTTACTTCATCAATGCAGCAAAATGAGAAGGAGGGAGGAATGAAGGGAAGGAGAGAGATTGCCAGCAGGAGAAAAGTCATAGTCTTTTATAACCTATGCTTGGAAATGACCTACCATCACTTTTGCCTTATGCTATTTGTTAGGAGAAAGTCACTAGGTCCACTCCATGTGTACAAAGGGAAGAGATTATTCAAGGGAGTGAATGCCAGGAGGTGGGGATCACTGAGCGCTACTAGAGAAGGCTGCCTGCCCCACTCATCCAAATGCCCAAAAGTAGAGTTGCTTAGCGACATGTCTGTAATCCTGTCTGGGCCCTAACTGAATGCCATTCACAAACTGCCCCCTTAGAAGGGCCTGTGGCTGTTCCTGATGATGGAATAATCCAGCTCAGTACAGCAGCCCCACAGCAGATGACCGTATTGATCTGCAGCTTAAAATTTCTCTGTTTCTTCACAAGGTGTGTCAGGGAGAGAAACAGTCAGTCTGACCCAGCAAGGTCACAGTTACTCCATTTCCATTAAATAAATATTCATAGACTCCAATGAGCCACCTCTAAGGTGTCAGGTATTATGTTTTAATTTCAGCAATTACGTGGCCTCCTGTCAGATTGATGTGGCACTGGTGTTGAGATACAGAGGAACTGAAGAATTTCCACTTGGGGTCAGGCCCGAGATAGAGAAGGAAGTCATTTAATGTTCTGCAACCTAAGTGGACTGGGTATGAAAGAAAGCAAAAATGACCTGCCATGGAAGAGGCCCACACGTTGAGTTGCTATTCTCAGAGCTCTGACTGGTTTCCACAAGCCCAGCTCTGCTCTTTTGCCTGGTTCAGGCTGGCAAAAGTGAGAGGTCATTGCCATCATTCTAAGAGAGGACAGAGCTTCCCAAGGACTTAAACTTTTGATTTTGGCCTTATTAATACTATCCTGTGAGCAGCCAAAAGGAATGATCTGGAGTAAAACAAGGGCTTTGGAATCAGGAGACTCAGATGGGTAAATGTGACTTAGAGATTTACTTGTGAGACCTACAGCCAGCTACATAACCACTCTGCGTGGCCAGTTGCTCATCCGAAAAGGGAAGAGACAGTGTCGCTCCTCCGTGTTCTTACAATGTCCAGTGACAAAGAGTTGGGTTGGTTTCCACAGCTTTCATTTTACCCTCCCCTTCTATTTGGAGGAGTTGAAAATATAAACACTACATTTACCAGGCTGTCTTCCTTGAGATTTGGAAGGTGGAAGTGAAGCAGAAGCCATCGGGTATCCAAGGCTTACGAGAAAGCTTCCAAAGATGTGGGTGGTGGTGGTGGTGAGCAGTCCCAGTGGGTGCACTGACAAACACATCAGCAACAGTTTCTAAATGATGGATCACAGTTATGGTGGTGTGACCTTGAACTCACAAGCCTAGCAGCAATGCCCTGGCTTCCTCTCTGCCAGCTCTTCTGGTGATGCTGTGAGCGCGTGATCCACTCAGCAAATATTTATCAAGCACCATCTATATTCCAGGGACTAATTTAGGACTTATCAGTGAACAAGAGACACAAAATCCTACCTATGGAGCTTAGATTCTACTATGTGTGGGAATACATGATATATATATTAAGTATTTTGTATCATAAAAAGTGCTATGAAAAGTAGAAAAAGTATAAGGGGCATCAAAAGTGTTAGAAGTGAGAGTGGGTAACAATTTTAAATAGGGTAGTAGAGGCAGGGCTTACCGAAAAGGTGACATTTGAAGAATGATTTAAACATTCAAGAGTAAGCCATGTGGTATCTGAGGGAAGAATACTGCAGACAGAGGGAATGGTCAGTGCAAAGGCCCCTCACTGGGAGTGTGACTGGGGAATTTGAAGAAGAGGAAGCAGTCCAGTGAGGTTGAAGCAAGGCAACGGAGGGAAGAGGTGGTAGAAGATATAGTCAGTAGGGTAATACAGGGCCATATCTGGCACCTAATTCCTAAGATTAAATCTCTTCCTGCATGAAACAACTACAATGTTCTCTCTTTCCTTTACTAAACTAGGGCTGATATATTGCCTTTGCATAATTTTATACTCGCTCTTATCTAATTGCATTGAAATTATGCTTTTGTATTTGCACCCACCCAAAGACAGTGCCTCATTAATCTCTGTACTCTGAACCCCTAGCCCAGGGCCTTGCAGAGCAGGCACTTAAATATATGATTAGTAACACAACATGAGCACAGCTATTTCCAAACTACTGCCCCTTCCAAACAGGAGATATCCCTGTAGGAGGATGCAGCTTCCAAAATGGCTGGATATGTCGGGGGATAAAGACCTTCCTGGTTGAAGTAATACATTTAGTATTCTAATGAAGTAATTATAAAAGTAAGTAATTATTGAAATAGCCACATCAACTCCCAGTCATTAAAATCCTCCTCAACAGAGCTGGCATGACGCTTAGGCTACTAGAAACCCTGGCAACCACCCAACGCCTACAATAGCTTCTAATTAATTGATCTCACCTCTAATCTGCTATTGTTAGCCCAGTGCTGATCATTTGTTTGGCCTACAGATCCTATTGCCCCTTCCTTTTGATTGTATTTGTTACTGTACCCTCTCTATCTCTTTCAATTAAGCACAGGTTAAGTGGTTCACCCGTAAGAGAATAGGAGATAATGGCACCAATCAAAGTAATCTCCTTAATTTGCTAAATGGATTACAGGGAAACCCCAGCCAAAGTGAAGTCATAGCTAGTGGCCTTCACTTGAACTATACACAAGGAGTATCTAATTATTAACCCATCATAAGCCAGGCTTCATTGTGGAATGAAAGTCTACAAAGTTAGCAAGGTGTAGGCAGTTTCAATAGACGAGATGGCCCTTTGTGACTAAACTGTTCCCAGGGTGAAATGTCCCCACTGGCTCCATTCCCAAATTTCTTGCTTGCCTTAACTTTCAAGTGCAACACACATCCTCACATACCAATCAAAATACTGCCCAGGATTCCAGTCAAGAGAGTGGATTTATAATCTCTTTAAGAGCATTCTGTAGTGAGGATTCATTTTTCTTATTTGTACTATAAATGCAAATGCAGTTTCATAGGCACAATGGCTCTGGCTTTTGCTGACTTTGACAAAAGTATGTGTTTAAGAGTAAACAAGTTTGTTCTTAAGCTGGTAAGTGATCTTCCTTCTTTTTGTGACCCTGCTTGTTCCTGCCCTTATACACAGACACACCCTTCCCCATAAACCCACTCCGAGACCAAGATGGGGCAGAGGACAAAAAGACCCCATGCTACTGGAATTCTGGCTTTGCACATGTCCTTGGTTGATTAAGCAAGGAAGCAAAAAATGGCAAATCAAGTCACATTTTAGTAGGATATGGGATAATGGCAAGAATACAACGGAAGGTGAAAAAATGCTAAAACAAAACTCCATTAACTTTTCAAAGAATGAGGGACCTGGATCCTAATTTGAAGAACTCAATAAACGTTGACGTAACATCTGTGTCTCTGTACCCTCCATCTTTGTGGGGGTGGGTGGGAGGCACTGTTTTTTCAATATCCAACTAAAATTATTTGACACCCAATACCCCATGTTCTGTGAAAAGTCTAGTGACCTTTCCAACATTTCTAAGCATTCCTAAGGAGGTTTATGTCCAGGTCATTTCACTCAGCGTTTCAGCTCTTCACTCTGATGGGGTTCAGGACATGCTACCCCAAATTATGGCACCTTGGCATTTGAGAAAACAGCAGAAGCAGCAAAGTCACTCTCACCTTCTCCTCATCCTTCTCCCCTGAAGCAGGTTAAAAAACCCTCATTTGAGAGTTGCCCTCCCTATACTCAGAGAAAAGGAATATTCTTATTTCTGGAGACACAGGGTCAGAGAAAAGAATCTGAACAAACAGGCCTTGCTAAGTTCCCCCCAGTTTATTAGCATTAGATTATACCCTCTTGTCCTCCAATCATATTTCTCCATGACTGCCTACTCTTTGTCAAACCTAAGCACAACATTACACAACTGTACCTGTTTCTTTGGGTCTTCATTTCCTTATGAAGGCTCCTGTGTCACATAAAACATTTATATTAAATGAATTTGTATGCTTTTCTCTAGTTAATCTGCCTTTTGTTATGGAAGCCTCAGCCGCAAATCTAGCAATGTGTGAGGAGAAGAAATCTTCCCTCCCCTACAACTCCACCTCTCAATCCTCTCTTCCTGTCTTGCCTCCTGAGGCACTTGACCTCTCCCTTTAGACCAAAGACTGACTTAACCTCTCTTTCCTAAAGTACCACTGACACAGGATGTATAATATAATATTACCAAAGTTTGGGACAAAATTACCCACAGTGATATTACAACACAGAGCAGAGGAGGAAATGCCTAAAAGCTAATATATCACTAGTCCTCAACCATCCTCACCACCAAGACCTTCTCATTCTTCATTGGCTCTGGCCATCCACCATATTTCTCAAAACCACTCTAACTTTCTTTACCATTTTCTCCCTTTTGGTCCCAATCTTTCTCCCAAGCTGTCAGAGAAAAACATTTAACTTTTTTTTTTTTTAATAGATCAGTAGTAACTATCTCTTCCCTAGATTTGCTTTGGAATCTATTTTTGTACAATTAAAAGATCCCTTAAGAACTTTTCTCAATCAAGAGTCCCTTTCTTTCCCTAGAAGCATCTGAACTCCTAGAACAACCTATTAAAATTGTAACCAAATGATAAAGAAACACAATTATCTCAACTACATTAAGCACCCATTATGCTTAAGATGCAGCAGTGGGTGCAAGAGAGAAAAAGAAAACAGGACAAGAGGTATCCTTTGTTCTCAAGGCATTTATGATGCAGTGGGGGAAGTGGCCATGCACCCAAGAAGCTGTGTGGTGAGTAGAAGGAAGTTTGAAGGCAGAAGATCCAAGTTTCAGTGTTGATTTTACAATAATATGTCCCTGGACAAGACAAGTAACCTTCTGCATTTTGATGTTGTGAATATTCCATTACTTGCACCGTTTCTGGGGCTTCTGAGAGGATAGAAGGCAACGATGTGTGTGGATGGGTTATAAAAATCATAAAGCCCTGCATGAGTGTATGGTATTTCTGTGATCACCACTTGAAAAGTAACACACAGTAACTGGCTATGAGTGCAAATCCCCACTGCTGCACAATCTTTTAGGGTTTAAATGCTAAATATGTTGGTGCTGTGCTTACAGGGACTAAAGAAACTAAACACCAAATAAGTTGAGAATCATTACAATGAAACCACAGCCACCTACCTCAAGAGCTCCCCAAATCTACAAAAGCCTTCTTAGCTCCCATTTGTGTTATCCTTTAGTAGTGTTACTGAGTAGAATGTGCTGGCCCAGCTATGTTCTTTCATATGCTCACAAGGCCAAATTCTCACATAATATGGTACACATGCAAATTTGCCTTGTAACGGGGCTGCTATTTTGCTATCTCTTTCTGCTTACTTTCAAGAAGCTATATCTGGGTTTCTACCCATTTAGATGACCAGTTCAAGGTATCTATCAAAGCTAAGAATCCATAAATCAATTGATACAGCTAGTGAATTCTTAGCTGTGGCACAAATAAAATCTACACATCCATAGATATTTGGCAGTACCCCTGTATAGAGACACTGTTGTACCTATGTACCTTGACCTAGAGTGAAGAACCACTGTTATAGACCACATGTTCTATAAGGATTTGGAAGGCCTGAAAGTGGCTAGAGAATATTTATTTCAAGAACGCTGTTGGACTGTCCAATGGGTAGAGAGTGAAACAGAAGAGGGTCTTCCAAGGGGCAACTCTCATATTTGCATCATATTTAAAGCTCACAAAAGTTTCACATACATTATTTCATTTAATCTTTACGACAAAACAGTGAGATTCATTCATTTCCCAGCTCTAGAAGCAGATACTTAGAGGTAAGCCACAGAAGATGTACACATGTACCGCCAACCACCACACCACACCAAAATGTACAAGAAAACCTGTAGCTACAATGCTCATAATGGCCGTGAAGTGGAAAAGTTGCAAATGCTCATTCTCAGTATGACAAAAAAATACACATGAACTGAGCACTATATCGTCTAGCAATGAGAAAAGCCAACCACAACTATCTGCATGAAAGGATGAGTCTCTCAAACATTACATCGAATGAAAGAAGACACAAGAGAGAAAATATTGTGTGGCATCATTTATGTAAGCAGAAAAGCAGCCTGTCAGAAGTCAGGAGTTGTCATGTTTATGGGAGAGTAGTGACTATAAAGAGGTATATGGTCTTCTGAGGTACAAGACATGTTGTGTTTCTTGACCTAGGTTTGAGTTACTTGTGTGTTCACTTTGTAAAAAGTGCACTTATGTGCTATACTTCAATACAAATTTACTTTAAAAAAGCAGAGGGACCCACACAGAATGGCCAACTTCTATTTTGCTAAGTAAGCAAAAAGTAAACCAAACTCTATTTGCCATCTGTTATCATAATCTAAACATTTTAAGACAATAGAATTGCACTAAATATAGGAAGGACACACAACTATAACATTGCATAAGT
Organism: Homo sapiens; assembly: GCF_000001405.40. Classification (NCBI taxonomy): domain Eukaryota; kingdom Metazoa; phylum Chordata; class Mammalia; order Primates; family Hominidae; genus Homo; species Homo sapiens. The sequence goes on along the minus strand of NC_000003.12, from coordinate 25,277,589 downwards.
TAAGTTTATGAAAAACAATTTGTGTGTTAGCCTTATTTTGCTCATTTTACTCTAGGCCCATGAGAGTCTTCTGAGGACAAATCAATTTGCAAACTGTTCTCTGAGAACCACTACTTTGGGATGTAGATAAAAACTCCCCTTTTTATTTATGATCCATAGGCGATTTCACTTGTGTCTTTCCACTTCTGCAAGTGAGCAGCTTATTTTAATAGTGATTCACTGGAGTTCTTTGGAGCTCCTGGAGTGGATTAGGATGACTTTTGGGTGACTGAGAAGGTTCTGGACTCCATGTCCCAGGCTACGCTGCTAGGTGGCTTCATTGGCTCTTGTTGGCCTATCTGCCCTCCCCCTATATTGGCCTCCACAACGCAAATCTACCAATTATTTGACACCTACCTAGAGTTCTTCCTTACCAGTAACATTTTAAATCATGCCTTGAAGGTTTGAGCTTCTTTTCTACTCCTTGGATAAATAGTTAGCTAACTTTTCCAGTAATACGTGGGTATAGGCTTTGCTGTTGTTATTATTAACCTTGAAGAGAGATACTCCTCATTCCTATTTCTTTTAATCATCCAAGTATTCATTCATCTATCCATGCATTCACTTATTTTCACTCTTTCTTCCTTTCCTGTCTCAACTTTCATCAATGAGATAAGATGACCAGTCCTAGATCTAGAATTTAAGTTTAAATTTTATGAGCTGTTATACAGATTACTGCCAATATATACCGTATTAGTCAAGTGCTTTTGATCCCGAGACCTGTCAACCAGTCTTATGAAGCGATTGGTTTGACAAAACTTGGTCTTCACACAGCCATTGGGTTTACTACCAAGGACTGTGCTCTTTTCTAGGTATTTGCAAATGGAATACAAGTTGGCTTTTCTTTTCTTTAGGCCTTTCCTATGCTAAGTGTTCAGCCCATTATGTCTATAATCACTCTGTAAAATTAGAGGCATAATGTCTTTTAACATCCTTTCTTTCTTTCAAAACTTTTACAAGTCACAGTTGATGGTCTGAGAATTTCTTTGAGTAGTTTCCTAGTTACTAAGGGAGAGAAAATGAAATACGGAATTAAATTCCTTCCGTTATATTTTGCTTCATTTTGGTTTCCTATGTTCCTATTCTACAAATTAGGTTTATTGAGTATTTTGTTTGTAATGAACACAACAATTGTACATATTTATTGAGTATCGTGTGATGCTTCAACACAGGTATACATTGTATAATGATCAAATCAGGGTAGTTAGCTTACATAACGGGCTAAAGACCTGTACAGACATTTCTCAAAAGAAAACACACAAATGGCCAAAAATATGATGAAATGCTCAAGATCACTACTAAACATCAGGGAAATGCAAATCAAAACCACAGAGATAACACACTACCCCAGTTAGAATAGCTATTATCAAAAAGACAAAAAAGTATTTTTTATGATTCACACATATTCTAAGGCTTTTACATGAATTGCCTCATTTAATTCTTACACTATCCCCATGATGTAAACATCACATTATAAACCTCATTTTACAGAAGGGGAAGCTGAGCCTCAGAGAGGTTAAGTGACCTAGGGATATCCTAGCTTCATGTAAACCCTGTATTTGGCTCTTACCTTGCTGCTCATTCTAAGATAATTTCCTTCAACTGAACAAATCTTTTATTTATTTTAATTATACTTTAAGTTCTAGGGTACATGTGCACAACGTGCACCTTTGTTACATATGTATACATGTACCATGTTGGTGTGCTGCACCCATTAACTTGTCATTTACATTAGGTATATCTCCTAATGCTATCCCTCCCCCCTCCCTCCACCCCACGACAAGCCCGGTGTGTGATGGTCCCCTTCCTGTGTCCAAGTGTTCTCATTTGAACAAGTCTTTATTAAGGGCAATGATGTCCATCACTGAACCTGGCATTAGAGATTCAGCTATGACCAAGATGGGCTTAGTTACTTCCCTTACAGGGCTTCTCGGCTATAGGACAGATAGTTCTTGAATATGCAGGATTCTAAGGTGATACATATTATCAAAGGGTTGCCGTATGGCTAACAGTACAAAGGGGTAGCTTCCGGATGGTGCAGGCAGTAAGCCAGGTGCTAAAAATACAGACCTGAGTTTGTTTTGTTTTTTGAGACCAGGTCTTGCTCTGTCACCTAGGCTGGAGTGCAGTGGCCCAATCACGGCTCACTGCAGCTTCCACCTCCCAGGCTCACTCGATCCTCCCACCTCAGCCTCCCGAGTAGCTGGGACTACAGGCACACACCACTATGCCTAGCTAATTTTTGTATCTTTTGTAGAGACAGGGTTTTGCCATGTGCCCAGGCTGGTCTTGAACTCCTGGGCTCAAGCAATCCTTCTGCCTTGACCTCCCAAAGTGTTGGGATTAAAGGCGTGAGCCACCGCGCCTAGCCAGACTTGGGTTAAGAGGTGCTCACGGAGAGTCTGTGGGTATGATGTGGTCACCACTATGACTGAGACTGTGCAGTGACCTCTGATAGCATGATGGGGCAGCACATAAGAGCATGGGGCCAAGAGAAGACGAAGATCTTTTTTAAAAAACAGTATTTTTGAGCTTCCAAGCAAATGCTGATCAGCTAAGTATCCTTACATAGCATAAACAGTTGATTACTGGCTCACACCATTTCCTTCCCTCCACTGTGGGCAAGGATATTTCCCTACCCCATTGCTGTTGAGCTTGGTGATGTGACTTCCTTTGGCCAAAGGAACATGGGTAGAAATGTCAGTCTGCCAGTCCCGACCCTGAGCCCTAAGATGCCTTATGTATTTCCTCTCCCCTTCCTGTATTTTTGCCGCTATAATGAAAAGACTATATAAAGAGGCAGCTGCTGGTCCCAGAATAAGGGGACATGCGGAAGAAAGTCAAGTCCAGCTGATTCCCACTAAGCCCTCCAAAGCCCTGCAGAGCCAGGCTGACCTACAAAAAAAATAGTTGTTATTATAAACTAATGAGATTTGGGGGTTGTTTCACAGCATTATTACAGCAAATACACATGAGATGTGTCTTAGGTCCCCTTTCCAGGGAGCCAGGCTCCAGAAATTTGTACTAGTTTTCCCATCTTTTTACTCAGCAGTCCCGAGTAGGAGAGGCCTTCCTGATCACCCTGTATAAATTGGCAGCTTCATAAAGGTAACACCTGATCTGAGTCTTCAGGCTGAATCGGGATAAGCATGTGAGGTGCTTGTGAAGGGACTGGAAGGGCACCACCCTGTATGGTAGCCTATGGCCATTAGTTGCGTGTGGCTGCTGAGCACTTGAACGGTCCCATCCAAATTGAGAGGTGTTGTTAGTATAAATACACACTGGATTTTGAACACTTAGTATGAAAAACAAAATGTATACTAGTTAATTTTTATGCAGGCTTCGTGTTTAAATCATATTTTAAATATGCTGGGTTAAATGAAACATATTGTTGAAATTAATTTCACTGGTTTCTTTTTACTTTTTCTTAATGTGGTGATCAAAAGGTTTTAAATTATATATATGTCTCAGAGGATACATCTACTAGGCAGCTCTGGGCTAGAAGGACTTCCAGGCCATAAGCAAAGTTGAGAGTGAGAACCATCCCAGGGTGGGGACAGGCTGCCGCATGCAGCAATAGTCAGGGTGCACAGTGCAGGGGTGGCAGGCCAGTGGGAGTCATAGAGAATGGGCTACGAGGTCTGAACACCAAGTTGGGGCCTGCACCCATAACCTGGAGGTGCCTGAAAAGGATGTTGCTAAAAGCAGGATGCCTTGATGTTAGGTGGTGGGTTATAAGAGAAGACTGGCAGACACTGAGGAAGTGAAATATCTGTCACAGTGGAGTCAAGTGCCAGCTAGCAACTGCTTTCCTATTCTAAGGCACTTACAGGTTGATTCATGGGCAATATGAAACCATAAGCAGTTTTGGTGATGAAACATGCAAACCAAATGATATCGCATTCCTTATCTTTGCCAGTGAGCAGACTTTCCCTTCTGCCTGCTGTCACAAACACTGTCACCTTGAAAGGTGCTATCCTATCACTGTCTCTGACTAGCTGAGCAGGGAGATGTCACTTCTAACAGCACCTTGAAGTATGGGCCCATTTGGAGACATATTAGGCAGCCTCTAAGAAAGCCAGCCTGCTTTGGGAAAAGGCAAAAGGGTAGAAACTCGTCATAACCGGATTAGAATGTCATGATAAATATAACTTTCACCTTAGTTTCCATTAGGTGATGATTTTAAAGGTTACTTGTAAACATTTCTGAAGTAGGCAATATAATGATTAAGTGAGCAGCTCAAAAGACTTGAGATGTAAAAGAAAGCATGAGCTTCTCATGCACGATAGCTGAGGCCAGTTCGAGTCCTTTGTTAGACACAGAAATATCAGCAATGATTCTGCACTTAATATGACATGTAGATCCACATAGAAGCAGCTAAATATTCCGCTGGACTCTAAACTCAGTGTTTAGAATTTGTCATCCTGTTCCCCCAATACATTGAGGAAGCTTGGGGCTATTTGTGTAGGCTCAGGGCTATCTATGTGCTTGCAGACTATCAGCTTATGGGGAATGTAAAATGCAAATGAATGAGTTAGGATGTGAACAGAAAAAAAGATTTCCCTCCACAGTTTGACATGAACAGTTGTACTGGCTTAGATAGGAATGGGTATTTCAAAAACTGATAGAATTTGGAGGTGTGTAATAAGCAGCCCTGTAGTTTAACAGGGGAAGATACTGAGGCTCAGGTGGGACGAATGTATCCAAAGTTACACAACTAGTCAGCAAGAGGGCTGGAAATCAAACCGGAGTCTCCTGTATCACTGTTCAGTCCTCTTATGTGACTTGATACTTGTGGCTGACCCAGGGACACAGAAGCCTTTGCAGTAAAACTACTTAAGGCGTTGAGAACAGGCCTTAGGGCAGTGGTTCTCAACCCTGGCTGAACTTCAGAATATCTGAAGAAATTGCTCTGGCCACACACCAGAGCAATTAATAAAGAATTTATGGAGACAGGACCCAGAATACTGTATTTTTAAAAGCTCTACAGGTTATTCTAATATGTAGTTGAGAATTACTGCCTAAGGGGATACCTGAGTGATGTAGGAACGGATCCAGCTTTCAAAGGCAGGGCATCACCTGCCTCAGATGACTACCATGTCCGGGTCCATCCAGAGGCCTCTGTTATAGAGGAGGCAGAGATCAAATTAGCAGTATTATCTAGACCACAAGACTTTGTTTGGCAGGCAGACAATGGTGAGTTGCAAAGTCACCTTAATGTTGTCCAAAGGAGATCATGGCATATCTACCAGCCCTGACCAGCCGATGGCTTTGTTGGTGTAAAAGTGGCTTCCCTCACATCAGTGTCATGTGGCCAGCACAGTACACAACCGGAGATGAACAACTTTTTAAAGGAAGCATATTCAGTTTTTAAAGGTGTAACACTGTCCATAGAATTTTCTGCAATCAATGGAAATGTTTTATATCTATACTTTCTAATATGGTTACCACTAGCACATGGCTGCTGAGTACTCAATATTGCCAGCTTGACTAAGAAAATAAATTTTAAATTTTATTTCATTTTAATTATTTTATCTTTAAACTTAAATAACCACATGTGATTACTGACCGCTGTATCACACAATGCAAGGAAGTTCTCAGAACTCTCCCAACCAGGCAGGAGACAAAGAATTTGTAAAGGACAAAGATAAGTATTTTAATTTTAAACTATGCTGTTGCCTACTTACTCTATACATGCCTTTAGCTTATTCAGCAAGATTGAACATTTTAAAAAAGCCTTACTAGAAAATGGTTTTTGACAATAAAGGTACAGATAGCATTGATTTTTTTAAAGTGCTTTAGTGTATTTGGTTTTCTTTTATAAACAAGATTACTGAATAAGAAAATTCTTACCTTGGAATATTAAAGTTTCTGATGAGAATGAGTTTTGGGAATAGCAAGTATCTCCTAACCTTCCTCTCAGATGCTCCCAAGAGTTATGTTGCAGGAAAGACGGAACTACCATTTCATCTAATGACCACCTTTCCATGGAAACTCTTCCAAAAGAAAGTTAGTTGTATGCCAATATCAACTCATTCTCCCAGAAACGCAGAAAGCACCTAATTTTCCTAATGTAGATGCCTTTGGCCAAGGAACGTGACTAAATTTTCTGGTCACTTCTTTCAGCTCAAGAAACAAATACTCTTGTGTAGGCCTTGCATTTGAGACGCGATTCTTGAGACATTGGTATGCTTATCCTATATGGCATTTCAAGAGCTAGTTATTTTTGGTTAGCACACTATTATTTATATGAAAAACCATAGCATGCCTGTGCAAATGCAAGCCTGCAGCCACCCCATCTTACAATTTTATCTCATTCTTAAATACCTGACAGTATTTCTTGATTTATACTAATAAAAATTGAGGGGAGAAAAATTAAAGCCATATTCCATCGTAATTGGTTGGTGTAATATCTCTGACCAACCTCATTTTGATGCTAAAATTAGAGGTTACAAGAGACTTATGTTCTAATTGCCAATGCTAATGCCAGTGAATATCATTTGTATTTCACTAGAAGCTGGAATGAGTGATGTACTTATGGAATAAAAGAAGATCTGGTCAAGGGATGGTATGATTTCAAGGAGAGAACACAGGAATAAATGCCTGAAGACTGGGGGCTTAAGCCCCGACACAAAACTTACCAGTAATATTAGATTGGGGCGAAAGTATTTGCGGTTTTTGCCATTGCTTGTAATGCCCATTGCTTTTAATGGCAAAAACCGCAATTACCTTTGCACCAACCTGTTACAACCTTAAACACCACACCACTTAATTTTTCTGAGATCCATTTTCCTCATCTGCACTAGAGGGATAAAAATAGCACTACTTCAAGGGATACCGTGAGAACATCATAAGGTGATATGTGTGCTTTGTAAACAAATAATATTACCCAGGTATTAATTATCAGTGATAGGCTGGGATAACACGGCTTATTCTCTCCCCATTAAGTTTTGCATATAAACCTTCTTTTTTAGGTCTACAGGGAATTTAAACAAACATGTACACATTCCATTTGCTTCGAATGTGACAGGTTTTAAAAATATATCTTTTTTATTGTGGTAAAATATGCATAACATTTTTACCATTTTAACAATTTTTAGGTGTACAGATCTCTATGAATTTGACTACTTTAGGTACCTCATATAAGTGGAATTACATACTATTTGTCTTTTTGTGTCTGGCTTAATTTCACTTAATGTCCTTAAGGTTCAACCATATTGTAGTATGTCGCTGAATTTCATTCCTTTTTAAAGCAAAATAATATTCTGTTGTACATACAGACCGCATTTGGCTTATCTATTCATGCACCAATGGAGATTTGGATTACTCCAACTTTTGGCTATTAAGTTGCTATGAACATTGGTGTAAAAATATCTGTTTGAGTCTCTAGTTAACACCCATAAGTGAAATTAATGGATGATATGTGATTCTATTTTTAATATTTTGAAGAACTGCCATACTATTCTCATAGAAGATGCTGCATTTTCTGTTCCCACCAGCTAGACACAAGGTTCCAATTTATCCACATCCTTGCCAATATGATTTTCTTTTTGCCCCCCAAATAATAGCCATACTAAATGGTACGCGGTGGTATCTCACTGTAGTTCTATTTTGCCTTTCCCTAATTGTTAGTGATGCTGAACATCTTTTCGTATGCTTAATGACCATTTGTATGTCTTCTTTAGATACATGTCTATTTAAGTTCTTTGGCCACTTAAACATGACATTTTTAGCATAAAATGAGTATATACAAATTTTGTTAACAAAGATGTTTTAGGCTATAAATATACACATTTTGTTAAAAAAGATGTTTTAGGATATAACAGCAAAGTCATAAAGCCCTTAAAATTAGCTGTTAAGTGAGTTTACTATTATTGTTGCTATTTGTATCATTTATAATTACTACTGCCATTTTATCTAACATGATTGAAGACTAGCTATTTTCTAGGTACTGTGAAGAGCAGTACACATGTATTAACTTACTGGATCTTCACACCTATTCAATGAAGAAGCAGCTCTTCCTGTTAGTATCCACATTGAACAGCCGAAGAAATTGAAGTATAAACAAGCTAAAGTAACTTGCCCAAGGTCATGCAGCTAGTAAGTGGAAGAAGTGGGATTTGAACCCAGGTAGTTGGACTCCAGAGTTTTTGTTCTCAGCTGTCACACGTTCCTACCTCTCAATGATGGATGGTGCTGAATGATCCACTGATAAGCTTTGTGGGGCATATACGTTAAAGAATAATAAATAATAGGTTATTGCTCATGATCTTTCATTTCAGAATACTTAAGGAGATTCATGGACTCATTTCTATGACTATTCAAGGGACTTCTAAAATGAGCCAGCAATATGACTATTTGTTTGCTATTATTTAACAGCCCAAAGTTGAGACATATTTTGGCACATACTTGAAAAATTATATTCTACTGTACCATGCCATATTGGTTTGACAGTTTATTGGAGGGTAAAAGATAAGGTCATAATTACTTTTGGTATTCAACATTCTTTATATACTATTGGAAGAGAATATTTATACTTTATCCATTTATTGCTCAAATCTTTATTGAGTGCATATCATGTGCTAGATACTATTTGAGTTTCTGGAAATACAAATGGATAAATCTCTGCTCTAATGGGTTATGGTGTTGGGTGGTTTGACAGGCTGTAAACACTGAATTGCAAAATGCACAAATATTTTGATACCAAATCATAGTGGGGAAGAAGAAAAAGCAGGTAAGAGGAGAGAAAGGTCCTAAGAAGCGCAGAGAGGCTGACATGTTAGAGTTGTCAGGCAAGGTTTCTATAATGAGACAATGTTTGAGAGAAACCAAAATGAAATGAGAAAGTGAACAATGGGTAAAAGTGGATCTCAGACTAAGGGAACAACCAGTGCAAAGGTGCTGAGGCAGGAGCCTCCCAGGAATGTTTGTACAACAAGGAAGGCAGAGTGAGTGGAACAGAGTAAAAGAGGGGCTAACATTAATAAATTCTTCCATTCCTTGAATTCTCCATGATAACAATGGAATGTATCAAATGCTAAACTCTGGTGAGGACCAGGGTCGAAATACACCATATCTAAAATCTGAGTTGGAGAAAATAATATGAAAAACACAGATCCACTTTTGTAGGCCACATGGCATCTTGACTTTTTTTTTTTTTCTATTTTCTGGGGGACTGTGAATCAGAAGTGCCATGAACACAAAATAGATTACAGATGTGCATTTAGCCACACCTGAATAGGTCCAACATTAACATTCATTTCTTCTACATCAAATAATGAACCAGCCCTTCAATGGTGGATCTACCTGGTCCTAAAAAAAGAAAAAAAGTATCAGTGGTAGTCACCAAATGCTCTCTAATGGAGATGGAGAAATCTACCGCTGAGAGCTGTTAAAAGATTAAAAGAGGAAGGTTGATGTCGTTCATGTTAGACTGTGACCTCAAGCACTTTTTTTGTTTGGGAAGATTATAAAATTTTATTTACAAATCTCTACTATTCTACGTTCCAAGAAATTTGACACTATAACCACTGATGACTTAAGAAATATATAACTCTCCTCCTAGCATTTGAAAATACCTTGAGAGAGATTATCCAAATTAAGAATATAGTTTCAACATTATGCGTACACATTTGCCAATTTTCCATATTAGATTTCTATGCTCATTCCTGAGTAGCTCAACCCAGAAACAGTGGAAAATAAAAGTACTTAATTCTGTGACATTATCATATATAATGTTCTGATTTTCACTGTATATTTAACCAAATACTGGAGTAACCATAAATTATAGCCCTCCAGTCACATAAAATGAACTTCCAGATAGCTCCCAAATTTGAGTAACTTAAATGACTATTTCAGAATAATATCCAAACACTAAAAATACTTGGCACATTTGCTACAGAATAAAAATAACCTCACTCAAGCATGGGGAAGAGAAGGTTCTGTAGGATTCCAGCATCCAAACACCACTCTCAAGCCAGAAAGTTATTCTAAAAACAAGAGGACACTGAACAAGAGGTGATAAAGACAGATCAAAGAAGTAAGTGGTAGAGTTAGGAAAACAATTTAAACTCAGAAAAGACTAAAAAATAGAGACTTCAGGACATCTGGATAAGGAATAGGCAGCGGTAATGTGAGGTGAAAGACGGGGGTTGCGGAAGGCCAGAGTGGAGCTGGGGGCATTATTTGGCCTCTAAGAGAGGCCTTCACTGCTTTAACATTTAAAGGCTTTCCATTGTCTGCTGTGTTCCCACCATTTCCTTACAATGCCTTGTATACTAGCTGCTCAAAATGATATACTCTCTAAATAAAGTCTGGTTAAAATGAAGGTGCTTAGTAAACACAGAAGCAAAGTCCACTTAGTCTTCTGTCTTCAGAATATCTCCCTGTAGAACACTCGGTACAATCTGCTGTAGCTAGCTAAGGCCTCTGTTGTATCAGATCACTTGTGGGAAGTTTTCTTACATATTTATGCCTAAAGAGCTTCAGGGAAGGGGTCAGAATCACAGAGCATTTAGAAAGGGGGAAAATTGAACTACAGGCAGCTTTGTGGTTGCTCAGTATTTCCAAGTTGGTGATTGTGTTAGTCTGCTTGGGCTGCCACATCAAGATAGCATAGCCTGGGGGCTTAAACAATAGAAATGTATTTCTCATTTTTCAGGAGGCTAGAATTCTGCAATCGGAGACCAGCATGGTCAGATTCTGGTGAGGCTCTTCTCCTGGCTTGCAGAGGGCTGCCTGCTCACTGTTTCCTTATATGGCAGGGAGAGAAAGCAAGTTCTGGTGTCTCTGTCTCTTTTAAAAGGACACCAGTTCTATCAGATAAGTCTCCAGCCTTATGACCTCACTCAACCTTAATCACCTTCTTAAAGTCCGTATTTCCAATTCAGTCACAGGGGTGTCAGGGCTTCAACACAGGAATTTTGCAGGGACACGGTTGAATCCATAGCCATGATGGTTTAAATTCAAAGATACGACAACAAAGTCTGATAAAAAGGATCAAGGAATGTGGGCATAAAAATTTTAAACTTCTGTACAGAGACCATAAATTTTAAAATATGTAAAATTAAGAAAAAATATTTGCAACATACATATAATATTCTTAATATATAAAAAACTCCAATAAATAATTGAGGTCAACAAAGATAAGGGGAAAAGGTGTGAATAATTCAATCATTGAAAAAGGACAGAAAAACATTAGAAAGGATGCCTGCATAGTATAATCATAATTTTAAATTTAAGTGATAGAAAAAATTTCCATTTTGGATTCCGAAGGGCTAGAACCCCTATTGTTGTATTAAGCAAAATATTAGCCCCTAAAAGCCTAATATTGTGTTAGGCAGAATATTAGCCCCCAAAGATATTTATGTCCTAACACCCAGGATCTGTGAATATGTTAGGTTATATGATATTTAACATATTAGGTTGTAGATACAGTTATAATCAGCTGAACTTAAGAGTGAATTGATCCTGGATTATGCAGATGGACCCAATGTGATTACAAGAGTCCTTAAAGCTGGAAGAGGAATGAGAAGGGAGAACTATAGAAATGGCAGTGTAAGGATGACTAGGTTGAGAGTTGCCAGCTTTGAGGTGAAGGAATTGGGGCCATGAGCCAATGAATGTGGGTGGCTTCTAGAGCTTGTACCAAGCAAAGCAAGGGAATGAATTCTCCCCTAGAGCTTTCAAAGGGAACCCAGCCCTGCTGACACCTTCATTTTAGCCAGTGAAGCCCATTTTGGATTTCCGACCTTCAGAATTGTAAGATTAAAAATTTGTTGGACAGCCATGGTGGTTCACGGCTGTAACCCTAGCACTTTGGGAGGCGGAGGCGTGTGGATCACTTGAGCCCAGGAGTTCAAGACCAGTCTGGGCAACAAGGAGAAACCCTGTGTCTACAAAAATACAAAAATTAGACAGGCATGGGGGTGCATGCCTGTAGTCTCAGCTACTTAAGAGGCTGAAGTGGGAGGATTACTTGAGCCTGGGAGGTGGAGGTTGCAGTGAGCTGAGGTTGCACCACTGCACTGCAGCCTGGGTGACAGAGCAAGACTCTGTCTCAAAACAATGACAACAAAAATATGTGGTTTAAGCTGCCAAATTTGTGGTTGTTTTTTTGTAGTAGCAAGGGAAACAGTGAGGAAGTGGGAAAACTTGCTGAGATGTCAATTGATACAAATATTTTTGGAGGGCAATTATGTATGTATTTATCAACATCTAAAATACAAATATTCTTGTACCGAAAAATTGTAACTTTTATAAACTCATTCCATGAAAATAATTAAGCAATTGGTCTTCTGTTTTTCCTTCAAGTAGTAGAAAACGGAATATAAGCTTGAGTGGCCTCTATTGTAACCACAGAATACAAAGCTATTACTCTTAGTCCATTTGGGCTGCTATAACAAAATGCCATAAACTGGGTAACTTACAAACAACAGAAATTTATTTCTCACAGTTTTCTGGGCAGTCCAAGATCAAGGCATTGGCAGATTTTGTGTCTGAGAAGGGCGCATTTCCTGTTTCACAGAGCCCGTTTTGTAAGGGTGCTAATACTATTTCTGAGAGCTTTATCTGTGTGACATAAGTACCTCCCAAAGGCCTCACCTCCAAATACTATCACATTGGGAATGTTTTTACATATGAATTTCTGGGTATACATTCAGTGTATAGCACTAAGAATAAAAAAAGGGCAATATGTCTTCAAGGAGTACAAATTCTTCACTGAATATAATTACAGACAAGTATGTTCCCAGTGATTTCAGTTTTGAAGAAGGAGAAAAGTGTGTATACACCCATGCAGAAGGAAAAACCATCTGAAAAGTTATATTCCCATATTATTAGTAGGATTCTTATGGGTAAGAGTTTAGGAAAAATGCCAATTTCTACCATAATTATATGTTTTTATATTGTTTAAACTTTATAAAAATTAATAAATGTTAGTGTCTGATATTTAAAAAGTAAAGGTATTTGTATAAAATTGTACTGAAAATAAAGCAATATGCAATTTTGGCTTCGAAGTAATTAAGAATAAGTTAATCTTAAGAAAGCTATTCAATTTACCTTTCTCAGGCTACTTGAAGATCCAACAACAGAAAACAGAGAAAGACCAAATTCACTGAATTCAAGTGGCATTGTTCAAGGTTTTGCTGGAGACTGGGTCTTAGCCTTTGCCTTATATAAAAAAAAATAGTAGATCTTGCCCATCATGTCTATTAAGTGGAGAAAAACCAGTTTCCCTTTTCACCCCAGGGTTCTTGAAGGCATACTGGGATGACGGTATCCATTTAACGTTGTTCACACTTTCTTCCTCTCCTCCTTAGATTACAAACCATTCAGGTTACAGTTTAGCAAGAGCTTTGAATTCAGTGAAAAATATCATTGGCTTTCTAAACAAAGTTGTTTGTGATAAAACAGAATCAACCTTTTTTTAAAAAAAAAAATCAACAATGCCCCAAGTGGGAAATATATATTATTAGTTTACCCTGCCACTAATTGAACTGCTGATATGAGCATGGGAGTCGTCTGAAAACGTATGAATTCTGTTGCCATTGTGCAAAACAACCTCCTGATATCCCTTGCCTTTGATGGCTTCTATTACATTCTAGAGCTCTAAGAGAAATACGCTTGTCAGTACAAAATGCCTTAAAGGGCTCTCCCCCTTCAGAACTGCTGAGAAGACACAGAATTTGTTGACTGGGAGGAGGCGATCAGTGTGTCCCCCAGAGACAGCATCAAAGGCAGATGCTGTAAGCAACTGCAGATTTAATGTGCTTCGTCCCTCCATCTTTCCTCCCTGGCACACTGGCCTTCCCCTAGCACTGACTCTCATCAAACTGACAAAATGATCATCCATGGACTCATGGTTAGGACCAAGGATTTTCCCAAAGACCAAGGTGGCTTTGAAAGACAATACATGGCTCATTTTTTACACTTGAGGCCCATAGCCTGTGTGTGTTAGAGGTTGGCTGGCTGAAAAATCTCAGATGGAGTCAGCTAATTCACTCAGTTCTCTTCTTAAACCCATGAGGCTAAAGACTATTGAGTTTCATGAGAAATAAACAACATTTCAAATTAACTATAGTGGCCTCTCATTTAAGTAGACTGGTCACAGAAGGGATTGTTTGGGTTGGCAAAATAGACTAGTTAACTCAGAGTTACTGTATACTAAGCTGTCTGACACTAGGCAAGTTATTTAATGCCCGATGCCACAGTTTCCATATTCATAAAATGGGCAATACTAATTGTTCTTACAGCAGAAGACTGTTGTAAAGACTAAATGAATTAACACATGAAGGTACCAAGAAAAAGGTCTGATAAGTGATATACAATATGTAATTTTATTACAATATATAATTTTATTATCGGCTAGAGCAAGCAGACCAGTGCAACTTACATGACTACCATCACATTGGATGACAAACGTTCATAGAAATGGAATCATTAACATGCATAACTCAAATTACTGGGCACAGGTTAATCCCCCTTCTGTGCTGATCCCTAGAGGGGTCCCAGGTTATCACTAGACATTTGAATTACCTATATTATAGAAAGTCTACTATTTACTCTTAAGGCAGGGATTCAAAAATGAGAAAGACCTTAAGACAGTCAAAATTAAGTCAGAGAGAGAACATACAAATGCTTATGACAATATTTACTAATGTGGAATGATAGAGGTAAGCACAGAATGTTATAGGAACACTGAGAGATATTGTGACAGGCAGAATGACATCCTCTCCAAAGATGTCCAAGTCCTACCTCCTAAAAACTATAAACATGCTTCATTATAGGATATAGGAATTAAGCTTGCTAACCGGCTGACCTTAAGATAGGAAGATTCTCCTGGATTTCCCAGGTGGGCACAAGGTAAACACAAGCGTCTTCAAAAGTGAAAGAGGAAAGCAGAACAATAGATCAGATTGATATAGTGTGAGAAGGAGTCAACCAGCCATTGCTGGACTTGAAGATGAAGGAAGGGGACCATGAACGTGGAATGCAGATGGCCTCTAGAGCCTGGAAAAGGTTAAGGACAAGGATCATGTCCAAAGTCAACAGAAAGGAACGAGCCCTGCTGATGCTTTGACGTTAGCCCAATGAGATCCATATTAGATTTCAGACATGCAGAACTGTAATAAATTTGTGTTGTTTTCAGACACTAAATTTGTGGGAATTTGTTATAGCAGACACGAAAAATCGACACAGGATAGAGCCTAACTTGCAGGTGAAAAAGGAGAGGAGTGATGGGGAGGAGCGCATCTTCTGGGAGGGATCATGGCTGAACGTTAGAGGGAGAATAGTCATTACGTGTAGTGAGGGCACTCACTCTGGGCACAGGTTCTGGTTTGGAAAAAGACCTTTTGGTGAAGTTCCATTGATCTGGTCCAGTGAACACAGTTTGAGAAATGAAATGGTTAAAAATGAGACTGCATAGACAGGCAGAGGTTTAGTCATAGAGAGCTTCCCATAGTAGGGAGTCTGGTCTTTGGCCTTTAGTCTATTAAAAAAGGAAGCCCCAGAGGGCCTTTAATCCAGAGAGTAACAGTGTCAGGTTTATGTTTTGAAAACATCATTGCATGTTAGAGGATATAGGATGGGTTTGGAGAGGGCAGAATGAGAGAAAGAAGTCCATGTAAGAGGTTGAGATGGGAGATGGTGGAGATTGAATTAGTGAGAGTCAGAAGAGAAAGGAAGCACCGAATTTTGGGAATAGTGCCCCATAAGACAAGCAGGCATTAGTGATGGCTGGGATGTAAGGCATGAAGGTAAAGAAAGAATCCAGAATGACCTCTGCATTTCTAGAGTAGGTGACCAGGGAGATGAAGGTGCCCTCGAGTGAGATACAGAATGGAGGAACAAGAATTCATTTAGGCGAAAGATAACTTTCCTTTGGGATGATCTGGGATGACCAGATGGACACATGCAGCTGCCAGCCAAATAGCAGCATCTGTAACCTGAATTAGTGGAAGCCTGAACTGATGAGGTGGATTTGACATCTGAAATGAGCAACCTCTACCAGCAGATGAGAGATAATGTTGATACTATAGACTATTTGATAGACTGAATTATATCACTCCAGAATGAGAAGAGTGATAGGCTGAAAATAGAACCTCAGGGGACAGTAGCATGTTACAGGTACTACAGAAAAGAGATGCTCATGAAAAAGGTGGGTGAGAAATGAGCAGAAAACAGCCTGGAGAACTAGTAAGTATGGTGTTCTAGGAGCCAAGGGAATAGAGAGTTTCAAGAAGAAGGGAAGGATAAATAGGGTCAAATGTAGCAGGGTCCAGAAAGAGAATAATTAGATGATGTGATGACAATTATGGTGGTGATCATGATGACCATCATCTAACTACAATAATGATGACAATAGCAACTAGCACTTCTTGAGTATTCATTATGTGCTAAATATTACAATTTATTTAAGTAACACATGTAGAACATGTACTCCCTACCAGAAACCCAGTGTTTTTAAAGGTTTAACTCATTTAATTCCCACAACAACCCTAGGAGGTAGATACTACTCTTAGCCTCATTTTACAGATAAAGAAATAGAAACATAGGTTAAGTGACTTGTCCAAAATTACTCAGTGAGTATTAGGGCCAACATTCTCCAGAGGCTATTTTCCTAACTACTAAGCTTTGCTGTCTCATGTCCTATTTTATTTAATTTTCTCCATACGTGAGCCAATGAGTACGTTCTGCCACCATACTAATTAAACAGATAAAACAAGAATCAGCAAAGTTAATCAACTTGCCTAAGGTCACCCAGCCCCAGTGACAGGCTGAATGGGTGACATCAGGCTGAATTAAGTGGTATGAATATTGAGATTAGCAAAGTTAATCTTCAACTGAACACAGGCGGCTGCAGATGACATCTCTCATCTGAGCACTAGAGGAAAAGAGATGGGACCCCTTTTCCTCTAGTGGGCAGGTAAGATGAAGAGCTGGGTTGGGGTTGGGTTGCAGTTTATAAGACTTGGCTCAATTCTGATTTGTTTCTACTCCTTGGATATGGCTTCTCGGATTTTTGATTAAGAACTCAGTGGGTCCCTGTCTTGTGTGAGATTTTCTTCTGCCCTTTGGAGGTTTGTTAATGTCTTCTCTCACTAATAAGGAGTATGAACAAATCCCAACTAATTAAACTCTTCAGTTGCTTGGTTTTTGTATGCATGGTAGGCTAACACAATCTGGGACAGTTCTCTTTTAGGAATTCTTTATTGGCTTAAAACAGAACATGGAGGTTCCAAAACCACATATATATGTATTTCTTATTCTATACAAAATACTGCAGCTTTCTTGTCTATGAACAAAGCCTTGCAAAACCCTGGTGTTCTTGCACTCACTGTCTTCCAACCAGGCTTAAAGGAATACAACCAGGGTGCCCTATTCCAGGGAACACTGCCCACCGGGTATCAGAGGCTGATCTCAGAACAGAGTCAGTACAAACAACAAACAAAGCTGAAACTCATCTGGGCCTTGTGCCCAAGAAAACCAGCCACACACGAACTCACACCATGGGGGAAGGAGAAAGGGGAAAAACGTTTCAAAAACAAACTGAGGAGAGTAAAAGGCTGGCTGAGAAGTTGGCTCCACACTGACTGCCCCCCTCCCCTCCATGAATGCCAAAGAGACAAAGCCTGAGAAAGAAAACCTTCCCTAATCTTGTCCAGGAAAGAAGCTCAAATCTCTTGACTTATTTGGGAAGCAATGACAGATACCAAGAGCTCTGACTTTACTGAGGAAGAAGATGACTTTGGGTCATGCATAAAATAAAATGGGTTTTGCTGAAGAAAAACTCAGAAATGCTTTAACATTTTCAATATTATTTATATGTAGAAATTTGCCTAACTGATGCATTTATTTAAAAATGTATGAATTAGTTATACTCATACTAGCTGCTGTAACGGATAAACCCGAAACTTCATTAGCTTCACACAATGGAAGTTTACTTTTTGCTCATGTGAAGTCCAGTCAGTAGATGGGAGGAAGAACTGCAATGCTCTGCTGTAGGCAGTCATTCAGGGACCTAGGCTAAAGGTAGGTTCCTAGGTTACCTTGGACATTGACATCCAGCTAGTATAAAGGGAAGAGAGAATGGAGAATTATACAGAAGATTTTTATTCACCAGGTCAACAAGTGATACATGAGACCCAATAAATATTTTTCTTACATTTTTTACATTTACAAAAGTACATAAATACTTTTGCCTACATATCATTGGCCAGATAGAACTCAGACACATGGCTACATCCAAATATGAAGAATGCTGGGAGATCCAGTCTCTGTCTGAGCAGCCACTTCACAGCAAAAACTCCCTATTATGGAAAGGGAATGCTAATCATTGGTGGAAACGAGATGTCTCTTCCACAGTGGATTTGCTCTACTTTACCATATCTATTTACTATATTATTAAATAGTGTTTCTTGAGAGGTGTGTTATTGTCATTTTGAATGAGACAGTT
The DNA here is from genome assembly GCF_000001405.40 of Homo sapiens. Taxonomy (NCBI): domain Eukaryota; kingdom Metazoa; phylum Chordata; class Mammalia; order Primates; family Hominidae; genus Homo; species Homo sapiens. Next base: position 25,259,093 of record NC_000003.12, on the reverse strand, counting down.
CTTTGGTTGCTGTACTGTTTCTCATACTGAAGTATGTTCACATTCCTGGTTCCTGCCTACTAATATCAGAAGCAGTCTCAGACACCATATACTATGGTTTGTCCCCAGCAAAACTCAGGCTGAGGTTTGGTCCCCAGTGTGGTGGTGTTGAAAGTTAGTGCCTTTGAGAGGAATTTGGGTCCTTAAGAGAGGTTTATGCCTTTCTCTTGAGAATACATTCAGGGACCTCTATTAAGACTGAATTAATTATTGCAAGAGAGAGTTGTGTTAAAGTGAGGCTGCCGCTCCTGTTTGGTGTCTTTTGCAGGTGCCTGCTGCTTAACCTTCTGCTTCTCCTGTGTTATGAGGTAGCATAAAGCCCTCTCCAGAAGCCAGGAGATGCAGCTGCTCATCTTAGACTTCCCAGCCTCCAGAACCATGAACTAAATCAACCTCTTTCCTTTATAAATTATTCAGTCTTAAGTATTTTATTACAGCAACAGAAAACAGACCAAGACACCATGACAACCAAAACCACTATACATTCCAAATGCCCACTTCAGGGTTGGTACTCCCCTGGGCTGAGGACCACAAACAGTCAGAATTTCAAGGTGTTGACTAATTCTTTACCCTTGCTAGATCATGTTATCAGAATCATTTCATCAAGCAAACCTCCCAGCAGCTTCTATTCTGATTAACATTTCCCTGAGGAATCCTGCATTCTGCCTACTTTACAATATCAATTGCGACCATAAAACAACATACAACTATCACAGAAGAGTGCTGACCATTCAAAATCATCACTTTGGGGTGATTAGCTACTTGTGTAATAAGTTTACCATTCCTTTAAATGTTTTTGGAGCTCCCCATATGGAAATCATCTTTAGAGGTAGTGCCACATAGAAACATGGAATTACTGAGTTCAAGGGAACCTCAGAGGTTCCTCAGTCCTAAGTTCAATCTGATGCCCCAATCCTTTCTACCATGCCTCTGCCAGCTATTCGTCAACCTTTATTCATGTATTCTGTGGCACTGCCTTAAAGCTGAGGACAACACAATGATGAAGTCAGGATTCCTAACTTCATTATAAGGGAGATGTACACAAATGGATCATTACAACGTAAGTCAGTAAATGCCATTGCTATGGCAGGAAGAGAGTGCTGTGGAAATACAAATGATGAAGGGGCTCAACTAACTTCATGAGTAGACACATGATTTGTGCTTTGATGAGAAAGGTTGAGTTTTTCAGGCTGAGAATGTCGGATGGTATTTGGGGTGTTTTAAAGGACTAGGTAACAAAGAGGGCTTAGAAGGTTTGGGAAGAAATAAGGAGCCTGGAAGAGATAGAAGGGGAATAAAATAGATGAAGAGAAGTTGAGTGGAAAAGGGAGGTCTTGGAAGACTCTGTAAATAGAGAGCAGATAGAGCCTAGGAAGGAGCGGAGGCATCAGGTAGACCGCAGGACTTGGACGAACTTGGACACAGGGCTTTCCATTTAAACATCATTAACAAGACAGATCTCCTGATGAAACTGACTCCATATCTGGACTATTTTAGATGTTATATCTCATTATTCATCCAAAACCTGCCCCACCCTAGTTCCAACTCTTCTGTCCTGGTTTTCTTCTCCTAGACACAGAGATCAATCATAATCACTTTTCCAGAGATCAGCCCTTCCAGAATCTGAAGACAATTATTACATCTCTATGAGTATCTCCTCTTCTCTAGGCTAAATGCCCTGTTCATACGTGTTTTTCTGCAAGGCTGTTTGCAATTCCCTTTTCATTCTACTCTCACTCCTCTGTGCTGGACACAGTCCAGTTGGCCAACATGCCCCTTAAGATGTGGTACCCGGAATGGAGCACACTCCTCCAAGTGTGGTTCATCAGCACAATCTTTGATCTGCATTCAAGCATCAAATTAAGTCACCAAGCAGACATACCACATTACTGAGTCATGCTGAACTTACTGTCAACCATCATATGTGTTGCTGGTAAGTTCATTCCCTATTTCATTCAGGGGCAGATGTTCTTTAAATGTGTGCATAACTCTACATTGATGAGCTTACATTTCCCTTGGTAAAATCTAACCCTTTTCTGAGGCTGTCAGGAGCTTTTAGGATAGTCCTTATCGTATGATATTTTGGGCAAGCATGTCAAGCACAAAGCTAATGTTCTCTTCCAAGTTCTTGATGATGTTCAATGAGAAGACGCTGAGACAGAACTCCATAAACTATCCTTCACGACCTCTAAAAAATATGCTGTGCCACCTCTTATCTTCACATTCTTGGATATTCTTATTTTTTTTTTCCATACTTTAACATCTTTCATCATTATACACGTTTGCCAAAGAACTCTATATGTAGCCAAATTGGTTTCTTGAGTTTCCTTTATCTTTTCTGCTCCACTGATTACGTAGAATTTCATTTATGACACCCTTCCATCCTTTATGACAAGACTGTCCTTTGAGTTTTGGTCATACATTTCTACTTATATTTGCTCAAATAAAAATTCTGAACTCATGGTTATACGTTTGATTATGGGCTACTTTGCAGCACAGGGTTTTGTTTTCATAAGAATTTTTAAAACAACATGGACATCCTTTAAAGGATCTCTCTCTTCAATCAATTTCTTCTTATTTATTTAACTACTTCTTAATGCTTATATATGTTTCCCTTATTGCTTCTCTTGCATTCTAGGACATTATGTCAACAAGAGTGAAAGAATAAAGGTAAATAGATTTTCTAGATTGAGGGAGCAATATGAGAAAAAGGAGATAAGTAAAGGTAACAGTGTGTTCTTCAGATTCTTCACATATGTATGTTTAATTCCTTTCTCTGATGGAGATTAAAATTTTCTTAATGGCAGGAAGGGGCCGTATCTTTTCAGTGGAATATTGGTTCATCTGCTTCTATAACAGTGCAATGACGAGTATACAATAGGTGTTGAATATTTTTGAACAACAGCAGCAGCAACACAGCTTGTTTAAATGGGCATATATTTTCATTCACCTGTTGAAGTAATTAAGGTATTGGAGATTTGTTCAATGTGTGACATCATTCCTACATAGAAATATTGTCAAACAGACATTTACATGATATGATACATTAAGAGATGGTTACAAATAATCATAGTTAAGAGGGAAAAGGTCACTTTTAAGAAATCTCACTGAAAAATCAGTAAACCTGTGGGAAATAAACATTATTAAAGCATTTCATATTAATAAATATAAATAAACAGACGTAAAGTAATTAACAAGTACATTCACAAGCATACACACTTGACTCAAGGGTATAAAAATGATCATTTTTTTAAAACTATTGTTTTCAAAAATTATACATTAAGGGAGAAGAGGTTCCAGTTGTCTTTGGACTTGAGCAACTCGACTAAAAGGTCCACAAAACTGTACTGCATAAACCACTCTAATATAACGCAAAGTCTCTCTACAATCAAAGACTAAAATTACAGTTTGTTTTTCACCTATATTATCAGTACTTTGAGACATCTACACGGCAAGTACTGACTCTTGTTCACCAAGATAAAGTATTAGCTTTTATTTTTTCACTTACAGTGTGCATAATGATTAAAGATTCTAGTTGCCAAGGGTGAAATGCTTCAAACTCGAAGCTCAATTGTTTTCTGAATTTGTAATTGTACCCTTTCTGAGGGATGGAGAAGGCAGAGGAGGAAATTCACAAAAGTGACACAAAGCAGATAATAACAGAGCCTCATGAATTCATAATGATGTTCAAGGTATGAGGGAAATTGTTTTCATCAAAAAGAACAAACTGTGATCACTTACCGCTAGTCACTGCTGGGGTGGCTGTGATCTAAGGACCCACTTTATGTTCCAAAAACAGATTAAATATCCAGGATCTGATCTCCAGAAAAAATTCATATTTGTGTTGATCTACTACTGTGTCTGTGAAGGTGGGGGAAGACTGCATGAGAGAACTAAGTAGACATTCATCTGATGCTCATGCCTAGTAAAGAAATGTGTGAGTGTTACCCTAAAGCCAAATCCAAATTTAAACTGGTCAGTAAGCCTGATGTTTGGCCAATATTGGGAGCAGCCCCTAGTTTAGACACAGAAAGGAATACAAGAATGCTAATATTTTTTGAGAATGTCGTAGGTGTCAGGTACTGTGCTGGATTATCCCTAAAAAGTCCAAACTGTCAGAGAAGGAAAAACCAGTTGGCTGCTAAGGTAGTGCCTCAATAATATTCTCAATCCAAACACAAGAACACCAAGCATGATAGCAACATGTAAGTTGTCCAAGGTAATGGCAGAGTCAAAGACAGTTTTATATCCGTCCAAATATCATCACACTGTCTTCTTCTTTATCCTATTTCATTTTCTTTTATCTCCCCCTTTGGACCCAGTTTTTTGTGATACAGTCTCTGACCGACCAAGTCATCCAGCACCCTCCCTCTCCTTCCTTCTCACTGCAACACCCACAAGGCCTTGCCTTGATTTTAAATATTTTAGGCATGATTTCAATAGCACCCCCCGACCCCCCAGCTGTAAGTGATACCGTTAAGGAAAACTGTCAGAGAAAGAAAAACCATTTGGCTGCTAAGGTAGTGTCCCAATAATGATATTGTTTCAGTGTGAGTTCCATTATTCTTGATGCATTTTTCAGCTATGTAAAAGCAAGAGTGGAATGCTATTAGTTCATTTAGAGATGATGAGGCTCTAGGTGACTAAAGTTCACTCAACTTTCAAGAAATCAATTAGTAATACAGAAACTCCAAGACTAAATTAAGAGGAAAAGCTACCTATGTAGAGAAGTAAATCTTTTTCAACTGTTTCTCAATAATGGGGACATGGAAAGTAAATAAAGACAGGAAATAATCTTGAAGTCCATAAGGAACACACAGCTCTCTTTCGGATAATAGGAAACACTGACAAATTTTTAATATTAAACTCCTTATTCCATGATGTATTACATGTCTCATGAAGTTATGTCAAGCAATTGAAAGGGTTGACATTTTATTTCAACTCTTCTCTTAGACAGATTGGTCTGTATTGGTTAAGTCCATTTATTATGGGTTGATTTTTCAATCTCAAAATATTACTTTTCCTAGATTTTGTAGCCAATTACTAGAAAGCACTGTATATGAACCCCTTATGCATGAACTACAATGATATCCTTTTATTCTTTTAGGACACAGTTCCCTACCGATATCCTAGCCCTTCTAACTAACATTTGTGTCTATTAGAGGTTCTCACAAGTTATCGTTTTAAGCTAAAGGTGCGGTTCCAGAAATACAAGCAATTTGAGGGACCACTAGGGCTCGATGGAAAAGAAAGGGGTCTTTTAGTACGCTTCAAATAATGTAACCTTTATAGCCTTATTGACAACTGATAACTCATATACAAATGAATAGATAAATCATCTCTTGTGGTGAGCTATAGCTTTTGACTATTATCCTGACCTGCTGTATTTATTCTAGAAATTAATTTTATTTTCTTCTTTCTTGAGTTGTTTATTCATCTGTCCATTTTCTCCCCTCTACTCTTCCTTTCTATTACCTTTGAAAATTCAGTATTATCTATACCCAGGCAATATATAAATTATGTCTGGGGACCCTCCTAGTGCATAAAGTGGTTTGCTGCTCTAGAAAACCTAGTATGTGGACATTAACTATTTCTTTGAATATTTTATAGATCCTTCAGGGTAATTGGGTGGGCAGACACACCATAGAGTCTCTATGTATTTCAAAATAAAGTTAAGTAAAGTAGATGGAATTTCCCAGAATAGTAAAATTTTCTTGTTGATGCTGGTTATGTAAAACTATTCTTTTAAGATAGGCAAAATACGGATGTACAACTCAGCCCTCCTTTCCTTCAGGTTTTGATAGAGAATAGAATAAAAAAACACATGTGTATCAAAGTGTCAGCTTTGTTAGCAATTACAAGTACCTATTTTCCACCCAAATCCAGAACTCTTTGGTAGTACTAGTAGTTGACAGGACTAGAAAGCAGATTAAAAATTAGGCAAATGGGATAATTAAACCTTCTATCATCTACCTCCCACATGTAATCAAGATTTGTGAATCCTAGTGCCTATGAAGACAGTTCAGCTTAACTTACATACTTAGTCACAGACACATAAATTGGTACAGAGAGGGAGAGAGTGCATATTACCCTCCCCTTCATAGAGACTCTGCTCAGTTGGGCTCAACAAATGGGACCTAGAAGCTGAAGAGAAGGGAAAGTAAAAGCCACGGTGCCAGATAAAAGAAGATCCATAAGTCATGACTCACACTTTGTGTGTTGGGCTTTCATCAATTAGACTGGATGCTACTGTTCTCCTGGAGAAGAGTTAAAAGGGGATATAGATAAATTTGAAGCAGTCCTTCCACAAAAAAATTTATTAGAAGTAATAAATATGTTCAGCAAGGTGGCAGAATACAAGATCAATATACAAAAGCCAATTGTAGTTCTATAAACTGGCAAAGAAATATCTGAAAATATAAGAAAATGAAACAATCCTGACTGTAATAGCAACCAAAACAATAAAATAGTTCGGAATAAGCTTAGCAAAAGAAGTGCAAGGCTTGTTCACTGAAAACTACAGAACATTACTGAAAGAAGTTAAAGAAGACCTAAATAAATGGAAAGATATACCATGTTCATGGACTGGAAGACAATATCATTACATGACAATATTTACCTAATTGATCTACAGATTCAATACAACCCCTATCAAAATCCTAGCTGGTTTTTTTACAGAAATTGACAAGCTGATCCTAAAATTTATATATAATTGCAAAGGTCCCCAAATAGCCAAAACAATCTTCAAAAAGAAGAACATAGCTGGGGGACACACACTTCTCAATTTCAAATTTACTATAAAGCTATAATAATCAAGACAGTGGGCTAAGAATAGACATATAGATCAAAGAAATAGATGTGTAGTCCAGAAGTAAGCACTTATACCTCTGTTCAAATGATTTTGACAAGGGTGGCAAGAAAATTTAATGGTAGTAAAGAATAATCTTTTTAACAAATGGTGCTGGGACAACTGTGTATTCACATGTAAAAGAGTAAGATTAGACCCCTATCTCACATCATATACAAAAATTAACTCAAAACCTATTCAGACTTAAATATAAGAGCTAAAACTAGAAAACTGTTAGAAAAAAACACAGGCATAAATTTCTGTGACTTTTGGTTAGGCAATGATTTCCTAAATATGGCACCAAAAACACAAGCAAAGACAAATTTGATAAATTGCACTTTTTCAAAATTGAAAACATTTGTACTTCAAATGACATCACCAAGAAAACAAAAAGACAACCCAAAAGATGAAAAGAAGTATTTGCGAATCATACGTCTGATAAAAGGTCTTCATTCAAGATGTATAAAAAATTCTTACAACTCAGCAACAAAAAGACAAATACCCCAATTAAAAAATGGGCTAAGTATTTGAATAGACTTTTCTCAAGAGAAGATATGCAAATAGCCAATAGGCACATGAAAACCTGTCCAACATCATTAGTCATTAGGAAAATGCCAACCAAAACCACAATAAAATGTCATTTCACACACACTAGGATGGATATAATTACAAAATGGACAACTTTTGGAGAGGATATGGAGAAATTAGAATGCTCACACACTGCTAACAAGAATGTAAAATTTATTACTTTGGAAAATAGTTTGAAAGGACCTTAAAAAGTTAAACATACAGCTACCATATGGCCCAACAATTCCACTCTTGGGTATATACCCAAGAAAATTGAAAACATATGTCCATGAAAAAACTTGTACACAAATATTTATAGCAGCATTATTCATAAAAGCCAAAAAGTAGAAACAATCCAAATGCCCATCTTGTAAAGAATGGATACATATAACATTCTATATCTATAAAATATAATATTATAATAAAATGAATGAAGTAGTAATGCATGCTACAATATGGATGACCTTGAATATATTGACATATGTTAAAGAAGCCAGTCAAGAATGCATATTCAAGGTGGCTGAATAGAGGAATGTGGTACTCACTCCTCCACAAAAAAGAACCTAAACAGCAAGCAGACAATGGAACACCTAACAGAGAACACTTTCAGTAGAGAAGTAACAGGAAACACCTAAGGCAATGAAAGGGAGAAAAGCAAGGTAACATGCTCTGCTGGGATCAACTGGAAGCCTGTAGAGGTTCCCAACTGTGGGAAAAGGGTAAGTGAACAACACCCAATTGCTACAGATTCCCACCACAGACTCCTGCAGTCTTAGCCACTGTGGAGTCTCTTAACCCTTGTGAGTCCTGAGACTAACACAGGGAGCTGCCTGAAGATCACATGACAGCATTGCTTGAGGAAGGGAATTCACACTGGATTCCATACAGCCGCCAAGTCCTAAGCAGCTATAGCAAGGTGCCACTTTGAGAGCCCAGCCCCTACCAGACTGCATCCTACCCTGGGGTCCAACAGCCTCTTCATCTCCACATTTCTGAAGCCCAATTGACATCCCTTGCCCACAGCCAGGTGCCACTTCTGGCTGCTGCCACCAGGCGTGAATCATGAGCCACTGTCAGTGACCCCACAATCCCCAGTAGTGGGGACACCACACATCTACAAGTGCCATGAGATGCTATCCTGCCCGAAGCCACCAACTGAGACCAATGTGTTCATTCCCCAGCTGCCTGTTTATGGTTGCTGCCACTGAAAACAACTTTGCCCTCCTCAGTAGTAGGACTGCAGCACAACCACTGCTGCCCCCACCCAAGCATTCATCTGGGGTCCTGGGAATTACCCTATCCCTGTCTACCCTAGCCAGTGCCTGCACACATCACATGGAGCCTGAGGATAGACCCACACAGGCTGGCCCTGCATCATCCATGCACAAGCATGCCTGGGGATCACCCTGCCCCATCCACCATTGTTGGCATCCCTCACAGGGGCCTGAGAACAAGCCCATCCAACCTGCTGTTACTACTACAGCTGGCACCACCTGTACATGCCACCTGCAGGCCTGAGTACTGATCTGTTCATCCTGTCACAGCCACCACCAGCACCAGTGTGGACTCCCTGGGAGTCAGAGGGTTGTCCTACCACTGCTACTGCCATTAATCAAGCAATTTCTGATGCCCAGGGGCCTGAAGATCTTCCCACCCACCGAGCCCACCACTGTTACTATCAGCACCAGAGAAAGCCACCTGGTGACCCAATAATTGGCCCAACAGGACCTGGCAATAGTGCTGCAAGCATATGCCGCCCTGGGGCCCCAAAACAGGAACACACAGCCTGCTGCTGCTACCACTGGGGCCCCAGGACTGACTTACCTGACTTACCTGACATCCCCATCCCTGAAAAACTTCATCACAGCCTCCACTAACAACCATACCCTATGTAACTAAGAAAGGAAATCACAGACACTACTGATGTTGTTTACAGCCAAAAAAAAAAAAAAAAAAAAATCATACAGAGACTACACTACTGCATACCCAGAATCAAAGCTGAAGTGACCTACCCAACCAACATCATGGATACCTCTTCAGGAAAACCTCCTCTACAAAAGCAAATTAAAAAAAATTGAAAGAAGCAACTATTATATCAGAGGTACAGATATCAATGTAAGGACACAAGAAACAAAAAAAGCAGGGATATATGAAACCTCCAAAGGATCACAACAATTTTCCAGCAACAGATTTCAATGCAAAATAAATTTATGACATTCTGGAAAACGAATTCAAATTAATGATATTAAAAAGTTCAGTGGGATATAAGAGAACACAAATGAACAATACAAAGAAATCAGAAAAATAATCAAGGATATAAGTAAGAAATTTATTAAGAGACAGATATCATAATAAAGAACCAAACAAATTCTGAAACCAAAGATTCACCAAATGCCATACAAAATACATTCAAAAGCTTTAATAACAGACTAGATCAAGGAGAAAAAAGAATTTCGGAACTTGAAGACAGGTTGTCTGAAATAAACCAGATAAAAATTTTAAAAAAGAATAAAAAAGAATGAAGAATGCCCACATAATGTATAGGATGCCATAAAGTGACCAAATATTTGAATTTCCAGTGTCCCATCAGGCAAAGAGAAAATGAAAGACACAGAAAACCTATTTAACAAAATAATAGCTGAAAACTTCCTAAGTCTAGCAAGAAATTTAGATATTAAGATACAGAAAGCTCAAAGACTTTCAAAAAGATATAATTAAAAAACTCTTATTCATGGCAGAGTGTAGCCCAACTGTCAAAAGTGAAAGACAAAGAGAATTCAAACAACAGCAAGATAAAGAATCTAATGACTTATAAGGGAACCCCAACCAGACTAACAGTAGACATATAAGCAGTAGACATCTTACAAGCCAGGAGATAACAGAATGATACATTTTAAATACTGAAAGAAAAAATTGCCAGCCAAGGATCCAGCAAAATTATCCTTTATAAAAGGAGGACAAATAAAGTATTTCTCAAACAAGCAAAAGCTGAAGGAATTCATCACCACTAGTATTGTCCTGTAAAAAATGCTTTAAGGGAGTCCTACACCTGGAAACAAAAAGATACTATCTACCATCATGAAAACTCACAAAAGTATAAAAAACACTGGTAGAGCAAACACACCATAAGGAAAGGAAAGGGTCCAATGGTTACAACTACAGAAAACAAAACACAATGATAAACAGGAGAGAAAGAAACAAAGAATATTCAAAATAACAATAGCTCAATTAATAAAATAATAGGAGTAAGCCCTCCCATATCAATAATAATCTTGAATGTAAACAGATTAAACTTTTCACTTAAAGGATAGAGTGGCTAAATGAATTTTAAAAACATGATCCACCTATATGCTGCTTACAAGAAACTCACCTCACCTTAAAGACATATAGATTGAAAGTAAAGGGATGAAAAAAGATATTGGATGAATATGAAAACCACAAATGAGCAGGAGTAGCTATACTTCATAAAACAGACATTAAAATCAAAAACAGTTCAAAGAGACACAAAAAGTCATTATATCATGATAAAAGGATCAGTCCAGCAAGAGGAAATAAAAATCCTGAACCATATATTCATCCGACACCAGAGCATCCAGATACATAAAACAAATATTAGATTTAAAGGAAGAGGAATTCCAATACAATAATAGTTGGGGACTTCAACACTCCACTCTCAGCATTAAGCAGATCATCTAGACAGAAAACTAACAAAGAAATACTAGATTTAAACTGCACTTTAGACTAATGGATCTAACATTAATTTACAGAACATTTCACCCAACAGCTACAGTATACACATTCCCTCTAATCAGTACTTGGAACATTCTTCAGAATAGATATGTTAAGACATAAAATGATTCCCGGGCAAGATGGCCAAATAGGAACAGCTCCCATCTGCAGCTCCCAGCCAGGCCAACGCAGAAGGCGGGTGATTTCTGCATTTCCAACTGAGGTACCTGGTTCATGTCATTGGGATTGGTTAGACAGTGGGTGCAGCCCATGGAGGATGAGCAGAAGCAGGGTGGGGCATTGCCTCACTTGGGAAGTTCAAGGGGTGAGGGAACTCCCTCCCCTCGACAAGGGAATCTGTGAGGGACCACGCCATGAGGGATGGAGCTATTTGGCCCAGATACTAGGCTTTTCCCAGGGTCTTCACAACCCACAGACCAGGAGATTCCCTTGTGTGCCTACACCACATGGGCCCCGAGTTTCAAGCACTAAACTGGGTGGCCGTTTGGACAGACACCGAACCAGATGCCAGAGTTTTTGTTTGTATCCCAGTGGCACCTGGAACACCAGCAAGACAGAACAGTTCATTCCCCTGGAAAAGGGGCTGAAGACAGTGATACTAGTGGTCATGCTCAGTGGATCCCAGTCCCACAGAGCCCAGCAAGCTAAGACCCACTGGCTTGAATATCTTGCTGCTAGCACAGAACTCTAAAATCGACCTGGGATGCTCAAGCTTGGTGGGGGAAGGGCATCTGCCATTACTGAGGCATGAGTAGGCGATTTTCCCCTCGCAGTGTAAATGAAGCTCCCAGCTAGTTCTGACTGGGCGGAGCCCACTGCAGCTCCACAAAGCTGCTGTAGCCAGACCGCCTGTCTAGATTCCTCCTCTCTGGGCAGGGCATCTCTGAAAGAAAGGCAGCAGCCCTAGTCAGGGGCTTATAGATGAAACTCCCCTCTCCCTGGGACAGAGCACCTGAGGGAAGGGGCAGCTGTGGGTGCAGCTCCAGCAGACTTAAACGTTTCTGCTTGCTGGCTGTAAAGAGAGCAGTGGATCTCCCAGCACAGGGCTTGAGCTCTGCTAAGGGACAGACTGCGTCCTCAAGTGGGTCTCCAAACCCTGTGCCTCCTGATGGGGAGACACTTCCCAGCAGGGTTCAACAGACACCTCTTAGAAGAGAGCTCTAGTGGGCATCTGGCAGGCACCCCTTTGGGACCAAACTTCCAGAGGGAGGAGCACACAGCAATATTTGCTCTTCTGCAGCCTCCACTGGTGATACCCAGGCAAACAGGATCTGGAGTGGAACCCCAGCAAACTCCAGCAGACCTGCAGAAAAGGGGCCTGACTGATAGAAGGAAAACTAACAAACAGAAAGGAATAGCAACAATATCAACAAAAAGGACAACCATGCAAAAACTCCATCCGAAGATCAAGAGCAAAGACCAAAGGTAGGTAAATCCAAGAAGGTGAGGAAAAACAAGCACAAAAAGGCGGAAAATTCCAAAAACCAGAATACCTCTTCTCCTCCAAAGGATCACAACTCCTCGCCAGCAAGGGAATAAAACTGGATGGAGAATGAGTTTGACAAATTGACAGAATTAGGCTTCAGAAGATGGGTAATAACAAACTCCTCCGTGCTAAAGGAGCATGTTCTAATCCAATGCAAGGAAGCTAAGAACCTTGAAAAAATGTTAGAAGTACTGCTAACTGGAATAACTAGTTTAGAGAAGAACATACATGACCTGATGGAGCTGAAAAACACAGCACAAGAACTTTGTGAAGCATACACAACTATCAATAGCCAAATCGATCAAGCATAAGACAGGATATCAGAGATTGAAGATCAACTTAAAGAAATAAAGCATGAAGACAAGATTAGAGAAAAAAGAATGGAAAGGGATGAACAAAGCCTCCAAGAAATATAGGACTTTGTGAAAAGACCAAACCCACGTTTGATTGGTATAACTGAAAGTGATGAGGAAAATGGAATTAAGTTGGAAAACACACTTCAGGATATTATCCAGGAGAACTTCCCTGACCCAGCAAGACAGGCCAACATTCAAATTCAGGAAATACAGAGAACACCATAAAGATACTCCTCAAGAGTATCTCCTCGAGAAGAGCAACCCCAAGACACATCATCGTCAGATTCACCAAGATTGAAATGAAGGAAAAAAATGTTAAGGGCAGTCAGAGAGAAAGGTCAGGTTACCCACAAAGGGAAGCCTATCAGACTAACAGCAGATCTCTCTTCAGAAACCCTACAAGCAAGAAGAGAGTGGGGGCCAATATTCAACATTCTTAAATAAAAAAATTTTCAATCCAGAATTTCATATCCAGCCAAACTAAGCTTCATAAGTGAAGAAGAACTAAATCCTTTACAGACAAGCAAATGCTGAAGGATTTTGTCACCACCAGGCCTGCCTTACAAGAGCTCCTTAAGGAAACACTAAATGTGGAAAGGAAAAACCGGTACCAGCCACTGCAAAAATAAACCAAAATGTAAAGGCCATCAACACTATGAAGATAGTGCATCAACTAATGGGCAAAATAACCAGATAGCATCATAATGACAGGATCAGTCTCACACAAAACAATATAAACCTTAAATGTAAACAGGCTAAATGCCCCAATTAAAAGGCACAAATTGGCAAATTGGATAAAGATCAAAACCCATCTGTGTGGTGTATTCAGGAGACCCATCTCACACTTAAAGATACTCATAGACTCAAAATAAAGGGATGGAGGAAGATTTACCAAGCAAATGGAAAGCAAAAAAAACAGGAGTTGCAATCTTAGTCTCTCTTAAAATAGACTTTAAACCAACAAAGATCAAAAGAGACAAAGAAAGGCATTACACAATGCTAAAGGAATCAATGCAACAAGAAGAGCTAACTATTCTAAATATATATGCACCCAATACGGGAGCACCCAGATTCATAAAGCAAGTTCTTAGAGATCTACAAAGAGACTTTGACTCCCACACAATAACAGTGGGAGACTTTAACACCACACTGTCAATATTAGATTGAGACAGAAAATTAACAAGGATATTTGGGACTTGAACTCAGCTCTGGACCAAGAAGACCTAATAGACATCAACAGAACTCTCCACCCCAAATCAACACAATATACATGCTTCTCAGCACTACATAGCACTTATACTAAAATCGACCACATAATTGGAAGTAAAACATGCCTCAGCAAATGCAAAAGAAGAGAAATCATAACAAACACTCTCTCAGACCACAGTGTAATCAAATTAGAACTCAGGATTAAGAAACTCACTCAAAATCTCACAACCACATGAAAACTGAACAACCTGCTCCTGAGTGACTACTGGGTAAACAACAAAATGAAGGCAGAAATAAATAAGTTCTTTGAAACCAATGAGAACAAAGACACAATGTACAAGAATCTCTTAGACACAGCTAAAGCAGTGTTTAGAGGGAAATTTGTAACACTAAATACCCACAGGAGAAGGCGGGAAAGATCTAAAATTGACACCCTAACATCACAATTAAAAGAACTAGGGAAGCAAGAGTTAACACATTTAAAAGCTAGCAGAAGACAAGAAACAACTAAGATCAGAGCAGAATTGAAGGAGATAAAGACACAAACTCTTCAAAAAAAAAAAAAAATCAATGAATTCAGGAGCTGGTTTATTGGAAAGATTAAAAAAATAGACTGCTAGCCAGACTAATAAAGAAGAAAAGGAGAAGAATCGAATAGACACAATAAAAAATGATAAAGGGGATATCACCACTGATCCCACAGAAACACAAACTACTATCAGAGAATACTAGAAACACTTTTACATAAATAAACTAGAAAATCTAGAAGAAATGGATAGATTCCTGGACACATACACCTTTCCAAGACTAAACCAGGAAGAAGTCAAATACCTGAACAGACTAATAACAAGTTCTGAAATTGAGGCAGTAATTAATAGCCTATCAATTAAAAAGAGCCCAGGAACAGATGGATTCACAGCTGAATTCTACCAGAGGTACAAAGAGGAGCTGGTACCATTCCTTTTAAAACTATTTCAAACAATAGAAAAAGAAAGACTCCTCCCTGACTCATTTTATGAGGCCAGCATCATCCTGATACCAAAACCTGAAAGAGACACAACAGAAAAACAAAATTTCAGGCCAATATCCCTGATGAACATCGAAGGGAAAAATCCTCAATAAAATACTGGCAAACCGATTCTAGAAGCACATTAAAAAGCTTATCCACCACGACCAAGTCAGCTTCATCCATGGGATGCAAGGCTGTTTCAACATACACAAATCAGTAAATGTAATCCATCATATAAACAGAACCAATGACAAAACTCACATGATTATCTCAACAGATGCAGAAAAGGTCTTTGATAAAATTCAACACCCCTTCAGGCTAAAAACACTCAATAAACTAGGTATTAATGAAACATACCTCAAAATAATAAGAGCTATTGATGACAAACCCACAGCCAATATCACACTGAATGGGCATAAGCTGGAACCATTCCCTTTGAAAACCAGCACAAGACAAGGATGTCCTCTCTCACCACTCCTATTCAACACAGTATTGAAAGTTCTGGTCAGGGCAATCAGGCAAGAGGAAGAAATAAAGGGTATTCAAACAGGAAGAGAGGAAGTCAAATTATCTCTGTTTTCAGATGACATGATTGTATATTTAGAAAACCCCATGATCTCAGCCCAAGAACTCCTTAAGCTGATAAGTAACTTCAGCAAAGTCTCAGGATAAAAAATCGATCTGCAAAAATCACAAGCACTCCTATACACCAATTATAGACAAACAGGGAGCCAAACCATGAGTGAATTCCCATTCACAATTGCTACAAAGAGAAAAAAATACCTAGAAATACAACTTACAGGGGATGTGAAGGACCTCTTCAAGGAGAACTACAAACCACTGCTCAAGAAAATAAGAGAGGACACAAACAAATGGAAAAACATTCCATGCTCATGGATAGGAAAAATCAAAATTGTGAAAATGGCCATACTGCCCAAAGTAATTGATAGATTCAATGCTATTCTCATCAAAGTACCATTGACTTTCTTCATAAAATTGGAAAAAACTTCTTTAAATTTCATATGGAACCAAAAAAGAGCCCATATAGCCAACACAATCTTAAGCAAAAAGAACAAAGCTGGAGGCATCATGCTACTTCACTTCAAACTATATTACAAGGCTACAATAACCAAAACAGCATGGTACTGGTACCAAAACAGATATATAGACCAATGGAACAGAACAGAGCCCTCAGAAATAACGCCACACATCTACAACCATCTGATCTTTGATGAACCTGACAGAAAAAAAAGCAATGGGAAAAGGATTCCCTATTTAATAAATGGTATGGGGAAAACTGGCTAGTCATATGCAGAAAACTGAGACTGGACCCCTTCCTTTCACCTTATACAAAGATTAACTCAAGATGGATTAAAGATTTAAACACAAGACCTAAAACCCTAAAAATCCTAGAAGAAAACCTAGGCAATACCGTTCAGAACATAGGCATGGGCAAAGACTTCATGACCAAAACACCAAAAGCAATGTCAACAAAAGCCAAAATTTCCAAATGGGATCTAATTAAACTAAAGAGTTTCTGCACGGCAAAATAAACTACCATCAGAGTGAACAGGCAACCTACAGAATGGGAGAAAATTTTTGCTATCTATCCATCTGACAAAGGGCTAATATCCAGAATCTACAAGGAACTTAAACAAATTTACAAGAAAAAAAAACCTCATTGAAAAGTGGGGGAAGGATATGAACAGATGCTTTTGAAAAGAAGACATTTATGTGGCCAAAAAACATATGAAAAGAAGCTCATCCACTGGTCATTAGAGAAATGCAAATCAAAACCACAATGAGATACCATCTCACGCCAGTTAAAGTGGTGATCATTAAAAAGTCAGGAAACAACAGATGCTGGAGAGGATGTGGAGAAATAGGAAAGTTTTTACACTGTTGGTGGGAGTGTAAATTAGTTCAACCATTGTGGAAGACAATGAGGCAATTCCTCAAGGATCTAGAACTAGAAATACCATTTGACCTAGCAATCCCATTACTGGGTATATACCCAAAGGATTATAAATCATTCTGCTATATAGACACATGCACACGTATGCACATGCACTATTCACAATAGCAAAGACTTGGAACCAACCCAAATGCCGATCAATGTTAGACTGGATAAAGAAAATGTGGCACATATAAACCATGGAATACTATACAGCCATAAAAAAGAATGAGTTCATGTCCTTTGCAGGGATATGCATGAATCTGGAAGCCATCATTCTCAGCAAACTAACACTGAAACAGAAAACCAAACACTGCATGTTCTCATTCATAGGTAGGAGTTGAACAATGAGAAAATACGGGCACAGGGAGGGGAACATCACACCCGGGCCTGTCCGGGGGTTGTGGCAGGGAAGGGGAGGCATAGCATTAGGAGAAATAGCTAATGTGGATGATGGGGTGATGGGTGCAGCAAACCAACATGGTTCCATGTATACCTACGTAACAAAACTGCATGTTCTGCACATGTATCCCAGAACTTAAAGTATAATTTAAAAAAAGACATAAAACAAATCTCAACAGACTTTTAAAAATCAAAATCATAACAAGTATCTGCTCAGACCACTAAAACTCAGTAACTAGAGAAACTTTGGAAATTGTACAAATATATGTAAATGAAACAGCATGTTCCAGAATGCCCATTATATTACAACTGATACCACAGAAATGGAGAAGGTCATCAGAGACTATTATGAACAACTATACACAAATAAACTGGAAAACCCAGGGGAAATATATAAATTCCTAGACACATGCAATCTACTTAGACTTAATCAAGAAGAAATAGAAAGGCTGAACAGACCAACAAGAAGTAATGAGATTGACTTGGTAATAAATAACTTCTCAATAAAGAAAAGCCTAGGGCCAAATGGCTTCATTGTCAAATTCTACCAAACTTCCAAAGAACACCAATTCTTCTCAAACAATTCTAAAAAGTTGAGGAGAGAAGAAATTTTCTCTAATTCATTCTACAAAGCCAAAATTACCCTGATACAAAAACCAGACAAAGACACAACAACAAAAAAGAAAACTACAGGCTAATATCCCTGATAGACACAGACGCAAAAATCCTCAACAAAATACTAACAAACTGAATTCAACAGCACATCAAAAAGATAATACACCATGAACAAGTGGGGTTCATCTCAGGGATGTAAGAATGTCTCCACATATGTAACTCAATAAACCTGACATATTACATCAATAGAATGAAGGACAAAAACTGTATGATCACTCAATAAATGCAGAAAAAGCATTTGATAAGATTCAACATTGCTTCATGATAAAAAACTATCAACAAACTAGGCATAGAAGGAAACATACCACAAAATATAATAAAGGCCATATATAACAAACACATAGTTAACATTATACTAAATGGAAAAGAGTTGAAAGCCTTTTCTAAAAGAACTAGAACAAGACAAGGATGCATACTTTCACCACTTCTATTCAACATAGTACTGGAAGTCCTAGTCACAGCAATCAGGTATGAGAAAGAACTCAAATGCATCCAAATTGAAAATGAGGAAGTCAAGTTGTCCTTTTCTTCAGAGAACATCATCTTATATCTAGAAAAACCTAAAGACTCCACCAAAATTCTTACACCTAATAAATTCAGCAAAGTTGCAGGATACATAAAACATACAAAAAGCAGTAGCGTTTCTATACACCAATGATGAACTAACCGAGAATGAAATCAAGAATGCAATCCCATTTACAAGAATTACAAAAACAAACAAACAAACCCAAAACAGCGATAACAAAAAAAAAACAAACAAACACCAACAACCTAGGAAAAAATTTAACCAAGGAATTGAAAGACCACTACAAGGAAAGCTACCAAACACTGATGAAAGAAACTGAAGAAATCACAAACAAATGGAAAGGCATCTATGCTCGTGGATCAGAAGAATTAATATCATTAAAATGAAGATACTACCCAAAGCAACTTACAGATTCAGTGCAATCTCTGTCAAAATACCAATGTAATTTTTCACAGAAATAGAAAAAATTTGTATGGAACCAAAAAAGAGCCTGAATAACCAAAGCAACCCTGAACACAAAAAACAAAGCGGGAGGCATCACACTATTAGATTTCGAAATATATTTCAAGTCTCTGCTAACCAAAACAGCATTATATTGGCATAAAAACAGATGCGCAGACCAACGGAACAGAATAGAGGACCCAGAAATAAATCTATGTATATATAGCCAACTGATTTTTGACAAAGAGGTCAAGAACCTATACTGGGAAAAGGACATCCTCTTCAATAAATGGTGCTGGGAAAATTGGACACCCATATGCAGAAGAATAAAATGGACTCCTATCTCTCATCAAATTGAAAAATAAACTTTAGATGGATTAAAGACTTAAACATAACACCCAAAACTATAAAATTACTAGAAGAATACATAGGGGAAACACTTGAAGACACTGGTCTAGGGAAAGATATTATGGCTAAGATCTCAAAGGCACAGCCAACAAAATAAAAAATCAACAAACGGTACTATATTAAACCAAGAAGCTTCTGATCAGCAGAGGAAACAATTAACAGAGTTATAGAACAACCTGTTGAATAGGAAAAATATTTGCAAACTATTCATATGACAAGGGACTAATATCCAGAATATACAAGGAACTCAAACAATTTAATAGTAATAAACAATCCCATTAAAAAGTGGGCAAAGGACATGAATAGGCATTTCTCAAAAGAAAACATACAAATGGTCAACTGATGTATGAAAAAATGTTCAACATCACTAATCATCAGGGAAATACAAATAAAAACCACAATGAGCTATCATCCTACCCCAGTTATCATGGCTATTGTTACTTTTTGAGACACAGTCTTGCTCTGCTGCCCCGGCTGGAGTGCAGTGGTGTGATCTCGGCTTACTGCAACCTCCGCCTCCTGGGTTCAAGAGATTCTTCTGCCTCAGCCTCCCTAATAGCTGGGACTACAGGCACGCGCCATCATGCCTGGCTAATTTTTGTATTTTTAGTAGAGAAGGAGTTTCACTGTGTTGGCCAGGCTGGTCTTGATCCTGACCTCGTGATCCACCTGCCTCGGCCTCCCAAAGTACTGGGATTACAGGTATGAGCCACTGCACCCAGCCCACAGGTATTATTAAAAAGACAAAAAATAACCGATGCTGACAAGGATGCAGGGAAAAGAGAATTCTTATACACCATTGGTGGGGATGTAAAGTAGTGCAGCTACTATGCAAATGTGTATGGCAATTTTTCAAAAAACTAAAAATGCAACTACTATACAATCCAGCAATTCCATTCCTGGGTATTTACGCAAGGGAAAAAACATCAGTATATCAAAGGGATACCTGTACCCCATGTTTACTGCAGCACTATTCACAACATCAAAGATATGGAATCATTTTAAGTGTCCACCAATGGATAAATGAATAAAGAAAATTTGGTCTATATGGTATATATAATGGAATACTATTTGGCCATACAAAACAATAAAATCATGTCATTTTTAACAACGTGGATGGAATTGGAGGTCCTTATGTTAAGTGAAATAAGCCAGGCATGGAAAGACAAATATTCCATGTTTTCATTCATATGTAGGAACTAAAAAAAGTGGATCTCATAAAGGTAGAGAGTAGAATCCTAGATACCAGAGACTGGGAAGGATGTGTGGGGGGGCGCTGGAGGATGAAGACAGGTTGGTTAATAGGTACAAACATACAATTAAATAGAAGGAATAAATTCTAATGTTTGACAGAAGAAGGTAACAGCAATGTGTTGTATATTTCAAAATAACTAGAACAGAAGACTTGAAATGTTCCTGACATGTAGAAATGATAAATTCTCAAGGTGATGGATATCCTAAGTACACCTTCTATGCATGCAACAAAGTATCACATGTACTCTCTCTATATATGTACAAATATTATGTATCAATAAAAAAAAAGAAGCCAGTCACAACAGACCATATATTGTATGATTTCATATATATGAGGTATCCAAAATAGGGTTGGTGCAAAAGTAATTGCGGTTTTGGCATTAAAAGTAGAGTAGACTAGAGTAGCATTTGCCAGGGGTTGAGGGGAAGTAGAATGGAGAACTGCTAATGGTTTATGATGTTTCTTTTTGGGGTGATATAACATGTTCTGGAATTAGATAGTGATGATGGGTGTCTAACTTAATAAATTAAACTCACTGGATTGTACACTTTAAAATGGTGAACTTTATAATATATAACTAAATCTCAATAAAGCTGTTATTTTCAGAAAGAGTTTCTAATCAAAAGTTTTACATTATATTTTTGGAGGGTGGCTTTTTTAAAAAACAAATATTATCTGCTCATGTAAAACAAAAAACTGTTTAGAAGATACATTTTTCTCTCCTGTAAGATTTAGAAAATAACATATGGCATTTAGAATATTGAAGTGCAAAAAGAAAAATAAATGACAGCAGTGATCAGATAGGAAAAAAAGCAGAATATTTATTAAAAGAATATTCTGGTTACATTAAGATCATTTTATAATGCTGCTTTGGGAAGCCACCCTTTGGGGTTGTCTAATAAATGCCACCAACTTTTAATGAGATCATCTCAGTTCTTCAGTAACCAAGTTCTCCAAAGGGATTAGCTAAAGCATAATGAGTATTGTTTTATATGGAATTCCTCTGTTTTGAGATATTAATGCAAGAAAGCTTTTAACTATTAAAGAAAATCTTTTCAGATAAAAGGAGACCTTTATTAAATGGAAAGATAGCAATTATGATAATAGCGTAAGATACTCTCTTTCAAGCAACACCAAAATACAAGTGCACAGTTGACTGACTCAGTTCTGGAAGACCAACAACTTGTGTTTAGAGTTAGGTAAAGAAACAGGATAAGAGAACAGAATTATCAGAATAATGATATTCTCTGAATTTCCGGGGTTTAAAATAAATATTATATTAGAAAACTCTATTAACCATAAAAAAATGATGCGAGATCTTCCAGATAAATAATACTTACATTCAAAAAAGTTCCTAGCACTCTTAATAAAATGTATTGCATGAGGAGAAATTCCACTCTATTTTTCTTATGACCCCTACCAAACACCAAATTCAATATGAAATGCTAAATAAACAGCAGCAGACATACATTAATGTAAAATCTAGCATTTATTTTCATTGTTACACATGTATATATTAATTGTTCGGAGCACCAGCGCTTTTATATGCATTAAAGTGCATAGTGAAGGGAAGAAAAGATGCTCCTTTTCTTTCCTCTTCTCTTTCCTTCCATCCTTCACTAGATCCCATGTTCAATTCCTTCCTTTCTTTGTACTAGTAAGATAACTTTATTTATGTATTGTTCATGGCTTTTGTTTCAAAAATTCAGGACATTTTAGAAGAGGACTTCTTAGTCTTTAGAAGGTCAGCAGAGTGAATATGTGGCTACAGATATGTAAAGCAACAAATTAATCATCTGCTATTCTGAGATAAGAATTAACAGGGTATTATTATCTTTGAAATTATCTGGAGCTTAAAATCTGTTGATGAGTAAAATTAGGCAGAGTGCCCAATTATCCACTACATGCATTGTTTTTGTTTACTGCTCCAATTCTTGCAATTAGCATTGTTCTTGGCACAATTAATATTTGTTGAATGAATACAGCAGGGCCTGTGGCTATATTTATAAAGTTATTCATTTATACAATGAGCTATAACTACATCATGAATGAATCAGAAATATGAATATTTCTGAGGAATACACAAAAATAGATCTACAAATACCAAAGAAGATAGAGTTAAAAGATCCTCTGAAATAACTCACATGTACTATTTTTCAGGATATATAGACTTGAGGTTTAAAATCTTATAAAGTATCTAGAGATGTTTGATTTTTACAATCCTAGAGTTGATTTAAAATATAAGAAAACAGGGTTGATTAACATCTCTAGTATTCAAATAAGTAGTGGAGTAATATGTGGCACTGTTTATTCACAGATACAAATACTATGGGGAAAATTATGACATTTCTATTTCTATTTTAATGCACAAAACAAAAGTGAGTAATAGTCAAAGAAGGGGTTTTATAGCAAAGCCTTTCCATCTCCTGTGTTTGTGTATGTGTGCTCGCACGCATGTCTTCATTCTGCCCTATTACCCTGTAACCTCACTCAAGAGCTGTAATAGATAATAGAAAAGCAGTTAACCACATGAAACAGCAGACTTGCTTATTTCAGCTATGGAATGTTTTGTCTGTGATTTGAGTGAGTAAAAGGCATGATGACTATCACAGACACACAGGAAAAAGGCAGTTGAAATTCAACCATAATGAAGACTAAACACCTTTCAACTTTGCTGAGACTCTGAAAATACCTCTGATCTCCTTTTGGTGAGGAGACAGATACTTTTTTTTATGGTTTGGTATTCTCACTTCAAATATCCCCCAAATTCTGAATCTACTATTATTCTAATCCCAACTTCCAGAAGCATCTGTTCTTCTGAGCAAAATTTTGCTTATAGTATTTGATGATGAGAACTTGCAGTACTGATCAAGATGGGGTAAATCCACTAGAAACCACTCCCTCTACTTACTACAGCCGAAGAGTTTCAGACAGAATAAAAAGCAACTGTCTGAGGATTCTGAAAAGTAAACAACTGCAGGCAGATAATAAGGAAGTAAAAACTTGAAGAATGGCCAGAACCACTAAGTTTTCTGGTTTACTGAGGATAAGCTTAGTGGCCTGTGCTGGAGAACAATGTAGTGATCATGCACAGTAAGAACTCTGATAGAAACTCCTATTTCTGGCCAGAGATCCAAAAAGGGGGCCCCCTATGAACTGGAAGTTGCAGGGGAAGTAACTGGTTTATTTCTCCCTCCTTTTTTTCTCCCAAGTCCTGCTCTAAGAATGTTCCCAGTCATAAAATCGTGTTGATGTGGTGGTGACAGCAGCAAGTAGCATGGGTAGGTAAAACCCCAAGAGAAAAACCTGCCTCTCCAGAGGAACCAGAAAAATGGGTCCCTGTGGGCTGAAGAGTGTGCATGAAATCTTCATAATTTTTTCTTCCCTATTTACTCTTGTGCTTCCACCCCAAAGGCAGATAATCACTCTGAAATGTACAAGAGTTTAAGGGGAGAAATCCATGTTTCTGGTCAGAGGAATGAAGAAAAGGGAACTATTTGGGACGAGAGACTATGAAAAAAAAGTCCCAGGGAAAAGAGAAGTGAAGCAGAAGATCCCCTAGCTCTGTATTATAAATTGACACAGGTTCCAGGTTCACCCCCAAGCATGGAATAGACCCAAAGAAAGAAAGAAATGATATAGATAGAAGAATAGAATAGAATAAAATTTGAAACAGAAAATCTATAGAGAAAAATAAAACACAAAAGCTGTGTTTTTAAAAGGATCAACAAAACTGTTAAGCATCTAGCCAGACTGACAAACAGAGAGAGGAGATGCAACTTACTAATATTAAGAATAAAAGAGAGGATATCACTACAGACTCTACAGACACAAAGTCTAATAACTTAGATGAAATGGACCAATTCCTTTAAAGATACAGACTAACAAAAGTCACTCAAGAAGAAATGTGTAACTTGGATAGTCTACATATATTAAATAAATTGAATACATAGTTAAAAACCTTCAACAAAGAAAACTCCAAACCTAGATTGTTTCCCTGGTAAATTCTAGAAAATATTTAAGAAAGAATTAATAGCAATTCCACATAATCTCATTCAGAAAATTAAGGAGAAAGTAATATTTCTCAATTCTGTTAATGACGCCAACATTACCCTAAAGCAAAACAAGACAAAGATATTACAAGAGAGCTGCAGACCACTATTTGTCATGAATAGCCTTCAAAATCTCCAACAAAATATTAGTAAATTGAATGTAAAAAGAATAATATATCAGAAAATTGGGAGTTTATTCTGGGGACACAAGGATAGCTCAACATTCAAAAATCAATGAAGTTAATGATGGCATTAACAGATTAAGGAAGATGAACCATATGATCTTCTCAATAGATATAGAAAAACTATTAGACAAAATTCAACATCCATTCATGATTAAAAAAAAAAAAACAACAACCAAACAAAAACGCCTGGCAAACCAGTAATAATAAATTCTCTTACCCAAATAAAGGGCACCTACAACAACAACAACAACACCCCTATAGCTTATATGGGTTTCATGCTAAAGGGTGAAAGACTGAATGATTTTTTCTGATATCAGGAACAGGACAAGTATGTCTGTTCTCACTATCCTTATTAAATATTCTAAAATTTTTAGCCATGCAATAAAGTAATTAAAAGAAATAAAAGACATACAGATTAGAAGGGAAGAAATAAAACTCTCTATTCACATTAGAGACAACTATCTACATGGAAAATCTTGAAGAATTTATAAACCCACACACACAAACCTCCTAGAACTAATAAGTGATGTTAGCAAGGTTGCAGGACGTAAGGTCAACACATAAAAAAAAATCACTTGTTTTACTATACAGATGCTCCTTGACTTATGATGGGGTTATGTTCTGATAAACCTATAATATGTTCAAAATATCATCAAGTTAAAAATGCATTTAATGGCTGGGTGCTGTGGCTCGCACCTGTAATCCTAGCACTTTTGGGGGCTGAGGTGATTGGATCATGAGGCTAGGAGCTCAAGACCAGCCTGGCCAGCATGGTGAAACCCTGTCTAAATTAGCCAGGTATGGTGGCACGTGCCTGTAGTTCCAGCTACTTGGGAGGCTGAAGCAGCAAAATCTCTGGAACCCAGAAGACAGAGGTTGCAGTAAGCTGAGATTGCACCACTGCACTCCAGCCTGGGCAACACAGCAAGACTCTGTCTCAAAAAAAAAAAAAAAAAAAAGAAAAAGAAAAAAGGCATTTAATACACCTAGCATACCCAGCGTCATAGCTTAGTCTAGCCTGCCTTAAATGTGCTCAGAACACCTACATTAGCTTACAACTGGACACAATCATCTAACATAAAACTATTTTTATAATAAAGTGTTGAATATCTCATGTAATTTATTGAATACCATACTGAAAGTGAAAAACAGAATGATTGTATAGATAAAGTACGGTTTCTACTAAATGTGAATCATTTTTGGACCATTGTAAAGTTGAATAATTGTAAGTTGCATCATCATAAGTTGGGGACCATCTATATATCAGCAATGCACACTTGGAAGTCAAGATTTTAAAAAGTACCATTTATAATAGCATTGATACTTAGACATAAATATAAAAAATATATGGACTGGATGTGTATGCTGAAAATGACAAAACGTTGGCCAAAGAAATAAAAAAACCCTAAATAAATCATAAGTTTTCTTTTATTAGGCTTATTTGGGTTTTCTTTTATTAATATATAATACATAGAGATATACTAGATTCATGGATTAGAAGTATTAATATTGCCAAGATGCCAATTCTTTTTAAATGAATCTATAGATTCAATGCAATGACTTTCAGAATTAGGTTGTAAATGCCAACAAGCTGAGTCTAACACTTACGTGGAAAGTCAAAGGAACTGAAGTTGTTAAACAATTTTGAAGAACAAAATTGGAGCAAACATCCTATCTGATTTCAAGACTCATAAGCTATAACAATAAACACAGTATAAAATTGGTAAAAGGATAAACACATAGATCAATAAAACAGAAGAGAGATTCCAGAAACAATGGTCAATTAACCTTTTACAAAAGTGCAAAGGCTGTTTTGTAAAAAATTTAGTTTTTTCAACAAATACCCCTCAGAAAATTTGATATCTATATGCAAATAAAGAATCTCAAACAATACCTCATAGATCTAAATATTAAGCATAAAACTTTATCACTTTTAAATGAAATATAAACTTTGTGACCTTTGTTGGGCAATGAGATCTTAGACACGATACCGAAAGAAAAAAAAATATATTGAGTTTCATCAAAATTAGGAGCTTTTGCTCTGTAAAAAACACTAAGAGAATGAAAAGATCTGCTATGAAGTGAAAAGAAATAGTTGCAAGTTTTATCTCTGAAAAACCCATATAAGCAGATTATATTAAAAACTCTTAAAATTCAACAAGAAAGGAGGCAACCCAATTTAAAAATGCACAAAATATTTGAATGGATTGTTCAAAGAAGGCAAGTAAACACATGAAACCATGCTCAATTTTATCGGTAACTCAGGAAATGCAAATTTAAACCAAAATGAGATACCATTACACACTAGAATGGCTAATTTAAAAAATAAAAGTCATTACCAAATGTTGGTAAGATATAGATCAACTGGAACTCTCACAAGTTGATAGTCATTGATGTAGCTTAACTTCTTAGAGGAGTAACCTAAAAGATCTCTGGGAGCTGATTGCTTCTTAACAAAGAGTATTGCTTGGCTGTGAGAACATAAAGCTAAAGGTCTATAAGGATTTCTTGGTTTGACTTTGGACAGCTAGAAGACACCCAGTAATCACAGGTACCTTGTCTTGGTGCTTCTAAACAGGAAAGGTCAGTGTGATACAAGCTAACTTCAAAGAAGCTAACTTTAAAGAAGGTGTAAACGCTTCTATTTCCTGAGAAAAGCAAGCATTGCTTTGCTGGACCCTGTCTTGATGAACAATCCCTTTAATTAAACTTTCCAGAAGTGTTGAGTTTTTACCTTCAAACATCATTGTTTTGCATAACACTTAAAATGTTAATAGCAATGTGTAAATTTGCTCTTGGCTTCTTGGTATAGAAGTATTTGCTTGTTTAAGGAGGGATTATCCTCAGGAGCTCCAAGCCAATAAAACAAACTTACAAAGCACATTCTGTATTTTGTTAAGATTTTCTTATTTTCCTAATATTTTAGAGATATCATAGTTTTTGTTCAGTGTATTAGTTATCTGGTGCTGCATAACAAAAAACAAAAAATGAATCTTATAGAAGACCAACTAGATTTGTGTTGTCTAATATGGTAGTCCTGTGTGGCTAAGTTTAAAATGGAACAAAATAGTTTCTCAATCATATTAGCTACATTTTATTATTGAGCACGTGCTCAATAGCTACAAGTGGCTAGTGGCTACCCTATTGAACAGCACTATAACAGTGAAGTCTAAAGACAAAACCTGTGGGCCCTGGAGTTTGGAAGCATGTAGTTTCCATTCTGGATGTAAGACCTTAGGTAAACCCCAGCTTTCTATAAATCAAAGAATATTTCCTATCTGGGAAGATTAAACCAGGTGATGTGTATATAATGCCTATAAGAATGCCTGACACATCGTGAATACTAGATAAATATTAATTATAATGATAATTATTGTTAGAAACTGATCAGTGGGAAAATATAACCTACCTGGGGTAATTTAACTTTTCTTTGAAATACTCTATTCCAAGGTTGAGTAACAATTTATGTTGGTGAATAGGACATTATGCTTGTTTCTTCATGTCATTCTAGCTCCCTGAGATTTGGGGATGAGTGGGAGAAAAGGGAAGTGTCCCATTTTTATTTATAATTTCATGAAATGGGGGAAAGAACAGCTTGACCACTAAGTTCACTTCATTTCTTAGGAATCCATAGGTTCCCAGTGTGTAAAAAGGCGTGTGACATGTTCAGAGAATAAGTATGTTCGGTTTTAGGGGGAAGATGCAATAATCTTGCTGTTCTTAATCATTATAAAATCATTCCTCTCCAAATAGTTATTTTTAGAATGTGTTTCTATATAAAATAGAATGGTGGAAGAAACAGAGAAGACAGAAGAGGGAATCTCATTAATACCAGAACTTCCTAGGCTAAAACTTCAGTATAAGCATACTTCATTCATTATTTATTTTTATTTCTTTGCTGTCACTAGGCATCATCATTCATAATATATTTACTCAAGATCCTTCCCCACTCTAGAAATATGTTTTATCATACAAGTCTTTGATAATCTCAAAAGCTAGAGTGCACTTCATTACAGCGTGTACCTAAAGAGAGGATGAGCTTCAGTTGGGTGACCTGTCACACCCAGCTCATCCATTACCTCTCTTGTCACAACTGTTTACTTTTTCACACTGTGCTGAAGCCATTAAGAAGGAACACGAAGGTAGGATTGGCTACACACTGTTCTCCTCTTGACCTGCCAAGGAATTAATCTTGAATGCTCAATTTAATGCTTTCTAACAATGACTGCTGGGGGTGGGGGTGGGGAGATGTCTGTTGCATTAAAGAAAAAAAAAAGGGTGCCCATTCAAAGCATAGAACTTAATTTCACTGATGTACACTCCATCATTTTATCTTTGATAGAGAAATAGCAAAAGGTCCACACATTTTTTAACTAGTATACAATATACCCAGTTGGGGTAGAATGCTTACTTATGTATTAAAGTAGATAAATATCAGTAATAGATAGCAATTAGTAAACAATAATTGCAAATGGTGGTAGTTTACAGAGAGCTGTACTGCCTACCGTCAATTTGAGAAAGAATTTTAAAACTTTTTTGTACTTATCAAATTCAATTTAGAAATATTTGTTTTTTTGAATACCTTCAGAAAGAAATTCATATGGTAAAAGATAATAAAGTTATGTATATTATCTTTCTTAAAATGCGTAGAAGTGAATAAAAGGAATAAAAAATAGAATAGAAAATATAACCTATAATCAAACTAAGAAACAATGACAACTACAAATAATGGACTAAAAAGATGGTTTGCCTGAAACAGCAACATTTGCTCCAAGTTGGGGTGTAAAAACAACTGGCAATAAATCATCGCAGATTTATCTGGCAGGATATAGATCTTTCTGAAGGTAAGTTAGCAGGTCTTGAAAGACTCAGACAATAGTCGATCCCTTAGAAGAGTGAAGACTGAGTTAGTGGATAGGACAGCAGAGACAAAAACATCCTTGTAGAGTTCTGGCTCCTGCAACAAGGAGAGCATATTGTAGAGGAGGCGAAACAAAGAAACAAGGAAAAAAGAGAAACAAATTGCAACTTGGTGAAGAATCTTCACTAGGAGTCACTCCAAGGACTACTTCAAAGATTTGCTCTTCTAGGAGAGAAACATTCATCTAGAGCAGAAGGTACACTGGTGAGAGACTATCCATGCTACTCTCAACTTACTTCCTGCATGTGTGCTTTTATTAATGCTTAAACTAGGGTTAGCACACAAAAAGTCACACATAGAGAACTTAGCAAGGATCAAATATGCCACCTGCACATGGTTACCATGGCATTTCCTGGTCTCCCACCAAAAAAAGTTAAGGCAATCAGTAAATTTCAGGGAATGGGAAATAAAAAGGACTACAGACAAATACTCCTCTCTGATTAAAAAAATGGAAGAAAATATGGAATCTTTAGTAGGTGTGAAGAATATCAAAGAATCAATACAGGAGATAATAGAAGAGAAGAGATAATTAAAGAGATAAAAGGCACTCTGATCATGCCGAGAAGATAAAGCCATAAAATTACTGAAGAAAAGGAAAACACATTAGAAACGGGAGTAGAATGGATACTGCTAAAAAGAGAGGCAATGACAAGGACAGACATGAGAAAATAACATAAATGCAAAGGGAAACTAAAAATCAATGAAAGTAATACAAGATATGGCAAACAAAGAGTAGAGTATCCTTAAAAGAGAGAACTGTACAAATGAACAACCAAAAAAAAAAAAAAAAAAAACCCTCAAAGTCACCATAGATGAAAACTTTCCAATGAAAAAGGAAGTTCTGTATCTGCACATCCAAATGGCTCAGCTATTATTCATAAAAAATAGTTATAATCAGTAGAATCATATATTCTGGTGAAGTTTTTGAACTTCAGGGATAGAAATGTGAGAGTATTGAGACAAAAAATTGTCAAATCACCTGCAAGATATAAAACTCAGGCTGGCCTCAAACTTCCACATAGCGACATTGACTCCCAAAAGACATAGAGGCAATGTCTATTGGTTTTTAAAAGAAAAACAAAACTAATATACCCAGACACGGGTTCAGTCACTTTTAAAGACAAAAAAGTCATTCTAAAGCAAGTGAATACTTAGTAAAACCTGGCTGGGATAATGGAACTCAGCCCATCAAGAAATGAATAAAGGGATGTACAACTCAGGGAAGAGAATCTATGAAATGAAGGGATGGTCACTGAGACTGGTTCCCATGTAAATATAGCAGAGACTTAATGATAAACCACTATTGGAATTATGATAATAAAAGAGTATAAATGCCATAAACATTCATAATGCCAATGTAATAATACAGCAAACATAATATAGTTGTGATGGGAATGGGGAGAAGTATTAAGTGGGTAACTTGTAGCTACTTTCTTCATCTTCCACAGCAAGCTGTCAACAATTACTTTCTAGAGGAATTTTATGTACCAATATAGAGAATATCTGTATTACGAGAAATAAAAAAAATAGTTGTGGAAATATATATGTAATATAGTCTCAATTGTGAATTTTGGCAGAGTGGGGGAAGATACAATTAGCAAAAAAAGAGACCTGTTAACACTTATGAACAGTATGAAATTTCTGTAGTGCTTTCATAATGAACATCAAATAAATTCCCCTTTTGAATGGATAAACACATCTACTACACTTAGTTAATATGTCAAACTGATTTATTTTATTATATAACATATTCTTTTGAAAACATTTCCTAACTCAAATATTCAGACTTTTATTAATTTATTTGAAGCTTTTCATTTTTCAATATCGTTTCAGCAAACATATTTACCTCCTCAGTGAGCCCACGAGCCCATCAAAGAACATCTCTTAAATGGCAAACATGCTGTCCCAGCCCTGCATGTCTCCTAAGCAACATCTTTACAGTGTCTGACCCAGCAGTTCTGGAATAGTGGACTACAACTCGAAACAGTAAGTAGAGTAAATGGGATCACTAAGGAAAGCAAATGATCTAATTAAATAAACAATTATCATCTTATGCTTAAACATTGTGGGCTATCATATAATTGGTCTCTTACAGTGTGACATGTTTTCAATTGTGAGAGAAACCACAGAGTTAAGTCTTCCTGAGGTTCAATTATGGGTAACTGTGGGTAGTTCCAAGCTCCCTACATTCAGCCCTTCTTGAGCCTGTCATATCTTGATCTATTTCTAATGTGTCTCCTTGTGTTTGATTCACAGAGCAGCCTGATAGGAAAGGACATGGAGTTGGGGAGAATCTCCCAGAAAAGTGAAGGGAGATACTATTTTTGATTGAGTACCCACCAGCAATTCAGACAGCAGCCAACCTGCTTGAAGACAAGTTGAGTGTAAAATCAAATTCATGTCCCTCAGCAGATGTTGTACTTGTTCACTTGTCATATATGTGGTATAGATTATATTAAGACATTAGGATTGGCAGGTTTGTAGGTTTTATTCTCAGAAAACAAGAAAACGTGTGTAGAAAGCTCAACAAAATACATACTTGAAAAATCATAATAAACCTGATTTTAAGTCCCTTTTCAAAAGAGATTGGCCATAGTGCTTTTTTTCCTGAGAGAAATATTGCAATGAAGCTATTTAGGGGTAAAACTAAATTATCTTGAAGTCAGAGCAAGTTCACTGCTATTTTAAAGTAATTGTAATCTAGCTCCATTGTTTAATAAAGGCTCTTGTAATACCTACTAAAATAAACTTCAATACTGTAATATTGAGGTGCCTCATTTCATAGAGTAAACATGAAGTCTAATTGAAAATATTTCTAACTCAACTGATTATTCAAGTAAATAAGGGAAAGGCAACATTTTAAAAAAACTGATGGCAAATCTTTTAGAAAAGTGGACACGTCTTTCCTTATGCATCCTGTAACACTGAATTTTTATATGGGCAGTTTGCTTAAAAAGGCTACGGTTGCCTTTATCAATTATAATTATCTATGAATATTCAAACTGCAAGAGATTTAACAATCACTGTTATTATATATCTATTTTCTGATTTTAGGGATAATAAATGCATCCTTATTTGGAAGATGACCAAACAAACTTTGCAACGCAAAAATCTGTAATGGGTGCAAGGTTGTTGGGTGAATTATCAGGTTGCTCAACTCTAACTTCCCTTTTTTAAGGTCCAATCAAAGATATCATCATGCTACTTAAGCAAATTAAAATAACCTATTGATTGAAAAAGACTACTGTCAATATTGGTGTTGGTTATCTCCATCACAAATACGTGTGCGTATATGTGAGTGTACCTGTGTGTTTATATCACCCAGTTGTCATATTGCATGTAAAATTCTCTCTCACTTTTAACATTTTTTTCATGAAATTCCATGTCAAGTCATGACATTCTGTTCTATCAATATCCTATTTTGAGAGACTTTAACATTTTTATTATGGTATATTAATTATTGGGAATTTAAAGATTCTAGAAAGCATAAGGTCTTACAATGATGCTGAGTTCCATTTATTTGGTGTTGAAATATGGCCAAAGTCATTCTGACCTACTGATGTGTATCACACCTTGAAAGCATTTATATTCCTCCAAAATGGAATCCAGAGAGAAGATACTCAGATATTACCCTTTTCATAGAGATTATTTGCAGCCCCAGGAATCACCTTTATCATATTAACTTACTAAAATGCCTCTCCTCTCAGAAGGCCTAGCTCACAAGTCACCTCTTCTTGAAGTCTTCTTTAATTAACTTTCCACATTGAAATCCTTTGTTTGTCCCTTTGTACTATCAGAGTATTTTATTCCTGTGTTATAGAGCACCTAAACATGTAGTAAGCATCTTATAAATAATTTTTGAATTAATGGAGAGATGAAGGGAGTCAGAGTTTAATCTAGTGGTAAGGGCACCCCGAAAGCACTAGTTTAGGTATCACCTTAATCTGTAAAACACAATTCAGTTTTATTTTAATGGTTTTATAAATCTAGATTTATAAAATTTATAAAATCTAGAGTACTATAGAGGACTACATCTAAAGCTGTCTTATCTTCTGAATACAAATCCTGTGAACGTTAAGCTGCTTAGGTACAGTATATAATAAGAGGTGGCTGGCACTGTGGCTGACACTTGTAATCCAGGCATTTTGGGAGGCTGAGGCGGGTGGATTGCTCGAGCCTAGGAGTCCGAGACCAGCCTGGGCAACATGGCAAAACCCGTCTCTACTAAAAATACAAAAACTAGCCAGGTGTGGTGGCACACCTGTAGTCTCATCTACTTGGGAGGCTGAGGTGAGAAGATTGCTTGAGCCCAGGAGGTTGAGGTTACAGTGAGCCATTATCATGCCACTGCACTCCAGCCTGAGCAAAAGAGTGAGACCCTGTCTCAAATAATAATAGGCAAAATTAATCTATTAAGATTTCAGGTGAGCTTACCTGAACACCTAATTTCTGGAATATTTAGTGACTTTGCAGAGAGAAAACATCTTAAAGGCCAAAGGTTTCATTTAAGGCATATAATTAATAGATTTTGCCATTCATTGTGATTTCCAGGAGACTTGAGGCTTGGTCTGCTTCCAGTACAGAATTTGTTCTTTATTTGTATGTTTCTCTTGCTTTGGCATCAATTCTATTTTAAGCTCTGTAGCTGGCACCTTATAAGTTATTTTTTCCTTGATATGCTCTAAAGTATCACTCAACATGTTAAAACTGCATACTAGCAGTCCTCTTAGGTTTAGATATGAACAAGCAAGCAAACTAAGAGATCTATCTTTTGTTTTCAGTTCAATTCAGTAAATTAACTGCTTGTTTGTTGGGCATTAATAGGCTATTAAAAATTATCTTCAACTGCACAAAATTTTCTACCAAATGTTGTATGAATTGAGGCCATTTTCAAGAGTTCAGTTTCCTCTTCTGTCAAAATGAGGACATTAGACTAAATCATCTTCAAGTGTTAACATTCTATGGTGTTGTGTTTCCAAGTGTACCATTTCTTGATTATGCTTTATGTGTTTAGAAAAACCCTTGGAACTGAAGAGCATGTATAACTCAAAAAATTTTTAAATATTTAGAAATACTCAGAGTAAATAAAAAGACAGTGCATAGTAAATGTACTAAGTTGGTTATCCCAAAGCTGGGAATTTAGAATAAAATACACTGGATAGGAAAAGCATTTAAAATACTCGGGTGATAGTGCTAAAAATAGATCTGAAAGGAAACTGAAATATGTGCAGAGAACTGAGTCACTTTACAAGCACTTCTATAAGTGCTCAATAACTGGTAACTAATGGAACTTTTCTCTTTATATTTTACTCTTATTTTGAGGGACTGCTCTCTTCATATGACTACTGTACATGGATGATGAACATCTATTAATGTCTTCATTCACTAATTTAACAATGATTTATTAAGCACCTAGTAAGTGCAGGTACTGGGCTAGATATTGCAGACATAATGGGAAGCTAGAGAGCATGGTTCCAGCCATCACTCAGCTTTCAAGCTTGTCATTGTAAAGTATTAAAAAAATATATTGGAATAGAAGGCATTTGTTCTCTATTCAAGCAAGAATACAAATTGCCACCTTTATGCTTGTTATCAAATTCATATGGATATTTCTTCTAGCCTCTACACTTAATATTCATTAAGCCTTTTCCTCATAAAAATAAATCCTAATGAAATACTGTTCAGCAATAAAAGCGAACATAATATGAATACATACAACAACACAGATGCCATATGAAAGAAGTCAAAAGACTACAAGTATAATTCCATATGTATGACATTCTACAAAAGGTAACATTAGAGTGACAGAAAGGAACTGAGTGGTTGCCTAGGGCTGGGGGCCAGTTGGTGGGATCCACTGAGAAGGGACATGAGGGAACTGCTTAATATCTTAATTGTGGTAGTTACATGATTATATATAGTTATCTAGATTTATCAAAATTTATTCACACAGGGTAAAGTTTACTGCCTGTAAATTACACCTCGATAAAGCTAAAAAATAATATATTATTTCTATCTACCTTCTTAAAAAAGTTCAGAAGACAGAAGTGATATTAAACGGTAGAAAAAAATCCTATTCATTCTGGTAAGTTTTCGAACTCTTTTTGCAAAGTAATTTATATACTTGAATTTCGTTAGCTTTGCTCTTCACAAGAATGCCTTAAACAGACAATATTTTAAGATCCTTGGCTTTGTCAGAAGGTGAGAATAAAAAATCACTATGAAGAATGTTACTGTATTTCCAGTATTATTACCATTGCAGGCAAAGTCCATCAAGTTCTTAGCATCTCTTATACAAGGATCTACATAAAAAATTAGAATATTAGAAGTGAAGTTTCTAAACAGAATAGTGTTCATTCCTTCCATCTATCATCTTTTTCATTTTGCTTTCTCAGAGATGAATATAATACTCAATTATACCAACTCTATTAGCCTTGTTTTTAATATCTTTTTTTCTATCTTCTATTTATTGGAGTGGCATCATTGTGTAAGTTTTTTTAATCTATTTGAGAATTATATCAGCTATGAATCATATAGAAATCCACAAGCACTTTGACAACTATGAAACTGACTCTTAAAATATAAATCTTTGGGAAAGAACCAAGTGACTCAGTTACGTACCCGAAGAAATGAAAGTCAAACATCCTTGGACGAGTAAGAACATCAGCAATAAGAAAGAAAAACTTAGAAGAGTTTAGGGGCAGGTGGTCACTGGTTTTGATAGCTTAAAAATAGCTCAACTTTAAATAGTAAGAAGGAGATAGGGCTCAATTATATAGGCCTCCTGGGCCTTAGGTTGCAGTCATCATATATCTGCCCCTCGATGCTTTCTGCACTGGGTAGTCCTGCCTCCGGAGTAACACCTTATTAGTGGGATTTACCCTGTTGATGAATTACACTAATGCATCATTAGAATGACAGGTCACGCCAGTGATGTATTACCAAGTAACTTAATGAGAGTGATAGCTCGTTCCGATTACGCTCCCATGAAAGGAGGGCTCCGTCTTCAGAAGAACTCATCTCTAAGCTGATTCTGCTTAATTACAGGATACAACATGTGCTAATAGTAATGTCAAGATGTTCTTTGGCACCATGTTTTTGGCACTGATCAAAATATGATTTATTGCTGTACCCTATACACTTGGAAATGTTCAAACAGGATGCACAGTCTCAAGATGAGAAGACACTCTGGAATCCACTTAGTTTCTAAGCTAAAAACACACACTTTCCACTGTAGATCTCTAAATTGACAGCTGAAAGATGCGGGTTTGAGAGCTTGTGTCAATCAAGTTCTCCTAGAAGCAGCATTTGGTTAAAAAGAGATGGGAGAGGGAAGAGGAGAAGTGACTTCTCTTTAAGACTGCCAGAAACGGTATATTATACAAGTTGTATCTTCATAATGACAGATTACTTTTAGGGGGATTAGACTTATACCCACCAATGTCTTAGGCTAGTGCAGAATTTTGACAGTACTTGTATCAGTCTAGGAAAGCGAGAAAAACATGATGACAAAGGAGGATTATTTATTAAACTTCTAAGAATAATCACTACCACGATTATTATTAGTTACAGGCTTCAGGCAAGGTACTGGGCCTGACACAGTGGTTTCTTTAAAAAGTGGTAATGATTTATGAAACCTGTGTTATGTAAGACATAAAGCTACCTTAGTAGCACTCAGTTATGAACTAACTTAGCACATAGCGTAAGGACAGAGAGTTGTCTCAATTAGACGGGGAGAACCTTGCAAAAATGTTTTTTCCTTTTTCCCTTGACTGCTATGATGCTTAGGGAATTTTATGTTCAGTGTTGGTAGTTCCTCCTAATTCCTTTTGCCTTTAGTATCTGGCTGCTTTTTATACATCCTTGTTTGATTAGTTCCATTATATCTGTATCTTGTATGAAAATCCACTTCTTTTTTTGTCTTTTGGAAAGTAGAACATAAATTACAAGTAAGAAAGAATAGATTTGCAAAGGTGTTGAGTGTGTGTGTGTGTGTAGCAGGGGAGGGAGCCTTAAAAACAAAACCAAAAGAAAAATGTCATACATAATCCATTGCTTTACACTTTTGCAAGTGCTATTTGTTCATCTCACTTGACTTGCATCAGTGACCCCATTAGATAGCCAAGACCATGAAAGACCATCTCCACTTAAAAGATGACTTGCCCAATATCACATAAGAAGTAAGTGGCTGACTTAGTGTATTCATCAATTTTCACACTGCTATAAAGAACTGCCCGAGACTGGGTAATTTATAAAG
Organism: Homo sapiens; assembly: GCF_000001405.40. Classification (NCBI taxonomy): domain Eukaryota; kingdom Metazoa; phylum Chordata; class Mammalia; order Primates; family Hominidae; genus Homo; species Homo sapiens. Next base: position 25,220,754 of record NC_000003.12, on the reverse strand, counting down.
GAAAGAGATTTAATTGATTCACAGTTCTGTATGGCTTGGGAGGCCTCAGGAAACTTACAATCATGGTGGAAGGCAAAGGGGAGGCAGGCATCTTCTTCACAGGGCAGCAGGTGAAAGAATGAATGCAGAAGGAACTACCAAACATTTATAAAATCATCAGATCTCGTAAGAACTCACTAAGACAAGAACAGCAGGGCGGAAACTGCCCCCATGATTCAATTACCTCCGTGTGGTCTCTCCCTTGATACGTGGGAATTATGGGGATTATAATTTTGAGATTTGGGTGGGGACACAAAGCCTAACCATGCAAGTTAGCTTTTGAAACTAGGTCTTATAACCCCTAATGTGTTAGTTCTCTTTGATATCATGCCTTCTCCAAAAATAATCACAATACTAATCAAATGACATGTGATAACTTAAATATTGGTTAAAAACACAACATCTAAGTTACTGCAAGATGAATTCCTACATACAGAAAAATTGTTCTGTTTTCCTAACAGAAGGAAATTTTCTATTACTTGTTGTCTGCTGAACCATACAGTTAGGGAAATGTAGCTGTCAAGCTGACTGGTTGACTTTGAGTTAGCAATGAAATAGTCCAAAGGCAGTTCAATCACAATATTTAATTTATGGCTACAGGTGAGAATTTTATGAAACATGTTAAATAGTGGATTTCTTGTTATTTTATGTAAGGTGATATAGATGCATTCTTTAAGATAATCCTATATCCCTATTCAATAACTGTCTTTAGAACAAAAGGAATTAAACTCATTTTTCTCAAGTGTTTTACTCTACACAGTAATAATAGTTTTAAAATGAGGTATGTGTGCCACATTATGCAGATTTACTTCCATTTCTGCTCTTAGATTATTTTTTCCTGTATCAAGGCTCACGCTTTACTCTCTTTGGATGAGTTAAAAACCTCTGTGGAGCTGGCAAGGTGAGTGTGTAGGAGCCTGTATTCTGAAACCATTTGGTAGTATGGTTCTTTGACAAATCTAACGGGACTTCCTGAAGCCTAGAAGTTGTGGTTCATGATCCAACTCAATTGTCCAGAAAATAGCACAACAGTGAGCACATGCTTAATTTGAAGATGCTGATAAGACGGGGTTTGGGCTTGGGGAGTGGTGGGGAGGGCAGCATGCGGCCCTTCAGCAAGTGTGATCAAACAGCAACAAAGGAACAGGCACTTCCCTCCCCACTCCCTTCTTCTCCCTAGATCCTTGCTTTTGTTACCAAGAGATGCATTAGGTTTTATAAAGCAAATTGTTGATTTTTGACCACAACAATAAGTTAGTATTACTTCAAATTAGGAAACACTCAAAGTGGTTCAAGCGCAGGAACTCAGAGCCATTACGTAGTTATTCTTCTGCCTCCTCTTCTATGCTCTCTCTCTTTTACAGGAACAGCCAGAAAATGAGAATAGGGTAGGTTGAGACTTCCTTAGTCTTTGCTATAAGATGGTGTATGGATACATATTTTTTTTTTTAACCTAGAGGTAATTCCTTTATCAATTTCCTTTCAAGAGAGAGGATCATTAAAAATGACTTTAATAGGAAACTTCAGATATTATCTATTAAATTTTATATATAAAATGTTTTCTTCCACTTGACTATAAGCAGTTTAAGGGTCTTTGGTTCCCCATGAATGAGGGCACAGAGCTTAACACATAGTAGATGCTAAATAAATACTTATAGTTGAATGAATGGATCCCACATGATGGGTTGACAAAGGGAATGAAATAAGCTTCAAGTGCCTGTATCAGCTGGAAATCCAGGTGCAAAGGCCAAGATCCATCTCACCAGGAGAGCAAGGCAAGCGTGAAGGTAGAAACTCACACTGCTCTGAGATAAATGGAAGCCCAGGGTGGGGTAGCAGAAAGACCACTGGATGGGGAGTAAGCAAAGTCGAGTGTTAGTCCTGGCTCTACAGCTCTGAGGCCTTGAGTCACCTCTCTGAGCCTCGATTTCCTATTTTTTGAAATGGGAATAGAACTCTCTATAGCTTTCCCCAGGATTATCATAAGGATCACAGGGAGCAGGGCACATGAAAGACTTTTGCTAGATATGGTCAAACCCTATAGCAAGGTAAGGTCATAGCAAATGACTTCCTGCTTCTCTTGCAGTTGAAGAAGTTTTTTGTTTCCTGAGGGTCCTCCTCTCTGTCTGGGTAAATAGAGGTCATCCAGTTCAAGAAACCACTGGTTGAGGTTGGCCTCACTTCTTCTGGTTTCAGCCACAGCATTCAGAGAGGAGAATTTCTTCCACTTTGAAAATAAATGGCAATGCTGAGCATGTTTCTATTTTACAATGACACTTTTCACAAGTGAAAAGGAACAACTTGGGAACTATACAGCAGCACCCTGGGTATTTAAAGGGGCCTTGTTGGGGGGTGGGTAGTAACAAAAAAAGTAACCTAGGGGGCGGATATGTGTGTGCACACGCGCGCACACACACTGGGTGGGGGCGCAAGGCTGGCGACTCTCACATTCCTGAAACAGTGCCAGGAAAAACCATCCTCCCTAGAAGCTGGAGTCCTTCAAGCTAGATAAAAGTGGGGGTGACTGTCCTCTGCCTGGGGAGCCCACAGCACTGTAGCTAAGGGCATCCTTTCAAAAGCTAGAGGAGCTGGTTTGTATTATAATAAAAGGCTTATAGGAAATACCAGTTAACTTTATTCAGAAAACAAAGGGAATGAAAATAAACTTTATTGAATGGCAATAATGAAAACTTCCTGTAGATGAAAACAAAAAAGAGTAGAGGGAATTTTTTTTAAAAAAAGAGAGAACCATATGGATTCATGGGGCTTAAATCTTTGAACATGTTGCCTAATGGATGACCCCATTCTTAAAGCGCTTCCATTTCTCATAAGTTTGCCTATGGCTAGGTCTAGAACTCATTGCCTTTAGGGTTTGGTGCATATCCCCAGAGCTTTGCAAAGGGAGCTCAGGACAGGAAGGGAACTTGTACTGAATGCCTACTCTGCAGCAGACATTGTGCTAGGTGCTTAGTGCACATTCTCAATTAATACATTACACTGAGCGAAGAACAAAAGTTATTACTACTTTCAGTTTCACAGATGAGGAAAGGGAGTCTCAGAAAGGTTCAGGGGGAGACAAAAGGTCACACAGCTAGTAACTGACAAACCAAAGATTCAATCCCAGGTCTCCTGGCAGTGACTCCAAATCCCGAACTCTCTCTACTATGCCATCTTGCCTCCCTTGGCCATACAACTTTCAAGGATCAGAATTGGGGGGGGTGGGAGTAGGCCTTTTCATGCCCCCTTTGTCCTCTCTCAATCATTCCTGGGGTAATGGCTATACAGGCATAATATTGGCTATAATGTAACCATAAAAACATTCTCCTAAGAGGTATTGTAACAATTATGATAGATTGAAACGAGTCATATATGCTTATAATCCCAAGCTCCTAATGATACAAAAATAATAAAATGGCCACCTTTTTGAAAGGATGCTAGGGAATTGATGGTTTATTTTGAACACTGGTAAAATTAAATACTTAAACATTTATCCTGTTCTGCTACAAACTGTACCAACAGGTAACCAAATTGTAGATGAGAGGAAGTTTCTCTGTATAGAAATAAATTCTAATAAAGTAATGAAGAATAAAATTGCAATATCACCGCTTCCTCCTAATGAAGGAAGGATTGAGAATCAATGGCTGCTTCCAAGAAAGACAATTAGATAGCACGCACCTCTTGATGAGAACACATCACCACCTAAGAAGCCATCCTTAAACAATCAAATCTGGATGTCATTAAGTCTCTAGATCCAACTACCAATTTGTAAAAAATACATAGGCCAGAGAAAGATGGGACTCTACAGTGTGGGAATGAAATCAGCAAAATCTCAGCCAAGGGAAACAAGAGATGATCTGATTTCTTCAACAAATAAATTGCAATGGAGGAGCAAAACTATAGACTAAAAGAGCTCTAAATAATATATACATATATTTTTTAGAAGAAACAAAATATATATATATGTACTAGATATATATATATGTAGTACCTATATTTTGTTTCTTCTAAAAAAAAAACAGGATACACGTGCAGAATGTGCAGATTTGTTGCAATAAGTATACATGTGCTATGGTGCTTCGCTGCACCTACTGACCCATCCTCTAAGTTCCTTCCCCTCACAACCCCCCACCCCCCAATAGGCCCCGGTGTGTGTTGTTCCCCTTTGTGTCTATGTGTTCTCAATGTTCAACTCCTACTTATGAGTGAGAACATGCAGTGTTTGGTTTTCTGTTCCTGTGTTAGTTTGCTGAGGATGATAGCGTCCAGCTTCATCCATGTCCCTGCAAAGGATACGAACTCATTCCTTTTTATGGCTGCATAGTATTCTATGGTGTATATGTACTACATTTTCTTTATCCAGTCTATCAATAAATATTTTTTTAAAGCAGGCAACATTTAGTGTTTATGGATATACATTTGGCTGATAAAAGTATAAAGAAATGAAAAAAATAAGAAATGAATTACCAAAGAAATCAGTGATTCCTCTTGTGGGGGAGAGGATTGTGTTTAGGAGGCAGCAAGCAGGGGGCCCATTGGCTGTCTGGTAACATCTAGCCTCTTCCATGGGTGGTGGTTTGAGGTGTCCACCTTTAATAATGAAACTACACATTTACGTTATTTTAACAATAAGTACATATGTATACCTGCACCTCTCTGACTGCTTCAAGCACATATTTTTAAGTTTAGGGCTCTGAAAGCATTAGTCCATGCCCTTGAGTATGAAAGGCACTTCTGGGAAGAATTTCTTTTAAAACCTGGCTTATTTGAAATGAAAATTCTAAAGTTCTTCCCCTGTAAAGTGCCAGTTTCAGTTTGGTATGAAAAATACTAGAGTCTGACATCAAAATACGCCAGACATTACTTTCTTGAATCACAGAGTGTGGCTCCATTTGTAGAACATTCCAGAGAAGAGTCCTGATCCTCGTAAGACCCAGGTGGCCTCTTATTTTTTCCACTTTTGAATGACTCCCTTCATTCCGAGTTTCCTTTCCATAGACAGAAGGCCAGAGGAACTGTGATGGGCAAGCTACCAGGAAAGGCTGGTTTCAAATCATCATCGAGAGAAAGGATCCCCTTAATACCCTCCAACATGCTGTTTCTGGTGGTCCCATGAAGTTCCTCAGGCACGGGTTCCCAAGGCAGAACTTCCTCCTGCTGCACTTCAACCACAGGCCTTCTTGCCCTGTCTGGAGAGGCAATACAGATGACCCCGCCAGAGTGCTCACTCTCTCTCTTGTCCATATTCACAACTATGTGAATGGTCAGTACTGTGGATGGACATGTCAGACGACCTCCATAAATTATGGTCTTTTCCATTTAACATTTCACTAATGTGTCACAGGTACAACAGTCAACAGTTTGTCAAACCCTTTCCCACAAACACTTCTATTTCCATGCTTTCTTAAAAAAAAGTCACATTAATGATTTAGGTTTAATTTTTCTGTCTACAAAGACATTTCATCTTAGTCTGTGGTTCTCAACCCTGGCTACAGAGAACCACCTGGGAATCCTTTCAGATAAACTGCTGCCCAGGCTTCATCCAAAACCAAACGAAACAGAAGCTAAGGTACTGACACTTGGGCCCCAGGTGAGTCCGTGTACAGTTGGGATTAAGAACAACTGGCTGGGATTTTTACTAACTTGAGTGAAATCAATCAGCCCCGTTATATAGGTGTTTTATGTCTTCATCGATTTTCCACCTGGTACTCACTGGACATATATTGATTCCCATTCTTTCCTTCCCTAGTCATTCATGTTGCTATTGTGTATGGTTCACATGCACCCTCAAAAATAGCTTCTGTGACTCTTCCCTGAGGTAAGAATGGAGAAAGTGGATGGGTGAAGGTCATAGGTCTTCTTCTATGCTAACTACATGACACTGGGGAAAAGGCTTAGCCTCTGTTTTTGCATACATAAAATGGGAACAGCAATGTTATCCTTTCAGGGTTATCTCAAAGATGGGAAGCAATGTTCAAAAAGAACCTAGCCCAAAGTGAGGGCTCAGAACAGGACACTTTCATCTTATAATTCCCTTGGGAACTGTGTAAATTGAGCCAGCTCCACCCAAGTGCTGAAGTCCCTTCAGGGGCATTTCAGGACGCCCTGTTAAAATATTGAGGATTCTTACAGTAGGAAAATTTCTTCTGCAGTCCCATTTATTCGATGTGAAAAATACAGACTTATACAAATGGATGTTCATATTTTATGTATTTATATTTACATACATACTTACTGATATGTTATTTTAAATTTATTTTTAAAAGCTACTGAACCCACCTACCTCAGATATTGTCTCCCGGTGTGTGGCTGAAATACTTATTATAAGCACTCATATTCTTCAAAGTTAGAAATGTGCTCCTAGTTATCACAGGCAAGATCTTATTGGTAGGAAGTCCTCCAATGCAGCTCATTTGCTCAAGTTAATCGCTCAAAGAGAACTTCTCTTACCCAGCCAGAGCCTCTCCCTTTGAAGTCAACAAGAGCCCTGCCAGCACAGAGTGAGAAAGCAAAGAAGCCAAGGATAGGGCCCCACTAGAGTGCTTTGGCCTGAGTTTCAAACTTTCAAAATGCTGCTTTTCTGGGAGCACACAAGCTTTATATTTGACCTCAAAACTCCCATCTATCTATGCTGACTATGAATCAAATGTATTGCATCTTCACAGAAATGTATGAAAATGCTCTGTATGCATGGCTTTGGTGAGTTGGCATCTCTGGATTATTTTTTTACTAGTATTTCTATGCTTTGGTTGGCCATCAGCATGTCTAGAAATATATAACAAAATCTATATTCATTCATAAGAGCAGATTATAGTGGGAAATGAATGGTTTACAAAAATAACATTGCCAAGTAAGAGAAACTTATCATAAGAGTCCAGACTTTAATCATTACATTATGGAAGGTGCCCTCCCTTGCCATTTTAAATAGGCATGATTGACCATAGTTTGACATCTTTGGTGAATGAAAGCTAAGCACTCCTAAACATTATTCTAGCTCTCATTGCCGTTGCCATCAGTATGCCTGCCTTCAGCAGGACTGACTTCCATTTTGTTTAAAAGCTGTTTTGGGCTTAAGGAAATTGTTCAGCAGAAACTAATAAGCTGAACTTATGCATACCCTACAACTCAGCAATTTCACTTCTAGGTAGATACTCTGGTAATGTGCACGTGGTCACCAAAAGACATGTACAAGGATGCTCAGAGTGCCTTATTGGTAATGCTTCAAAAATGGAAACTTCCCAAATGTCAAAGCAATAGAATGAATAAATGAGATGTGGTATATTCATACAATGGAATACCACCGGGAAGTGAAAAAGAACCGACCATAGCTACATAGGACAATATGAATAAATCCCAAAAACATAAAATTGAGCTAAGGATGTCAGACACAAAAGGACTCAAACTGTGTGATTATATAGTATGTAGTGTACAAAAGAAAGCTGTACAGATCTATGCTGTCAGAAGGCAGGACAGCGAGGACTTGGGGAATAGGGAAGAAAGTGGGAAAATAAGGTGCTCGTCAGGTGCTGGTAATTTTCTCTTTTTTGACCCAAGCATTATGTACACCAGTGAATTCTTTCAACTATATTCTTACTATATATATAGTATCTTATATGGATGGCATGCTTCATTTAACAGTTAAAAAAATACTGTTGTGAGCAAGGAAAAAAAAGCAAAGCATGGTCTTTAAGACTACGCGAATTTGGAAGAAAACCTGAGAGCTTCTCCTGAGAGTGAAATATGAGAACATTACGTGCCGCAATGCTCAGGGACCTTCCTTACTTCCCGTCCGTGGCCTAGTTCAGGCTCCCAAGTGAGCGACCTTTGGTAATTAAGATTTTTACTCTACATAGCTTTACTTGGAGTTTCCCTAAATTGCTTTGGTCTTTTAGTTCATGGGGAAATGGAGTTCAAGCTAACAATCATAGGTTTGTAATATATTTTTTTCATACTCACAAAAAAAGTGGAAAATAACTGGCACATTTATGGAAATAGCATCAGATGGAGAGATAATTTGATAGGTGATATAAAGATTTAGGGACACAATGGTCTGGATAGCACATTGTCTCAGAATTAATGAGATTCACTTCTTTTTTTCTTTTGAGACAGAGTCTAGCTCTGTTGCCAGGCTGGAGTGCAGTAGTGCGATCTCAGCTCACTGCAACCTCCGCCTCCTGGGTTCAAGCGATCCTTCTGCCTCAGCCTCCCGGGTAGCTGGGATTACAGGCATGTGCCACCATGCTTGGCTAATTTTTGTATTTTTAGTAGAGAAGGAGTTTCACTGTGTTGGCCAGGCTGGTCTTGAACTCCTGACCTTGTGATCTGCCCACCTAGGCCTCCCAAAGTGCTGGGATTATGGGCGTGAGCCACTGTACCCAGCCAAGTACACTTTTTCTAATGTAACATAGGTCACGTAAATAGAAAGTTGTTAAAATTATTGATGCTCAATTTAGCATAGTCTATATTATTTATTTATGCATTGAGCTTATTTACTTAGGTACATTTTCATTTTCCTTTCAGTTTCATTTTAGAAACATAAAAATAAAAATAGAGTTTAGGTAAACTTTTTAATCACAACCCATTGCTGGTTTGTTGTTCATTAATGTCTTTGACAATGTCACTTCAACTTATTAGAAGAAAATGACAATGCTCACCACCCACTCCAACCCACTAAACAGAAATACCCAGCCAAACAAAGTGAAATTTAGGTAGTAAAATATATCTCTTTTCCTTCAGATAGACCTTATATTATTGGCAAATGGAAATATTTTAAGTGGGGAAATAAAGTTGTATATGCAAGAAAGGGAAAGTGATCGAAAGAAGAGAAAAAGAAAACATGATTTGCATGATTTGTAATTGTTTAAATCATGAGTCTGCAAATTATGGATCATGGACAAAATCTGGCCCATCACCTATTTTATAAATTTTTGCTAGAACACAGATGTACATATTCATTTATATATTGTTTATGGCTGCTTCTGTGCTATAACAGCAGAGTTACAAAAGACCACATGACTCCCTCAAAGCCAAAAAATTTCACTGTTGGGCCCTTAATAAAAAAAAGTTTGTCAATCTCTGATAAAAATAATAAAGTTTACATTTTGAATTTCAGATTTGAATCATGGGGAGTTGAACCAGGCAGCTGCTCCATCCCTTGATGCTGGAGTTTTCATTCTACAAGAAAATGTTCTATGTATTTTTTGGTGTTATTGATCTTTATTAATAAATTTCCACAGGACTATAATGCTTTTGCAATATATTGCAAAACATACTATATTCTGGGAACTATTTCTTCTAATGGTGCTTTTAAAATTAATGACTGCAGTAATATATATATTCTAAAAACATTCTTTCCTGCGTCTTTGTAGAAATGGCTCAAATCTATACTAATCATGAAGGCTTATAATCATGAAGGCTTATTCCTTTCCCCTGCTCAGCACTCACCCTGTTGTCAGTTCACTTTTAGGATTCTGTCTACTTTATGTTTTTGTCACTCTCAAATAAAATAATATAGTCAAGTGCCTTGAACATGTCTATCTTGGTCCTTGGTAACAAGACCATATTTTCAACATCAATAATATCAATTGATCTGATGAATAAAAGTTAATATTTGTTAACAGCTTACTATGTCCCAGGCATGACTCTGAGAGCTGTAACTTTATTAATTAATCTTTACAACTTTATCAGATAGGTACTGTTAACTTTATTTTATCACAATGAGGAAACTGAGGCACAGAAGGGTAATATACTCAAAGTCACATCGCAAATAAGTGTCTGGACCAGAAGAATCCATATCAACATTAAAAAATAATATTGAGTGGACTTTTATGTGGTAGGTCTAGAGCAAGAGTCAGTAAACGTTTTCCTGTAAAGAATCAGACAAAGGCTGGGCATGGTGGCTCATGCCTGTAATCCCAGCACTTTGGGAAGCTGAGGTGGGCGATTCACTTGAGGTCAGGAGTTCGAGACCAGCATGGCCAATGTGATGAAACCCCTTCTCCAATAAAAATGTAAAACTTAGCAAGGCATGGTGGTGTGCCCTGCAACCCCAGTTACTCAGGAGACTGAGGCACGAGAATTTCTTGAACCCAGGAGGTGGAGGATGCAGTGAGCCGAGATTACACCTCTGCACTCTTGCCTGGGCAACAGAGTGAGACTCAATCTCAAAAAAAAAAAAAAAAAAAAAAAAGAATCAGATAAAGATTTCAGGCTTTCAGGGGTCAGATGAAGTCTCTGCAACTCTGACCCTGTGGTGAGAAAACACCCATATATAACACATAAGTGAATGGGCATAGCTGGGTTTCAAGAAAATCTTGTTCACTCAAGTAGGCTGCATACACAATGGATTTGGCCTGTGGTCATAATTTGCTGGCCTGTGGTCAAGATGATACTCCTAACCTATAAATTTTATTTATATGCCTAGCACTGTGCTGCACAGGGTGTATTGGGACAGGAAGGAGAAATGATATGAAGAGAATTTTCTCCAGAATTCACTAACCCAGTGTAGACCATAACGGACAGGCCATGCCTAGCTTTGTTACTTCACAAATCTTTTCTGCTAGCTAGTATCTACTTCTATTATTTTCTGTCTTAAATTGATAATCTGAGAAGCAATAGAGCCTATTCTGAAACCTCATCTCCAGAAAATAGAACCAGCTCAGGAGAAAAGTGTTGGTAAAAAGACACCTGAGAATGTCTTGTGGGGTAATTTCAGTAAGATGTTGGCTATAGTAATATGTCAGAAGAGGGATTATCAAAGTTATCTTATTAAGAATGTTTAGTTTTATAACTTTGAAATCCAAGTTAAATGTAGGAAGATGGCAGAGGAGAGCTTCCCAGCAGTAGTTTCGGTCACATCACAGGACAGACAGGTGCAAAATTTCCAAAATGCATTCTGAAGGCCAACTAACCTTCCAACCTAAGGGAAGAAGTTGTTTTCAGTTGAATAGGACTGCATTGCAAGTCTGAGAACTTGGTCTTTTTTTTTATTTTCAAAGTGACATGGTGGCAGGGAGCAGGAGAGCTAGGGATGGAGGAGAGACATAAAACTGAGGTCTGCTCTGCACAACCGTGCATGTTGCACCCAGCAGAAGCAGAGGTCCAGCTAAGAAGGGTGAAAGAGCCGAAATATATTCTCCAAGCCACGTATCCATGGGTCTGCCTCCCTTCAGGGTGATTCCTTTAACAATGTTCACAAAAGCATCCTATGGTGCTGTAAAACATTGACTTTGGCAAATCTTTGGGTTGTGACTTCATGGACATGAAGTATGAACTCATCCTAGCCTACATGACTACAGGACTTCATCACATCTATATATGCTTCTGAAAGAGAAGAATAAACTCTGTAGTGTCTTCAACACCCACCTATGGGATGACTGTGCACCTAAAAAGGTGCTCATGCTTCCAAAGTTGAATAAAATCACAATAGCTCAGAAACAACAAAGAGGAGGAGTGAGTAACTTCCTCTGGTCCCAGGGATCTTCTGCATGACTAACCTGACTCAGTCACCAGCAAAATGGAGTTCCAACTGACCGACGAAGGGTCAACTGGTTGGGACCCATGAAAACGCAAAGCCAAGTTTTGACTAAACTGTGGTCTGTGGACTCACATATATTAGTGGCCACTTGTTATGCTGACAGTGAGAATAGGTGACACGTCTTCAGCCTTCTGTTTCACTTTTAACCTAAATCCCTCGTCGTCGCAACACAGGGAGCCATGCTTCATGTTTGTTTGCAAACATTAGCCTAGACCCAGGGTAGTCTGCTGCTTATGTATTCCGTGTGGAGCACTTTATTAAGTAAAGAGTTCCTTCGTAAGAGGAAAGACCTTTTGATGAACTCTAAAGATAATGAAGTAGGCAGGCGCTTCCCAGGAGTATGATGGGCCCTGAGTCCAGGTCACCTTCCCCTGGTGAGTTACAAAAGGTACAAGCTCAGCAGCTGGGAACTTGGCAGCCAACATGTGAGGGGCTCAATGAGATCTCATTGCTTTAAGAAAGGAAATACATTTCTTCTGTAAAACAAATAACAAAAGGAGACAGCATTGTCAGGTCAGAGGGCTGGGCCAAATGTATGGTGCAGTGAGATGTTTTCTCTTTTCTAGAAAAAAAAAGAATAGACAAAGAGAGCGGAAGGGAACAGTATCCTATTTCAACACAGAATGGCACTGATATTTAGGATGAGACAACATCCTAGATTTTGGGGCTATTCTCCTAAGATGGGCTTTATTGATAGAATGTTTAAATATAGCAAAGAAACGCAAAATTAGAGCAAATGACTTGCTTGAAAGGTCAACAGGAGAAATTCAACAGAATCACTGGAATGAAGTTGAGAAATCAGCATTTTACTGTCTATAAGTGGATGAGACTTCTGATGAACTTATATTCAAAATTTCAGAATATTAGAATAAGAAAAAATTTGTTCCCCTGATTGAAACTGAAATCCTTGGATCCTTAGCGTCTCATTCAGAACAATAAAATATGCTAATATAGTTTGGATGTCCCCTCCAAATCTTCAGTTGAGATGTAATCCCCAGTGTTGGCGGTAAGGCCTAGCGAAAGGTGATTGGATCATGTGGGCAGATTTCTCATGAATGGTTTAGCACCATCCCCTCGGCACTGTCCTTGCAATAATGAGTGAGTACTCATGAGATCCGGTTGCTTAACGGTGCGTAGCATTCCCCCAATTTGCTCCCCCCCTTGCCCTCTCTTGCTCCCACTTTTGCCATGTGACATGCTTGCTCCTGCTTTGCTTTCTGCCATGAGTAAAACCTCCCTGAGGCCTCTTCAGAACCCAAGCAGATGCCAGCACCACGCTTGTACAACCTACAGGACTGGAACTGTGAGCCAATTAAATCTCTTTTCTCTATAAATTACCTAGTTTCAGTTGTTCCTTTGTAGCAACTCAAGAACAGCCTAACACACATTCTATCCCTCTGAAGAGTCTTAATTGCATTCGTTCATTCATTCATTCAAGCAATATTTACTGAGCACCTTAATACTGCTCTAACTACTTGGGGTATGTTAGGGAACAGCACAAACAAAACTCTTTACAGGGTTTTATTCCCGCAGGGAGAGAGAAATTAAATAATTAAGTAAATGATTTGGTATAATAAAACATTTAGTATAGAAAAAATGAGGAGGGAAGGGAAATACTGGCATTTTTATTTATGTTTTGTAATTTTACTAGTTATCATCCCTTGTCAAAAATGGTCAATTTTTATATATAACCTGTGTTTGATATATAACCTTCCTACTATTATTCAGAATATATAAGCAGCACATTAAAACAGGAAAGATAAGATGTGACTACATGTCCCAAACAAGCTGTGTTTCCTTGGGAAAAGCAGACCACTTTCAAATTTCTCATTGTTAAGATAATGTCATTGAACGTTAAGTGAATAAGAAGATACGTGATCTGAAATGGGTAGATGGGCACAGGGGAGGATCACAGAGATTTTCTCAGTAAAGACTCAAAATGAAAACATGCTTAGTAGATCTGAGTTGGAACTATATCTCCAGGCAAATGACCTCATTATTCTGCCCTGAATAAGGAGCAAAATCTTCAATCAAAAGCAGTAGTGATTTATACATTTTCCCCTGAGCTTCAAAATGTGACCAGACTGATAATTTATTTCTAAAAAGTTATTATCTTAACCTCATGATTCTGTGATTCTAAGAATCAATCATTACCTTATTAGGAGAGAAGTAAATAACCATGGAAAAAGCAGATGTCAGGGTAAATTCTGCAAAGTCCCCACTTTCATAAAATTCACTGTAATCCACTTTCATGTGGTCAAGTAGCTGTGGGTGCACCTGTGACTGACAACTGGAGAGGCACTAACAATTGATTCTAGCACTCAGGTAGTCATCAGTCTAGGTGTAAGTGGTGAACATGGATGAGAAAAAGTAGTCAGGGTTTGGAGAAATCTCTTGGAAGCTATCGGGCATGAATAAGCATCCATAGTACGCTAGCACTGAAGCAGTACTCACCCTACCACATTTTTTCCAGAAAGAATAACCCCAACATAATTTTTGTGTGTTTCATTGAGCTACTGTATTTCATGCAAATACTGTTAACTCTGTAATTGACTTGTCTTTAAGGGGTTTCTCAAGCACACGGGAAGCTTAGAAAGATAAATGATCTGAAATGGGTAGATGGGCACAGGGAATGACCTCAAAAGATTTTCTCGAAAGGTTCAAAATGAAAACATACTTAGTAGATCTGAGTTGGAACTATATCTTCAGTCAAAAGACCTCATTATGCTGCCCTGAGTAGCCAGCAAAATCCTCAGTGTAAAGCAGTAGTGATTTACACATTTTTCCCTGGAATTTTAAAATGTCACCTGAGTAATTTAGGTGTAAAAACAAGTAAACATTCGAGATTTCCTCTTTAGAATTACAAATTTCACTTGGCAATGCCTTAAAAATATCAAATTTATGTAAGAACACTAGCTAGTTCAATTTTAAAAGCTGTTTTAAACTGCATGGGCAACCAGAACCAAGGAGGGGATTCACTTGAGATGAAATATTATTACAGCTGGAAAATAGAACTTGAGAAAACATTTAGCCATATTATCATCATCTATACAGATGATCCTTGACTTATGATGAGGTTATGTTCCAAAAAACCCATTGTAAGTTGAAAATATCATACGTCAAAAACATACGTCATACAGCTAATCTACCAAGCATCATAGCTTAGCCTAGTCTACCTTAAACATGCTTGGAACACTTAGACTACAGTTGGGCCAAATCATCTGACATAAAGCCTATTTTATACTAAAGTTGTTTTTGTAGAAGAAAAAAAATTAGCTGGGCATGATGGCTCATGCCTGTAGTCCTAACTAACTGAGGAAGCTGAGGTGGGAGGATCATTTGAGCCCAGGAGGTTGAGGCTGCAGTGAGCCATAATTGCACCACTGCACTCCAGCTAGGGCAACAGAGTGAGACCCCGTCTCAAGAAAAAAAAAAAGGTTTTTAATATTTGTTTTTATTTTTTATTTTTATGGGTACATAATAGATGCACATATTTATGAGGCACATGAGAAATTTTGATATGGGCATACAGTGCATAATAATTACATCAGGGTAAATGGGGAGTCCATCACCTCAAGCATTTATTTTTTTTGGGTTAAAAACATTGCAGTGGGTTGTTCCAAGATGGCCGAATACGAACAGCTCCAGTCTATGGCTCCCAGAGTGAGCAACGCAGAAGACAAATTATTTCTGCATTTCCAACTGAGGTACCAGGTGCATCTCACTGGGGATTGTTGGACAGTGGGTGCAGGACAGTGGATGCAGCGCACCGAACGTGAGCCAAAGCAGGGTGAGGCATTGCCTCACCCGGGAAGTGCAAGGGGTCAGGGAATTCCCTTTCCTAGCCAAGGAAAGGGGTGACAGGCAGCACCTGGAAAATCGGGTCACTCCCACCCTAATACTGTGCTTTTCTGACAGTCTTAGCAAACTGCACAGCAGGAGATTATATCCCGCGCCTGGCTCAGAGGGTCCTACGCCCATGGAGCCTCGCTCATTGCTAGCACAGCAGTCTGAGATCAAACTGCAAGGTGGCAGAGAGGCTGGGGGAGGGGCACCCGCCATTGCTGAGGCTTGAGTAGGTAACCAAAGCAGCCAGGAAGCTCGAACCGGGTAGAGCCCACCACAGCTCAAGGAGGTCTGCCTGCCTCTGTAGACTCCACCTCTGGGGGCAAGGCATACCCAAACAAAAGGCAGCAGAAACCTCTGCAGACTTAAATGTCCCTGTCTGACAGCTTTGAAGAGAGTAGTGGTTCTCCCAGCACGCAGCTTGAGATCTGAGAATGAACAGGCTGCCTCCTCAAGTGGGTCCCTGACCCCCGAGTAGCCTAACTGGCAGGCACCCCCAAGTAGGGGCAGACTGACACGTCACACGGCTGGGTACTACTCTGAGACAAAACTTCCAGAGGAACATTCAGGCAGCAACATTTGCTGTTTGCCAGTATTCACCGTTCTGCAGCCTCTGCTGCTGATACCCAGGCAAACAGGGTCTGGAGTGAACCTCCAGCAAACTCCAACAGACCTGCAGCTGAGGGTCCTGACTGTTAGAAGGAAAACTAACAAACAGAAAGGACATCCACACCAAAACCCAATCTGTACATCACCATCATCAAAGACC
This sequence comes from Homo sapiens, assembly GCF_000001405.40. Lineage (NCBI taxonomy): Eukaryota > Metazoa > Chordata > Mammalia > Primates > Hominidae > Homo > Homo sapiens. The sequence continues at coordinate 25,204,567 of NC_000003.12, read as the reverse complement.
AAAGGTAGATAAAACCACACAGATGGGGAAAAAACAGAGCAGAAAAACTGAAAATTCTAAAAATCAGAGTGCCTCTCCTCCTCTAAAGGAATGCAGCTCCTCACCAGCAATGGAACAAAGGTGGACGGAGAATAACTTTGACGAGTTGAGAGAAGGCGGCTTCAGACAATCAAACTTCTCCGAGCTAAAGGAAGAAGTTCAAACTCGTGGCAAAGAAGTTAAAAACCTTGAAAAAAGATTAGACGAATGGCTAACTAGAACAATCAATGCAGAGAAGTCCTTAAAGGACCTGATGGAGCTGAAAACCGTGGCACGAGAACTACATGAATGCACAAGCTTCAGTAGCTGATTCGATCAACTGGAAGAAAGGGTATCAATGATTGAAGATCAAATTAATGAAATGAAGCAAGAAGAGAAGTTAGAGAAAAAAGAGTAAAAAGAAATGAACAAAGCCTCCAAGAAATATGGGACTATGTGAAAAGACCAAATCTACATCTGATTGGTGTACCCGAAAGTGATGGGGAGAATGGAACCAAGTTGGAAAACACTCTGCAGGATATTATCCAGGAGAACTTCCCCAACCTAGCAAGGCAGGCCAACATTCAAATTCAGGAAATACACAGAACTCCCCAAAGATACTCCTCAAGAAGAGCAACTCCAAGACACATAATTGTCAGATTCATAATTGAAATGAAGGAAAAAATGTTAAGGGCAGACAGAGAGAAAGGTCAGGTTACCCGCAAAGGGAAGCCCATCAGACTAATAGTAGATTTCTTGACAGAAACTCTACAAGCCAGAAGAGAGTGGGGGCCAATATTCAACATTCTTAAAGAAAAGAATTTTCAATCCAAAATTTCATATCCAGCCAAACTAAGCTTCATAAGTGAAGGGGAAATAAAATCCTTTACAGACAAGCAAATGCTGAGAGATTTTGTCACCACCAGGCCTGCCCTACAAGAGCTCCTGAAGGAAGCACTAAACATGGAAAGGAACAACCAGTACCAGCCACTGCAAAAACATGCCGAATTGTAAAGACCATCAAGGCTAGGAAGAAACTGCATCAACTAATGAGCAAAATAACCAGCTAACATCATAATGACAGGATCAAATTCACACATAACAATATTAACCTTAAATGTAAATGGGCTAAATGCTCCAATTAAAAGACACAGACTGGCAAATTGGATAAAGAGTCAAGACCTGTCAGTGTCCTGTATTCAGGAAACCCATCTCACATGCAGAGACACACATAGCCTCAAAATTAAGGGATGGAGGAAGATCTACCAAGCAAATGGAAAACAAAAAAAGGCAGGGGTTGCAATCCTAGTCTCTGATAAAACAGACTTTAAACCAACAAAGATCAAAAGAGACAAAGAAGGCCATTGCATAATGGTAAGGGATCAATTCAACAAGAAGAGCTAACTATCCTAAATATATATGCACCCAATACAGGAGCACCTAGATTCATAAAGCAAGTCCTTAGAGACCTACAAAGAGACTTAGACTTCCACAGTATAATAATGGAAACTAACACCCCACTGTCAGCATTAGACAGATCAATGAGACAGAAAGTTAACAAGGATATCCAGGAACTGAACTCAGCTCTGCACCAAGCAGACCTAATAGACATCTACAGAACTCTCCACCCCAAATCAACAAAATATACATTCTTCTCAGCACCACATTGCAGTTATTCCAAAATTGACCACATAGTTGGAAGGAAAGCACTCCTCAGCAAAAGTAAAAGAACAGAAATTATAACAGACTGTCTCTCAGACCACAGTGCAATCAAACTAGAACTCAGGATTAAGAAACTCACTCAAAACTGCTCAACTACATGGAAACTGAACAACCTGCTCCTGAATGACTAGTGGGTATATAACAAAATGAAGGCAGAAATAAAGATGTTCTTTGAAACCAAGGAGAACAAAGACACAACATACCAGAATCTCTGGGACACATTTAAAGCCGTGTGTAGAGGGAAATTTATAGCACTAAATGCCCGCAAGACAAAGCAGGAAAGATCTAAAATTGACACCCTAACATCACAATTAAAAGAACTGAGAAGCAAGAGCAGACACATTCAAAAGCTAGCAGAAGGCAAGAAATAACTAAGATCAGAGCAGAACTGAAGGAGATAGAGACACAAAAAACCCTTCAAAAAATCAAAGAATCCAGGAGCTGTTTTTTTTGAAAAGATCAACAAAATGGATAGACCACTAAGAAGACTAATAAAGAAGAAAAGAGAGAAGAATCAAATAGACGCAATGAAAAATGGTAAAGGGGATATCACCACCAATCCCACATAAATACAAACTACCATCAGAGAATACTATAAACACCTCTACGCAAATAAACTAGAAAATCTAGAAGAAATGGATAAATTCCTTGACACATACACCCTCCCAAGACTAAATCAGGAAGAAGTTGAATCTCTGAATAGACCAATAACAGGATCTGAAATTAAGGCAATAATTAATAGCTTACCAACCAAAAAAAGTCCAGGACCAGACAGATTCACAGCTGAATTCCACCAGGATACAAGGAGGAGCTGGTAGCATTCCTTCTGAAACTATTCCAATCAATAGAAAAAGAGGGAATCCTCCCTAACTCATTTTACGAGGCCAGCATCATCCTGATACCAAAGCCTGGCAGAAAGAAACACAACAAAAAAAGAGAATTGTAGACCAATATCCCTGATGAACATCGATGCAAAAATCCTCAGTAAAATACTGGCAAACCAAATCCAGCAGCACATCAAAAAGCTTATCCACCACGATCAAGTGGGCTTCATCCCTGGGATGCAAGGCTGGTTCAACATACGAAAACCAATAAACATAATCCAGCATATAAACAGAACCAACGACAAAAACCACATGATTATCTCAACAGATGCAGAAAAGGCCTTTGACAAAACTCAACAACGCTTCATGCTAAAAACTCTCAATAAATTAGGTATTGATGGGACCTATCTCAAAATAATAAGAGCTATTTATGACAAACCCACAGCCAATATCATACTGAATGGACAAAAACTGGAAGCATTCCCTTTGAAAACTGGCACAAGACAGGGATGCCCTCTTTCACCACTCCTATGCAACACAGTGTTGGAAGTTCTGGCCAGGGCAATCAGGCAGGAGAAGGAAATAAAGGATATTCAATCAGGAAAAGGGAAAGTCAAATTGTCCCTGTTTGCAGATGACATGATTGTATATCTAGAAAACCCCATCGTCTCAGCCCAAAATCGCCTTAAGCTGATAAGCAACTTCAGCAAAGTCTCAGGATATAAAATCAATGTGCAAAAATCACAAGCATTCTTATACAGCAATAACAGAAAAACAGAGAGCCAAATCACGAGTGAACTCCCATTCACAATTGCTTCAAAGAGAATAAAATACCCAGGAACACAACTTACAAGGGATGTGAAGGAACTCTTCAAGGAGAACTACAAACGACTGTTCAAGGACACAAACAAATGGAAGAACATTCCATGCTCATGGGTAGGAAGAATCAATATCGTGAAAATGGCCATACTGCCCAAGGTAATTTATAGATTCAATGCCATCCTCATCAATCTACCAATGACTTTCTTCACAGAATTGGAAAAAACTACTTTACACTTCATATGGAACCAAAAAAGAGCCTGCATCGCCAAGTCAATCCTAAGCCAAAAGAACAAAGCTGGAGGTATCATGCTACCTGACTTCAAACTATACTACAAGGCTACAGTAACCAAAACAGTATGGTACTGGTACCAAAACAGAGATATAGATCAATGGAACAGAACAGAGCCCTCAGAAATAATGCCACATATCTACAACTATCTGATCTTTGACAAACCTGAGAAAAACAAGCAATGGGGAAAGGATTACCTATTTAATAAATGGTGCTGGGAAAACTGGCTAGCCATATGTAGAAAGCTGAAACTGGATCCCTTCCTTACACCTTGTACAAAAATTAATTCAAGATGGATTAAAGACTTACATGTTAGACCTAAACCATAAAAACCCTAGAAGAAAACCTAGGCAATACCATTCAGGACATAGACATGGGCAAGGACTTCATGTCTAAAACAGCAAAAGCAATGGCAACAAAAGCCAAAATTGACAAATGGGATCTAATCAAACTAAAGAGCTTCTGCACAGCAAAAGAAACTACCATCAGAGTGAACAGGCAACCTACAGAATGGGAGAAAATTTTTGCAATCTACTTATCTGACAAAGGGCTAATATCCAGAATCTACAGAGAACTCAAACAAATTTACAAGAAAAAAAAAAACCCACCAGAAAGTGGGCAAATGATATGAACAGACAGTTCTCAAAAGAAGACATTTATGCAGCCAAAAGACACAAGAAACAATGCTCATCATCACTGGCCATCAGAGAAATGCAAATCAAAACTGCAGTGAGATACCATCTCACACCAGTTAGAATGGAGATCATTAAAAAGTCAGGAAACAACAGGTGCTGGAGAGGATGTGGAGAAATAGGAATACTTTTACACTGCTGGTGGGACTGTAAACTAGTTCAACCATTGTGGAAGACAGTGTGGTGATTCCTCAGGGATCTAGAACTAGAAATCCCATTTGACCCAGCCATCCCATTACTGGGCGTATACCCAAAGGATTATAAATCATGCTGCTATGAAGACACATGCACACATATGTTTATTGTGGCACTATTCACAATAGCAAAGACTTGGAACCAACCTGAATGTCCAACAATGATAGACTGGATTAAGAAAATGTGGCACATATACACGGTGGAATACTATGCAGCCATAAAAAAGGATGAGTTCATGTCCTTTGTAGGGACACGGATGAAGCTGGAAACCATCATTCTCAGCAAACTATCGCAAGGTCAAGAAACCAAACACTGCATGTTCTCACTCATAGGTGGGAATTGAACAATGAGAACACATGGACACAGGAAGGGGAACATCACACACCAGTGCCTGTTGTGGTGTCGGGGAAGGGATAGCATTAGGAAATATACCTAATGTAAATGACAAGTTAATGGGTGCAGCACACCAACATGGCACATGTATACATATGTAACAAACCTGCACATTGTGCACATGTACCCTAAAACTTAAAGTATAATAATAAAAAAATTCCAATTATACTCTTAGTCATTTTTAAATGTACAATTATTGTTGACTGTAATCGCTCTGTTTTGCTGTCAAATATTAGATCTTATTCATTCTAACTATATTTTTATACCCAATAACCATCCCCACTTCCCCCACCCCCAACCTTCAACGACCTTTCCCAGCCTCAGGTGACTGTCATTCTACTCACTTTCTCCATGAGTTCAATTGTTTTAATTTTTAGCTCCCTCAAATAAGTGAGACCATGTGATGTTTATCTTTCTGTGCCTGTCTTATTTCACTTAACATAATGTCCTCCAGTTCCATCCACGTTGTTGCAAATGACAGGATCTCATTGTTTTTCATGGTTGAATAGTAGTACTCCATTGTGTATACATACCACATTTCCTTTATCCATTCATCTGCTGATGGACACTTAGGTCGCCACCAAATCTTGGCCATTGTGAATAGTGCTACAATAAACATGAGAATGCAGATATCTCTTCAATATACCGATTTCCTTTTTTGGGGGTATATACCAAAAAGCAGTGGGATTGCTGGATCATATGGTATTTCTAGTTTTAGTTTTTTGAGGAATGTCCACTTTTCTCTCCACAGTGGTTGTATTAATTTACATTCCCTCCAACCCTGTATGAGGGTCCCTTTTCTCCACATCCTCACCAGCATTTGTTATTGCCTGACTTTTGGATAAAAGCCATTTTAACTTGGGTAAGATGACACAGCATTGTAGTTTTGATTTGCATTTCTCTGATGCTCAGTAAGGTTGGCCACCTTTCCATATACCTGTTCGCAATTTGTATGTCTTCTTTTGAGAAATATCTATTCAAATCTTTTGTCCCTTTTTAAATCAGATTAGAGTTTCTCCTATTTATAGGAATACTATTTACAATAGTTTTTCCTATTGAGTTGTTTTTATATTCTGGTTAATTCTTGTCAGATGGATAGTTTGCAAATATTTTCTCCCATTCTGTGGGTTGTCTCTTCACTTTGTTGATTGTTTCCTCTTCTGTGCAGAAGTTTAACTTGATGTGATCCTATTTGTCCATTTTTGCTTTGGTTGCCAGTGCTTGTAGGGTATTGCTCAAGATATCTTTGCCCAGATCAATTTCCTGCAGGGTTTCCCCAATATTTTCTTTTAGCTGTTTCATAGTGTGAGGTTTTAGATTTAAGTCTTTAATCCAGTTTGATATCATTTTTGTATATGGTAAGAGAAGGGGTCTAGTTTCATTCTTCTGCATGTGGACATCCAGTTTTCCCAGGACCACTAATTGACGAGATTGTACCTTCCAAAATGTATGTTGTTGGCAGCTTTGCTGAATATGATTTCACTGTAGATGATGGGATTTATTCCTGGATTCTCTATTCTGTTCCATAGGTCTATATGTCTGTTCTTGTGCCAGTACCATGCTGTTTTGGTTACTGTAGTACATTTGAAGTCAGGTAATGTGATTCTTCCAGTTTTGTTCTTTATGCTCAGGATAGCTTTAGCTATTCTGGGTCTTTTGTGGTCCCATATACATTTTAGGATTATTTTTTCTATTTCTGTGAAGAATGTCATTGGTATTTTGCTAGGGATTGCTCTGAATCTGCAGATTGCTTCGCGTAGTATGAAGATTTTAACAGTATTGATTTTTTAAAACATTCCATGAACATGGAATATCTTTCCATTTTTTTGTGTCTTCTTCAACTTATTACATCCATTTTTTTAATTGTAGAGATATTTCATTTCTTTGGTTTACTCCTAGGTATTTTATTTTATTTGTAACTATTGAAATCAAGAAAGTAATTCCATTTACCTTTTCAAGTTTTTTTGCTATTGATATATAGAAATGCTACTGATATTTTGTAGGTTGATTTTGTATCCTACAACTTTACTGACTTTAACAATTCTAATAGTTTTTTGGTGGAGTTTTTAGGTTTTTCCAAATCTAAGATGATGTCATCTGGAAACAAGGATACATTGACTTCCTCCTTCAATTTGGATGCCTTTCTTTCTACTGTCTTATTGCATGGTACTGTTACCAAAACAGATACGTAGACGAATGGAACAGAACAGAGGCCTCAGAAATAACACCACACATCTACAACCATCTGATCTTTGACAAACCTGACAAAAACAAGAAATGGGGAAAGGATTCCCTATTTCATAAATGGTACTGGGAAAACTGGCTAGCCATATGCAGAAAGCTGAAACTGGATCCCTTCCTTACACCTTATACACAAATTAATTCAAGATTGATTAAAGACTTAAACGTTAGACCTTAACATAATAACCCTAGAAGACAACCTAGGCAATACCATTCAGGACATAGGCATGGGCAAGGACTTCATGTCTAAAACACCAAAAGCAATGACAACAAAAGCCAAAACAGACAAATGGCATCGAATTAAACTAAAGAGCTTCTGAACGGCAAAAGAAACTACCATGAGAGTGAACAGGCAACCTACAGAATGGGAGAAAATTTTTGCAATCTATCCATCTGACAAAGGGCTAATATCCAGAATCTACAAAGAACTTAAACAAATTTACAACAAAAAAATCAACCCCATCAAAAAGTGGGCGAAGGATATGAACCAACACTTCTCAAAAGAAGACATTTATGCAGCCAAAAGACACACGAAAAAATGCTCATTATCACTGCTCATCAGACAAATGCAAATCAAAACCACAATGAGATACCACCTCACACCAGTTAGAATGGTGATCATTAAAAAGTCAGGAAACAACAGGTGCTGGAGAGGATGTGGAGAAATAGGAACACTTTACACTGTTGGTGGGACTGTAAACTAGTTCAACCATTGTGGAAGACAGTGTGGCGATTCCTCAAGAATCTAGAACTAGTAATACCATTTGACCCAGCCGTCCTATTACTGGGTGTATACCCAAAGGATTATAAATCATGTTGCTATAAAGACACATGCCCACGTATGTTTATTGCGGCACTATTCACAATAGCAAAGACTTGGAACCAACCCAAATGTCCATCAATGATAGACTGGATTAAGAAAATGTGGCACATATACACTGTGGAATACTATGCAGCCATAAAGAAGGATGAGTTAATGTCTTTTGTAGGGACATGGATGAAGCTGGAAACCATCATTCTGAGCAAACTATCACAAGGACAGAAAACCAAACACTACATGTTCTCACTCATAGGTGGGAACTGAACCATGAGAACACTTGGACACAGGAAGGGGAACATCACACACTGGGGCCTGTTGTGGGGTGAGGGGATGGGGGAGGGGTAGTATTAGGAGTAATACCTAATGTACATGATGAATTAGTGGGTGCAGCACACCAACATGGCACATGTATACATACATAATAAACCTGTACTTTGTGCACAGGTACCCTAGAACATAAAGAATAAAAGTAAAAAAATTTTAGAGCTGATTCTATTAATGAGATACTTGATAACCTATAGATACATGCTGACCACGAAGAATTTTTAAATGACTCGAAGCAGAGGAACAAATATAACCACAAAACTCCCAGTCTTGTTTGCATTAGTTCACTAACCAAATAACTGATTTAAAATAGAGCCATAAACATTGATTCCAGGAAATTAACAGATTACATATACTTCAGATATATTTATATAACTTTATTTTATAGAAGATGTTTACATTTTCATATTTTATCACTCAAGACATGGCTTTCTTTTAAAATCTGATTAGCTTCACAAAATTTCTACATAGAATTTTAATTTAGACTTAACTTCCCTTTTCATTCTGGGAATGAAGCTGTAATTTCATGATAAGTTAATGGCAAAATACAGTCCACTGAGCTAAAATTCACTATCAAGTTAATTTTTCAATGCACCTTTGTTCTGTAACAAGAATTTTAAACTCATTGAACTTTATAAGGTCCTAAGAAAATGCTTGGGAATTCAGTAAAGTTGGAAAGTAGTTAAAGGAATAAGATGTGATGAATTCACCTGGAATAAATTCAGAAGTTGAATATATTAGGGATCTCCAAGCTGACGTCACGTGCTATTTTTTAATGTCTGAATCGTCTTAAGAAATATTACTTTAGCATGTTACTGCTGAAATTAACCAACCAAATCCAATGTCATCAAATATCTATTCTCTTAGCCCATGAATAACTATACGAAACTTTCTGCAAACTGTTGTCAGAAATTGAGCATGTATGACACTACCTATTCTTAAGTGATACAATTTTAAGTCTAGGCCTGGGTTGATGAGGAATTGGTAGGCTCCCAAGAAATGGATATCTTCAGGTGAAACTGTTTGGAAAAAAAAAATTTCATAACAAGACCTACAGAGAGGATGGGCAATAGTTTGTATGATGGGATTTCAGCAGTATGATAAAGACCTTTTGTACCATGAAATGTCTTTTGCCTTCTAATTACTGACTGATGTCAAGCACACACTTTTAGAGACACATTTGAAACTTTTTTGTTAAAGCTTTTGTTTCTGTTAAAAGAAAATATCCATTGGAGGTATAAGAAAGCAAGCCATATAAATCCTTTACTCTTTAGTATGAATTAGTGTCCTTTTCCACCATACTCTTTCAAGCATGCTTTGAAAAGCAGAGCCAGGAAAAGAAGAGAATGTCACTGAATGTTCAAAGTGGCACAGACCAGAGCGGCCATCATAGAAACTTGATACTGGGGTTCACAGAAATTAACAAAATTCCACAGTCTTTTTTAAAAATTAATAAAAGCAGCATTGTGTTAATTTATTTGATTCCAGAATGCTTATACAAATACGTACATTCTTCTGGTCAATAAACATTTATTTAAAACTTCAGTGCATTGGGAATTGGAGACTTAAATTAAAAAAAAAAAGACCTTGTTCTCAAGGGACTCTAATTAAGCTCCTATGACAGCCTTTTACTTCCGGGTAATCTTTTTATTAAATTGTATGTATTTAAGGTGTACAACATGATATATACATTATATATATATATATCAACATATATATATCACTATGTGTGTGTATATATATATATACACACTACTGTATATATATACTATTTGATTACTACTGTCAAGCAAATTATGCTATCCATCACCTTCCATAGATACCTTTTTGTGTATGTGCATATGGTAAAAGCACCTAAAGTCTATTCTTTTAGCAAATTTTCAGTATACAGTATTATTAACTATACTCCTGCAGTACATTAGTTCTCTAGGCTTATTCATGCTACACAACTACAAGTCTGCCTTCTCTGACCTTCTCTCCTTCCTACCCTGGTAACCACCATTCTACTCTTTGTTTCTATGTATTGAATGGTGTTAGGATTCCACATAAATGAGACTGTGAAGTATTTTTCTATGTCTGGCTTATTTCACTTAGCATAATGTTCTCCAGATTTATCTGTATTGTCCCAAATGGAAAGATCTCTTCCTTTTTTAAAGCCTGAATATTCATATATATATACATACCATGATTTCTTTATCCATTCATCAGTTAATGGACACCTAGGCTGCTTCCGTATCTTGGCTATTGTGAATAGTGTAATATTAAAATACAAATGTTTTCATCTAAATTGTGTAGCTAAATAATCATCTTACTAACTGATTAATTACATATACAATTTTGAATATTTATTGGTATATATTTTGAAACTGAGTGTCAGTATAGTGTATATGTCATATAAACACAGAAAATGTAAATATTGCACGTTTATATAGTTGCCTCCATTTCCCTTTTTCCTTTTCCATTTGAACATTTTCTTTCTCTGAAAAACAACAATCTACATACACAATAGAAAAAAATTAGAATGAGAATTGTTGAAATATGTCGCTATAAAATATCACAACAGCTGCTAGCAAAGAATATATTCCAGTGTAGCAGCAACAAATAAGATGAACAAATACTAAAATGAACAATAAAATTTGATAATTTCTACTATTTTTTATGACAAGTTTATTGCTTAGAATGAGATGCTGACAAGCAATTACAGTTGAGCTAATTGAAACATATAAAACAATAAAAAGCACAATCAGATCATGGGTACAATGAAGTATCTTACTCAGATAATTGATTTCTGAACTTTTTAGGGACTTAAGGTTTTAATGTTCCTATCTTTTTACTTCAGTGCAAACAGGTTTTTTTTATTTTAATTTTTTTAACAGACTTCCTCTGCATTGGAACAATCTTTAAGATTTCTAAACATCCAGTGGAAGGTAGCTTCTGTTCTATGAGAATACAATTTTCTCTTTCTTCATTCTTCCTTTGAATGGGGAAGAATGTAAACAGAATTAAAGGGTTCAGAGAAGTTGTGATCAGTGGAAAAGGGAGACACACAACTAAGCCAAAAAGTTAAGATTAAAAGGAGGTTGATGGGACAAGTGATTACATGCTTTTCCATTGCTTGGAATGTTAGCAATTACTTGAGGCCCTCATGCCTGTAACTCAAAGTTTTCATTTCCTATTTGGTTAAACAGTGAATGAAAGTTTGCCTCTTGCTTTTTCCACCTACAATGTCTGAAGCAACATTTATTTAGAGCTTCCTTCTAGAATGTAAGCTTCATGAGGGCCTGGCTCTTGGTTCCATTTACAGATGTACATTCTAAGAGCCTAGAAGAGTTGTCTGACATACAGTAGGTACTCAGGGAGTGTTTGTCTACGAGGGACTAGATACTATGCCAGTCACCTGCTCCCAATTATGAGTAAGACCATGTCTAAAGATGCTTGTGTTTTTCGATGGGTGACACTGGTGTTTTCAACAGAACAAGTTTTGTCGTGTGTGTGTCTGTGTGTTTTGTGGTTCAGGATTGTCTGAGGCAGTACAGATGCCAAAACATCCTTGTGCCACTCATTAATTGCCAGAGGTAACCCCTAATTATGGCAAACCAAAAACTTTTAAATAATTCCAAATGCCTGCTAGGGAACAGTTCTGCCCCAAGTAGAGAACCACTGATGGAAAACACGATGAGTAAAGAGCAGTACTAAATGTTAAATTAATAAATAGCATGATAGGTTATCTACAAAAAACTTTTAATTCCTATTACAGGCATATTAAAAGTTCACTTATAGTGTCTGTAGTATTTTATTGAATAGGTGTATCTTATGCTCCATCATTTCCCTTCCATTCATCAGGGAGGATATTTACATAGCTAGTACCACAAAATTGTCAACCAATAGTTTTAAAACAATTACACGATCTTTACCAATCAAAATCTTTTAACTGTAGCAGGATATCTGAAGAATAGCTTATGAGATGCCTCAAGAGGCTACTATGCTTCAGTCTTATGTATAAATTATTTAACTATGAGAGGTTATTTAGTTGTACTTAGAGAATCATACCAACAAGGTTTCTCATTCATATTCTGATATTCACAACATCATTAAGCAAAGACACTACCTTCATGTCCTACAAGATCCAAAGATGAAGAATCATGTAAATATTAGATTTTGAACATTCAAAACTCTCAATCATTGTTACACTTTTGCAAAGCTGTTTAAATAAGTACTTCCAGAATAACTGCCGTGATTCGATATTATGTCAACACTCACTGTCTTCCCCTAAGAGACTCTCTTCTCCACACCCCCGCCTCGTCTGCCTGCTTTACATTAAAGGAAAACTTACGCATCAGCAAATTCACAAGATTCCTTGACTATGTAATCAGAGACAACATGGGGAACCTTTTCTCAAAGATTTAATTTGTCATTGAAGCAAACTACTGTGCCTTGTAACACTGGATTATAGATATTTTAATCTCCACTGAGGGAGTATAATTTGGGAACAGAGAATTTCTGGTTTGGGAGGTGCCATTTCAAATCCTTGCATAGATGGAAGAGACTGAGTTAATGTCTTCCCCCAATGCAAGTTACTTAGTTATTGCCCAGCTTAGTTACTGTAACACAATCCAGCAAAGTGATTTAAAAGCTCAATATGGATCTTTTCACTTATTTCCCCATGTGCTTTGGAAGGAAAATTCATAGCTGTCCATTTTTGGATTCTTTCCTTCATTTAACAAAGTTACTCAGAATCTCCCTGGTCAAAGGCATCACCCTAAGTGAGGTAGGAGATAATATGGCACTTGCTCTTAGCACGGGACAATTTCATGGGAGGGATAAAAGTTTAAACCAATGACCACATTATAAGGTGGAATAAACAAAATTCTTTATTAGAGATATAAAACTCATGTGTTAAGGGCCCAGAGGAAGTAAAGATGGATTCTAAGGGGAGCTTTCATTCAAAAGGGAATAATATTGTCCCACAAGCAATGTCCAAGTATTTATGCAATATTGCTGCCAGTATTGTGAGTAACAGAGTCTATATAAGAAATATGTTTGCTTGGGGTTTTGAAAACTTTCCCCTATTTTTTTCATGGACTAAAATGCCCTTTTAATACATGAAAGAAACATGGAAGTTATATCAAAGTCTGTAATACATGCCCATGCTGACAGCCTCCCAATAACTTTGTGTTTACAGAGTTGTTTTTGTTTTTTACAAAACAAACGTGAACCTAAGGAGGAAAAGAGTTAGATGATGGGCGAGGCCCCCAACACAGATCCATGCAAACCAATCAGTTGCCTTTAGGGAATTAATTGACTCTGACTTGATTTAGCACAAGTTTCTGAACCAGATGATTTTTTTTGATGGCACATCTGGCAACATCATAAAAACTCCAAGTCCCAAGTGATTAGACAGGAATTACTTTTGTAAATCATTTATGACTATTACTGATGTGAACTCATTCTAAGCAGCACGCGACATAAGTAGCCAAGGACAAAGAAAAAAATCTAGAAGTGGGGAGGAGACCCTTTCTCTTTGAGGTTCCTTTTTGGAGGAAGGGCATTTATCATTTGAAACTAGAAAACTGTTGCCATAAACAGATTGGAATTAATTAACCACACCTCAAGGAATCACCTGGCAGTCTCTTTTTCATTTGCCTGTTAAATAAATGCATTTTTTAGTTGATCAGCTGAAGCTTTCCATGAAAAAATTTGGCACATTGTGACCTCAAACAGAACATGCCAGTTAAACATCTCCTGGAGTGCTCTATAATGCAAGACCCACAGTAAGATTAGAAATACTTTACACTTCTACCCAAAATATATATACACACATATATATGCATATATAGTTGCACATATCAGTACACAAAAGAAGGCATTATCATTTGGAAACATGAACCATACTCTCCCTTGAGTGTTTTTGTTGCGTGTATCTGCCTGGGGTATGGGCCTGGTTGGGGGTGTAAGGGAACATGTGAGTACACTCATTGACTGTTCCTATGTCCAGAGAGAATTAGATTGAGGAAAATTTAACTCTTGAATCCATTTGTTTCTACTGGTCTCCTTCCATGGGAAAGTTCTAGATACTATGATTTTCCATTGACAATTTACCTTTATTTCTTCATATTCCTCCTCTTCCCCCAACCCCTATGCATCACAATCGATAAATTGACCCAAACTGAGGAATAAATTGGGCTTAACTGAGGCTCTATGCAAAGTCTCTCCTAAACATTACTTCATTCAGTTCTAACTCTGGCCCCACTGCAAGCACATAAAAAGGAAAGGTGAGGAGTTTATCCGGGGATCACACAGCTGGGCCCCAATGAAGGATTTTCTTTCTTTCCTGTTCCTTTTTGAGACAGAATGTCATTCTGCCATCCAGGCTGGAGTGCAGTAGCATGATCTCAGCTCACTGCAAACTCTACTTCCCGGGTTCAACCAATTCTCCTGCCTCAGCCTCCTGAGTATCTGCGATTACAGGCGCCCACCACCATGCCGGCTAATTTTTGTGTTTTTATAGAGACAGGGTTTTGCCACGTTGGCCAGGCTGGTCTTGAACTCCTGACTTCAAGTAATCCACCCACCTCAGCTTCTCAAAGTGCTGGGATTACAGGTATGAGCCACCATGCCAGCCCAACAACTGAGGATTTTCTGACTCCAGGGTCTAAGCTTTTGAACATGCTGCTGTACATCTTCCATCACCTGTTGTCTGTTGGAGCTGATTCAAAATGATTCTGTGAGGGAACATTTTGGCCTTTTCCTGGGCACTGCTGGGGCCCCTGCTCCTAGGGGAGGGTTGGGCCTTTGGCTCCTCAGGTCCTTGTCAAGGGAGTATTACTTCAGATTCATGGTTTCTCAATGCTTACAAAAATCTTTGGCTAAGGAAAATAGTTTTTATGGATAATTGCCCGAAGGCTATGAAGATCATTTATTTATCTTGACACTCTAATATTTATTTTTGGATTAAACTTAGACTGTCAGAGAGCGATGTACCTGGAGACAGGGTTTGGACCCCTGCAGGGACCTGCTTTTGCTGACTGACCTTTGGAATGATTAATTTAGCCTACATTGAGGGATGATATTAAAAACACAAACACACATAAAGAATCATATTTATTATAAAGGTAGAGTTGGGATGTGGTTCATGGTACAGTCATTTGTGCTTCTCTGCATGCCTGGATGACTTCATTTTATGAACTCTGTCAACTATATGACTTTGTGACTCCTCTTCTTGGGTTAGACTTTTAGTTTGTTTGAGCAACATTTATTATCTATATCATAGGATGCATTTTAATGCACTGGCCTCAAATGGGCTTCAACCTGTTTCCCTGTACTTATTTTCTCTTTCCCCAAATGTCCTCATTTACAATTTTAAAAAGTTACACATATAATTTTTTCACAAGTGGTCATAAAATCTTTCTTTTTCCAAATAAAACATGGTATGTATAAGTAAATGAATTCAAGAAATACCTCATATTATCTATTGTGGGTAAAAAACAAGATGATGTATATAGTTTCTCACACAAATGGTAGTTATAATTATTATAGATAGTAATAATAACAACATTTATAATTTAGCTGAAGCCTAATAAAATACAGAATGACTTAGTCATGGGTAGAGTACATGGATATCAGATGATACCGCTTTCAAAGAAGCTGACAGAATAACTTTTCTACTCCAAAATACCTCCTTGGAAATTTTACCACTGCACGATCAGGACCTTAGCTTAGAAGTTAACACTTCAAAATGCTAATAAACCTCTGAAGGGTTAATTTCTTGGAAATAGAATCAGGCATGAATACTTTTGATCTTGATTTAGCTAGGATATTTGGTTCAGCCGAATACAATTGAATTAACCCAATAAAAGGTCTCCCTTTTTAAAATTAGTTCCATAAATAATTATTAAACACATTTATTTATACAACAAACATTTAGTGAGCACCTACTATGTGCCAAGCACCAAGCTCTGAGCAATGAGTATTCAATGATGAGCAAGATGTCATGGTCCCTGAATAAAGATAAATAAAACATCAGGGATGATTCCCTGACCCAGAAATGAAGACTATTAATATGCTTGCTAGAATTTGTCCTAAACCCACATGGATACCCCAAAACATATACAATATATATGTTAAAAATGTAAGAATATTGTCTTGATACTTAATATTTAATTCTATTAATTCGGTAACTTGTTTATCCCATTGAATATTTCCATGTCAATACATTCATTTCTCCATCGACATTTTAAAGGACTGCTTGTTATTTTCATTCTCTAATCAGTCACCTCTTATTAGCCAGGAAGGTTGTCTTCAGTTTTTTAATTACAAACATGTCTGTGCTAATATCTGTGTTGTCTCAAACACACTAAAACATTTATTTATTATGAATAAATTCATCGTAACAAAATGTAAAGTCATAGGTAAAATATTTTAAGGCCTTTTTACTAAGTTCAAAATTATTTCACAGAAAAGAGATATTAATTTTCTTTCTCCACAACAAGGCTGTATCTGAGTGTTCATTTCTCTGTAGCCTGAACACCATCAGAAATCTTTTAAATCTGTGCCTCGTCACAACAAATGAAATCTTCATTTGCATTTCTTTTTAAAATTGCTTTTGTTCAATTACTTTTAAGACAAAGATTAAAAGTATTTTTATTAGCCATTTGCCTTAAAAAAAACTTTCCCTTTCTCCTGTCTCTAACACATGAAGGATATATTCATATTTTATCTTTGTAATGTACGTTTAATAAGCTATAAAAATGTAACATATATGCATATGGCAAAGCATACTGGAAGATGAATACTTAATCACTTAAAACTTTATCCTTTCTGCTGTGTCTACTCATGTGTTCTTTATCCTACCCACTTGCCTGTCCCACTGCACCACCAAGAAGTACCTGTTATCTTGAGGTTAGTGTAACAAATAAATAATATATAGCATTCTTACAAATACCTATTTTTCTAAACAATGTTTATTTTAGATTTTAACAGGGTTCAGAACATGCTAGTCCTATATTATGGCAGCATGGTTTTTGAGAAAAAAGCAGAGGTAAGAGGCCATTGTCTTCTTCCTCTCACCATGCTCTCCTGCAGGTCATAAGACCCTCATTTGAGAGGTTCCCTCCCAATAAGAGGAGGAAAGGCACATCCCTATCTCTGAAGAAGCATGGACACAGACAAGAATCTAAGCAAACTGGTTTTGAGAAGCACCCCTCAGGGTATTACCATTAAATCCTACTTCCTTTGTTCCATCGTGTGACTGATATGACTGGCTACTCTTCATCAAACTTAGCAGGAAAACACACACACACACACACACACACACACACACACACACACACACACACACACACAGGCTTACCTTTTTCTTTGGGTCTTCATTTCTGAAGGTTCCCAAGCATATATAACTTACATTAAACAAATTTGTATGTTTTTTCTGATGTTAATCTGTCTTTTGTTATAGGTGTCTCAGTCATGAATCTAGAGATGGGTGAGGAAAAAAATCATTTCTTTTCTACAATTTATAAAAATGTTGGCACCCTATATGTGCACTTAAAGAGTTTTTCATTCATTATCATTTCATTCATTTCCATTCATTATCTTTCTATGATCTATCCATGTTCGTGGTGTATAAATTTTCACTGATGAATAATATTCAATTTAGTGAATATACCACTTATTTTGCCTACATCTGCTCATATTCAAATAGCATCCTTTTTTTATAATCTATGACCAGTGCTACCATAAACATTCTTAAACCTAAATTCATATTAAAGAGGTTCTCTAGAATAATACATAGAGGTAAAATTGTTTGGTTGAAATCGAATCTGAATATTCAATTTTATAGAATGTGCTAAGTCATTTTCAAAACAATTATACCAGTGTAGGATCTCACCAGCCGTGTGTTTCAAAGTATCTGATGATCCACACTCTTTCTAATACTTGGTATTGTAGCCATAATTCTTAATTTTTTCATCTGTACTGGATATAAAATGGCATACCATGGTTGTCTTGATTTGTATCACCAATATGAGGTTGATATGGGATATCTGAATTTCTTTTTAGTGAAATAAAATCTTTTGTTTATTTTTCGTTGGGGTTGTCTTTTTTTCTGACTTGCACAAAGTCTATATACATACTTTATGCTCTTATATATTTTGTCTTTGTTAGTTGTATTTTTAATTGGAATGCTGGAATTCCCAGGGTCAAATTTTGTTCTTTTTCCATTCCATAATACTCCTTTGTTCACCCAATACTGGACATACAACTCTGTTTTCTGTTCTTAAAGTGAAGACAGAAAAACTGTGACAAGTACTAAAGATGATGTTAGCCTTTGCAGCAATTTATATATAATTCTATTACATGTTTAATGTAGTCACCAAATATTATCATCAATAGTGGCATACGAATTCTTTGATTTGTTATTTGGCTTTAGTTCTGGAATAAGATTTCTTATAGAAGAAAAAATGAAAGACAAATTCTAAAATTGCCTACACAAAGTCAGGACAGAAGTCAATGTGGCTATGAAAGTCACTTTATGTCTCAGAGATTTCCATCAGGACTCACAGAAATTCCTGTTTTGGCATTCTAATAAAAGCCATTCTGATTATAAAAAAAATGATTTACTAAATATTCTTAAGTGTAGAGTTCTTTTTAACCATGTGGTTATCATTAAAGCACTATTCACTTGTATGAAATGTCAAGGTTAATTTTTCTCCTTAGGTACTTCTTTTTGGTTGGCCAATTTCACAACCGTTAAGCAATTAATATTAGTGTTAGAAAGTGTTCATTATTATAAACATCACTGAAATTAAGTCAAGCATTATTAGAGATTGTTTATAAAGGACAAAGTGACATGCAGACCCCGCAGGTCCTAAGAGAAAAGGAAGTTTGGTCTTTAACTAGTTCTCCAACTCTAAAGGATCCTCATCTATGAAAAATAGCCTTAAATGTTGTGTATTTCTTGGATGTGAACTCTTCATGATAAATACAAAATTATTCATCAGGGCAAGCTTACTTATGAAAAAATGTCTTTTCTAATACCCAAACTTAGGATTGTCCCCTTGAGAATTCTGAAATTAAAAAAAAATATATCTTGGCAGGGTATAAGCTCTATGAAGTGAAAACTTCCATATGCCTAATGTAAACTTTAGAAATATGTGCAAAAGCACATGCACATGTAGAAAGACCTTTGCATTTTGGAAGTTAGAATGCATAATTAATGGAATGATTGTCCTGTGACAAGATTTTTGCTAGTAAGTGGATGAATTGTGGCCGCAAAGCATGGATAATAATAATGAATGCTATTATTTACTAAGTTTTTACTTTTTTTTTTCTTTCTTTTTTTGGACACAGGGTTTTGCTTTGCTGCCCAGGCTGGAGTGCCAAGATGTCATCACAGCTCAGCGTGGTCTCTAACTCCTGAGCTTAAGTGATCCTCCTGACTCAGTCCCGCAAAGCGCTGGGAGTATAGGTGTGAGCCACCATACTTAGCCTACTTTTTACTCTTGTAACACTGTTATAAGTAGCTTACATGTATCAATTGATGTAAATTGATCATGAACAACATCATAATTTTTCAAAGATAAATTGTCCTTATTTTACAGAGAAAATGGCACACAGAGGTTAAAAATCTGTCCAAGAACACAGACTGGGTCTGGAAGCAGCCACCTCTCTCACTCCATTTTCAACTTCCTATCTTTCTGCATCTCCCCGCTCCCCTAGATTTTCAACACTAACATCAATTGTGGTTCAACAAGATGAACCTTTCCTAATGATTAGTTTTGAGTTAACTATAAGCTCCCAGAGGTTAGGGGCAGTCTCCAAGCAGTACTTCTCGCGGGACCACATGTGATTCACCATGAAACAACAGCCAGGTAACTCTGTGCTATCATCAGTGCCCACAAAGCCACAGATAAACTCTGGCCTTACTCTCAAAATGCCCTATTTTTTTAATTTTGTCTGAACATTTGCAAAGCTTATGGGCATTTGGCAAAGGATCTCAGCACTAAATTAACAATGCACATTCTCATTGAAAAGCAGTCATTTCCACCAAATGTACAATGGCTTTTTTCAGATTTGGGCAATAACTAGAAAAAAAAAACAACAAACTCTGTATTTGTAGATTTTCATATTATTAAGTTTGATTCATCTGATTAACATAAAAAGACAATGGTAGGGGCCAAGTTAACCAGGGAAGGATTTAGTTAGGGCCAGAATCCTTTAGTAAAGTTTAATGTGGTGAAACCCTAGGTTACCTCAAAGAAGCTTACATAGGCTTTTGGCCATAAGAAACTAAAAGAATCCTGGATAAGGGGAACTAATGGGGACAGATATAAAGACCAGGACACCAAAAGTGTGTACAACTAATTACATAACAAAATTAGCTCTAAATATAAGGGAGAAGACAATAAGTGTTATTGCAGGAGAGATGCTAGGGATGGACAGAGGAATCGTTACAATTTGACTGTTGAAAGACTGTCCAAGAATTCTGGACACTAGAAGCTGAGGCAAAGTCAATATGTAAGTTTGTACGATAAATTTATAGTATACAAATCCTAAAGAGAGACTAGAAGATAAGCCAATAAGGCGATGTTCAAGATAATACAGAACTGATAATTATAATAAGATCACTGCCACCAATAATCCCTCGGTGACTGAAACTTGAATATGAACTTGTAATATGAATGGTTTTTCTGAAGAATCTCACAGATTCCAATTTGACAGTGATGAGTAATCCTGCAGGGTTTTGAGGCAAAGGTTTTAAAATGAAGAATAAAATGAATATTAAAGAGAACATGTTGAGGTCAAGAAAGGAGATGGGAGTTTGCCATCCAGTAAGACAAAATGAAAATCAGAGGAAGAGAAAGAAATTCATTCTGAAAAATTGTGAACATTGTGAATTATAATCACGGACTTGTAGCTGTCAGGATAAAGACAGATTGGCTATGCAGTAATAAAAAAAGTCCTTTCTTCAAATATTATTCATTAGTCCAAGCCAAAGAAGCCACATGAAGTAGGAAAAGAAAGTCATTATAAGGACAAAATTATGAGAAAATAAACAAATTAATGGATATTTTTAGAGGGAGAAAGTTTCGAAAACATAGTTTTTTCTTTTTCGGTAGTAAGAAGTTATGGTCCCTGTATCAGTTTTCTAGAGTTGCTGTCACAAAATACCACAAACCGTTCTGTAGGCCAGAAGTCCAAAACCAAGGTGCTGGCAGGGTTGCCTCCTTCTAAGAGCTGTGGGGGGAATGTTCTCCATGTCTCTCTCCTAGCTCCTGGTGGCTTGCCAGCAGTCTTTGGCTTTTGGCAGCTAGCTCCAATCTTCACATGTGTCTCTATCTCTGTGTTTAAATTTCCCCCTTTTATAAGGACATAGTCATACTGGATTAGGGCTCACCCTAATAACCTCATCTTAACTTAATCCTATTTCCAAATAAGGCTATGTTCACAGGTACTGGGGGTAAAGGCTTCAACATCTCTTTAGAGGACACAATTTAATCCATAATAATTTTACAATTTTTCTGGTAAATACTAATATAATGTCTCATTGGAGATAGAACCTGACACCACACACAAGTGAAAACCCATCATTCTCATGGATTTACCCAGAAAATTCTCACAGAGCTTCTGAGGTGTCTGACACAATACCTAACACAACCCTTATGTGTTAAATATATATCAGAAGAGTGAATTCATTATAACAATACTTTTGAGTCCCTTTTATACCCCTTGGGGACATTGGCTACATTGGCTACACATCAAGAAATGAAGGCAAGTACTAGATGGTTACTTCCTAACCCCATATGCCTTCCAAGACAGGAAACTTTCCTGCTTTCCCTGGGTCTTCTGCATATCGCTGTTCCCAGCACCATGCCCAGTACCCCATGGCTGGCATAATTGCTGGTTCTGGTGTTGCAAGCCCTCCTTTGTCCATCTCACTTATTAACTCCCTTCCTCTCAACAGCTAGAGCATTTATTTTCTAGTCAGTTTATTTCACACTGTTATTTTTTCACTAATTCATTCATGTATTCATTCATTCACTCATTCATTCCAAAGATTCTCAACCCTTTGGAACCAATGCTTCTTTTAGCAACACATATCACCTGCTGTATGATTCCAAAATGAAAGTCATAGGTAATATAGGCCACCTACACCTACATGTAATTCCAAAGAAGTTAATACATTTCTCTGACTGCAATACCAAGGATGAATAGAAAAATGTAATTTTTAATAAAGTAATGGTTATTTCAATGTGTAATTGCTCAGGCATAAAGAAGTGGTAAGATGCTTGCCCCTCTATGCAGAATTAGAGTGAATGTTTTAGTTATGAATGCAGATTGACACAAGTTTGTGGAATTGGTGACTTGAATACCGAGAACAGCACTGCCATCGGTGACATGATTTTATAAAATGATGAATGACTCTCAGAAGAGTTCCCAACAGAACAAAGATCAACCTACTACTGACTTGCATGGCAATTAAAATCCTAAATAATTTAGGGTATAATAAAAGCATACAACAATGTTTTGCATTTATATGTAAAATGAAGTTATGATTTAGGATCAGTTCATCATAATTTATTTGGGGGTAGGGGTGGTTCTTAACAGGAATGCCTGGTGGGACATCGGAAAGTCATGAGAACATGAGGCACTTCTTTATTATTTGCAACTATCGCATACATTGCAGGACATTAAGCCTCCTAGCTTCTGCCCACTAAATCTCTACAGCGCTCCCAATGAGCATGGCACTCAAAAGCACATCTACAAATTTCCAAAATTCCCTCACCAGCAAAAACCATTGATTCAATCATTCCGCAAAGATGAAATGGGTTTCTCTACTATGTCCCATGTGTTAGATCACCAGATAAGCAGTGAAGGAAAAGTTATGAAAACAACTAAAGACAGCAGAATAAGACATGCATAGTAAATCAGAGTACTTACGATGCACAGTGGGTACCTGGGTGGGAAGGAATGTTATAAGCTTCATAAAATCTAGGTCCTGAAGGGCCAAAGAGCAATCAGGGTTTTAGATCTAAATGGTTTTCAGTGATTATGACTTCTCAGTAGGAATGCAATATCCTTAAAGACAGACAAAGTGCTTTAAAAACCTGTGTGTCCCCTCAATATCCACAGCAAACATAGAGTTATGAAAAGAGGACTGACTTTGGTCATAACAAGAAGAGTTCAAGCCCAGCCCCACCACTGAGCAACCTTAGAAAAGTTGGTTACCTGGATCTTACCTTCTCTATTTCCCTTTTCCAGTTGGCAGACAGAGGTAATATATGTAGCAAAAGAAATGTTATTTTTGACAATTAATTTTCATGGCAAGGTTAAAAAAAAGCAAGGGAATTGATGGTACCACCTGACCATTGGTTGGTCTGGGAGCCCCAAGTTTTTGGATGTGTTCAAATAACAAGACTAATTAGATTCATTCTTTCTCTCTCTCCCTCTTTTTCTCCCTTCCTCTTTCCTTCTCCCCTACCCTCTCCTTCTACATAAAATTACAAAGATTCATTCAAATGTCAGAGGGAACTAAAGGAGAAAACAGAGAAACAAAGACAGAATGAGTCGCTGCATCACGTCAGTGACAAGGCATAAGTCACCAGAGCTTTTGTGGGACTTCCTGGGATATATCCTGAAGATGGCCCAGGCCACTCCACCTGACCTCATGTCCACCTACCTGCATGGAGGCTAATCTCCCATCGCTCAAGGCCATCTGAATATAACCTATTTGAAATCTATAGGAGTTGCAGATGGATGAGTTCATTGAGGCAGAACTTTAGAACATGAGATATGGAAAGTCTCATTTTCTATAATGAACTCAGCCAACTCAAAGCCATTGTCATGATTCTAACTTTTCCAAAGTTCAATTTTTATAAGGTCAAAATGCTCTTTTTAAACGTCTACATTTTATCTAATAAATACAACCGGAATGTCTTTATCGAAAGGAATTCTAATACAAATTCTTAAACCATTACTCCATCTTTTCTCCATTCTTGGTCCTTCTTTATATATATTCTTTCAGTCATGTCCTTCCTAGGAAAAAGGTGATTGGCAGAAGTAACTTGAAGGTAAAGTCATTCCCGTCTTTATGATGGCCTCTACGGACTGAAAGCCTACCTCTACTTAGGGACATACTTCCACA
This sequence comes from Homo sapiens, assembly GCF_000001405.40. Lineage (NCBI taxonomy): Eukaryota > Metazoa > Chordata > Mammalia > Primates > Hominidae > Homo > Homo sapiens. Next base: position 25,180,089 of record NC_000003.12, on the reverse strand, counting down.
ATTGAGACACTCCTTTGGGCATTGTAGTTAATCTGATCAAAGTGAATGATATTCTTTTTGTTTTTAATTCATATTCATATATTCTTGATCCCTTTGGGGGTAAAGATCAAAAAACAGAATGAGCTCAGCTCCTCATTAGAACTCTTCTAAGGATTATTAGGTTGGTGCAAAAGTAATTGTGGTTCTTGCCATTACTTTTAATGGCAATGTGATTACTTAATACATGTTATACTCAACCAGAGTCTGGGGAAGTTGTAGAAACATCAAGAAGACACAAAGATTCTTGTTTTTGGGGGGAAAAGAGGCACTAAAGTAATCAATACCTGTTCAGCTTTAAGGAATGGCCTCTTAAATACACATGACTCTGGGCCTAAGAAAGTCCACTAAAATAGTTTCATCATGTCAACAGTATAAACTCTATTTCTCAAACATTCAAAGCCTTTGACCTCCCTAAGCCAATGAGGGAGGTAAAATGGACAAAACTGTTATAACTGAGTTTACTCAAATTCCCAAGAAGTGTCTTACTTTCATTCATTTTTATTTGGTTTAACAATGTAAGGATACATAGATATAAATGATACTATTATGTTTGACTTTCACAAAATACCAGCAATATATTAAGTCCCTGATATCTTAAAATCAAATGTGATTCCTGTCCAGTAGAGTCATTGCATAAGTTTAAGGACAAATATAACTCAATAGAAAGAAGACAAGACTATGGAGTAAAAGGTGATGGTAGAAATTAATGAGTTGGATTTACTTGCCATCAATCTGCATATACTTAAAACAGGATCCACACCTCTGAGCCAATTGTCCCTAACATGTAATAAGGAAATTCAATCGATCAGCACACCCTGCTTTAGACAAGCTAGGTAACAAAGCTCTTCTTAGTTTAAGACAAAAAATAGAAATAAGACTCATTTTATGTTCCATCATTGGTAATTCTGAGATTGCACAGCCTGTCTCTCCAGAAGGTTGGGATTTTTTAAGCAAATACCCTATTTTGTGATTTTGACAGGAGAGCACTTTCTGATCATTAAAAAAGAAGGGGAAAAGAATTCGCATTTTAAGATGCTGGAGTTAAACTAAGATCATTTTGAGAGAGATTCTGAAGCCAAAACACTTAACAATATTTTCCAGCTTGCAACAACCTATAAAAAGCACATGTGCAGCAATAAAACAGAACAAGCAGCCATGAAAGGAACATAAAGAGAGACAGACAGACAGCTGTCCAACTCTCACAGAGAGCCCTACCACATAATATTTTGAGTGTTCCCTGGCATAGCATATCAGGCTCTTCTCCTGTTGGAAGTCATGCTTATCAAAGGCAGTACGGCGGCACTCTCTCAAGTCTCCATTGTGACGAAAACTGATAGTGGCTTCCACAGTAGTTGATTAAATTAAAGAGGTTGCAAGGTCCTTTAAATATCTATCATCTCCAAGGACTCCCTGGAACATCGTGGAAAAAAGATGTCCATGGTGGAGCTGTCAATTTTCCAAGGGATTATGCTGGCCTCATTGCCCAAAACACTGGGAAAGGCATGCGCTCTGGGGTCTCGGGGTCTGGATTTGGAATTTGACTCCAACATTAACTGGTTATGTAAGCTCTTTACTCTCTCTAAGCCTCCTGGTCTTTATCTGTAAAATGGAACTTCTGTAATGGAATGGCAGTGACATCGAGGCTATTAAAAAGACTAAGAATGGCATACACTAAATGCTGTGTGAGTAATCCAAAATGTGCTCAATGCATGGTAGTTTTTCTAATTACATATTTTAACTCCCCCTTTTTTCGTATGTTCCCTGTGTTCTAAGCTTACAGAAACTCTATGCTATAAAAATTAAGTCAGAATGCAAAGACAAGGGCATGTACACACAGAAGATGCTTTCAAGTTCTCTTCTGCAAATAACTTTTCTTCTTTAAGGTAGAAAGTTCTTGAGAACAGACCTTCGGAAAAGTGGCCACATCTTCCCCTACGAATTGTGAGTGGTCACAAATGATCATACCAATAGCCAATTATTCCACACTGCAAAAGAACAGGGCCCACCCCCTGTAAATGGCATGTGGACCGGGAGAAACCTGAGTTACGTGAAATCATTGCCTATTAGAGCTGAAAAGATCTTGGGTATGATCTGATTTCACCCCTTTAAAGTACAAGTTTCCTTTCTAATTTAGACTTCGACTTCATTCTTAAAAGATTTAGATATATAATAAAAGTCTGTTCTGTAAGTAAAAATATTTTATAGTTGATAGAATAGAAATTCAGAGAGGTTAAATGACTGCAAAGTAGATATAGCATCAAGGACAACTTTATGTGTGGGAATGGAGCCATTGTGCTGTAGGCTTAGAGAAGTTCAATATGCAGAGCTCAGGTTCAGGTCTAGGAGATAAAGCTGACAAGAGTTAGAAGGGAATGAGAGAAGAGTGACAAGCAGGTATAACCTCAGTAGCTGCTATGGAAATTGTTCTTACTTGCTTTTGAGGTAGAGAATTATTGAGCCTTTACAATTACTTGGTGCTGACAGACCCTCACTACAGGGGCAGGAGAATTTATTCTTTCTAGTGAGCTGCAGAATCAAGACATGTACAGATTACAAAAGAGATATCAGTAAGTCCTACAGTTCAATGACATGAATCTCTTTACAGAGTCATTCTCCAACATGTTTGCTCCCTTTTTATTCCACGTTGGTCAGCTTTTCCACCCAAGTATGTGTGTTGCTAGTTATTGAGTCTTTACAGAATTTGGCTACCTTCCTACTAATCTCAGTACATGGATAAAAACCTTAAATTTATTTTTAGCCAAGTCTGTGGTTAATTTTTAAGTCTTTGTCCTTTTCTAGGAACTTTTGAAAACACGGGCTTTAACAAGGACAATTCCTTCTTTGAGGGCCAACTAACAGAGTCATATTCATTGTGGCTTCTTTTAATCATTTCCATCTGAGCAGCTTTCATGTGCTTCGACTGTAGCAAGAAATAATAATACAAGGTATTAGGGTATGAAGTAAGTAATCTTTGATGTTCCAGCCTGAACTTTCTGTACCTAGTCCTTTTTCTGCCCCTTCTCCAAACACCTTTTAAGGTGCAGTTACTTAGCACTCTCCTTACAAGGCCCTCAAGAAAAAAGTCAGCCACTATTTACCCTTTTTTTGAACTTCAAACCCTCGCTTTTCAAAGGTTGAATCTATTCAATTGCCACTATATAACCAGTTTTGATCTAGAAAATGACAACTGCATTATAGTTTAATCTAACAGTAATGGCATCTTGTACTTTATTAGTAACTGTGAAATAAAAATAATTACCTTGTATTTTGAGTGCAAAAGAGGCTTAGATATGATATATCTCAACCATTTTTCCATTTAATATGCTCTGCATTTTCCTTAAAATCAGTAGTAGCCAAGACCGGGCACGGTGGCTCACGCCTATAATCCTAGCACTTTGGGAGGCTGAGGTGGCTGGATCATGAGGTCAAGAGATCGAGACTATTCTGGCCAACATGGTGAATCCACGTCTCTACTAAAAATACAAAAATTAGCTGGGTGTGGTGGTGCGTGCCTGTAGTCCCAGTCACTCAGAGGGTTGAGGTGGGAGAAACACCTGAAACCGGGAGGTGGAGGTTGCAGTGAGTCAAGATCACACCACTGCACTCTGGCCCGGCGACAGAGCGAGATACCATCTCAAAAATAAATAAATAAATAAATAAATAAGGAAGGAAGGAAGGAAGGAAGGAAGGAAGGAAGGAAGGAAGGAAGGAAGGAAAGAAAGAAAGAAAGAAAGAAAGAAAGAAAGAAAGAAAGAAAAGATAAATATAAATAAAAATAAATCAGTAGCCAAAGAAGCCCAAAGCCCAAAGTTGCTTTTGGGAACCTAGAGGTTTCAGGCTGCCTTAGAGTTTCAATCTGCCAAATTTGATCATTCAGCATGGGAATCCTACTCATATCTCAACTTCTTGGCTACATCTACAAAATATGCTTCTGATCTCAGGAAAGAAACCTGTTAAAATGTGCTGTCAGGCCAGTTGAGCAACGGAATTAGACACAGAGGCTCATAGGTAAAATTTTAATGGCTTTATCAATCATTTAGACCTCCTCATTTGTTAGCTAAAAGTAACTTCATTATATCATTTGCATATTGAGTGAACATGATTTGAAACAGCACTTGGGTCAGCAAGATATTTTGAGTACTGGTACTATGTCCATTTCTCTGGATAGTCAATACGCCGCTTTGGCTGCTTCAACTTTCAGTTTGAACTTCAGAAGCATGGGAGGAGGTTTTTAGGCAATTCCAGAGACATGAGGGTCAAATGTTCAAGCCAGAAATTCGAAACACAGAAGGAAAGACTCATCAGCAAATCGAGTCACTGTTTATCAGGAATGATATAGTACTATGATTGCAATCAACATCCCAAAAGTGCAAGTCTATCATCTGTTTGCCTATCTGTCAGTCTGTTCGTCCATCCAAACACCCATCCCCTACTATTTTTGAAGGCAATGTACCGGGGATTCTACTTAGGTAGAACAAGCTCCCTGCTTTCGGTGAGCTAAGGATGTAGTAGAAGGAATGACTGAAGGCACGAAGAGCACAATATAGAAAGATTAAGGTGGTATCCCAATGATACCATGCTAATATTTGGGGGAAGTCCTTGAAGAGAAGCAAAATGCAAAACAATCACCAGGAAGAGTTACAAAGAACTGTTGCTCTATGAGCCAGAAAGGACTTGGAGAACATGCTGTGGATGCCTGTTGTTAAATAAATATGCCTTTTCACCTCCAGATGCTAAACCAAGTAAGTTGTTATTAACAGGTGGAAAAGCTCGCTGGCTACCACAGTTTGTCTTTAAACAGGCAGAACTTTCTAAAAATTGCACAATATAGATGTTTCAATGTGGAAGTCATATCAGTCTTGGAGAATTCTAACTTTGACTATTTTTATTTTATAGTACCTTATACAGAAAATTTAAGGGAAGATCTGGGATAAGAAATAGCTAGTACAGAAACAAAAGGTGCCAAGGACACTAAAAAAGCTTAATGTGATATGAATTGGTAGCAAAGGTCTATGGGAAGTTGAGAACAATTACAGATATCATTTGTACACAGGAAACAAGTAAAAGATTCAGAGAAGATCTCACAACCAAAATAGCTTTTAACTCTAGTATTATCATTAGTGATTTTTATGGTATCATCTCCTAATTCACTGCTTCCATTATTTATCATATGGCCAATTTCTTTAGATATTGATCACAGATATTAACCACACATGCTCATCACTTTTTGTGTTTGCATTTTATGAAACAGAGCAAAATACCAAAGCAGCTTTGAACGGGTTGAATTCTAAAATTTGCCACTTGTCTAGTTTCAAATCATATCTCTTTCCACAGAACTAAAAGTAGAATTCAAGACCAAAAGAAACCAGCACCCAATGAAATAAGAAATTGCCCTGGATACCAACCATTCCGTTTTCTCAGGTCCCTTCATCCAATCAACCCAGAGAAAAGAGAGCAAATTCCAGCAGGACTTACTTGCCGGCGACGGGGTGCTGCATCCACTCGGAGGCGGATGTCCATGAAGGCCATGGAGGGGAGGCAGGGAAAGTCCTCCGATGACAGGTGGAAAGAGTAACGGGTAGGGTGTGGCTGGATAGTGAGTCATGTGTCCGTTCACTGCTGGGACCGGACATGCGTGGCCGCTGGTGGTCATGTTTCGGGCCTCACAGAAAGAAAGGTGCTCTGGAGCAGGAACACATCACTCCAGGTCTTAAACCAAAGTGAGGGAGGCAAATGCACTGCAGGAGTTGAGGCTGAGCTGTGTTCTGGGCCAAAGTCAAGATGGTTCAACTGATGACCTTGCTTCTTCCCAGCATGGTTTCTCTGCCTGTCATTTTGCTACACTGATTACAGGAAGGATGCTTTCGTCGTTCAGCTTCGCAGTTTAAGACCAGTGAGACACTAGCACCTTCAAATTTCAGAGCTGTTAATTCTGTAAGAAAAAATGAAAAAAATATATATATCACAAAAAATCTCTCCCTTTTTATCAAGTTACTATACAAAACGTCTCTAATACTAATCCAGGTCTCCTAATTCCTTGTCTTCCTACAGTTACTGCTTCCCAAAGAGTGTTAATTTTCTTTTCTCACATTCTAACATAGACTACAACTTTTACTCAATTTAAAAATAACTGGCCATCTGATATTAAATAGCAAAACCTCCACTCCTGTGTTATTTGACTATATCACTCTGCTAAATTTTTCTCCATGGCAGTTAAACGACTTGATACATTACATGTGGGAGTGTTTGTTTTTGTCTGTCTCCCCCATTAGCATGCACTCACCAGGAGGGCAGAGTGTTTTTGTTAACAGTTATGCTTTAAGCTCCTAGAAGAGTACCTGACAAGGGATAGACCCTGAGTATGTATTAGTTGAATGAATGAAATTTTTTTTCTTGCTTTTTTAGGGAAACTATTTAATGCTATTCTAACTGATATGCTTCCAAATTTTACTTCTTTTATATGAGTAACTTTGGATTTTACGGTGGCTATTTGGAGTGACATAGCCAAGATAATAAAATTATGGGAGAAACTATAACCTAATGAGAGAGATAGTAAAATATTATGTATCACTTCTTTATTATCAACATCTTTCACAACTGTGCATCCATCCATCCATTTGTTGACCCATTTGTCTGTCTGCCTATCCAGTCACCTATTCACCAATCAAATCTCACTATTATGTGCCAGGCACTAATGTAAGAACTAGAGATATACACAGTGCCAAAGAACACTAATGTGATTTCTGCCCTGAGCTGCTAGTTTTAACAACTATTGATTGAGGTCATATTGTTAAAGAAGTCTAAACTGCCCCATGCTTCATGAAGGACAATCCAGAGATGCTCAACACCTAGGATTCCTTGAGACTGGGAATAGAAGAAGCTTAAATTCTAGAGTGGGCTGGCTGTAAACTTCATAGCCTCACCTTGGCCCTGATAACCAATATTAAGTAGAAGCTCCCAAACTCTGCCCACTGAATGGCAACCTCTGAATGTATTCATGTGGCACAAAAAAAGATTCATGTGGCACGAAACAAGAGTACTTCAAGGCCAGAATAGAGTAGTTGTTAAGAGCGTGATTCTAGAGCCAGTGTGTCCAGCTCAAATAATTCTGCCCCTCTGGCAATTATTTGTCCTTTCAATGTTATTTTTTTTTCCTGTAAAATAAGAATAATAGAATTTACTTCAGAATGGTATTGTGAGGATTAAATGAAGTAATACAACAGAGAAACAGTGCCTGGTATATAGTAAACACTAGGTAAATAGTAAACGCTTGGTAAGAGTTTCTATTAACATTAACATATTTGTTATCACATCAAAATAATATGCTTCTCACAACAAGCTTGCTGGAATAGACAAGAGGTTTTGGGGTTAGGGCAGGGAGACTACATTATAGTAATCCCAGGAAAACAATGTTAGGACTAAAGCTTACGTCCTTGAAGTAAGGAAGAAAACGAGGGATCTGGGTAAGGTTGAGAACAATCACTCATTAAGCCTTCTTGACTTCAGTTTTTGAAGTGAGTCAGTTTGATTCTTATAAACCCTACAATGTTCTAATCAAATATAATTTTCATTGACTATTTACCATATGTGAGGCACCTCACTATAAGCTCTAACCCTTTTTAAGGCAGATATTTTTTATTTTCCAGATGAGAAGAGTAGGTCTCAGTGAGTTTCAATGAATTCCCCTCAATGTCACAGAGTAAGCCCTCGCTAAGCCAGAATTTGAATCACCTTCTCTGCTCTTGCCCCTCTGCCAAGCTAAGCTTATATATTTTGAACGCCTGTTATGCTGGTTGTACTCTACAGAGGAAAAACTCAGTGAGCAGTCGTGATATTTGCTTCTGTCCTCACTTAGATGACATCTGCCCCAGGGCCTTGAATCCCTGGCCTATTAATATTAAAAACGAACAGTGTCAACAGTGAGACCATATGGTCCCAGGCCCCCTAGTACTCCGCTGAACTTACAAAGGAGATGACATTGCCTGTTGGCTTATACAACACACTAATTCTAAAAATCCCACCCAAAATTTCAATGCCTTTTTCAAACTTTCAAACTACAACTTGTTTCTCTGATGAAAAGAAAGTAAACAGCCTCTGAATCGGTTTCATCTCAGAGATGATTTTGGTGCTTTTTCTTCAAAAAAGCATACGTTATCCAATATATTCAATAGTTTTATTTTGTAGTTTGTAGCAAATTAATTAGAAAATAAACAATACAATTTAGTATTTGCTGAGTTTCCACTCAATTTGATTTTTAAATCACACACAAAGCATAGCATTGTTATAAATGGTCTTTCTATCTCCATTTGACAAACTACCTCATTAACTGGTGGAGCTGACAGTTCAGCAAATCCACCCCCGCAGGGCACAATTCTGATTTTTAAAGCTGTTTTTTTTTTTTTTTTTTACCAACCAGGGACTGGTTGGGAAAAAACCATTATTCCACCCTCAATAATCCTTCATTTCTCTTTGCTTTCAAACGCTGCAGATTGTCAGCATCTTGCCTGTCTGGTTGAGAGGTCTGGTATCATGTCTGGGCTTTTTTTTTTTTTTTTTTTTTTTTTTAAACTGCTTATACTGATAATAGGCAAAAAAAAAAAAAAAAAAAAATCAATGTGTCGAGAAAATCCCGACATTAGGTTGGTGGAAAATTGTCTGAGCAGTCACTGGGTCTATGTTCACATATGTGACTGATTAAGGCTATTCCTGGAAGCAGAGAATTTCCTTTGTTTCAGGCTTTTAGAAAAAAAGATTAGCAGTGCTCTTTTTTCTTTAAGTCTGATTTGAGTTTGTGCTCATCTGGGGTTCTTTCCTTCACCACCTCAGGCAAGGCAAACAGGAGCTGAGTGGAAGACAGGAAGGAAGTAGGGACTGGGTTAGAAGGTCTTGGATCTACCAGCCAAGAGATTCTCTGGGTATCAGTTTCAGAATCTGTAAAAGGGGTCAAGTGAAGAGAAGTAGGCTTTATGTCAAGTTTCTCAAACTGCATTTTCCAGAAAATAAGTGTTTTACAAGAACATACTAAATGAAAAAAAAAAGATTAAAATAATAATTGTCGGTATAGTTGATATTGTTATGCAATAATCTGCCTTTGATAAACAAAACGCCAGACAGGAGGTAGCATGATTGGTCAACCACTTGAATCACACATGCACATTTAGTGGTAGGGTCTTGGTAATCTTTACAAATTTTAATATTTATGCCTGTATCTACGATATCTTATTAACAAAATAATTTATTTTTCTATTTTTCTCCACACATATGTATATAATTTTTCTCTGTATGTATATAATTGTGGAAATCAATTCCACAATTATTTTTGTTCTATGAAAACATTTTTAAAATAACATTTGAATGATTTTCTGTTGCATTTCATTCACGAGAGGTCATTTTTGTATTAAGTTTAGCTCAAATTTGCATGTAAGCTTCCAACCTTATACTTCTCGACAATTCAAATTTATTTTATAAACATAATACTTACAACACGATTTTTAAAAGTCAAATAGTTTCTTTAGATCAGTGATTCTCAAAGTGGGTCCCTCAGCTGGCAACATCAGCATCACCAGCAAACTGGTTAAAAATGCAAATTCTCCAGGCCCCACCGGAGAGACCTACTGAATCAGAAACTCTGGGAAGAGCCTCCCCTCACATGCATTCTAACAAGCCCTCCAGAGGACTCCGATGCAGCTAACATTTGAGAGCCACAGCTCTAGACGTGAGGTTGGCAAATTTCTTCTGTAAAGAGCCAGAAAGTGAATATTTGAGACTGTGGTTCATACAGTCTCTGTCACTACTGCTAAACTCTCTTGTTGTAGCAACTAATTTGGCACAAAAGCAGCCACAGAGAATCCATAAATGATTTGGTGTGGCTGTATTCCAATAAAGCACTATTTGTAAAGACAGACAGCCTGATGAATTTGACCCATGGGCCGTGGTTTGCTGACCCCTGCTTGAGACTGATAAAGAATAACAGCTCTCTATCCTTCTCATTCTTGAGTTCCCCTCAGAAGCAAGTACTTCAATTTCTTTTTTTTTTTCTTTCTTTTTTTTTTTTTTTTTTTAAGAAATAAGGTGTCGCTCTGTCACCCAGGCTGGCGTGCAGCAGCACAATCACAGTTCCCTGCAGCCTCAAACACCTGAGCACAAGCAATCTTTCCACCTCAGTCTCCAGAGTAGCTGGAACTATAGGTGTGTGTCACCAGGCCCAGCTAATTTTTGTATTTTTTGTAGAGACGTGGTTTTGTTATGTTGCCTGGGCTGGTCTCGAACTCCTGGACTCAAGTGATCCTTCTGCCTCGGCATCCCAAAGTGCTGGGATTACAGGCATGAGTCACTGTGCCCAGCCAAAATTTTTTTTATCTATTGGTTCCTACTATAAATATGATATAACTCTCTTAAACTATTGCCCACACATAGAAACCTCTTTCTCCTTACTCCCAACATAATTTTATCACAATTTTAAAAATAAAAATCATTTACATTATGTTTATATTATGACCAGATAAATATTGTTACAGTTGAGTTACGTGATATACTGCATTTATAGTTTTCTTATAAAATTGTTTCTTTCCTGGAGTTAACAGCTTTATTTACATAATTTGATTAGTCTTCTTTATATCCGTGAATAATTCTTTGCTAAGTCTCCAGCAATTTTGTCTGGCATGTCATGTGATAAATGAATTCCACAGTTGGAGACATTCCTCCTGCTCCAGGGCTGATTGGCTTCTTTCCTAGCCACATGCACTGATGTCAGACTAGGACTTTCTATTATTGCTTCTCTCTTTTTTCGGAATCCCCATTTCCTGAAACTCATGTCTTTCTTTACTGGCTTTTTTCAGTTGGGTAGCTTTTTTCCTAAGAGTTTTCTGAAGGATGTTATGTGGGAGGTAAATTTTTTGAGACTCTGCATGAATTACAATATTTTTGTGTTGCACTTCACATATGTTTAACAGTTTGGCTAGGTATAAAATTGTGGATTAGAAGTCATTTTTTTAAACAGAGTTTTAAGTATGTTGTGCCATTTCCCCAAGCTTTTTACATTGCTTTAGAAAAGTCCAATATTATTCAGATTTCTGATCCTGTGTGTGTGAAATTCTTCCATTTCTTGTACTCTTCTCTTTAATCTCAAGGATCCCTTTCCCTGCTTCATTGTGTTATGCACTTAGTAAATGCATTCAATCTGCTAACTCAAGTCCTGTTAGGAAAAATTTTATTTTATGCTTCCTTTGATAATATCTTCCTTAACTTCTGTTTTGTTGTCTCCATTTGGAAATCTTATTTAGATGGTAGACCTTCAGAATTGATTGTCTCTATTTTCTCTCCATTTCCGCTTCTTCATCCATTCGTTCTCTTTTCTGGAAGATATCCTCACCTTTAACTTCCAATTATTCTATTGATTTTTACATTTATGGTAACATATTTTTAACATCTAAAAGTTTTTCTTGTCTTTTCTTATTTATACATTGTTCTTTGTCATGACTGCCACGTATTTTCTGATATTTTTTAGGATATTAAGAATAGTTCTAGGTGGGGTGTGATTTCTTATGCCTGTAAACCCAGCACTTTGGGAGGCTGAGGTGGGTGGATTACTTGAGATCAGGAGTTTGAGACTAGCCTGGCCAGTATGGTGAAACCCTGTCTCTACTAAAAATGCAAAAAATTAGCCGGGCATGGTGGCACCTGCCTGTAATCCCAGCTACTTGGGAGGCTGAGGCAGGAGAATCAATTGCTTGAACCTGGGGGGCGGAGGTTGCAGCGAGCCAAAATTGTGCCACTGCATTCCAGCCTGCGCAACAGAGCAACACTCCATCTCAAAAAAGAAAAAGAAAAAGACAAAAAAAAGAGAAATGTCCTTTTCAGTGTTTTATTCTGCTTACTATATTATAGACTCTTTCTCTTTACTTTTTCTGTTTTATTTCCATTAACATTAGATGTATTTCTCATTTGTATTGTCTGCCAAATTCTCTAGTCTGTCCATTCATATTATAAAGAGGAAGTTTATTGCAAATTGTTTCCATGGCTGAACCTTGTCAAATGAGTGAATTTCATAAAAAGTTATATAACTGTTACATTTATTTCATTGTGGGACTCCCCAAATGTCAGATTAATGGGCTTTTTATTTGGGACTCTTGGATAACTCCATTGAGCAATCCTGTAAGCATCTGCCCAGGGTAGGGTGGAAAGAAAAAAACCTTATGAAAGACTCTAGTATTCGAATGGAGGAATAAGGCTGGGGCTGCTGGTGGACTTACTATGAAATATGTGGCCTTTCACATCTTCCTCCAGTTTTCAGTCCACCACTACCACCCTATGGTATATTGATGCTTGGTGTCTAGAACTCAGTAACCCCTCTGATTTAGTTTCTTCAAAGAGTAGATTTACCTTTCTTACCAGGGATGGGTTACAATAATCAAGATAAAATTGGTAGAGGAGTGAATTTATCTTCTGCTTACTTACAACAACAACCAATTTTCCTTTCCATCATCACTTCCTTGTTTCAGGATAGCTGGTGCCTCTGCTCTCTGGGACTGGCCAAGATTCCACTGCTAGTATCTCCTTGCATCCCCTTTTCATCTTCTTCTTTAGACACCTAGCAATCTGCTTTCAGTACTTTGTTCATTTATTTGACACTGCACATTTGCTGTCCATCTTCCAAAAAAGTTGGTGCCATTTCTTGTCAGTGATTAGCATCACTCATATTCTTGTTATCTTTGATGATTTATACTTTTTACATCTCCTGTCATTTTAGTGAAGATTTGAGAACAGGAAAAAGTGCACGTCTTTTAATCCATTATATTTCACTGGATGTTCATTAAGTTTAAAAACTAGAGCTCTGTGGTCAAATAAGTTTGGGAAACCTACACTGGATGATTCCTTAACCTTTTCAGCTCTACATGTCTTCTCTGAAGAGGGAGTTAAATAATATTTTAACTATGAGGAAACGGTTCACTCAAGACCACAGATGAGACAAGATTAAATCAATATCTAAATTGGCATTCCCTTGTGGCAAGAGAAAGGCAGTAACAGCACCAATCTGAAATTGAACAATAAAAAACTGAGATTTGACCTGCCATTATGGACATGCCATGGGGATGTGTCAAATGTCTTCTACAAATAATAAATAAAATATAGATGGGATTTGGCTTGCCTTAGACACACATCTGCAAATGTAGTGGATAATGTGAAATGCCACTTAATGCATTGATGACTTGATATGTGATTTCTTGAAGACCCTAGCTTGGAGACAGGACCCTTATTAGAGTTGGCCTTGAGACACAGGAGTTAAACACTTTGAAATGGTGAGAAGTGTTAGTTTTACACTGTGCTTCCTTCAAGAGTGATCCAAGCAACAAAACAGACAAGATTTTTGGAGAAAACGTATCCATTTCCTCTGGCTGCAATTTACTCACAATGTGGCTGATGTGGCTAACATAAAAAACAGAAATAAGTGAAAAAGAGAGATTTTTTCAATGTCTTGTGATAGAGTACAACAAATTCTTTTGTACTTCTTTGGCTGATTTAGAACTTGGTGTGGGGAAATCTTTGCTTTGACAGACACTACATATATATTGCCATTTTTTTCCCAATGTATTTTAGCTCAAGCCTCCCTATTTAAGAGATTGGTTCCAGGTAATGCCACTTCAAATTTCTCAGATGCATCCAGCCAAGTACCTGTTTTCAGCAAAAATACCAGGCTCAGCACAAATCCTGTCAGTTGCTTTTGCTGCTGTTCTTGATAGAAAAGAAACATGGATGTAAAGAAGTCAGTTTTGCATGCCTGGTGGTTTTGCAACCTCTCGTATATTCAGCATCCTTATCATAAATATTGCTGATAAAATTACTCTCAACTTAAAGAGAAGCCGTAATGGAAAAACTTGAATTTGGCCAAAAAGAGGCATTTCTTACCTCCTTTTAATTTGGGAATAAAGGAGATGGAAGAGAGTAATTTAGAGGAAATAATGCAGTCAAAGGAGTCTTAGACCACCGAGTGAGGGAGGATGAAATCTAAATAGCTTCCTCTGCATCAGGAGGGGTCATTTAATACAGTAAAATTTTTTTTAAGAAGCTTAGAAAGAATGTCCCTGTATTTCTTTTTAGGCCATTTTAAAAAGAAATATGTAAGATTCCATCTGCTAAAGAAACAGAGTTCAAATATGACTTTCAGAAAAAATAATAGGCAGAAATGCACATATATTACAATGTATAAAACACTGAGATTTTACTTCTATAAACTATGAGAGTAGTAATGTAAATAGGGGTTTTTAGGGAGTCAATGCTCAACCCAAAGTTGTTACATCTGCTAGCAATGCACACACATGCTGAAGTCAGGCTTCACCTAAGGTCTTTTCATGTATATTCCCAAACGTAAGGTATAAATGTATTGGACTAAAGGTCTGCTTGGACCATTGCTTGTTTTTGAGAAAAGCGGTGGTAGGCAACTCCTTGTACAACAGTTTCCATGCTACATATTATGGAATCCTCCCAAGCCAAGCGAATGACTGGCCTAGGATTTGGTTCTCAAGGGAAATTCAGCTATCTACAGGATCTACAGGCTGGCAGATGCCTGAGAGAGAGCTTGGAAGCAGTAGTGTGCCCAGTGGGAGTCTCCACATTGGATGTTGACCCATCTATCCTATCAGAGTCTTACTGCTGATTGGTTTTGAATGCCTAAGACACCTAGAAAGACAGAGAGAGAAGACTGGCATAGAAATGGAAATGTATACAGAAAAGCAAGGTGGCAGAAGCCATGAGACTACAGAAACCACGTGTAAACAAGAGACATGAGAGAGAGCAGAGAAGCAATGTACTGATAGAAACAGAGACAAAAAGAGTCACAGTAGCTACAACTGTGCTTCTGAGTTTGGCTTTAGTGTCAAGAACGGCATTCTAGACATTGTGAGGCCGGTGTCTTTAACCATTGAAACTGGTTTGTATTTTTTTTCTTTCTTCTTTCTTAAAAAAAACTCCCAAATTATCTCTCTAGGCCTTAGATCCCAGAAGGACCATACTAACTCAGTACTTAACTGCCCCTTTTAGAAGAGTAAGGTGCCCAATCTTGAGTTGACTGTGATCACAGACCATGGCTGAAGGTCGACCTGCACGTTGAGATTAAGCCTGATATGTTACTGAGTGGGATTAGGAAGTGTTCATTCATGAATGACACAGTGCTGAAAAGAGCAAGACAGAGACACAGCTGAGATTCCTGAACTCTTGTAGTTTATAATTTAAGATAGAGAGTTAAAAACAGACACAGCATACTTGCTATAGTCAAACTCAGCATGTATGCGTACCCATTTCTATTTGAAAATAAGTTTATGGAACATTTATTCATTTTATAAAAGAAAAATTCACATAATTGAAACCATAATAGGGTCCCCAAAGTAGCAGATTTAAATAAGTATTTAATATTTAAATATTACAACATACCTATAATTTGAAGGGGTATATCTATTCTAGAAAATCAAGTCTAGCCATAAATGTATTTTTAACAAGTTCATTCACTTGAATTTAAAAGTCAAGACAACAAAAAAGCAAGAATTTTCAAGGTACATTTGAGTTATTTGTGGTCAAATAAATGAGATGGTCACATGGTTCCATAGTAGGTCAGGACTGTCAGAGTTGCCACAGAATGTCAGGTCACTGCACACATGGGTTGCCCATGCTTGCTCAGCATTAACGCTGGCCTTCCCACCTATATGAAGCAGGTTAAGGACACCTTAGGACCTTCCTATAATGGCAATCAGGATCTCTAATAGTCTTGCTGCTCAATATCCAGTGGGCTATGGGTGATATTTGGACCCATTCTCATCAGTTTCTCGGGTGAGATCACTTGACCATCCTCCAACACCCACCCCTACTACCTTCTGGCTGAGGTCAAAGATATAATAACTAGTTCTTTCCAGCTACCTTCTCCCCAGTGGCCAGACTGTATCCTCATGCTTCTGGGAGCTGCATTTTTTTTATCAAGCCAGGCAGCCAGTCTGGGAATGTCACCACACAACCCTGACCTACACCTCTGTCTGCACTCCTTGTAGTCTGTTCTTTGTCCACCATACCAAGCTCTTTGGAGAGGAATCAGTACCCATTTTGCATACTGTGTGAGACGCAGTTAGTTCCTTTGAGAACAAGACCTATGGCCAGGAAAGTTACCATACTCAGGTCTTCTCCTATTCCATGCTCTTTTCATTCCCCACTACCTTTACCTCCTAAGGTCAAAAGAAACATCACAACTGAATTTAGTGGAATAGAGTTTTCTAATTGGTGTTCCAGAATATGGATTAGAAGTATGCCTGTGACTTTGGTCTCCCCAGCGTCTAGTGGCTTGGTGGGGCCTGAGAGTGAGGGAACGGGGTCCTTGACTCAATGAGTCCATCCCTTAGCAGACTCTTTATTGACCACCAAGGGCCATGCAAATATTATTAATTTCTGTGTGTTCCTTGATGTGGAAAAATGTTAGAAAGCACTACATTAGAATTATGATATTACATAAGGAAGGCAAGACCAAATAAACAAATATATATATATATATATATATATATATATATATTTTGAGATAGGGTCTTATTCTGCTCAGGCTGGTGTGCAGTGGCATGATCTTGGCTCACTGTAGCCTTGCCC
This sequence comes from Homo sapiens, assembly GCF_000001405.40. Lineage (NCBI taxonomy): Eukaryota > Metazoa > Chordata > Mammalia > Primates > Hominidae > Homo > Homo sapiens. Next base: position 25,163,433 of record NC_000003.12, on the reverse strand, counting down.
TCCCAGGCTCAAGCAATCCTCCTGCCTCAGCCTCCTGAGTAGCTGGAACTACAGGAAATCACCACCATGCCCAACTAATTTTTTATTTTTTTTGTAGAGACAGGGTTTCCCTATGTTGCCCAGGCTGGTCTCAAACTCCTAGACTCAAGCAATCTGCTCACCTCAGCCTCCTGAAGTGCCGGGATCATAGGCGTGAGCCACCACACCACAAATAATTATTTTTCAGGTGTGGAAGAAATGTCTAGTTTCTGTATTTTATTTAATCCAGATTTGACTGGACTCTAAATCCTTATCCTGACACATAATAGGACATTCAGCCCACTATTAGGGTTTTCTCCCTCTCTCAAGGTTTTGCAATGGAAGGATATGCAGACATTGAAATGCTTTAACGTTGCTGGTGAGAATATCAAATGTTTCAGCCACTTTAAAGAACAGTTTGGCAGGTCCTCAAAAAGTTAAACATGGAACTACCATATAACCCAGTAATTTCAATTCTGGCTGTATACAGTCAAGGGAATTGAAAACATGTCCACATAAAACCTCGTACACAAATGTTTATAGCAGCATTATTCACAACATCCATAAAGTGAAAACAATCCAAGTGTCCATTAATTGATGAATAAACAAAAGTGGTCCATCTATACAAAATTATATTGATTGACCATAAAAAGGGAATGAAGTAGGGATTGTTCTATTACATGGATGAACCTTGAAAACATTATGCTACAGGAAAGAACCCAGACATAAAAGGCCACATATTATACGATTCCATTTATATGAAATGTCTAAAATAGGCAAATCTTGAGACAGAAAGTAGATTAGTAGTTGTCAGGTGCTAGAGGGAGGAAAGAATAGAGGGTGACTGCTAATGAGTGTGGAGTTCCTTTTTAGAGTGATGAAAATATTCTGCAATTAGATTGTGATGATGGTGCACAAATTTGTGAATATACGAAGAACTACTGAATTGTGCATCTTAAAATGGTGAATGTTGTTGTTTGAATTATATCTTGATAATTTAAAAAGAATGGCTGGGCGTGTGGTTTGTGCCTATAATCCTAGCATTTTGAGAGGCCAAGCGAGGAGGATTACTTGAGACCAGGAGTTTGAAACCAGCTTGGGCAACATAGCAAGACTCTGTTTCTACAAAAATAAAAATAAAAAATTTAGCCAGGCATGGTGGTGCTTGCCTATAGTCTTAGCTACTTGAGAGGTTGATGGGGGAAGATTGATTGACCCCAGGAGGTTGAGGCTGCATGAGCTATGATCACACCACTGCACTTCAGCCTGAGTGACAGAGGGAGAGTCTGTCTCTAAAAAATAAACTTAAAAAAGAAATAGGCACATATATACATACACAAACCAACCCACACACCCATTCCTGGGGTTGGGATCTCAGGCCTCAGTCCACACAGGTTCTGCTGATACATGCCCAAGGTGTGAGGCCAGATTGTCTTGTGTGTCTGTCTGTCTTGGTCTCTGTACCCTGGGCACAGGGTCTAGCCTTTCTATGGGTACCATGCAGCCTCTTTCCCTGGAAGGCTCTCATAATCCAGGGGGCTCTGCCAGGGTTAGGTCGTGGTCCTCACCATGCATACATTCCATGGGCCCCTTCCCCTATTCATCTTCAGGGAATATCTAGAAGACATTTTGTTGTAAACTTGCATCTGTTATTTAAAATATATTCAACATTTTGGAAAAAAGAAGTGAGTAAGATACACACACAAAACTAGCTCTGCAAAGAGATATGCACAAGAATATGTACTAAGAAAAGTGGGAAGGCAAAATGGTGGAAGAGAATGATGAGTGTTTTACATTTGTGAGCCAGTGGAAGAGAATCTTGAGTGTTTTACATTTGTGAGCCAGTGGAGACCACGATGAAAGTATGGAGAAGCAGAAGTATCGTTAATTTACAATTCTACATTAACATTAAAAGGACATGGAGTTAGGTCTCTGTGAAACAGAGCCAGCAATGGTAGACAGCAGAATGGCCCCCACAGGTTCCATGTTCTAATTCCCAGAACCTGAGAACATTACCTCATATGGCAAAAGGACTTTGCAATGTAATTAAAGTTAAGAATCTTGACATCAGCCAGGCGTGGTAGCTCACACCTGTAATCCCAGCACTTTGGGAGGCTGAGGCAGGAGATCACTTGAGGTCAGGAGTTTCAGAGCAACCTGGCAAACATAGCGAAACCCTGTCTCTACTAAAAATACAAAATAATAATAATAATAATAATAATAATAATAATAATAATTAGCTGGGCATGGTGGTGGGTGCCTGTAATCCCAGCTACTCAGGAGGCTGAGGCAGGAGAATCGCTTGAACCCAGGAAACAGAGGTTGTAGTGAGCCGAGATTGGGCCACTGCACTCTAGCCTGGGCGACGGAGCAAGACTCCATCTCCAACAACAACAACAACAACAACAAAAAGGAGATGATACTGGATTATCTGGTAGCCCAGTGTAATTACAGGGATTCTTACAAGAGGGAGGCAAAGGGAGATTTGATTATAGAAGAGGAGAAGGTGATGTGATGGAAGCAGAATTTGGGGTGATGTGCTTTGAAGGTGAGGAAGGAGCCAAAGACCAAGGCCTATGGGGAAGCCACTAGAAGCTGAAAAGGGCAAGGAAACAAGTTCTCCTTGCAGATCCTTCTGAAAGAACGAACCATGGCGGCACCTTGACTTTAGCTCAGGGAAGCTGATTTTGGACTTCTGACCTCCAGAGCTATAAGATAATACATTTCTATTTTAAGCTTGTAGTAATTTGTTATCACAACAATAAAAACCTAATACATCAACCCATGCTGAGCCTCCTTAGAGGACCTAATCAAGAGCATGAGCCACAAATACTGACCAATTATTTCTCCTGGATTCAGTAGCCAGGTTTTTTGTTGTTGTTGTTTTTCACACATAGTGGAAAATCCAATGTGTGGTGTTGGGTAGTGAGAGAAACTTGAAGATGCTCACTGCTGGCTATGAAAACTCCCTGCAATGCTGCAGCAGGGACAAAGCCACATGATGTCAGTTCTATAAAAGACGTGGGTTCTAGAAGAAGCCAGGGGTCAAAGTAATGTCAAGAGGTAAGGCAAGAGTGCAGTAATTTTATTGGGAAAGTGCAACATTTCCTAGAAAAGTCTTTAAAATGTTAAAATGTTCATTTGGCTATTTCGCTTTCTCCACTTTGCCATGTGGAAATTATGTAAGGTCATTTATTTATCTGCAGCCTTAGAGCTGTCCTGAAAATTACCAGAGCCTAGAGATAATATATGATAGAGCTATTTCATCTATTTCAAATAGATATGATGGAGACAGTTAAACAGTTACAGGAAAGAATGACAGGGTTCTTGCACCAGTGTGTGAGTTTATAGAGAGAAGCTGAAACAAAAATATCAAATCTCAGTGTTTTGTTTTTTAAACGTTTTGTACTTAAGAATTTCCTTTGCTGTCTTAATTAGCCTGTGGTTTTCAAGAGAGTTGGGAGGAGAAAGAATGGGTAGTTTTCTCTTCCCCCAAAATAAAGATGTGTCTGAATTATCTCCCTTATTCTCTTTGTGGGTGTTTGGGGTGTTAGTACCTAGAAGAAAAATAAAAGTTTAACCTCATTTGAATACTGAAGTTTGGCCTCCTCACATTAGGAAATGACATTTTAAGTTATCCCAATGCCTTCTTCTCCCTAACTCTGGCAGCTTGGCTGTGTGGCCTCCACTCCCATTCTGAGACCTGCCCCCCTTTTTGTTGTCAGAAAAACCTCTAAAAGATGACTAAGAGATCAAAGAGGATACAGCTGTTTTGCTTCATTCATCTGAATGAAGCCATGTGTGCAATATGGATAAAATGTACGATCATATAAGAAATCAACCAGAATATATTTCCAAGTGGCACTTTTCCTTCCAGACAGTCATAGTATGTGGCTCACAACTTATTCAGATGACGCTATTACTCAAGACACTTTTGGGTTGGGCACGGTGGCTCACGCCTGTAATCCCAGCACTTTGGGAGGCTGAGGGGGAGCGGGGGGGGTGGATCATCTGAGGTCAGGAGTTCGAGACCAGCCTGACCAACATGGAGAAACCCGGTCTCTACTAAAAACACAAAATTAGCCAGGTGTGGTGGTGCATACTTGTAATCCCAGCTACTCACGAGGCTGAGGCAGGAGAATTGCTTGAACCGGGGAGGGGGAGGTGGAGGTTGTGGTGAGCCGAGATCGCGCCATTGCACTCTAGCCTGGGCAACAAAAGCAAAACTCCATCTCAAAAAAAAAAAAAAAAAAAAAAAAAAGACAATTTGGAACAGTTTTCTTGGGAGAAATCATCACTAGAGGAAATGTGGCAGAGACATTACTATATTCTCATCAAATATCATTTTCTTTTTTTTTCACTTACACAGCCAAACAGTATTTCCCAACTTCTTCTGCATCTAGCTGGGGGCATAAGACCGAGCTCTGGCCTGTAGAACGTGGGTGATGTGATGTCTGCCACTTCCAGGCCTAGTCCCCCAAATCGCCTACAGAATTTTTCAGGCTCTCTCTTCTCTCTATTGCTGACTGAATGCAGAGGGTTCAATACAGAACTCTGAGGACCTAGAAAACCTCAGAACCTCTACTGGGAAGCAGTTTGGGTCTCTGAATAGTTGTATGGAGCACAGCCTTCCTACGTGCCTGCACTGGATGATGACATTAGTGAGAAATAAATCTTTATTGTATTTAGTTGCTGAAATGTGCAGATCTATGTTATAACTGGACAAATAAAGTCATTAATTACATAAAGATAATAATTTCATGACTTTATATTTGTACTTCAATTTTTGATTCCCAAATCTTCTCTGCCCCTATTGACTAGACTTTCTTCTGAAATTATTCTTTTAAAGCAAATATATCTTAAGGAAGAAGAGTTACCACCTCCCCCCTAAAACCAATACTTGCTACAAAGGCAATTAAAAAACAAGAAGAATTCAAATGACAATCTGATAATTAGTAGCATCACTGAAATAGGTCTACAGCTTCTTCAAGGATCAGCTTGAAAGCCAACAGCACTCACTTGAATTTATGGGAGAGATTATAAGCAATTGTAACAAAGAATGCAAGCCATGGAACTATTGAAAAATAATATTTCTAAGTGATTAATATTTCAATAATTATAGCATTCTAATAATTGAAGGGTGATTTGGTTTTCTATATGATATAAGGTGATGGTGTGATCTCTCAGGTAAAATTATGGTAGCCAGTCCCCAGGATAAAGATATGGGAAGGAAAGTTTGTAAGGAAACAGAGCAGTATTATCTTGATAGGCTGGCTGGTAATACGTGAGCAGTAATGTTTCTTTGCTGCTTATGTGTTTGGGTCGGAAATTATGTTTAAAGTAGTTTAACTTCATTGGTGCAAATATCACATTATGGAGAAAATTGCTATTTATACACGTGCATTCTTTTGAAGTCAAGATAACCACACTTTGGAAAAGTTATTAATTCAAACTGTGTTAAATTACAGACATTCTGGATAAACAATAGTCTGCTGCATCAGTTGATTTAAAGTTGGTCAGCACATTGCTTTGTGAATTCACACCGTGCAAATAAAGAGGTGAGTCTTATTCAAGGAAACAAACCATAGCAATCAAGCTTCTGTTAGAGGCAAAGAGTAAAATCTCGAGTCTCAGCTTTCTGATTTAAAAAATGAGAAAATAACAGGACTTAGCACACAAATTTGTGAAGAAGATCAAATGAGTTAATATAGATACTTAGGGCTGGGCATGGTGGCTTCCACCTGTAATCCCAGCACTTTGGGAGGCGGAGGCAGGCAGATCGCTTGAGGCCAGGAGTTTGAGACGAGCCTGGTCAACATGGTGAAACCTCATCTCTACTAAAAATAAAAAATTAGCTGGGTGTTGGTGGCTCACGCCTGTAGTCCTGTTACTCTGGAGGCTGAGGCTGGAGAATCACCTGGGAGGCTGAGGTTGCAGTGAGCTGAGATTGCACTACTGCATTCCAGCCTGGGTGACAGGATGAGACACTGTCTCAAAAAAAAACAAAAACAACAACAAAAAAAACCATATATATACACACACACACACACACACACACACACACAAACACACACACTCAGAACTGTGCCTCGCACTAAGGAAGCACTAATTATTGTTAATATTGTTAACATTGTTAATTTTGTTAATATTGTTGACTCCATGAAAATACCTGATAAGTTTAAGCATGTTTAAGCCAGTTCACATTCACACATAGCTGGAAACAGAACAAAACACTTTTTCCCATATTTGTTTTGAACAGATACCTTATTGTTTCCTGTATTACTTATCCATTCATTTATTTATATCAGATGTATGTTTACATGCATACACATACATACATCCTTTTTTAGAAGTCAAATTTCTTGACTTAAAAATCAATTTAGGAGATTTATTAAGAAAATGACAAACGTATGAACGTGGTCATTATTTCCGCTGACTGAGGTTTTACAAGTGCCTGCTACGATCTCTAGCCTGACCTAGCTCCAATATTTCAGCTGTCCAGTTAGCCAGAAGTTTAACTGAAAGGCCTGCCACATTCCTAACTATTGTGTCACTGGAGCAATCTGCTAGAGACAGCACCTCTTTTAGCCTTGTTCTAGCTAAGACTCAGCCTGTTTCTCTTTCTTAAACTCTTTCAGGAGGGAAAAAAATAATCAGCCTAAAAATTCCTCTGGGCCAAAATACAGCCTTGGACATCTTATGCCAAGAAGGACTCAAAAATACTGGCTGAAGCATTTTTTTAATGTGTTGTAGGAACGAGAGCATCTCCATTTAGACTCTGTGCACATTTTTAAAATAACTGTTTTGTTCTCTGTGGACAAGCACTTTAAAAATTAGGATTAAAAATTAAGTGAAAAGTCTAACTGCCTTTTTTTTTTTTTTTTTTTTTTTTTTTTTTTGCAGTTGGGGCTAGAATTTGTGTGATTAGAGTCAGTTAAAATGAAGGGAAATTAATAGCAAGAAAGCATTCACTAGTGATGTCAATGAATGGCCACATTTCCATGACATTTTACTGCATCCACTCAAACAGATGGGATTCCAGGGCTAACTGGCCTCTGTTGAGATGAATGAGATTCCACAACTATTAGCACATTGGCATAGAAATGGGCTGAATTCAGTTGCAGAGGCATTCTTACAGAAACAAAGAAGATCACAAAGCTACCTTGTCCCCAGTGTCCATCAACACAGACCCATTCGTTATCAAATCCCATTCATTCCTGCTAAAGTTACATTCAGTATCAGACGACATTCTTCGGCACCACATGGAAATTCTGAGGATCTGATTATCTATTAACTACTATTGATGCTGATGTGGCTGGTTTGGCTACAGAAGACCAAACAGCACTCTCACAAATGGTGATACAAGTCGAAAAATTGCCAGGCAAAAAATCAAGCACACAGAGAAAAAGCAGACTCACCAATAAACAAATGAACTAAGGCCTCCTGTGTTGGCAAAGGTCACCCAATACATTGAAATTCAATGGAGGGGGTTTTAAGTTAAGGAAAACAGGCAAACACCAGGGAAGCTATCATGTAAAAAGGCTGGGAACCAATGCCCCCTTTCCTATAGAAAGGAGCCAGCATGGGGTATGCTTTGCAGATGGGCTGGGGTAGCAGACAGGCTGCAGAGCACATCTGGCACACAGGTGTATGGCCTTGTGTTCCTAAGCCAGCCATCAACAGTCATGTGGAAAGAGTCCTATTGCTGTTTTGGGTGAAAATCAAGAGGAATTGTAGCTGAGAGATCATAAAGCTTTTTGAAAAAAAGTGTGTGGGTCCCAGCCAAAACATTCTTCCTCCAGATTATATTTTTAATCCACCTACTTAATTAACTAGCTCCTCAGTGGATCAAATGATATTAGTGAGTTAGAGTAATATTGCCACTGGAGCAGTCATTTAATTCTAGCAACTCTAAAGCAAATTATTTCATAAACGGATAGTTTATTCAATTCTGTTCAGTTCCAATTCAATTCTGAGCCCCTTCTATGACCAAAGCACTGAGATAGACCCGTGAGGGAAGACAGTAAGGGAGGAACAATCCCTGCCCACAATCTAACAAGGGAATAGTGACTGCTACAAAATAATAGCAATGCAATGCAAATAAAGTTTACGTGTGCTGGGGTCAGGGGGAAGAGAATTAGTTCTAAAAGGGAGGGTGATCACTTTCATGGCAGGAAAGCAGAAAAGACATGACAGAACAGAGAGCATGGAAGAAAAATGCTAAAAAATACAAAAAAAAGAATTGAGCAGACAAGACAGATATATTGGGGAAGCAATATTTCATTTTAGATGGAATATAATGCATACGGAAAGAGAATAGTGATAAAATCTAAATCAGAGAATGGCAATGAGAAGAAATAACAGAATTGGATGTGAGAATGATAAAATGTTAACAAGTGATTGAATGAATTGGGCAAGTTTCATGAATACTTGCTATGTGTTAGGTCCTACATTGGATGTTGGAATACAAAAGTAAAAGCCATGCTCATGCCACCCCTGCTTCCTCCCAAGTAGCTCACAGCCTACTGGGGAAAAGACAAGCCTTTAGGGTTGGCGCCATGCTCAGATGTAGGTAGGTGCGAGTATTATGAAAGCACACAGGATGCACACCTAGCCAACAAAGGACTGGTTGGGGAAAGGTGACAACTGAACTGGGCAAGGGCCTTCTGCACAAAATATAGAAAATGTAAACTCTGAGCTGGGGAGTAGTAAGAGATTGGAATGGAAAGGAAGGATCTGGATGGAAGACCCTACACATGTAGTTTGGGCAACTGGACTTTTCTCCTGCATGTACCCACTGGTGAGTCATTGGAAGGTCTGAAGTAGGGACATGACATTGTGAGATATGCAAAGGCCACTTTGGCAGCTGTGTGGAAAATGGATTGGTAGCAAAGCTTTGAGGCTGGACAACCAGCCAGGAGACTATTGCAAGGGTCCCACTGAGAGGGCCCAAGACTTTGGTCTCCGCCATGATGAATCCAAAGAACATTAATGAGGGTAGCACAGATAGAATAAGACATAGATTGGACATGGGATTAAAGGAGAGTCAACAATGAAGGCTGACTCCAGAATTCTGGTTTTATAAACCAAGCAAATAACGGTACCCTTCAGCAAGCTAAGGAACTCGGATGGAGCAAAAGGCTTCAGAAAGGATGAACGTAGTTTTGGATGAGTTAATTGAAATGCCTGTGGATATATACTAGCAGATATATCCATTAGCACCGGTTGATGTGAAAACAAGTCAAATCATATAGAATAAAAGGAAAAATCAATAAGATATCTTTAATTGTGTAACACAACATAGCTGGCTTCTTAAAAATCCACATAATCATAGAAGAGAGTGATTTGGAATGAGCATAATAAAAGTGAAAAGCATACAAAGATAAAGTCCAATGCAAAATGCTTTAATGTAGTGTGAATTCTCTGCATTCTTCATGTACCTCTTTAGAGACAACATATTCTTCAGAAGCCTCAGTAAATGTCAACAGGATCTGAGCTCCAATTTGCCTGGCTCTTTAATTGGCCCTCATTGAGAATATTGTGAACAGAATATTGTGCTAAGTACAATGCACAATGTTGAGGAAAGTGTGGCAGAAAGATAAACATCACATGTTCTCACTTGCAGTATCAAAAATCAAAACAGGGCTGGGCAAGTTATCTCATGCCTATAATCCCAGCACTTTGGGAGGCCTGTGCTCTGACCACAGTGAGTACATAATATGCATTGTTAATGTATATTAGGCCTGACTGTTGAAAAACAGCATTCTTAACTACAGTAGCGAATTATTTATCAAACAACTCAGAAGGTTTTCACATTGTTTAATTATAGTTATATATTCTTATTACTGTTTTATATTGGCCCAGTGCACACAGATACTCTAGGCGAGACTTTCCAACCCTAACCTCATTGAATTGTCAGTATCTGATCTGTCCTTTGATAACAGCAGAAGTCGTACAAATGGACTAAAGTCAGTGTACTTTATGGCGGTAACTCGATAAAGAAATTATCTCTGCATGTCCTTCGTAAGGAATGAGATTTTGAGCCACATTTTGGCAGACAGCTCATTAGTGATATTTTTGATGACTAAGCTGATTTGGAAATTGCTTGTTAAAAGTCTGCGGATGACGTGCACAAAACAACACTTCTCTGTGTCTTTGTGCCTCTCTCTGTGTGTAATTGCTATACACATGTTTCCTGGTGAAGAATCAGCATTCAGGACACCTCTACTCTACTGAAAGCATGCACGCACGCATGCACACACACACACACACACACACACTCTGCCTCTATTACTTGGTTGGTTTGGATTATGAATGTTGGACAAGCAATGAAGAATTCCATGAAAGTAGTAATGAAGAGTGCTTATCAATAGATTCAAAATTATTCTGTCCTTTTCCCCTGAAGAAGTTTGTTCCTTTTTTTCCTTCAAACTGTTTGTCATGGTTCTACTTGAAATAATGTGTAGAAGAAGTTTGTATCAAACACTGCAGTCCACCTATTTTCCGAAGTTTTAGATTTTCTTGGAAGCATCATCTGGCTAGTGGCTCCACCTGACCCTATTTTGTTTATGAATTTTGATGTTCACATAGGTCAAAGCATTACTGCTCTAAGTAGCATCTTAAATGATTTTAATACACTCCCATAAAATGTCAGCTGCCAAGACTCACAATTACAGACTCCAAAATATAGGAACTATGTAGAGTCTAATATGTAGAGCCTTTAAAAATATTAAACAGTTTAATGTACCAGGCTGGTTGTATTACTGTGTATGTATGTATGTATGTGTACGTAAACATAATTTTATAATTAAATGTGTATTATATATAAACACACAATATATGTATGTTTCATGGAATAACATATTTTTTTCCTTCCCTGGGAGCAGTGTTTAATTATATCAAATGAAGAATAGTTTACTACATTTTAGTTCTTTGTAAATAAAAGAAAAAGACAGTCGATAACCATTTTCCCCTCACAGTTTTTCCTTGCCACAAAATAAACCCTCTTTGGACCCAAGAAGAACAGAAAGTACCAACTGCTAACCTGCTTTATAACATAATATTTTGTGCCAACTTAAAAATATGTCAACTAGGTTTGCAGTGGAAAAGGGTAAAATTTTTAGCCAAGTTTTCCTAAAATAAAAAGACAAGTGAGTTGAAAGCACAGCAATTCAAAATCAGAGAAAAAACAACTCTACCGACATCCACATGTCTAGAGAGTATTTAAACTATTTCACTTTATAAACTTCAACGGGAGATATGATTTCTGGTGTTCTGGCTTATAGAATCACTTGGGAATGAATAATTCATAGGCTTTTTACCAAGCCTCAAGTGTAAATCAGTCAAATATAGCAACATGATATTCATGCTGAATTTTTAAGTACTTAAAACATTTAGATGGAAACTTTTTCTTTTCAAGAGAGAGGGAAGAAGAATGTCATTTTCCCTCTGCTCACGTTGCCCAGGCATACTTTCATTTTGTACTTTAAAAAAAAAAATCTATAAAAAGGGATTTAATTAAACAATAAAACAGTTAACAGTAGCTGAAGTGAAGAAAAGCCACAAAAACTTTCTCAGTGTTATGTTTTCCGTATTAACATACTGATGGGAAACTAAACAGAAAAGCAATCTAATAACAAACATTCCTTTGAGACGTGTTCAGGGAGCAAAAGGACATCCACTTATTGTTCCGCCCATCCGATTGGTCCATATATGGCAATAAAGGTACAATAGACGGAAACAGGAAACAGACTGGCACATCTGTAGTATCTTATTAGCAACTAATGGATATCTGAGAAGAACACGCATATAATGCTGAATCGTCTGTACCAATCTCCTAAGCAATTACTCTTAATTAGTAGGTTCTGTTTATAGATTCAACTTAGTGTACCCTTATGCATCAAAGAGACGAAGGCAGCTGGAGAAAGAAATGACGCTCTTAAAGGAAAAGTATTACAAGATGTTGGTGGATTTCTTCCTGGTACAGTGAAACTTAATGTCTTTCCCTGCCCTGGGGTAAGGAGCTTTCCCTTTTGTGAACGATTAAAGAAAAGAGAGAACAAAATTTCTAAGGCAGGCTAAATGAAAAAAGTGTTCTTGCCATTTGCTTCAGGGAAATGCAAAGAAAGTCAGCAAAACCAAATAATTGTGCAGGATGAAGACACTACCCTCATACTGTAACTCTAACCATTTCCAGGAGGCTCCATCTTTCCCCCTCCAAATGCAGTGCTTTAATTCAGAAATGCGGCACCTGCATTTAGTGTCTGCCAAATGGAAAGCCAAGGGGCAAAATGGGCGGTGTGACCAGCTTTATCTCCATAAAAAAGAGAACACAAAATGAGTTTTCCAGGCCACTCTAGTCAAAGGGGATCTGAGTATATACATGGAGCCACTGAGCCAACTGCCCACTTCTATAAATGGGAAAATATTGTATAGATTAGCATCCCCTCACCCCCAACGTATATCACATAAACTGCCTTATGAGCAAAAACAAGAAATTCCTTTTGGGTAGTGGATATTCAGTTTGTACATTACTATTCCCATGCACACCGTTGTCTAGGTATTTTTCCTAAAGAGAGCCAACACTGCGGTCCTGTCTCTTGGGTTTCTAAAACTACTAGAAGGCTGGATTCTTTGTTTCTGATTATTTTTGCAATACATTATTGCACTCTCTTGGAAGTTCAAAGAAGTTCTTTCCTGGTCTCCTGGAATTCTGTTTAAAAAGATCATTGTGAATACACAACCAGTGTACCAATATCTAACCTGGGGCTGTTCTCTCAAATGATTGTACTCTATGTATACATAAGAAAAGTAGGCTGGATTTCTTAAAAGGGTGGAGGAGAAATTTTCTTTCTTGTCCATAGTTTACCACAGATCAAGGTAGAATGATCTTTTTTGGCATCTGTCATTCTGAATGTTTAGAAGTCTATACATGAACCACTCCCTCCCCAAAGCACTCAGACCATGAGAAACCAAACAACTGGCCTTTTTCACTGGCTTAACTGTTCAAAGGAAAGGTGGAATGCTGCCAGCCAGGATTGGGGCTCTGGGAGTCAGTGCTGGGCTTATTCTCCCTTGGGAATCCTGTCCCTTCCTGAAACCAGCTCCAGAGGTACTCCTCTGTTTGTCAGATGAACTAGTCTCCATTGAGCATTTGCTCTGTTTCATCATGCTATGCGTATCAGGTTAGATGTTTAACAATTTTTTTTTTTTTTTGAGACAGAGCCTTGCTCTGTCATCCAGGCTGGAGTGCAGTGATGCGATCTCGGCTCACTGCAACCTGTGCCTCCCAGGTTCAAGCGATTCTTCTGCCTCAGCCTCCGAGTAGCTGGTATTACAGGTGCCCACCACCATGCCCAGCTAATTTTTGTATTTTTAGTAGAGACAGGGTTTCACCATATCGGTCATGTTGGTCTCAAACTCCTGACCTCAGGTGATCCACCTACCTCGGCCTCTCAAAGTGCTGGGATTACAGAAGTGAGCCACTGTGCCTGACCAGATATTTAAGATTAAAAAAAAATGTTCTGCTGCTTATGCATATGGGTAAAGTTGTTAAAATTTCATTAAGTGTATAGATGGCATTCTTCTGCTCTCGTGAGGAGTATGACACAGTTGTAGCCAAAGAATGACATGCAAATGGAGACCTTCTTCATTTAACAAAGATGGGGAGAGGGGAGGTGGGACAGAGGGACAGAGAGAGACAGGGTACGTTATACATGCATCTAATTCATGCACAGGTAAACTGTATGAGCTGTGGGTATGGGAGGTGAGTGGGAGACAGAAAGAAACAATTTAAATAGTAGAGGGTGATTCTGTCTTCCCTCTGAATGACTTGCATTCCAGCACTGGAGTAAAATGTGGGACTTGATTGCACCATATCCTCAGTTAGCCTCTTTTCCCATGCAGCTTTGGCAATGCGTTTGTGAGCATCACTCCATCATGGAAATGGTTTGGAGAAGTCACTCACCCACAATCACATTTTCTGGTAGAACTATGGTTAGCATATATGCTCTTTATTATATACCAAATATTATTCCACAGGTTGTACATTTACATAAATATATTACTGCAAAGGATTGCAGACGACAAACCAGGCATGAATGAACTATTTGATTTTCTGGGTAAATTTGACAAAATTCGATTGTCAAATAGAAGCATTCTTCACAAATTTTAGAAACCATTCCTATGGAAGATTAATTGTAATGCCACTATATATTTTTTCTGTAGGCTAAATCATTCCCTCTCCTCCCCAATCTCATCACCCTTCTCTCATCAAAATGTGTATGGGTGGTAATTATTTTTTCTCCCCCTGCTCAAGAGTGTTACTTCTTGAAGAAGTTCAGAAAAAGGTGATGGGATGGCCATGTTGCTAGGAAGTTTCCAGTCTGACTCCTTAGCATATCAAAGTAAAACTAGTTCTTTACTTATCTCATATTTTTCTACTGCTCAGAGGCTACAAAGATAGGCCAGAGAGAGGAATGTTTGAAGTGAGCTAAGAGGAAGGAGATAAAATGAAAAAAGATAGGGGAAGAAGCCATGCACAACCTTTTTCAGGGGCTGGCTGTGCATGGGTAGACATCCAAGCTGTGGCTTTAAAAGGAGAAAGGGAATATTTGGCAACTACTTACAAGGTACAAGGCTCTGTGATAGATATATTTTCACATATAATTATGTTCAATCCTTTCAGTAATGCTGAGAGGCAATATTTACTCTTTACACATGAGGAAACTGAGGCACAGAGCTATGAGATATGCTTAAGATCACAAAGGTAAGGAACCTTTAATAATACAGTCTATACTTGTATTTTCCACTGCACCACACGCTTCCATAAAAGTACAGCGACAGTGATTACTTAGTAATTAGTGATTATGTCAGTAAATACCGTAGAAATGGCCCCTGTAAATCAAACTCAAAGAAGATCCAGTAGAGAAAGCTATAAAAACCCTTAAAAGAGATATTTCTTACTGATATACATTCACTGATTCAATAGAATCCCCTGATCCAATGATTTTGTAACATATCAAGGTTGTAATTTATGAGACCATTTAAAAATTATTTTTGTAAAGTATCTGCCATGTTCACCAACACATATGTTCTTTAAAAATGTCTGCCATCTATTAATTGAAACAATTCTGTCTCTAGCCAGTGAATTGAACGGTGTGTTTCTTAGACCTGCCAGCAAAATGCCCCCCTGATTGGCTCATTCAGAAGGCTTACATCAATATGTTGGGGTGTTAATGTCTCTTAACCATTGCAACTTCTGTAATAAACAAAAGTGTAACTTACATACCCAGTTAGGAATTCTCTTTTTGGCTACAAGTAACAGAATTCCTGAGTGGTTTAAGTGGCAAAAGGGTTTGACTAGATCACATAAACAGTAGTCTGTAGACAAGGCAGACCAGAGGAGGAATGTGGTTCAAATAAAATCATCAAAGACCCCAGACCCTCCAATATTTTCCTACCTTCATTAATGTGTTGGCTTTTTGCCTCACAATTACAGATGTATTCAATGTAGGAAGAAGAGGGAGACAATATGAAAGGGTATGAATCAGTTTTACCAGGAAAACCAAGCTTTATTGAAGGGATGGTGCAGGTTTCAGCTTAAGTCTCATTGGCTAGAACCATGTCACATGTCCAGCCCTCTTTGCAATGGAAACTGCAACAGTGAGTAGCTTTTCTAGCTTCTTCAGTAGAAGGTAATATGGGAGGATGCCTAGGTATTCCTTACACCAGCTTATAGTTACTATCACTTACAAACAAATGTCAGGTCTTATATAATTTATGTTTATCCTCCGTATTCAAGAAATGGAAAATCTTCCTGATCCTAGACCATCAACCTGATTAGAAGAGTAACCACTTTTCTTTCATTCAAAACTGGAATTCTTATTTTGAAAATGAGATATAACACTTCAACACAACCCAGGAAAATCTATGTCATATAGTTATATGCTTTCTAGATTAGGACAATATTCAAAATCTCTACTCTAGAAGAAGTAACCTTGTTAAGCAGTATAGGGCACCCCAGAGATGTGGCCATGGCACATTGGAACAAGGGGCTGCCCTGACATGGATGAACTCACAGGATTAGCAGGGGTCTCCTAGCCTTGGTGTTGGGAAGAACCGGTAGAACAAGTCATATTTCAAGGAGAGGATGGGGAAGAGAGGACAAGTTTTCCAAACCCACCTGAAGATAATCACCTAGAGTGCTTGTTAAAATATAGATACCTGGGTTGCAACCCAAAACTGAATCAAAATTTTCAGAAAATACCTCTGGAAATTGTGTCCCCCAATGAATTTTATCTTCACGTGAGTTTAGAAACACTAACATCTATTCCCCACCCTGGCTGCTCACTAGAATCATCTGGAGAGCTTGGATAAATAACACCCATGACTAGAGCCCCATCCTCGACCAAATAACAAGAGCACATAGCCCAGGCATTCATAGTGTTAAAAACATTTCTGGCAAGTCTACCATGCAGTTCTGACATTACCTGCACTCGATCAAAGGAAGGGTCTCTGGTATGGAAGCCCATATGCAGTACGACAGCTTAGCGAAAAAGCTGAAAGCGCCAAAAGAATGAATTCAGAACTTAGCAAATGCCGGGCGCCGTGGCTCATGCCTGTAATCCTAGCACTTTGGGAGGCCAAGGTGGGCGGATCATGAGGTCAGGAGATCGAGACTATCCTGGCTAACATGGTGAAACCCCGTCTCTACTAAAAAATACAAAAAAAACCCCACAAAAAATTAGCCGGGCGCGGTGGCAGGCGCTAGTCCCAGCTACTGGGGAGGCTGAGGCAGGAGAATGGCGAGAACCCGGGAGGCGGAGCTTGCAGTGAGCCGAGATCGCGCCATTGCACTCCAGCCTGGGCAACAGAGCGAGACTCTTGTCTCAAAAAAAAAAAAACAAACAAACAAACAAAAAACTTAGCAAATTATAGCCTGCAGGCTGAGTCCTCTAGCCTGTGTGTTTTTGCAAATTAATTTTTATTGGGATATAACCCTGCCCCCTTTAACATATATTGTCTATGGCTGCTTCCCACCCTGTAATGACAAAAGTGAATAGTCGTGGCCAAGATGATATGTGGTCCCCCCATAGCCCCAAATATTTACTATCTGGCCCATTCTAGGAAAAGTTTACCAACTTCTGAACTAATTGAACATTTAGATCAAGAGTAGTTGATAAATAATAACAATGACTGATTATACATAAGACATGGGTGCCTTGTCTCTATTAGCTCCTTAATCTTCATTTTACCAAGAAGAAAACCAAATATCTGAGAGGTCAAGAAACTCATCTAAGGTCACAGAGCTAGTGAGGGGCAAGGCCAGGATTTGCATGCAGGCTGCCTGACTCTAGGACTCACATACATGTTTGAATCAGTATGTCTCTTAGGCATGAATTTTTTTTTTTTTAGATGAAGTTTTACTCTTTGTTGCCCAGGCTGAAGTGCAGTGGCGTGATCTCACCTCACTGCAACCTCTGTCTCCTGGGTTCAAGTGATTCTCCTGCCTCAGCCTCCCAAGTAGCTGGGATTATAGGCACCCCCTACCATGCCTGGTTAATATTTTTTTTTGTATTTTTAGTAGAGATGGGGTTTTACCATGTTGGCCAGGCTGGTCTCGAACTCCTGACCTCAGGTGAGCCACCCAAAGTGCTAGGATTAAAGGTGTGGGCCACCATGCCTGGCCAGGCATGAATTTTTTGACAAGGTATAAGAAGAGCAATATCATTCCAATTTTCTAGCTAGTAATAAGTCAGGAGGACAGACATATGTCTGAACTAATCTAAGCAAGCACTTGCCTTTTCCCTTGTGCCTAATGTCCACTGGAACAATCAGACTGAACAGGATTCATTTTTTTAGCAAGCTTGAAAAATGGTGAGTGCTGAACTGTACAATTTCTTTTTCTTTTTTTTGAAATTTACAATTTTCAATATGAGTAACTCTATAAGCTGAAGCTCTAAGAATCACTCAAAGTTCCCAGACATGTGGCATTATGATCACTTCCTTGGCTGCATTAAACCTCACACCCTTAATTTGTTCTGTGATATATTCAATATGTTCCTAGTTTTCCACAGGGTCAGCAGGATAGACAGTTTGCTGGTAAAGATTACAGACATTATTCTGGAACCACCATTGCCGTGGCTTTCTGTCAAGGGAACAGGGAGGCATTTGGAAGAGAAGAGCATGCAACCATTAAAGACAGAGGAACAAAGACCATGTGGTAGCTGGTAAGACAAAAATAGCAATTTTATTGTCAATATTTTGCTTTACAGGGAGCCAATAAAGCAACTGAAACATAAATTAGATGCTGAGACAACTCAGTCTACAGAAGGGCCTTGGGAGTAGCTTCTGGATCATCTGCCACTGACGATAGAGCCCACAGCCTCTTAGGTGCAAAGACAAAAGCCAGAACAGGTCTGTGTCTTTCTCTAGTCAATCTGCATTCCAAAATGTTGTAAATTATGAAAGTTAGGCATACTGTATGCTGAAGTGCTAATTAGACAAGGTAAATTAAAGGTGGCAAGAGTCTGCCATCACACCACTCCACCAAAATTCATTTATTGTTCATTTATTGAAGAATGTATTGTTCATTAGTCCATATAGCCTCGAGGTATACGGGCTGATCACATGCTCCTATCGGCCAGGCATTCTAGCTTTGTTTTCTGTGCATACCAGACATTGAAAATGTGAGACCATTGCTAAGTATGCTAGCAGTAGTGTTATTCATCAATGGGAGAAGTTAGCCCAATCTACCTAATGTTAACATCAATCCAAATAAGCTTGTTAAGCACCTGGCACTATGCCAACTACCCAGGTATTATTTGAAGAATGTATGGCTTAGGGAAACTTTTCCTTTTTTGGCCTTGCTACATCACATTGCCACTTTTTAAATGTTGTATTATATGCATTTGATCTGAATTTTTTAACTAGAGAACACGGGTCTCTAGTTCTTTGCTGACCTTCTCCCTTACCACTCTATGCTTTGGGAATAGCTTGCCTTGTAGCTCCTCACCAACCCCCTCCAGAACCTCCTCAAAACTGTTTTTGTTGTTCAGAATTTTAGCAAAGGAGTGTGAGCCTCTCTTCCCCATGAGGTAACAATTCCATTTTCTTCAAGCAGAATTTGAAGGGCCTCTTCGATTCTGAATCCTCAGTGTACTGGTCTAGAAGGTTTTTAAGTACCCTGCCATCTTCTGTACTGTATTAACTTTTCAGATACTTATCTAATTCATCCCTGCAAGAATGTACAATCCTTGAGGCTGGAAACCTTATATAAGTAGTTGCTCAACAAATTCTGTTGAATGTATGAACTAAGGTTGTCAGCAACAGGTGAGTCTACCTGGTTAAAGAGGAATGCAAATTGATTCCCATAAGAAAAAATTTTGTTCTGGGGCCTTTGACTCTGGCAAGGTTATGAATATCTTTCATA
Source organism: Homo sapiens (assembly GCF_000001405.40). Taxonomy (NCBI): domain Eukaryota; kingdom Metazoa; phylum Chordata; class Mammalia; order Primates; family Hominidae; genus Homo; species Homo sapiens. Next base: position 25,143,983 of record NC_000003.12, on the reverse strand, counting down.
GAAAGTGAACTGGGTTGATTTCTCCCACTTAGAGCTGCGAGGAAAGGAAATGAGTATTTCTAGGTGACTGCTGAGCTTTAGGCACTGTGCTGTCTTTTGTTGCTTGATGCCAGGCACTTTTCACACATCACTTCATTTAATCCTCTCAACAGCCCATTGTACAAATTAGGAAATTGGAGACCCAAAGAAGTTCAGCTACATGCTTCAAGTCACGTAACTCCAAGGGCCAGGGCAGCATTTGAACTCAAGCAGTCTAATTCCAAAGTACGCATACTCATCCACTGAGTTACATTGCTTCTAAGTCTAAAAGTTGGGTGGTTTGGGGTTGCTCAGGTTCAGTGTTATGACAGAGGAGATGTAAAGACCTACAGAGGCTACCAGGGCACCGTGTGGGCATCTCTGAATTAAGGAGGAGTGCCTAAGCTTGAAAGACAAAGTACCAGGTAACCAACTCTAACCTGAGCTTGTGTGACACACACCTTTGGAATGCCTCCCTACTGGAGGCTGCCTCATCATCTTTTGGATCGGGTGGGCCTCAATCCACATCTGAACACTAGGCTAAACTAAATTACACAGCTTGGCTAAGTTGTGTACTAGAGGGGTTTTTTGGGAAAAACAGCAGATAAATGGATTCTATTTGGGATTTACACAGGAAAACCAGTTCTTACAGTGCCTCAGCAACTCACCTTCCCTCTTCATCCTACACTGTCAGAAAAGCTTAGTAGCTGCCTCTTGCAATTTGCCTCAACGTGTTACCAGCTGCTAGCAGCTGCTAGCTAAATTACAAACTCTGAGAGACTGCTAGGTGAGTTGGGAGTGTGTGTCTAAGTACAGGCTCCTGAATGGCAAAAAGAGCAAATAATTCATTGTCAGGTGATGATTTACCTGGTATCACTGGATACTCCAGGCTAACTTCTACTCAGAATAAATGCCCCTCAGCTAAAGGCTCAACTTTTCTGCCTGCTCCAGCATTCTTTCAGAAATAGTCCAGAAAATTCCTATCACTACTGTGACTTTTTTTTAAATATAATATGTATTTTATGTAGATATTATCTCTGAGACTGGATCAGCCATCCAGCAGAGGATCAGACACGGGGACAGGTCTGCTTTTGTTTACTGAAGACGGCAATTCCTCAGTGGCCACATTTTCTCCCGCATCTTGACCACAGAGCCCGAGGTAAAACTCAGACCTGCCAGCTATAGATTGCAGCCCATTTGCTGACTGCTCTGCTCTTGGTTTCTGGAGGCTTTCTGGGAGGCAGCATTTCCCCTTCAAAAGGTAGAAATATCATCTGTCTGTTAACCCAAAGTTACCTTTCCCCCAAAGCTAATGATGGCAAACGGCCATGCTCTCAGATATGACACAGATGGGATATTTACCAAAAAAAAAAAAAATACAGGCAGTGATTTCCTGCATTGGGAGAGAATGCTAGTGGGAGAGGGAAGGACATAGAGATTATATCTTTGCCTCAAAGTATTATTATGAAAGATCAATGAAGCAGTATAGGGTGTAGCTTATAAAGGTATCCGGCAGGACTTCTCAAACTTTCATAGGCATGCCAGCCACTTGGGGGTCTTGTTAAAATGCAGATCCTGATTCAATGGTTCTGAGTTGCATCTCAAGATTTTTTTTTTATTATTTCTTTTTTGAGATGGAGTCTTGCTCTTGTTGCTCAGGCTGAAGTGCAGTGGCACGATCTAGGTTAACTGCAACTTCCACCTCCCAGGTTCAAGCGATTCTCCTGCCTCAGCCTCCTGAGTAGCTGGGACTACAGGTGCCCGCCACCATGCCTGGTTAATTTTTGTGCTTTTTTAGTAGAGACGGGGTTTCGCCACGTTGGCCAGGCTGGTCTTGAACTCCTGACCTCAGATGATCTGTCCGCCTCATCCTCCCAAAGTGTTGGCATCACAGGCGTGAGCCACCGCACACGGCCAAGATGTTTTATGTCTAACAAGCTCTCAGGTGAGACTGATGCTGCTGGTCCTAGGACTACACTTGGAATAACAAGACTTTAAAATATTCTACACATGGATGTCATGAGTATTAGTAAGTATTTCCAATGCTCAATCTTATAACCGAGAAATTGGTCACATGCATGTATCCTACTGACCTGATTTTCATGCCGTTATGCTGCCTGTAGAAGGTGAGGGAGATACTTCATATATTATAAAAGTAGCTTCATTTTATTAAAATCTAGATTTACCAAACTGATTTATACTTCTTAGAATTCACCTTAGGATTCCTAAAAGTAGAAAGCACTCCTTTTAAGAAAATATGATTTTTAAAGCCCTAATTTAAATATACAGGTGCAGAAAGCCATTTATAACTAAACTGTGAAATATCTAGATTGGAAAATGGTGGCAAGGAGTTAATATCACAGGATTGAAATGATAGCCCTTTCATTTTCTGTAGATTTGAATGACTACATCTCCCATGGTCCTAAGGCTTTTAGGTACTCCAGGCAATGGGAGGCAAGATTTCCATGGATGCTGCCTCTCCTAAGACCCTCTGAAATTGGCAGATCATTCTACCTATCAGTGGCCACCTAAAGTGGTAAATTGGGTCAGCCCAAATAGGTCAGGTGCTTCTTCAAAAACCACTGAAGACATAGAGTTAAGCTAAAAACAAATCAAAGGAACCCGAAGTTAATTCTATTTGTACCATCCTTATTCATCTAGTATATTGAATTTAGATAGTGGTAGAATGTATGTTTGTCAGTGTCAAAAGTCATGCAAGGACAGGCAAATATCTTTTAAGAACGTTTATGAGTTTCCCGGGTCTAAGAATTTCATCTCATAGTGTTATTGAACCATCTTTTAGAGAACTATATTTTATAAGGGATATGACAAAAGAGACACATTTTTTAATATCGGTATACCTCAAAGATATTACATGTTTAGTTCCAGACCACTGCAATAAAGTGAATATTGTAATAAAGTTAGTCACACAAATGTTTTGGTTTCCCAGGGCATATGAGATTTAGGTTAATATACTTGAGTATATTAAGTGTGCATCAGCATTGTGTCTAAAAAAGTCATCTACATAACTTAATTTTAAAATAGTTTATTGTTAAAAATTGCTAATGATCACCTGAGCCTTCAGTGAGTCATAACCTTTTTGTTGGTGGAGGTCTTGCCTCAATGTGGATGAGTGATTACTGATGGATTGGGGCATTAGTTGGGTGGCTGTGGCAATTTCTTAAAAAAAGATAATAATGAAGTTTTCTATACCCTTTCTCAAAAGATTTCTCTGTAACATGCAATGCTGTTTGATAGCATTTTACCCACAGGAGAATTTCTTTCAAAATTGGAGTCAATCCTTTCAACCTCTGCTATTGCTTTATCAACTAAGTTTATGGAATATTCTAAATGTTTCGTTGTCATTTCAACAATGTTCACAGCATCTTCACCAGGAATATATTCCATCTCAATAAACCATTTTCTTTGGTCATCCACAAGAAGCAACTCCTCATCTCTTCAAGTTTGATCTTGAGACCGTAGCAACCCAGTCACATATTTAGGCTCCACTTCTGATTCTTGCTCTCTTGCTATTTTCACCACATCTTCAGTTACTTCATCCAGTAGAGTTTTGAACCTCTCAAACTCATCCATGAGGGCTGGAATCAACTTCTTCCAAATTCCTGCCAAAATGTGGGTATTTTGACTTCCTCCCATGAATCACAAATGTTGTTAATGACATCTGGAATGTTGAATTATTTCTAGAAGATTTTCAATTAACTCTGCCAAAATCCATCAGAGAAATCACTATCTATGGCAGCTGTACCTTACAAAATGTATTTATTAAATAATAAGGCCTAAAAGTTGAAGTTACTTCTTGATTCATGGGCTACAGAATAGGTGTTGTGTTCAAACAAACAAACAAACCAACAAAAAAAAAACCATGTCCTTGTATATCTCCACCTCTTGAGTGACCAGGTGCATTACAGTAAGCAATAATATTTTGAAGGAAAATCTTTTTCTGAGCAGGTTTCAAAAATAGGCTTAAAATATTAAGTAAACCTGGCTGCAAACAGATGTGCTGTCATCCACACTTTGTTGTTCCACTTATAGAGCACAGGTACAGTAAAGTTTGCATAATTATTAAGGGCCCTAAGACTTTTGGAATGATCAATGAGCATTGGCTTAAAGTCATCAGCTGCATTAGCCCCTAAAAAGAGAGACTGTCCTTTGAATCCATGCACTGACTTCTCCTCTTTAGCTATGATAGTCCCAGATGGCATCTTTTTCCAATATAAGGTTGTTTCCTCTACATAGAAAATCTGCTTAGTGTAGCCACCTTCATCAATTATCCTACCTAGTCTTCTGTGTAACTTGATGTACCTTTTTCCATCAGCACTTGCTGCTTCACCTTGAACTTTTATGTTATGGAGATGGCTTTGCTTAAATCTCAGAAACCAACTTCTGCTAGTTTCAAACTTTTTTTCCAGCAGCTTCCTCATCTCTCTTAGCCTTGATGGCATTGAAGTGAGTTAGGACTTTGCTCTGGATTAGGTGTTAAGGGAATGTTGTGACTGGTTTGATCTTCTATCCACACCACTAAAACTTTCTCCGTATCAGCAATAAGGCTGTTTCATTTTATTATTGTTAGTGTGCTCACTGGAGTAGCACTTTTAATTTCCTTCAAGAACTTTTCTTCCACATTCACAACTTGGCTGTTTGGTGCAAGAGACTTAGCTTTCAGCCTCTTTTGGCTTTCTTCACTAAGTTTAATCATTTCTAGCTTTTGATTTAAAAGGTGAGACTTGTTACTCTTTCTTTCATTTAGAGGCTATTGTAGGGTTATTAATCAGCCTAATTTCAGTATTGTTGTGTCTCAGGGAATATGGAAGTTGGAAAAGAGGGAGACAAGGAATGGCTTGGTGGGTTGAGCAGTCAGAACACACACACTATTTATCAATTAAGTTCCCCATCTTAAATGGGCATGGTTCTTTGTGCCCTCAAACAATTACAACAGTAACATCAAAGAATGCTGAATCTTAACAGATAAAATAATAATGAAAAAGTTTGAAATATTCAGAGAATATTTGTGACAGAGACAGGAAGTGAGCACATTCTGCTGGAAACAGTGCTAACAGACTTGATCAACACAGGGTTGCCACAAGCCTTCAATTTGTAAAATATACAATATCTGCAAAGTACAATAAAGCAAAGCACAATATAATGAGGTATGTCTGCACAGAATTCTTATTAAATGTTAATTAATTTAGTCAAGTTAAAATTGAAACTAACAGTTTCACTCTTTTGCTTATATGTGGTTTCAATAAAAAATAATTGTCCATGCAGATACATTAGGATGACAATTTCTATAGATAACTGATAACTGTAATAAACATAATCTTGAACTTCCACCTTGATTTTCTTTTCCTAGAAACTAATGTTTTTAAATGTCCATTCATGCTCAAATCTATCAAGAAAGAGACTCATGTTACTAATTAGAATTCTGATTTAAAGCTTAAATAGAAACAGTAAAAGGCAAATGCAAGTTGAATATTGGTCTATTTTGCATTACTCTATATACCTTGGTACAACAAACCAGGGGCAGGGACTGAATCAATGGTCCTTTTTAAAGCAATGTTCAACCTAGAACCTGGCAGGATTTTCCTTTGGCTACCAAAAAAAAAAAAAAACTCAATTATAGTGCTGCTTTCAAAAGGTTGTATCACAGACTGGAGGCAAAATATAAACAGCTAACTGGTCATAATTTCTTCATGGATATATCTGTTTTCATCTATGTACAGTGGTAATTTGACTATTCCCCAAAAGTCTCCAATCACTTTGTGACTATTGGGCCACGCCAGATGTTGGGGAATTGCTTTAAATGCAGGCTTGTAGCTCCCTGAAGACCGAAATTCTCAGTAACCCCAAGATATATTATCTGAAGTCAAAACAAAGCCTTCTTGACTTGTTCTGCTAGACTTTTATCTCTTCAGTTGCCTGACCATGCCTTTCCTGAATGAGATCTCAAATTTGATCTTAGGTAAAAAGGATGTTTTGAGGATCTTTACTCTTGTGTAGACAATGGCTATTTCAGAGAGCTCTGGTATTTCAAAAGCAGAATCTTCTTTTAAACTCAACTACCTCTTGCCTTCAGGTCTTACAAAGTAGTTTCGCCTCTCAGTCATGGCTGTGGGCCGAAAGGACAGGGTGATTGGGAATTAGAAGGGTGGACTCTGGCTAACATTCCTTATAGAATGCCAATGGGACCTCAGGGTAAGTATATGGCTTCTCATCACACAGCTATTTAAATGACAATAAACAAAGTTGCAACAAAGAGGCCTTCAATGGGCCTGGTAAATCTTCCACTAAGATATTAATTTCCACTAGAAATTGAGAATTACAGTTAAATTCAATAAGAGTGATTATAATTTATAAAGCTCTTCAAACTTTAACATCTATGTGGAAAATAAGAAAATTTTCTACTAAAATCAAAACTCCTTTGCTTTTTCTATATCTGACCAAACTAATTTCACTGGGTTTTTCTGTAAGTTACTGTAAAATATTGATAAACCAACCCCAAACCTGTAACATATATGACCCAGTAGTCCTGAATTTCAGCATTACCAAGCTTTTTTAAAGCTAAAGAGAAGGGAACAAAAATCACATCCTTTACTGATGTGCATTTCACCATTGAAATGAAAATATATCTTAAAATATCAAGCTCTGTCCTATGTAAGAAATGATAAATTATAAGAATTCCAGCTACATTAAAAATTCCTTCAACTTTAAGTTCTTAAAGTTTTTTTCTTTGGATGTATAAGGCTGTCCTTTTAAATACAACTCAGCCACAGTGAGAAATCTTTTGAAATGGTAGAAATATTAAGTGTTTGAAGATAATAATAGGGCTAGTAGTCGGCATTAAATAGCCTGAGATTAGTGTACTTTCATCTCAAAGCAGTGTTTGAGTACCTCAGTGATTACACAAACAGTTTGAAAATCTGTCTGCTGCTACTCCTTGCTTAATATTTTTTTCTTTTTGAACAATTTAGGTGCACTCAAATCATGGGCCATTCTGGGCTCCCAACAAATCTGTGCGGTTGTTGATACCATTAACAATCTTGGCCCAACTTGCCAAATATGTATTCCTCTACTTCCCTAGTGAATGATCTGCTATGGACACCACCTTCCCCAACGCTATGTTTCCTGAACTCAACTTCTAAGCCAAGGATGGTTCTTCTAAGGCCTTCCCTCTTCATCCCCAAACTCTCCCCCCATCCTTTGGTGTTGAAATCCAGTCCTACTACACCTATTAAATCATCTTCCCTCCCAGTTAGCACACTGCTTCTAACGTGTATTATTAATTGAAGGTATGTGGCATATGTTATATTCAGCTTTGTGCTGGTTCTTTTATTGTGATTTTCTATGGCCATTTCAACCATTGTCACATAATTAGTGATGCATTGTTTCATGAAGTTATTCATCTAGTCATCTACAACTCCTACCATTTATAAAACAAAACACTCTAGCATGCTGTATGGGTTATTTTTACAAAACATAAAATAGATGTCTTAATTAGGGTAAGAACCAAGCAAAGTTTTCACAGTAACCCATAAACCCATTAAAAGAGGTATCATCACTTGAATTTTTATACAACCATTGCTGGGAATGGTTGGAATTTTTTTAATATACAAGTATAAAGACAAGAAAATGGCTTATCCATATGTGTCCTAGCCCTAGCTTTTTATAAGTATTAATCACGCAATTCAACCTGCACATACTATCTTCAAGAGTCTTTAATAAGCCCTTTGAGTAAAGCTTCCCATCATGACATATGCCTGTCAAGGGTTCAGTCTATTCTCCTGGCATATTGAGGGATCAATGGACCAATAAATCCTTTATATTCTGAGGTTTTCGGACAGCACGTTATTCTTATATTCTAAGAGGAGTCAGAAATGAGTGCTGCTAGACCCAAGAAGGTTGGGTCAGATAAGGAATTGTTCAACATGTGAATGTTGCTTATTCCTCTAAATGCCAAGACTTCTTAAACATCTTCTTGTATAACATTTAAAATTTTATATTTCTTTTTTTAATGAAAGGAATTTTACAAAGATAAGCTTTTCTTGACAAATTACTTTCAAGATTATGAATACTGTTCATGATGTTGTGACATTCTCTGGAGTTTGCCCTAAGTTGAGCTTTTTGCCTTGGTGCATGGTGCCTGATTGATATGTCCTTATAGTTCTACTGACTACTTTTTCTGTTTTACTTCATTTTTATTTGTGTTTCATACACTGCCTGTCTAAAAAATATGACTTAATGCACTACTTGCTTTTAAAAAAGTCTTTGCTCTTTTCTTCCTACCATTTAGCTATGTCTTCTCACTGACATCAATGTGTTTCTGGCTTTTCTGGCTATGTTGCACGCAACTGTTCAGACAAGAGTCCCAGAGTGGCTCAACCTATCCTGCTGAGAACAACACTTTGACATTACCACAAATCATTTGCAACATAATATTTTGTAGCATAATCGTGGTCTATTTGCCATTCTAAGGCTTTTCTTACTCATCTCTGGTTTTCAGCTAGCAGATTAAAGCTTACCTTTCCTAAATATCAGATATCCAGGTAAATGGGGTTATTTCTATAATTCCCAAGGAAATAGAAGTAATATGAAGGACGCTTTAGAATTGTGTCATCCGATATGGTAGTCACTAGCCACATATATTTTAAATTAAAATGAAATTAAATTGAAACTAAAGTTAAACTTTAATTAACATTAAATAAAATTTAAAAATCAGTTCCTTAGTTGCACTAGCTATTTTTGAGCGCTCAATAGCCACACCTGGCTAGTGGCTACTCTATCGATGGATCGAAACAATTTCTACCACCCCAGAAAGTTTTTCTGGATAGTGTGCTTCAAAGAGTTCAGGGAAGCATGGTCCTAGGCCTATTAAACTCAGACCAAAAAAAAAAAAGGGAAAAGGAAAGAAATGATGGGACCTAAAGGACCTTTATTATTCCTTTTCCAAATGCTTACTATGTAATTTTTAAACAGTGGCATCATAAGTAGCGTTTAATCTTCATATATTAGTAACTTTGAAATTCATGGAACACAAATCTACTCATGGGGAAAAAGTCTGTGCAGCAGCAAGAAAGCCTGAGATGTGATGCTCGTTTCACGATTTAGACCAGGTAGAGGCAGTGACGGTTAAGGTCAGATCCATTCCTAGCTACATTCTCATTCTTCCATAATGAACATGGTAACTGAGAAAAGAGCATAAACCCTGTTTGAAAAAATAAATCACTCAATTCTAATCCATTCTGGATCTTACAGCCATTTTTTTTGTTCTTAATGTAGAATATTCTATTGATGAGAAGAATGGAGAATCAAGTTTTCAGGGAACTAAAAAATATTTTAGTTGACAGAGAATAAGCACATATGATAGTATCACGTTATCATCCTAGCTAACACCTTTGAATGATTACTATGTACCAGAACTGTACACGTTTTAGCTCATTTAATTCTCACAATAAACCTGTTAGGAAGGTATTTTATCCTTATTTTGCAGATCAGAAGCAGAGCCCCAGAAAAGGTTTACTTAAAAGAAAATAAATAAAACTAACTCAGGTGATTCAGCTAATAAACAGCAAAACCTAGATGGAAACCCAAGCAGCTGGCTCTAGAACCTGTGTCTTCACTATTTCAGCCTCCTATATCCTATGTGCCATTTAAGAACTTCTGAATTTTTGACTAAAGATTTCCCATTAACTCTTACAACACTCTACTAAATATTATTTAATATATCATTATTGCCTCAGAAAACAGTTAAATGTTACCAGATCTTATGATTTTCATTAAGAGCAACAGGTTTTACTAAGCTAATAAGTAAATTTCCAGTAACCAAAGAGATTCGGTTAACAAAATGCCATACAACTAGTTTACTTCTCTAACTTTGGAACTAAACAGAAAATATAACAAAAAATAGAAGAGCACATTGTTAGGAATTGCTGCAAGAAAGCAGTGTTCTTTTAAATCATGGCAAATGTCTTTTTTTTTTTTTTTTTTAATGAAAACAGTACTCTCCAGGAAATCTCAGTTTTTGTTTTTGTTCAAACAGGACTGTAATATTTAATTAACTTCACAGCTGGATCAACATATTTATGACTTTTATACTCATTTTTCTTAAATCCTTCCCCCCTCCTTGTGTCACACACATACTTTTTGTTTTCATCAGTGTCGATCAACCTTTTGTCTTGGACGCGTGTCTGCATATGTGTGTACAGCTTTGCCAAAAACTCTTATATTTTAGTGAAACTCCTTTCTGAATCTTTACAAGCCTGCTGTATTGAAAAACAAAGTGGATTATGTGTAGTCACAGAAAACACATTTTAAAGAATAGGTATAAAGTTAAGAAAAAAAGGCTGACTTATTAGAATGCATTTTTGAGATAACTTAAGGCATAAGCACCTGGGATTTATTCCTAGCTTTGCCTCAAACCAAGGAAGCAGTAAACCATGTCACTGATCTTAAATTGCATATTTGTTTCCCTTTTAATATTTGTGCTTACAGTTACTATCCTCCAGGGTGCTGATGAGATTGTCACTGCCTAAGTGCACAACCAAAAACTTGCAGAGTGGATATCATAGGCTTGGAAAAAAATATCCCGGCAAAAGCAGTGGAGCACTCTTTTAAGAAATGCTCCATAACCATGTTTTTAATGTCACAAAGAATGCTACTCTTAGGGAAAATAATCAGTGATTCTGAATTGAAAAGTAATTGAGAAGAGTCCATCTTTAAATGTGGAGACGTTCAAGTTAAATGTTTAAGATATTTACGAACATCTTAATAAATTTATTTCACGTATACTTCCCCTTTTACATATGGTTAAGGATGACGTGATAAAAATGTCTAAATTAAATCTAAAAGAACTCGTTCAACATTAAGAATGAAAACTCAGAGCAATAAGAAAGCATCGTGCCATTGTTTAACCAGCAGTAGTTGTAAAACTTTTTATTGATGTATAAAATAATGGTGTACTTTATAGTCAAATTGTCTTAAATTTGATAAAATACCATGGCATAGATAGCATCAGTTAAATATGGAGTAAGTCCTTGATCTTTTTTCCAAAGGCTTTAATTTTATTTTTAAAAATGTTTTAAAGTTTTATTTTTAATTGACAATTATATATATTTATGGGGTACAATATGATGTTTTGATACATATACACATTGTGGAATCATGGAGTCAGGCTAATTAATGCATTTATCACCTCAAATACTTATTTCATTGTAGTGAGAACACTTAAAAGCCATTATTTTAGCTATTTTGAAATATAAATTATTATTAACTATAGTCACCATGCTGTATTAATCCTCTACTGCTTAATATCTGTGAATTCTTGGATGAATTAGTTTACATGTTTTCATTTCATCATCTTTTACTTCCATAAAAGTGCCAAGCATAACGTTTTTTGAGAGAATCAATTGCAATAATACAGGGAACGCATCTTAGCACAATGCCTAGCATATAATAAGGATTCTCATAATAAGGATTCTAGCTCCTGCTATTATTAAATGTGTTAATATGGGCAAGCCACAAAATTCTTGGATGCCGAGTTAATTGTGAACTTGTGTCTAAAATCTCCTGCTGGGTTTCCTAAGGTTGTTGTGATGTTCAAATGCAATAATATCATGAAAGCACAAGACGGCAAGCTACTGCACAAAGGTGCTATTATTATTTATAATTATAATAGCAATTGCTGCTATTAAACATAGATGCTTTTCCCATGATTATGAGCACCTTGGTACAGGAAAGACTTACCACTTGGATTCAAGCAGAAGTTGAAAGAAGGAAGAGACTGAAGCCTTCCTTGAGGAGAAGAGAGGAAAAACTGGGATTAGATCATCGCTTAGGTTCTTTTCACTTGTAAACTTTTTTACAATATGGTGTAATGTGTCAAGATGTGTCAAGAAAGAAATTTGTAGCAGACAAGTACTTGACTCTCAATGGAGCCACACTCTTTAGACTCCTGCTTTTTATTTTCTTGGCCTCAACCCACCCTGTTCACCAATCTCACCTTCTTTTGCACCCCTGATCCCTTTTATTCTTTCTTCCAAGAACCCACACTTTCCTCTGCCTTTATCTATCCCACATAGATTTTGTGCTAGTAACGGTGAAAAACTTCTCAGCTTGGTATTTTGTTGCCCTTAATTTTGGGGAGGGGTTGGGAGTGGGGAGAAGAACTATCAATCTTGGCACAAATTCTCAAATTAGAATTTAAAGTCTTTAGGGCCTTGTCTCTTCTCCCACTGGACAGCGTGGCAAATGGCTTCACTCTCTCTCCGCCTTGATATATTTCCTATGGTGAATAGGATCCATCATAGACTTTTTGATTCCTGAAATCTAAACCTTTTACAAATATATGTATATATGTTTTTCAGCAAATGAGAAACTTTGAGAAATTATAGCATGCCAGACAGGTTTAAACAATTCATCTGGTATGTTGAAGCTAATTAGACATGCAACATAAACACTGCCATGATAAAAATGTACAGAAAAGGCATTTCACAAACAATACGACTATAAAACCCTACATCTGATCAAAATGTTTAAAAAGAAACAAGGCTTTGCCAAGACTATTTTCCAAAGTCCATTATTTCTAGTGCGATATCTGCAAAGGGAGCCAAGTCACTGAAGAGCTTCATGTTAAAGAGCGAATGACTCCAGCTAAACACAAAATGATTAGGAACTCAGGGGAAGCCAGTAAACCTTAACTGAGTCATGTTGTCCTTGGCTCTAAGCTTGTGAATTTTGCCTAAAACTTGGCTTATTCCGTAGGCACCTCACTCTGCATAACTTTTGGGTTTGATTTCTGGGCATGTCCTAAGATCTCAAGTGACTTTCCCTTGAAGCTTGATTTTCAGAAGACAAAGAGGTTGATTCCACATAAACAGAGAGTTTTGGAAGAAATAATAATAAATATTGATAAGATCATTGATAAAATATATAATTTCATTGATAAATAATAAATAAATATTGATAATATTATCAATAATAAATATTGATAATATTATCAATAATAAATATTGATATTATCAATGATAAATATTGATAATATTATCAATAATATTGATATTATCAATAATAAATATTGATAATATGACACATTGACATATTATATGAGGTGGAAGCAGAGATGAACAATTCATTAATTCAAAATTTCCAGATCAAGCAGTTTCTGTATGCAAGGATGAGGCTGCAGGAGATAGCAAGATGAGTGAGACAGTGTTTTGGCCTCTTAGAATTTCCTGCAAGACATTCATACCAGTAACTATAAAAAGTGACACAATGCTCAGGGTTGAATTGGAGCACAGAAGGCAAATTCCCCCACACCCAGGTCCCTCTCTTGTTTCAAATATACTAAGGATTAATAGGAGATGTAATCCAGGGCTGCAAGAGTGAGAGAAAAAAATGCAGTGCGCCAGGAAGGAAAGAGAGTAAATACAAGGTGGTCCATTACTAATCTGGCCACTATTTTATTAAAAAAAAATGACAACATGCTCAGTCTTGCTAGAAAAGTTATATAGGAACACAGCTCCTTAGAACAATTCTTCAGCCTCTATTTGTCAGAGTTAGTCACAAAGGGGAAAACACAGCATATGTTCTAATGAAGTTCAGCTGAGAGAATTCAGGGAACGCTGTATGTTTAGGTGACATTTTAGCTGAGCCCTAAAAGACAAGTAGGGTTTTGGCAGCTTCCACTAGAGGGGAAAGACTTCCAAGACAGTGAAAACCATGTGTAAAAGTCCTCAGTAAAGACTGGTGCTAGTGAAGGAATAGTTGCTTTATTCCCCTACCTGTAAATGAACAAAACATAGCATACATAAAAGAGGCCTGTCATGTTCCTGTTTGTCCTATGGCACAGTCTTATTTTAAATGAAAAGAACATTTTTGCCTATAGTTTCCCATACTAAGGTAATCAAGCTTCAACAAGGTCTTTAATAGGGTCTTCCTAAAGATACTCCACGCTGAGTTTTCAAATCCAAAGATTTGATTATGAGGATTGAAGCAGTTTTAGTGAAGGAAAGCCTATATAAGAGAGCTTCTGAAATGAAATCCTGTAAAAATAAATTTTTAATCAGCCAAAAACACTCCTAAACAATTTCTAATCACCTTCTTCCTCCATCACTCTGCACCAAAAGGTGTATAGTTAATACCAAAATAATGACAAATGATGGCTACAACATTTAGGTAAACAGAAAATTCCAACCATATGCAAAAACATGCTTTCATTTTTAAACTTTTCATGAATTTTTCTAAAATTCATAGTATTTTAGAAATTTATAGTAGTCATTAATTCACTCATTCAACAAATATTTATTAAATACCAATCAGATGATAGAGATGAGTCATACTCTGATATTTTATGCTTATTGAAGATAAAATATTTTGTAGTCTATGACTATAATTTAGACATATTGAAGGGTTAAAGTGAAAGTAAGTTTAAATGTAAGTTTAAATGAGGCTATTGAATCTATTTCAACTTGGTCTTGAGATAAGTTATTTCAATACAAATTGAACCTACATAATCTCATTTTATCCATTTATGCTCCAAACTTTGTTTTAAATAAAGGAAGCTCAGGAAACCTGAAACCATTTCTTCACACACAAAAAAGACATACTGTAATTGTAACTGATGCTTTAAAATATATATTGTGGAAAAATAAAAATCTACCTTTGTATGAAAATTCAGAAAGAGAAATCATGGGTTCTAATATTTACAAACAAAAAATTGATAGAGTGTGGAATAAATTGAAATAATTCTTTTCCACTAGACTTGTCTTCTGCTTCAATAATTTATTCCTTACAACCAATAAAACAGTAAGAAACACATGCAGTCTAATGATTTAAAAAAGAAAAATTATCTACCAAACATAAAATTCTTATTTACTGAATTTCTAGAATGGGTTAAACACTATTTTTTCTAGATATGGGCTGTTTCTCATTAGAACTTACATTGGAACTTCTTACTCTATGTTTTTTAATTTCAGTTTTGGATGTCATCATTTTGACTTCCACAGCTAATTATGTTATTTTTTCCAACCTAGCTTCCAGTTAACTAATCCTCTCTTCGACAGATTCTAATTTTCTATTGATTCACTCATTGAGTTTTTATTATTACAATGTTTGATTTTTTTTCTATATCTCTTCCTTAAAATTTCCTCGAGTTCATCATTCTTTTTTTCAGTGATTAACCTAAAACTCTCCCAGAATATTTAGTTGTTTTCATTGAGAGGACTGTCCTAGGTATCTAGTTAAACAGGGCATGCCTCCTTGTATAACTACACGGGGACCATTTATATCACTTTTCATATAAAATAATGTGCCCTAACTTGCTGCTCCCCCACTCACAAAGGTAAAATGTAAATGTTACACAAATTACATGGATTGCAAAATAAAGGCTGCCTCCTGGAATTGTGTAGGATTCCATGTCCCCAAAAGTACAAAAAAAGTGATAAATATATTTTAGTATATATTATATACTAGATATATTTCTAGTATATAGTATACTAGAAATATATAAATTATATGAATAATTTATAAAATATAATTTTGTATAATTATTTGAAATTATAATATATAGAAATATATAATTTCATGTAAGTCTAGGTACTTTATATACATGATTTTAAAACCTTACAAAGATTCTTATTTTCATGTTACAGCTGAAAATAAGGAGGTTTAGGAAGGTTCAGATGCTTTTGCAGAGTCAGATAACTAAGCCAAGATTTGACTTAGGAGATTCCAAAATGCACATTCATTGCACACACTACATGTACCCAGTTACTTGCAGTGATTCTGCTGTCCTTGTCATGCATGGTCAGCAGGTTAGAACCCCTAAGAAAAGCAGGAATTAAATACCCCAGTGAACCAGAGTACTTTATTCTTCCCTGTGACAACAAACCACTCCAGCCTTAGGCAACCGGTTAGCAAATGTTTGCTTTTCGTCCCCTACAGCCAGCTTAGAAACCTATCAGATGCATTTGCCATAGTGGAGGAACTTCATTAGGAGGGTCATCCTTATGTACATGTACCCAAATGGTGGCTTTTTTGTTTTTCAAAATGAAACTTAATGGTGTTACTAAAACTCAACACAGAAGTGAACTACTCTTCGTAAAAATATATGTATATATATTTTTAGGCCTTTAAACTATATATAATTTCTATTGCTGTCTTCCCTAGACCATGGGAAAATAATAATTTCTAGTACCACTCAGTATCAAATTGAAACACGGGGCACATTTTGATCAAAGGTAGCTGGGTTGCCTTCCTCCCTCCCTCCTTCGCTCCTTCGTTTCTTTTCTCTCCCTCCCACTCTCTTCCCCTTTCCCCATCACTCTCCTCCCCTTTACTAAACATGGAGCCCCTGTGGAGCTTATAACCTAGTGTGGTAGTGGGAAGCCAGAAAATGAACACGTAAACAGATGCAAAAAATGGTACTTTCAGACAGTGGTAAGGGCTAAATAGGAAACAAAGCCGATAGATGAAATACGGAAAAATTGGGACACAGCTAATTTACAAAGGGCCTTGAGGAGCTGCCAGAATGAGAAGACACCAGCATCATGGGAAAGGCTTTTCAGAGAGAAGCACGAATGCAAAGCTCCAAGGCAGGAAGGAGCGTGGCCTGCTGAGTTCAAGGAGTTGATAGAAGGCTGGTGGGCCGTGGCAAGGCCCAGTAGTGACAGGTCCTGGGAAGAGGTGAGGGAGGTTTGCAGGGCCAGATCAGGTATCTCTTGTATGCCACAGTCATGGGTCTGGCTTTTATTCTATGAAAACGAGAAGCTATTGGAGGATTTTAAGCAGAGTGTGACATAGTTCAGTTTATACTCTTCCAAGATCACCTGGTTCCTGTAGGGCAATAGTACAGGTAGGAGGTAAGTTAGGGGAGTCTACTGATGCAGGCGAAAGATGATGATGGACCTGACTGGAGTGGTGTGGCAGAGATGGAGAGAACAGGATGAATGTGGGGTGGATTTTGATAGAACTTGCATTGAATGTAGTGTGTGAAGAACTTGCATTTGATGGAAGTTGCATTGAATGTAGTGTGTGAAGGAGAGGGAATATCAAGGATGACTAAAGGTTTTACCTTGCCTTTTAGTTGCCCTTGGGACTAATTCTCAGATAAAAGAAAACACATGCTGAGTAATTCAAGTGAGAGACTCTAGCAAGTTATTCAAAAGAAATTGTCCATGACATGGTGAAAACTAGCCAGACTATAAACACAAAGCTGGTGTTCCATTGATCAGTGATGTAGTTTGCTTTTCAGGAGATGAAAGTTATTGCCAAGAGCTTTGCTACTTAAAGCATTGTCTGGGGCCAGCAGCACTGCATCACCTGGCTGGAAAGATAATTTTTGTCTCCACTCCAGACCCATTGAATCAGAATCTGCTTTGTTCATGTGCACATGAAAGTTTGAAATGCAGGTGCAAAGAGACATTCTAGCAGACTGGAAGCGTATCCTTCGTTTTAAGAAAGGTACAAAAGCACCATGCTTGTTTAGCATTAGTGACCTTTAAAAAAAAAAAAGAGATTGTTTTCACTGGAAAAATAACAATAACAAAATACTAAGCAGTTTCTGTAAGCTTGCTTCAAATCACCTGACTAGATTTCTTTCCCTTTCCAGTGGTCTTTCTTTCCCATTATTTTAGTAATTGCACACAAGAGAATGGAAATCTGCACAAATCTGGTTACCAGGCTTCAGGGTTTTGTGGTCAGAAATACTGCTCTCCAGTAATATTTTAAAGGAAACATTACTTTAATTATAAATGGAGGTCACAGCAATTTCTGCACAGACCCCTAAATGTTTTATGATGTTTTTAATGAAAAAAAGGCAAAGGAGCCAGCACTTCAATATATCACACACACTAGAGCAGCAAAAAATTTTAATAAAAATCTATGTACTCAACTACATTTTCAACTGGCAGTGAATCTATTGAGAATGGAACCATTTATACAGAGCTAATTTCTTACTTGAGTTCAGGGGAACCTCACTGTGAAGGCCACTGCCCTCTCTCCCACCCTCAGTCTGGTTTTCCTGCCTGGAGAAGTCACCTAAAAATGGAATGCAAAAGCCAGCTGTTTAAAAACCAAATCAAGATGTTTTCCAGAGCAGTGGTGCTGATATCACTGTATTGGTTTGTACAGAGGGGTTATTAATCAAAGTTCAATTCAAATCAACAAGTATTTATTGAACACCTATAATACTTAGGTGTTTTTGAATTATGTGCATATAGAGCTACTAAAAGTTGCTGATTGAGAAGTTTCCACATTGACAATTTTAAAGACAAAAGAGGTGAACTTTCCTTAAAATGCTTCTGATTATGGAGATTTAATCCCACTGTCAGAGTATTCAATTTATTATGTCTTCTTTCCCCTTGTTTTTAAATATCTGAATCCAGCAATACTGTTTAAATGCCTCCTCCTCAGAGAAACATTTCATGCCTACCCAACTGAACATCAATTTTTGCCCTGGTTATTCCTTCATACGCCCTAGTACTTTCCTTTCATAGCACTTAAGACACGCTGCAATTTTGTGTGTCTTTATTTGCTTGTGCTCTGTCTTCTCATTAGAACGGTCCTCATGAGAACAGAGGCTGCTCTGATTTGCTCTCCAATAAATACCAGCTGCTTAGTGGAGTACCCTCCCAGGCAAATAATAACTATTTGTTGAATGAATACACAAAAGTGTTAAACTGTCAAAATCTTTTCTCTGCTCCACTGATTACCTCCTTCTTATTTCAGATGCCCTGATTAAACTTCGTCTTTCTCTGAATCTCTTATTCATTTGTTCATTCACTTGGCAACAGTATGTGTCTGGGTAGAGTGTGTTTGTCTAGAAAAAAATCAATATTTTTTGAGGCCTCCCACTTTAAATCTAAGCTGGTCTAATAGTTTCTAACTGTTGTATTTCATTTCTGATTTTTGTTACTAGTAAACTAGATGATCTCAATCAAGAATTTTTATCAGTTGCTAAACAGTTAAGTTTTATATAAGTCATTAGTAACAAAATTTCCCTTAAAATCACTTGCCTTCTTCTATATTAACCAAATGAATTACATGTTTTGAAAAAGAAGCCTGAAAAGACCAATCTATTGTAAAAATACATAAGGAACATAGAAATAGGTGACCAATGGTATAGTGTCTACAACACGGCTGCAGCTAGGCTGACAACAAACATGAGGCAAATAAAACCAATGTGCTACAAATAAGGACCATAAATCAAATGGGAAAAGAAAGCAAATACCTCAATCTCAACTTGTCTCCAGGTCAAAACCTCAAAGCTGCATTTCAGCGGATATGCTTAACAGGTTCACAAGGAGCAAGACAAAGGTTTGAAGAAATATTTAGAAAAAATTTCTGAAATACTGCTGTTTCCAAGGGGAAAAGAATTCTGTAACAGTCATTTTGACTCTACCGATCTATTAGGCCCAGAAAGGGTGTGAAGAGGGACCTGCATGTACATTCCATAAAATTCCCAGTACAGGATCAAATACCTATTAACATGGTAAGTGTACTTTTTCATTATATAAGAAATGAAGACCATTTAAGAAAGTTCGGGAAATAAAGAAAGGGCT
Organism: Homo sapiens; assembly: GCF_000001405.40. Lineage (NCBI taxonomy): Eukaryota > Metazoa > Chordata > Mammalia > Primates > Hominidae > Homo > Homo sapiens. The sequence continues at coordinate 25,124,394 of NC_000003.12, read as the reverse complement.
GTATCCACAATTTCTTTCTTTTTGAGACAGTCTCAGTCTGTCACTCAGGCTGAAATGCAGTGGCATGATCTTGGCTCTCTGCAACTTTCACCTCCTGGGTTCAAGTGATCCTCCTGTCTCAGCCTCCCAAGTAGCTGAAATTACAAATGCCTGCCATGACACCCAGCTAATTTTTCTTATTTGTAGTAGAGACAAAGTTTCACTATGTTGGCCAGGATGGTCTTGAACTCCTGACCTCGTGATCCACCCACCTTGGCCTCCCAAAGTGCTAGGATTACAGGCGTGAGCCACCGCGCCCGGCCTGGACTCACATTCTTATTAACATCCTTTCCACTCCCTCCCCGGGTGAGTACTGGCAACATAATACTGGTAACATAGTTTGGAGAATTTCCCTTTACTAAGGGGTGTATCTGAGTATTCCAAAGTTATCTTTGACACAGACTGGTTCAGGACTGAGATACTTTGGCCAATAAGATATGAGCAGATGCTTGCTATTGACTTTTTAGAAAGTTCTGGAGAAGACAACAGGAAATGAGCTTCTCCCATAGCCACGTGAAGAACATTAGAGATAGTAGATGAGGGAGAGGAAAAAGCAATTCTAGATAACGTGGTTGAAAAGATAGATTTTCAAACGCTAAGCCTATGACTAGAAGAGGGTAAAAATAGGCAGCAAAATAATACTGGGTGTGAGCTGCTCCTTGCTGCTGCTTTTCATGAGCTATTACAAGAAAGAGATGAGCTTAAACAAGAAGTTTTTAGTTTGCAAGGAGAAACATAAGGGAATGAGGATAGTCCAGCAATTAGGTGTTAGGTTATATGATTAGAAAAGGTGATACAACTGTTGCTTTTCTCCCACAGGGGAATATTTCAAGTGGCTTTGATATAGCCACTGTCAGTGTGAAAGAGATACATGTGTAGAAAAGAAACAAAGGTGAAATATGTCTAGTGAAGAACACTGGGTGTAGTTACTGGCACAAGGAAGTTAATGGGCACAAATAGAGGAGAAGCCCACTATGATTTTGAGGAAATCATATTGCCAAAGAAACCACAGGAGCAGCCTACAAAATTCTATGACTATTCCACCCCTAAACAGATGCTCAGTCCTGAAAATTGACGCCAATAGAAATGAAACTGTGAAACACACTTCCCAAAGTAGACCACACATAAAGTAATGGAAGGTGAGAAGCACAGACAAACCTGTCAATGAATGGAGCCAGAAGCCATAGCAAATAACTGGAAAGGGAGTTTTGCCTGGACAGCAGAAAACAGTTATGAAACTCCTCCCTGCCGACACCCCAAGTGCCAAGTCAAAGTGTACCTCAATGCTCATGCAGGAGAATTGAATTGTTGCCATTCATCAGAACAGCAGTTTTTAATGAAGTTATACCATTCCTGAGTCACCACTGTGTACATGTGCTGTGGCGAAGTGGGGTAGATAACTTGCCTTTTATGACATAAATGTCAAGATGACAAGGTGCCAACTCCAGACCCGATGGAAAGGATTTAGCATCACCAGAGATCTTGAATGTTATAACCGTTTGGGGCATTTTGGGTTTCTTCCCTTGGGAAATGTGAGAATATTCTGTGTGTGGTTAGAGGGGTGGACTGCAGCTGAGATTGAGATGTCCACCAAAATCCATCCTCCGTCTTCTGTACATGCCTGGTCCCTGGTTGGCTAGCCACATTACATTTTCCAGCCTTACTTGCCGTGACTTAAGACCATTTAACCAAGATCTCACTAATAGAGCTAGAACATGAGGAAAGTGATATCAGAGTACCAGATGGGGACCTTCAAGAGAGCTAACTTGTCCCCCTCATACTTTCCTGTCCCTTGCCGTAAGTCTGAGCATGGACACACCCACAAGCCAGCCTTAACCATGCATTCTGCATATAAGAATGTCCCAGAGCAGAGCTTCCCAAACTTCAGTTCATGGCACTGTAAAGTTTCAATAATCTTTCCACAGTACCCCTAGGCCAAAAGAAATAGCTAATGATTCAATTTAAAAGCAGTTAGTTTCAAAAAAACTTAGTATGTCCTGATGATCTAGTAAGCACTTGAAACAATAACAGAAATTGAGAGAAATATTTGCATTTTATTCTTAATCATTACTAATACAATTTGTCCATTTGTTAAGCATCGCACAACTTCTCAAATACCACCAACCTCAACACTGATTTTTGCAAAATACTTGCTTTTTCAAATCACAACAATTGCTGAAAAACAGCTTCACAAAGATATGCCATCATTGAAAGGGGTGTAGTGTGAGATCTGGCATTGAAACTGATCTTATTTGCGTTGTGGGTTTCTGTGTTGGAACAATTAACATTATCCTAACTGATACATTGACTCAACTTTTGAATGACTTTCAAAGAAGTATAAGAGAATGTCACATTGAATCAGAATGAGGTATGGGTTTCCCTAATACAGCGCTGCTTTTCTTAGGGCTGAACTAAGATATACAAGGAAGAATGAGGAAGAAAGTAGAAGAACGTGACAGGTCCCCTCTGGGATATAATCCTCCAAAAAGCTCAATGAACCTCCAAATGGTCTTCAAATACCTGCAAGGTTATTATTCCTAGTGTTTTTAGGAGTTGACTGTTCAATAGATAAATCTTAATAAATGTGTAGAAATTTAAAAAACATAAATTATTTTGAGTAGCCTATTAATTCAGCAAGTATTTACTAAACACCTCCTATGTACAAGTTACTGGATATCAAAATACATACCAAATCCAAAATACCATTACACATAAAAAAATATTCTTTGCAAACTACCCTTAGGAAGAGCAAATCCCCATTCCACCTACACATTGGATTCTAATACCTTGCTAAGCCAAAACTCACTGTCCACTGTTTTCAACAGAGGTGAAAACGTAGACTGGTGTGGGATATTTTTCTTTTGCACCATATTCATTATCCATCTTTACTGGGTTGTTTATACATCAATTAACTGTGTTACATTTTCCAACTATTAAAGTTGAATCAAAGAAGCTATTTTTTTTCTTTAAAAATCTAAATAGGAAGCTAGAAATTCTGAAAACTGAAAAGGAGGTGAGCAATGTTCTTTATGGCTTCTCTGGTTTATTCTTGGGAGTTTTAAGCCCTCTTATATCTCCTGTCTTCTATAAGCTTAAATCATTAGCTGTGATCCAAACATGTCATGCCTGAAAATTCTCCCTTTTCCACCTGGGGAACTCTGCCCTCCCCTTTGAGACTTAAGTCAGAAATGATCTTTCCAGTATAGCCTTCCTCACTGGCTTGCAGAAATAGTGATCCTTCCCCTTCTTCAGGCTTTCCCACCACTTTATACACATGCATGTGAATTCAAGCATCCATACTTCTGTTACAGCACTTTTCAAATTATATTACCAGTTTGGGGTTATGTTTATTTAAATCAGGAGCTGGCCAACTTTTTCTGTAAAGGGTCTGATAATAAATAGGCTCTGTGGGCCACAGGATCTCTGTAGCGACTACTCAGTTCTGACTCTGCCATGGGAAAGTGGCCATAGACAATATGTCAATGACGGGTGTGGCTTATTTGCAGTGAAACTTTGGCAGCCAGCTAGATTCGGCCAAAGGGCAATGATGTGAGGATTCCTGATCTAAATCTTTAAGACAAAAAGCCTCATATTGCTTATGAAGTCTCCGTAGGTCATTCATCTTCATGGAATTTGCTGGGTCATCTTCAGCCATTTTCCCAAATTCTGGATATCATTAAGATCCATTTTTGACTGACAAAATTTTAGACTTTAGTTAACAATATATAACTTACCTCCAGTATGAAGTGGTTGAACTGCACATTCAGAAAATTATACTCTAATAGGCATATCGAGAGAGAGAGAGAGAGAGAGAGAGAGAGAGAGAGATTTTTATATATATATTTATATTTCTTTTTGGCTGATAGTACTGACCCATACAGTGTTTTACATTTAACTGGTTAAAGTTTATAACTAGAGATATTAAACATTTTTTAAAAGATGGTGTTTACTGTTTTTCTTGACAAGTTGGAGGACATGGCTTTACTCTACCTACCTTCCCTTATGGTAACAAGTCACTGGATCTGAGTAACAGCTGCCCCTTTTAAAAGGAGTATGTAATCTCCAGTTTTTTACAGTCGTCACTACTCTCTACTGTCTCTCCAATGTTTAGTCCAAATGTCAGTTGCCATTTATCGTCTTTCATCTGCCAGCCTCTTGATGTTACCTATCTGGTTCCTGTGGTAATTTGGGTTTGCAACCCTGATATAGTATTAAGAATTCCTGGGAGATTGAGACCACAAGTCCTTCACTTTCCTTGCACCCATGCACACTTTATTCCTGTCCTGCACACTCAGGATCTCAGGATTAGGCATACCAATTCCTGTGATGGATGATTTTAAAACTGCATGCCTTGGAGCTGGGGGGCACTCTAAACTCTCCTTGTGCTCTATATCCATCAAACCATCACTTCTCCTTTCATCCAGCCCTTGTTCTACTTCCTGATTGTCCACAGTCTCACATGTTATCTCACTTATCTACTAATCAGATTTTTTAAAAGTGCAAATGCCCATTCATTTTTCGGTGATAAAATACAGACCACCAGCTCTAGGCATCTTATAGTCTATTAGAAAGTCCATCTGAATGTTTATTGTAGCCATTTGCTATACCTGAACAAATGAGTAGGTTTTCAAATATAAAGTTAATTTCCTTAGTATTGACACAAGAGCAGTGTTTTTTTTGTTGTTGTTTTTTTTTTGTTTGTTTGTTTTATCACTTTTTCACTTGTGGTGTTAGGCTGCGCTGAGTTACACCCATTTATCTGACCTACCACCTGTCCTGTGCTGCACCCTGCATTTGAAAGATGGATGGGGGTCAGGGTGCATAAGACCCATAATAGCAGCCAATGTTTGTTGAGCATTGTCTGTACCAAGGACTATCCTAAGTTCTCTTAACATCGATTACTTTGCTTAATCCTCACAATACACCCATGGAGCATACACTACTACTTCATTCATCTTACAGTTGACAAAACTGTAGCAAACACAGTTAGACAATTTGCCAAGGTCAAATGGAGGAACAAGGGTTCAAACTTCTGAAAAATCTGATTTCAAAGCATATTCTCCTTACCACCGACCCCTCAGTCCTCACCAGCTCACTGCCAGTAGATGACCATAGAACAGAACCAAGCATCCTGTTCAAACAAGTTCAAACCCAAGGTATTCTGAGGAATCTACTAAGCAAGATATCAAACTGAAATCTAACTGTAATAATATTGCATTCCAGAACTACCCATCTTCCTATCTTGCTTTGTAATGAAAAAATAATAAAGATTTACTGTTCCTAGGCTTAAACATCCTGGGATATTGGTAAAAATTTTAATGGAAACTTTAAAAAACTGCATGATATTTTTTCAGCTTATACTGGGAATGACATTGGTCAAAGCTGTATATTCTCTGGATACTCTATTTACTGATATTTTTATTTTTTATGATCAAAGTGGGCATTTGGTTATAGATGCTTTAAAGTTTTTTTGAGATAAAAATTAAAGTTATACCTTAAAACGGGAAACTCTGGGACCTCCATTCCCATTTGTCTGTATTATAATGGACCTAAAATGACTTTCTGGGGAGGATCTTGTGTTGCCTGGGTCTACTCCTATGGCTCATTGCTAAGCAAAACCAGGTATCCTTCCACCAAGACATATCTCATTGTTAAACACTTTAACTTCAGCAAGATATTAATTTCACCCTCAGCTTGGCTGAAAAAGCACATGGCTTAGCACTTCCTGACAAAACAGAGCAGCTATCCTCCATGTACTTCTCAAGGAATATAACCTTAAACTCATTACTGATCCAGCAGTATATTTCAAAAACTTGACTAATAGAAGATGCACCTATGGAGGATTCCTCCAAAGCTATATCTTTGCTCAGACAAAGTGGTCTTTCCTTTTGGCATAAATTACACAGAATTTGTATATACGTACTGTTTAACAAAAGTCAGGGATCACACAGACACAAGGTGTGAAAGAGATACTCCACATTCCATCCTGGGATAGATGGCAGATCATGATAAAGTGACAAATCTGGACCACATCAGGTTGAACCTGATGAAAAAATGCCTTTTTCCCCCACAACATTGATTTTCCATTAATTTTATCTTGGTAGATGTACTGGTCCATATTGGGGAACTGTATAGGAAAGAGCTGATGAGGGTTATCACTGCGTTTATGATGAGGACACCATTCATGACATTATACAGTGTCCTCTCTAGAAAAAGTTATTGGAGAAATTTCTCTTTGGTCTCAATATCAGGCAGGATGGAGCCTCTCCAAGCAATTGGTTTCATTTCACTTATGAACACTATAAATCATGTTTGCCTCCTATCTTGGACTGCTAGAAAGCTCAGTGTCAAATATGTGACACTTCTTTACAAAGGAGATAAGACTTCAGTGATGTGCTGGTTCTACTCCTGACCTTATTTCACCCTTCAATTGTAACTTTCTCTTTCCTTCATCTGTTTATTGATTATATCTTCTTTTGTTATACCGAACAGATTTCAGTAACACATTTTAGTAAGATTTTTTGGACAAGGAAGGATAGAAATAAGTAATTAATTTCTTTGGTGTATTTTTCCCCTGGTGACTTGTTCCACCAATGATCCAGGTAAATTCTGAAAGCCATCCTCTGCTCTTCCTTCTTCCTTGAGCCCAACAGTTGATTCTGCTTCAAATTCAGCAACTTATATCTTCACTGCCATTACCCTAAGCTCAGGCCACCAGCAGCTCTCTCCTTGGCCACTAAAATAATTCACCTGTTTCCTCCCACATGTCTAATCCATCCCCTATCCATCCTATTCTCTGATTGTCAGTCATGCTTGAAATCCTACATTGGCTTCCTTTGGCCTTTGGATATTGTTTAACCTTCCTCACAGGCCTTACATGTCCCTGGTAAATTGGAATGAGTGCTCTTTGATTGGGCCCATGGAACATTGCTTTACTTTCTTCCTGTTCTGGATATGTGCACATGCTGTTTGCTTTGCCTAGAAACCTCTTGTGCCATGCTCCTGGTGAACTTTTATTCAGTTCTCAATTTAAATGTTCCTCTCTTGGGAGGACTCAGTGGCTTCTTAGATTTGGTTACATATTCCTGTTACACACCTTCAGGCGCAGTTATTACTTGGGAAGTAGATTATCATATTTGATTTTAGTTACTTATTGAACAGTTTGTTCTCTGCCATGCTGTAGGACGCGGGCTCTATCTGCCCTGTTTATTGCTGTATTCCCTGTGCTAAGCACAGTGCCTAGCACATTTAAGCATTCAAAAAACACTGGTTCGTTGATTGAATGAATGAGAAAAATTATTATTAAAGCATCAGAAAGGATGATTTCTGGCTGGTCTATCTTTAGTGGACCCACAAATTTAATGAAACAACCTGTAAAGTTGCTCTTATTCTTATGTTAAAAAATTATATTTGCTTACTTCTTGTCTATGCAATAATTTCAATTTAAAATCAGGAAGAGGAAAATTGGCACAACATATCATTCCTAGTCTGATTCCTTATTCAGTTGTCATGAATCACCTAGGGTAATGCAGCAATAGAAGACAAAGCTAGTCTTCAGAGATCTGTCCTCTTATCAAGGCATACTGAGTCATTTAGACTTAAAGGCAGGCTTTGGTTTGTGTGAGAGAAAACAGAGGTGAGAGGTAACTGCCAGGTAATTCAAAGATACCATTTACTTACCAAAGTCAATGGTAGCTTCACATCCTCTTGCATAGCCAGTGTAATGCAAGCTAGTTATGACATCAAGCAGAAGGCAGAAGCCTTTTCTTTAAGGAGGTTGTCATTACATTTTCTGCACACATCATAAAAAAAGACAGCATCATAGACCTCCGCTCTTGGACTGAAAACATTAAGTAGACCGAGGATGGACAAACAGGTATCCTGGCTTTCCTTTATTTTCCTATATTCTCGACTCGTTTTTTTTGTAAACTTTAATAAGATGTTTCTGTTTGATAAAGATGGGGATTACTTAGGTCATGACTTGCATAAAGTGGGAAAAAAAAAGGGAAGGGTGGCTGATTACTTTGACTTCTGCTAAAACACACATTTTAAACTCAAGGTTGCTTATAGAGCATTTCGAAACTAGTGACAACTCTCAATTACTTGCAAAGGGGAAAGGGGACTCCTGGGTTGCTGCAGTATACAATTTCACAGACTTGGCTACATTCCATTCCTGGGTTCTGTGCGATGCTCTGTGCTGTACTGCAGTTACTTCAGTTACTTCCAATCAAGAGAAAATGAACTGGTAGAATACAAACTAGTAGAGCAGAAGTTTAGTCAATGAGATGTCAAACACTTGAATGTTCTGAAATATAGAATGCTGTCAAGAAAGCAGATAGTCACATCTTGAAATTATCTGTGGGAGAGAATTCTCAGGATTCTTCTTAATGATAAATGAAGATTATCTTCAAAAAAATGAAAACTGGGCCAGGCATGGAGCCTCATGCCTGTAACCCCAGCACTTTGGGAGGCTGAGGCAGGAGGATTCTTTGAGGCCAGAAGTTCGAGATCAGCCTCGGCAACATAGCAAGACTGTACCTCTACAAAAATAAAAATTAAAAAATTAGCTGAGTGTGATGGCATGTGCTGTAGTTTGAGCCCAGGAGCTTGAGGCTGCAATGAGCCATGATGGTGCCACTGCACTCCAGCCTGGGTGACAGAGTGAGACTTGAAAGGAAAGAGGAAAGGAAAGGAAAGGAAAAAGAAAGAAAGAAAAAGAAAGGAAAAAAAAGAAAAAGGAAGAGAAAGAAAGAAAAGAAGAAAAAGAAAAGAAAGGAAAGGAGAGGAGGGGAGGGGAGAAAAGAAGCAAAGAAGGAAAGAAGAGACAAAAACTGAAGAATACTAGGCATAATTAGAAATGCTGACTACTTCTTCACATAGGTTCAGCCTAATCAAGTAGCCATCTTTTGTATTATATTAATACATATAGATGCACCACACACTCACCCAATTGTTACTGTTCCTTTCTAACTGAATGTTATAGATGTTACAATGTCATTAACAGTAAAGCACAATGTTTTTTATGTACTACTAAGACAAAGAAAACACTGCCAATTAAATGGTAACACGATGCTTTTTAAATATTTATGTTAAATGTTATACTTCTTGAAATTTCTCCCTGGGACTTAGGTAGACAGTTTTTTTAAGTAAAACCATTTTTTTAGTAAAACATGGCTAGCTAAGAAGGTTCTGGGGACCTGGAGCTAGCACTCAGTGGTGACTATCAGGATTTGATGAAGCCAATGCATTGGATAATTGACAGCTCAATTATTAGCAGGAAGTTGTACAGAAAAGGAATTACAAATTTTTCTCTATGAAATAAAGAAATGATTTTTTAAAGTAATTATCATCCTTGAGCACTAAAAGGGAAACCTGAGCTAAATACATTGGTTAATGTACTCTTAAAACTTCTTTATACTCAGAGTCCAACACTTCCAAAATTATTTTTCAACTCAGTATTTTATAACTTTTCATTTTATACAATATCATCCTCTATGACATAAAGAGCAATGATAGTGCAGTAATTTTTAAAGAGTGTTCCACTGTTATCTTTAAGCTGCCAACCATCATTTGGCATGTTAGAGCTTTCCTGATCTTGCCAGAGGTGTCAACAGAAGGTGTTCCGACAGCAACCTAATCTTCTTTCCTCCAAGGATCCTTACATGGTTGTCTAGGCACACAACTAGAAATAACAACCATATTAATGCATGCAAAGAATGGCAATTATGTCATGGTTGCTGCCAATAACACTTGCAACTGTAAACTGTATGCTGGATCCCGATTTTACAAATACTAAAATGGGAGGTGGTGGCAAGTGGGAAGTTTTTCTTACAATCGGTAAAATATAAAGTTACACATCCTGGAGCACAAAGTAAAATCCCTACAAGATGGGATCATCATTTTTACTTCTGCTAAAATAAATGTTTTAACTCAAGGATACTTTCAGAGCATCTTCAAACTAGTGAAAACTCTCAATTATTTCCAAGTGGAGTAGCTCAGTGGTAGGATAATGAACGCAAAGCCTCAGCTACTCCAACCGTCTGGTTTGGGCACATGGCTCTTCTTGAGTAAAAGAAACTTCAGAGCAGAGAGTGCTGCACCAAAGGAGGCAAGAGTTTCCTGAATGGTAATACTTTCCATTGCTCCAAGCTACCCAGAGTTGGGTGGGTGGAACAGAAAAGGCTTTAAACACAAATATTGTAAACACATAATTGCCTTACCCCACCTCTACCTCTCCTTACAAATAGTGAGGATGATGCAAGTTGCATTCTTTTGAAATGCCCAAGACACAAACCAGTTAAGCAGGTGTGTAGGTTGACAAAACACTTCTTATACACCATCTTTAAATCTCTCAAACTTTTTGGGTTGATTCACAAGCTCCTTCAAACGTAAAATCTAGGAATGATAGCAACCATTTCCAGGGGAACAGGGCAGACATTTACTATCCTGGCAGGTCCCTTACACATGTTCTCTTGGACTCTGCCTTCTGAGGAAGAGTGTTGGCAATGCAACCAGCCTCTCCTGTTCTCTGCTCAGGGTCCTTTCCTCCTGTCTTGGTGGTCACTGGCTGTTGCCAGGGAACTTTCTGGAACTGCTTTCTACCTACCATCTTTTAATTCAAGATCCTTCCCTAACCCAGTTGTCTATATCCCAGCAGGAGGTCAGGACTGTCTGCAAAACCCTGGGGCCGTGGCTAGCTAAGAAGGTTCTGGGGACCTGAAGCTAGCACTCAGTGGTGATTATCAGGATTTGATGAAGCCAATGCATTGGATAATTGACAGCTCAATTACTAGCAGGAAGCTGTACAGAAAAGGAATTACAATTTTTCTCTTTCTATGAAATAAGGCAATGATCTTTCTCTTAGGCCTTATACTCAGAAGACAACTTCATTTCCTAAGAAAACAAACAAAAAATATTTCCACTGTATGTTTATTATTAGGAAATGGTTGGTTTTAGGATTGTCAAAATAAACCAGAATGAACAAAATTAGACTTTTAGGAAATTTACAGTGATGCTAAAACATATTGTACCCAGTGGTAATTTAATTTCCTTATCAGCGTCTCCCAAGAGAAACTGGGAACAGAATGTGTCCAAGTCCAAGAATTCCTGAAGAAAATGCAGAAAAGGAGCTAATTGCTAATTGAAACAATTGGTACCAGACCACATGAGTTCAGATAATATAGATACAAAGGGGCAAAGGCAAGGAAATGATCAGTGAGAAATGAGAACATGAAGAAAAAAATCAGAACAAAAATAAAGCAAATGACAGATAACTTTATAATGTGATTCATTTCCAAATAAACAGCAAGTCAGAACAAAACTACAGGAAAACAAACTGGCTCTCAATGATGCTGAATATCTCATATCAAGAGCACCACAAAATCAGATCTATACTAAATAAAAATACCCGAAAATTCAGAAAAAATTTAAGGTTGTAGCTAAGAACACAGAAGATCTTGCACATCTGTGTATTTTTTACACCATTACGTTGACATGACTCTGCCCTCAAAATAGAATATCGAATATCAATTTTCTATACAAGATGGTTAGGAAAACCATTGGCTTTTTTTCCCTTTTTTAGACAGGGTCTCACTCTGTTACCCAGGCTGGAGTGCAGTGGTGCTATTATGGCTCACTGCAGCCTAGAACTCCTGGACTCAAGTGATTCTCCTACCTCAGCCTCCTGAGTAGCTGGGACCACAGGTGTGTAGCACCATGCTCAACTAATTTTTTTTATTATTTGTAGAGACGAGGTCTCCCTATGTGGCCCAGGCTGGTCTCAAACTCCTGGGCTCAAATGATCTTCCCACCTCAGTTTCCCAAAGTGCTGGGATTACAGGTATGAGCCACCACTCCTGGCCACCATTAGCTTTTATAAGGAAGTATTGTTATTTAATACTCTATAACAATGAGAAAAAACAAAACATATATAATGTAAGAAAATCTCTTTAATTTTATATCAAATTTTAAATGAAGATATAAGATTGAGAAACTTGCCTGAGAATCTGCATTTGTAACAAGCTTCCAGGTGATGCTGCCGCTGCTGTACTGTGATTTGAGTAGCAAGGTTCATCATGTGGCCTCTATATTTGGTGGAGTCTTTCACCAGTGATATGAGGACTGAAAGGATGGCCAAATTCTAGTTCAAGTCCATGTCAGTAATTTGAATCTGGTCTCATTTACAGATCTTGATTTAAGCTACTCAATGTCCCAATAATTCTTAACTTCTACAAGAGTCTGTTCTTTTATTTAAAATTATTATCATAATCAAAACACCGAACAGCTGCCTACTATCTGTGGGGTGGCAAGTTAGACTGCAAAAAGAAAATACTGCCTCTTGCCACCTAGCAGTTTATAATCTAACACAAAAACATTGATGTTGGTGTGTATGTGGCATTCCAAAGCATGTCTTCAAAACATATCCAAATCAAAGGTTTATTATAAGAGTAAAAGGGGGGAAATGAATATAAAATTTGTTGGAGTCGGGCCCGATGGCTCACACTTGTAATCCCAGCACTTTGGGGGCTGAGGCAGGCGGATCACAAGGTCAGGAGTTCGAGACCAGCCTGGCCAACATAGTGAAACCCCACCTCTACTAAAAATACAAAAATTAGCTGGGCATGGTGGCGGGTGCCTGTAATCTCAGCTACTCGGGAGGCTGAGGCAGGAGAATTGCTTGAACCCAGGAGGCGGAGGTTGCAGTGAGCTGAGATTGTGCCAGTGCATTCTAGCCTGGGTGACAGACTCCGTCTCAAAAAAAAAAAAAAAAAAACCACTGTTAGAAACGGAGATCATTTAGCTAGGAGACTTAAATTGCAATATATATTATAGAGCTGTCAGTTTTCTTTTGGACCATCTCTTGTGAAGGGGCATGGCATTTCAGAAATGATTTTAAATCAGTTTTGCTAGGCTGCTAGTAAGAGAGAAATTTCAAGGAACAACAACAAATAAGGCTACAGGTGGTAACAGTGTTCCTAGTGGTTAAACCAGACATGGACTTAATACCAACAGTGGTCAAGATGGCAGAGAACTTAAGAATAGCTGCTGGTAATTAATTTTTGAAATTAAATATTATTTTGACTCTCAAATATGATTGAAGCACTTCCTAAAATTATGCCACTGAATTTTCTTCTAAAAGCTTTATATAAATATATCTCTTAATAAATGAAATCAAAATAGTATTAGGATTGATTACTTGCATCTGAAAAAACAAGATGGATTTGATATGGATTCTTGACTTCCTTGCTGTCATAGCCGTACAAGTATTTAAGTGGTAAGAAAATAATCCTGCCAAGCCTTAGAAAGACTCAAGAGGCTGGAAAGAGAGCCAAGATGTTAGAAATATCTCCCTATTCCCACTGTTCTTCTTTCCGTCAAACTCATAAAAATGTACACGATCTGTACACATTTGTAAAAATACACTCTATTTATGTCAAAGTAAACTTAAATTGGGGGCTTTATGTGTCTTTCACATAATGCAGCTCATTGTTTCCCTGAGAAATGAGGATGAGATATTTTGATACCTGGGGCAAAGCTAACATTATTCAATTTGAGTGGGGTAATTAAGAACAGATTCTTACCACTAACACTTGATTGGTTTAAACTGAGCTACAATACACTAAATACTCCTTCTTCCTGAGATTTTGAAATTTAATATCTTTTAAAATGGAAAAGGCAAAAATCATTTCTCTCCTGAAATAAGACATAATTACAGCCTTCGGAGGCTAGCTGTAGCTACAGGACTAAACTAAAGTTATTGAATTATGGTTCTCCTTTACTAGGTGAACTGGCACTTCGTTTCCTTGTTGGATGAAGTCTTAATATTTAAAACAAAATTTGCTCTAAAATGAAACAACTGGTATTTTTAAAGCATTTCTGAAATGCAGGAAAAAGTAATTAAAATATTTGAAGCTGAGTCCTGGGCTCCTCCACTTAACTCACTGAGTGATTTTGGCATCTCTTAGATTGAGTTTCCTCATTTGTAAAGTTCCTCGGAGACAAAATCAAGGCTTAAATGAGATAACACATATGCATGCCCTTAGAAAAGTACAGAATGCTGTAAACATGTTCGTTTTACATTATTATTGGAAACAGCAAAAGCAACACCTATAAACAAGCGTAAACTAAGACACATTGACATGTATTTAGCCTAAGCATGGTCAACTATCAATTTATGAGTATTGCAATTCCCATATCCCATTTGTAGGGATTTTTTTGGAGGATACCACTCCTGGTATGAACGTTTCAGTCAGTCAGGAGAGAGAAACCACACTGGAGAGTTTAACAGACAGGATTTAATGTCAAGAATTGTAAACCAGATCTTGGGGAAATGAAAAGGCAAAAAAAGAACACAAGTATTATAAGGTAATAATTTCAAGGAGTAGCTCTCGCTCATAAGCGAGATGGGAAGCAAAGGGATGAAGTTGGAATTCTTATAACAGGAGCCTACAGGGGTATCTTGTGGGGCTGGGATCCAGGCCTCTGAAGGAGTCCACCTGGTAGGTGCTGGTAGCTCTGAGGCTGTTTCTGAGAGTGTTGGAAAAATTCTAACTTGGAATCAACTGCTGCTTTTGAAACAAACTGCTGCTGCCTGAATGAAGAAGCATGGCTGACGTAACGCTCACGGAAAGGGAAGCAAACCTGCTTTTTGGTTATCCTGCCTCCCAGTTGGTCTCTAGTGTCCCCATAGGCAGAGTCAATAGGTGTCCAGCTGGAAATGATGAATGTGGTTGCAGAGTTTTGGGGTCAGCAAGACAAAACAGAGAGTAGAAAGGTACACTTGAATTTGAGTAACAATATTTTAATAACCAGCATATCCAACTTTCAAATATATTTTGCTTTTCAGGAGACTGTTTAAAAAAACATGTAAATTTCAGTGTTTTTGTACTTGTACAAATTATTTAATCACAGTTCCTACTACTTATTATCATATTTGATTTGATCCCCCCAGATCATAGTACCAAAATGCCCCTGCTTGTTCCAAAGATGCTGTGGGCCATGCTTCCAGTGTTTATTCTACTCAGGAAATAAATCAAAGAACCCATCACTCATCAGGTGTTGAAAACCAAAAAATGCAAAGGTTAAGTCAATTAACATCTTCAATCATATCTACACTCAATGAAATACCAGCTAATATATTTATATGCATTTAATTACTATTTTAATATTATATGAGGTAACTATACCTACCCATTTGAACGCTTATCATTTGGCAAACACTGAACTAGGTGATTTGCATGTTACATCAGTAACACCTTCAGAGCTATTGTTATCTGCATTTTACCTAAGAAATGGCAACTTTAAAAGGCTAGGTATCACATCCAAGATGTTATCATTGGTGTGTGGCAATGCAGGGATACAATCTGGTCTGAATGACTCCCAAGCCTGAGATCTTTGCTCTACAGCCCACTGTTTGCATGCTAATTTTATACAGAGTACCCACTTAGAAACTGACACAGAATGTTTACATAAGGAGATACAGAAATACTGCTATGACACAATGAGACTAATTTTCAAGTGATAGTTTTAGGAAAGTTGAAAAAAATTAGCTTAATTATAAAAAAATGCAGTTAATTCATATTTAGTTTTAATTTTAAAACGTGGTACAATTTGAAGACAGTAAAAAACATCAAGAAAAAATAGCTTTGGAATTGTCAAAAGTGTCACAAACTCTCTATACAAAAACACCATAGCAGAGACTGATAATCTATCCATCAAATCCATTCTTTTTTCCCTGGACACTGAATTAGACATTTCCCAGGCTTCCTGGCAGTTAGATGTGACCACGCGACTGAGTCCTAACCAATAGGATTACGAGTGATGTATGGCACTTCCTGATCTGGTCCATAAAACCTCCCACCGTTATTTATCTATCTGTTTCTTCTTCCTCTGGGTGGATACAGATGACATCAAGATACCAGGTGATAGAGGAAACCCAAGATGGAAAAAGCCCGGATAGCTGAATCATCCTTTGAAAGATAACTACCTGGTGACCTCAACCCTAACCTGGACTCTTCTGTATGAGACATAAACTTCTATTATGACTGAGCCATTTCATATTTGAGTATACAGTAGTCCCCTCTTATCCATGATTTTTTTCCCATGGTTTCAGTCACCCACGATCAACCATCGTCCAAAATGTTAAATGAAAAATTCCAGAAATAAGCAATCTATAATTTTCAGTTGTGGACTGAGTAGTATGTGGAAATCTTGTGCCATCTTGCCCGAGACATGAATCATTCCTTTGTCCAGTGTATCCATGCTGTAGATGCTACCCACCCATTAGTCATTTAATAGAGCTCGGTGATCAGATCTACTGTTAAGGTATCACAGTGTTTGTGTTCAAGTAAACCTTATTTTACTTAATATTGTCCCCAATGTGCAAAAGTAGGGATGCTGACAATTCAGATATGCCACAGAGAAGCTATAAAGTGCTTCCTTTAAATGAAAAGAAAGTTCTCTACTTAATAAGGAAAGAAAAATTATATGCTGAGGTTGCTAAGATCTACAGTAAGAACAAGTATTTTATCCACGAAATTGTGAGAAAAAATTTATGTTAGTTTTGCTGTTGCACTTCAAACTGCAGAAGTTAGTCACAATTTGTGATACATTTTATTACAGCATATTATTACCATTTTCCTATTTTATTATTATTGCTGTTAATCTCTTACTTCACCTCATTTATAAATTAAGCTTTATCATAGGCATGTATGTGTAGGAAAAAACACAGTATTTATAGGGTTCAGTACTACTTGTGGTTTCAGGCATCCACTGGGGGTCTTGAAATATATCACTCGTGGATGAGGGGAAAGACTACTGGATTTATTTCCACTGCTTAATTCATCTTTAATATATGCATGAATTTTAGTAATTATATTCATAATAACAATACTAGAAATAATAATAGCAGTTAATATTAAGCTCCTACTAAAATATTAGAAACTGTTCTGAGCATATTACATAGATTTATTAATGAAAGGCCCCTCTCAGAACCTCTCTACACTTTACACAAGGCACAAATGAGTCTAGATGTTCTGTAGTACAAATTCGACTAGGGGAAGAAAACAAGAAAACAGAGCACAATGTATCTGCATATAAGATAACTGATAGAAGTACTGGCATCTGATAGCTTGATGGCAAAGGAAAAGGCAGAAGGGGCTGGGTGCAGTGGCTAATGCCTGTAATCCCAGCACTTTGGGAGGCCGAGGCAGGTAGATCACCTGAGGTCAGGAGTTCATGACCAGCCTGGTCAACATGGTGAAACTGCCTCTCTACTGCAAATACAAAAATTAGCTGGGTATAGTGGTGCTTACCTGTAATCCCAGCTATTCGGGAGGCTGAGGCAGGAGAATTGCTTGAACCCGGGAGGCGGAGGTTGCAGTGAGCTGAGATCGTGCCACTGGACTCCAGCCTGGGCAAGACAGCGAGACTCCATCTCAACAACAACAAAAAAAAATGCAGAAGGAACACAAACAGTTTTAGAAAAAAATGGAATCTGGAGTCAATTGGTATAGGGCCATAGCTCCAGCAACCCGCTGAAGAATCACAGTATAATTGTTCTTTTCAATAGCTGATGTTAGTAATAATGATTAACTTATCAAAAAGTTAAATCACATTCCCTAAGCTCTGCTTAAGAAAGTAGGAAAGTGTTACAATATGCATGTGAATATTTCAAATTCACATGGTCAACATTAAAAAAAAAATACTGCAGCCTAAGGGATTGATTCATTTAGCTGTTAAATTTACTTAAATGAGCCAGGTGCCATGGGCTCATGCCTGTAAACCCAGCACTTTGGGAGGATGAGAGGGGCAGATTGCTTGAGCCCAGGAGTTCAAGACCAGCCTTGGCAACATGGCAAAACCCTGTCTCTACAAAAAAAAAACAAAACAAAAAAAAACAAAAAACAAAAAACAGTAGCTGGGCATGGTGGTACATGCCTGTAATCCCAGCTACTCGGGAGGCTGAGGCAGGAGGATCACCTGAATCTGAGGGGTCAAGGCTGCAGTGAGCTGCAATTGCACCACTGCACTCCAGCCTGGGTGACAGTGAGACTCTGTCTCAAAAAAAATAAAAGAATTTTACTTGTATGAAACATGCATTTCTCCGAGAAACCACCCTTTGAAACACCACAACTGTAAGTTCTGTCGCAAACTCAGATGACATTTAGGCTTGATACAATACAGAGTATCAGGAACAGCCTTCATTTTTTAATGCACTCCCATTTTATGGGAAACAAACAACCTCTTCAGCTGATGTGAATTACAAGTGCCCATTCTCACAAGTTGTTGCCTAGGCTCACAGTCCTTGCTGTCTTTCCACTGTTGTCATTCTGGGGTAGCTACTGCAGTCTAAATGATCTGAATTGCTTTCCTGCTGGGATTAGTAACAGCCACACTACCAAATCGTACTGTGCAATGGGCCTGGAGGTTGCATTTAGATTACATTTCATTTCTATACTTGGGAAATACATGCCTTAATTTTCCTCTGATGTTAAAATTGATAAGGCATAGAAAAGAAGATATATGTTCATGATAGTGAGTTTATAAAGTGGTTATGATTTTCTTTATAATAGCAATGCTTATACCATCAAATGTGCATTTGTGATTTAGACTGGCCAGGCTATGGAAAAAAGAGACTGGCAAGTAAAAACATTGGGAATGGGAAACAATCCCAACTACAAGGCAGATAAAAGAAGCTGCTTCCCCTGACACAGCAAGGAAATGTCAAGAGAGTGCAAATTTGGTAATCATATTCTTCCAATTCCTCCCTCCAAATGCACTGACACCTATAAACAGCTGAATCCATTATTCACAAGATAAAGGCCAAGGAAAGAACTAAGGCTATTATATCAGAAGCAGTGCAGTCATACTTGGCAAAACATATGACTGATGCCCTTTATGGCACCACAAATCTTCTTTTTTTTTTTTTTTTTTGCACATGTATACACTAAACAGCTGTCACTTCTTTTTATACCTGTTATGAATTTTTTAAAAGTGCTATCAAAGCACTCGTTTTACTATCTTTTTACTATCTTTCTCCCCTGCCCTTTTTACAGTAGGTCTCAGAGAAGCCTGAATGCACATCCTAAAGCTCATTAGGTAGGGGAGGAAAAAAGTCCAGTGGTGTGTAGATGCTCTGTGGGGATTCAGGATATTTGTATGTGGTATAAACTGAGGGGAGCAAAAGTAAAAACTGTCTGACACTAAAAATAATGTAATTATGAAAATATTTTACCTTTAGCGTAACAATGTTTGAATTAGTGATTTTTCTAAATCAAGAATTTTTAAAATATTTTATGCTTTTTATTAAACTATTAATTCTTATAGAAAAGTACACAAACTGTACGTGTACAGCTCAATGAATTTTCACAAGCACTCGTGACCCTCATTCAGATTTAGAAATAGAACATGACGAAGAAACAGGAGCTCCCCTTGCAGGCATTACCTCCACTCCCCCAACTTCTAGCACTGGAGATTAGTTTTGCATATGTGTGTATCTACACTGGTATCAAACAGTATGTACTATTAAACATGTGGGATTCATTCATATTGTGGCATGTAGTTACACATTGTTCATTCTCACTGATGTTTGATGTTCTACTGTTGTGGGTATATCCTAATTTATCATGTCTAACATTGATGGGCCTTTGGATATTTTCCAGTTTGGGATATTAACAATAGTATCACTGTGAGATTTTTTTCTTTTCTCTTTTGTGATGGAGTCTCATTGTGTCACCCAAGCTGGAGTGCAGTGGCACAATCTCAGCTCACTCCAATCTCCACCTCCTAGGCTCAAGCAATCCTCCTACCATAGCCTCCCGAGTAGCTGGAACTATAGATATGCACTGCTATGCCAAGCTAAATTTTTATATTTTCAGTAGAGATGGGTTTTCCCCCATGTTGCCCAGGCTTGTCTCAAACTCCTGGGCTCAAGCAATCTGCACCGCTCTCCCTCCACCCCCATCCCCGGCCTTCCAAAGTGCCTATTTATACCTAGGAATGGAATAAATGGGTGATAAGATGAGTGCATGTTCAGTAGATAGTGAGAGATTTCCAAAGTGGTTTTACCAAGTTATATTCCCATCAACAATGTATGGGTGCTCTGGTTGCACCACAGCCTTGTGAAAACTTGGTATTGTCCGTCTTTTTCAATTTAGCCATTCAGGCAGGTGTACGGTATAATCACATTGTGGTTTTAATTTGCATTTCCGTGCTGACTGATGATATTGAACAGAGTGACACTTTTTGATATATTTTCAAATAAATATATATTTTACAGACTCCTGAGACAGTAAAGGATTTCAAAGATGACCCAGTCCAAAGGTAGAAACTGTACGGCATATCTGTCTGATGTGAGTGTCCACACTTTCACAATATGCGGCTAATTGGGCACCTAATCTGGATTCAGCTTCAGAATCCTTCCCAACACAATAATCACACAATCTCTTCCAAGCAATCAGAATAAACTCACAAGAAGAATTTTATTGACCAGAAGGAGATTATCAAAAGCAGAGACACAGAAAGAATGAAAAAGGCTAAGACAGGCAACCCTAAGATCTGCCATCAAAATGGAGGAAAATAAGAACCCCATTCATAATACTGTTTAAAGTGGATATGATGCACTTTATAGTAGCAACATTCAATTCATGGAACTGAGTGACACCGGGCAAGTTATTTCATCTCTAGAAAATTAGCTGTGAGGATTAGCTGAGAAAAGATCTGTATTGTTTCCAGCTCTATTCTCCTCCTCCTTGCTCAAAGATGGCCTTCTGTTGTCGCCTGGGGGCAAAACTTTCATGATTTCTAATCCATCTGTTCTTGAATTAGTACGCTTTTAAAATTATCCTGAAGATGGCAGGAGTTCAGGCAGTGAATGAGTCATCAAAGGAATAAGATTTTTCCTCCATTTTTGTCTAAAGCAAGGCAGTTACATTTGGGTCAAATAAGTCATCTTTAACCATGAAAGAGGAGGAAGGGGAATGGGGTTCAATAATGGAATTGTGAGAAGAAGCCAGTTCATTTCTCCTGTCACTTACAACGGTGCATATCACCTGTGAAATGTTTTAAGAAGTACTCATTTACTCACTGAGTCCTTAGCAGAACTCCTCAAATTGTTTCATGACCAACAATAAAGTCAACCATTGGCCAATGGTAAAATGCTTCTCCCACCCAAAGAAAGCAATGCAGAACAGAGGGGAACGAAGCTCATGATCCTGGCAACTCCTTTTAGCCACTTCTGCATGGATCCAAGCTTCCTCATCTTACACTCCCTCAACAAGTTCTACCTCTGCACTATATACCAATCCTAGAGGAGTCCTCTTCTCTAGTCTAGCAGTTCTAGTGCAGTGGCGCACTCTCGGCTCACTGCAACCTCTGCCTCCTGGGTTCAATTGATTCTCCTGCTCATCTACCCAAGTAGCTGGGATTACAGGCATGCATCACCACCACCAGCTAATTTTGTATTTTTAGTAGAGATGGGGTTTTACCATGTTGGCCAGGCTGGCCTCAAACTCCCGACCTCAGGTGATACACCTGCCTCAGACTCCCAAAGTGCTGGGATTACAGGCGTGAGCCACAGCGCCCAGCATGAAGCAGTTCTTTATACAAACTCACGGCATCTTAACTGAAATTCAGAAATTGAGAAAGCTCTGAATACCAAAATGTCTCTTTCATAACTCATTTAGAGGCAAGACTTTAGCTGATCTGAATATAAATATATAAACTCAAAAATATAGAAATTCAAAAATATATATATTCAAATATATATATTTTGAACATGTGTATTTTATATATTTATTTCTATTTTCATTTTTTTTTGAGACAGAGTCTTATTCTGTCGTCCAGGCTGGAGTGCAATGGCACGATCTTGGCTCACTGCAGTCTCTGCCTCCCGGGTTCAAGTGATTCTTCTGCCTCAGCCCCCCGAGTAGTTGGGATTACAAGCATTGCCACCATGCCTGACTAATTTTTGTATTTTTAGTAGAGACAGGGTTGCACCATGTTGGCCTGGCTGGTCTTGAAGTCCTGACCTCAGGTGATCAACCTGCCTCGGCTTCCCAAAGTGCTAGGATTACAGGTGTGAGCCACAGTGCCCAGCCAATCTGAACATATTTCATGGCAAGAACCTTTCCTGAACTGATGTGGGGATATCTGCCATCTTAGACTATTTTGTGGGGACATTCACGCATTTTGCTGCAGAAATGCTAACGTGCATGCTTAGGGAGCTCTGGCCCAGACTAGCCTGGGAGTGGTACCTAATTTATGGCACCTGTACATATCTTTCAAAATCTGAAAAATTTTAAATTTGTTCATAAATCTGGATCCAAAAATGTTGGTTTAAGGACTGGAGACCTGTACCATGCTTACAACAGACATCATTCTCAAACTTCATGTCCTCCGAGTGTTCACCCTTTACTCTGAATTATTTTAAAGAGTTACAAATCAAAACAAAGAGACACAAGTTTTTGCTTAAATAGAGCAGCCAAGATATAAAAATGTTAAAGTACCCAGGGTGGAAGAGGATATGGGGAAGCAGGGATCCTCATACACTCTTGGTGGGAATGTATGTTGGTACTCAAAGAAAATTACAAATAGCCTTTCAAAAAGTAAACACATTTTGATCCAGCAATCCCACTGCAAAGCATCTATGGAAAGAATCAAGAAGTATGGCAAGGATAGGGCATACTGAATATAATAAAAAAAAAAAACATAAAGATTTAGCAATAAAAGGATAGTTAAATAAATGTTGATATAACTACACAAAATAATACAGTGTTGCCTTTAAAATAACAAAAATGATATAGATCTGTACATAATGATATGGAAAAGTTTCTAAGATAAAACAAAGTGAAACAATTTTCAAAACAGTAATCTATAACAAAATATGTATATAATATATATAACTTTGAAGGATATATTCTAGATAATACAATTTTCTCATTACACGTTTTTACAAAAACTCATAGGTGCTTATGTTGAGCATGGGAACAAGAGAAGGAGGCTTTCACTTTTTGATGTACATGTTTATTACTTTTTTTCTTTTCCACGTGCATGTTTTGCTCTTCTTATTGGTTTCCAGTAAGTTTGTGGAATTCTCACAGGCTCAGGTATAGTATAGGTCATCAAGCATCTTTTCTGAGACTAGAAGTGCCATAAGATGAAGCCTCTAGCAACCAAAAATCCTCATCATTTTCTGGTTAATCTTGGCTTCTGCTGACTCTTAAGACAGACCCAAGACCTGTCAGTAACAAAAGTCTCTTTAAATGATATTATGGAATTCCAGAGGTGATGTTCCACCAAATAAATCCAATAATCACCTCCAACTACCCCTTAAATGTTACCTGTGCAAGGTAAATTAACTCTATTTTAGCCTTTCTAATCCATGATTTCAATTGCATGATTTGTGCCTCAGCTCCGAGTGTAGGGCTAAGAGCCAACAGGAGTCTAAGATTAATGAATGGACTTGAATGTCAACCTTAGTGTAATGATCCAAGTTCCTCTACTTCCCATTTCCCTATCTCACCAAACATGTGAGAGATGGCTTAAATCTTGGTATATAACCCTGTGTGTTGTCCCTTTTGACACGTGACCGAGTGGCTATGGGAATCTCCTAGTATAAATGGAACGGTAACACAGGATGAAAATTTCTGTGGAGCCTTCCCACTTGCCTAGTGTTACAATTAGATAAGACAATAAAAATAGCAGAGTTATCTCTCATTATCAGATCACAAACACTATGTTTAATACTACCCCTTCAGATCAGTGGAAACATAAAATAAATGAACCTATTTGCTTAGTTATACTACCGAATGATACATGTATTCTTAGGAACCAGATCTCTGGCTATACTTCAGGCTCTATTATTCTGAGCTTAAAGTCTTCTCTGCTTTTCCTAAGCCATTCACCTTCAAATACATATGTTTAAATGTAAGCACACCCTAGCCTTCAAATAAATTCTATATCTAGAACACACTTCTTCCTGGTCTCTGCATGCTGGCTCCTTCTTGTTATTTAGATTACAGTTTAAATGGCACCTGGATTTGTTCCTCTGTCCAAGCACTGTAACATTTAAAATCTCTGTATATTACTTATCATTTATTTCCTTAACTTGCTATTGATTCAATTATTGCTGATTTATTTCACATCCCCCAGGCTGTAAATATAAAAACGGATATGTTGTCTGTTTTGATTTTCACCACATTTAAAGTGATAATCACTTTGCCACTTTGGAGGGATATGACAATCAATCCAGGGATGAATGAATGAATGAGCACTTTGTTACCTCTCATCCCCTAAAAGCGTAGCCAGGTGTTTTTGTGGTAAAAAGGCAAAGCAGATATTGCTTTTGTTTAGTAGAAAACGGGCCAAGTGAAACCAGGAAATGATATTTTAAAGTAAATTAAGATCGTAGGCCAAGGAGCCAAGGTAGTCCATAAGGAAAAGCATTTACGAACAGTCACTAATGTCTTCCCATGGCTTTCCTGCGTGTCCCAGTCAGGGGACTGCACACACAAATGAAGGAAAGCAGGATGGAGGTAAGCCAAGCTCTGTAAAAGTACTTCTGGGATGCACCACGTTCAGGTCTATGATTGCCGAGACTCGGAAAACCGAAAAAGGACAGCAAAGGACAAAGGGAAGGACTCCAGTGACCTTCCATGGACAGACTGACATCAAGAAAACCTTTACACAAATGTTTGGGCATCTTCTACTACATAATGAAAGTTTTTTTTTTTTTTTTTTTTAAATCCTGAAAATACTCATGAGAAAGGTAGAGGAAAATTGACAGTAATGGAACAATGTTAATAGTATAATAATATCTAAGAAGATGTAATTTGATTCAATGATACATATGCATCTTAATCTTGGTATTTTTCAGATGAACTTTTTCCCCCGGTAAGTTGTTCTTTTCTAAGACATTATAAATGAAATGCTTCACTCAGAACATTCACATTCTGTTACATTAATATTTTTCCTTTGAAAGCTTATCTTGACAATCTAGCCCTCCCCTTTCCCAAGGTTGCAAAAAATCCTATAAATGTCCTCAATAAGTCTGTGTCTCCTCTGAAACAAGGATGGACAGTTAACATCGGACTTTGGTCAGGAAGGCAGAAAAGGTAAGAAGGGGGCCAATTTTCCTCAGGGATGTCAGACAAACGAACTGCTATATTTAAAGCCAAGGGCTTTGGGAGTGCCTACCTGTTCTGTTACCATCTTCCCTTTTATGCTCACCACCTCACTCATAACTACTTAATCATTTACCTCTCACAGACTCCCTCTTGCACACATTCTCTGTGCTAGGTACACAGCCAAGCACTGAGGTTGCAGCAGGGAATGGACCCAAGCCCCAGCTTTCACAGGGTTGATACTACAGCCACTCAAAACAGGGATGTCATGAGGCTGCAGCATCTTAAATATCTTAGAGGAAAACATTCTTTAAAATTTCTTTAACAACAAGCCTAATAAAATGAAGAACATTTTGCAGGGGTAAGGGGTTGATGTTGAGGAGGAAGATAATATGTTAGGCATTAACATTGGATTTGTTCAGAACAATTATTAATAACAAACACATGCTAATATTTAGGATCGGGGTCAGTAAACTACTTCTGTAAAGGACCAGATTATAAATATTTAAGGCTGTGTGGGCCAGACAATCTCTGTTCAACTACTCAACTTTTCCACTGCAGTGCAAAATCAGCCATAGACAATGTATAAATGATCATAGCTGTGTCTAATAAAACCTTATTCACAAAAACAAGTGGCAGACTGGACTTGACCCACCAGCCGTAGTTTGTTAATCCTGATCTAGGTTCATCTTTTCCCAGCAATCCTTTACAATGAAGAAGCTAAGCCTTATATAGGTGGACTTCTTTACCCAATATTACACAGGTAGGAATTGCTCTCACTCTGCACCACTGACTTCATCTTCTTAGAGAATAAAGCCAAACATTAGAAAAATAAGCATGAATAATACAGCACGATAGAGATCTCAAACTTCTAAGTTATGTGCTACAATTTGGGTAACTAGCTATGATTAAGGGATGCTGACCAGTGAGAGCCAAGTGGTTATGAAAATCTTTCTGGAAGGTAGGCTGAAAGAATTCCTGTCCTAGAATATCAACTCTCCTTTCCACTGCCTGCCTTTGCCTGCCTGTAAATACCAACTTTTCACCCTTCAGGCCTCTGCTCCAGCTTCACCCCCTGTGGGAAGCCTCCCCACATTTCCCAGTCCCCTTGTACAGTGCTCCCCTTGCTCTTGGTGAAAACTCATAGCTGTGTGTGTATATTTTTCTGCATGTACATTATATTTCAGTAAAAAGTAAAACAAAAATTGACAGTATTTATTCACATGGTACTGTGGACTGGTCATTTTCATGTCTGAATCTCCAAAGGACTTTAAACAAGTTAAAGGTAGGGACCATGGTTTTCTCTTTGAATCTTAAGTCTAACCCAATACAATACTGACATGCAGTACATGCTCAGAATTCAAGTTAAAGTAGGGGTAAGATTGGGATGAGCACAAAGCATACCTCCAAAAAATACACTCCCGAAGGAGAACCACCTGTGACCTGAGACACAGATATGAAACTAAGGCTAATGAGGAGGTGAGGGCAGTGAGGAGGTGAACTGGAGTTTGGAACTGGTCTGGGACATGTCCAGGAATTTATTGGTGGCACTGCTCTCCATTAGGTAAGAATTAGAAAGCTTTTGTTTTTAGAGATGATGTCTCACTAGGCTGGGATATGCCTAGGCTGGAGTATGGTGGCTCTTCCTAGGCACAGTCCAGAACTCCTGGGCTCAAGCGAGCCTCCCTCCTCAAGCCTGAGTAGCTGGGCCTATAGGCATGCACCACTGCACCTGGCTTTTGGAAAGTATTTCTGATTGATTTCACTAACATTCTATATGAAAATATCTGCAATTTCCTTCCCCTCTCATGATGAAATTATATTACTACTTTATAAAAACATTCAAGTAACCCCCTCAATGTTTTCATGTTACTTTCTTTTTTAGTACCTGCAAATTTGCTTTGAGTAGATTTCTATTTTAAACCATGCTGCTTCTCTTTTAGTTTCCCTGCATTAAATTGTTGTGTACAGTCATCAAATAGTGTTTGGTTCACCTCCAAGAAGCGGTCCAGTGCACCGCAAATCAAGTCATGCGTGTATTGTTTAGTTTCAGTGGTTCTTTCATTCATGGCACAAAGTATGGCAACATGAAGGGTAGAATTGTTACTGTCTCTGATTGTTTGCTAGTCTTCTATCTTTCAAGTCACTTGCACCCATTTAGCTAAATTGCTACAAAAGAACTAAAAGGAATAACCTATAAAGCAAGATTTCTGAGGTGGTGAAGATACCTCTTTTATTCTTGGCTATCAGAAAAAAAGGTTTGTACCTTCTTATGCAAAACCCCACAGGCTGGAGAAGATTTGATCAGAGAGGTTTCAGGTAACTGGAAAGGAAACAGCACTTTATATCCCATATCACTTCTTAGTCAATGAAGTAGTTGCTAGCCACTTTCTTATTGTGGCACCTATTCCTTTGACAATGTCATGTCTGTGAATAGATTAGTCTTCCCAGGAGCCTCAACTGACAGATGATGAATATGCAGGGTCCACCCCCAGATTAATCATCTTGAGATACTAGGAGGTGAAACACACCCACTCAGCCCAGGTAAAAGTGGCTAAGCTGCCCTCTTCTCCACCCTCTCTTGCCTTTCTTCCTCAGCGTTTTGATTGCATTTTTAACTATATGTTCCTCACTACCTGAGGGAAACAGAAAACGTCAAATGATGTCAGAGTCAAAAAAGTCAGTTATTGGACACAAAATGATACAACTAAAAATAGATAACTTACTAAATTACAGGGGGATATTTTGTGTATAAGGCATCTTAGAATTGGTGACTAATGACTACTGTCAAATAACTGGATTTTTGGAATCTGTACAATAAATTTAGATGCAACTTCCCCTCTCTCCACAATTTCTCCAATGGTATCTGGTCTTACATAAATGCTTATCTTCCTTCTCTCCCCTCTTGAGGCACCATACAAGTTCTCAGTTTAATTATATTCCATTAACTCCTCCCCTAATTCAACATCCTGGAATCTTAATTCTTTCACAAACTATTGTCACAAGGACCAACAAAACCTAACCCAAGTAGCTACTGAGTGAAGTCCAGTGGGAGACACTTGAAAAATATGACAAAAACCAGCCACGTTGAGCAAACATGCAACAAAGGGCATTAGGGAAATTGGTTAATATACTGAGTTACTTAAAATTATAATGTTGAAAAAAATAATTGTGGCAGCAGGGAAATGATGCCAATTAAGCAGTCCAGTAATGGGAAAGAGGCAGGAGAGAAGTCACTTTGCCGTTCATAATTCAGCCCCTTCACTTCCCCGGCGGTGGAGCCTGCTTTCTGCCACAGTGCTGAACAGTTTGGAAGATGTAGATTTAAAATGCATTGAGATTTTCAGGAGAAAACAAAAGGTGGCAGTTAAGAAGACATCACCATTAACTTCAAAGATCAGGAAAGAAGAACTACAAGTGACTAAAGTGAAATCAGATGACAATACTTATTTCTATCATTCTTCTCCAGAGGCCCATTTTTCCTTTTGCTTTTTTTCTTTTGATGGTGTAATACTCTGGCCACCCCCAGAAAGATTCCAAAATCCTCCCTCAGCTTTTTATTCTTGCTGTTCGCAACCTACACCACCAGGAAATCCATCTTTCAATACAAATCTGAATGCCTTGTACTGTCATTTGAGTTTAAATATATTTCTCCACAGCTCTGGCCTCAATATAAATAGCAGACAGCTGGTCACCATGTTCCACATCATAAACCTGTTGGGAGGATGTATGGCCAAGGGGGTTGGCTTGCATCGGAATCACTTGGAAAGCTTGTTAAAAACACAGATTGCTGGGCTTCACCCTCCAGAGTATCTGTTTCACAGGTCTAGTGTGGAACCCAAGAATTTGCATTTATAAGAAGTTCCCAGATGGTGCTGATGTTGCTGGTCCAGGGATCATACTTTGAAAACCACTGCTGTAAACCAATCCCAAACCTATTCTCTTGAAAGAGATGGCAGTGGTTCCCAAATTCTGCTGCATATCAGTATCACCTGAAGAGCTTTTAACATTCCAATTCATTCTACACCAAGTAAATCAGAATGTCCAGAAGTAGATGCCAGGCATCTGTAATTTTTAAAGCTCTCCTGGTGATGGCAATATACAGCTAAGTTTGGGAGCCACTCAATCTTGAGATTAAGTCTTGAGCCAAAGGGAAAAAAATCACTGGACCAGAGGCCAGAAGGAGGAAGAGCAGCTCTACTTAACTGTGACCTTGAGAGAATTCCTGTATTTCTTCAGTCTTTTTTCTCATTTGTCAAATGAGGTAACTATTTGTTTACCTTTTTCTCAAGCATCTGTAGGAAGAAAAATACATCAAACGAAAGTGAAATGGTTTTGAAAATTAGGAAGCAGACTAAAGATGTAAGACATCAGGAGAGTCCTTCCCAGGGTGAAAGGCCAGAGCTTTGGCACAAGACAACCTACATCAGAACTCTGATTCTGAGTAGTCCTGTGACCTGGGCAAGTTATTTAACTACTGTGTTGCAGTTTCCTTTTTTTTTTTTTTTTTTTTTTTTTGAGATGGGGTCTCACTCTGTCTCCCAGGCTGGAGTGCAATGGCATGATCTTGATTCACTGCACCCTCTGCCTCCTGGGCTCAAGCCATCCTCTCCCTAAGCCTCCTGAATAGCTGGGACCACAGGCGCATGCCATCACACCTGGCTAATTTTTTGTATTTTTGGTAGAGACAAGGTTTTGCCAAGTTGCCCAAGCTGTTCTCAAGTTTCTAAACTCAAGTGATCCACCCACCTTGGCCTCCCAAAGTGCTGAGATTACAGGTGTGAGCTACTGCTCCTGGTCAATGTCCTCTTTTTGTAAAATGAGAATGATATTACCTTCTTCATGGGGTTCCTCCAGAGAATTTTTGCTATTTGCCCAGGACATAGTAGGTGCTTAATAAATGACTATTAGGCATATTTGATAGGGGTATAGCTACATATGCCATCACCCAATGATATGGAGAAGGCATCCCTTAGGAAGAATTTCAGACAGACTTTAGTGTTATTAACAGTGGATAAGCTGGAAAACAGCATTGAATAGACCTTCTATATGCAAGTAACAGACAACTGTAAACATGTGAAGATTCAACTCAGTTTAAGTAACTCAATGGCTAGTTCTTAAGGCAGCAGAATCCTTAGAATTGCTGGGTTCTGTCATCATTTTCTCTGGGTCTGGACCATACCCACTTACAAGCTAGTTTGCTCCTCAGGCACTTTGTTCTGGGTTGTTAGTCTGAACTTGGGAGTACACACAGATCTTGTATTTGGTATTTTGTTTTGTGTGTATATGTGTTTTATTATGACTCAAATCAGTCTCCCTGAAAATTTGGAGGCTAGCATTTTTCAAGGATAGTTTGAGCAAAGAGAAAGGGGTGGCTAGGCAATGGGTGCTTGTTGCCAATTGGTTGGGTGTGCAATCATAGGGGTGTGGGAAATCGTCCTCATGTGAGCTTAGTCACTTCTGGCTGGGCCACAGGAGTGGTCTGCAGTCCAGGTGGAGCTATGGTCATCATGAGACATGCAAAAAAAAACCCCGTAAAGACATCTTGAAAGGCCAATCTTAGATTCTACAACA
Source organism: Homo sapiens (assembly GCF_000001405.40). Taxonomy (NCBI): domain Eukaryota; kingdom Metazoa; phylum Chordata; class Mammalia; order Primates; family Hominidae; genus Homo; species Homo sapiens. Next base: position 25,093,660 of record NC_000003.12, on the reverse strand, counting down.
AGGATATTATCTGCAGGAGTAACTGAGGAAGTTGCAAACCTGTGACCTCCAGAATAATGGCAGGTAATTGTTTATGTCTACATGTAAGCAGAATTCAGGCTCATCTCATCTTCCTAGCCTGGTGGTCTCTCATTAGCTTTAAAAATGTGCTCTAGTTTGGGGGGAAGGGCTATTATTATGTAAACTATACATTAAATGTTTCCCAAAGTTAGTTTGGCCCAAGCCTAGGAATAATTAAGGGCATTTTGGAGGCTAAAGGCTAGATGGGAACTGGTCAGATCAGATCTTTTCACTGCCATAATTTTCTCACTGTTATAGTTTTTGCAAAGTTAGTTTCATTCTGAGAAATACTACTTCCTAATTTTCACCAACAAAAATTAAAAGAACAACAATATTCTGTCCCAATCCAGCTACTTGTATAAAAGGAGAAGTATCAGACAGCTTTATATAATGCTGGATCATTGAACAAAAAATAAAATAACCAAAACCTAATTATCCAGTTGAGATGGTAGCAAAACTCATGAGCAACGTGTCCACTGTGAGCAAGAGATTTTTAATATCCCACCTGTACCAGAGCATGAGATGACCATGAGATGAGACTAATCCATAGTCAGTATCATTGTAAGCAACACCTGTGCTCTAAGTAGGGATGGAATGGCATTTAGTGGAAAGGCAATTGGAATATCATAATTTAAATTCCCCTTTTTCACTATACCTCTGTAATGCTATAAGAAATGTCTCAGTTTCTCTTAGCTGTAGAATAAGTCATCTCTCTCTACCTCCTAAATGAACATGAGAGACTGAATAAGGGCACAAGGAAAAATGACCAGTGCATCATTCTCCCTTACACATGAAACTCATGTTCAGGTGACATTATCTGGGAATCCATTCAGTGGAAAAATGTCTCCATAACCAGTAACAATTACATGGCAAGACAACACACTTCTCTCAGAGGCGTCTTATCAAAGAGAAGGCATTCGCAAAATTTCTGCACAATTAAAAAAATCTCCCACATTCTTTTCTGGAAAAAAAAGAGCAAACATGTAATTTGAATCAAAGATTACAAATTCCAGGTGGCAGCCTGTTTTTGGTGGTGTGGGGAGAGGGCTGGAGTTAACAGTTATTGTATACTTTACAGGCACACCATGAAAGGTAGTATTAGGAACAATAGTAAAAATAAGAGAGACAACTAGATTATGCTTCAATTTCCTCTAAAATCTTGAGGAATCCCTACTTACAAATTAGCAGAATAGAGACACTTTATATGGAAAGAGGTTTTTTTGTTTTGTTTTAAGATCTTGGGCAAACAAATGAACAAACAAAAAGTTCTAAATGAAACTAAGAGAAAAAGGCATTTTGAGTATTTGCTTTGCCATTCTGTTCTCAAAAGAGCTCAAACATCACAATAGTTTGCAACCTTTTCGGTTGGATACTTTTTTCCATCACTTAACGGATGGGAAAGATTTTGTGAACTTATCTGAGCAATAGACAAGACCGCCTCCTCTCTCCTAAGTGCCTCGTCAGCAGATTTCTGGAGCCTGGCTGTAAAAGCACTTGTTTCTGCTTTTCCCCAATCTAGGAAAGATGCCTCTTAAGCTATAGTGAGGCAGAGCATAGCCATTCAATTATCCAAATACTACAAGTCCATAAAAGAACATTGTGCTGCAACTGGTTTCTTAATTTGAGTGAAACAGCACACCCCGACACCATCCCTCAGATTCTGAAAATATATCTCCACACACATCTTCCGATTCAACCAAGTTGCAGGATGCATTTTTATCAATTTTGAGATAACTTGCAGAATATGCAGACCAAACCAATATGATCACAGCACCACAGAGGGAAACATAAACCCCAAATTAAACCTTTTTACATGAAGACGGATGGCAGCAACAATAGATATTTTTTGTCTTTTTTTATACAGATGTTCACATTTCAGTTTCCAGAATGCTTTTAAATGTATCCAACTGTTTTAATGTGACAAATGCCTTTTAATGCCCACTCCACAAATATTCCAGTCATACTTAGCTGCATGCATTTATGTATATGAGCACTTGGAGAGTAAGTGGGGAAAAATACCCTAAACAAACCGAAACCTAATTGAGAAGCCTATAAAATTTATATCTACCCCATGTGAAACAGATGGTGGATTCCGTAGAAGGCATAAAGCAACGAGCTGTCCAGTGTAAAGTTTAGTTCAGAAGCCGCTATTTCCTAGGAAAGGTAAATCACAGCTTCTCTGCACTTTTCCTGTTTGCCAAAGACTCACCTGAGCTCGGAAAGAGGGCAGTAGCTTGAGAATTCATTTTCCTAAGGAAATCATAAAATCCCACTGACAGGCTGGGTTCAGCTTCCAACCTTTGTCATAAAGAGATGTGTATCTTCGAACCTCAGAAGGCATCCAGACAGCACAGTGCACATTCAATTCTCTGTACATCTTGCAAAAAAATACCTCTCACTCACTTGTACAGATCTCTTTATTGCAGTTGACGTGGGCTTGCCCAGGGGACTGACTTGTTGTTCTATAAAGATCCTTAAATAGGCACTACTGATGAAACATTTAATCCAAGCCCCAGGATCAAATGGCTGCTACTGCCAGGGACAGTGATAGAAAAACCCATTCCCCAATTAAATAATTGCACGCAAAGCTGTAACTGTTCATTATGTCCTTTAACCTACTTCAGCTTTTCTGGAACACAGCCAATAGGCTTCATATTTTAATAATATACATGTAGCAGTTTTGAAATCACGGATCATCTTAAACATTTCTTGAAGGAAACCATCTCTTTCCCCCACATGAAAAATGGAGTGTGAGTTTGAACAAGAGACGGTTGTTGTGATACACCATACAGCAATTATTCATTCTAAGTGTATATTGGCTGTTTCTGAAATTCTTCCCTGCTTATGGTTTAAAAGTTAGACTTTGTTTGAGGGAGAGCATTTTTGTCTCCTTAGTACCATGAGTATTTTTGTCTGATCTGAACTGTTTATATAGGAAGTGAGAAGAGATTCATTGTCTATATTAAGGGCTGTATCCCAAAGGATTAATGAAAAATTTCGTTCCCCAAGGCTACAACATCTACATTATATGACAGCATCAGACAACAGGAATGTGTTCAATGGAAAGTGTTCAGAATGATATTTGTTCTTAGGTTTAAACATCTTCAGAGCACAGGAGATGGTGACAAAAGTGACAGTGTTTTGGTTTTTAAAGTTTGGAAGTTATATATTGAACACAGGCAGTGAAATATTTCTTAAGATTAAAATATTTGTGCAAAACAAGTTAACATTGTTTTTGAAATGCAAAGCTGTTAGAAAAAAGAACGAACACCAGAAGCATAGAGAGGCTTAAGAATAGACAATATTAAAATGTTTCCTCAAGTACTTATTTTTCCCAAGAACTTAAAAAAGAAGTATGCATGGTTCTCAGAGGGTTTATTTTGAATGAAGTTCTTTTTGATGATATGCAAAGGTGCCAAGAGGTAAGCTAGCTCCCTCAGAGCTTGTCTCTCACCTCCTTCAAGGAAATGGATTTTTAATTCTTCAGAGTTGACCTATGTCTGTGTTATTCTGTGCTTTCATTCAGATTAACTATAGATTTTAATTCCTGCTTTCTGTCATTCGGTTAATGTATATCTTTCTGATAAGTTACACCAGTAGACCTGGATAGAAGTCACATCCTACATCAGGTCAATGTGAAGGGATTGCTCTCCAAGGCCCATTGATTTTTGTGCCATTCAGTGGGGACTTTGACGGCTAATATACTAACATCTGGGAACTGTCTTTCTCTTAATTTCAAAGGATTCAGATTTAACTAGGAATAGAATCTATGAAAAGCACTATTTCCATCTTGACTCTAGTATCATTCGTATGGAAACTATTTATCAGTTCAAACTCCTTTAAATAAGAGGAAATGAATTGTAAATATTCTTGGCTTCTCTTTCAAGGAGAGGCTTGCTATTGCTGAACCTCACTGAGATAAAACAACCCAAAATAAAACAAATAACTTTAAAAGTCTCTATCAATAGGCGCATGAAAAAATGAATTACAACATTTTGCTTCAGACCACTTTAAGTGCTTTTTCAATGGTAAGAACAGTTAATTTACTAAATACAGTGAACTGATATCAAACCGTATTTCAACATACTCTTTTCATAATTTGGGACTTTTTTTTGGGATGATTGAGTCCTGATCAATGCTTTCAACTCTCTTTGGTTTTATTTGTACTTCCTTTATTTATCCCTGCTGGAAAAACACTCTCAATCACTAAAATACTTTGTGTAAATAATAAATATAAAATTTTCTGTATACTCCAATGTACTCTAATTTTGTATTACTGTGCTATATTACTCTGGTCTTGGCATTATTTGAAAAACACATACTTTTTTTTTCTGTGCATGCTACTGAAATACAATAAAGTATCTTCAGCTTGCAGGATAATTTTTATGGAGGAAAACCAAAATAAACCAAAAATAAATTATAAAGTCTGTTCTTTACAATGAATTTGTTTAAAAAAAAAATCGGCTCACTCTATTATTTCTAACCCTTGAGAAGAATCTCTAATTACTTTCAGAAACTTAGTATCAATCTCTGCACCCTAAAGAAATGTCAACTTAGAAAGTTTCACAGACTCTTACTCAATTAGTAAAACTTAAAGGGGGCAGGGTGGGGAGGGAACAAGGCATTAAATTCAGCAAATATTAGAATGACAGGTTCTGCAAGCTACATTGTGATAAAGCTGCCAAAAAAATCTGTATTTTCCTTCTTTTTTCATTATTAGAAAAAAGAGACTTGTGCCATTTAAAAAAAGAGCTTTCATCTGCTCCCCAGTCAGCAACTTAGCAACTTGTCAGAGACTCTGGGAGCGGCTTTTCAATACTAATAACTTGAAATACTAATGTCAAATTTTGCTTTTGGAATAGCAAATATATCTGGTTCACCAAATAGCTTCACTTTTCTTCAGAAATGCCTCACAATGAATACATTAGCTTTAACATCTATTCTTTTGATAAGCCATCTTGAGGTGGTCTGACTTTTGTTTTCTTTACTTTCACAAACACACTCCTCACCATGATTAATGGCCTCCCATTGGGTATATGGAAAATTTCCCAGCCCGGTTCCCTTGAGAATGCTCCACTACATGGATTTCTAAGCAAAGCTAGATTAAAAGAGGAGGAGCAAGGGCTATAGTCCCCCTACCCCACAGCCATCAATTATATACAGTTATAAATCAAAGTTTTCAGCCTGAACAAAGACCAGCGTGGCAAGCAAACAAGGGCGTTCACGGCAAATTGTTTTGAGACCGAATAAAACTCTTGACAGACAACAATGGAGTTGGGAAAGCCACTGTCAATATCACTCTAAAGTTTAGTTGATTTATGAAGAATTAGACATGGTGTATCAAGTCGCTGGAGGATTGATTGAGAAAACAGCAAAGAGAAGTGTGAATAAGCTAATATGAAACCAAATGAAGCTCTTCCTTCATCACAACAAGGTTTCACCAAATAATGTTTTGATCCATATGAATTTGACCCCTTGCCTTAGATCCCTACTGTGAAATTGCTTATCTCCCTCCGCCCCAATTTCTACTTATTTTTGGTTTCTTTGCTAGCAAAACTGCTGTCCTTTACAACCTTCTTGTGAACCATGATTTCAGGCTCATAGCTTTCTTACTATTTTGTTCCTATACTTAGGAGAATTTAATTTCCTTTGTTTCAGATACTGTTTACATGCCCCACATAAAAATCTATTTTAAAAAAAGAAACAGAAAAAATATTGACTTTTGGGGAAACAAAAGGAAATACCATCACAGGGCAAAGCAAGCAGAAGGCATGAAGTTAAATAAATAATGCTATAGTTTTCTAGTGTTTCTTTTTATCCTTAAGATCTAACATTTGTCAAGCACTTTCTCTTTTACTGCCAAAAATTGTTCGTACCTGTAAAACATGTATGTACTTGGGTGAGAGAATGAATAACAATTCTAATAACAACAATCTCCATTACTATTATAACACTACTGAGCTTTTACTATGTGCCAGGTATTCTTCAAAGTAATTTATGTGTATTATCTGATTTATTCTTCTGAACGAACCTATGAGGTATTTACTATTATCTTGCCCCATTTTATGGCAGAAGAGACAGATGCTTAAAAAGGCTAACTTGCCCAAGGTTACATGGCTAAAAGGCTATACAAGGAAGACATGATGGATTCTGGTTTTGAACCCAGGAATTATGGCTTCTTCCACCTACAATCTGAACCATTACACCTAACCTCACTTTTGGGGTAAAAAAATCAAATATATATCCTTCAAAACCTGAGATTCTGTAAATCAAAAAATAAAATTCTAAGCTCCCAATCAATTGAATGGACTCCTCCTCTCAGCCAAGGGCATGCTAAAGTAAATCTGAAACACTAGCTCAGGCCATGAAAGGAATAGGTGGTCAGACAGGCCTCAATATACCTTCCTCCCTTTGGAATTCAGCCACAGCTGACCAGTATTAACATTGAAACACAATCCTTAAGACAAAACAGGCTCTTTGTAGCAATAAGATACCAATGAGGTAGCAGGCCCTGAAAAAAATCGAATTATATTACCCCAAAATGCATTTCTTGGACATATTTTGAAATGGCCCTGCAAAGCTGTCTCTTGTTGGGAAAAATCAACATTCTGTAGAGAATCCCCTTCCCTTTCCAGATCTTTTTCCTTATCCAGGAGAGAATTAAGTAAGGAGTCTGGCACCTTTCTAAGTCTGATAAGAAACATTCACAATCTATTCTCTCTGAAGCAGGCTATGCGGAGGCTTTATCTGCATAATAAGAACCTTGTTCTCCACGGTCCCTTATCTTAACCCAGATACTCCCTTCTATCAACTCCAGGTCTTTAGATAAACTCTTTCAACCAACTGCCAATCAGAAAATCTTTGAATACACCTGTGACCTGGAAGTGCCCCTCCTTCCCCAACCCCCAACCCTGAGTTGTCCCACCTTTTCAGACCGAACCAATGTACATCTTACATGTATTGGTTGATGTCTTATGACTCCCTAAAACACATAAAACCAAGCTGTAACCCAACCACCTTGGACACATGTTCTCAGAATCTCCTGGGGCTGTGTCACCAGCCACGGTCACTCATATTTGGCTCAAAATAAATCTCTTTAAATATTTTACAGAGTTTGATTCTTTCCTTCAACAATTCAAACTCTTCATAAGTTAAAAAATTTTTCTGAGAAAAAATGTCCTGACTTCCCTCAATCACCTTCTTACGTTAGCAAATTGTAAGAATCAAATCAAATGACACAGTACACAAAGAAAGATGGGAAATCTTGTAAGATGTATTGAACATCTGAAGTTACTTTGCCCACTATCGCTTTCCTTAACAAAATTGTTCTTTCCTATGGATGGCCCATTGCACGTTCTTCTGGTGGGAACTGGATGAGGGATGGGCATATGATTCAGGGCTAATTAGAATTCACCATTCCTATAACCAGAATATGAGTGGATATGATATGGACCATTTCTGGGCCCAGGAAATTAATAGTTGACTGAACCTCCATTATGTTATCTGTCACTAAGAGATCTGGATATAGTGAACCCATAGTGACCACATTAACTAATCAGGGATATAGAGAATGGCAAAGCCGTAAGATGTAAGGAGCTTGAGTCCCTGCATTGTTACGTGGAGGAGAACTTCTTCCAACCTAGATCATCCATTTTAGGTTGTTACATAAACAAGAAGCAAGCTTCCTTCACATTTAAACATTACATATTTTGGTCTATTTGTTACAGCAGCTTAGCCTACCCTCATTCTTGCAATAATAGTGCAAAGGAATTTCAGCTACACTTTCAGTTTAGATTATTTCAATAGATTAGTCAAAATAAAGATCATGGAACTGGATTTGACACAAGTCTGAGCAATTATGGAGGGGCTGGGTCCCAAGATAAAAGGAAGATGATGAAGCCAAGTGTTTATTTCATCATTTGGGCAGGCACTGAACAAGACTAAAAAATCTGATTTATAAATATTGCAATATTTGTCTTCAGTTTTGTGTTCAGGAAAGAATAAAGGAAGATAAATGAATTGAATTGGATATGGTATAAAGAAAAATTGACAGGGGCCAGATGAGAGCCTAGAGTAAGAAAAACATGGGAAGGAAGAGAAAGGAGGGTAGGTAGAAATGTGAGAGAATGGTAAAACACAATTAGACCAAGAATTCCCCCAAACATGCTTCTTACTAGAATCTGGAAAATCTTTGAAGAATGAGTTATTCAGATTTTTCCCATTCCATGAAATGGCAAATAAAAGTATATCCACTATTTAAAAAGAACCCCTAAAACAAGTTGACTAACCTAAGAATGATTAGTTCATGCTTCAATGTAGGATGTGTTACCATTTTATGGCTTACATTTACATTGTTATGTTTGTTAAAGAAATTCTATTTTCATATTTTGAATAGATGACACTATTGCTTGCCAAAGAATAAATCCCAACTGATAAAATAATTCAGTATTTTGAACTTCAGGTGGCACATCTATAGTTGTCTCCTCTTGGTATTCTGCTTTTGGAATGATGCATGTCTTATACTGTCTTCAAAATAATGGATCCTATTAATCTATAGCTTATCCAACTTAAAGATCTGCAAGCTCTGCTTTGTAATTTCATATTTAAAGAATGGCACATAAATGACTTGTCTGTCATGCTCATTGCATAAAAATGTATTGTGAAGTCATGGCAAAACTGCCGATAATTAAGGGAATAAATCAGTTTATGGTAGGGTTTATACAAGCTGGTAAATTCTCTTTTAAAATGTACTCAAAATAAATTGACTTTAAAATCTAATTTAAACATTATATTAAAATAAATATACATATTAAAAATAAAAATAAAATCCAAAGATCTGGAAACAAACATTAAAAAAAACCCCAAACAGATGGAATATAAAAAAGGAAAAATGCAATAGCAGTAAGAGATAATATCAAAACATTATCCTTCATTTTCTGCTAAATCCCAAAAGAAAAACTCATACATCTCCTTTAAAATGGTGTTTCATAGAACCCCCTTCCAAATGCCAATAATTTTCTATTCATAAAATATCTGAGATGTTGCATAGAGAAGGGATTAATGATGTGTAAAGAATCCAATACGTATTGATGATATCAACATATTTCCAGTGTAATCTAAACAGATGATTAAAAGTCAACAAAATAAAACTTTAAAACTATATTACAAATAGCAAAAAAAAAAAGTTTTGTACACTTGTGTATATACTTCCATGGCAGAGTAACATATATAGACTTTAACCTTCAGAGTTCTTCTAAAGAACTATAAATCTGGACAAAACACATACAGCAACTGTTTTAATCCTTGAGGAAAGGGAAACACATGAGAGAGTTGTTTCTGCTGGGGAAGGCATTCCAAACTGTGGCACAGAGAAGAGGAACTCAAACAGGAAGCAGCAGATTCCCTGAGAAGAGGAGGAGTCAACTGGAACACGGAACTGCTGAGTTAGATAGAATGTGAAGAATAGGGTACCAAATAGGGAAGAAGTCCCATTGGACTCAGTTTAGGGGTCTTACTGAGTCATTAGCCAAATACTGAGATACATATCCAGAGGATGAGACTGAGAGAACTCTGCCAGAGAAAAGCTACTGAGGGGCTGGAAGATGAACAAAGATTCCAAAAGCCACACAGTACTGGACAACATTTCAGTTTGTCGGAGTGGATAAAAATTGCTGAATACCCAGGGCATCTAGTTGAAACCTTATAAAGGCCATATCTTAAAGAGTAAGGCAACTCTAACCCTAAAATAAAGCTACTTTAGATTTGTCCCAACAAAGCCTAAAACCAAGTTGAAAGTCCAGTTGCAAAACAAATAAAACTCCAGAACAAAACGCAGTCATCTTTAAAGGATGATAATACAACCCAGAGTCCCAACAACATAGCATTTACTATGCCTAGCACACACTCAGTAATTACTGGAAAACAAAATCTTGAAAAAATAATCATGAGAAACAAAACAGAATACAGAAACCCAGACATGACAGAAACGTTAGAATTAGTGAACAATGATTTCAAAAGTTATTGTAAATATATTCAATAGTTTAAATAAAAGATGGACATAATGAGTTAACAAATGGCAAACCCCAACAGACAAATACAAACTATAAGAGAGCCAAATGAAAATTCTAGAAATGAAAAATACTGTCTGGAAAAAAAAAAATCACTGGATGAACATTAGCAGACTTCAAATGCCAAAAGAGATCAGAGAGGTTGAAGAATGACAGGAAGCTATCTAAAATCAAGCACGATGCTAAAAATGGAAATAAAATAGAGCTTTAGTGATCTGTGGGACAACATAAAATAGGTTACCATACATGCAATTAGGATCCCCTAAGAAAAGACAGATTTGGTAAGAAGAAATATTTGAGCAAAAAATAATCAGTAATCTTCCATAAAATTATATCAGAATACATTTTAACTATTTAAATTCAAGGATCTGAATGAATCCCAATCAGAAAAAAAGAAAAATCATACCTAATGATATAATATTTAAAATGCTAAAAGATAAAAAGTCTAAAAGCAGCCAGAAGGAAAAAAACACATTACATACAGAGGAACAGTAAGAATAACAGGTGTTTATTAGCAATAATACAGGCAAGAAGGCAATATAAGAACATCTCTAAATTACTGAAATTAAAAAAACCAGCTTCCAAGCTGGAGCTGTATATCCAACAAAATTATTCTTGAAAAATAAAGGTGATATTAAGAAGTTTTCAGAGTAACAAAAGTTTAGACTTCAGCACCAGAAGACTTGCACTATATAGACTTGCACAATATTAGAATTAATATTCTAATAATATTTATTGGAAACAGCAGAGAAAGTTCTTCAGCTTGAAGTAAAATACTGTCAGAAGGAAATTCAGTATAAAGAGCTCAAGAAAAGATGAACATGTGGGTAATCATAAGCAATATTTTTTGCTTCTTAATTTATTAAAAGAGAAGTGATCGCTTAAAGCAAGAATAATAACAATGTGCTCTGGATTTCATAAAATACCTAAAGGTAAAAGACATTAGAGAAATAACACAAAAGACAGGAGAGGGTAAATAGAAAGGTAACATTGTAAGGTTTTACCATTATACTTGGAGAAATATAGCTTTAAATCAAAATAGGCTAACATGAGTTGAAGGTGTATATTATAATACCTAAAAACAAGTGCAAAAATATAAAGGGGTATAATTACTGAACTTAGAGAAAAAATCAAAATACTAAAAAACAAACAAAAATCAGAAAAAAGAAGAATTAATCCTAACAAGGCAAAAGAAAAGGAAGAATAGTTATGAACAGATGGGAGAAATGTAAACAAATAGCAAAATAGTATACATAAACCCAACTTATATAAATATAACATATAAACAGACTAAATAATTAAAAGGAATAAACTGACTGGATACAGAAAAAGGTAAGTTCCACTTCTACACTCTTTAAAAGCAAAAATATTTTACACTTTAAATTTAAAATATAAGTACACAGGTTAAAAGAAAAAACGATTAAAAATATATAATGGAAACTAGTATCAAGGAAGCTGAAGTGGCTATATAAATGTCAGCAAGGTAGACTTTGACAGAGTAGTAGCAGAGATAGCAATCATAAAAAGTAAATTCATCAGGAAGATATAAAAATCCTAAATGTATATACACCTAATAACAGAGCTTAAAAATATATGAAGCAGGCCGGGCACAGTGGCTCACGCCTGTAATCCCAGCACTTTGGGAGGCCAAGGCAGGCGGATCACCTGAGGTCAGGAGTTCGAGACCAGCCTGGCCAACATGGTGAAACCCCATCTCTACTGAAAGTACAAAAATTAGCTGGGCGAGCTGGTGGGCACCTGTAATCCCAGCTACTCAGGAGGCTGAGGCAGGAGAATCACTTGAACTCGGAAGGTGGAGGTTGCAGTGAGCCAAGATTGAGCCACTGCACTCCAACCTGGGCAACAAGAGTGAGACTCCATCTCAAAAAAAAAAAAAAAAAAAAAAAAAAAATATATATATATATATATATATATATATATATATATGTATATGAAGCAAACACTAGCAAAAGTAAAAGGAGAAATAGGCACATGTACAATTACAGTTTGAGATTTTAATGTTCCTTCTCTCAGGAGCTGATACATCAAGTAAACAAAAATCAGTAATGATGTAGAATATTTGAACAGCACTATCAATCAATTTGATCCAAATGATATTTAAAAAGCACTATATTCCACAACCACAAAATATGTATTTTTCTCAGAAGCACATGGAGCATTCACCATGAGATACACTGTATGCTGGGTCATAAAACAAAAACCTTAATAAATTCTAAGTGTCAAATATTATTAGAGTATGTTCTCTGAACATACCTGAATTCAATTAGAAACCAACAGTGAAAAGATACTTGAAAATTAGCAACATATTTCTAAATAACTCACAGAAGGATAATTTAAAAATATTTTGAATTAAATTATAATAGAACTCAATGTACCCAATCTTGTGAGATGCAGCTAAGACAGTGCTCATAGGAAAACTGGTCTAATGATCTAAATTTTCACCATGAGAGAGCAAAGAAGAGCAAATTAAACCCACAGTATGCATAGAAGAAGATAATAAAGTAAAAGAGATCAGATCAGAAATTAATAAAAAGGCAAGCAAAATACAGAAACATCAACAAAATCAAAAGTTTTTTAAAAATTAATAACTACAAGCACAAGCAATGAAAGTAAAAATAGGTATATTGGATTTCATCAAAATTAAGAACTTTGTGCAGTTTTTAAAAAACCTTAAAAGTAGAAAAAAATTGCAAAACATACCTGATAAGGCTTTAATACCTAGAATAAAGAATTCCTATAACTCAGCAAAAAGTCAACTCAGTTGAAAAATAGGCAAGTGGCTTAAATATAGATTTCTCCAAAGAATGTAAAAAAATGACTAATAAGCACATGAAATGCTCAACATCATTAGTCACTGGGGAAATGGAAATAAAAACCTCAATGATCTATAGCATCACACCAAGTAGGATGGCTAAATTCAAAACAATACAAAATAAGTGCTGACAAGGATATGAAGAAACTGGAACCATCACATTTTTCTTATGGGAATGCAAAATGGTATAGCTGCTGCGGAAATACAGTTTGGCAGTTCCTCAAAAGGTAGATGTAAAATTACCATACATTCCAGCCATTCTACTTTAACAGTTGAGAGCAGGGACATAAACAGGTACTTGTTCAACAATGTTCATAGCAGCATTATTCAAATAGCTAAAATGTGGAAATATCTGAAGTGTTTGTTAACATATAAATGGATAAACAAAATGTGTTATACAAAGATAATTTAATATTACTCATCAATGAGAAGAAATAAAGCTCTGATACATGCTCCAAAATGGGTGAACTTTGAAAACATTCTTCTAAGTGAAACAAATCAGACACAAACTCAAATGTATGATTCTACTTTTATGAAATACCCAAAACAGGCAAATTCGTGGAGACAAAGTACATTAGAGGCTGGCAAAGTCTGAGGGAGAGAGGATGGCAGAGTTACTGCTTAATGACTGCAGAGTTTGTTTGGGGTGATGAAAAAATTTTGGAAATCATGATGATGGTTGTACAACATTGTTTAATCAATGCCACTGAATTGTACACTTAAAAACAGACAAATGACAAATTTTACAAGGAAGAAATAATACCAAGTTTATACACACTCTTTCAGAAAATAGAATAAAACCCTTTACAACTCATTACATACAGCCAGGATAATCCTGTTAAGAAAACTAAACAAGAAGCTTACAAGAAAAATTTAGACTAACATCCCTCATGAATATAGTCATGAAAATCTTAAACCTTTAGCAAATTGAGCCCAGCAATATTTGAAAGGATACTACCTCATGACTAACCTAGTTTTATTCTAAAACAAAAGTAATATATTTTTTAAAAATTAATCAATGTTATTCATCACATTAACAGAGTAAAGAAGAAAAACTATCATCTAAGCGGATATGGAAAAAGTATCTTCAAAAATTCAATGCACATATTATGATAGAAACCCTCAGCAAACTAGAAATTGAGAGGGAACCCTCTTAACTTAATAAAAGGTTAGCATAATACTTAATGGTAAATGATAAGCAGCTGTTAGTATAATACTTAAGGGTAAATGACTAAATGCTTTCCCCTTAAGATTGGAGGAAGGGACATGAATATCCACTTTCACCACTTCTATTCAACAACGTATTAGAGGTTCTGTCTGGCACAATGAGGCAAGAAAAAGAATTAGCATTCAGTTTGAAAAGGAAGAGGTAAACTGTCTTTATTCAAAGACAATACAACTATGATTTGTCCATTACAAGGGCTAAGATATTTATTAAAAATGTGTAAGTAAATTTAGCAAGGTAGAAGGATACAATTAATATGCAAAAATAAATTATATTTCCAAATATTAGAAATAATTAGAAATTAAGATAAAATACAATACTGTTGACAAGAACAAAAAATGAAACATTTAGAGATAAACTTAATAGAATATGTGTAAGCGTCAACACTGAAAACTGTAAAATATTGTGAGAGAAGTTAAAAAAAAAACCTACATAAATGCAGAGATATACCATGTTCATGGCTTAGAATACTCAATATTATTAAGTTGTCAGTTTTCCTCAAATTGATTTATAAATTCAGCACAATTCTAATACAAATCTCAACAGGCTCCTTTGTAGAGTTCGACAAGCTGATTCTAAAATTTATATAAAAATGCAAAGAACCCAGAATAACCAAAATAATAATACAATAGAAATACAAAGTTCAGCCGGGTGCCATGGCTCAAGCCTGTAATCCCAGCACTCTGGGAGGCCAAGACGGACAGATCACCTGAGGTCGGGAGTTCGAGACCAGCCTGACCAACATGGAGAAACCATTTCTCTACTAAAAATACAAAATTAGTCAAGCGTGGTGGCGGATGCCTGTAATCCCAGCTACTGGGTGAGGCAGGAGAATCGCTTGAACATGGGAGGTGGAGGTTGTGATGAGCTGAGATTATGCCACTGCACTCCAGCCTGGGCAACAAGAATGAAACTCCGTCTCAAAAGAAAAAAAAAAAAAATAGAAAGTTGGAGGACTTGCACTATCTTAAAGTTACAGTTACCAAGTCATTGCAGCATTGTCATATAGATAAATCCATCAATAAAAGGAATAGAAAATTAAAAAATAGAACCACACGTAAATGGTCAATTGATTATTGATGGAAGAGCCAAAACAATAAGAAAATGAAAATCTATTCATCAGATAGTATTGCAAAAACTGAGTATTAATAACGAACTTACATCCCAGCTTTATACCACACAAAAGTTAGAGTGAATTAAAGATCCCGAGATAAAAAGATAAAATCTTACAGCTTCTTGAAAGCAACACAAAAATATTTTTGTATCCTTTGAGTAAGCAAAGATTTCTTAGAATAGAAAAAGCACTAACCAGTTAAGATTAATAAATTCATTAAATTAAAAAACTTCTATTTCTCAAAAAACATCAACAAAATGGGCAAGATATCCATAGGCAAACTATATCTCAAAATATTTATATCTAGAATGTATAAACTCTGGAATTCAATAGAAGTCAAACAAAAATAGGTAGATTTATATAGCAATTTCAGAAAAGAAGAAATGTGAATAAAAGCCATGGGAAAAAATGGTCAGCTTCATTAGTTAGCAAAGATATCCTGATTAAAGGAAAAATGAGATACTGCTTTATACCAAAAACATGGCTACAATTACGAAGAATCACAATAATGCACGTTGGTGAGAATATGAAGCAACCAAAGCTCTTATTCATCACAGACAGTATTGTAAAATGGTAAAACCACTCCGTAAAAAGGTTAGACAGTTCTTATGAAGTTGAATATATATATATACATACACACATACACACACACACTCTGTGATCCAGCAATTTCCCAAAGAGAAATGAAAGTATGTATCTACAAAATTTTGTATAAAAATCTTCATAGCAGTTTTATTTATAAAACCCCACTCTGGAAATAACCAAATGTCCATCCACCAAAGAAAAATAGATAAATAGAGATATATTAGTACCATTGACTACTTCTCAGCAGTAAAAAGACTATTAAAACATACAACGACATGGATGAATCTAAAAATATTATACTGCGATAGATACAAAAGGGTAGGTTCATTTATATAAACTTTTAGACTAGATAAAATTAATCTTAGACAATAAAAATCAGAACACTGGTTGACTCACAGTCTGTAGGGGAGGAGAACGGAGGAAGAACATGAGAGAACCTTCCATCCAGAGGGATGGAAATTTATCTTGATACAGACATTGCACACATGTGAGCATATGTCAAAATTTCTTAAACTCTATATGTAAGATCTGCACATTCACTATGTGCTTATTATGCCTTGATTTAAAAAATAATGCTCCAATGCACTTGGTTTAGAAGGAGTAGTTTAGGAAAACAGGAAAACATGCTATTTGAGGAGCCCATTAATTATCAATATTGGGTTTGACCATATGGGGAGGACCAATGTATTTCTATCTGGGCCCAAAGCATAGTTGCCCTACTTTAGATGCCTACAGAAAATAACTTCAACAGAAGTTGCTCCTTTTCCACACAAATCTGAAAGACTGGGAAAACAAAAAAGAGACCTGATGTCCTCACTTACAATGATGTTTATTTATAGCTCCCATCATATTGGACCAGATTTGTCCTAGAAATCCCACTGTCATGGGAAATGTCTCATGGGAAGCATTGTGGTTCATAAAGTAACCCCACATTTCTTGAAGGATTGAGGATCTCTTGTTCTTCCATGTGGTAATTGGTCTGATTTGAATGAAGACTTCCGTGGTCATGTAGGATTTGAAAACACTTGGTTTTATTAAAAAGCAAAAAAAATACAAAGCTTTTTAACAAAACAAAAAATTTGTTTTTCACAAAACAAAATTAAGCTTTTAAACAAAGCTTAATCATAAGACTTACTCAGAATATTTAATATGTAAACGTTCAGGTAACTCTTCAAAAGTGGAGCTACATTGGGAAAACTTTTTAAACCTACTTTTGCATGGAATCATTTATTCACTAAAAATGTCAGCAGAGAAGAGTTTCATGGAAAATAAGTTTGGTGGGCAAATTTAAATCTAAAATAGCCACAGATTTCTAGTAACTGCCATTACATGTACAAAGCATATATAATGTTCCTGAATTAAAAAATTAACTGCTTCTGGGAGGCCAAGGCAGGCAAATCACAAGGTCAGGAGATCGAGACCAACCTGGATAACATGGTGAAACCCCATTTCTACTAAAATTACAAAAAATTAGCCGGAATGGTGGTGGGTACCTGTAGTCCCAGCTACTCAGGAGGTTGAGGCAAGAGAATGGCGTGAACCCGGGAGGCGGAGCTTGCGGTGAGCCAGATCACACCACTGCACTCCAGCCTGGGCGACAGAGAGAGATTTTGTCTAAAAAAAAAAAAAATAAATAACTGCTTCTGGGGATACTACTTACTATTCAATTTAAGGGCTTAATCTAACTGACAGCTGAAATCTTTGAACAGATTATTGTTTCATCCTAATAAAGATTTTTGAGATTGCAAAGCAATAAACTCTATCTGAATTAATTTTTAACAATTCATTTTGATGACCAGAGGCTGACTGTGGGTTTTCTAGCATTCTCTTTCAGACATCTAATGGCACAAACAGATAAACAACTTGTTAGTCTACAAACTGAAGTGTCAAGAGATAACTCTTCAATTTGTTGATTCATCGGTCAGTTGATAAGCCTAAAATCATTATACTTTTCATACAAGCTCTTTTACAGAAAGCTCCCAAATCCATACTTTCTCTTCTCTGCCAAGTAACTCCAAAACAGTGTGCTGAAATAATATTTTATCAGGGGATTCTCCAACAAATGTCATAGTCATTTGCTTTTACAGGTTTTTTTTTTTTTTCCTGAGGACAATTCTCTCACTAAATGATCTCTACCCTCCCATCCCCTCTGTATATGGATAATAAGAGGGTTCTTAGCAATTAGCAGAGTTCCAGTAAAAATATTTCCCCCTAGCTATAATGTAGCAATGGCTAGAGAAAGCGGGGGAAATATTTTCCCTATCTACTTTAATAAATGCACATCCAAGTAGGGACATGTAGGGTATTGGCTCAGGAATGCCCCAGGCTCAGCATCCATCTTTCTGCTCTTTTGCCACTTCCAGACTGACAGCTAAATTACTGCACAGAAAAGGTTTCTGTGGGCTGTAAACATAATGCTGCCACTGAAACTGGTTTGTTGGCTAAAGGATAAACAGAGATTGAAGGACAATTTTTATTAACTGAGAAAGACGGGGTATAGGGAAGCAGAGCTGGATCTGCATGGAAAAATAAGCTTAGCAAACTCGAGGACAAAACGCAAGCAGACACACTCTAATTGTATTGCAATTTTACGTCAAGTGTCGGGGCACTAGCTAAATTACTGGAAGACCCCCACATCTGCATCTTAGACTGTGTTACATATTCTCTGTGCCTGATGGCTAAGCATAGAGGATGTTTTTACCTGTAAATGTAATTTAAATTTGAGCAATAAAGAGAGGGAGTCAACAGTTTTTCAAACCTGAATTGACACATTATTTTCAGGAAAATTAACTTTCTTTGCTGAGATGTCATGAAACTATAGAACTGGGAACCAAGATTGAGAAATGTGAGGAAAATCAAGTTCACATTCCCTAAATTATTTGCCAAATACGTACAAGTCACTGCGCTGCATATGTAGGAAAAGAGTCCTGGCCCCAGTGACCCTATAGCTCAGATTAAGCAGAAGAAAGACACATTCAAACATATGCCAGGTTACAAAAGTGAGGCTGGTAGGAATCACATTTTCCTTGGTATCTGTTTCATCTCCATTTCTCAGTGGTACAGTGTGATAGTGCAGCATGCATAGTAAGTAGTAAGTCTTTGATATACATCTCTTCAAGAAATTAATCAACTAATTTTTTTGTATAAAGGAGAAAGCAACAACAGCCATTAAAAAAAGCTACAGATATGTAACTTGGCAGGCTTCGAAGGGTGAACCACTTACTTCCAGTCAGAAGGGTCAAAGATAACTATGTAGATGTGGCATGTGATTTGGGCCTTATGGAGATTGACAGAGACACTGAGGGAGAACAAGTAACAGTGTGAACAGAGAAGTGGAGAATTCCTAGGGAGTAACGGGAAATAGCACCAGGATTCTTAATAGTCAGTAGCAACTGTCCAGGATAAAATAAACACACTCCTATCATTCTGATTTTCAGCAGCCGATCGGGAAGCAGATGCTATTTTTAGCCACCTATGTAACTGAAAACCTCCAACTCAGGTCATACTGTGACTTGGTAAATAGTTGTGGACAAAGCTATTCTTTTTCAAAATGTCAGAAAAACCCTTATGGGGAGGAAACACTATTCCTTTGTGTGTTAGTAGTTTTCCATTGTGATAAATTATGAATTGAAAACATACACTTTAATTTGATCCCTGGTTTAGTTTAGAACTGGCATTAGCTAGATCCGTAATTTAATCCAGACTCAACTCAGTGTATGGCACATTGCCTGACACGTAGTAGGTGCTTGAGAAATATTTGTCCAATGAATAACAGAAGTCAAGATTTTGTCATGTACTGAGGCATAGACTATTTTATAGATGGATAAAAGCGTGATTTACCAACTCTAGTCTCATACTTTGACATACTTTCAATTTAAAACTGTAAAATCCAAACACTCTGAATAAGAAAGTCTAATTCACAAGATAGTTGATAAAAAAAAAAAAGTCACTATTGTTTCCCAATTCTACTTTATACATTGAAATTGTGGTTTCTAACTTATCAAAGCCACTTACAGGCATCCTTATTGTAGCCATGATATTTGTTTCTTTTTCAACATCTACTGTTCCCCTAGCATTTTCACTTACAGGAATTACACGCACATTATTTACTGCAAAGTAAATTACCACATGGTTTTCTAAAGTACTTTGATGAAGTATCCACAGAAAGGGGGTCCAAGGGTCAGATGAGTTTGAGAAATGCTTCATACTCTTAGAGGTTTACCTTATAAGTAACACATTTAAGGTTCTGAGAAACCCTGCAATAAAGAAACCTAACTAACTGTTTAACCCACTGTTTCTCAAACTGTTACAACCATGGAACCTATTTTGAAAGGCTTTCACTGTCTTGCAGAACTAATGTTCTGAGGTGCATCCTTGGGACAACATCCTAACATAGAGATTATCAAGTGATGACCTGCATTGAATTTGTGTTTTAAAATTGAGGGATCAAACACATTAAGGGAAAGAAAGGTGGGAGAAATGTCAGCAAGGTCAGTGTGGGAACACCGGAACTGCACTTTCACACAGCATTGGTCTTGTTACCTCCTTCATGATCGTCATGCTTTCTCTGCTTCATTACGGCTGAGATATTCCCTTTGTATTACTCCCAAATTATTGTAGACGCACACATCACTTGCCTGGCTTCTGTAGATATTTGACTTTGGAATTCTTGTTCTGGGGTGTCTTACTCATTCAGTTTTCCCTAATACTCATTTAGGAGAAAGAAATGACAATATTCAAATGGCAGGAAAAAAAGGTCAGTGTAAAATGAAACCCTCCGGCCGGGCGCGGTGGCTCACACCTGTAATCCCAGCACTTTCGGAGTCCGAGGTGGGTGGATCATCAGGTCAGGAGATCGAGACCATGGTGAAACCTCGTCTCTACTAAAAAAATACAAAAAATTAGCCCGGCGTGGTGGCGGGTGCCTGTAGTCCCAGCTACTCGGCAGGCTGAGGCAGGAGAATGGCGTGAACCCAGGAGGCGGAGCTTGCAGTGAGCCGAGATCGCGCCACTGCACTCCAGCCTGGGCGACAGAGCGAGACTCTATCTCAAAAAAAAAATAAATAAAAAATTAAAGAAACCCTCCTTGTAGGTAGATAGAAGCCATTTCTAAGCCTGCTGAATTTCACACAAACAATAGAACCCAGTGAGGTTCTTACATCAGACCGTGGCCTCCAAATGGTATTTGCCCCATTCTTTGTATCTGAAAACCCAGAAGCTCTTAAAATAGTATGGGAATCTTGTGTTTCCAACAGTTATCGCTATCAAGTAGTTCATTTGTGCTCCCCCAAAAATGGATCTTTCCTCCCAAATGGTATCGCTCCTCATTTCTTGTTTTATATCTTGAGGCTCACATCACAGTGACTGGTTGCTCAGCTCCACCATGGGGTTACAGAGTGAACTCTCTCATCTACTAACAAACAGCACTGGGTCTTCACAGATCACCCCCATAAGGCGGTGACTGGCTCTCCAGAACGTGTCCTTATTCCCATTTTCATGCTTACTCTTCTGAGCTGAAATTGTAAGCTGCCCAGTTTTAAGATTCAAATTGTTATTAAACTTATTTTCCTAATTTTTAAATTAAACACATTTTAGTTTGCAAATTTTGAGGCAATGAGAGGACTGAGGCAGAACAGAACACTCTAAGGGACATTCGGCACACTATCATCACGCAGCCTTCTAGCAGCAAAGACCAACACAGAAACGAGAATCCTTCAAGATAAGAACCGCCACAGGGCAAAGACAACAGACAGCATTTTCTGTCTATGCCTCACGTGGATTCTCCAAATAGTGTATGCCACTTGTAGGTAGCATGGTTTGCCTTGAAAATAATAGGTCCCAAAAGCATTTAAATATCACATTGAGGGCTTTCAAGCATCTTTGGGAAGCTTTTTTTTTAACCCCAAGTAGTAGCACATTAAAGCTTGACAACAGCATGACAATAATATTAGCACACTGGGCATGTTCAACTGTCCTACTACTTACTTTATTACTTTGGGCTGAAAGGTCAATTTAAGCAGCGCCTCTCCTTATACCATAAGGCCGGAATTTCTCCTCCAAGTATTTTCCAATTTGAATCTTTTACCTTTTTAATCATGCCATTGATCAGCATTCCATAATTCATTACTATTCTCCTTCCTCTCAGCCAACTGATTATACTGTGACAAAAGAATATATAACCTTGTGGTCTAGACAGGAAGCAAAAGAACTAAGTTTCCAAAGCAGTAGTTTCTTGTTCATGTTTTTCCCGTTTGGCAAGAAGGAGTTTCAAGCAGGAATGCCATACACACAACCAACCAACTCAAATTAGATGGGGCGTTTGGATTATTGAGTGTTAGTTTGGGTGTGGAGGGAAAGATATATTACTTCTCCTTCTGGTGTGGTTGTGTTTCTGCAAAGTCTCAGATTAAATCCAAAGTATCATGGCATGTTTATATTTTAAATTTTACAGCCAAAGTAACTGTTTGTGATTATCAAAATCAGCTAGCACCCTGTCTTCCCTGGTATGATTTGGGTTTTGGATCTAAATTTCCTGCTAATTGCTGACATTCATTCATTCCATAAATATTTATTGAGCACCTACTAATGGGCCAATTTCTCTTCTGAGCACTGCAGAAGTAGCAGTGAAGAGGAAAAATTCCTAACTTGCAAGAAGCTTACTTTTAAATGGTTTTATTTTTAAGAAGCCCATTAAATCCTTACATTTTAGTGTCTCCATTTTGCACTTGTTTCTCTTTGTGGCACTCAAGACTCAGAAGAAGCATGGTAGATCTAGTCTGGTAAATGTCAATGCTGCATCCCAGGGCAAGGCAAGAGCTTGTGAAGAATTCACTCTGGCTACGCTTTAAAGGCTAATACCCCAATACCTGGATCCTCCCTAAAATTTAACAACAAGGCAATAGAGACACCAGTACTAGTACACTGGGCATGTTAAAGTTGTAGATGGCCATGGAGTTCATTTAATCATATTCTTCAGATGAAGTGACTGATGCCTGCAGGGACTAAAATACCTGAACATACCTTGAGAATGTAAGCTCCATAAAAAACAGGCTTTACCTTGAACTTTCCACATAGGGTTGTCATGATGGTTAAAGGAGTGTAAAGCACTCAGGGATTGTGTCTGGCAAATATTCCTATGCTATATAAATGGTTTGCTACTATTATTACTAATCACTACTGTATCCTCTGCATTTTGTATATTGTAAGTACTATAATTTTCTATTTCTGTAAACAATGGGTGGGGGGTCTTATTTTGATTATTTCATATAACTCCAACAGCACCTAAGAGTCCTTGATACCAGTGATTTCTAGTTAAGTGCTTATTGAACTGAATTAGAAAATTGTGTTTAAGTTTGTTCAATTAAGACTTCAAATATCGCTAATAGTCACAGTTTTGGGTTAAATTACAAGTATGCACTCGCTCTTCCCTCCTACCCTCCCAAAAGATAGGTTTAAGACCTACCCCTCTAAATATGACCTTATTTGGAAATAGGGTTGATGCAGATGTAATTAGTTCAGATGAGATAACACTGGAGTAGGGTGGGCCTCTAATCTAATATGACTGATGTCTTATAATAAGAGCCATGCAAAGACAGAGACACACAGGGAGAACGCCATGCGCTGGTGAAGGCAGAGATTGGAGTAATAGAGTTGCAAAGCCAAGGAACCCAATAGGTTCCTGCCAAAAAACCAGAAGCTAGGAAGAGCCAAGGAAGGATTCTCCACCACTGGTTTCAGAGAGAGCATGGCCTTGCCTGATACCTTGATTCCAGACTTCTAAGCCTCCAGAACTGTCCAGCAACAAATTTCTGTTGTTTTAAGCCACCCAGCTTGTGGCACTTCGTCATGACAGCCCTAGGAAACTACACTGACAATTCAGCCTCACTGTGTGGTTCATATGAGTAATTGGGTCAGATGGGCTCCCCTAATGGAGGCCACACCACATAATGTACTGTTCATTTTGTGTCTCAACATTTGTATATGTGAATATTTGCTACTGAAGGGTCAAGACAGAGTCGACTGTCCCAGCAAAAAGACTGCTCATTCATCTAACTTTCCCTGCCTCCCCCTCCGCTTTCAGATGTTCTTGACATATGCCAGATAAAACGCTGTGACAGTGTATACACAAGGAGCTACGGTGCAGTTCCCTCTGAGATTTACAGTGTTCTTGCCTTTACATCCAGGTGGTAGACAGTGAGATGAGGAATTTTTGAGACAGACTTGGGAACAAGATCACTCTGGGAAGTTTCCAGAGTTCTCTTGGTGACCTAAGAACTCTATTCAATAGGAAATCATTCCTTGCTTGGGTGGAATGATCCAGCATATAAATTTGGTACAATATATGCCAGTTAATTCAACAAAATGTCAAACTGTCTGGGAAAGCCCTTAGAGAAGGTTTACTTTCTGTGTCACCAGGGAACTGAGTGATAGGAGGGAAAGCTCATGAAAATGAGATTTTCTTTAACTTCTGCCCAAAGTGAATAAATCAGTGGGATTTTTCAAGTTCCCTCAATATCAATGAGTTTATTTCATAAAGCAGACAAGTATTTATAGACTCAAAAAAAAATCTTTCTCACAGTCCTGCTCTAGCCTAATTGCTTGCTTTCTTCTTTCTCTTCCCTTTCCTTCTTCCTTACCCTTCTCTTTGCATAGCTATCAGAGAAAAGATTTGTCTGACAACTGCTCTTACCTCTTAGCTTTTAAAAACCATGATGAGTATGGGAGGTCTTGACTTCATGAGGTGTGTGTGTGTTTTTTTTTTTTCAGAGGAAGATTTAGTCTCCCTGCCCTGAACTGGGTTTAGGGTAATTGTGTATCTGCTTGAGGGCTGAATGCAATCTCTAGCCTTTTTCATAAAGTTTATGGCCCTATTGCCCCTTTAAAGGTCTCATGTGGCTGATTGATAGGCTCATTTCTGATACTAACCATAAAGAATTGGCCATCCTGAAGATAAGCCGCTCTTCCCCTGAGCATTACAGGAGGGAAAGGAGGGCCGCCATTATAGATGACGCCTCCATTATAGATGGTGCTTCTTGCCTCAATCAGATTCATCCTTCAGCAGCCCAGGCAGTGCTTTGTGCTGAGGGACTGCACCATAGGACATATAAGCCCAGTCAAGTCCTTTTAGTTAATGGGTACCTAAGGATTAAAATATCATCATGGACAAGTAGAAGAAAGCACTAGCTAACAACCCATTTCATAACTTCCGTTAATTTTTTCTTGATGTCATTAACCAGAACAGTAGTTACCAGACTCACAGAATGTGTAATTTAAGTCTTTTTATTTAATTTATCTATTCCTCAATATTACCCCCCTTTTTGTTTTCTTAGTTTCCTTCTAAATCTATTTCTTTCCTCCTCAAACTATCTTTCAAATATCTTGTCATGGGAGAAGTATGGTGATTAGTGATTCTTAACTTCTGCAACTTGTGTCTTCTACAAACTGAGATAGGTCAAAATGGAACTTCAACTCTTAGAAAAGAGCAAGGGAAGGAGGAAGAGAGAAGCAGATGAAAGGGGAAAGGGGTTGTGGGTGGGGGAGGTACACTCAGAGTGGGAGAGGGGGACAGATTTTTTGACTGTTGAACTTTAATCCTTAAGATTTTTTTTTTTTTTTTTTTTTTTTTTTTTTTTTTTTTTTTTTTGAGATGGAGTCTCTCTCTGTCGCCCAGGCTGAAGTGCGATGGTGCAATCTCGTCTCACTGCAACCTCCACCTCCTGGGTTCAAGTGGTTCTCATGCCTAAGCCTGAGTAGCTGGCATTACAGGTGTGCGGCACTGTGTGCAGCTAATTTTTTTATTTTTAGTAGAGACAGAGTTTTACCATGCCGGCCAGCCTGGTCTCAAACTCCTGACCTCGAGTGATCCACCTGCCTCAGCTTCCCAAAGTGCTGGGATTACAGGCGTGAGCCACTGCACCCGGCCAAGATTTAATTTCCTAGAAGAATAGGAGTTAATTTGTTTCTAGCCAAAAACTGTGACGTAAATGTTGCAAAAGAACAGATATAACCTGACAGCCTAAAAAGTGCAGGAAGCAAAAAGAAGGAAAGACCAGAAGGCAATAGTGGTGCAAGCATAGGAGGAGAAGGGGGTTTGCAAAGGAAGATTTATTCATTGAAATATTTAATGAACACTTTTTACAGGGTAGGTATGGTACTAGGACTAGGGATAACAGATAACACATAGTCAATACACATAAGGAATCCATGTTTTAAGCAATGGAAACATCAGAACTGTACATCAAATAATTAATGAAACATTAAAATGTGATAAAAGGCATGTAGAAATGTTGCTAACTCCTCTACATCCACTCCAGTCTGGTTTCTTTCCTGCATCACGTCATAAAACAGCTCTTGTCAATGTCTGAACCAATGGACCACTTCCTCCATCTTGAACTTTTCTCATGCTCTCTGTGTATCATATTCTCTAGTTTTCCAAGTACTTCTCTGCTTCTTTTCAATCTCTTTTGCAAGCTCATTTATTTAAACGTGATTTCATTAAGGTTGGGTCCCATGCTCACTTTCGTTTTTCATACTCTCTCGGGCAGTATCATCCAACCTCTGGTTTCAATTGCCTTTAATATGACAAGGACGCTCAAATCACCTCTCCAGGCAGGCTTCCCTCTCTACAACCAGGTGCTCACCCGTGATCAGCCATACCCTTTTCTGGAGCCCTTCTCAGTGGGTGTATGTCAGTCTATATCTGCCAGTTAGGATCTATGCATTTCTCAGCTATGTGCTTTCAATGCTTAACATGGTATCCAGCATGTAGTAGTAGTTCACTGTTTACTTAACTGCTGACTGGAACTGAGGCAGGGCTTTGGAGAGAAATGCCCAGTACCACTCCACATAAGGGGAGGCTGGGTCATTCTGCTTCAGCACCGTGAATACATGACCAGACCGGTGAGCCAAGATACAGGAGAATAGCTTTTCAGATGATAACTTATTATGTGAGGTTTACATAAGATGAGGACAAAGGAGTATAATATGGCAATTAACAAAGATAATTTTTATTTTATTTTTCTGTTTTTTTTTGGTATTTTTGGAATTTTCTACAATGTTTATATAGTATTTTTGTAATTGGGGATTTTTAAAAAAATGTAAAGTTCTTTGGAAAACTGCCTTATGACAGGGTAAGAGAGAGAAAGGTGTGTGTGTGTGTGTGTGTGTGTGTGTTTATGTGTGCGTGTGCACATATGCATACATACATATACACACAGAATCAGGAGAGTAAAATGTCAAAGGCGACTGACATAGGAGCAGGAGTTCTAGAAGTTGAAACTCCTGGATTTGCCCATACTGCCTTTATTCCTAAGTGACTTTCAGGGAAGAATAGGGCACAAATTATTTACTCAAATGGCCTGTTACTCCTGATTCTCAAATATTAAAAACAGAAAAGTATTTATGGATAATAAATTTGATAGTAACACATGCTCTCCTGAATTTTAACTCAGTCCACAATCTTTCCTGATGAGTACCAGACATTGACATCCTAGTCAACCAATTCAAGTCATCAAAATAAACAACCTCTTATGAAAATGAAAACTGAATATTACATTGGAGAAATTGAAAGCATGTTTTATCAAAGGCAATTTGTTTATGATCTGACAGCCTTGAAAAATACAAGGAAATTATGTCTCTCACATTAAAATGAAAGGGCAGCAGCTTCTTTAGACATCACAGTAATAAGGGAATCTTGGGTTATTCAGAAAAAAACACCTGTTTATTCTACATGCTCAATATTCCATCTAACTTCCTCTTCTTTGCATTTTCTGGAAAAAAATGCACATTTCTGCACTAGTTAATGACTCATAGAAGAAAGCAATACCACTTTCTTTAAAAAAAAAATCTTCATTTTTGGTAAAAGAGAGTCATCTACAGAACAACCACAAAAGTCATCAAAGTGTTAAAATCACAGGATATACCAGGTAACAGTGGCTTCCTTCCCCATCAGGATCAGAGCCAATGGCCACCATTGCCTTCCTTCTATGCGTGAGCCCTTTGACATCATTCTTCATGTGTGTGACCCACATAAGTTGGGTTAGTGTAGAGCATTTGCATGCCAGATTCTCAGATATGGTACGAAGTGTCATTCAACTACACATTTATTTGAAGAACTTTTAGTCTCCGCTCACTGTGATAAGAAAAATAGTCATGAATTCTGTTCATACTTTGGGTAGAACAATCGTATCTGTATCTTGGTCAGTGTTTTTAGATGGTCACATATATAGCAACAGAAGACTTTACTAGAATATGTGGCACATCTAGTGAAAATACTTTTACAGTGCTTGAATCAGTATAACACTATCAGAACTATAGTCAGTGCTGCTTGTAGACTTCAAAGATTCATTTATTCTACTAAAAAAGTTTAAAATTATCCTCTATCAAAACATATTCAGATTTTTAAATGCAATGTCTAGAGGAAAAGCATAGTTATTAACCTGATAACGAGTTTTTTAACACTTGTATTTCAGAAAGCTTGAGTTTCACTAAAGTGACATAGTGATATTTCTTCCTACTTGATATAGGAGAAAATGATACACAAAACAGGAGAATCTCAGGTTGTTCGCAAGGAGTTTTAATAACTAAAATAATAACAATTTTTTAAAAATCTCACAATAATGTAGAAGTGACTCCAGAAACTGAAAAAAAAAAAAATGAAGTTCTAGAGTCGTATTTAAAATGAAGCATACTTAACCAATCTAAAAATCCCGAGGTGTACCAGGTAATAGTGACTTCCTTCTCCATCAGGATCAGAGCCAATGGCCACCATTGCCTTACTCCTATGCACGAACTCCTTGACATCATTCTCCATGTGTGTGGCTCACATAAGCTGGGTTAGTGTAGGGCATTTGCATCACAGATTCTTTGCTTTCTTCCTGTTCAACTAAATGAACCTCATGGATTATGACATTTGATCACTACCTTGGCATCTAACAGCATCAATGAGTAAAACACTTCTGAGGCCTGGGAAAGCTGACCCATATGGGATTAGTCTGGAATTCAAATTGTGGGGCTCTGAGTCTAGTGGAACAGAGAGACACAGAGCTCTGTCATTTTCTAGCTACATGGTCTCAGAACCTTAGTTTCCTAAAAATATAATTTGGAAAAACCACACTTCCTTCTAGTGTTGTTTTATTAGCTCTCTTCCTATTTTCCCTAACTACATTTCACAATAGCACTGGGTGAAGTTGACCCCTTTCATGGATATTTTTTGCCACTCTTTTGGAATAATTAGCTACATAAGCCATAACTGTCTCTCGGTAATTCTATAAGACAGTTTCAGTGAGCACTAAGCAGGAGTTCTTTTTTGGATAACTTACAACTGTATGTGAAAAAGACATTTAAAAATGCTATTTTTGATTGCTGATGTCATGGACATTGGCAAGAATATTGAAGCTGTATATCAAAAAGATACTTTGGGGATAAATCAGCATAAGAATAAAATAGAGCTCCCATAAAATTGAGAGATCTCTTTTGTATCAAAGTATATTTATGAGATAATATTTC
This sequence comes from Homo sapiens, assembly GCF_000001405.40. Taxonomy (NCBI): domain Eukaryota; kingdom Metazoa; phylum Chordata; class Mammalia; order Primates; family Hominidae; genus Homo; species Homo sapiens. The sequence goes on along the minus strand of NC_000003.12, from coordinate 25,064,270 downwards.
AACTGAAATGGAGAAAAAATGGAAATCTATTGCCATTATATTACTATTTTGTTGAGATGGCAATCTTATAATGAAATCTAAAACTCCAGTTCTCATATCCTAAAGTGGATGCTTGCTTGCTTTAATCTTGGTTATCATTATATCACTAAAGCAATCATCAAAATTAGCTTTGGCATTTTTACAATAAGGCAAGCTAGGTTCTATCCACCCACCGCTGCCCATCTTCCTTAACTTTTGTAATCCCTTCTCTGTCTCTATGGCTGCCCTGAGAATAAAAGTTCAAAAATATTCAACTGCAATCAGAAATGAGGAGATCATTCGAATCTGGCATTTGGTAATTAGAGTCTTCCCTGAGCCTTGCTAAGTCACAAAGTAGTGCTTAATTCTATTTGACTCTCCTAAACCACAACTTCTGAGACTCTTAGTGATATGGACTAAGAGGAGCTACCAGTGCTTTTCTTATCTTGAAGCTGAGTCTGAAAATATAACCCGTGGTAACCCTGTGCAAGATCCTAACATCCCAAGGTCTGTTTCCTCATCTTTTTAAAAAAAAAAAAAAAAAGTCTCAAACTACAAGGTCTACGGACCCCTTTGAACCTCAAGATTTTATGACTGTGGTAGTCTTTAAGTTGTTCCTTAAACTTTAGTCAAATTCCACCGGCATAGATTTTGCCTTATTGGAAGCATTTTTCACTCACATTTATTTCATATTTTTATTTAGGCCTGTACATTTTTGTTTTTTTACCTTATGTGCATTTAAAAATCGACAAATTATGACACTGCCATAAATACTAAATTGGCTTCACTTACTTCAAATAGAAGGTAGCCCATAAAAAGAAATAGGATGGAAAGCAAACAATGTAATTGAGTCCAAGTTAGAAGGCATGGCTTAAGGAAAGCTCTGAGTCTCAAATCTGATATCTCTCAGTTACAAAGAGATACAGAAGACATAACACCTTCAAATCACCTTTCTTATCAAGAGAATCAGAAGTTTTAGAGCAAAATTGAGAGGGGAATAAAATAATTTCCTCAAAATACAATTTGTATGATTTTAATCATTGCAGGTACCACCATTGGTATAGATTCTATTGTATTTGCTGGGGAAAACCTTCTGTGGCTATTCAAAAGGGGGTGTTACATCTTTAGACTCAACTCCAGACAACTGAAGCACTGATACCCTTTATTATTCCTTGTCTCTAAGAAGCATCTCAGAAGTTGTCCTAAGTTACACAGTTCTCGTCTGAAAAGCCAAAGGGGAGTTTCACAAACTCTATGAGTTGTATGACTCAAGTTTTGTCGTTCCTAGTTTTGAACATGTGCATTTAAAAAAACCTTTGAGACATGATTCACATACTCTAAAATTCACCTATTTAAAATGTACAATTGAATTTTCCCATGTATTTACAGAATTTTGCAACTGTCACAATGGTCTAATTTGATAACATTTTAATTTTTCCCAAAAAGAAATCCTATACCTAATTAGCAGTAACTCCCCATCTCACCTCTACTGGCCCCAAACATAGGCAACCAATAAGCCACTTTCTGTCTCTAAACATTTGCACATTCCGGACATTTCTTGTATATGTAGAATCATACAATATGTGTTTTTTTGCACTGGCTTCTTTCACTTAGCATAGTGTTCTCAAGGTTTATCCAGGTTATAGCAAGTATCAATACTTATATTTCATTATATTGACATATCATGATTTAAGCAGGCTTTGATTTTCAGTTATAATACACAGTGAACATTTTGAACATGTATCATGTGAACTTAAGTAACCTTGTAGAATATTTTCTGAGAAGTGAGGCAGTTGGGTTATAGAATGTCTATAATTAAAGTTTTAATAGATACTGGTCAATTTCACACTAGAAAAAGTTATTTCATGCTACGTTCCCATCTACAAGGAATAAGAGTAGAGATTTCCTATGGCTTTGCCATTGCTGGATATTATTGAGGCTACATTTTGTCAATAAAAGGCAAAACACAAAATATAGCTTTTATATGTATTTAAATATTAGTATGCTTGAACACTTTTTTCATTTTCTTTACTGGCCGTCGCTATTTCTTCTGAGAATATCCAGTTAATATAATCTATTTTCCCACCAAATTATTTATATTATTTTAATGGATTTATTGATATAAACACGTTCCATTTTTCATTTACAAAAATGCTTCAGCTTCATTTATCTTTTGCCATAAAGATATTTTATACTTCTATATTCTTGTTTCCCATCATTGATTCTTGATTCTACTATTATTTTCTTAAGTTGAAAACCACTTTTATTCTATATTAAATTCCAATATTTAGATTTTTTCCAGATGTGCTGTTCTACTGATTTCATTCTTTACTCTTATGCCAGTGCCAAAATGTTTTAATTATTTAAACTTTATTAGAGTATATGCTGTGTTACTAAGTTGGGTAAGTTCTTTTTTCAAAAATTCATATACTTATTCTAACAAATCAACATTAACTTGAATCACTTTTTTCCTCTAAATTGTAAACCATAGTCATTATTAACACTTAACTAGTATAAAACACCTTTCTCTCCAAAATATAAAATTTAGTGGATCAACATATTATTATTAAACTGCAACAATAAATTAGCATTATTCCAGCTTACATTTAAGTTTAGATAAAGCAGCTAGCTCTGAATAAAAAGCAATAGGAAAATAAAATACCAAGAAAGCTGTCTGTGTTCAAATCTTAAAGTACTCAACTGAATGTGTAACTACACCAAGCAGAGAAGAAAACAAAGTTACAAAGTCATAAAAAATACATTAAGTTCAAAATCAATTAGAAAAAAGCAATCAAGTTATTTGGAACTGCTATAGAAATTCTGTTTTAAAATACCAACTGAACTTACCCAATAGATACACTGGAAGATTAAATAAAAATATGATTATAATAAAAGAAATTTATAGTTAAGCAGCATCACATCAATTCCTTATTTCTTCCCAGTACACTTTGATATGTTTACCTTTGCTATTATTTGTATGTACATATTTATCTTTCTCCCAAAATAATAACGAAGGAAATGATGAATAAATTAAATTTTATTTTCACTGTAATTAGATTTTCCCTCTAAAAAGTATTCTATCTTTTCAAATCACTATGAATTAAACTATAATGTTTCCTTCATTGCAAAAGTTCCAGGCCAAGTATGTTAATCCTTTCTCAGGAAAACTCAGGACCATTCTGGTAATAGTTATGTCTACACAACCTTTCCCAACAGTTTGAAACATGAATTTTAAGGGGATCCATATGATGTAAGTCTTTGAGTTGTTGAGATAAAGTAAATTTGGCCACTTCTTCCTTACACAAATGCTTCATCTGTGTGAATACATAAATTCTGCTTTTACCCCATCCCAAAAGAAAAAGTCTTTTCTTACCTACTAACAGATAAATTACATAAATAATTTCATTTAATCTTCAAGATAACCCTGCAATCTGGGTATCAGTACTCACACTCTACTCATGAAGCCAGCGAGTCTACCTACCTTAACCAAGGTCATGGCTAACACTGGAAACTCCAATTCAGTTTCTGCCATCTACTCCCATGATAAACTTTATGTTTCCCCTTCAGCTTCATTGTTTTCTAAATCAACTTGATTTTTTTCCTTCTGTATTCCAAGAATTAGCAAACTACAATCTGCAGGACAAATGTTGCCTGTTTTTATAAATCTCATTTTATTGGAATGTAGTCACACCATTTGTTTACATTTTGACCTGAGCTGCTTTTGCAACACAACAGCAAGGTTGAGTATCTGTAACAGAAGCTGTAGGGTCCATAAAGCCTAAGTATTCACTATCTGGCCCCTTATAGTTTGCAACCCTCTGCTCTATACCATCCACGTGTTAGCAGAGAGAAAATAAGACATTCTATCTCTACAAAATATACATAAAAGAACCATTTATAGAACCATTTTTATATATAGTAAAAATATAAATATTGGTTTTTATGTGTATATAATAAGGACTTTCAAAATTCATATGCCAAACTACGGTTATATTTGAAGTGCTAGATTATGGAGAACTTCCATGTTTTTCAAAATATTTGTTCAAATGTAATTTACTTTTTCTTTCATTACTTACCAGGTATGGGTCTTAGGGCAAGTTACTTCATCTCTGCAGTACTCTGTTTTATCTGTAAAATAAGTGGCTGGATTAGACAGTCTTCCAAATCCTGTTCAATTTTAACATTCTATCACTGTATTTAACACGGCTATTCAATTTTCTTATATAATTTTGATAACTATTTTAATAGGGAAAGATGCTTGCCAGGGATCCCACAACTTAAGATTTTCTATTTACGATTTCTAGTGGAATGTCATTTTCACCGACAACTCACTTTTTTCAGATTCTATCAATGTAAACTCTTTCAAGAGAAAAGTCACAGGAATTCTAAGATGCTACCGTATTTACCAACCTAAGACTACATTTCTCATCAGAGATTATAGCAAACTCTGATTTGGGGGGACAAAGAATCCTCGGCCCTGATTTTGCTTGCTTTTTTTTAAATAGGAGGTTTTGTTGCTGTTCCCCTTCTATTACTCGTATTCTCTTGTAATTTGTTCATTTGCTTTTGTAAACAGCATCACCTTGAACTTTGTCTCCACAATGCTCATATCCTAGAAGCTCCCATTTCCTCTAAATTTGATTTTGTTTCTAGTTTTATTTTTAAAGCAGCATCACAAATCTTAAAGCATCATTAAATACGTATTCTAATTTCACATGAAATACAAAGTACAGAACATGGTTTTTTAGTCATTTTATGACTACTAAAATGACAGAAGTTAAAAATAAAAACAAGTACCAAGTAAAAGTGAGGTATGGTGAGAGTGGACATATTTCCAGCTAGTGGAAGTGTATATCGGTATGGTTTTTTTCTGGGGGATATTTTTCATCATATATCCAAAGCCTCAGGAGTTTAACAAAGCAATTTTACTTTTAGGAGTGTGCCCTGAGGAAATAATTAAAAGCAAGGAAATAGATAGGCATCCAAGTATTTATAAAAATGAAAAACTGGAAACGAATGTACATAAATAGTGGCTTAGGTTAACTCAACTGAGATGCAACAATGTAATTAAATACTATGCAGCCACTAAAATTATATTATAGAAAATGTAAAATATCATGGGAAAATTCTCACTCCAAAATGTGGAAAATGATTGTAAAATAATGTGTATAGTTAGATTTCTTGTACTAATGCACATGTATAAATATTTATGCATGTGTTAGAAAGTGACTGGGATACTGGCCAAGGCATTAATACTGGTTATCTCTTGGTGGTAGAATTATGGGTAAAATTTTTTTTGGAATTTTTTTGTAACTTTCAAGTTTTCTACATTGATTGCATATTTTATTACCATAAGAATTATTTAGGAGCTATAAATTACAAATATAAAAATTTTCAAATGTCTAGATTATATTCACTCATAGGGACCTGTCAAATCTATATAGAACCAATCATTTTAATAATTCAAAAATCATGTCATTTTAATGGAATCCAATAACAAATTTTTGATCAATTGCATAATCAATTGGTTGGTTTTTGTTTTTATAGGAGAAAATTAAATTAGTAATAGTGAACAATAAAGAAAATAATACAATTAGATCATCTACCCCACTCATGCCCCTCTTATTCTGTGTCTTAGGACACTGGATTTTTTTAATTTCAAAGATTTTATTTTAATAAGTTGTAATAACTGTACTTATTTGCTTTTTACTTGGTTTTGGAGATGCCCATCAAAGCTTCATGAGGGCATGGATTATATCTTACTGGTTGATTTAGTACAGATTTCACATTTGTTCAATGGCCAGAGATAAAAGGACAGAACTGTGTAAGTTTTATACAATTTTAAAACCAAAAGTCATTAGATTGGTCAGTTCCTTTAACCTATAAAGACCCTTTTGTGGCAAAATGTTCCCTGAATTTCACCACTTGGAGTTTATACAACCCAACCACACAAAAGCAAAGCATACTATATCAACATCCAGGATAATTATGAAAATCAAGACCATTAATCTTTATGACTGAGGGAAAGTTAACCTTCTTTACCTATACTGCCATTAATTAATTTTATGCCTTTAAAAGATTACATCTGATAAATCAGCTATAATCACAACTTTGAACTCCAAACATAATTAACCAAATGGCAACTCAGTGCCATTTAGGTGAAAGTTAATGGACAGGAAGTTTATGCTCTAAAGTCAATTTTTATAACCTAAGCAAAGTGGAAGTGCAGTACATAATTCAATATTGGTTTGGGCAGCATCAAGAGGGGAATAGTTTAATTCAGGAAAAATAATCAAATACAATGATAATTGTTCAGAAGTATATCTTTGTACCACAATTCTATATACATCATTTTTATTTAAGTAATAATTCAATTTCTGTAAGAGCTCTTTTAGAAGACTTTATTGGTCAAGTTCTGAATACATTTTCGATGGTAAAAAAAAATTCAATTTATTTTAAAATGATAGTTTAGCTTTCTCAATCATTTGGAATAGTCTTCTTCTAGTAAGTCTGAATGAATAAGGACTCATCATATTCTTAAAATAAAAAAGCAAGCATGAGTATAAATCAAAAGCCAAGAAACTGAAACAAAAGAAGTCCTTTTCATTTTTCCTTTGAAGCTGTTCTCATCCCATAGGGTCCACAAATGAGTAAGTCTTTCCTATGCCAAGTCTTTCAAAGCAAAAATTGGATTCAAAGTTACTCAATTAGCTGGCAAGTTCAGTCAGTGAGGCAAGCCAACATAGATTAATTGAAGCTTTATTTTTCTATCTATTTTTGCTTATGATTTCCCTAAGAGATTAGGAATTTAAAATTCAGCCTCAAGGACAAGTATTTTGTTTTGAATTTTAAGTGTGGAAAAACGGCCAGAATAGTGAAACCCAACTCTTATTCTCAAATATAATTTGAAAAATTATGGAGATAATCACAAGTCCCTTAATGATGGAGCATCTTACCTTAAAGTCATAATGGGAACACAAGAATGCTTATTGCAAAAGAATCCTAAGTTTCTATTCCTGACTGGCTTATGACTGCCAACACGGGCTGGTTTGTGGGTTCAATGCAATAAGCATGGAAGATTCAGCAGAAATACTTATACTCTTTAAATAAAACAGTGGGACTATTTAGGCTCAGCCCATAAGCTTCAAGACTGAAAGCTCAGACTTTGAGTTATCTACCTGATTATGGATGATGAATCATGGCAGAAATCCCAAGGAACATGGGAAACATACTGGGGAGTGCCACCATGAAATACAACTTCTGAACATCTAACAATGAAGGCTCATACACTAACCATATGGTTTACTTCAAGGCTTAGTCATTAGTGCTACAGTCAATCAATTTACACAGACTTTAGCGAGTCACTCGTCATTAAGGAATTTTTTCTCTAATGATTCTAAGGAGGGGCAAAGGAAGAATTGTATCAAGATAGTTTGTCTTTAAGAGACAACATTATATTTTGCTGAATAATTAAAAGAATTCTATCCTCTCAAAATGGTGATGGCAAAACTCTCAGCCAAAATAAGGGTTGAATTATCTTATCATATATACAGGTATGTATATCATATGATACATTGAGATACATACAAGTATATAAATTGGGTATCTATTGGGTATATACTAAAGAATTCATTATAATGAAACTGCTACTAAGAGGATCTATTGCTCTGGGACAGAGTCCCAACTTTTAAAACATGTGGCAAGAATCCAGTAGATTTAAGCACTCTTCTCCTTTTATATTTGCTTTCTGTATTCTAGAAAGTTTTCTGTAATTGTCCAAACAATATTTATGCACATATTAAGGTCATTTATTTTAGACAGTCAATGTTGCAAACTGATAGGCTACTGGGCAAATTATGTTCACAAAATATACTTTTGAGCCAGTATTCTTCAAGATTGAATTTTATTGCTTTTAGATGGGAATCTCTGTGGCTTTCCAGAAGCTTTTCCCTCCCCTGATGTGCTACACCCAGCCATTTGGAAGCTTTCTCTCACTAAGGTTATCTGTTTGGCCTCTGAAGGCAGCTGAGATGGCTACCCTGCTTCTGATTTGTTTTCCTAATTTAGGCTGCCTAGTTTGTGTTGATTCTCTTTGACCAGCCTGTTACCAGCAGGAAATAGATCTCTTGACCCCCTGAAACCTCTCCCTGCACATTGGGCTTTGAAACAAGATGACACTAAGAGTTGGGCATGTTTCCCGGCAGGGTAATAGGGAGTTCTTTACTGTTGGGACAGATTGGTTAGATTAAACTCTGTTCCCACAGCATTTAACGATAATCATGGAGTAGCTAACATGACTGGTGTGGCAGATGCTGTCAGAGCACTGCCCACATGTCCCCAGATCCCTTTACCATCTTAGAACATGGCAGCTCCCCATGTACTTTCACTCCCAACAGCCAGCACCTGTGACTCTTTTTGGAGGCTTGCTGCATAGAGGAGGTTTAAATACACCAGCTTCCTGGTTTCTGGTTGTGATGATTCCGGGGTATGCCCTACCCTAATTCCAGAGCCTCTGAGCAGGATCAAACCGAAGTTACTCTCTATGTAACTACGCTTGCTACTGTCCCTTTATTGGCCTCCTCTTTCTAGTCCCACTCCTCCCCAATTCCTCCTAATAACTTTTCCCCCAATCTTCATCACAAGATCTATTTTCTGGAGAAAGCTACTTAAGACAGCTAGTTTCCCAAATTTGTAAAGAGTAAGGATAATGGGTAGCCAACTCTTCCAGAGACCCTGTAGTTTCCATAAAACAAAGTATTATAACTCAAGCTGGAACTTGTGCAAATTATATGTACCATCTCTGTATATATATTGTACTTTCAATTCTTAAGGGCCCTCAGTGCATAAATCAGTTAGACAATGATGCTTGTTGTTGACAGCAGAATTATTCATCAAATACATTCATGGTACTTGGCAGGTACTCCATGACAAGCCAAATTTGCAATCATATTCAAAAATATCTGCCGCTGTCAATGAACTATAGGATACCTCACAAGGTCAGCTTCATCTTCTCTTTTAATTTACCAAATGACAGGATTAATTTACAAATACAAATCCCAAACCGTGACATGGTTGTGTATTTTAAATTTTGAATAATATTTCTGAAACTTTGGCTTTTAATTTGTTACTCTTGAGAATTGCTTTTGAGCAAAAGCAGAATGGAATAAATGCTAATGATATACAAGTCCCTGGTTTCTGAAACCGGTGTCACAATTTTCTAATACACGAAGTATTTAGAGACTGATGAGACAGTACATTATATCTACATGGTAATTTAGTTCAGAATTCACAATTATTTTATTTTCAGTATTAATTGCTTTTGTCTCTCAATAAATGACTCTGTAGGAAGTGGAATTCAATTTCATTCATTTTCAATAATCGAGATTGCTTTGAACTAGCTCAATAACTCTCAGCTCCTCTTGGCCTTCAATATATTGCTAGTGGTAGCACATAAATAATCTGGGTTTTCTTTTCAGATTCCAAAGCAGGGTTGTCTGGCCTTTGGCAAAACAGCTAGGTAGACACAGTTTGTGCTCCACAGTTTGTGCTCCATTTTCCAGCTCTTTTGCTATGCTCTACTCAGCATCCACAGTTTCCCTGCATCTCAGGTTTCTCCTGCTCCCCCTTTCCCCTCAGGGGCAAGTGCTAGGAAATATTTATATACACACTGTTGAGAGTCAGCCTTTCTGACTTCACTCATCCTGTGCCTTCTGTCTGAAGTAGCTTTCTGCCTTTCAAATCCAGATATACAAAGTGAGATCATGGTTCACACCAAACACCACCATCTCCACAGCTCTCCTGCGGACCTCCCCAGGTAGAAGAGGACATTCAGCTCCCTCAGGACTTCTCTGTATCTCTCCTATGCTTCTTCATCTCCCTACACTGATTTAGAGGCATTCACATGGCTCCCCCAACTAGTACACAATCAATTTCTTAAGGGTGTGAATAACAAGCCATTCATCTATTTATTTCACGTAGTGCTTAGCCAACTTCCCTGTCAAAAAAACATCTGAATGAATAAACCAATGGATAATTAGTGTATGCACATTTGGTTTAAAAGAGGCTTGTCTATGAGTCTACATTTTAGACACATAAAACTACTTCTTTCAACACAAGTCTCACTAACTCACCTCAGAGCCTTTGTTTATTCATAGGTTTTAGCTTTGATCAAGCTGTACTGGAACTGTGTCCACATGGACTCCCCACTCAACCCCCATGAAACCAAGAACTCCTCAAGAGCAAGGACAATGACCTGCGCCAGGCCCAGAGTAGGAGCACAAGCCATATCTGTAGGATGAATGGGATTACAATGCCCTGTGATTTCATATGTTCCTTTCCAAAGATACATTTCAAAAGATGAGTACAGGCAGGGCAGTTAATGGACCACTGCATTTGAGGTCAGATTCTTAGGTCAGCAAGGAAGAGAGATGATAGCCTTCCTCATAAACCCTAACCTTGCTCCAGTTCCGTAACTGATTTGGGTACTCTACAGAAACTCTACAGAAATTTTTTCACCTAACATTCAAAGCAAAGTGATTTCCAAAAGCACTAACCTATCAGAACTCCATCAACATTTATGGAACACATGGGCTATATTTATTGGCCTGAGTGTTCTTTGTATTTGTTTGCAAGCCACTTTCAAAAGTGTTGTAACTGTTTTCCTCCACAGCTTACAGATGCCTAGAGGAAAGGACATCTGACTTTTTTAAACCAAAGTTCAAAGTTCCGGCTGGAATGGCAATGCAAACTTTGCATTTGTGTTTTAGGAACTGCCGCCAAGGATTCAATTCATTTCAACTCAATAAACATCTACTATGGACCTGCTAAGCAAAGGAAACTGCTTTTGGATTAAGGATGTGTCAGATATAAACGGAACCCAATTCTTACCCCTAGGAAAGCTTGCAGTCTTGTGAGAGAAAAAGACAGGTAGGTGACCATGTATGATACAAGGCAGAGGCTGGAAGTTGCAGCAGATTTTCTTAAGAATAAGTTGTTTAATGTGATTGTATGAAGGGATAAAGTTAATTACCACCATCAAACCTTGTCATAAGCCACACTCCCTTGTAGTCCAGGGGTGCTGCTATTTACTAGGTTAATTACGTCGCTTCAATTGCTTAAAAACTATAATCTCTCCCCCTCAGCCTACTCCACTTCTTTTCCCCTTTCCTTAAGGATACTTTCCAATTTTCAATGTTTCAATTAATTTTCACTCTGAACTCACATCTCAACTAAATTGGAATGCTCCAAACTATAAACATGCTATTAAAAGTTGGGTCCAGGTAACCTAGAGGAAGGACAATCTCATTGCTTCTGCCAAATTGCCTTCTTTCTCAGCATCTCACAATCTAGAATCTTTTTTTTTTTTCTATGACTTTTTTACCTCTCACTTGTGACCCCACTTTTACTACTCCTGGCTTCTCTTCTCTCGTCATACCCAAGAAGTCACATACGTATTTCTAGATGGAGAACACAAAACTACCTCTGGTGTAAGGGAAGAATGCTTTAGGATAAAGATAAGAGAATATGATTGTTAAATTGCAATCTACTTTACTATTTTCACCTGAAGAACTTCCTGCATGCACTAACCTTCAGGAAAATACTTTCAATTATAATCTAACCAACTTTTCCATGCTGCTATGTGGTTCTCCATTTAGTCCGTCTAAAAGAGTTAAGACATTTCCTACCCTATTTTAGTTTTTTCTTGTACATTTGTCATAAAACAGGAAAATATATCTACTTACATTTAAATTTTAAATGAAGAAAAAACAATTTTTAGTACAGTATGCCCCAATTATTGCATGGGATTTACTTACACTAAAATGTATTTTTTTATATACAATTCAAATTTACTTTGGTGTCCTATATTTTTATTTGTTAAAGCTAGCAATTGTACTTCTCTGTATCTCAAAATTGAGTTTCAATGAATCTGTAATAGAATTTGGGAGGCAGTTAGGTGTGATGGTCAACAGTAGAGGCTTGGGAATCACATACACAATGGGATGCATCCTCTCTGTCACATATTGTGATAATAAGGGCTTTAAGCAAATATTCTTGTGCTCTTCTCCTCAGGATGGATGTAAGTTACATACCACCTCCTCTGTCCAGTTTAAGTTAGGTGTAGGCCAATTAGCTTTGGCCAGTGAAATGGGTATGAGGACCTTTTCCCATTTTCTTCCCTTAGTGCTCACAAAAGCATATACCGAGATGGAGCCTCCATTAGCCTGGGTCCCTGAGTATCCACAATCAACAAAACATCTTATACTGTGCCTGTAGCATGAGTGTCAAATATATTTGGGAGGTAGAGAGAGGGTTAGAGAAATTGGTAGGATAACATAGCTTTTGTGAGAAAGTCTTTTCACACAGAATCCATTTCTCACCATTTTTGTACCTGTTTCTTTCACAGTCCATTTAAGATGCTTCCTCCCTTCAAGCATAGAAGTAGTTTCTCATCTGCATAAATTCTTAGCTTGGCCATGTTCTCTCCTCTATCATACCCCTTTCTCTCTGTACTTATGATAGCTTATCTTGCATTATTTTGTTTATATGCTTGTCTCATGGTCTTTTCTGAACTGTAACTTTCTTGATCTATCTATCATCTAATAGCTCACTGTTCCTAATGAATAATAGTATCTTTAAAAATATTGATTAAATTGAATGTGTAGTCTTATTTTTATACATGTAGGTAACGAAGCTCTATTAACAATAAAACTTTTTCCTTTACTAATTCAAAGATATACCGCTTGATCTTTGCAAATAATCTTATTCTCCTCTCTTCTATTTTTATGCACATAGGATTCAATGAGGCTGGATTCTACTTTGGTTTTTAGGCATAAAGCATCTTTAGACAGTTCTTTGAAAGTACTTAGAAGCTTCTTTTTTCTTTCTTTCCTTATAATCCTCAGGTCAGGGCCTATCTTAACGCTGGAAACACTCCCTTTCTCCTACAATAACAAATATAACATTCACAACAACAATTACACGTTTCTATTCCTCCCCCATACATGTATTACTTTATCTGTGTCTTAATATCCTTGACAGGTGATTTAAACTCTGCTTTATCTCAACACCTGCTTTTCCTCTGTGATAATCAGACATTTTCACTTACAATTCTACTCCTTCCTTTTCTGTGGCTTCAGAAAAGGAAACCCTATTCTACTTGTGTTAAACATGGCATATCAAAGATACACATTTCTCTCTACCTCCTCCCAGAAGCCATAAATCCACACAGTTAAAGAGAGTGAGAGATGAGACAACAGTAAATGAATGATGTCAAATTTTTAGAAGCTGGAAAGCATATGGGAGACTTGGTGCACCAGAAAGAATTAAAACATTAAACTCTGTTGAGTTGAAGAGGAGTGGATGGTCAACAAGAAGCAAGTTCATTTATATGACAGAAATAAATGTCTTCCTAGTATATGGCATTTTCATATGTAAGCAATATTTGCATATTCATAAGTGTTGAATATTGATTAATTATGATATAACTATATTGGAGAATGGGGGAGGAAGAATGAGCACACAAATGTGACATGAAAGAGTTAAATCTTTTTCTATAATTGGATGCCAGGAAATGACTAAAATGAATTTTTAAAAGTGTAACAAGGAATTTGGAAATATTGGAATGAAATACAAGAAACTTGCTAAAAAGCTGAAAATGATTGCCTCAGGAGAGAAGGAATCAGTGGTGGAAAAGGGTGGAGTAGTGTTAAAAGCCTTATAGAACTATTTGACTTCGTAAAGTGAATACACATAATACTTTTTCTCGAAAATCAAATCACTTCACTCGTGTGTAAAAGGATGAGAGTTAATTTTTTTTTTTAAATCATGAGCCTTTTGAGAAGTAAAGATTTAATTAGAAGTATTATGGTTCTTATCTTTGGGATTGATCCTTGGGTAAAATACTGACCATTTCATGATGACTTTGGTCATAAGGTGATGCAGTGTGTCTTATCTGCTTGAAAGCAGCTCACCTTGACATAGTAAATGTGCCCTCTAGACTCTTTCCACAGCCACAGCCTGGGAGTCAAGGAGAAGCACAGATTTTTAGGTTTGACCGTTGCATAGTCATTTCAATATACAATCTTCTGTGTTGTCACACAAAACTCCAAGCCCAGAAACTTGTCACATTCATACAAGCTTGGCATATGCTTTTCCACGTTTCCAAAATACCCTTCCTCACCCACCTAGAAAACTCAGCCTTTAAAATCCGGATTAAATACCCTTTCCTTCTATTAAACTTTTCCTCCCAAAATTGTTAATAGTATCATCTTCCTAGGTGTAATAGTGCTCACCACATCACTAACAACAAACTACCCGTCTACGTGTCTTTCCCTTTACTAGACTTTGAGGTCCATGAGAGAACTATATTTTGCTTTTTATTCACAATGCCAAAAATACGTATCAAACAAATAAACAGTTTCAGTACACTGGGCAGTTTCAAGTGATTAACTGAAATGCTGATGAAATTTGCAGGGAATCATCCATAGTTAACACATCAGTTTGGATTAGTTGTATCTTCAAACAAATGTGAAGATGCTGAGCTAAAATAATATCCTTAATTTTTTAATTTTATTTTTTCATGTATTCTCTTTATATCGCTATTCAGAAGTCTGACACCAATAGGATGCTTTAATTTTTAACACTACATAAAAAGCATGTGGTATAGACATATACATCTACAGAGGTAAAATATTCAAAGTGTGCATTCCTGCCTTTATGAATCTCACAGCCTATTCCAGTAAGTCTCCCACCCTTTTCATGACAAGGACCTCAACTGGAAAAAGAATAGTCAAAGTGATGTAAATAAGCAAGGATAATTTGCCAGGCAAAAGCATACATATTCTACCATATTCAATGCTGAAATTCCTAGAACCCTAAATCGATACTTGGCAAACTTTTGACAATTCTGAGTCAAGTCACGTGAATGCTAGAGTCTGTAGGAGCAGAAGACAAATTTCTTCAGATTTGGCAGAGGGACCTTTTTCTTGATGAGCTTCAGCCTGCCTTTTGAAGCCTATTTCCTTTCTCCCAGTTCCTTAGTTCTTCCACAGGCATCCCTAAAATGTCTCACTGCTTCTATTGAGATACTTCGACCTAGCCTAATCCACAAAACTTCTCCAAATCAGCTGAAAACTATGGTTCATCTTTCTGTATCAGGGGCAATTATATAATTTACTGAAATAAAATTAAAAGTGGTCTTGGAGCTGGGCGCGGTGGCTCACGCCTGTAAGCCCAGCACTCTGGGAGGCCGAGGCAGGTGGATCACAAGGTCAGGAGATCGAGACCATCCTGGCTAACACGGTGAAACCCCGTCTCTACTAAAAATACAAAAAGTTAGCCGGGCACAGTGGCGGGCGCTAGTCCCAGCTACTGGGGAGGCTGAGGCAGGAGAATGGCGAGAACCCGGGAGGCGGAGCTTGCAGTGAGCCGAGATCGCGCCACTGCACTCCAGCCTGGGCAACAGAGCGAGACTCCGTCTCAAAAAAAAAAAAAAAAAAAAAGTGGGCTTAATTTCTTTCTCTGCAGAAATATGCCGTTTTTAATCCCCTAAAATTATGGAAGTGTGGCCAGATGAACCCTAGCAATCAGATAAAGACCAAAGAAATCTGAAATTAAGTGCTTTTGGCCAGAGAAACCACTAATTTTCTGCCATCACAAAAAGTAATCAGTATACACAGAATGTCCCAGAAATGTAGACACAATTATAAATATTTTTAGAAAACAACTTGAGTGAAGATGTATAAGCAAACCTGTATAATGAAATAAGCCCTTGACAGAATAATATACTCCTTCAAAACAGGACAACATTTTGCATTTATTAACATGTATTCATATAGGAAAGTTGTGTGTACTTAATTAAGATATCATATATTGGATGGGGGTCAGAAGAGTGCTTTACACAAAACATAAATCAAGGTATAGCTATTTAGATCAACCAAGTAGGAAATCCAGATTGGTAACTTAGATGGCCCAAATCACCAAGTTAACCATTTTTCAATCCAGTGCTTTTCACTAAGTAGATAATATATATACTAAATGAAGAGATGAAATGAGCAATTATCCTGTGTATGAGTCTGTTCTCAAACTGCCAATAAAGACATACCTGAGAATGGGTAATTTACATAAAAAAGAGGTTTATAGTGGACTCACAGTTCAGCATGGCTGGAGAGGCCTCACAATTATGGCAGAAGGCAAAAAAGAAGCAAAGGCACATCTTACATGGCGGCAGGTGAGAGAGCTTGTGCAGGGGAACTCCCATTTATGAAACCATCAGATCTCATGAGACTTATTCACTACCATGAGAACTGTGTAGGAGAAACCACCCCCATGATTCAATTATCTCTACTTTGTCCTGCCCTTTACAGGTGGGGATTATTACAATTCAAGGTGTGAGATTTGGGTGGGGACACAGAAAACCATATCATCCTGCTGCTCTGTACAAGCAAAACCACCTGCATAATTCAGGTGAGAAATGCAGATAGACAGTATGGTACAGTGGGAAGACTAGGTGTTGGAATTCAAAGGACTTAGGTTCAAATTTGTTGAGCCTCTCTGTTTACTTATTTGCAAAAACAGGGAAAACAAAAGACCTACTGTATTGAGTGATTGAGAGAGAGCACTTAGCATAGGCTAAATAGATAGTGGTGATTACTCCAAAATATGCTACTGCCCTTCATTTCCCCATGTACACAATGGCCTCTAGTTACTATGCAACACCGTGTTCCTTGACATTTGCTATGACATCCAATATAGTAGATGTAGAGTCTGAGTGAATCCTTTAAAAACTCCTTTTCTTTTTCACAGGTTTCTTTTACATAAACATTTTTTTTAATGAATCCCCCAGCTTTTCCTTATGGATTGTGCCCCTGACCTAATTACATAAGTACCTGATGGGCTGGAACGCTTCCAAAAGGGCCTCTTAGGAAAAACAATCTGAAGGGTTTTTTTCTCTTTCTTTTGTAATTACATAATTACTCAGCTGACTAATATGAGTCACCATTTGCCATTCTAATCTCCCAGGCACAAAATAGTTTTATTATTTTCCTTGGAATTACCTAATTACCCAATGGATAGCAATAACTCCTGGGCTCTTTTCTGTAAGTAATCTGTAAAGCTCAAGACAAATTCCTCCAGAAGTCTTTGCAAATGGAAGAGAATTTAGAATAATATTATCATTTGCCACATGAGACACTGGAGCTCTTAGTGACAAGGGTGGTCCAATGATACACCACAAATAAATTTGAAGAAAAATTTAAGACTCTGGGCACAGGATAAAATATAGAGGCACATTCTCCCTGCTATGTTCTAGGAAATAAGTGTTCCTGAGCCAAAACAGCAGTGGCTGAGTGCACATCTCTTAAAAAATTAGCAAGCACTCCCAACACACGTGTATTAACTTATAAATTATATGCACCTACTATAGTTTACTCATATATTAACTATTAGTCAAGCTTAATATTTTAATAAAATCTACTAACTAATATAAATTATCAATTATAGGCCAGGAGTGGTGGTTCATGCCTGTAATGCCAGCATTTTGGGAGGCCGAGGTGGGAGGATCACTTGAGGACAGGAGTTTGAAACCAGCCTGACCAACATGGTGAAACCCCGTCTCTATCAAAAAATACAAAAATTAGCTGAGCATGGTGGTGTGTGCCTGCAATCCCAGCTACTCAGGGAGGCTAAGGTGGGAGAATCACTTGAACCCAGGAGTAGAGGCTGCAGTGAGCCAAGATCACACCACTGCTCTCCAGCCTGGGTGACAGAGTGAGACCCTGTCTCAAAAATAAAAAAATTATAATATTTTTTATACCCCAATAGAAGCCTAGGATATCTTGTCTTAAAGAGTGCTGCCTTCCAGAATATCAAAGTCTTCAATAGATCTTAAAATTGCTCTATGAATGACCTGTAGTTTCTCAGTCTCTATTCACTTAGGGAATAACTTAGGAGACTGACTATTTTGATCCTTTTCTGCAGTTTTTCAAAGGCATATGCAAGAAAATTACACAAGCCTTTGAGCTTATCAGTCTACCCCAGCATATTTTCTAGGGGGTGCTCAGGCCAACAGGCCCAGCGGTTTTTTTCTCCATGCCTTTCTTGACCTCATTTTCTTTCCCTAATTTCCCATTCAACCCCAGAAATGGTGGGTTTGCAAAAGCCTCTTTCTGATCTAGGACCAAAAGAGCCGGGCAGACTACATGATTTACAAAGCCAACATGTTGGCCTATGCCCTGGGTATGACAGATTTCTAATAAAAAGGAACATATTTATCCAAGCTATTGAAAAGCCAGGTCTAATGAATATTAAATCTGATCAAACCATTTTCCTATGTATAATAAAATACTAAGTCATGTTGTGATTTAACTGTATTTACAACTGTCCTCTTTAGTTTACATTCATTAAAACATTTTAAGAAAAAGGCTACATTAAATTTTATTTTGGAACTAATAAAAATATTAAACCTTAAGAAGTTCTGAAGCTTTGCTAAGGCAGCTGAACTTAATATGCTTGTAATTTCCCTAAGTAACAGATTCAATTCCTTAACAATGAATTTTGTATTCCACAGACTCATAGCTTACATTTTTTAAAAGGTTCATGAGGCATTAGAAAATATAAATCTGAAAAAAACTGTTCAGTCATGTCTCATTGTTCTGGTACACAAACCAACTCACACACTGTAGTAGAAGTAGCAACACTGAAGTCGTTTTGACAGTTGAACACAAACAGAGGCCCCAAACAATGAACACACAGAAACAGGACACTCCTCTGGAGGGAGGGAGCTCTGGCTTTGAATGTCAGGAAGGGAGCCAACAGGCTGTCCATTTACTTAAACCTCTCAGATACAAAGAGTTACCTCGCTTTCTCTCTCGGAAGGGCCTCCTGATAAACCCCCCTCCTGTCTCACTGCAGAACCCCAGTCTTCCTCAACTCTGTTAATTAGGGGAGAGAAGAAAGGGAGAGGGAAACCAGAAAGCTCACTGACCTATCTATAAATGCACAACATTTCGGTCTCTCCTCCTGGCTCAGAGGTTTAAGACTCTCCTTTCTCCATCAAACACCCAGGAAAGTTGCTTTTGCAAGAAGGCACTGTACTTTTGCTATTCCAGCTGTTAGGCCAGTCATTTCCTAGAAACAGACCTGACATCTTCCGCTCCTCTCAAACCTCCTGATGCCACTGAAATAACCAAACTAAACTTTTTAGGTTTTCGAAACTTGTCTTTCAGAAGTCATTGGTCATAGTCCATTCCTCCAAGTAGAACAAAAAAATGCCGGGAGGACTTTGATTGTAAGGTTCATGATTCCCCCTTCAAACTATAAACTGTCAGATATAAACAGGGCATTCACTGAGAACAATGGAGATTAATAAAGAGAGACAGGACTGCTGTCTGGGGGAAAGAATGGTTCAAAGATTCCAGTACTGGCCTTCTATAGTCAGTTGGCTATTTTATCCTGTAGGTCCTAATGCTGCTAGGAAGAAGTTCTATTTGGTTGTGGAATCTTTCAGTAATATTAGAAAGATACTTACTTAAATTAACTATTCATTCCATCTACAAAAAGTTGAATATCTTCCATTTTCCAGACAGTATTTGCAGGGAACAAGAGAGACACATTCATTTACTTCCCTAGAAATATTTCAAGTATTTATTATAAGCCAGGCATGTGCCGGCCATGTACCACGACTCCTAGCACATGGAACCTTGAACACCAATCCCAGGCTGATTACTACGACAAGGTCTGATAAGTGAGAACTCGAGGATTTGTTTTTTTTAGCCCTAAATATATATAAAAATAGACTTCCTTCTTTCCTTCCTTTCTTCCTCTCAACAATTTAACACATATTAATGAAGGGTCTGGATACATTTGGTAGAGTGCTAGGCGCTGAAGATACAACAGTAGGCAGACTCAGATACAGTTCCTGCCTGTCATTTTAAAAAGTTGACACAAGGCCAATTTCTCATGTTTTGCCCAGCTAGGGAATAAGATATTAATGTCAGAATCACACATACATCAAATGTTGCAGCTGTCATTAGTCCTTGAAGGTGAGAAAGGAAAATGTGAGGCATTTAACATAATTTTGTTCAAAAAAGAGGGAAGAGTCTATTAAGAATTGACTAAAAGGGTTTTGCTGTTTAAAATTCTTCCCTGAACTTGTTTACCTTCTGTTGATTCATTTTCATTTACTTTGAAGGTAGTATCAGTGGACTGAAACTCTAATTAAAAAAAAAATGGGAAAACCTGAGAGGTCTGCAGAGCCTCAATCCACCAGTCAGGAGGACTTGCACTCCATATCCACACACACATGCTTTCTATTAAAACCATTGAGAGGTACTTCTGAATAGCATCAACCACACATTTCCTCAATGAGCCACGAAATAAAGTGCTATTAATTCTCACCAATATTCATGAAATGATTGCTTTTTATTGCATATGTCTAACCTCCTACCATGGTCCTGAAGTTTTCTATCCTTTTCTGAACTATCGGTGACTTCGGCATCTTAGGGAGCATGCTGAGTGGTCACGTAAATGCTTAAGGGTACCTTTGCTTATAATGTTTAATATGCTACTCAGATAAAAATCATCTTGATATAATTATAAATAGTATCCTTTAAAAAAAACCCTGTAACGCCTACTTTATCTTTTCTCTCCCTGAACTCCATGGGAGGAATAAGCTATCTTTCTAGAGAAAAACATTCTTTCTTTTTGAATCTATTAATACATCAGTCCAAATTTTTCCTTCTTAAAATTCCAAGTCCTGTTGAAAGAGGTTTAAAATAAAAGAAATAAAATAAAAACACATTACATTTCACATCCCCTCTGACCATTCTCAGGTTACAAGCCTCTGAAGTGTGCTTGGCCTGTTGCCGGTGTATTTATTACTATTAATAAATGAGTCACTGGTGTAAGAATGCAAATTTTATGTGGCCCACGTATAAATGAGTCTGTTAAGAATGGCCAGATACACATTTTATGTGACTGCTAAATAATTATGTCATAGAAATACAGCTTGTGAATCCAACATTAAAAAAGAAATGGATTCCAATAATGTTAGAATGAGTGTCAAAACATGGTTTTGATGAGTTATGACTATTAAAAAAAGATGAAAGAGAAAGTGATCAGGTTCTAGGGAGAGCAACATGGAAGCTTAAGCTTACTACAAGAGCCTTTTACACAACACCCTCTGACGGTCGCTCCCCTGCCTCACGCCATTACATCATGAAGGCACATCCAATTCACAAAACTGCTCTTATGCTTTCAGCATTTTCGTCTGTGAAGACAAGTACTGGATGAAGGATATCTGAAGCTTTGTACAGAGCCACAAAACCCTGACATCAGAGCTGAGAAAATTATAAAAGGAGAGAGTAGAAAAGTGGTTGTCAGGGGCTGGAGGGGTAGAGGAAATGGGGATATATTGGTCAAGGGGTACCAAGTTTCAGTTATGAAGGATAAGTTCAACTTAAAAGAATTGAAAAACTTATCACAGATAATAGGAACTTGGAAGTGAACAGACAGGATGCTGGAGCTCACATTCACATTGACATGGACATTCAATAACTACACAGTGGATTACATCGTTATAAGTGTGTTAAGTATTATTCAGTGCCCATCAAGTGGCACAAACCAGAGCTCACCAAAGTGACATTTCCATATCAAGCTGTCCCATCCCATCAGAAGCCTGAATGTTAATTTAATATCATATCTCTAATCTGAAGATGAACCAACAGCTTCAGATAACAAGGAAAGACCCAGATCAGATGGCTGAAGAGAAAGTCATGAGCAGACACTAAGTATTCTGCAGAGCAAAGGACTGTGGAACCAAAACATTACTGGGTGTTAAAGCACTTAGAGCATTCTGGAACATTTTAGTGAGACAATAGTCTTGGCTCTGGACACAGTTTCAGAAGTTAATCTACATTCCTAATGCCTTGAATAACACCACTGAAATAAACACTGTGCTTTCATATCTGTTTAATTAGTAGACCTGTTGATGAACAAGTAGAGTTTGGGAGATTTGTTCAGCCATACAAAATTTTAAAAATAGTAAAAATAGCTACGGTTTACAATCAGTTTGTAAATAAACAACCAGATATCCAGCTTTTTTAGAAAAATGGTAAGGTCTGATAATATTTCCATATTAGCATCAGTCAGCAGGAGCACAGTGGCATCTGGCTTTCAAGATGGGGATGTGCTGCCTATGTTACCACAGTCCCTTCCACTCCCGATGTTATTACACCTGGGGCCAGGGGACCTTCTCTCATTGATTGTTTGCACCCTGCCCTGGGGACAGCGGATTTGTGATATCAAGCTTTAACTGCAACATCAATTCAGTCCTTCCTTTTCAGTATTTTACATTCTCATGTTCCATGGATGCTATATTACCACCTCCACTTAAATTTAATTAATTCTGAATTAATAAAATTCAGAATTTCATTAATTCTGAATTTGTGACAGTTCCAACTCCATTCTCAATTATTTATATATTTATGCATTCAATAATGTTTTAATTATTTTATACTAGTTGGCATTAGGGGAGGAAAAATAAATGTATAAGGCACAATCTGTGTTCTTAAGAACCCCTGAATCTAAGAGAGGAATTTAGAGTTGAGGATAAGAGCAGTGATTAAAAAAAAACATTCTTAGCTGGAGAATTATGTGTTATCTCATCAATTTTGATCCATGTATTGTAGAAGGACATGGCAAGACTTTTTTTTTTTTTTCCCAAATGTCCTCCCTCTCAACTATGTTCCCTAATGTCTTCCTCCACCTCCGTCCACTAAGGATGTCAGACCAGTTATTGCAGTTAGGGGAAAAGACAGAATATTTATTTGAAAGTCAGATCTACAGACCTTGTTCTATGAACTTTCCAAGTAAAAATTCTTAAAGATGGATTCGAATATTTAAATATTAAACGGCAACCTTGAAAAAAACTTGTGAATCATATGTATCAGTAGAAAAATTCATCAAATATAGAACTTTAGTGCTGGAAAAGACACTTCTTTTTACAGGTAGGAAATTTAGGGTGGTAAGTGACATCCCCCAGGCCTTGGAAACAGTAAGTAATAGCCAGAACATAATCTCAGGTTAAGCATCTCCAGACACTTTTGTTATTAAATATGGAATGGCAGTAAAGACCATGTGATAATCCCTCTGCCCACCATTTTAAGTTGTAAGAAGAAAGCAAAATGTGTAATAAAATTTTAATCATTCCATACATTCAGTAGATACTTTTGTAGTACCTTCTTTATGGCAGAG
Organism: Homo sapiens; assembly: GCF_000001405.40. Classification (NCBI taxonomy): domain Eukaryota; kingdom Metazoa; phylum Chordata; class Mammalia; order Primates; family Hominidae; genus Homo; species Homo sapiens. Next base: position 25,041,002 of record NC_000003.12, on the reverse strand, counting down.
ACTGTGGTGGATTTCCGTTGATACAGCATGAATGATGCAACCAAAAACTTTTGCCCTCAAAGAGTTCACATTCCAGCAATGAGCTGACTTTGAATCATTCAGGCTTATAGGACTCGAGACAGACCTTAGACCAGGCAGCCTATCCACCTCCTAGGACTATTTTGACTATCTAGTGAGACAATGGCTAAGGAAAACGCTTTGTAATTAACATAAAATGTTCTACAAAGTTTGGTTGTGAATTATTATTTTTTTGAGACAGAGTCTCACTGTCACCCAGGCTGAAGCACAGTGGTGTGATACTGGCTCACTGCAATCTCCGCCTCCCAGGTTCAAGCAATTCTTCTGCCTCAGTCTCCTGAGTAGCTTCTGCCTCAGTCTCCCGAGCAGGACAATAGGCATGCACCACCATGCCTGGATAATTTTTGTATTTTTAGTAGAGATGAGGTTTCACCATGTTGGCCAGGCTGGTCTCGAACTTCTGTCCTCAAGCGATCTGCCGACCTAGGCCTCCCAAAGTGCTGAGATCACAGGTGTAACCCACTGTGCCTGGCCTGGTTGTGAATTCTAATATATCAAGGACCAATCCAGCTCATTTGAACAATCATAATGTAAAAGAAACCATAGTAATGGATTCCACCCTCCTATGAACCACCTATGAATATTTCCATTGGCTTCCCCTTAACCCAAATCAGATGCAAGCTTGTTGAAAGAATGGCAACTACATTGACTATATAAAAAAGGCCAAGTGCAAAACTGAATAGCAGGTCTCCTTTCCATCACTATAGAAACATACAAACTAAATAATTTGTTCCCCAAAGAGCTTCACTTTGCACTTCATTTCGTCTCTGTTGACGGAATTTTTTTCACTGCTCCCACAATAACATTTCAGACCAGAAAATAAAAATGTACATGCAACCCACATTACCATGAATGCCCCTGGCCTGGCCAGCAGAGCTCACCTTCAGGATATCAGGAGAATGTCACCATTAAGTTGACTTTCCCCAGCTAACATCTCTCTTTTGTTTAGCTAAGTAAAACTCTCTTCTGAGGACAGTTACCTCTCCTTCACTTTCTATCCCAACCCACAAGACAATTTTGTCTTCTACCCAGCCACGAATGATTTATCAAGTTGCCCATGGGCCACGTCTAATTTTCTGCAAAATCTATGCAACAATTCTCCACTTTCCTCACCTCTCTTAAAGAGATCTCTATGCCCACAGTTGACAGCTCTTCACACTGGGGACTTCTAACAGGAATGGGAATCCAAAATAATCTTTGGTGCCCAAAGTTCTACCTCCAAATTTATTACAATAAAAGAGGCAAAGAAAAAAGCTTCTTGTCCTTTAGATCTCAACTTTCATCCCCAAATGGTTTATTAGCTTTTTCATTATTTTTAATAATGTACAATTTTAACAACATAATCCACAGTGTGATCGGTTATGCCCATGCCCCACTCGAATGTGAACTCTAGGATCATACCTATCTCCTCACTACCGTGGCCCTATTTCCTAATTCTTGGGACATTTGAGATACTTAAGTATTTGTTGAATTAAAATTACTAGTAAGTTACTGAACACATCATTTGAACCGTAAACTTCTTACCAAGCTTTCCCAGAACAACATTTTTCACCATCAGAATTAAAAGGCTTTACTGATCTGCCCCACCACTGTCTTATTTAATGCATAGCTTATTTTCCACTGAGGTTTGGTCTTAACAACAATCGTTTTCTGCTACTACAGCAGGACTCAACATTCTTAGCTTCCCACTTCGCCTCTGCCTCACCCTTCTTTGTTTCATACGTATCCCTCTAATCAAATGCAGAGTGTATGAAATAGGATATGTGATCACATTAGCACAGCTTTATTTTGATGTATTTTTGTCAAGCCTGTACAGACAAGTGGAAAGAGAAGTGAAACAGAAGCTGGGAAAATACTGCCAGAAATTATGTCAACAAATAACTTCAGAGTTTACTTTCCCATTAGTTCTAAACCGTTTAAGCAAAGTAGCTGCTCCTCTGTCTATAGGTCAAAGCCTGAACCTGAATTAAGGGTAAAAAGGCAAAGCAAATCCCTAATAGAACACATTTCATACCATGGTCTCAGAGATTAGATTTCTATTTTTACTTAAAACAACAGAGGTTTATGCCTCCTTGTCTTTTCAAATCATACCCAGAGGTTGGCAATAAGGCTCCAGGTGGTAGTTAATAAATCTCAAGTAATGTATCGATCACTCTTCATGCTTTTTCTATTGTTCTTAAAACATAAGAACTGTCTCATTATGTTAAGAAAAAAAGGACAAGTTTCCACACTTAAATGCCAACCAAGGAAAGAAATCCCTGGGAAGCTAATAATGAAACAAAGGTGGTTTTCTTCAGCAGAACTGTGTGTGCTAAATTGCACTTTTATGTGATTTTTAGGGCAATTTGCCACTTTCTTGGCACCACTTCATCACCTTCCTTCAGCAACAAAGAAAAAAAGGAGGGCCACAATGACCTATATATTACAGCTCTAACAATGTGTGGGGGTCAGTCTCTCCAAGTTTATGAGTCAGATTTAATAATAGATATTCTATTTTCTTAAGTTAGAGAAACTCAAGGGTACATACTCATTCCCCCAGACTTTACTGCTCCTCCCAGTTTATCCATTAGACAATTTTTTTCATCTTTAAATGTCATGAACAGCAGTGTTTCCATTGCATTCATTACATATTATGATTTATATGTTATACACAACTTCATTTTTACATGAATTTCTTGACTTCCTAAGAGGTTCAATTTACCAAGTATCTATCAAATTCCTTCATCACAAAAATGGGGAAACTGAGGCCCAGAGATGTAATATGACTTGCCTTCACTTACAGACCATCCATGCTAAAGGATTAACTGGCTGTTAGGGTAGGCTATGCTTTAAAGTGGGCATGACAGTTAATAGCTAAGTGATATTGGAGAGGTTTATAAGCAATTTGAGCCTCATTTTCTCCATGTCTAAATGGGAAAATAACTAGCTTGCCAAGTTGTTACTTATCATGGCTAGGGGGTTTAAACATGACAATTTCTCTCCTGGAATATTACTCTTTTTCTCTCTTCTGGTTTTCTCTCTTTCTCCCTTTCACATCTTATGCCAAATTTCCATCTTTCCTGGAAGTCTTTGCAGATCCTTCAAGCTAAGGTCCCCAACACAAAGGACACCTTGTACTTCCCTGTTGTAAGTTCATCACAGTGGTGATTAAACAATGTGTAGGGAATTTGCTCTCAACTTCACTATATATAAGCTCTATGAGGGCAGCAATTCTGTCTTTATCTCTGTACACTTGCTCTTCAGCTTGCTTTCTCTCCCTCTCCCCTAGCCCTTGGTAGGTGCTCCACAAATACTTGCTAAATGAGCACCACAGTACCTATTCAATAGATGAAAGTCCCAGTCCTTGTTGTTGAGCCAAGTGACACATACTTAGTTCCTTTCACTCTCCTAGGTCAATCCATTCACCTCCTTAAAAATTACTTAGTTTCTGTGTAGGGATAGCAGCTTCCTGGTGTCTGAGGTTTTATCTCTCATTGCAGTGTGAACAAAACAGTCAGGGAAAAGTCACTTCTGTGCTTAGCTCTTTTGGCAAAACAAACCTCCCTCCTCCCTCCACCCCATGTTTGCCCTGAATTTGACTTCACCACAGTCTACATTAAGAAGAACAGCGACTAAAACTTCTTTGAAACTTTATTCGCCATGGCCAACAGGAAAAAAAAAAAAAAGCTGGTGAAATTCCTTTAAAACGTGCTTTAATCTAGCTGGAATGCCATAAATTGCTTCCAGATGTGCACGATACAAAAGTCAATCAGAGCTATTTATACTGACACTCTACAGTCCAAACAATCTGAAGCCAAATGCCATGTCTCCGCTTCAACGAAGCTATAAATGTCAGTTTTGTTGAATTTGGAAAGGTGTTGAAGAGTTCATGCAAGTTTGAGTTCTTGACTCTTTTGGAACCAGCAGTAATTTTGACAGGAGGGAAATAAAACCATCACACATACAAACTTTTGTAAATCCCTATCCTCACTGAGCACACCTGACACCTCTCATGCATGACCTTGAAAGTACCATAGGTTAGAAGAAAAAACTCAATTCTGTAAAACAGAAGAATGTAGCTCTGGGACAAGGTGCCAAAGAAACCCAGAGAATCTGGCCAGATCCCCCCTCCCCACCCTGAATGCAAACAAGCACACTTAGGAGTTAGTTGGCTGCATGGCTTGTAGTGATGCCTTTTCGACATCCTAACCAGACCATTGCTCTCCGAAGCAGCCCTACAAACAAAGATAACTCAGATTGTTGGCACCACACTCAGGTACTGGTGTGGGCACAAAGCCTGAGGTCCAGGTGGCCAGTTCTGGGGTTTCATCACTTAGAGACATTTGTTGTCCCTTTCCACTGGAATAATCTTCAAGCTTGTGTTTTTATCTCATTCTGCATCACATTTCCAGTGTTGGCACACAGTAGGCCATCAATAAATAATGCTGAAAAAAAATGAAGACTTAAAGGAAAAGATGGTCTATTAGTCTAGTTGTTTCTTTTCCGGCATGTAATTAATAGAGGTAAATTCAGAGTAAAAATGCTATACATTTTTACGGTAGAATGGAGAGGGTTTGGGATTTGGCGCTACAGACATATGGCTTCAAATTCTAACCTCAGGTACTGATTAGTGGTATGGCTTTGTGAGAGTTTCATAACAGCTCTGACCCTCAGTTCTGTCCACAGCAGAGGGAGCTAAAGATGTCTATCTCATACAACTGCCGCAAGGAGGTTCTTGTTTCATAGTAGGCCTTTGGTATTCGTTCCCTTATTTTTGTCCCCCTGGCTGGGGATTTCAAGTGTTTAAAAAACATAAAAAGCCAGAAATAACTCAAATTTGGAGGCAGAAATAAAAAAAATAAATACTTGTCTTTTCATTCACAGCGTGGCATAGTACTTGGGTTAAACTACATGAAATTTCCAATATTTAAAAACAGCAATTTCCTACAGTTCTGCCTGCTATGAAGGGTCTCGTGAAGGACCATGTCACAACATCTGTGGCCCTCCATGGCAGTTCACCATTTAGTTACCGAGTGTATAACCACCTCAGTTGTGGCAGTCACTGAGGCTCACAGCAGGTGGGTGTAGACCAGTGGTTCACAAACTACAGCCTATAAGCCAAATCCAGCCATTGCCTGTTTTTACAAAGTTTTACTGGAACACAGCCACACCCATTCTTTTCCATATATTCTTTGGCTACTTGCATACTACAAGGGCAGAGCTGAGTCATTGCAATAGAGATGGTAGGGTACACAAAGCTGAAACTAAATTATTTACTATCTGGCCTTTTGTAGAAAAAAGTCTGCTGGCTGCTGTACAGACACATAGTTTAGGTGAAGCAACATCAATATGAGTTTGGGCTCTCAAGTTCTAAGAGATTCTATTTTTCTGTACCTGAATGTTGGCTGCATCACTTCCTTCAATGTATCTCAGATATATTCCTTAACTTCTTTAATCTCAGTTTTTTTATCCACATGATGGAATAGCTACCTTGAGAGAAAAAAAAAAAAAAAAAAAAAAAAAAGGCTGGACGCAGCGGCTCACAACTGTAATTCCAGCACTTTGGGAGACTGAGCATGTCAGATTGCTTGAGCTACGGAGTTGGAGACCAGCCTGGGCAACATGGCGAAACCCTGTCTCTATAGAAAATACAAAAATTATCCAGGGTTGGTGGCATGTGCTTGTAGTCCCAGCTACGTGGGAGGCTGAGGTGGGAGGATTGCTTGAATGCAGGAGTCTGAGGCTATAGTGAGCCAAGATGGTGTCACTGCACTGCAGCCCGAGTGATAGAGTAAGACCCTGTCTCAAATAACAAACAAAAAAATGCAGTTAACAGTACCTGACATGTGATAAGGGTTAAATAAATTGAAACAGCTTTTTCATTACGATCCTAACCTATTAATATTTCTTTACTTATTAGAAATATCATATCACATGTGGAATGATAAATGGCAAGGCATGTGCAGCCTTCGTGTCAATGGACAATTCACAGTGGTGGAGACAGTGGCAATCAGAAGAGCACTTTGTGTAAAGTGAGCAGCTGCCACTGAGCTCCAGCTGCAGTTGCCACATGGAAATGGCACTCCAATGTTTCCAGGTCTTCTGAATTTCCAAGAGACACTGGAAGTGTGGATACTTACACAAAATCTCCCATTTTTAAGGGTTGATAATTGATTAAAAATGTTTCAAATCATTCGTTCTGTGAGCCAAAACATTGTATGTAGGCTTGTGTTTTTTACTGATGTTTGGCTAAGTCAAAGAGTGTCACAAGGAGGAAAGGAGGGAAGAGCTTTTTGTATCTGGCATAGAAGATGGCAGATGTTTGTGTTGGAATTGACCTAAAATAGCTTTGTTGAGCCATAAAAACCAGTTTTGTTGAAGGTTTACTCTTTGCACATCTACTTTTGTAACACTGAGCTATTAAATATGCAGCCATCTTCTTCTGCCTAGAGAAATCACTGTCTATACACTTTTCCATCTATCCACTCGTTCAAGCCTTTATTTGCACCTACTATGAGAAAGACATTGCATTTTTAAGCTAAATGGAGAAACATCCTTTAAGTCACAATGCTCTGGTCCTCTCGACACACAACTGAGAGATCTGAAATATATCCAGGCAGCTATTCTTTTTTTCTTGTGACAAGGTCTCCCTGTGCGGCCCAGGCTGGAGTGCAGTGGTGCGATCTTGACTCACTGCAAACTCCACCTCCCAGGTTCAAGCGATTCTCCCGCCTTAGCCTCCTGAGTAGCCGGGATTACAGGCATACGCCACCACATCCAGCTAATTTTTGTATTTTTAGTAGAGACGGGGTTTCACCATGTTGGCCAGACTGGTCCAAACAGCTATTCTTGACTCCCATTGTGAGCGCAGGAGCAGAGGCTCAAAAACACCCTCAGAGCAACACAGGCTCAGCCAAGAGTGACTAGATCCTACGGCTTAAGAAAAACAAGGATTTCTAAAATCAGTCACCTGATTTTAGTAGAGACATACATTTTACCAACATTTAAAGCATCTACTTTCAACTATTCATGAGGAGAAAAGGTCTGGGAGAACAACACCCATGTACGTTCTTGAATATACGTTTGTCGGTAATGTAAGCTAGGAGATTTAAGCTAACAAATATTTATTACGGTATTTTCTACTGTGCCAACTTGCCTAGGCTGAAATTTGTTTCCAAGAATCCCCTTCCCTGTGTGGTTCCAAGCTGTAGTTAGTCAACAGAGCAATTTGCCTGGGAACTGGAAGGCAGAGATAAAGCTGCAGCCACTGCTCTCTGAAATCTTCATGTTTGGATGTGGGTCTGGCTTGACCTTGCTGTCCTCCAGGGGGAGCTCTTCTTGACTGTTGACCTGATTGTCAACATAATCGGCATGTCTCCTGGCAGATGCTTGGCAGTGGACCTGAAAAGCAGCAGCCACATAGAGACACAGCTTCTCTTAGCTTTCCCACACACTTCCCTGTGCAGTCCCATTTCAGGGACTGGAGGTGCTTGTTTCTCAGATTTTCTGGTTAATAACTTCTGATTCACCATCTCTCCCACATTTCAGACAATTAACTTCCCAGCTTCTCCCATGACTGGGAAGGTCTAATTTCTATGAGAAATAATTTATTCTGAGACCTTGACTAATACAGCTATCTTTAACAATAGATGAGTGACCCCTACTTTAATTGTCTTTGCTCCACTTGCTTGTAAGTTTCTGGTGGGCCAGGACTCCCTTGTTTCTTTTGAAAGCTCTAGACCTTCATAATAATACCCACTTAATAAATATTAACTGAATAAAGGAAATAGAATCATTAATATGATCTACATCATATTGTCTCTCCATTTTAAAAACAAAAAGTAAAAATTTAACCAGATCAAAAGCCTAGATGAATAACTGGCAACTAGAAGATATTTGATGATTATTTTAGAAATTGAGTAGAAGGAATGACTTAAGTTGATGTGTGATGAGGGACATTTCAATTTGACTGTAATGGGTTTCACTGAGTACTGCTTATGGGTTGCAAAATACTATGTTCATTGCATGAGGTAATGTATTGTCCCACGAAATGACAATTGAACTATTTTTTTATAAACATTGCTACCACAACACAATCTAGTCCTTATGCCTTAGTGAACTTTTATAAATACATTTGCAGAATAAATTCTTAGAAGGCAAGTTACTAGAACAAAGGGTGGGTTCAGTTGCAATTCCAGCATATTACCCTCCCTGCCCCCTGCTGAAATACCCTCCCTTCCATCTATGTTCCATCAATTTTATACTTTCACCAACAGTATATAAAAGTGACTGTGTCTCACACAGCCTGACCAGTGCTATGTATTTTGAAGCTTTTCACCCTCAGCCAATCTGATAGGAGAATAATGGAATATCAGTGTTGTTTATAGTGAACACTGCTTTTGAATATGCAGTAGTGCCTGAGGTTCTCATCTCTGCTTCACTTCAGATCCACGTAATCAGTGAATAAGACAGTCTCATTCTGGGGTGGAATTAACTTTATAAACCAACAAGGGATACTTAGCATTTATGTAGCACTTCAACTAATGACTGAAACTGGCTTTGGAGAAAAAAGTGCTGCTGCTAATTTTCATAGCCCATAGGGCCATTAGCTTTTACTGCCTTTGTTTTACCATTCTTGTCTTAGGTAAGGGGAAGGTGGGGAAAGGCAGGTTCCATTATGCAGCCCGTGACTTAATTAAGATAAATAAGACAGCTCACTGATTGCGGATGTCTTTTATAATCCAATTTTAATGATGGCTATTGTCACCAACACTGGCTACTATAGTAGCAGAGGGAAACAATTAGTAAATTTATGAATTATGGACCTATTAATAGTTTTTTAGGGAGAAAAATAATTTTAGCTCAATGGATATGTTATGTCTTGATTACAGGCTTAGCAGATGGGTGTGGATCTAGAAAAAAAATTCCTTCTCCTGGCTTTAATAAAGGCAAACTCTCTGAGGAATAATAAATTATCAACTCTAACAATAGTGTTAAGAAAAGTCAAATTTATGAACTTTCTTAATGTATTTTTCCTGATGTGGATTCTATTCAGGTCAGGTTTAGAGTTTTTTGTTTCTTTTTAGTTTAAGTACTAATATTAATCCCTAAAACTGGAGTAACTGGTTGGGATAAGTATATGAAGATATGGAATTATTTGCAACTGCCCTTTTTAGTTTTCACTTCATATGGTAGTAACACAAAATAGCTGACATTCTCAAGTTTGGCTAATAGAAACATGCAACTCCATAGACAGTTCCCTTCCCTGGGTCACTACCCCAAGTGCTTGCTAGATAGAGAGGGGGGATGAGAGAAAGAGTTCATCAGGTAAGAGGAAGTGGGTCAACAGAGTTAGTGGGCATAAATGAATCTACTTAGTTTTCAAGGCATTGTCTTTGTCACGTTATGTTCTTCCTACCCACCACCCACCCACCTCTGCAATTCTCTACTCCAGACATCAGCAAAATGTGTCCACATTCTAAGGGGGAGGCCTCATAATATTTTCACTAAAATGATCAGTTCTCTTTCCTTGGGAATTTGTAGGAAAAGCTTACCGGCCAGGAAGAGGGCAACTAAACTAGTTTGGGACCTGCTCTATGTTTCTGTTTCTTAACAGTTTTATGGTATGAGAACAGAAAGCGTGGCTAGGTGTGTTAAATAACACTGAGCTAGTCCAGTGGTTCTCAATATGGGTGTATGGGGAGAGGGGTTTGGAAGGGGAAGCACTTTTGTCCCAAGGATACATTGCTAAAATATATGGGCACATATTTTTATTTGGTTGTCACAACTTGGCGAGGGTGGTGCTAGTGGCACCTAGTGAGTTGAGGCCGGGGATGCTGCTCAACATCCTACAATGCACGGGACAACCCTTCGCAACAAAACATATCATGCCCCAAATGTCAGTAGTGCTAAATTAAGAAACCCTACTGTGGCCCATGAAAGCAAAGGGTTACATTCCTATAGTAGAAGGTGAAGGAGCAGCAGCCTCCAGAGTAAATACCTGGGGATGAGAATATTCAGAGACTGACTCTGCTGCCTGCCCCTGTTGAAAGGGAAAATAAATTTTTGATTTTGTTTTGTATCTAAAATGAGCTGAGGACAAACTAGAAAAGAGGTCCTTGCTCTTGAACTTACATTTAGTGTTATAGAAACCAGACAGGCACATTTGGTAAATGCAAGAGAGCACCCGAACATGACACAAGTAAAAGCCAGATCTTCAGCAGGGCCCAGTATTCTCCACAGCTTTTCCAGGAAGATGCAAGATTTCCTCAAAATTGTATGACAAAACTGAGTATTCTTTTAGGCACTCCTGCTCTACAAAAAGCTGAACTTTTCTAGACCCCAACTTATTAATTTAAAGAATTGCCAGGAAGAAGCATGAGATAACATAATACAAATTATAAACTTTTAACTAAATTAAACCTCAAAAATGTTTTCCTCATTCAAAATATTTTTAAACATCTTTGACATCACCATTATTAAAAGATAATACAGTTTTAAACCAAAACCAAATCTATGAAAGAATATGGAATTAAATACTGATATGTACAATACTCTTACTTTGTTTATAATTTCCAGATTTACATTTCCAACCTAGCTTAATAGTCATTTTTAAAAGGCAGAAGAAATTACTGTAGAGTGATGATTTAAAAAATATATGTAATTTTCAGCTAGCGCTGCTGGCTTTAACATGTGTAAGGGCAGAATATAAAACACAAGTTGAACAATATAATATTCTTCCTCTCCCCTGTCTTTCTCAATCTTGCACAGGCTCAGGCAGAAGGTAATTATTATTTTCCAGTAACATAATAATAGAAAAGGTATTGACTAGCAATACAATCTACTTGATCACCCTGCATGACTCCATTCTAGCACTGAAAGCTCAATTTGATGGCATGAGATATCTGTCTCTCAGAGGAATAAAGGGCTTTCCAACGGCACTATAACTGAAGGATGTGATTTGTCTTGCCTGACACCATATTCCATACGTCCCCAAATTCAGTGGCCCTGTCTCATACATCATCAGGCAGATATTTTCACTCTGATATGATTTCTTGGGCCCAGTGTTCTATGAAAGCTAAATGCAACTAAAGGATTTCTGACTTCTACTCTGTCCCATGTTAATTTCCTTTTCCCATTTGGATGAAATAGTAGTGTGACCCTCATTGCCCATTCCTAAAATGAAAAGCAGCACTGCTGTGCCACACGTGACTTATTCACTACTTTATGGACTCACACCTCTCAAAGGATTACCTTTAATACACAAGGTATCCTGGAGTGCTAAATGGTGCTTCAGGGTGTCAATGAAGTGGGTGAGAAATAGGTCAGAGTCACGTGGAGAAAAGGCAACTCCCCACTGACCGCACATTTGAAAAAGCTAAGAAGGCTCATCAGTGAAGACCTAGGAAAAGGCTCCTGTGGACCATTTATTCATAAATGAAACTGGGAAATACTTTCCACTTGGAATTTATTCCCAGGTCACCAGTTTTGAAGCAGTTATGCAAAGCAGAGTAGAGCCAAGTTCAAGACCAATTCACTCAATTTATTTATCCTTGGAGTTTGTCTTTTATGGTAGAGCCTCCTGCTTTCTAAGAAGAGGAAACTTACCAGTCATTTGACTCTTAGGTTTCTCACGACTGACCTATGATTTTACGAGTTAGAAGGATGTTAGCAGCAAAAGTCCTGGGTGACAAAAGAATCATGGTTTAGTCTCAGTTTGAGTGTGAAGTCTTTTCCAAGACAGTTTCCCACTTTGGAAAATGCCCTCTCTAAAATGCAGAACTTGTCAGTACCCAAACCAATGCCATCTGATTAAAAATGGTCCTGAACTGAAGTTGAAGACAGACAACTGCATATGGCAGCCAGGATTTTGCCAGGAAGCCTGTCTGAGGGTAAGCTCCTCTCATGCTTTACTTTGGAAAGGAATACTCCCATCCCTAGCACAGAGTTGAGAACACGCCTGGGCTCCCTTTGCCAGCGGCAAACAGGCAGGCAAGAGCTGGAAGAGAAAAAGAGTAGGGGTGGGGTGGAGTTGGAGGTTAACATGGTCAGGCACATTTGGTAAATTCACGAGAGCCCCAGAACGGGACAAGTAAAAGCCAACTCTCCAGCAGGGCTTTTCCAGACAACCACAGGATATTCTCCATAGCTTTTCCAGAAAGTTACAAGACTTCCTCAAAGTTATAGGACCTTGAAAGTTCCCTTAAGCACAGGAAGAGGTGGGACAGCCAATACCTTTTACTTCTCTGTACATGGCTCTCCCGGTAAACCAGGTTTCCTCTCCCACAAACACCCTTTATCCTCACACACTTGAAACCACAGAAACACCCTTTCCCATGATTCCTTCTCCCTCTTCTAAAATCCACTCTGTACCTATAACTGTTTTTATCAGACTAACATGCTTCTCTCCCTAGTCCCAAATGGAAGTACCCAAGTCCATTATTTGAAACTACATATTGGCAACGACTCTGCCTCTTGCTGAACCCCACCTCCAGTGGAGTCCCAGGAATTTAGATTGCTGGCAAGTTCCCAGGTGACACTGATACTGCTGGTCCAGGGACTTCACTTTGGGAACCACCGGCATAAAGAGATGCAAGAATGAGAGAAAGCCTGACTCCTGCCTGTTTTCTATGGCAGAGCTTCTGGTCAGACCACCTGCATCAGAATCACCTGGAGGACTTGTTAAGACAAATGACAGGGCCTCATTTACAAAGATTATCCTTCAGTAGTTCTGAGGTAGGGCCTGAGAATTGCATTCTAATGAGTTTCCAGGAGACATTGCTGGTCTAGGGAACACTCCTTGAAAAGCACCAGGGCAAGAATCCTAACACAAAGTGAAGTAGGTGGGGGTGACCAACATGTTATGAGCTGATTACTTATGTCTCCGATAACAATGTGTTGACTAGAACCATTTCAAGATCGTTCTGAAATGGTTAGGAAGGCATATTTACAGAAGGGTTTGAAAAAAAAAATCCATGAGCCAATGAAGGCCTGTTTATTTCAGAGAAGGTCTTAAGTGTGCACAACCATCGTTTTTCTTTTTAAATGACCTGTTCAAGAGCACAGCAACCAGGCACCCTGCCATGATGTAGTCAAATCACAAAGCATTCACTGAGCCTTACTACTGAAGTGAAAGCAGAACTCCTCTGGGGCCGCCTGAGTCTCTGATATAGTTCACACACCTTTCTTCTAAGCCAGATGCACATTGAAATAGGTTACTTATAATTGCCACTGAGGATCATAAGGGGAAAAAAAAAGCATTTTGATAGAAATCTCTTTTATGGTCTTGCTAACTATATATTAGTGTCAACAGAATTGTGGTTTTTTTTTCCTTTCCATAAAGTGTACCTTCTGCAGTGACTGTCATATGTGAGGGATAGATACTCACCTCAATTATGGCTGTTTCCCCCACAAACTGGCTTATACAGACAGAAAAATGAAGAGGGCTTGGCAATTATGTAGGACATTAAGTGATAGGATCCCAGAATTTCAGAAATGAATGTCTCCCTATAAATCATATGGGGGGGAAGATGTATTTTAGAGAGAAGGAAACTGGGGCTCAGAGAAGCCATGTCTTGCCCATATTGCCCAGCCTGCTTGGGTACAACCAGGATAGGAATTCAGGTCACCTGACCCCAGGACTCACTCTTCCTACTATGCCTAATTTGCTGCCCCATCAAAACTCGCTCCCCCTTCCAAACTCTCCATCCTTCTCTTATTAATTTTGGATTCTTCCTGTTTATTTTCTCCCATATCCTGTCACTTATTACAGCCAATATATTGTCTCTTTATAGTTTCTGAGTAAGTTATTCTTTTCCATTCCTAATGGCAGAATTCTACTTAAGGGCTACATAACTCAGTGATAGGCTAGGACTGGCTTGTACAGCTCTTGAGAGCCCATTGTTAAATTTTCAAGAGTTTTGCTAGCTGGCTTTTAAAGACAGCTATTATTAAAAATTAAATTCTATAAACTTACAATAAATGATATGAATAAGAAAAATGAAAACTAAAACTCATCGCTTCCTAATCATCTTACTACGATCTATGCCCTTGAGACTATTTTTGTTTATTGTGTTACAGAATTGCTACATATTTCAGCTATCTTCCCAAATCCATGGTTAATGATGTCATGTTGGGGTAACCTGAAATTAGATAAGGTGGGAGTATTTATACCACAAAAATTGGGCAAATGCTACAAATAGTATTTTTTTCTCTCCATAGAGATACACGTAAAAATTTACCAGGACATGGATTGTCATGGGCTAAATTGTGTTCCATCCAAAATTTATATGTTAAAGCCCTAACCCCTAAGTACTTCAGAATGTGATTTGGAGATTGGGCCTTCAAAGAGGTAATTAATGTTAAATGAGATCATATGAGTAGACCCTAATCCAATCTGACTGATGTCCTTATAAGAATAGGAAATTTGGATGCCCAAAGAGGCACCAGGGATGTGCGTGCACAGGAAAAAAGACCACGTGAGCACATGGCAAGAAGGGAGCCACCTACAAGCCAAAGAGAGGGGCTTCAGAGGACACGACACCCACCAACACCTTGATCTTGGGCTTGTAGCCCCCAAAATTGTGAGAAAATGAGCCCACTTATAGAAGACTTTAAGAAAAATTGTGAGAAAATAAATTTCTATTGTTTAAGCCACCTAGGCCTGTAATATTTTACTAGAGTAACCCTAGCAGACTAATACACTGCTGTAATTGGATCTCCTTACACATGGGTCAACTCGAAGCCCTGGACTTCTAGGTTTTCTCAGCCCCTTTCCTCATATGCCACAACTTTATGCAAAAGTGCAGGTATCTAAGAAGGCCCACGGCTTTTATCAAATTTCTCAAGGTGGGGGGAGCAAGAGCACTCATGAAAACTTAAAAATCACTTTGTACTATTCCATTTCATCTAATTTGTACACTGGTTCTGGCAATGCAGACTACCAGTCTCATTAATTTGGGATTGCAGACTATCAGGTTGAATCAGAGGAATTATTGATATTTGAGCATTTTTTAAGCCATAAAAATAGCAATGTTATATGATTCAATTTAACATAATTTGACATATAGCTCCTACAGATTTCTTATCCTTATAATGCGTTTTGCAAACTGACACTTAATGGGATTTATATGGGCCATAGACAAATATTCTTTGTTTCACAAAGTGTTTACTTGCAGTTTGAATTTAGTTACCCACATTTAAAAATTGAGCAAATACTCTAAGAACTTTGGGAAACCCAGGATACCAGGCTACAGTGGGCCCATGTCCCTCCTGGCAGCTGGTCCCTCTAAATGGAACATACTCTCCAGATTGTCCCTATTCCCTAGGTAGGCCACTTTGTTCATTTGTAATACCTTCCTGGCCTTATGTTTATCTGTGTACATAACTACTGTAACTTATAGTTTCTACTTTAACTTTCTACCATCCTGGCTAGTTCCATATATCATCAAACAGCTGGGCACATACAAAGAGAGATAATGAATCATCTGGGTCAAGATTGCAATCCCAGAAATGTAGGTCCCCCAGGGCTTGGCACAAGTCTATACAGTTTAGTTTGACACAATATAGACATTACTTAATATGTGCAGACAAGTCAAAAGGAGAAGGGCTCCAAGATACAGTCAGTTGGTATCAAAGTTATTAACAGAATAATTTGCTGACAACTTCCATAAGCATTTGCTATCACCTGAATGACATTAAATTACAATTAAAGTTCATCTTGGAAGTGCTATGTAGATGAAAATGTTCTAATTCCTGTATTTCAGAAGGACATCAAAGGAGGAATATCAAGTCTTTATTCATAAGAATGCTTACAACTTTTCTTGGCAGACATGGATTTCTCTAACCAATTTTTCTCCCATCCAAGTACTAACCAGGCCCAATCCTGCTTAACTTCTGAGATCAGATGAGATTGAGAGTGTTCAGGGTGGTATGGCCATATTTGCTAACCAATTTTTCTTTTTAAATTTCCTTTTTTTTTTTTTTTTTTTTTTGAGACGGAGTCTCACTCTGTTGTCCAGGCTGGAGTGACAGTGGCATGATCTCGGCTCACTGCAACCTCTGCCTCCCAGGTTCAAGCGATCCTCCTGCCTCAGCCTCCATAGTAGCTGGGACTACTGCCGTGTGTCACCACGCCCAGCCAATTTTTGTATTTTTAGTAGAGACAGGGTTTCACCATATTGGCGAGGCTGGTCTCGAGCTCCTGAGCTCAAGTGATCTGGCCCGTCTTGGCCTCCCAAAGTGCTGGGATTACAGGCATGAGCCACCGTGCCCAGCTCTTTTTAAATTTCAAGATTTCTTATCTTGTTGCAGCTGAAAAAACTGTCTAATGGCTTTCTAGTCCAATGGACTACCTCTTATATTTAGAGACTATTTTAGGTTGCTTTATTGGAAAGAAACTTATCCTAAGTCTCTTATCTGCAGAGAAGATAAATAGAAATTGATCTCAAAGGCACATTTTGTTGCTTAATGTTCATGATAGTCTCTATAATTACTCTCAAATCTTATTAATTTTAATCATGTCAGTTTATATGAATTAGAAAGCACAACACAATTGTATCTCCATGGTCTCAAAGTTAGGGCAATTCACACTCAGAAATAGTTTCTAAGTATTCTGATAGTTTTATTAACTAACAGTCAATAAATAATGGTAATCAAATAATTGTATTTTGGCCGCACCTACTAAATCAAACAATCCTTTCAAAAATTAGAAAAGACAGATCTAAAGTTTCTCAGGGCTGCAAAGAAAAATCTACAAAAGTCTTATGAGTTTCTATGTGTTTTAATTAACCTAATTTTCTAATTTGAGACTCAGGGATTAGGCTGTGATGGAAGGCTCATTGGAGAGCATGTTATTATGGCTGATTAATACTGGAAGACTCTGAGAGTAGAGCTTGATAGTCCCTAGGGATTATCTAAGCCCAGTTTCTTCATTTCACAGATGTAGAAAACAACATATGGAGAGCCAGGGAATTGTCCAATAACAGAGTTAATGGTAAGACTCAGACTATGATATCAACACATACACACACAGTCACACTCACGTAATCCTCTACCCACCTCCCCAAACACCCACATCTAGAGATATTTCTGCATGTATTACTTTTTAATGTACCCTAAATTAATTTCTCCAGATTGTTATGTTGTCATTTGAATAACTGTTTAGATAGCCGCTCTAATCTATTGAGGTTTCACTGGATAACCTCACAGAAGAAACTTCCACTCTGTCCTTTCATAGCTGTCTCACATACAAACATCCACATACCACATCTATAGACTTCACACACCTGGCTAATCACAGTGGCAGGACGCATCCCAAGTCCCTAATAATAGTGACCCAGAGACTGAAAATGCAAATTCTAGTTTTGATTGGTACACAGGAAGGATAGACTCCCTTTGTGATGTAGTCCTAACCCCTGTGTTTCCCTTATGTTGAAGCAAACTCAGCTGCGTCGGTGTATCCTGTGAGTGCTCATAAACACATACTGAGCTATTAGTCCTAGGCCTTTATTTAATCAATAAAGGACAAAGCCAACATTCGTCTTAACCTCAGTAAATAAAAAAGACAAAGAAGCCATCATTTTAACCGCATTAATCAATCAATCTCCTACTCAAGTGCTCAGAAATTATTAAATAGGCTTCTTGATTAAGCAGACTGAAGTTAAGATTGTGGCTATACTTTTCTCACATTACTGTGGAGTATAATCCTGTACCCAAGGGTTGCATGTCACAAAAGGTCCCAAGGTTATGGTAACATCAGGCTCTTAAATTAGGCCTACTATGGACTTGAGACCCAGGCAGGCCAAGTAGCCACAGAAAGGGGACTCCTTACTGAAAGAACTGAAGCTGTTCTGGGCTATTAGAGTAGCTGCCTATCAATACCCATATCTCCCTCCCTCTACCCATTTGTCCCTCCAATTTGTAATCCATGCAGCAGCTAAAGTGATTTGGGCAAATCTGATCAATCTTCTTTGCTTAGGGTCTGGTGATGATCTTCTGTTGCTCCGAGTATGAATATAAAGCTCCTTAGTTCTCTGAGGTTCTGCACTATCAGGCCACTCCTGACATATCTGTCCTCATCTCCGACTGTCCACTCCTGTTTCAGCCACCCTAGCTCCCTTCACCAGCTCTTTCCCACCATGCTGCTTCTTGCCACTCATCTTTACACAATGCCATTCCCTCTTCCTGGAGTACTCATTGTCATCTTGTTAACTACATATCATCATTTCAAATGTCAGCTCTTCAGGGAAGCCTTCCCTGTCCTCCCTGTTTAGAAATTCAATTAAATCTACAATGTGATGCTATATACTCAACAGAACGGTTAAAGTAAAAAAGACTGAAAGTGCCAAGGGCTAGTAAGCATGTAGAGGAACTGGAATGCTCTTGCATTGCCAGTAAAAATGCAAAATGATACAGCCGCTTTGGAATAGTTTGACCAGAGTTTTTAAAATTAGAAAAATTTAAAAAATTAGAAACTACTCCCATTGCCCATTAACAGCATCGGTGATAAAATATGCATATAAATGAAATCCTATACAACTTATACACAAAAATATGGATGTGTCTCACAAAGGGAATGTTGAGCAAAGAAAGTCAACACACAAAAAAACACAAGCTATGTGATTCATTTTATATACAAATGGAAAAACTAATTAATGGCTTTAGAAGTCCAGATATTGGTTACCCTTAGGGTGAGTAATGACAAGGGTGGCCAAAGGAGGCTTCTGAGATGCTGGTCACGTTCTGTTTGTGAAAATTTATTGAGTTGTACATTTACGATTTCGTTACTTTTCTACATGTACACTATACTTGGGTTTAAAAAATTCAAAGCTCTCCAGTTTCTGGCAGTAATAAAAACTTGTTCTTTGTTGCACTTATCTCTCTTAGGATTTTACCACCTACTTGTGTCATTGCTTCATCAGTGCCTCTGTTGCCCTCTAGAGTCTAGACTGCAAGCTCCATGTAATTGGGAAATTCAGTTTTTAATAATCATTACTACTTGGTGCCTAACTCAGTATTTATCAAATATTTGATAAATTAAAATGTATAAATACAATCTGCCTCAGTAATTCAGAGCATGAACCTGGGAAGCAAAGGACCTATGTGTTAAAACTCATTTTGTAAGACCAGCCATATTTGGCTGAGTGAGATAGTGACTTGTGTCTTTCTGGCCAACACTGTTTCTTTGGCACTCAGTACAACATTTGGACATTATAGGTCCTCGAATTTAAAAAAAAAATTTGAACAAATGGAAAACTGAATGTACACCTAAATGGATTGGGTATTTTTTTTTCCAGTAAAAAATACTCTCAAGTGAATGAAAACACCAAGATGAATTGTTTATTTTTCCTATCCTGGTTGCAATAAACTAGGTATATAAGCCCATTACTAAGTCTTCAAACCACTGCCCTGAAGGACTCTACCTCTGCTTCTCTTTACTTATCACTTCCTTGTCCCAGATCCCATTAGCATGGGATGTTGTTCTGGTGAGTTTACGGCTTTTAAGGTGATTCTTAGCTCATTTACAAGCAGAGATCTTATGGTATTTTTGATCTGACTAAAAAAAAGGCAATAAACTGACTTTCAAGTGACAAGACTACAAATAAGTCAATCTTCTACTTTCTCAGGTAATACCAGAAAAAATCCTTGACTGACATAAATACAGAAACTTCTAGGGATGGAGATTCAATGCTTACATACATATTTAGGATAATTTCCTGCTTTAGGATGTAAAATTAAATTTGCATTAGTAATATATTACCTTCAGGAGTACTATTCCTTCTCATTTCAAACAATAGTGTTGAAATCCTTCACATAGATCTTTTACAACAGCGTTCACCATCAAGAGAACTACATTTTCATAATCTAATAATTTTTCAGAATACATCATTTTACTTTCATTAGAGATGCTCCACTTTTTGAATCCAAGTAAAATGATGCCACTAGAAAAATCTAAAATATTTATTTATTTATTTATTTTGAGACGGTGTTTCACTCCGTTGCCAGGCTGGAGTGCAGTGGCACGATCTCGGCTCACTGCAACCTCTGACTCCCTGGCTCAAGCAATTCTCCTGACTCAGCCTCCCAAGTACCTGGGATTACAGCAACGTGCCACCACGCCCAGTTACTTTTTGTAGAAAAATCTAAAATATTTTAAATGAGATCCTCAAGCATTCATTTCCAAAATATCAGGATATGTGACTTGTTTATTCATTCTATAGGTGTTTATGGGTGATCTCCACAACATAAGCACTGCTCTATTACTTTTGAAGGTGATCTTCAAAAGCCTATATGCAATGAAATCAAACACCATATTACATTTCTTTGCCTTTTTTTTAAAAAAAGAAAGGGCTTTTCATGTGACCACCATAGGTATTTAAAACCAGCATCAGGGAAGGATATATTAGACGAATTTGCTTTCTCCAAACAGGATTCCTGGTTATTCAAAATAAAGTGATTATGAGACTGTGCCGTATATGAAGATGCTTTATAGAGGTGCACCTGTAGTCACAGCTGCTACCTTGCAGGCTGAGACAGGAGGATCGCTTGAGCCCAGGAGCCCTGGGCTGTAGTGCACTTTGCTGATCTGGTGTCTACACTAAGTTTGGTATCAGTATGGTGACCTCTCAGGAGCAGAGGACTGCCAGGTTGCCTAAGGAGGGTTGAACTGTCCCAGGTCAGAAACAGAGCCTGTCAAAACTCATGTGCTGATCAGCAGTGGGATCATGCCTGTGAAAAGCCACTGCCCTCCAGCCTGAGCAACCTGGTGAGAACCCACCTCTCTCAAATAAAATAATAATAATAATAATAATAATAATAATAATAATAATAATAATAATAATAGAGAACTTGAGTATACATCTGTACCTTTTATTCTGAGGGCTTGTTTTGGGTAAAATCCCCAACTTATACTTACTCATATAAGAAAGGTCATATTCTCTGTGTAAGTTGGAAGAGGTCACCAGTGAGATAAATGCACAAGAATGACATAATCTGTTTCCCCAGGGTTAAGAGTATGAAAGTTGGGCTGAGAGTTGAGAGTCTCTTTAATCTCCCAAGCTCCCTGCTGCCTATGAAACAAGTGCCCCCATGGAAGACCTCACAGAACTCAGAGCCAGCTGAAGCTCAGATCATCCAGCGTTGGTCTGCTTTCCAAAATGTGCTGCCCTCCTTGGGTACCCTGTTGTTTATCTTCCTAAGTAGCAAAGTAATAACCAAGTTATGCCTCAGTCTTCTCCACCCTCGCCCTGCAGCAAGAGGGAATAGAAATGAACACCTTACCTGTCTGTCTTTTGAAAGAGCTACAAGGTTTGGTTATTGTCTATGCTTCTCTCTGAGGCACAGATAAAAAGCCCTGATATTCACATTCACAGCACATCATGTATTAATGCAAATTAAGCTTTCTGAACCTTGAGCTACAAAGAATTATTTTTAGAAGGTTATAAACCCGTGAAGAAAAAAAAAAGGGAATTTGGCATCACTGGCACTCTCATAGATAAAAACTGGATTTCTTATGCCAATCCCAACCGGACCCCACTAGCAATTGCATGGCTTATCTCCCTCCATGCTACCCTTTGTCTATCATATCACACCTCTATCTTTCTTTTCAGCTTCTCTAACAACCATACTGGCTTTTCTGGTGTCTTATTTTTATTTCTTGAATTTCTATTACAATCAAAAATAGTTCTGAATTTGATTTAACATTTTTAGGGCATTTTTAAAAATAACAATAACATTCCACAATCCTAGATATAAAATTATTTCTCCCTAGCATAGCTCAGATGCTATGGTGAAGTGTTCAAATGAGGTATGACATGAGAACTCTATGGCTATAATGAAAAGGTGATTTCCCAAGAGTCATCTCTCAGTTGAAGCCATTTAAAACTAGCTCAATATTTGAACAAGTTCTGCTTTTCTTTTTATTCATGGCTTAAACAGGCTATAATTTCAAGCCAATCACAAATGTGAACATCCTTAATTTGGAGTCCTTAGGTTTTGGGTTAGTAGCATAAACTTAAGTTGGATGGGAAGGGGAAAAATGACTGAAATGAGTTTTCAAATATGTGTTTCCAGCGCCGGTGCTTACGAAAGTTTCTTATCCATCACCCAGAAAGTTTGCTATTGTAAGGCAATATAATGGAGGTAGAACTCAAGAGCTGGATGGAATGATACAATTTTACCTATGAGCAAACTTAAGCCTGAGAAGGATAGTTGCCCAGGTGACTGAGTCACAGATGTAAAATTGAGTTTTCCAAATTTTCTCACTTTATATACAATGACTTTTCTAACTACATGAATATTATTACCTTAACATTTCAAATGACTGTGACCTGCTCATATGGGCTCGGTTTCAAGATCTAGGAGTCAATTTCTTTTAACAGTTGCCTATTATTAGTGACAGCCTTCAAAGAGAGAAACACCTTTAATAAAGAAGATACCTTCTAATCATCAAGACTTTGAGGCCTATTGTCAAGATGCTAACATTCTTGACAACTTTTAAAAAATAATCCTAATTTACCTTTCTTCTCATCCATTGCCATATTTGATTCCAGCCTATGATAACCAGGTCAACAACTGGAATTCCAGTTTGTGAGAGATTAGAGGGGGAAGAATGATTATACTGCTTTAGAGAATTAACACACAAAACAATACATCTACCTGCCTATCATGGCCTATAGTTTCAGGAAATCTGATCTAACTGTATTTGCTATGCTATTTGCACAATATGTTTGTTTTACTGTAACACATCTGTGTTTGTAGTAATTATGCCATTCATCCAGTTAAACTCTGAAAAACAGGCCTTATAAAACTTCCAATCTACCTCTGTGCAAGTGTCTTAGTCTGTTTGGGTTGCAATAACAAAATACCATAAACTGGGTGATTATAAATAACAAATTTACTTCTCACAGTTCTGGAGGCTGGGTAGTCCAAGACCAAGGTGTGAGCAAATTGGTGTCTAGAGATGGGCTGCTTTCTCATAGACAGCCTTTTCCATTGCACATATGGTGGAAGGGACAAACCAGGCACAAATCCTATTCACAAGGGTTCTGTCCTTAAAAGCTAATCACCTCCCAAAGGCCCCACCTCCAAATACCATCACACTGGGGATTAGCTTTCAATATATGAATTTGTAGGGGGAAAGCAAACATTCAGACCATAGCATTAAGGATTAATACTATTCTTTGTGATCTTCCATTTAAAAACTAAGTGATTGGCCTTGATTCAGAGGCACTAAGTTTAGAAGTACTCATTAAAAGTTCCTTTTAGTCTACCTTAAGAGAAAAAGATTACAGTTGACACAGTCTTAACAAGCTGTCTTCCTGTTTCCACCTTATCTCCTATTATATAGATATTCATTAAACACAAAGGTATTTGATCAATCAAACAGCTGAAGTTAAGATAGTTATTAGGTGTACTGCTTCCTTAGAACATATATTAAAAATGCACCAGATAAGCCAATGCTCCAGGGGAAACCTGACCTTCAGAATCCTTCTCAATTTTATATTTGAATTAATGTTGATTGCAGATTCATCAAAATGGGAAAAATCTTCTTTAATCTTTTTTTTTTTAAACATGATGAACTGACTTGTTTAAACTTTGAGAAGACATAGACTGGGTTATGTGGGGTCTACGTGGAAACACAAAGATGATTTTATTTATAGCCAGAAGAGAAATTAGTCACAATCGAGTTCACTTCTTAGAGATTTGGGGGTTTAGGTTCTGAAAGGGGGGGGGAAAGCTAGTTAATTTGTAAACAACGAGGCCAGGATCCAAACATTGATAAGGAAAGTTGCGTTTTCCAACAATGACAGGAACGGTATCTCCCATCCCATATACTCTTCTGCAACATGGCCCTGCCACTCCACACCAAGAAGTAGAGCCTAATTCCTTTCTCCTTAAACATGGGCTGACTTTGGTGACTCATTTGTAACAATACACAGTGGAAATGATGCTATGTGTCTTCTAAGGCCAGGTTGGAAGAACATGTGTTAACTTCTCCTAAAATCTTTTAAAATGGACATTCCTCAGAACCCAGATGTTAGAGGATCTAAGGGGATAGTATAAATCAGATGCTGGTGTCTGGCTAGCTTTTACCGGTGTTTGTTCTTGTAAGTGTTATCAAGAAGAGTGGAGAGGGCACAGGATAGGAGTTCTAACAGAAGACTCCTACTCCTCATTCCTGAGCACTATGTCTCTGTGGCTTGGCATATCCTGGGGGGAAAAAAGAAATGCTATATTGACCATGATTGAATTTCTGCCACACCATGAGGGGTGTCACAATGGAAATTACGTTCCCCCAGATAAAGTTATATTTCTGGCACACTTAAGTTTTGTACTAAGATGATTGTATCCACCGTACTTTCTTCTAAACTGCAAATCACAAGTGTGACATCTGTGAATGTTCCAAACCAGTAACGTTGGAACATTCTTAACATTGGATGATTCCCCTCTCCCACCATGCCCCAGCAGGAATTAGTCAATGTCCAAAGACACTTTTGGTTGTCTCAGTTTTGGGGGATGGTGCTACTGGCATCCAGAGGGTACAGGCCAGCGATGGTGCTGAACATCCTACAGTCTGCAGGGCAGCCTCTCACAACAAAGTATTATTCTGCCCAAAACCTTATGAGTGGCAAAGTTGAGAAACACAACTTTAACCTTAATCACCCAGTAGCTTTCCTTGGACATGAGTTAGTATAGTATCTTAATCCCACAATCATGCTTCATTTATTTTGTATTGAAATTTATAAGTACAGTGTGCTCTACAGGCTACACAATAATACTAGCACTTCCAAAAATTGTTACAAGCGACAGGCAGGTAACTCCTGTCTCATACTGATTTTGCCCTTGCAAAATTCCAAATATTTGTCCATTATTTATCCTGCAAATAGCATGTACCCATTGTTCCACCAAAGACCTGAAGACCTTATGAAATCATGGAAGAAATTAATACATTCCAAGTTTTTGTACAATGTTTTATCTAAAACAGAGTTAAAGCAAAACTAAAAACAAATCCACTGGGATCAGTTGAGCTGTGGTAGGAGGGGTCAACATGATATGACTTGATTTATTTATGTAGAATCAGAGTACTCTGGGTTGGTGAATATTTATAATCAGCTATTTGTTCTCACTATGTGCTTGTCCATTGACTTCTTGAAATGCTTGGCAGTTCATATTCACATGCATATAGTCTAAAAGCACTAAATCTACTTCCTGTCTGACCAAAAACAGAAAAGAATAGCCTCTCTCCTTGGAATGTCTAACAGTGTAGATAGGAATAAATGGCTTGAGGAAACTTCAGAGTGCATCAAGAGGGAGGCTGTGGGAACCAGGCTCATTTCATTGGCAATGTCTACACATTACAGAAGATGAAATCCTTTGTATCAGTTTGGAATTACTGACAGGTCCTATCAAGAAGTTTCCCATTATGCCTGGGTCAGGAAACTAAAATCTTACACATAAAAGAGGGAAGGTGTCAACCAGCTCTTCCACTCTGAAGACAACAGGATTCCATTTATTTCACAGTTATTTTAACAAATTATAAAGATAATATTCTCTCCCAATGAAATATTCATTTCTTGAAAGTTCAAAGTATTCCTCGCATCTAAGAAACACTGTAATAACAAATTTAGAATGAAATAAACAATGAATGTTAAATTCATGTGTTTAGTGGATCTCAACCTATCAGCATTTTTAATTTCCTTCTGTGCTTTTTGATCTTATATAATATGGTTAGCGTTAATGAGTATTTTTGAAGTGAAGTCACACCATCAAATATATAGGTTTTGCTACAGAACCTCAATTCTTCAGCATATTGTATATATAAGCCATCTTCA
The DNA here is from genome assembly GCF_000001405.40 of Homo sapiens. Lineage (NCBI taxonomy): Eukaryota > Metazoa > Chordata > Mammalia > Primates > Hominidae > Homo > Homo sapiens. Next base: position 25,015,113 of record NC_000003.12, on the reverse strand, counting down.
TCTTATACACAGACACTCAAAGCCAGATTTTTCAGGGCAACAGAACGCAAAATGTGGAAAAGTCCTGATTACGAGCACTTCAAATCTGTTTGTAGATAAACAACGCTGTTTTCCTGACTGTGTCACAGTTAAAGAAATACAAAAAGATATACAATTGGTTTTAATATTTGTGGACTCCATAAAGACAAATAGAAACAGAAGTATAAACAAAGTTAGGGAAATATAACCAAAATAGGAGGAGAGGTGAACTTGTGAGGGTTTTTTTTTCTGCCTAATTATTCCTGTGATACTATCCTTATTTCCTTCAGGGCCACACAGCCCCTATTATCAATCCTATTGTTGCTAGTAGTGTCCATCTCACTCTCTAGCTCTAGGAATGGGTAGTTACAAGACTATGCCAGTCCTCTACTGCTGGATAGAAAACTATCCCACCACTTAGTAGCTTACAGCAATAACCATTTTCTTGCTCACAAGTCTGTCAATCAGGAACATGGGCAGGGCTCAGTGGGGCTGAACCATCTCTACTCTATGTGACATTGGCTACACTTACTCAGCTGCATGCTGACACCTGGGTTCAATTGGAAGGTCAAAAATAGATTCGTCTACATGACTGGGGTCTGTACGCTGCCAGTCATTTGAGAAAACCCATCTCTCCTCCCTGAAATCTTTGTTTTTACACTGACTATCATCCTCCTGAACTTCTCTCTACAGGTAGCCTCTCTTCACATAAATAGCTTAAATTCCTTACATGTGGTTCAAAGTAGAAAAAGAATTCAGGAGCTTCCAAGACTCTTGAGGCCTCGGCCCAGAACTGGCACAACATGAACCCAGCACATTCTATTGATCCAAACAATGCAAAAGACCAGCCATGTTTCAAAGGGACTCCATCTCTTGGTGGGAAAAGAGACATAGTTATATTGCAAAAAGGCATGCGAAAGTGAAGAACATGTTTGGGGAAAAAACATATGCCACAAAATGGCCTCAGTTATACAGCAACAAGGGAAAAAGTGTTCTATTTCTGCTTGAGCTGATAAGGAGGTAAGTTTTGAGTTTCTGGCTCTCATCTTGTCACATGAGTAGAGAACTGAAGTTGGAGGAAATTCAAAGTTGAGAGAGGGAGAAGGGTAGACCAAGTCCTGATGACATTAAACACCTCAATCCAAACATGCCTGAAGCTAATACTATCCGACACTTTTCAGTTTTGTGAACCAAAACATTCCCTTTTATGTTTAAGCTAGTTTTAGTTGTGTTCCTGTTGCTTGTGATAAAAACAAACCTGAGTAACACAGACAGGATCTGTTAGTATAGAGAGAAGAAACTAGTCCAGTCTACCCTTGAGCCTTGAAGCCCGGTGTGGGAGACCTTTCTGACCAGCACATGGTCCCTCTCAATTCCAGCTCTCACTTCTCTGTCAGTACCACTTAACAAAGCTATCTTCAGGGTGTAGGTTGTATTGTCCTTGATTATCCTATCCTAGAACTGGGTGTTTGTTTTCCTATAATGACTGACTCTGATATTGTCAATGAGATGAGGGCAAATGGTGGTTAAGGGTTCAAATCAGAGGTCAGAGCCCAGGAAGCAGTACCAAGCATGAGGGTCAGTCTTCATGGCAGGATGACTGAAACAGGAAATCTAATCACAAAGTTAGAAGATGAGATGGTTAAGAATAGTTGGGAAAGTAGAGCAGATCAGGACGACAGTACAGTTTGAATTCAGTGAAACCAAGTACATTTCTAGGTATCTATGTGATGGAAGAGAACATGGAATATAGGGCCAAATGCATCTTTCATGTGGGCCATTTCAGGGAGCCAAAAGTGGTTCCCAGGTTGACATAAGGGTCTGAGATAGCTCTGAGATTCTTAAGCAAAGCTAAACACTGGTCTTCATGCCAAAGGTCATCTTTAACTTTGAGTTGACTCCAGACCTAATGTAACTATTCAGTCATTTCTTCAAGGCAATGCTGTCTGCAACCACTGCCTAGGTCTCTGTTGATTCAAATGGACTAGAACTTGAGCAGAACCAATCAGGTTGGCAATACTACAGTGGGTCCACGCCAGATGAAACAAGTCATTGAGATTCCTTACATGTGCATCTACCCTTTCTCCATAGACACCAAGTAGGTTTCAACCTGAGAAAGATACCAAAAAGATTCTTAAATACCAGCAGCTATTATTAATCAGAGTCTTAAGTTTGGTGTCAGAAACTATTCTAAGTACCTCATAATCTCTTATTTGACCTCTGGAGTTGGTCTTATTATTATTTCCGTCTTTCAGTTGTGCCTACCGTATTGTTTATATACAATAAAGCCAAACAATAATCAAATTATTTCATTTTATGTGCACAAATTTTGTATATCTCTCACTTTATTTGCATAGATTACTTTTCCCACTGAAATAAGATAAGGTGTCTCATTTTTCCAGCTAACTAAAGGAAATAAAATGTAAATCACCTCAAACAACATTTAGGTGCTCACTCATTAGAAAGTCAAAATATGCCAAACTACAGAAGCAATGATAGAGGACATTTTCCTTTCCAGGCCTTTTGCATGTGTAATAAGACGGTAAAACTGAAATCAGTGTATCATTCAGGTTTCTAACATCCAGAAGGAGGAGCTGACAGTCCTGAGGAACACAGAGCTTCTAGTACAGTTTTCTGAACCTGGCTGATGATCTGGATGCACATGGAGCTTGTTAGAAATACTCATTCTGTTGCCCCAATCAAGACCTTCTGAATCAAAACATCTGGGGATAGCGTTCTAAACACTTCTCAGGTGATTCTGCTTGTCAGCTAGATTTGTGAACCACTTTCTTTTTAATAAGAAACAAACTGCTTTAAAAATCAAAGCTTTCCTACGTATTAGTAATATTTTAGAACATTAATATCAGCTTGGAACATTTAACATATGCATCAATATGCTTTTGAAGTGCCTTTGATTTCCTGTTCAATGTTTAGTGGGGTCAATGTAATCCAGAGACATGAAGACATGTATTTAATCTGTCCATGTCTGAAATGAAATGAAGCTTAATTACTATTTTCCCCACTGAGATTGAATTTATATGTTGAATTAAAAGTACTTGTCTCTATTCCTCATTGTGGGATTTCCAATCCAGTGCAGATGATGTCAGTCCTGTCTGCCCTGTTAATATCAGAATCCCTTTATGACCTTTGCATGAAACAAATGATCTCTCTCCCTAAATAAAATTGTGCCTCTTTTTTTTAGGGACTGGATCAAGATTCAGAGCTCTGACAAACTCCATGGCTTAGTGATTATGCTATTAGTTTAAATTCCTACTTTGCCTTAGATACACCAGACTTCTAGGTGTGGGGCTAGTCTGCTATGTGGATTATAAAGTCCACTAAGGACACACCAACTTCTTTGACATTGTTTCCATCTTTAAACCAGTAATTGCCAGAGTAGGTATGAGATAAGAGCTGAGGAGTAAGTGAATGGATGCACAGATGAATGACCTGGATCTTAATGTTTAACTGGATTTTCAGTAGGCTGCTGAGATTTCCTGGTCAATCCAAGGCTAAGAAAGTAAGTGCACTTGACCTCATTGAGCCTTAGTTTCCTCACTGATAAAATGGAGACAGAAGAGGCAGACAAGATAATTCCTAATTCCTAACTAAATATAGCTATAATTCGATGGAAAAATCTGCCAACACTTGGCTTTACCATTAACAAAGTTTTAGACTCACATTGATTTTTAAGAAATCACTGTCATAAGTACATGGTTTGCTCCCTCACCTCCTTCAGGTTTTGTTCACACGTCACCTTCTCAGTGGAGATCTTCCTTGAACGTGCTATTTAGAACTTGCAACCTCTCCTCAACTTCCCCCGATCTGCTTTGTAACTCCGCAGCCCTATCCCATATGGTACTACATCATTCACTCATTTATTCCCTTTATTGTTCATTCCCTTTTGCTAGAATGTAAGTTCCATAAAAGCAGGGATTTCTGTCTGCTTTATTCACTTCCACAACCTTAGCATCTTGTCTGCCACCTTACTGGCATTCAGTAGATAATTGTTGAATGAAGAAATCAACAAATAACAATCGAACAGATATAGGTTAACTTGATTCCATTTAAAAATGTGAACATGGCCACTGATATCAACAGGAAAGATGCATGCTGAGCATTGCAGGGATGTGAAAAGAAAGCAAAGCCTTGGCCTCGATGGTCACATTGAGACAAGGAAAAATCTGGAGTGGCAGATATTGGTAGAAAGATAATACTAAAAGGCAGAATTACATGAATATCAAAAAGAGTCACGGCAATATTTTCTGAGAGTTTAAAAGGAGGAGTGGTTAATTCTGACCAAAGAAGGATCGGGGAGGGTTCATGAAGGGTGTCATAGGAGTTAGTGCTGGAAGGATTTGACTCTGAGCAAATCACAAAACCTTCCTAAGCATCACCTTGCTCTTTGAGAAGAACAGAATAGAATTAAATCCCTCTCACAGGGGTACTGTGGGGGTTAAATGAGGTAATGAATGTGGAAGTGCCCACTTTGTTGCAACCAGATAGAAGATCCTCCAATGTTAGTTGAGTGTGAGTCCCTACAATAATCTGTTGCTCCCAAAACAAAGGCATCAAGTACAGTAGCAAACACAGATTTAAGCTGGTGTAAATATTATGTTATATAACTAAAGTCAGTATGCAAAGTAAAATATCACACTTTTTGTTACATATTAGGATCATTTTAATTATTACACAAATGGTTTTTTCAATTTTGTGCATGCAGTTATAAAATTGATTGTCATAGCAATTCTTTACATTCTGATTTAGTTTATTTAAAAATTCTTATAATTTGTACTAGTTTAAACATTACAGAGAACGGAATTTTAAATTTAAGTTTGGAAAAGGTATGGACTCACTGTAGGAAAGACATTTAAGATACAAAATCTGATGGAGAAAGGTGTAAAATTAATCCGATATGTTTCTTAAGGTTTTCTTTAGCTCCTCTGTCCTGGCCTCGGTATAAAAAAAAGTTGGGACCCAATATTACAAGAAAAAGAAAAGGGTAAGTTACACTAAGAAAAACTTTACCTGAACTAAGGTTATAATAAACAATCAGTCAAAGGGTCATGACCCAGCATTTGGGACTGGCAGAAGG